>NC_000001.11:28200698-29552233 GCF_000001405.40 Homo sapiens
GTCAGTAGACAGGGGGCACATGCCAAACACCACAGGGCATCAGATGCTGCTCTGTGTGCTCACAAGTGTTCCCTGTCTTATCTGGGCCTTCGAAGGGAGCACACCCAGAAGCGAGCAACTGAAGCGAAGGGGCTTCCTAAGGTGCCCCTTCCAGGCTTGTCTCTGAAGTCACAGCAACACTGTTTTAAGCAGTATGTTTAATTGGATGATTTCCACAAACTATCCACGAAGTTTCTAACCATCACAATTCAGTGAAGTACAAAACACTGAGTTACAGGCTGTGGGAAGAGAAGGCAGCACCAATGGTGGCACCTTCTAATACTGGTTGTTCTAGGGGCAGGGAGAGGGAAAGGTCTTTTTTTAAACCAAGCCCCTCATTTCAATGTACAAAAGAATTACTCTGATCGATATTAAATCGTATTGAAAACAAAATGGACTAAAAAGCAAATACTACTCTATGTTGGGGTGGAAGTGGGAGGAAAGAATGAGTCCTTCGAAGCAGGAAGGGAGATAGCAGGGGAAAGGTTCTGTGCCTGTGACCTTGGGCGGTCACTCACGTTGCTCCATTTTTACTTTCGGTGGTCTCAGGAAGGTCCGATTTTTCTTCTCTTTCTTCCCCTTCGTATTGGCTTGGAAGTTTCGCCAGCTGTCCACACGACCATCTCGACTTTCCTAAGTACAAAAGAAGTTTGAGGTGAGGAGACCAGTCAATGAGTGGAAAGGCCTAAACCTGGTCTGCCATCCACTCACCCTCCTGTAGCCCAGCCCACTTCAGTCCTCTGGAATAACCCAAGAGTAGAATAGAGCTGGCCAGGCACAGTGGCTCATACCTATAATCCCAGCACTTCGGGAGGCCGAGGCGGGCAGATCACCTGAGGTCAGGAGTTCAAGACCAGCCTGGCCAACATGGTGAAACCCTGTGTCTAATAAAAATACAAAAATTAGCCGGGCGTGGTGGCAGGTGCCTGTAATCCCAGCTACTCGGGAGGCTGAGGCAGGAGAATCGCTTGAGCCTGGCAGGCAGAGGTTGCAGTGAGCCCAGACCATGCCACTGCACTCCAGCCTGAACAACAAGAGCGAGACTTTGTATCAAAAAAAAAAAAAAGAAAAGAAAAAAAGAAAAAAGAGTAGAATAGGCCAGGCATGGTGGCTCACACATCAGGTGGATCACCTGAGGTTGGGAGTTCGAGACCAGCCTGACCAATATGGAGAAACCCCATCTCTACTAAAAATATAAAAAGTTAGCCGGGCATGGTGGCGCATGCCTGTTAATCCCAGCTACTCGGGAGGCTGAGGCAGGAGAATCACTTGAACCTGGGAGGCGGAGGTCGCAGTGAGCCAAGATCACGCCATCGCACTCCAGCCTGAGCAACAAGGGCAAAACTCCGTCTCAAAAAAAAAGTAGAATAGAGCTTTCTTCCCACTCCCAAGGGCCCAAGAAAGTGTCATAGCACCCCTAGAACGCAGGATGAGCTGCAGGTTGCAAGAGGAGGACGAAATCAGTAATAATCATCACAACACTGAGGCCCCATTTGTTGGGGACCTCGAGGCTAGACGTTTAACATGGTTTTTTTTGTTGTCATTGTTGTTGTCTTTTGTGAGATGCAGTCTCGCTCTGTTGCCCAGGCTGGAGTGCAGTGGTGCGATCTCGGCTCACTACAACCTCTGCCTCCCGGGTTCACATCATTCTCCTGCCTCAGCCTCCTGAATAGCTGGGACTAAAGGGGCCCGCCACCACGCCCGGCTAATTTTTTGTATTTTTAGTAGAGACGGGGTTTCACCGTGTTAGCCAGGATGGTTTCGATCTCCTGACCTCATGATCCGCCTGCCGTGGCCTCCCAAAGTGCTGGGATTACAGGCATGAGCCACCTCACCCGGCCTTTTTTTTTCTTTTTTTTTTTTTTTTTGAGACGGCTCTGTCACCCAGGCTGGAGTGCAGTGGCACAATCTTGGCTCACTGCAAGCTCCACCTCCTGGGTTCACACCGTTCTCCTGCCTCAGCCTCCTGAGTAGCTGAGACTACAGGTGCCAGCCACCACACCTGGCTAATTTTTTGTATTTTTTTAGTAGAGACAGGGTTTCACCATGTTAGCCAGGATGGTCTCAATCTCCTGACCTCATGATCTGCCCGCCTTGGCCTCCCAAAGTGCTGGGATTACAGGCTTGAGCCACCACGCCCGGCCAGCATATGGTATTTCTAATTGTCACCAAAAGCCGACTATGGTGTGTACTGCTACCAGTGCTTCACAAATAACACTGAGGCTCAAAAAGGTTAAATGATTTTCTAAAAGCCATACAGCTAGCTAGCAGTACAGCTACTCTTTCCACTGCACCTTTCTGCTGCCCCCCAAAACTTGGATGGCTGCTCCAAAGCCAGTACAATGCCTAGCGAGTTGTGTAGGGGTGGCCACTAGGACCTCTACCTCATTATCATTTTTTCTCTTTCCATACATGAAGTGCAACAGAAACAAAGTCATCAACTCTGATTAGCCAGCCCCTAACCATGAGTCCTAAACCCTATAGAAGAAAAGACCGAATGTTGCCACAATCCTTCTGTCCAACCACCTGAAGCATATAACCAGGGTGTCAAAGAAGAGTCAAGTTCAAAGGTTCTAACTCTCTCTGCAGGTAGGACACTGTGGGCACAAGAACTTCAGCATCTACTAACAGATCTCTAAGCAGCACAATACTCTATGCTTACCCCCTAAATTAAAAGTGCAATCCATTTTTCTTGAGCCCACTGGGCAGCTGTGCCTACTACAATCTAAAAAACCATTCAGGGTGAAACTGTTAGTGTGCTGTAAAAAGAAATTAAACAATAATTTTTAAAAATAAATTTTAAAAAAGCCATTCAGGGATCCTCATCGTCCTTGCCAAGGCTACAGAGCTTACAGGAGGCTGAGGCAGGCCCAGCCTCATTCTTCACCTCTCCCACTCTTCCCCACATATCCCACTCCCCTCTGACTGCCCCACTCAGTCCTGGGAGCGCCACAGGAACCAAGCTGCCTTATTCTGGAATTAGAATCCCTGGCCACCTTGGAAATTTACCTCAAAGTTTTTCTGCCACTCTCTTTCCCGTTTGGCTTTTTCTTGAGCTTCAATCTCTTCTTCCCTTTGTCGTTTCCTAGGAGGAAAACCAGATCATAGTATTTATATGATACTTACAGACTGAATTAACCATACAAGGTGGCATCTCCCCACAGAAGCAAGCATATATAGTAAATCAATTCCCTAGAAGTCTACAAAGATGGCTGTCTGGAAAGGGCTCATAGCATTTTCATGAATGTCTCATTCTAAAACACGCAGATCAGACTTGGGCATGGCTGTGGGGAAAGACATAAATATCCTTGTTACACAGATAAAGTAACTAAAGCCCAGCCAAGAGCAATCTGAGGTTTTGGGCTCTTTCAGTGACAAAGCTATGTCGAGAACACAGGCCACCTTATTTCAGCAGAATGACCATTATAAAGCCAAAGTTCTTAAGATCTCTGGACAAAACCCTATCCGAAAACAAAGATATTTCACACAACCTCAACTAGCAAATTTTAGTTACTGGTACCTACCAAGCAACAATATAAAATACATACAGAAACAAAACTCGGCCGGATGTAGCGGCTCATGCCTGTAACGCCAGCACTTTGGGAGGCTGGGGCAGGTGGATCATGTGAGGTCAGGAGTTCGAGACCAGCCTGACCAACATGGTGAAACCCCGTCTCTACTAAAAATGCAAAAATTAGCCAGGCAGGAGAATCACCTGAACCTGGGGAGGTGGAGGTTGCAGTGAGCCAAGATCATGCCATTGCACTCCAGCCTGGGCAACAAAAGCGAAATTCTAACATTTCTGATGTTCAAGAGAAATCATATTTTAGAACATTAAACATTTTGTTACTGATGACACTACAGTACTATACACTCACCAAAGCTGTAGCCACTAGCCCCACAAAAGGTTCTGGCTTCAGTAACAATGGCCTTAATAACTGCTTATTTCACTCCAGGACATCAGGAAGAACACACACAAGGCTCTTGATTATAAATAAACTCCCTGGCAGCATGCAGTGGCTCATGCCTGTAATCCTAACACTTTGGGAGGGCAAGGCAGGCAGATCACGAGGTCAGGAGATCGAGACCATCCTGGCCAACATGGTGAAACCCTGTCTCTACTAAAATACAAAAAATTAGCCGGGCATGGTGGTGTACACCTGTAGTCCCAGCTACTCAGGAGGCTGAGGCAGGGGAACTGCTAGAACCTGGGAGGTGGAGGTTGCAGTGAGCCAAGATCGCACCACTGCATTCCAGCCTGGCTACAGAGCAAGACTGTGTCTCAAAAAAATAAATAAAAAATACACTCCCTAAGGACAGACCTATTCAATAATTCTCAAAAGTCAAAGAAAAAAACTACTTACCCTGGTGATTCAAAAGCTTGACTGTTTTTAGGTAACTATTTTTATAGTCTCTTAAATGGTATACTATATAATTCCCTCATTAGGAAAATCACCAAAGACCAATGTTAGTTAATCTAGGTATTTAAATATGGTTTAAATGAATATACTGATATGTACCTTTCATGCATCTCTTTGGCTTCTCTCTCTTTCCTTTTAATTTCCAGCTCTGCAAAGAGTTTCATTGTCTGTTTATATACAGCTTGTTTGAACTACAGGAAAATCAAGAACAAAAGAAAATCAGAGTAAATATTTTTACCAGCAACTTGAACCATGTACTTTCACCTGGAGTCCAAGATAAAGCAGATTAAAACCTGGCACAGGCTGTGCACCGTGGCTCACATCTGTAATTCCAACACTTTGGAAGGCCAAAGGCAGGAGAATCGTTTGAGGCTAAGAGCTTGACTGCCCTGGCAACATAGTGAAACTCTATTGCTACAAAAAAATTTTTTTTAAAACTAGCGTGCAGGCCAGGCGCAGTAGCTCACACCTGTAATCCCAGCACTTTGGAAGGCCAAGGTGGGCAGATCACCTGAGGCCAGGAGTTCAAGACCAGCCTGGCCAACATGGTGAAACTCTGTCTCTATCAAAAATACAAAAATTAGCCAAGCATGTTGGTGCGTGACTGTAATCCCAGCTACTCGGGAGGCTGAGGCAGGAGAATCACTTGAACCCAGGAGACAGAGGTTGCAGGGAGCTGAGATCATGCCATTGCACCCCAGCCTGGGCAACAAGAGGGAAACTCCGTCTCAAAAACAAAAATTAGCGGGGCATGGTGGTGCACACCTGTAGATCCAGCGTTTCAAGAGGCTAAGACAGCAGGATCACTTAAGCCCTGGAGTTTGAGACCACCCTGAGCAACATAGTGAGATCCCATCTCTACAAAAAATATTAAAAATAAAACATTAACCAGGTGTGGTGGCGCACACTTGTAGTCCCAGCTACTCAGAAGGCTGAGGTGGGAGGATCGCTTGAGCTCAGGAGGTCAAGGCTGCAGTGAGCCATGACTATGCCACTGCACTCCAGCCTGGACAACAGAGCAAGACTCTATCTCTTTTTTAAAAAAGTATATTATATGATAGTCTTACAATGATAGGAACAGAAGCTATTATTATTTATTATTATTGTTTTTGAAACAGGGTCTCAATCTGTCACCCAGGCTAGAGTGCAGTGGTGTGATCATAGCTCACTGCAGCCTCAACTCCTAAGCTGAAAAGATCCTCCTACTTCAGCCCCCAAAGCACTTGGATTATAGGTATGAGCCACCAGAGGTTATTATTAGAATGTATAATATCCACTAAGGTGGGAGGATCACTTGAGCCTAGGAGGTCAAGGCTGCAGTGAGTTAAGATCATGCCACTATATTCCAGCCGGGGTGACAAAGGGAGACCCTATCTCTAAAAAGAATTACAAAAAAATAAGTGAACGTAAGTGACCCAGCCCCTGTCACACTAAGTTAATGAAATCACAATGCCCTCCCTACCAGTTTTTAATTCTTTATTTTCAAGAGTTCTTAAGAACACAGCTTATGTTATTCTACCTTTAAATATTTTTCTCCAGATATAAAGTATTTTAAATAGACATGGAAGTACAAAAGTAATCTGTCATGCATATTTAATAGTGCCTAAATTCTAAAATCAGACACTGGAGCAAAGAGTGATATATGGAGAGAAAGGAAAATAAAGAAGTCCCTAAATCTCTGTGACTTCTCTTTTATCCTGTTACCTGCTAGACACTGCTCACTAAAAGCAATGCTTCAACCCCAGTCCCTAATAAAGACAAACATCAAAGGGATAAAGGAGTCTGTAATGAATAGCTCAGTATATTTAAAAGCTCCATACACGGGATAGACAGACACTGCGATTTTATATTTTTTATATTTCTCTTTTTCCAAATTTTCTATCATTAGCATGTGTTCTTTTATAATCAGGAAAAAAAAAAACAACTGAAAAAAATTGGGCCAGGTGCGGTGGTCCACGCCTGTAATCCCAGCACTTTGGGAGGCCGAGGAGGGCAGATCACTTGAGGTCAGGAGTTTGAGATCAGCCTGACCAACATGATGACATCCCGTCTCTATTAAAAATACAAAAATTAGCCAGGCTTGATGGCGGGCATCTGTAATCCCAGCTACTCAGGAGGCTAAGGCAGGAGAATCACTTGAACCTGGGAGGCAGAGGTTGCAGTGAGCTGAGATCGCACCACTGCTCTCTAGCCTGGGCAACAGAGTAAGACCCCGTCTCAAACAAATACATAAATAAATGTATATTTATATGTTTTAAGTTCAAATAAAATGTTTGTTGTTGTTGTTGTTGTTGTTGTTGTTTTAAGACAGAGTCTTGCTATGTCACCAGGCGGAGGTGCAGTGGCGCGATCTTGGCTCACTGCAATCTCTGCCTCCCAGGTTCAAGCAATTCTCCTGCCTCAGCCTCTCGGGTAGTTGGGATTACAGGCACGTGCCACCACGCCCAGATAATTTCTGTATTTTTAGTAGAGACGGGGTTTCACCATGTTGGCCCGGATGGTCTCGAACTCCTGATCTCATGATCCACCCGCCACGGCCTCCCAAATTTCTGGGATTACAGGCGTGAGCCACTGCGCCCAGCCAAATAAAATGTTTTTTTAAAAAATAAAAATTAGGCCGCGCACGGTGGCTCATGCCTGTAATCCCAACACTTTGGGAGGCCGAGGCGGGTGGATCACCTGAGGTCAGAAGTTCAAGACCAGCCTAGCCAACATGATGAAACCCCGTCTCTACTAAAAATACAAAAAAATTAGCCAGAGGCCGGGCAGGGTGGCTCATGCCTGTAGCCTGCAATCCCAGGACTTTGGGAGGCCAAGGCAGGCGGATCATCTGAGGTCAGGAGTTCGAGACCAGACTGACAAACATGGAGAAACCCCATCTCTACTAAAAATACAAAATTAACCGGGCATGGTGGTACATGCTGGTAATCCCAGCTACTTGGGAGGCTGAGGCAGAAGAATCGTTTGAACCCAGGAGGCAGAGGTTGCAGTGAGCCGAGATCGCGCCATTGCCCTCCAGCCTGGGCAACAAGAGTGAAACTCAGTCTCAAAAATAATAAATAAATAAATAAATAAATGTGAAATAGCATATATTCATCATTCTTTTGGCTTCTGTCTCTGTAACCCACCAATTCGTAGACACAATCACACAAGATACAGTGGCTTTTCCTATATTTAACTCACCAGCTCAGGATCATCCTCCTCTACAATTGTAGGTTTTCCTTCCTTCTTTAATTGTTTTTTTCGCTCTTTCACCTAAAAAGAATTTTTTTTCATCAAAAGACGAGCATCTGTGCTTTGAGAATATCCACTGGGCTGTACACATACAATATATTTAACTTTCTATAGGCACGGGTATAGCAAAAAGTTTTCATTAAAAAAAAAAAGAGCCCCTCCCCTCCCTCCTCAAAAGAACAACAGAATCAAGGAAAATTAGGAACCACAAGTCCTTTTTCTAATCTCATCTAAAATCCAATCTACCAGGAAGAATGAAAGATGAAAGGGGACCAACGGGAGGTTGTCCCCAACTCATCAGATCCAAAAAGTCTTTGAAACAGACTACTTATTTACCTTTCTTGGCTTGTGGTTATGTGTTTAGAGCAAAGCAAATATATCTGTCAAGTTTTAGAAGAAGCTACAGAATCTGTGGCATTATGTCCAAGTAGTTTTTCTGGCATTTCTATAACTGCATTCTTGATCACTTTCACCATGGAACCTCCTTAAACCACATATCATATTAACTGATACTTTTATCACATTGGCCACTACTGAGATAAAAAATAAATAAATAAATATACGAATTCATACAAGAATGACACTACTCCATGAACTAACCAGTCTATTATACCAGCAAAGGCCAAGTACCCTCTAAGCTCAGAAAGGCCCTACTGCCACCCTGTGGTCAGGAAGCCTAAGGATGACTTTCTTACAGGTGAAAGACATACGAAGCCACAATGATTTAAGGAGAAACTGTCAGGCACTTTCCCTATTTCTACCAGGATAGGGCCTACAAGTGCCATTTCCAACACATGACCCGCAGGATATAGTTATGGGCCCTTTGTCTCCTCTTCTTATCCATTTTCCTCACCGAAACTGGATTCATTATTATGGTTATAAAGTTGTCTCAGATTTCAAAGCTCTTCATGTGAAAAGTCATCCAATCACAATTGAAGCAGCTCTTACAAATGACCTCAAGATTCTTGCCCCAGCAAGTAAAAAGTTAAAAGACCTTTCTTACCTTGGGAAAGCCATACTGACATTTCCCACCACATTGGAGACTTATGTATGCCCTCAAGAGCAAACAAAAATAACACCAGCTACAACTCAGTTTCCTTCAACTGAGTTCTTCCCAACTCTGTTATTAAGATGGACATAAACCTCCTCCTATTTTAAAAAAAGTTTACGCCTATCCTCTTGCTAGCCTTTGCCAAGCCTTGTTGCAAACCCTTCACAGGGACAAGAATAAAAATCAAGAGTCAAGAGTCACAGGCTGCTCCACGTTTCCACTCTAAGAATGGGGTAAGTGGCAATATGTGATGAGAGGGAGAGAACAACCCTTTCTCCCCAACACAGGACTGGTAGGGAAAGAGGTAGGAGCAGTGTACCAGCTACTCCTCATCTGAGTTCTTCTCTTAGGGGTGAATTACAGCTTCAGGCACACACTATTCATGACCACCACAGCAAAGTGGTAGAGAGCACAGAAGTAGCCACAGGTTGTGCCAGTAGGCATTACTATGTTCATATGTACCCTTCTACAAGGTGCCCAAGGCTTGCTGATACTTCCTGTAAACACAGCAGCACTATAAATACTTACAGTGTGTTCCACGTATTCTTTTCCTGCCTGAATTACATCCAGGGCCCTCTTCTTTTGCTCCTGATCCAGTAGCAACTTGTAAGCTTTGTCCACAGCTAATGCAAAACATTGAAATTAACTGTTTCTGCAAACACCCTCTGAAAGTCTGAACTATACTCAGGCAGTGTAAATGGACTTGTGCTCTCTAAAGCATTCCCTACTTTAATTATTTACTGTCGTTAAACTAAGTTAAAAAAAACATTCAACTATAGCAATGACTTTCCTTAAGAGCCTTGGAAAAAATTAAATATATACTCAAGGCTAAATACACTACATCTGGATTTAATTCAGTGATAAAATTCTTTATGTTCAAAGAAAAAAAATGATCCTATGCAATAACAGTCTTTGTTGGCATATAAAAGTTTTAACAAAGCAAAGTTAAGGTCTACTTCTTAAACAACAACATTCTGCTTTGAAATGGCAACTGCTCTACTGAAAACCACAGCTTCTTGGTGACCAGAAGACAAAACTATAACAGTCTTTGCTTGATCTAGGACAAGGAACAGTTAGGCCCTGCCATTCACAATCTAATACTCAGAAGCAGGTAAATTTACAAATACCTTCAAAAGCCTTTTGTGCTCTGTCAGCATCATCTTGATTTTTGTCAGGATGCACCAAGATGGATAACTACAATAAGAGAAAAGTTGGGGTTGTCAATAAGGGAAACATTTACTAACTTCCAGCCTGCCCTGTCTCGTTACAACCAAAAGCTCTAAGGTCCTACGGCAAAAAGAGACTCTTAGCAAAAGCATTTAAAAAATTAACAAATCTCTTTAAATGCCCAGAAATACTGATCTTTAACAAAATTCAAGCACCAAAAGGTAAAGGTACAACTAGGAAACATTTCAGGTTTTAATCACAAAGTTGAGACCAAACATGCCAGGCACAGAGGCTCACGCCTGTCATCCCACCACTTTGGGAGGCTGAGGTGAGAGGATTACTTAAGCCCAGGACTTCGAGACCAGCCTGAGCAACATAGCAAGACCCTGTCTCTACAAAAAAAAAATTTTTTAATTACCCAGACATGGTGGTGGTCGCCTGTAGTCCAAGCTATTTAGGAAGCTAACGTGGGAGAATCACTTGAGCCTGGGAGGTTGAGATTGTGCCACTGCACTCCAGCCTGGGCAACAAAGTGAGACCCTGTCTCCAGGAAAAAACAAAAACAAAAACAAAAACAAAAACAAATGGAAGCCTAGCACTATGAAGATGTTGTAATAATTTGGGGGAGGAGGGAGACTGAAAGGTATCAAGTTCCTATTATGTTCCTTATGCAGGTTGAGCACCCAAAATCCAAAAGGCTCCAAAATCTGAAACTTTCTGAGTGCTAACATGATGCTCAAAGGAAACGCTCATTGGAACATTTTGAATTTTCGGATTAGGGATGCTCGACCATTATGCATTCTGCAAATATTCCAAAATCTGAAAAAATCTGAAATCTGAAATACTTCTAGTCTCAAGCATTTCAGATAAGGGATACTCAACCTGTACTAAGCACTAAGGTGGCTAAAGCAGGTATGAGACATCAACTCTCTCCTAAAAGAACTCCTAATCTAAAGCAGTTTCTCATTCTGCCTGTGCTCCAACCCTGTGAAGCTTCTGAAAAAGACAACATTCTAATTTCCACCCTCAGACCTTCTGAGTTAGTCTTTGGCATCTGCACTTTGTAAACCTCTACTAGACTGGGTTTCAGATGATCGTAGGGAATTAGCCCTTATTTTGTTAGGTGGGATAAGTGATTATGCAAGAAAATGTCCTTTTTTTGGGAAGGGTACAAGCTGAAGTATTTAGGGGTAAAGCATCATGGTTTATTGCAATTTACAATGATTCAGCCAAAAATATATAGTTAAATATATAGTCAGTGTCTGCCAGGAGCAGTGGCTCCCGCCTGTAATCCCAGCACTTTGGAAGGCTGAGGCTGGCAGATCACTTGAGGTCAGGAGTTCGAGACCAGCCTGGCCTACATGGTGAAACCCCGTCTCTACTAAAAATACAAAAATTTGGCAGGCACAGTGGCACACATCTATAATACCAGCTACTCAGGACGCTGAGGCAAGAGAATCACTTGAACTCAGGAGGTGGAGGCTGCCGTGAGCCAAGATCGCAACACTGTACTGCAACCTGGGTGACAGAGCCGGACTCCGTCTCAATAAATAAATAAATATATATATATATATATATATATATATATATATATATATATATATAAATGAAATTAACTATTCAATATAGATGGTGGATACATGAATATTCGTTGTTCTATTCTTTTTTTTTTTTTTTTTTTTGAGACAGAGTGTTGCTCTATCATCCAGGCTGGAGTGCAATGGTGCTATCCCAGCTCACTGCAGCCTCAATCTCCTGGACTCAAGTGATCCTCCCACCTCAGCCTTCTGAGTAGCTGGGACTACAGGCACGGCTAATTTTTGGCTTTTGCTGTTGTTGTTTTTCGTTTTTTGTAGAGACGGGGTTTCACCATGTTGCCCAGGCTGGTCACGAACTCCTGAGCTCAAGCAATCTGCCCGACTCAATGTCCCAAAATACTAGGATTACAGGCATGAGCCACTATGCTTGTCCATTCTTTTTTCTATATAAAATTTTTATAATAAACCAGCTAAAAAAAAAAGAACTTTCATAGGTAATTCAGATACTCACAGTTAAAAACCATGACATATTGTCAATTGACAGAAACCAACTAGTTGGAACCCAGGGAACTATGTCGGGGAATGAGAACAAATGGGAATCTAACGCTCCGTTCAGCATTACTGGAACCATTATGCTGGGTTCTAATTCCAACTTCAATCACCTACTAGCTATGAGACCTCGAGCAAATCACTTAACCTATCTCTGCCTCCGCTTCCTGCTCTGTAAATGAGATAATACTATGTACCTATATCTAATTGGGCTGATATAAGAATGAAACAAACAATGCAAGTAAAGAAATTAGCAGACTAACACACGCTGACAATAGTTAGCATATAGTGAGGATACATTATGTGCCAAGAGTTACTCTAAATGCCTTCTGTGTAATACATCATTTAAATTCTTACAACAAACTCATGGGATAGACACCATTATTACATTTTACAAACGGGGTAACAGACACGGAAAGGTTAAATGTAACTTGCTCAAGTTTACACTGCTTGTTAAGTGGTACAGTCAAGATTTAAACTAGTTGTATAGCTCCAATATGCACACTCTTAACTATCAGTCCATATTAATGATTTATTAAGAATTCTTAACTCTTATTATTTATGTAGCTACATAAAAAATTGTTTTGACTATGAACTTAAATGCTTATTAATATGGGAATGATTAGTAATGCATATTAGAAAATTTGAAATTTTAGAAAAAGGAAAAAGCTAAATATAAGTATAGAGTAGAGCTTAGGAAGGAAAAAAAAAAGCTATAAAGTTATATAATGGGATATGATTACGTAGACCAAGTTAAAAAACATCTTGGCTTAACTGTAGATCAGAAAATGACTATGAGTCAGCAATATGGGGAAAATTACTGTACTGAAGAAACAAGCACACCACTGGATATTAACAAGTATCTCATCAGAAGCTGAAAATTACATTCAGCTCTGGTCAGACCCTATTAAAATATGAAGTACATAAGACTATAAAGAAGCTAAGGAAAGTTTTTTTAAAAGACATGGAATATATAGAAAATCCAATTTGCAAAGGCAAATTATAGGGACTACGATTATTCAACTCAGAAAAAAAGGTAGCCAGGCACGGTGGCTCATGCCTGTAATCATGGCACTTTGAGAGGCTGAGGCCAGCAGATCGCTTGAGCCCAGAATTGAGACCAGCCTGGGCAACATGGCGAAACTCTGTCTCTACAAAAAATACAAAAATTATCTGAGCATGGTGATGCACACCTGTAGTCCCAGCTACTGGGGAGGTTGAGGAGGGAGGATTGCTTAAACTCAGGAGGCACAGGTTGCAGTGAGCCAAGATCACACCACTGTACTCCAGCCTAGGTGACAGAGTGAGACCCTGTCTCAAAAAATAATAATAATTTTTAAGAAAAAAAGGCTGGGGGGAGGGTTACTCAGCTGTCAAAACTGGAAGGATTTTTTTTTTAAGTTTACTTTAAAACTTTGTAGTTCCAGTTATTAAACCTACGAATGGGCAAGATTCAGAAGCTATAGATCTCCTTTCCTGGAGAACTTTCAAAAAGCACTCTTTATACCAGTTATCTCTTAGGTATTCATTTAAGTTGGCAAAAGATAAAATTACGGCCGGGTGCAGTGGCTCACACCGGTAATTCCTGCATTTTGGGGAGGCTGAAGCAGGTAGATCACTTGAGGTCAGGAGTTCGTCACCAGCCTGGCCAACATAGGGAAACTCTGTCTCTACCAAAATACAAAAATTAGCCGGGTGTGGTGGCATGCACTTGTAATACCAGCTACCTGGGAGGCTGAGGCAGGAGAACTGCTTGAACCCAGGAGGTGGAGGTTGCAGTGACCTGAGATCATGCCACTACACTCCAGCGTGGGCGACAAAGCAAGACTCTGTCTCGAAAAATAAGAATAAAAATAAAAGATAAAATTACAGACAAATGGAGTCTTAAAGATAAAAATGTGCTATGAATCATTTGATATGTTCCCTCCTAGAAGACAGGGGGTTTGGTAGTTACAACTCCATGCAAGCTCTATTATTCTACTTTATACTTATCCCTCTTAATTAAGGAGTTGCAGAGATTCTATTTGGATATAAAATTCATTCTATTCATAGGTAAGCTATGGTCATTAAATTATTTAAGATTTTATATATTATTATGAGCTTTTTTTTACAAAACAGTTACACAGCCTTAAAAAAAAGTTAAATTTTGGCCCAAACATATCAAGTCAATAATAGCAAGTGATAAAAGAATCATGTGCTTCATACATTTTCAAAAAGTTCAAACAGGGAAATAGTACTGTACCTGCCGAAACCTCTTTTTTATTTCTTCATCTGTAACTTCAGGATCTATCTGAAGAACCTGGAAGTATCAAAATCAAAACCATAAAAAAGGTGAAAATAAATTACATGTATATTTAAGAGTTGCTCAGTAATTATATATATTATAATCAGCATCTAGAATAGTACCCCATGTTCTAGAACACAGGCTGGCACACAGTTCTAGAAATTGCTAAAGAAATATGAATGATCAAATCAACAGAATAACAATTATATTGTCTTATGGTACTCAAATAACATAATGCTTATTTTCATCATAAAAATAATAATTTATTTTACACCCAGAGACATTTTTACATGAGAAAATTTTGCATTTCTCCTTCATTCATTAAAAGAGTTTAACTCCCCCTCCCTTTATTTTTGCAAATGTCGAGAAACCGTAATAACTCAAAAAAGAAAAAAATAGCCCAATGGACACTTTATAATTTACAAGGCCCAGTGGTTCTCAATCAGAGTGAATATTAGAATCACCTGTGGAAACCTGTGAGCAATGGCTGGCCCACTCTACGAAAGTCTGATTCCAACCCCATAGAGCAGGGGTAGGGCCAATAGGAGGAACAACTCTATTTTTTTTTTTTTTGAGATGGAGTCTCGCTCTTATTGCCCAGGCTGGAGTGCAATGGCGAGATCTCGGCTCACTGCAACCTCCACCTCCGCGGTTCAAGCGATTTTCCTGCCTAAGCCTCCTGAGTAGCTGGGATTACAGGCACGTGCCACCACACCTGGCTAATTTTGTAATTTTAGTAGACACAGGGTTTCTCCATGTTGGTCAGGCTGGTCTCAAACTCCAGACTTCAGGTGATCCGCCTGCCTCAGCCTCCCAAAGTGCTGGGATTACAGGTGTGAGCCACCGCGCCCAGCCTTAAGCAACACTTCTTTAAACAAATAATTTTTTTTTTTTTCGAGACAGTGTCTCACTTTGTTGCCCAGGCTGGAGTGCAGTGGCATAATCATAGGTCACTGCAGCCTCAAGCTCTGGGGCTCAAGTGGTCCTCTGGTCTCAGCCTCTTGAGCAACTAGGACTGTAAGTATGTGGAGCGCACAACCATGCCTGGTGACTTTTTAAAATGTTTTTAGAGATGGGGTCTCCCTGGCCGGGCGCAGTGGCTCACGCCTGTAATCCCAGTACTTTGGGAGGCCAAGGCAGGGAGATCACTTGAGGCTAGGAGATTGAGACGAGCCTGGCCAACATGGAGAAACCCCGTCTCTACTAAAAATACAATATTAGCCAGGCGTAGTGGCGCATGAAAATGAGAATTTTCAAGTCAGTGCGCCCCACTCTCATAACTTCCCAAGGAGAAAGGAACTGGGAAAGTCACTCAATAGGAAGAGCGAAGTCACGTAAGATTTACAGACGAGGGACTGTAACTGTACATACAAAAATATTCATAGGAAAACCACTAGTTCTGAGGAAAAGGAATCTCTAGGGGCAAACCAAAGTCCAACAAATCCCAGAGGATGCCCAAATAAAAGAAAGAACAGAAACTGTCCCACCCTCACAAAAAAAGCCTCTGATAAGATTATAGCTTACAACTAATCATGCCAAATGTAATTCATAAACCCTGATTGATTTTTTAAAAATAAATTTTGCTGTGTGTATTTGGGGATTACAACATGATGTTATGGGATATATACAGACAGTAAAATGGTTATAGTGGTTCTTGAGTTAAAAAAAAAACCTAAAATAGCTATAAAGGAGATTTTGGGGACAGCTGGGCCCATTTGCATGTGGACTGTATGCTGGATAAAGTTACTTGATGTTGTTTTCCTATGGCTAAAGTTTCCTAAGCTCTAATTTTATTACAGGCTTTTTTTGTGAAGGTGGGGCGATTTCTTTTTTTTTTTTTTTTTGAGACGGAGTTTTGCTCTTGTTGCCCAGGCTGGAGTGCAATGGTGTGATCTCGGCTCACTGCCACCTCCGCCTCCCAGGTTCAAGCGATTCTCCTGCCTCAGACTCTCGAGTAGCTGGGATTACAGGCATGCGCCACCACGCCCGGCTCATTTTGTATTTTTAGTAGAGATGGGGTTCCTCCATGTTAGTCAGGCTGGTCTTGAACTCCCAACTTCAGGTGATCCGCCTGCCTCGGCCTCCCAAAGTGCTGGAATTACAGGTGTGAGCCACCGCGCCTGGCCTTAAGCAACACTTCTTTAAACAAATAATTTTTTTTTTTTTTTGAGACAGTGTCTTACTTTATTACCCAGGCTGGAGTGCAGTGGCATAATCATAGGTCACTGCAGCCTCGAGCTCTGGGGCTCAAGTGGTCCTCTGGTCTCAGCCTCTTGAGCAACTAGGACTGTAAGTGCGTGGAGCACACAACCATGCCTGGTGACTTTTTTAAATGTTTTTAGAGATGGGGTCTCCCTGGCCAGGCACAGTGGCTCACGCTTGCAATCCCAGTACTTTGGGAGGCCAAGGCAGGGAGATCACTTGAGGCTAGGAGTTTGAGACAGGCCTGGCCAACATGGAGAAACCCCGTCTCTACTAAAAATACAAAATTAGCCGGGCATGGTGGCGCATGAAAATGAGAATTTTCAAGTCAGTGCGCCCCACTCTCATAACTTCCCAAGGAGAAAGGAATTGGGAAAGTCACTCAATAGGAAGAGCGAAGTCACGTAAGATTTACAGACGAGGGGCTGTAACTGTTCATACAAAAATATTCATAGGAAAACCACTAGTTCTGAGGAAAAGGAATCTCTAGGGGTAAACCAAAGTCCAACAAAACCCAGAGGACGTCCAAATAAATGAGAAAGAACAGAAATTGTCCCACCCTCACAAAAAAAGCCTCTGATGAGGTTATAGCTTACAACTAATCATGCCAAATGTAATTCATAAACCCTGATTGATTTCTTTTTTAAAAATAAATTTTGCTGTGTGTATTTGGGGATTACAACATGATGTTATGGGATATATACAGACAGTAAAATGGTTATAGTATAGTGGTTCTTTAGTTAAAAAAAAACTAAAATAGCTATAAAGGGGATTTTGGGGACAGTTGGGCCCATTTGCATGTGGACTGTATGCTGGATGAAGTTACTTGACGTTGTTTTCCTATGGCTAAAGTTTCCTAAGCTCTAATTTTATTAGAGGCTTTTTTCATGAAGGTCGGATGGTTTCTATTCTTTTTTTTTTTTTTTTTTGAGATGGAGTTTCGCTCTTGTTGCCCAGGCTAGAGTGCAATGGTGTGATCTTGGCTCACTGCAACCTCCGCCTCTGGGATTCAAGCGATTCTCCTGCCTCAGCCTCCTGAGTAGCTGGAATTACAGGCATGTGCCACCACGCCCGGCTCATTTTGTATTTTTAGTAGAGACGGGGTTTCTCCATGTTGGTCAGGCTGGTCTCGAACTCCCGACTTCAGGTGATCTGCCCACCTCAGCCTCCCAAAGTGCTGGGATTACAGGCGTGAGCCACCGCACCCAGCCTTAAGCAACACTTCTTTAAACAAATAATTTTTTTTTTTTTGAGACAGTGTCTCACTTTGTTGCCCAGGCTGGAGTGCAGTGGCATAATCATAGGTCACTGCAGCCTCGAGCTCTGGGGCTCAAGTGGTCCTCTGGTCTCAGCCTCTTGAGCAACTAGGACTGTAAGTGCGTGGAGCACACAACCATGCCTGGTGACTTTTTAAAATGTTTTTAGAGATGGGGTCTCCCTGGCCAGGCACAGTGGCTCACGCCTGTAATCCCAGTGATTTGGGAGGCCAAGGCAGGGAGATCACTTGAGGCTAGGAGTTTGAGACAGGCCTGGCCAACATGGAGAAACCCCGTCTCTACTAAAAATACAATATTAGCCAGGCATGGTGGTGCATGAAAATGAGAATTTTCATGTCAGTGTGCCCCACTCTCATAACTTCCCAAGGAGAAAGGAATTGGGAAAGTCACTCAATAGGAAGAGCAAAGTCACATAAGATTTACAGACGAGGGACTGTAACTGTTCAAACAAAAATATTCATAGGAAAACCACTAGTTCTGAGGAAAAGGAATCTCTAGGGGCAAACCAAAGTCCAACAAATCCCAGAAGGCGCCCAAATAAATGAGAAAGAACAGAAATTGTCCCACCCTCACAAAAAAAGCCTCTGATAAGATTATAGCTTACAACTAATCATGCCAAATGTAATTCATAAACCCTGGTTGATTTCTTTTTAAAAAATAAATTCTGCTGTGTGTATTTGGGGATTACAACATGATGTTATGGGATATATACAGACAGTAAAATGGTTATAGTGGTTCTTGAGTTAAAAAAAAAAACCCTAAAATTGGCCAGGTGTGGCGGCTCACGCCTGTAATCCCAGCACTTTGGGAGGCGGAGGCAGACAGATCACTAGGTCAGGAGATCGAGACAATCCTGGCTAACACGGTGAAACATCATCTCTACTAAAAATACAAAAAAATTAGCCAGGTGTGGTGGCGGGCGCCTGTGGTCCCAGCTACTCAGGAAGCTGAGGCAAGAGAATGGCATGAACCCGGGAGGCGGTGCTTGCAGTGAGCCGAGATCGTGCCACTGCACTCCAGCCTGGGCAACAGAGTGAGACTCTGTCTCAATAAATAAATAAATTAAACTAAAATAGCTATAAAGGAGATTTTGGGGACAGCTGGGCCCATTTGCATGTGGACTGTATGCTGGATAAAGTAACTTGATGTGGTTTTCCTATGGCTAAAGTTTCTTAAGCTCTAGTTTTATTAGAGGCTTTTTTTGTGAAGTTCGGACGATTTCTATTCTTTTTTTCTTTCTTTCTTGAGACAGAGTCTTGTTCTGTCAAGTGCAGTGGAGCAATCTCAGCTCACTTCAACCTCCGCCTCCTGGTTCAAGCAATTCTCCTGCCTCAGCCTCCTGAATAGCTGGGACTTCAGGTGTTTGCCACCATGCCCAGCTAATTTTTTGTATTTCAGTAGAGATGGGGTTTCACCATGTTGGCCAGGCTGGTCTCAAACTCCTGAACTCAGGCAATCTGCTCACCTCAGCCTCCCAAAGTGCTAGGATTACAGGCGTGAGCCACTGTGCCCGGCCTTTCTATTCTTTCTTAGTGTTATTTTCCAATGGGTGATAGTGTTGTGGTTACACGGAATTGTTCTTGTTTCGAGGAGATGCATGCTAAAGTATTTAGGCATTAAGTGTTAACAACACCTGGAGCTTACTTTCACCACATGATTGGGCAAAAAGGAGGAGAGTATATATACCTACATACACATACAAACACACACTCCAAAAGTTATTTTTCCAAGAGTTATATCAGAACAAATATTCACTGAGTGCCTTCAAAGCCAATCCAACTCCTCTTTTGTCTTTAAGAGCTGGAGGTGCCACACGTGGCATGGTGAAGACAATGGACTTTTACCTGCGGCCGGTCCTCTTTGAAGCCAGCTTTATACATTCAGTACCAACTTGTAGAGCACAAAAATTTTCTAAGATAGCTAGATACTGTGCTCACTACTTTTCTTAGTCTGTTTTGTGTTGCCAGAACAGAATCCCATACAGTGGGCACTTTATAAAGAAAAGAAATGTATTTCTTATACTTCTGTAGGCTGGGAAGTTCAAGGTTGAGTGGCCGTCATCAGGTAAGGGCAAGAGGGGGCTAAACTCACATATGTAACAAGTCTATTCTTGAGATAACTAATCCACTCCCAAGATGAGGACATTAATCCAATTGTGAGGGCAGAGACCTAATCACCTCTTATTAGGCCCTACCCTGAAAAGCTGTTGCATTGGGATTAAATTTCTAACACATGAATTTGGGGGACACATTCTAACCACAGCTCTACTGTCCTCACAGAATTTAAGAATTACTGTTCTCACAGTAGATAAGGGAGAGACAAGTAACAAGTAATTCTGACAAAAATGATAAATGCCTTATTACCAACATGGCTCCAAGCACACAGGTCTGTTCAGATTCTTGGAAGGTTTTTCTGAACTCCTGTTGCGTCTCAGGCTTTTAGGATATGGAGGGAGAGACCCACAGTTTTGAACCTCAGGGAGCTAATTAATCATCACACAGAAACAAAAATGCTTAACTGTTGCATTCAGATAAGTTCCTGAACTCAAAATGTAACAGCCATCTCCTTTAGGATCTTCTGCTTGAAAAAGGAATCCAGGCTGGGCGCGGTGGCTCACGCCTGTAATCCCAGCACTTTGGGAGGCTGAGGCGGGTGGATCACGAGGTCAGGAGATCGAGACCATCCTGGCTAACATAGTGAAACCCCGTCTCTATGAAAAATACAAAAAATTAGCCGGGCGTGGTGGCGGGCGCCTGTAGTCCCAGCTACTCGGGAGACTGAGACAGGAGAATTGCTTGAACCCGGGAGGCGGAGGTTGCAGTAAGCCGAGATCGTGCCCCTGCACTCCAGCCTGGGCAACAAGAAGGAAACTCTGTCTCAAAAAGGGAAAAAGAGAAAGAAACAAAGAAAGAAAGAACAGTCAGGGAGTCCTGCCCACTCAAACACAATCTTGCAGCTTTCAGAGCGTGCAAACTCACCATATCGTCACACATCTAAACATACTTCCTATAGTGAGAACAAAGGCTACAGGGCAATGAGTTCCACTTTCAGAACTACAATAACTAATAGGGCACTAAAATCCTAGCGTTTCACACTGATGCCCAACAATCTGTCCCTTCTCATCCATCAGGTCCCCACAGGAGATACTAATTACCTTAACAAAAAATAAATTATATGGTCATATGTTCCCTTTCATGGTACTATGCTCGATTTTAAAGTATGGCTAGATAGAAAGAACATACCATAAATTCTTTATCATCTCTCCAGCAAATCATCTTCCCCTAGGCCCTCCCCAAAATCATATCAAAAGTACTCTTCAATATTTATACATCCATGTTTATAGCAACACTTTTCTCAATAGCTAAGATGTAGAACAACCCATGTCCATCAGCGGATGAATGAATAGGCAAAATGTGGTATATCCATACAACAGATTACCATTCAGCCTTAAAAAGAAGGAAATTCTACAATATGCTACAACATTGAAGAACCCAAGACATTGTACTAGATGAAATAAGCCAGTCACGAAAAGGCAAACACTATGATTCCTTTTATATGAGGTACTTGGTCAAAGTCATAGAGACAAAAAGTAGAATGGTGGTTACCAGGGGCTGGGGAGGGAGGAATGCGGAATTATTGTTTAATGGGTATACAATTTCAGTTTTACAAGATGAAAAGAGTTATGAGGATGGATAATAGTAATGGTTGGACAACACTATGAGTGTATTTAAAAACAATGAACTGGCTGGGCACAGTGGCTCACACCTGTAATCCCAGCACTTTGGGAGGCTGAGGCGGGTGGATCACCTGAGGTCAGGCGTTCGAGACCAGCCTGACTAACATGGTGAAACCCCATCTCTACCAAAAATACAAAAATTAGCCGGATGTGGTGGCATGCACCTGTAGTCCCAGCTACTCAGGAGGCTGAGACAGGAGAATTGCTTGAATCCAGGTGGCGGAGGTTGCAGTAAGCCGAGATCACGCCACTACACTCCAGCCTGGGTGATAAAGCAAGACTCCATCTCAAAAAAAAAAAAAAAAAAAAAATGAACTGGTTAAGATGGTAAATTTTATGTTATGTGTATTTTACAATTTTAAAAATTGAAAAAAAAAGTAATCTTCAAGCTTTTTATCTCCCCCTTCCCTTCCTAAGCAATAAATCCAAATCCATTAAGTGGGGTCAGGCAAAACAGACGTCTACTCTGGGTGGGAGTCACATGGCCCAGAGCACAGTGTCAGAGCCCACCTGGAACAAGGAAGGCAGTGACCACACAGAAAGTAGTGGCTAGTCACAGGGTGCTGAAGCCCAAATGGGGTGAGAAGGGCATCCACAGAGAAGGACAGCCTAACATGGTGTACAAAGAAGTTCAGAAAGGCATCCCCATAGACAGGGAGGCCAGCACAGGAACATCAGAACCTAAGCAGGGGGAAAATGTCAGCATGGGAGGGCAGCCAGCGCAGGATATCAGGGCCCAAGAGGGATGAGGAAAGCATCCGTGTGGAAGTAGAATCCAACACAGGGTGTCTGAGACCAAGCAAGGTACGGAGGGTGTCCACAGGGGAAGGTAGCCTGGCACAGGGTACAAGAACCCAAGCAAGGACATTCCCACAAAGGGCAGCCAAGCATGGGGTATGGAAGCCTGGTATGGTGAGAAGGGTGTCCAAGTAGTAGGGCATCCAGTGTGAAAAGGCAGCCCAACACAAGGTTCAGAGCCCAAAAAATATGAAAAGAGACATGGTATGTGGAGCCAGACCCCGAGTAAGAGGAGAAAGGTGTTCATGGAAGAAGGTGGCTTGACGGAGGATGTCAAAGCCAGAGCAGGGTAGGGAAGATGCCTACTCAGCGGGGAGGATCAGTGTGGGATGCTGGAGCCCATGATCAGTGAAAAGGGCCCCCAGCAGGAAGAGAGCAGGCTCAGAAAGCCAGAGAGCCACATGGAAGGGTGGCCTGACATGGGAGTTCAGAGCCCAGGTGTGGTGAGAAAGGTTTTTGCATAGACATATCCTGGTGCTGGTATCAGAGTACAGCGGGGTGAGGAGAGCATTCAGAGGGAAGGAGTGGCAGTGGGAAGTTAGTTGCATACAGAGAGATCAATTAAGTAAATGTAGATATTAAATTCTGTAGGAGCCAGCGCCAGGTGCACTGGCTGTAATGCTATAATCAATCCCAGTACTTTGGGAGGCCAAGGGAGGATCATTTGAGGCCAAGAGTTTGTGATCAACCTGGGCAACATAGTGAGACCTTGTCTTTACAAAAAAAAAAAAAAGAAAAAAAGAATAATAATAAAGAAAAGATAGTGGGAACCAGGTTTCTAACTATTAGAATAAATCCTGTGGGGTTGGACTGAAAATGGATGTTGGGTGTAAACATATATGTACACACACAAACACACAGACTCCAGGGTCTGTAAGCTGTGATATCCCAACAGCAATGAATCTACCTAGCATTCAAATCTTGATTTCTATATATCATTCTCTGCCAAAAGGAACCAGCGCTCCTTGGTGAAATGGTTAATTCCAGGCTGGGTCAGGAAAAACACAAAAGTGCCTACTAATCAAAGAATGATGAAGACATATGAAAGACACAGGAGCTAGATTGAAAGGTAACCCACTGGCCAAACTTGAGACAATCTGAGCATCAAAATAAACATAAAATTACAACGTACTGAATAAAATAGAAAAACCTAAGTCCATACTGGCAAATAAATGAACTAAAATTTTGATATGGACAGGATATTTACCAAGTTTCAAAGCACCTCCACATAAAATACTTATTCATTACAAAGGGGAAAAATAGTAACCTCATGACACTTCTTTTTATTTTTGAGATGGAGTCTCACTCTGTCGCCCAGGCTGGAGTGCAATGGTGCAATCTCGGCTCACTGCAACCTCTGCCTCCCAGGTTCAAGCAATTCTCCTGCCTCAGCCTCCCAAGTAGCTGGGATTACAGGGGCACTCCATCACACCCGGTTAATTTTTTTATTTTTAGTAGAGACAGGGTTTCACCATGTTAGCCAAGCTGGTCTTGAACTCCTGACCTCAAGTGATCTGCCCGCCTCAGCCTCCCAAAGTGTTGGAATTACAGGTGTGAGCCACCGCGCCTGGCCAGGGAGACCCCATCTTACAAAACAAAACAAACACGCCAGGTGTGGTGGCTCACGCCTGAAATCCCAGCACTTTTTGGGAGGCTGAGGAGGGCGGATCATGAGGTCAGGAGTTCGAGACAAGCCTGGCCAGCTTGGTGAAACCCCATCTCTACTAAAAATACAAAAAATTAGCAGGGCATGGTGGCACGCTCCTGTAATCCCAGCAACCAGGGAGGCTGAGTCAGGAGAATCACTTGAACCCGTGAGGCGGAGGTTGCAGTGAACCGATATTGCGCCACTGCACTCCAGTCTGGGCAGTGGAGTGAGACTCTGTCACGAAACAAACAAACAAACCAAAGAGCCAAACACAGTGGCTCACACCTTGAATCCCAGTATTTTGAAAATCTGAGGTAGGAGGATCAATTGAGCCCAGAGCCCAGGAGTTCGAGGTTGCAGTGAGCTATACAGTGAGCGGAGTGATAGAGAGGCCCTGAAAAACACCTTTTTGGGACAATTAGTAAAACCTGAATGGGGTCTGATGATTATATAGTAACAATGTATCCAGAGAGGCCCTGAGAAAGACTTTTTTGGGACAATTAGTAAAATTTGAATGGGGTCTGATGATTTACATAGTAACAATGTATCAGGGTTCATTTCCTGATTTTGATAGTTTATATTGTGGTTCAGTAAGAGGATATTTGTAGAAAAATCACATTAAAGTATATCAGGGTGATGGACCATCATACTAACAATTTACTCTTAAAGAGTTCAAGGAAAAGTCTTCATATTGTATTTGAAATATTTGTTAATCTGAGATTATTTATAAATGAAAAAATTCTTGAAAAATTACTCTTCAAAAAACAGAAAACAGATGAACCTTGAAAATATCATGCTAAGTGAAATAAGCCAGACACAAAGTAACAAATACGGTACCATTCCACTTACACGGGTTTCCTAGAAGAGGCAAATTCATAGACAAAGTAGAGTAGAGGTTACCAGGGGTCAGGGAGAAAATGAGGAGTTACTGTTTAGTGGATACAGAGTTTCTGGTTGGGGTGACGAAAAATTTCTGAATATGAACAGTGGTGATGGTTACACAACACTGTGAATGTACTTAATGCCACTGAATTGTAAAACTAAAAAAAAATTTAAATGGTAATTTTTTTTTTTTTTTTTGAGACAGTCTCGTTCTGTCGCCCAGGCTGGAGTACAGTAGCACAATCTCGGCTCACTGCAACCTCCGCCTCCTGGGTTTAAGTGATTCTTGGGCCTTAGCCTCCCAAGTAGCTGAGATTACAGGCATGCACCACCATGCCCAGCAATGTTTGTATTATTTTTGTGGAGATGGGGTTTCGCCATGTTGGCCAGGCTGGTCTCAAACTCCTGGCCTAAAGTGATCCTCCCACCTTGGCCTCCCAAAGTGCTGAGATTACAGGCGTGAGCCACCACACCTGGCCAAAATGGCAAATTTTATGTTATATATATTTTTCCACAATAAAAAAAAGTGAGGGGAGTTTTTTTCTAAGTGCCCAATAAGTGTTGTTTCTATTATTTAACAGATACAAAAATATTCACTTCAAAATTATTTGTAAATGTGAACAATTAGAAAGTAGTTTAGGGAGTCTCTCTGAACCTATTCTGGTTCAGAGGGCCGCCTGTTAAAAAAACTTTTTAAAGATCTGGGTGTGGTGGCTCACGTCTGTAATCACGGCACTTTGAGAGGCCGAGGCAGGCAGATCACAAGGTCAGGAGTTTGAGAAAAGCCTGGCCAATATGGTGAAACCCATCTCTACAAAAAATACAAAAATTAGCCAGGCGTGGTGGCACATGCCTGTAGTCCCAGCTACTCGGGAGGCTGAGGCAGAAGAATCGCTTGAACCCGGGAGGCAGAGGTTGCGGTGAGCCGAGATTGCGCCACTGCACTCCAGCCTGGGCGACAGAGACTCCATCTCAAAAAAAAAAATTTTAGAAAGAAATAAACTAGCTAAACTATTCCACAATAAAGAAATGATTAAATAAATTATATGGAATTTTTTTTACCCCCCAGTCTATTATTTTATAACCAGTTCATAAAAAGTTTCTTGGGGGGTGACATATTACTTACACATCTATTGTGTAGTAAACATGTATGTATATGTGTGTGTACCCAACTACTTTGTTGGAGTGATTGCTGTGGTTTGGAACTGCTGGGGCCAAATTTATGCACAAATCTACATTTTTGAGTAAACTCCTCATGACTAGAGTAAGTTTCCTCAGTATTTGAGAATTCTTCATTTTCTAAAGCTGTACCAACATCAGATATCAATATTTGTAAGCACAAATAATGTAATTTATAATAAAATTGCTTTCTCAACTATTAGTATTAACTATATATCATCTTCATATAGCCTTATAACTCATTTGTACTATTCCATTTTCCTCTGTTCCTTTTATTTTCACTTTCCGTGTAATGTTAGTCTGTACTGAGTTCTGAAGAGTTCATTTATGATTAAAGATGTTAACAGATTTAACATCTTGTCAAGCATTGCAAAAAAAAAAAAAGAATTTCTCTCTCTCTCTTTTTTTTTTTTTTTTTTTTTTGGACAGGCGCGGTGGCTCACACCTATAATCCTAGCACTTTGGGAGGCCGCGACAGGTGGATCGCCTGAGCTCAGGAGTTCGAGACCAACCTGAACAATATGGCAAAACCCCGTCTCTACTAAAAATACAAAAATTAGCCAAGCATGGAGGCAGGCACCTGTAATCTCAGCTACTCGGGAGGCTGAGGCAAGAGAAACACTTGAATCTGGGAGGCGGAGGTGCAGTGAGCCAAGATTGCACCATTACACTCCAGCTTAGGTGACAGAGTGAGACTTCATCTCAAAAAAAAAAAAAAAAAAGCATTTAAAACAGCACTGAGGCTGGACATGGTGGCGAATGGCTGTAATCCTAGCACTATGGGAGCCCAAGGTGGGCAAATCGTTTGAACCCAGGAGTTCAAGGGTGCAGTAAGCCATGATTGCACCACTGCACTCTAGCCTGGGTGACAGTGAGACCCTGTCTCAAAAAAATAAAATAAAATAAAATCGTATTGAGCTGAGCCAGGTGTGGTGTCATATGCCTGTAATCCCATCTACTCCAGAGGCTGAGCAGGTCAAGGAGATCACTTAAGCCCACGAGTTCTAAGCCAGCCTGGGCAACATAATGAGGCCCCATCTCTTTAAAAAAGAAAAAGAAGAAGAAGAAGAAGAAGGATTAAGTGTATGATGCTCCCTGTTTTTAAGCAAAACAGTTTGAGTGTAAACAGGAGTGGCTATTTCTCTTAGGTGGGATTATATATGATTATTCTTGCTTTCTGTACATTTGCAACAAATATGATTTACTTTTATAACCAGGAAAAGTTTAAAGCTATAAAATTAAGAAAATCAAAAAGTATATTCATTTATCTAAAATCTTGTGATCTTTGTTTTGTTGTTGTTGGGTTTTTGGCATTTATTATAGTGAAACAGAAGTTTTAACAAGTAGTTTAAATCAAGAATCCTAGGCTGGGCGCAGTGGCTCACGCCTGTAATCCCAGCACTTTGGGAGGCTGAGGCGGGTGGATCACAAGGTCAGGAGTTCGAGACCAGCCTGGCCAACATGGTGAAACCCCATCTCTACTAAGAATACAAATATTAGCCAGGCACAGTGGTGGGCACCTGTAATCCCACCTACTCGGGAGGCTGAGGCAGGAGAATTGCTTGAACCTGGGAGAAGGAGGTTGCAGTGGGTCAAGATCGCGCCACTGCACTCCAGCCTGGGGGACAGAGCAAGACTCCGTCTCAAAAAAAAAAAAAAAAAAAAAGAATCCTAAACTTATTAGAGCTAGCCACCCCTTCACATCTGAAATTAAATCCTTATATATTTGGGTTGCTAAAAGATGATGAAAGATATGTGACCATCTCACTTTCCTTAACATGCTGTCTCTCCAGTTCTGCTCGGTACAATCACCCAAGTTTAAAGACAATCTATATACAGGTTACATATCCCTAATCCAAAAATGCAAAATCCAAAATGCTCCAAAATCTGAAACTTTCTGAGAGTCAACTGATGCTCAAAGAAAATGCTCATTAACATTCTGAATTTTCTAATTTGGGATGCTTCAACCAGTAAGTAAGCAGAATGTATGTATATATTCCAAAATCCCAAAAAAATCCAAAATCCAAAAAACTTCTGGTCCCAAGCATTTTGGATAAGGAATACTCAATTTTGTACTATACAGATTCCATCACTTTACTCCACCATTTTTCTCAATCCTAACTATGATATAAATTAGGTATGTATTCTGATGTAGGTATGCCTGCAGCTATGCAAATCTCCCCCATTACAGAGGCCCTAGCAACATCAATCGGCTCACCTCAAATGGGTTCAAATTGAAGTAAGAGGAACCAGGACGGGTCAGTCTTTCAATCTGATTTTTCGAAGTTAGAACCGAGTCTCTCTTCTCTATTTGTTTCACCTAAAATTATGAGGATTAAAAACTTCATTAATAGAATTCAATAACAAACTGAATTATCTTAACAAAATGTTCACTGATATGTTCAACAAACATTTATTTGTGTGTTTACCATGTGCAAGACATTTTGCTAAATGCTTTGAGAAATTAAAACTACCATTTGTTGAATTTTAATATAAAAACCTTACATGTATTTATTAATCTCAACAACCCTATGTGGTAGATACTGCTGTTATACCCAATTCACAGATAAGAATACTGAGGCTTAGAGAAGGTAACTGACTTGTTCCCAATTACCCAACTTGTAAGCCAGAATTTTAACCCCAACAGTTTGACCCCACAGCAGGCATCAAGAGGATTCAAAGATAAATAAGTCACAGCCTTTAAAGAACTTCCACTTTAATGATGGAAGATGTGCTTGTGTGTGATTATACTTCATTTATAGCTTTTAATTTTAAGAAAAAAAAAATAGGCTGGGCACAGTGGCTCACGCCTGTAATCCCAACACTTTGGGAGGCTGGGGGGTGGGCAGATCATGAGGTCAGGAGATGGAGTCCATCCTGGCCAACATGGTGAAACCCCGTCTCTACTAAAAATACAAAAAATTAGCTGGGCATGGTGGCATGGCGTGTAGTCCCAGCTACTTGGGAGGCTGAGGCAGGAGAATCGCTTGAACCCCAGGGACAGAGGTTGCAGTGAGCCAAGATCGCGCCACTGGACTCCAGCCTGGGAGACACAGCGAGACTCCGTCTCAAAAAAGAAAAAAAAAAAGTAAGAGATTTCTCTGTGAGGAAAAAAAATAAAGAAAAAAATTTAAAGAGCAAAAAAAGGAAAAATACAATCACAGTAAGACATAAACTATGAGCAGCATTTAAAACTGTTGATGGGAAGGAACAAACAACTCCACCACCTAATTCTAATAGTGTTAGAAAAAATCCCTGACTTGGCCAGGCGGAGTAGCTGTCACCTGTAATCCCAACATTTTGGGAGGCTGAGGTGGGTGGATTGCTTGAGCTCAGGAGTTTGAGACAAGCCTGGGCAACATGGCGAAACCCCATCTCTATTTTTAATTTAAAAAAAAGAAAGAAAGAAAAAAGAAAAATCCCTGACCTGAAGACAATGCCAGGGAGAACAAGCACCAGGCAGTCCCAGGAAAACATTCTTGGTGTCACTGTCAGAGTTGGAATGCTAGTTGGAATGAATCTCTGGTATGCTATATGCCATCTTTATTCCTATAGCCAAAACAAGGTTGGAAAGAATTTCATTAACATAAAAAGTCATTCCTTCTAGACATCTTCCCTCTTCACTCTATGAAAACAGGATTTTTTTTCTCTCTTGTTCACTACCGTATCCTCAACACCTAAATAGCAAACTAGTACATTTCCAATGTTCAATAAACATCTGTTAAATGAATGAGGCCAGTGTGGTGGCTTATGCCTGTAATCCCAGCACTTTGGGAGTCTGAGGCAGGAGGATCACTTGGGTGCAGGAATTCAAGACCAACCTGAGCAACATGGCAAGACCTTGTCTCTATTTTTTAAAAAAATGACTGAATTACCCTTCCTTAGATATTTTTTCCCATCCAATTCAAACAAAGGTTGCCATTTGGTTTTTTGTTTGTTTTTGTTTTTTGAGAAGGGGTCTTGCTCTGTCACCCAGGGTGTACTGCAGTGACAGAAGACAGATCATGGCTCACTGCAACCTCCACCTCCTGGGCTCAAGTCATCCTCCAGTCCTCTTGCCTCAGCCTTCCGGGCAGCTGAGACTACAGGCAGTGCCTGCCAGGTGTCTAGACCTAAATGTAATACTTTGGAGAAACTACTATGTAACAAGTACTGTTACAATTGCAAGAAATAAAAGATGGATGTGATATGGTCCTTAACCCTGAATAGCTCACAGCCTGCTGGGGGGCAACTCCATTCCTCAAACCCATGCCACCCTACAGAGGTCCCATCTTCTGCCTTGTTTAACCCTGAGAAAGATGCTTCTGCTTTATTTTTTTATGAAACGCTTTCTTATACAATAACTTTAGTCCTCATGAAAATGTTTATTTTAAAATTAACTCTCTTGCCAAGCACAGTGGCTCATGCCTGTAATCCCAACACTTTGGGAGGCCAAGACGGGAGGATTGCTTGAGCCCAGGAGTTTAAGACCAGCCTGGGCAACACAACAAGACCCTGTCACAACAAAAAAAATACAAAAATCAGCCAGGCATGGTGGCCTGAGCTTGTAGTCCCAGCTACTGATGTGGGAGAATCACTTGAGCCCAGAAGGCAGAGGTTGTGCATTCCAGCTTGGGCAAGAGTGAGGCTCTGTCTCAAAATAAATAAATTAAATTAAATTAACTCTCTTGTTTTTACAGATGTGGAATATGAAGATCTGCAAAATTAATGTCTTGAACAAATTCAATCCCGGCCAGGCGTGGTGGCTCAAGCCTGTAATCCCAGCAACTTTGGGAGGCCGAGGCGGGAGGACCTTAAGTCAGGAGATCAAGACCAGTCTGGCCAACATGGTGAAACCCCCGTCTCTACCAAAAATACAAAAATTAGCCAGGCGTGGTGGCAGGCGCCTGTAATCCCAGCTACTCGGGAGGCTGAGGCGAGAGAATCACTTGAACCAGGGAGGCAGAGGTTGCAGTGGGCCAAGATCGTGCCACTGCACTCCAGGCCTGGGCAACAAGAGCAAAACTCCGCCTTAGGAAAAAAAAAAAGAATTCAATCCCAGTCCAGTCAGGTTAACTGTCTTCCAAGAATTTTTTTCTTTTTTAGACAGTCTCTCGCTCTGTCACCCAAGCTGGAGTGCAGTGGCGCGATCTCTGCTCACTGCAAGCTCTGCCTCCCGGGTTCACGCCATTCTCCTGCCTCAGCCTCCCGAGTGGCTGGGACTACAGGCGCCCACTACCAGGCCCAGCTAATTTTTTGTATTTCTAGTAGAGACGGGGTTTCACCGTGGTCTCGATCTCCTGACCTCGTGATCCGCCCGTCTCGGCCTCCCAAAGTGCTGGGATTACAGGCGTGAGCCACCGCGCCCAACCAAGAATTTTTTTTTCTATCCTTTTTTTCCTTCTTTTTAAAGAGACAGGGTCTCACTCTCGCCAAAAATGGAGTGCAGTGGTCCGATCATAGGTCACTGCAGCCTCGAGCTTTTGGGTTCCTCCCGCCTGGGCCTCCCAAAGTGCTGGGATTACAGATGTGAGCCACTGTGCCCAGCCCCTTGCAATAATTTAATCTGAGATTCTGACTCCAAACGGCATGCTTTTATTTCATTTATTCATTCATTCACTCAACAAATATTTACTGAGCATCCACTACATACTATGCGCTGGAGATGCGATAGTAAAGGAGGCTCAGAACAAGCCCACTGCTGTCCTAACATACCACCAAGCAAGCTGTAACCTACTGTAAGGCCCCAAACTATTTCACCTCCCTAAAGCTCAGGTTCGTCATCTGTAAAATGGGGGTAATATAATGCCTAACTGGCATGATACACAGTGCCTGGCGTTCGTGAATGGCAGAAACAACCACTAAAACAACTCATTACAAAGGACTAAGAAACGTCTCGGGGGCCAAGAAGGCTAAGTCACTCCCAGGAAGGGCCCAGCCTCTGCCAGCCCCCGACTCCGCGGACTTGGGGCACTCTGCCCGCGCGCCCGCACTATGTTGGACACACTCGCCACCTCCCTCGATAGATCGAACACCATTCCCTCTTTCGTTGCCCCGGGGGATCTCCCAGCAGCTATCAGTGGGAGACGCTCACACACCCCCAGACCCCCGCCACCCCGAAGACTGGACTGAAGGAATCGCCCAACGGTCCAGGCCAGGCGGCCACTGCCTTTGTCCACTGGGAAAGCAGATCCGGGAGCGGTCGCCCCGGTGCCACTACTCCTCACTCTGTGTTCACCTCACTGTAGAAGGTCATAAATGCTTCCTCGGTGCTGCCTCCGCCGCCTGAAGTCCCGCTCTCTCCTGAAGCCGCCATTTCCCCGGCCCAGCCACCACGTGACCCTTCTGCGCAGGCGTCGCCTCACGTGATTCTTACAGGTCCGCTCCTCTAGCCCCGCCTCCCGTCTGAGAGGTTCTTAAAGGGCTCGCAGCCCAGCCAGGCACTTTAAAAGTAGGTGGGCTTTTTAAAATTTAAACGAATTACACATAACATATAATTAACCACTTTAAAGTAAATAATGTGCTTAAGTTATTGTTAGGTAAAAAATAATAAGAAGAATAAAAGAAAAAGTGAATAATTCAGTGGGTTTATTTATTTATTTATTTTTGAGACAGGATCTCTGTCGTCCAGGCTGGAGTCGAGTGGTGCAATCACAGCTCACTGCAGCCTCGACCTCCCAAGCTCAAGCGATCCTCTCACTTCAGCCTCCCGAGTAGCTGGGACTGCAGGCGCGCGCCACCATGCCCGGCTAATTTTATGTACTTTTGTGGAGACGGGGTCTTGCCATGTTGCCCAGGCCTCCCAAAGTACAGGAATTACAGGCATGAGCCACCGCGCCGGACCGGCTCAGCTGTCTTCAGAACATTCACAATGTTCTGCAACCACCATGTCTACCTGGTTCCAAAATAGTTTCATCACCTCAAAAGGAGACTTAGTATCTACTTTTTTTTTTTAGACGGAGTCTCACTCTGTCACCCAGGCTGGAGTGCAGTGGCGCCTCCCCGGTTCCAGAAATTCTGCCTTAGCCTCCCGAGTAGCTGAGATTACAGACAAACGCCACCATGCCCCGCTAATTTTTATATTTTTAGTAAAGCCGGATGTTCACCATGTTGGCCAGGATGGTCTACGATCTCCTGACGTCGTAATCCGCTCGCCTTGGCCTCCCAAAGTGCGGGGATTACAGGCGTGAGCCACCGCGCCTGGCCGAGGAGACCTAGTACCTATTAAGCAGTTACTCCCTATTCGCCCCCTCTCCCCAGTCCCTGAAAACAAGCAATCTGTGTTCTATCTATATGGATTTACCTATTCTGGATATTTCACATAAATGGAGTTAAACAATATGTGAATACGTATTTCACATAAATGGAATTAAACAAAATACCAGGTAGGGCTGCTATTTTCTCAACTAAAATATAATCAATAAAGCCAGTTTTACTATTTCATAGAAAACAAAGAAGGTTTTGTTTTGTTTTGTTTTTTTGAGGCAGAGGCTTGCTCTGTTGCCCAGGCTGGAGTGCAGTGGCATGATCTTGGCTCACTGCAACCGCCGCCTCCCAGGTTCAAGCAATTCTCCTGCCTCAACCTCCTGAGTAGCTGAGATTACAGGCGCATGTCACCACGCCCGGCTGATTTTTGTATTTTTAGTAGAGACGGAGTTAGTCAGGCTGATCTCGAACTCCTGACCTCATGATCCATGCGCCTCGGCCTCCCGAAGTGCTGGGATTACAGGTGTGAGACACCACGCCCAGCCCCAAAGAAGGTATTTTTATAATCATCAATCAGGTAGATAATCTGGCCCAATTCTCTCATCTAAAAAAGAAGAAACAGAGAAGAGAAAATGAGTTAGAGAAGAGCTATAAACTTCATGAGAGTAAAGACTACTGTTGTCTTGTTCACATTCATTAGATGGATGAAGGGAGGTTAAGGTCAAGCTTTCCCTAGACTCCTACTTATCCTTTTTTTTTTTTTTTTTTTTTTTTTTTGAGACAGAGTTTCGCTCTTGTTACCCAGGCCGCAGTGCAATGGCGTGATCTCAGCTCACCGCAACCTCAGCCTCCCGGGTTCAAGCATTCTCCTGCCTCAGCCTCCCAAGTAGCTGGGATTACAGGCATGTGCCACCACGCCTAGCTAATTTATTTTTTATTTTTATTTATTTATTTTTGAGACAGTTTCTCTCTTGTTGACCAGGCTGGAGTGCAATGGCGTGATCTCAGCTCACTGCACCCCCTGCCTCTCAGGTTCAAGCGATTCTCCTGCCTCAGCCTCCCGAGTAGCTGGGATTACAGATATGCGCCACCATGCCCAGCTAATTTTTCATATTTTTTTTTTAGTAGAGATGGGGTTTCTCCATGTTGGTCAAGCTGGTCTCGAATTCCCAACCTCAGGTGATCTGCCCGCCTCGGCCTCCCAAAGTGCTGGGATTACAGGTGTGAGCCACCGCGCCTGGCCTGCTCTTTTCTACTGCATTGCACCACATTGCCAAAAGTGCAGTTATTAAGCCCATTCAACAATATGTTGCTAACGAAAAAAACAAACTAAAATATTTTTAAAAGGTTTATTCTGAGCCAAGATGAGTGACCATAGCTTGGGGAAACACAGCCTCAAGAGGTCCTAGGAAACTGTGCCTGAGGTGGTCAAGTTATAATTTGGGTTTTCTTTTTTTTTTTTTTGTTTTGAGACGGAGTCTCGCTTTGTCACCAGGCTGGAGTGCAGTTGCGCAATCTCGGCTCACTGCAACCTCCGCCTCCCGGGTTCAAGCCAATTCTCCTGTCTCAGCCTCCTGAGTAGCTGCGATTACAGTCGCGTGCCACCGCACCCGGCTGATTTTTGTATTTTTAGTAGAGACGGGGTTTCCCCATGTTGGCCAGGCTGGTCTCGAACTCCGGACCTCAGGTGATCCACCCACTTCGGCCTCCCAAAGTGTTGGGATTACAGGCGTGAGCCACCGCGCCCAGCCAGAACACTGACACTTCTCATAACAAATGAACGCGATTTATGTATATCTAAGCCAGGGCACATTGGACGTCGGTATCCTGGACATCAGCATCCTGGACACAGCTCCCAAACCCCGAATTCCCCCATTTTATTGATGCTAGCAGGCCAGGGAAGGGAAAACTTCCTTTGGGCTTTGAATAATAACGACTTTAGAATTGAAATCGTGGGCTGGAGGTGGACGCCACGCCTCATTCTGATGGGTCCAAGAGCCGAAATTTCGGCTTCTGGCACTCTCCTCACTCAGCTCTCTAAACTCCTCCATCATTCCTCTTTCCAGTCCTTTGGCCCTAAGCCCTTGCTAGCGGTTGGCTAAGAAGAAACCCGTCTCTTGCTCGGGATTCGCTGTGAGCTCCGGGAAGCCCGCCTCCGCTCTCCCGTGATTCGCTACTCCTGTGTTCATCCGCCCCTCCGTCGACCAGATTGGGTGCTTGGCCGTCCCTGCCATTAGCGCGTAACGAGAGACTGCTTGCTGCGGCAGAGACGCCAGAGGTGCAGCTCCAGCAGCAATGGCAGTGACGGCGTTGGCGGCGCGGACGTGGCTTGGCGTGTGGGGCGTGAGGACCATGCAAGCCCGAGGCTTCGGCTCGGATCAGGTACGCTGCGGCAGTGTCCGCTGCTCCAGCCCCGCGGGCGGATCCCATCTTTGCTTCCGTACCTTTACCAGTGTCCCTGTCTCTCTGCAGTCCGAGAATGTCGACCGGGGCGCGGGCTCCATCCGGGAAGCCGGTGGGGCCTTCGGAAAGAGAGAGCAGGCTGAAGAGGAACGATATTTCCGGTGAGGCTCACCGGGTCCCAAGTCCAGCCCTGGATCTCCCAATGGCCTTCCAATCCTTAAACTGCCAATCGCCCCACCCGTTCCTACCTGGTGCCTTGGGCGCCCCATCCCCCAACAGAACTCCCGGGCCCCAATCCAGTATACCCTAACCCTTGATGTCCCGACCGTTGCCACGTATAGGGCACTCCCAGTTACCTGCACAACAGTTTCAGGCCCCCAAACCGTTTCCACCGGCGGGTCTCCAAAACAACCCACGGCTCAACTCCTCCTTTATCATTACCATCTCCCGCGTGGAGTTCTCCTCAGGTCGTGCGAAACACCCCCAGATTCTTCGCACAGTGTCTAGATCCGACCGCCCAACGTTTGCCTCCCAGCCTGACTCCCTCGGCCCTTACCCACCTGTCACCCCCTCTACGCTCTCCTTCCTCGCCAGCACGCCTTAGCTTTGCAAGCCTGCATGCATTCAGGCTTCTCAGGTGTTTCTAGACCCCCGACTCCGCAAGAGTGAGGATGATGGGAGCTGGTCATGGGAGCTACTTATGGTTGGACACCATCTTCTAAAGGCTTTTGCCCTACTCAGCCCAACCTAGACCTGTAGATTTCCCTCTCCTGCTTAGGAGTATGGAGTGGGCTGGGCCTCCCTTTGCCAGCCTTGAGTTATCTTTAACTGACTTCTGTCCACTCTGGAGAGCAGTGAGGAATTAATCTTGCTTTTGCTTGTCCTTTGGCCTTTCACTTCTGCCTTCTGTTGAGAATTATCACCATGACACCTGCCATACCGTATAGAGAGCCAAGGTACAGCCGTTAGAGACTATCTAATTGAGCCCCTACATTTTGTAGTTAAGGAAAACTGAGGCCTAAATGTGACCAAACCAACATTGTAATCCAGTCCCTTCTTGGAACCTAAATTGAACTGCCAAGTACTGCGCATGCAAGAGACCCTTTATTGGCCTTACAGTGGGCCATTCATTTCTATAGGCAAAGAAAGCTCTAGACAGATTGGAATAGGAAATGGATATTTGCCTTTTAGCTACACCCCTTTGTCTGTCTTCCTCATTTTGTTCCTTTTTTTTTCCCTAAAGGGGAGTCAAGTTCCCTGGGTTGTTCCCCTCATAAGGTATTAGGGACTTGTGTCACATCTCTCTGGAGTTTTCTATTTTAAAGAGGAATCTGAAAGCAATAAGCTCTTTGGTCTTCTTAAGATGGCTACACCTCAATTTAAGATGGGGTATTCTTTCACTAGTTGAGGAGTAGAAGAGGATGACCAGCTAGACTCCCATGGAATTGGAACTCCTATTCCTTGCTTAGACATTACAGGTTATGCTTTGAGATCTCTTTGGGGTGAAGGATTGAAATTAAACCCTGAGCCACCGTGTCCTTGTAGAGCACAGAGTAGAGAACAACTGGCAGCTTTGAAAAAACACCATGAAGAAGAAATCGTTCATCATAAGAAGGAGATTGAGCGTCTGCAGAAAGAAATTGAGCGCCATAAGCAGAAGATCAAAATGCTAAAACATGATGATTAAGTGCACACCGTGTGCCATAGAATGGCACATGTCATTGCCCACTTCTGTGTAGACATGGTTCTGGTTTAACTAATATTTGTCTGTGTGCTACTAACAGATTATAATAAATTGTCATCAGTGAACTGTGTTTGATGCCTTCTTCTATCTGGAAGAGATAGACAGACACCAATGGACTGCTAAAATGGATTAGAGGCGTCCCTGCATCCAGGAACCCACAGACAATGCACAGTGTGATAAGTGCTATGAAACAACACGAGTTGGGGGGATAGGTGTGACACAGACAAAGTACCCCTCCCCGTCTAATTAGAGGTGTTCAGAGAAAGCTTCCTGAAGGATAAATCCCAATCTGAAGCATAAAGATCAGGAGGATCCTGGAGATCCGAAGGAGTCATTGCTTCAAAAGATACAATTAGGCCAGGTGCGGTGGCTCATGCCTGTAATCCCAGCACTTTGGAAGGCCAAGGTGGGTGGATCACCTGAGGTCAGGAGTTCAAGACCAGCCTGGACAACAGTAAAACCCCATCTCTATTAAAAATACAAAAATTAGCCAGGTGTGGTGGCACGCACCTGTAGTCCCAGCTACTCAGGAGGCTGAGGCAGGAAAACCACTTGAACCTGGGAGGTGTAGGTTGCAGTGAGCCGAGACTGTGCCACTGCACTCCAGTCTGGGTGACAGAATGAGACTCTGTCTCAAAAAAAAAAAAAAAAAAGATACAATTGAAAGTACCATCAGTTAAAACAGCATTTTGCATTTTTAAAATGGTTTAGAGGATACTTAATATGAGCTAGTCATCCTTGTTCTAATTTTGTAGATTGAGAGAACTGGAATTAGAAATCATGTGATTTATACAGTCACTCAGCACCTTGGCAGTGAGACTTGTGTCCAGGTTTTTTGACTACTAAACCAAGTCTGTTATTAGCAGAAAATCAGAATTATTTCTTAGGTTATATTTTGCTTTGCCAAGTATTTTGTTTCAAATTAGACTTGAGGGCCTAGTATAACTAAATTATTATACAAACTAGTTGTGTAACTCCTCTAGGCAAAAAAATTTGAGGTGACATTTGGGCCATTAGCAAAACATTTTCAGTTCACCAGTTCAGTAGAGTATTTGCCCAGGATTGTAATGAGTTATTTGTTCTAAGACCCTATCTATCTCACAAGGGCCTGTAGGACCATTGAGTGATAAAAGCTTGGAGAAGTCGCATTGACCTTGTCTGTACAGACAAAACACTAGATAGTTTGACTTGCCCATGAAACTGAACACAGCCAGGTGTGGTATGTGCCTACAGTTCAGCTACTTGGCAGTCTGAGGCAAGACGATTGCTTGAGCCCAGGAGTTCCAGACATGCCTGGGCAGCATTTTGACCCCATCTCTTTAAAAAAAAAAACAAAAAACAAAAAACTAAACTTTGAATTATAATGATTATAATGTTGCTGAATCTCAGCACTGAGGCCTCAGTAGTGCCTATAAATCTTGCAAGTGGCCAGCAACAAAATAACCTGAAAAGATGAAGTTCAAGAAACAATCATACTAAGTCAAATGCCTTTTATTTTAACATTATTAACAGTGCAACACTTGAAAAGTTTAAAAATTGGAAACAAGTATTAGCAAACATCTTTAATTTTGCATATTTGTAACCAAAAAAACAAGGTATACAAAATCCCCTGAATTTGTACATGATGGTGTTTTTTTGACTTATAATCAACAATTGCCTTACTAAGAGTGATGTTCCTGAATTGTTTCCTCAGTAAAGGTGTACCATAGGCTGGGTGCGATGGCTCATGCCTGTAATCCCAGCACTTTGAGAGGCCGAGGCAGGCGGATCATCTGAGGTCAGGAGTTCAAGACCAGCCTGGCTAACATGGCAAAACCCCATCTCTACTAAAAATACAAAAATTAGCCATGTGTGGTGTTGGGCACCTGTAATCCCCGCTACTCGGGAGGCTGAGGCAGGAGAATTACTTGAACCTGGGAGGCAGAGGTTGCAGTGAGCTGAGATTGTGCCACTGTACTCCAGCCTGAGAGACAGAGTGAGACTCCATCTCAACAACAACCAAAAAAAGATTAAATAGGCTAATTTAAATATATCTGAACTTTGTGAAAATGGTAACTCATGGTCTTTTTGTTATGATATACCTGTGGTTAATTTTTCTATCATGCTGCAGTAAAAGCAAGATGTAAATACTGAGTAATATCACAAACATGTTTGAATCCTAAAAGAATTTATGTGACATGAGCCAGTAACCACTGAAAAAACAGCACAGGTCATAGGTGGTTCTTAGAATCAGGATAATTTGGAAAATACTACAGCAGTGGTTCCATGAGCCAGCAGTGTCAGCATCACCTGGGAACTTGTTAGAAATGCAAATTCTCGGCAGGGCGCGGTGGCTCTTGCCTGTAATCCCAGCAATTTGGGAGGCCGAGGTGGGTGGGTCACAAGGTCAGGAGTTCGAGACCAGCCTGGCCAATATGGTAAAACCCCGTCTCTACTAAAAATCCAAAAATTAGCTGAGCATGGTGGCGGGCACCTGTAGTCCCAGCTACTCGGGAGGCTGAGGCAGAAGAATCGCTTGAACCGGGAGGCGGAGGTTGCAGTGAGCCAAGATCGCACCACTGCACTCCAGTCTGGGCAACAGAGCAAGACTCCGTCTAAAAAAAAAAAAAAAAGAAATGTAAATTCTCAGGCCCCACCACAAACCTGCTGAAACGAGGGGTTTGACTCAGCAATCCTTTAACAAGCCCTCCGGTTGATTCTGTCATGTATGCACCAAAGTTTGACGATCATTGTAGTACAGGTAGTTTCTCATGGAATCTGCTGGCATTTTTGGGTAAACACTTTTATAAAGACAGATTATTAGGTATAATAAAAGTAACTATATATGTTTAATATAATTCATAATATGAATGTGACTTTAGAATTTAGAAATAAATGGTTCTTGTATGGAACTTGTTAACATTTGAGAACACAGCATTCCACAGAATACAGTTTGGGAAATACTTCACTTGTATAATATATTTATTGCCTTAGTCAAAATTCTTTTTGTCCTCCGCCTCCCACTGCTTCACTTGACTAGCCTAAAAAAATAAAAAATAAAATCCTTTTTGTTTACATGTAACAGAAACCAGCACTGGCTGTCTAAAGGGGAAGAAAAAGAGTAATTTACTGGAAGAAATAGGGGCTATTGTCTCACAGAATCTCAAGAAGATTTCAGCAAACAAGACTCAGGAAAAAAAGGGACAGCAGTAGCCAGAGGAGTTCTGTGAACTTACAGGAGCAGATCTGTCTAAGCAACTTCTAAACCCTCTGGGTCAGAATCGGGCTGGCTGGGCTGGGCGCAGTGGCTCCCCGCTGTAATCCCAGCACTTTGGGAGGCAAAGGCGGACGGATCACTTGATCCCAGGAGCTTGAGACCAGCCTGGGTAACATGACCAAACCCCATTTCTGCAGAAAATACAAAATAATAATAATAATAATAATAATGGCGGTACAGGCCTGCAGTCCCAGCTACCTGGGAGGCTGAGGTTGAAGTGAGCTGTGATCATGGCACTGTACTCCAGCCTAGGCAACAGAGTGAGACCCTGTTTCCAAAAAAAAAAAGAATCATTGGGGTGCTTTTTTTTATATATTTGAAAGAGTTCTATAGAATTTTATGCAGTGAAGTTATTTAACAATCGCAGAATTAATGGAGCACTTTAAAATTATTTGCTCATTAAATCTCATATTTTTAGCAAATAGATCCATTCCATTAGTTTAATTTTATAACCATAGTAACCGAAGCAGGGAATTGTGAAGTAACTTTCACAAGGTCACATGATCAGGTTTGTGCTGATCAAGGTCTTCACTTCAGAACTCTTGCTCCCACAACCTTGAGTTGCAGTTCCAATCCAGTGCTTCAGTTGCCTATTAGCTAGCTCCCTCCTCAATCTGGGGGAGTGGGAGGTACATGGGTAGCGGGGTATGGGTGGTAAAGGCAAGGGCTCCTGGAAGTAAATATAGAAGTGCCAGCGGTTGGTGTTGGCATTAGCTTTTTGGCTGTAACATAAACCCCGTCAGCATGTCTATGCATGCCTATATGATGCAAACACATGTTTGCAATAGAGGCTAGTTTGAGATTTTCACAACAGTAAGTCTAAAGTTGTAGTTCTCAGGCCGGGCGCAATGCCTCACATGTGTAATACCAGCACTTTGGGAGACCGAGGCAGGCGGATCACCTGAGGTCAGGAGTTTGAGACCAACCTAGCCAATGTGGTGAAACCCCGTCTCTACTAAAAATACAAAAATTAGTCAGGCATGGTGGCGCACACCTGTCCAGCTACTTGGGAGACTGAGGCAAGAGAATCACTTGAACCCAGGAGGCGGAGGTTGCAGTGAGCCGAGATTGCACCACTGCATTCCAGCTTGGGCGACAGAGCCAGACTCCAACTCAAAAACAAGTAAAATAAAATAAAATAATAAAGTTGTAGTTCTTAGCACAGGTGGCACACTGAAATATGTGGAGAGCTTTAAAATCTCTTCCGCAGCTGGGCGTGGTGGCTCACGCCTGTAATCCCAGCACTTAGGGAGGCTGAGGCGGACGGATCACGAGGTCAAGAGATCGAGACCATCCTGGCTAACATGGTGAAACCCCGTCTCTATTAAAAATACAAAAATTAGCCACGCATGGTGGCACGCGCCTGTAGTCCCAGCTACTCGGGAGGCTGAGGCAGGAGAATCGCTTGAACCCGGGAGGTGGAGGTTGCAGTGAGCCAAGATTGTGTCACTGCACTCCAGCCTGGGCAACAGAGCGAGACTCCGTCTCAAAAAAAAAAAAAAAAAAAAAAAAAAGAAAGCAGAAATAGGCCAAAAGCTAGGCCTCTTGCACCAGTCAAGTTGTGAATACAAAGAAAAAGTTCTTGAAGGACATTAAAAATGCTACTCCAGTGAACATACAAATGATAGGAAAGCAAAACAACCTTATTGCTGATATGGAGAAAGTTTGAGTTATCTGGATAGATGATCAAGCAAGCCACAACATTCCCTTAAGGCAAAACCGAATATGGAGAAAAGCCCTAAATCTCTTCAATTCTAAGAAGGCTAAGAGAGGTGAGGAGGCTGCACAAGAAAAGTCTGAAGCTGGCCAGGTGCAGTGGCTCACGCCTGTAATGCCAGTACTTCGGGAGACTGAGGCGGGAGGATCCCTTGAGCTCAGGAGTTCAGTCATCATGCCGCTGCACTCCAGCCTTTATTGGAGTAGCATTTTTAATGCTACACGAATGATAAGAAACCAAAACAGCCTTATTGCTGACAGGAAGAAAGTTTGTGTGATCTCAAACTTTGATAAAAGATCAAATCATCCACAATATTCCCTTAAGCCAAAACCTAATCCTGAGCTCAACGGAAACACCTGCCTCAGTCTCCCAAGGTGTTGGGATGACAGGTGTGAGCCACCACGCCCAGCTCAAAATCTTTAAATTTTTCTTCTTTTTTTTTTTGAGAGGAGTTTCAGTCTTGTTGCCTAAGCGGGAGTGCAATGGCACAATCTCGGCTCACCGCAACCTCACCTTCCAGGTTCAAGTGATTATCCTGCCTCAGCCTCCCAAGTAGCTGGAATTACACCAACACGCCCAGCTAATTTTGTATTTTTAGTGAAGATGGGGTTTCTTCATGTTGGTCAGGCTGTTCTTGAACTCCCGACCTCAAGTGATCCACCCGCCTCGGCCTCCCAAAGTGCTGGGATTACAGGCGTAAGCCACCGTGCCTGGCCTAAAAAAAAAAAATTTTTTTAAGTAGCTGGATTTGATGGCATTCAGATGTAGTCCCAGTTACTCCAGAGGCTGAGGCAGGAGTATCACCTGAGCCCAGAAGTTTGAGGTTACAGTGAACTATGATTGCACAACTGCACACCAGCCTGGGCAACAAAGCAAGAACCTGTCTAAAATAAGAAATAAAAGAACAACAAAGTGACCAGTATAGCTGGAGCAGAGTGAGCAAGCAGGAAAGACACAGGAAATAAGGGGCAAGAGCTGTATGTGAAGTTGCACACACCCTGTAGCAGCAAAATTTCTACTTCTGGACACTCCATTCCATTTGGTTTGATCCAATTGGCTGACTTTGGCCTGGTCTTATCAAGAAAAATAAATGCCTCAAGTTAATGAGTGAACAAGCAAATGTGTTAGTTAGAAAAGGCTGGATAATGACATAAGAAATGCTAGTTGTTAAGTCTCATTCTGCCTGCCTTACACTTTTACCTTGAGGAAGTGTGTGTGTGAGCAAGGGTGAGCAAGAGTGGAAGGAAACAAAGATGAAAGGGGGAAAGCACAAGACTATCAAGGAGCTTTTTTTTTTTTCCTTTTTTTTTTTTGAGACAGAGTCTCACCCTGTCACCCAGGCTGGAGTGCAGTGGCACAATCTCAGCTCACTTCCACCTCCGCCTCCCAGATTCAAGCAATTCTCCTGCCTCAGCCTCCAGAATAGCTGGGACTACAGGCATCTGCCACCACCCCAGCTAATTTTTTTGTATTTTTAGTAGAGACGGGGTTTCACCATGTTGGCCAGGCTGGTCTCGAACCTGGACCTCAAGTGGTCCACCCATCTCGGCCTCCCAAAGTGGTGGGATTACAACTGTGAGCCACCGCACCCAGCCAATCATGAAGCTTTGAATACCATGTTAAGGAATCATGACCCTGTCCAACAGTTTTGAACTCAAGTTGCTACAGGGGCCAGGCAGGTAATGTAAATCATCAAGTCTTCCATTCGTTACTGTTACGGGAAGTGAGAAACCAAGTCTGGTTTGTGGGACCCTCGAATGCAGTCTCAGTGTTACCAGAACTTCCTGTTTTCCAAGGGAAATCATAAATTGGAGATTTTAAAATCTTAGTAAATTCTTCAAACCCAGAAGACTGAATAATATATATTAAGTAAACCAAATTCTGACCCATCGCATGTCCAAGTACAACCAGGACAATGCAAGACAGAAAGAGTTTTGTGCCCGGAAGTGTCTGGGTCAGAGTATTTTTGGATGTCTTTGCTTATCTGAGCTATTTATATTTGCCTCTCTTGTCACCTGTCTGATCCTGGCAGCCAGATTTTGGCCATTACTCAGCTCTGTTCTCACACACACCGACACCCCCACAAGGATAGCACAGGCCCATCTTAGGCATCAATAATGTTCACAGAAACAAACTTTCAAGAGTTTCGGCCAGGCGTGGTGGCTCACGCCTGTAATTCCAGCACTTTGGGAGGCCGAGGCAGGCAGATCACGAGGTCAGGAGATGAAGACCATCCTGGCTAACACGGTGAAACCCTGTCACTACTAAAAATACAAAAAATTAGCCGGGCGTAGTGGCACGTGCCTGTAGTCCCAGCTACTCGAGAGGCTGAGGCAGGAGAATCACTTGAACCTGGGAGGTGGAGGTTGTGGTGAGCCGAGATAGCCCCACTGCACTCCAGCCTGGGCGACAGAGGGAGACTCCATCTCAAAAAAAAAAAAAAAGTTTTACAATTAGCATTAAGAGTCTTTTGTTTTTTGGGTTTTTTGTTTTGTTTTGTTTTGTTTTGAGATGGAGTTTTGCTCTTATTGCCCAGGCTGGAGTGCAATGGCGCGATCTCGGCTCACCGCAACCTCTGCCTCCCGGGTTCAAGCGATTCTCCTGCCTCAGCCTCCCGAGTAGCTGGGATTACAGGCATGTGCCACCACGTCCGGCTAATTTTGTACTTTTAGTAGAGACGGGGTTTCCCCATGTTGGTCAGGCTGGTTTCAAACTCCTGACCTCAGGTGATCCGCCCACCTCAGCCTCCCAAAGTGCTGGGATTACAGGCATGAGCCACCGTGCCTGGCCCAAGAGTGTTAAAGTCTGGTGCAGTGGCCTGTAGTCCCAGCTACCCCAGAGGCTGAAGCAGGAGGATCATGTGAGCCCAGGAGTTTGAGACCAACCTGGGCAACACAGCAATACTCCCTCTCTTAAAAAAAAAAAAGCCTTAAATTTATTTGTTCATAGTCTTCAACTCACGAATTTTTCTAGGAATTTAATTAATCAGGAATATAATTATTTAAGAGTTTTATCTCATCTTGAAATATGTGAAAAATTGGGAAGAAAACCCTAAATGTTCTCAATAAGGATTAATAAATTATAGCATACATGAATAGTCTGCAACCATTAACAATTATATTTAAGGAATATTTAATATTACAAAAATTATGAAATGTGCTAAGTGGAAAAAGCAGGCTATATAGCTATACATTATTAATACGGTATATAAACTTATATGCTATAAAAATAACCAACATGTTGGTTTCTCTTTGTAGTGCAATTGGGATTTGAGGGAGTTCTCCCTTCTCTGTTTAAAAGGATCTCTTTAAAAAACAACAAATGTAATACAACTTAGCACATAGATAGATATTAAATAAGTGTATTATATAAAGAATCTTAAAACTTCTCCCTTCTCCGTCCACCCCAGAGCTAACCAATGGTAACAGGTGCAAACTACACATCTTTCCAGATCTTTGTTTCCTCTGTGTAACTATGTATACAACTATGAGACTGTTCTATATGTATCATTGCGCAACCTCGGTTTTTGCTTCGTTCTGTTTTAACCTAACAGGAAATCCTGCATACCTTTCCATTTCAGAGCACTTGGAGCTACCTTCTGTTTCTTTGCTGTAGAAGCCGTTGTGTGAACAAATCCGTTTATTTCTCTCATCAGTCTCCTTTGATAGACATTTGGGTCACGTCCGGTTTTACGCTTTTACAATACATCAGTGAACAGCAGTAATACGAGCTCAAGACAGAAGGCCTGAAAAACATTGAAAAACACAGAGACGGAAAAAAAAAAACCACAGAGGGGGAAATATAATTTCGGGTTATTTCAGTTTCACCTTTACACTTTGTTATATTCCACATTTTTTGCAATAAATATAAATTTGGAAGTAAAAGCATAAAACGAAAATCAAACGATTGATTGATTGATTGATTGACTGAGACGGAGTATCACTCTCGTCGTCCAGGCTGGAGTGTAGTGGCGCGTTCTCGGCTCACTGCAACCTCCGTCTCCCGGATTCAAGCGATTCTCCTGCCTCAGCCTCCCGAGTAGCTGGGATTACAGGCGCCCGCCACCACGCCCGGCAAATTTCCAAACGTATATTTAAAAGAAGAAAAGGAAAAGAGGGGAAAAAAAGAAAGAAAGAAAGAAAGAAAGAAATTAGAAGCAGATGGGGCAGTTCAGCCTCTTCTCGCGGAGCGGGGCTAGACGGAGTCAGGGGCGGACCGCCACAGCCTGCACCAATCAGGACCCGGTTGATAGGCAGAGCCTGGCGACTTCGAAGACTCGCCCCCAGTCAAAGAGCCCCGGGGATTCGTTTCCGTACGCAGCCTGGAAACCAGCCTGGGCCTATCCTGCGCGCCGCTGCGGGCTACTATTGGCTGCCAAGAAACCCCGCCCATCTTCCTGCTCATTGGCCGGTGCGGTTTACGTAAGAGGAGCCTGTTGCTGAGCGAAAAGTCTGTTCTGCAATTTTCGCTAAGGAGTTGTTAACGCTGAAACCGCACTGGGCGTCCTGGGGTCAAAAAAACAATACTAGCCACAGTTTATTAAACTGCAACTAAATGCCAGGCTATGTGCGCCAAACTTTTAATATTAATGGTTGTAGGCACCTTTCTTGAACACCCACCACTATCAGCCAGTCACTGAGCCAGATCCTTCAAAATAACAGTAAAAATATAGATAATCTACAGTTTATTGAGCACTTCATCTGCATCAAGCCTTGTTAAGGGGTTTCCATGCATAAGCTCTCATTCTCACAATAGAACGGTGGAGGTAAACTATTGCCCCATTTAACATTTAACATGCAGTCCTGTAGACCCAGCTACTCGGAAGGCTGAGGTGAGAGGACCCAGGAGCTCCAAACTTAAGTGAGCTATGATCGCGCCACTGCACTCCAGCCTGGGCAACAGAACGAGACCTGTCTCAGAAAAACAAAAACGTAATAAAAGAAAAACAAAAACAAAAAAACAGGAAACGGGTTCAGAGAAGTGAAGTGTTTTGCTGAGGTTCACAAAGAAAGGGTTGGAACTGGAACCTTCAACTCCGATATCCTGATTCCAAGTGTGGCCTTTTTAGGGAGGGGGTCGGGGTACAGAATTCCGCTGGGGATAGGGAAAGGTAGGACAGGATGGTGGGAGGCCAGAGGCGTTGCTCCAGGGACAAGCCTCAGGGTGGTTCTCTGAGAATAGGATGTATAGAGCCTCTAGGAGTGGAGGGTTGGGGAAGGAAGGGAGACCAGAGGAAAGGGAGAAGTTGTTCTTTCTGAAAATGTGAGGCTTCTCTCCTGGGGCAGCCTATTAAGGTGTAGGTAGCCCTGGACCTCGAGATTCTAGTCTCCACTCTGTGGCCAACTTCCTAGGGAACCTTGGGCAAATTCCTCTCTCTCGACCTGAGGCTTCCTGCCTTGTAAGAGAGGTAGTAAGCCAAAACAATGGAAAGTGCATTCGGGCTGTGAAGTATTTTAGGACTCTGGTCCTTGCTGGCAGCAGGGGGAATCTTCAGCAACCACAGACCTTTACTTAGCTGTTGCCTGGCCTCTTTTCAAGACCTTCAGGCGGTGACATGGACCCTAACAATCCTATAAACTCAAAACGGTTTGGGCCAGCCCTTTCCTACTCCATTCTGACTTAGCTATAGCAGGATCTGGCCTGCAGGGGGCGTTGAGGAACCACTCAGCCGACAAAACTAAACTAAATCAACCAAGCAATTTGCCCAAAAGCACCCAGTGCGTTAGTTTTTGCATTTAAGAAGGGTAAACGTTTCCAAACCTGAAGATTTCTGTCCTCAGTATGCAATCGAGAAGACGAATTATATACACTGCCAGTTCTTTATGGCACCAGTTCTCTCCATAATGACTCTGCAAGTTTAGAGCTAATTTCTATTTCTTTGTTTTACAGATAGGGAAACAGATTCAAAGAGCTGGAAAAAAAAAATTCAGTTTGGGTTACTTGGCTAAAAGCTGGCACCCGAATTGCCTGACTCCTGGGAAGTGCTCTTAGGAGATAGTTGGCTTTGTTTCTGGGAGTCTGTGGTTGTACTGCCTGCTAATGCACAACTCCAAAGGACAATTTTGGTTGTGTAGCTTGACAGCTCGGCACCTGTCAGCTCTGTGCAGGAAGGACCTCCCTCCCCACCTAGCACAATGCCTGCTTCATGAGTAATTGAATTAATGTGTGACTAAGCCTTGAAGGATGGGTCTTCTTTGGCTTTATCAAACCAATTGGAGTGGAACTTCTTTCCTGAAAGTTCCCCCTGGGCAGGAATTGTATCTGAGATTAGTGGGTGGGGAGGGGGGAAACAATAAGAAGAGCTCAGAAAATGACATCTGGGGTGATAAATCACAGCCCCCCGAATGGTCCCATTACAAGGTCATTATAGTAAAGTGATCTCAGAATTTGAGACTAGAAAACTAATTCAGGAAGAATGAATACAGAACAGATGACAATCATATTAGGGTCATAATCTGAAATGGATCTAAGGCTGAAGACATCTCAAAAACATTTCAAATCCAGTCTAGGTAGGTGTATCTTTGGGACTGGAAGGTGATTGAGGAATATAAATAGCTGGCCAATCAGTGGCCTCAACATAGCTGATGCAAGAGTTGAGAGTGTGGCAACAGAAGAAGGAGATCTTTACCCAACCAAAAATACAAGGCAGTGGGGAGGGGAGGAATGTGCCCAGCCAGTGGCACCCTGCCATGCCCTGCTAGGCTGCTAGCTTCACCACTGGATTTCCCAGAGCCAGGCACAGTGCCTGGTACACACAAGATGGTAAATAAATATTTATTGAATGAAAAAAGGAAGGAAGGAACTGGAGCCCTGACCAGCAGATAGTTGCTGAGTAGAGCAGTTCAATAATTCGTCCTTTCACTTGCTCAGATTCCAGCTGCCTTAGCCACCTTCAGATGATAAATTTGCCTTTCAGTAAAGGCTCTCCTACAAAGAGGAATGCCCTGGCCTCTCAATTACAGGTCGCTTGACAGTTATGTTTCTCACTTCCAATTAATATATCTGCTTTAAGCATCAGTTCCTTTTGCCAGCCGGCTTCTTACATATTCATGTGTTTGTCTCATCAATGGAGTGGTGGAGTTTCTGCATAGGAGTCATTCCTGCCTGGGTTGGAATCCTTACTCAGCATATTACTAACCTATCTGACCTTGGTCCAGACGTGTTACCTCTTGAGTCTCAGTTTTCTCATCAGTCAAATGGAGACACAATAGCCTGTTTCACAACGTTGTGGTGAGAGTTACCTGAGACAGTGATGTATCCTGAATTCTTGCTGGAGCTCAGTAACTCTTAATGTCTGTGCTTCTTCCTGGCTTTTCTTTTTTGGAGACCAGGTCACAAAAGATAATATCAAGGCTGGGCGTGGTGGCTCACACCTGTAATCCCAGCACTTTGGGAGGCCGAGATGGGCAGATTGCTTGAGCTCAGGAGTTCAATAACAGCCTGGGCAACGTGGTGAACCGCCCCACCCCCCACCCCCCACCTCGTCTCTACAAAAAATACAAAAATTAGCCAGGTGTGGTGGTGTGCACCTATAGTCCCAGCTGCTTGGGAGGCTGAGGTGGGAGAATCACCTGAGCCTGGGAGGTTGAGGCTGCAGTAAACAGTGATTGTGCTACTGTACTCCAGCCTGGGAGACAGACTGAGACCCTGTGTTAAAAAAAAAAAAAAAAAAAGGCCGGCGCGGTGGCTCACACCTGTAATCCCAGCACTTTGGGAGGCTGAGGCGAGTGGATTACCTGAGGTCAGGAGTTCAAGACCAGCCTGGCCAACATGGTGAAACCCCGTCTCCACTAAAAATACAAAAATCAGCTGGGCGTGGTGGCATGTGCCTGTAGTCCCAGCTACTCAGGAGGCTGAGATAGGAGAATTGCTTGAATCCAGGAAGCAGTGGTTACAGTGAGCCAAGATTGCGCCACTGCACTCCAGCCTGGGCGACAGAGCAAGACTCTGTCTCAAAAAAAAAAAAAAAAGAATTTTGGGTCAGGTTCAGTGGCTCACACCTGTAATCCCAGCACTTTAGGAAGTTGAGACTGGGAATTTGAGACCAGCCTGGTTAACATACTGAGACCCGTCTCTGCAAAAAATAAAAAGAAATTGGCCGGACAGCATAGTGCACACCTGTAGTCCTAGCTACTTGGGAGGATAGTTTGAGCCCAAGAGTTTGAGGTTACAGTCAGCTATAATCACATCACTGCACTCCAGCCTGGGTGACAGAGTGAGTAGAGGGAGACTGTCTCAAAAAAGAAAAAAAAAATTCTAAGAATTTTTTGCTTTTTCTTCTCACAAAGTTACTATGTAAATGAAGCTTTGGGAATGATTTAGTGACTGCCTTAAAGATTCTAAGGAGTTATTCAACAGAGGAGAGTAACTCATACACATTCATTCAAAAATATTCACTAAGGACTCACTACAGGCATATCTTGTTTTTTTGTCTTTTTGTTTTGAGACGGAGTCTTGCTCTGTCGCCAGGCTGGAGTGCAGTGGCGCAATCTTGGCTCACTGCAACCTCAGACTCCCTGGTTCAAGGGATTCTCCTGCCTCAGCCTTCTGAGTAGCTGGGATTACAGGGATACGCCACCACGCCCAGCTAATTTTTTTTTTTGTATTTTTAGTAGAGACGGGGTTCACCATGTTGGCCAGGATGGTCTTGATCTCGACCTCGTGAACCACCCGTCTCGGCCGGCCTCACAAAGTCCCGGGATTACAGGCGTGAGCCACCGTGCCCGGCCGGCATATCTTGTTTTATTGTGCTGCACTTTACTGTGCTTTGTAGATAATGCATTTTTTTGTTTTTTTGTTTTTTTGAGACAGAGTCTTGCTCTGTCGCCCAGACTGGAATGCATTGCTCAAGCAATCAATCAAGCCCGACCCACTTTATTTATTTATTTATTTATTTTAGACAGAGTTTCGCTGTGTCACTCAGGCTGGAGTGCCTTGCTCAAGCAATCCTCCTGCCTCAGCTTTCCAAGTAGCTGGGATTACAGGCATGCACCACCAAGCCCAGCTAATTTTCTATTTTTTTTTTTTTTGAGTTGGAGTCTCACTCTGTCCCCCAGGGTGGAGTGCGATGGCGCGATCTTTGGCTCACTGCAACCTCTGCCTCCCGGGTTCAAGCAATTCTCCTGCCTCAGCCTCCCTGAGTAGCGGGGATTACAGGTGCCCACCACCACGCCGAGCTAATTTTTGTATTTTCAGTAGAGACGGGGTTTCATCATATTGGCCAGGCTGGTCTCTTGGCCAGGCTGGTCTTGAACTCCTGTCTTCATGATCCACCCGCCTCAGCCTCCCAAAGTGCTGGGATTACAAGCGTGAGCCACTGCGCCCAGCCAATTTTCTTATTTTTTGTAGAGACAGAGTCTCGCTATGTTGCCCAGGCTGGTCTCAAACTCCTGGGCTCAAGCGGTTCTCTTGCCATGGCCCCCCAAAGTGCTGGGATTGTAGGCATGAGCCGCTAAGCCCAGCTGCATGTCTTTCATTTTAAATCAAAAGCTAGAAATCATTAAGCTTAGTGAAGAACATGTGCCAAAAGCCAAGATAGGCCAAAAGCTAGGTCTCTTGAGCCAAATAGCCAAGTTGTGAATGCAAAGGAAACATTCTTTTTTTTTTTTTTTGAGACAGTCTTGCTCTGTCTCCCAGGCTGGAGTGCAGTGGCCTGATCTCGGCTCACTACAACCTCCACCTCCCAGGTTCAAGCGATTCTCCTGCCTCAGCCTCCCGAGTAGCTGGGACTACAGGTGTCCACCACCATGCCTGGCTAATTTTTGTATTTTTAGGAGAGACGGGGTGTCACCATATTGGCCAGGCTGGTCTCGAACTCCTGACCTTGTGATCCGCCCACCTCGGCCTCCCAAAGTGCTAGGATTACAGGTGTGAGCCACCACGCCCGGCCAGGAAACATTCTTTTTTTTTTTTTTTTTTTTGAGACGGAGTCTCGCTCTGTCGCCCAGGCCGGACTGCGGACTGCAGTGGCGCAATCTCGGCTCACTGCAAGCTCCACTTCCCGGGTTCACGCCATTCTCCTGCCTCAGCCTCCCGAGTAGCTGGGACTACAGGCGCCCGCCACCGCGCCCGGCTAATTTTTTGTATTTTTAGTAGAGACGGGGTTTCACCTTGTTAGCCAGGATGGTCTCGATCTCCTGACCTCATGATCCACCCGCCTCGGCCTCCCAAAGTGCTGGGATTACAGGCGTGAGCCACTGCGCCCGGCCGAAACATTCTTAAAGAAAAATTTTAAATGCTACTCCAATAAATACATGAATGATAAGAAAGCAAACAGCCTTATTGCTGATAGGAAGAAAGTTTGAGTGGTCTCAGACTTTGATAGAAGATCAAACCGTCCACAATATTCCCTTAATCCAAAACCTAATCCAGAGCAAGGCCCTAACTCTCTTCAATTCTAGGAAAGCTGAGAGACGTGAGGAAGCTGCTGTAGAAAAGCTTAAACCTAGCATAGTTTGCTTCATGAGGTTGAAAGAAAGAAGCCTTCTCAATAACAGAAAAATACAAGGTGAAGCAGCCCATGCTGATGGAGAAGCTGCTGCAGTGAGTTATCCAGAAGATCTAGCTAAGATAACTGATGAAGGTAGATACACTAAACAACAGATTTTTCCATGTAGACAAACAGCCTTGTAATGGAAGAAGATGCCATCTAAGACTTTCATAGCTAAAGAGAAGCCAGGTTGGGAGCAGTGGCTCATGCCTGTAATCCCAGGACTTTGGGAGGCTGAGGCGGGCAGATCACGAGGTCAAGAGATTGAGACCATCCTGGCCAACATAGTGAAACCCCATCTCTACTAAAAATACAAAAAATTAGCTGAGCGTGTGGCATGTGCCTGTAGTCCCATCTACTAGGGAGGGTGAGGCAGGAGAATCACTTGAACCCAGGAGGTGGAGGTTGCAGTGAGCCGAGATTGTGCCACTGCACTCCAGCCTGGGTGACAGAGGGAAACTCCATCTCAAAAAAAAAAAAAAAGAGACAGAAGCCAATACCTGGTTTCCAAGTTTCAAAGCACAGGTTGACTCTCTTGTTAGGGGCTAATGCAGCTGGTGACTATAAGTTTAAGCCAGTGCTCATTGACTATTCTGAAAATCCTAGGGCCTTTAAGAATTATGCTAAATTTACTCTACCTGTGCTCTATAAATGGAACAGGCCGGGAGTGGTGGCTCATGCCTGTAATCCCAGCACTTTGGGAGGCCGATGCAGTGGATCACTTGAGGTCAGGAGTTCAAGACCAGCCTGGCCAACATGGCGAAACCCCGTCTCTACTAAAAATACAAAAATTAGCCAGGCGTGGTGGTGCGCACCTATAATCCCAGCTACATGGGGGGCTGAGGCAGGAGAATCGCTTGAACCTGGGAGGCAGAGGCTACAGTGAGCCAAGATCATGCCATTACACTCCAGCTTGGGCAACAGAGTGAGACTCCGCCTCAAAAAACAAACAAAAAATGTGATCCATAGAAGGAGGCAAAAAAATCAACATAAACAGGAGTTTGAAAGAAGCTCATTTCACTCTCATGGATGACTTTGAGGTGGTTCAAGACTTCAATGTAGGAAGTAACTGTAGGTGTGTTCGAAATAGCAAGAGAACAGCCTGTCCAACATAGCGAAACCCCATCTCTACTAAAAATATAAAAATTAGCCAGGCATGGTGGCACATCCCTGTAATCCCAGCTACTTGGGAGGCTAAGGCAGGAGAATCACTTGTACCCGGGAGGCAGGGGTTGCAGTGAGCCGAGATCTCACCACTGCACTCCAGCCTGGGCGTCAGAGCAAGACTCTGTCTTCAAAAAGAAAAAAAGAAATAACAAGAGAAGTAGAATTAGAAATAAAGCCTGAATATGTGACTGAATTGTTGCAATCTCAGGATAAAACTCGAATGGATGAGGAGTTGCTTCTTCTTTTTATTCTTTTTTTCTTTATTCTTTTGTTTTGTTTTGTTTTGTTTGAGATGGAGTTTCGCTCTTGTTTCCCAGGCTGGAGTGCAGTAGCGCAATCTCAGCTCACTGCAACGTCCACCTCTTGGGTTCAAGCGATTCTCCTGCCTCAACCTCCCAAGTAGCTGGGATTACAGGCACCCACCACCATGCCTGGCTAATTTTTTGCATTTTAGGTAGAGATGGGGTTTCACCATCTTGGCCAGGCTGGTCTTGAACTTCTGTCCTCGTGATCCATCCACCTCAGCCTCCCAAAGAGCTGGGATTACAGGCGTGAGCCACTGCGCCTGGCCAATTTTTGTATTTTTAGTAGAGACGGGGTTTCCCCATGTTGGCCCAGGCTGACTTTTCTTTTTTTGTTTCTTTAAGGAGTTGCTTCTTATGGCTGAGCAAAGAAAGTGGTTTCTTGAGATGGAATCTACTCCTGTGAAGATGCTATGATCATTGTTGAAATGACAACAAAGGATTTAGAATATTACATAAGCTTAGTTGACAAAGCAGCAGCAGGGTTTGAGAAGATTGACTCCAATTTTGAAAGAAGTTCTGCTGTAGGTAACATGTTACCAAACAGTATCACATGCTACAGAGAAATCTTTCATGGAAGGAAGAGTGGATCCTTGTGGCCAACTTTATTATTGTCTTATTTTAAGAAATTGGCACAGCCGGCTGGGCACCGTGGCTCACACCTATAATCCCAGCACTTTGGGAGGCTGAGGCTGGTGGATCACCTGAGGTCGGGAGTCCAAGACCAGCCTAACAAACATGGAGAAACCCCATCTCTACTAAAAATAAAAAATTAGCCGGGCGTGGTGGTGCTACTCGGGAGGCAGAGGCAGGAGAATTGCTTGCACCTAGGAGACGGAGGTTGCCGTGAGCCGAAATCACACCATTGCACTCCAACCTGGGCAACAAGAAGGACACTTCGTCTCACAAAAAACAAACAAACAAAAAAAAAGTGCTCTAACACAGCCTTGTGCAGTCAAAAGAAGATACTGTGTGACCCTGATAAGCAATTTTTGTTTTTATTTTTATTTTTATTTTTGATTCAGTGGCACAATCTGCAACCTCCATCTCCCAGGTTCAAGCTATTCCCTTGCCTCAGCCTGCCGAGTAGCTGGGATTACAGGCTCTCGCACCACACCCGGCTAATTTTTATGTTTTTGGTAGAGATGGGATTTTACCATGTTGGCCAGCCTCCCAAGTACATGAGATTATAGGTACATGCCACCACACCCTGCTGATTTTTGTAGTTTTTGTGAATACAGGGTTTCTCCATGTTGACCAGGCTGGTCTCGAACTCTTGGGCTCAAGGGATCCTCCCTTTTGGCCTCCCCAGATGCTGGGATTACAGATGTTAGCCACCAAGCCTGGCCAATTTTACCTTTCTGAGCTCAAGTTTTCTCACTTTGTACACGTGGTCAATGAGAGATTTTTATCATCAGTTGGAGGGAAGTGGTGAGATATATACACATGATATCAAGCATACACCAAGTTTGGAGATCAGTGGTAGAAAGAGATAAAAAGAATGTGTTGAAGATGTTGAGGACTGGGTGAGATTACTTTCAGCTGAGCTTTTTGGAGGAGGTGTCATTTAAAGTCTTGCTTCAGGCCACAAACAGGAATGAAGGCATTGAATGATGGATACTATTTCAATGGGTAGAGATTTGCAAGAAGAGTACTGAAAGAAAGATTTGAAGGCCAAACAAGAAACATGGATGTTGCAGGTGGTAAGAATGGGAGGGTAAATTAGGTGCATCTTGGCAAACCTTGAATGTTAAGATAGGAGTTTGATTTTTTTTTTTTTTTTTTTTGAGACAGGGTTTCGCTCTGACACCCAGATCGTGCAGTGGCACGATCTCAGCTCACTGCAACCTCTGCCTCCCGGGTTCAAGCGATTCTCCTGCCTCAGCTTTTCGAGTAGTTGGGACTACAGGCGTGCACCACCACGCTTGGCTAATTTTTGTATATTTAGTAGAGATGGGGTTTCACGATGTTGGCCAGGATGATCTTGAACTCCTGACCTCAGGTGATCTGCCTGCCTTTGCCTCCCAAAGTGCTGGGATCACAGGCGTGAGCCACCATGCCCACCCAAGGAGTTTGATCTTAATTCTGTAGCTGATGAAATACCAGTGAAGCCTTTTGATCTGGACTTTGACATTACATAGTAAATTTTTTTTTTTTTTTGAGACAGAATCTCACTCTGTCACCCAGGCTAGAGTGCAGTGGCACGATCTCGGCTCACTGCAAGCTCTGCCTCCTGGGTTCACGCCATTCTCCTGCCTCAGCCTCCCAAGTAGCTGGGACTACAGGCACCCGCCACCACGCCTGGCTAATTTTTTGTATTTTTAGTAGAGACGGGGTTTCACCATGTTAGCCAGGATGGTCTTGATCTGACCTCGTGATCCGCCCACCTCGGCCTCCCAAAGTGCTGGGATTACAGGCGTGAGCCACCACGCCTGGCCACATAGTAAATTTTTTAAATGAAAGCTGAAGCTGACACAGGGTAGTTTAGAGAGGAAGTTGATGCAAAGGAAGATTCCGTGACCAAGGGCATATGATTGTCAGGACATTTTGCTAGGTGACATAGAGCAGGAGATGGATGTCAAGATGTAGACCCTGCCAGCCAGGCGCGGTGGCTCATGCCTATAATGCCAGCACTTTGGGAGGCTGAGGCGGGCAGAGCACAAGGTCAGGAGTTCGAGACCAGCCTGATCAACATGGTGAAACCCTGTCTCCACTAAAAATACAAAAATTAGCCGGGTGTGGTGGCACTTGCCTGTAATCCCAGCTACTCAGGAGGCTGAGGCAGGAGAATTGCTTGAACCTGGGAGGCAGAGGTTGCAGTGAGCCAAGATCGGGCCACTGCACTCCAGCCTGGGAGACAGAGTGCGACTCTGTTTAAAAAAAAAAAAAAAAAAAAAAAAAAGATGTTGACCCTGCCCTCAAGGAGTTTACAATTAAAAAGATCAGATAAGCCAGACTCAGTGGTGCACACCTGTAACCCCAGTGATTGATTTGGGGGGCTGAGGAGGGAATATCGCTTGAGCCCAGGAATTTGAAGCTGCAGCGTGCTATGATCATGCCACTGTACTCCAGTCTGGGTGACAGAGCTAGACCCCATCTCTAAAAAACAATACTAATAAAAAGAAAAAAGGGTCAGATAAAACATGTACATAGAAAATTACAATACAAGGCAGAATGTGGCTGGACATGGTGGCTCATGCCTATAATCCTAGCACTTTGGGAGGCTGAGGTGAGAGAATCGCTTGAGCTCAGGAGTTTGAGACCAGCCTGGGCAACATATTGAGACCCTGTCTCTATTTACTAAAAAACAAAAAACAAAAACAAAAAAACAGAAAACAAAAAAACAAAAAACAAAAAAAACTAGGTAGAATGTGATACATGTGAAAAGAGATCCAGCTCAAGTGCCTTGGGAGCTCAGGGGAGGGTGAGATTAATCTCTTTTTCCCAAGAATCTGGAGGCAGGAAACCAAGTCGGTTTCATCTTTGGAATTGTAAGCTTAGACTTAGAAGTCTCAGAGGGGGACTTGGGGGTCTTATCCACCCTCACCCCTGGCAGGATTCCCTGTCTAGAATAAACAATAACTTTAAAATGGAAACAAAAAAAGGAGCTCTGAAGGAAAACTGTGAAGGAAGAGGCTCCGTTTGAAATGAATAGAAAATGAATTTAGCTTGGAGGTGCTGAGGTGTTGGTAGAGGCAACTTTCTGGCAAGAGGCGAGTTGAAGGCCAGGAAGTGAATGAGATCAGGGAGAGTGTCTGGAGGGAAGAGGGGCAAAAACAAACTGGGGAAGCACCCACGTTTTAGGAAGTGGGTGGTGAAAGAGGAGTCAGAGAAGGCCAGAGGGAGAGGTGAGCAAAGATCCAGCAGAACACCTTGTTACAAAGTTTCGAGGAGGGTGGGAGGGGTGGAAGCCAGGACGGGTAGCAGAAGGAAGAAAACTTCCAGCAATAGGGATTGAGGTTCCACACGAAGTTACCAATGACATTTCAAGGAATGAAGGCTTTTCCTGAGGCTCCACAAATAAGGTGAATTCCCTGTGTCTCGCATCTTTGGAGCTTCCCCGAGGCCAGGGGGAGCAGGGTTGTGCCCTCTGACCTCTAAATATCTGGGGTTCAGTTCTATAATTAGCAGCACCGGATAGGACGCGAGCCAAACCTCTCTTAACCCTAGCCAGTCCCTCCAGGAACTGAAAAGATGAAGAATTCATTTAGGAGATTTCACACTCGGCTGTTTGGCCTAGCCCAGTGAAGTCCCTTTTCATCACGCAACCCTAATGACTCTTAGGGCTGTCACTGCCGTCTGGTGTTGCCAGGGATCTGACTAAACCGTCTTGCAAAAGTTTGCAGCATTCACCCGAGGCGGACTACAACTCCCAGAATTCCGGGCGCTCCCCGGTGCTGATTGGCGGAGCCCGTGACTCCAGGGGGCGGAGTTTCCCCCGCCTCCCCGGGGAAACAGACCTCTGATTGGCTGGACCGCCGGGCTTTTGTGTCCCCGCCCTCCCCCGGGGACCGCAGCGGGCTGAACTGCTGGTGTCAGAGCCCGGCGAGCGCTGGCAGTTCCGCGGCGGGGATGCTGAGGAGCGCTGGGTCCGGGAGCAGCCCTGGCCCCTGCGGACTTCCGAGGCCGTGAAAACCCCTGCGCTGCGGCCCTTCCCAGGCCCCCGAGGCCGTTCGCCGTTCCCGAAGCCCGACTGGGGGAAGAGTCCAGCACCAAAGCGGCCGTTCTCGGATTCCGGAGCGTTCTGGAGCCCCGAGAGACGCCCCGGGGTTCTAGAAGCTCCCCGGCGGCGCCCAGTCCCGGCTTCATTCGGGCGTCCCTCCGAAACCCACTCGGGTGCACGGGTCGTCGGCGAGCCGCGACCGGGTCCTGGCGCGCACCATGATCGTGGCGGACTCCGAGTGCCGCGCAGAGCTCAAGGACTACCTGCGGTTCGCCCCGGGCGGCGTCGGCGACTCGGGCCCCGGAGAGGTAAGCGGCGGCCGCGCGACGCCCCTCTTCCCTGGAACCCCGAACCGCGTCTGAGCCTCAGGCTGTCCGGAGCTGAGTCGGTGTGTCCTGGGCTCGGGGAGGGAAAGCCGAGCGCGTAACCCGGGACCCGGGTTGCATCAACTGGCAGCCGCGGCCCTCGGCACCCCTCCCCCACTCTGTCTCCCCTCTCCCTCCTTCTCCCCCTCCCTCTCCCCCTCCTCCCTCCCTCTCCCCCTCTCCCTCACCGCCCCACCCCAGGGCCGCGGATCCTTCCTCGGCTCCCTCGGACTCCTGGCCAATGAGGGAGAAGCCTTCTGGAGGCTCTCCGAGCTTTGGGCTCCTGAGCGTCTTCAAGTCCAGGCAAATCCCGGCCGGAGCGGCCAGACCACTCCTCCTCCCCGCCCCCTTCCGCGGAGTCCCTTCCTCTTCGCGGGGGCCGGCGGGCAGAGGACCCTTCCTGGGGTGCCTCCCGGCTCCTGTCCCCCAGCGCGGGGCGTAGGCACCTGGGACTGGCCAGTGAAAGTCGACCTCATCCTATGTCCACCGCACTCCTGCTTTGGAGGGAGAGCGCAGGGGCTCTGGGGGCTTGGCGGGCCGCCCGGTACGCGGCGGCGGCAGCCAAAGCTGGGGGGAGAGGGGACAACCCTGGTCGCGGCTTCCGAAGCCAAGCGCGGGTTAGGCTGCGCCCTGCTAAGTAAGTGGTCTGAAGGCCCAGAAGTTTGTTTTCCAGAAATTCCTCCCCCACCCTCCCTTCGCGCCGCTCCCCTCCACCCCCCCGCATTCGCATCCCGGCATAGCCCGCAGGGGCTTTGCAGGGAGACCGGGAATTAGGCTGGACCTAACCAGACTGACAGTTCGCACTCCCCCACCACTACCAGCAGCAGCGATAATGGACATCTTATCATTTATTATGCACCTACTAGATACCAGGCTCTGAGTTTTTTTCGCCTTTAACCTAAGTCCTCAGGACTAAACCAGCAATACAAGCTACGCTATAGCCCCATTTTACAGGAAGAACATTGAGGCCCACGATGGGCTCAGAAAGAGGCTTTCTTCATTAACCCCACTGAATATCTTGTTCTTTGGCCTTATGATTTCGGAGATTGCACGGCACTAGGAGCTTCTAGTTGCTTTAGTTTACAGGCCTAGAGTGTGGTGGAAGTTGTATTCTGGACCTGGGATTTGGTGGAGTGCTATGACCCCAGGAAAATCCCTGCTTTTCTCTTAGTAACGTGGTTTCTGGGGATCCTACCTCCGTCGGTGTATAGTTTGTGCCCTGGTTTTTGTTAGCTTGCTTACCCTTCTCTGCCGTGATTTAGGAGCGCCATGTGGAGGAATGGCTCTTCTCCTGCAGCTTCTCAGCTGTGTGACTTCTTTGGAAAGATGGAAATAATGTTACTATTGAGAACACCTGAACACTAGAGAGCAAGAGTGCTGGGTTCATGTCCCAGCCCTCCTGCTAACTTGCAGTGTGTGGCTTAGCCAGTAATCACTTCTCTGATCTGTGGTTTCTTCCCATGGGGATTTTACAGTATCTCTAAGGGATTGTTGGGAGAATTAACTCAGAATACAAGCAAAAGCTGAAGCACTGTGACTGGAACATAGTAACTGCGTGATACTTGCTTGCTATTATCAGAACGTGGCCATGGCACGCACAGCTTTCTCCAGAGTGTCTCACAAGGGGGTGCCTGAGCCTGTTCCTGAGATCAGACACTGTACACCCCTCTCTGGGTCAGTGCCTGGTCTAGGGAGAAAAGGCTTTGAGGGAGGGATCTTTACACAGAAGCCATGTTTCCTCAGTGGAGAAAACTGCTGCTATCTGGGAGGTTTCTTTTTCTTATCTTTTTTTTTTTTTTTTTTTGAGATGGAGTCTTGCTCTGTTGCCCAGGCTGGAGTGCAGTGGCACGATCTCAGCTCACTGCAACCTCCATCTCCCAGGTTCAAGCAATTCTCCTGCCTCAGCCTCCCTAGTAGTTGGGATTACAGGCACCCGCCACCATGCCCAGCTAATTTTTGTATTTTCAGTAGAAACAGAGTTTCAGCATGTTGGCCAGGCTGATCTTGAACTCCTAACCTCAGGTGATCCACCTGCCTTGGCCTCCCAAAGTGCTGAGATTACCGGCATGAGCCACCGCACCTGGCCTATCTGGGAGATTTCTGTGTATTCCTCTCTCGAGAAAAGAGGACCTTCGGACGGTTTCTGCTTTGAGTGGTGGCATCCTTAGAAGACAGCAGGGTGCTGATCTTTGAGTCAGGTGCCCGAGGTCCAAGAGAAGACCCAGGCGTGCAGCTCCCTTAACTCCCTGTCACTTCACCACACACTCCCTTTCAGGAGCTCATTGCCTTCAGATGTGTGTATCTTCAGAAAGTTCCAAGGGCTTCACTCTAGTACTGGTAGTATTGGGCTCCCGAATAACTTTCTCGGCCAGATGCAGTGGCTCATGCCTGTAATACTAACACTTTGGGAGGCCGAGGCAGATGGATTGCTTGAGCCCAGGAGTTCAAAACCAGCCTGAAACCCTGTCTCTACAAAATATACAAAAGTTAGCCAGGCGTGGTGGTGTGCGCCAGCTACTTCGAAGGCTGAGGTGGGAGGATTGCTTGAGCCTGGGAGGCGGAGGTTGCAGTGAACTGTGATCATGCCACTGCACTCCAGCCTGGGTGACAGAGCAAGAGTCTGTCTCAAAAAAAAAAAAAAAAAAAAAACCAGGCTGGGCGCGGTGGCTCGCACCTGTAATCCAAGCACTTTGGGAGGCCGAGGTAGGTGGATCACAAGGTCAGGAGATTGAGACCATTCTGGCTAATACGGTGAAACCCCGTCTCTACTAAAAATACAAAAAATTAACCCTGCGTGGTGGCACACGCCTGTACTCCCAGCTACTCCGGAGGCTGAGGTAGGAGAATTGCTTGAACCTGGGAGGCAGAGGTTGCAGTGAGCCGAGATCGCTTCACTGTACTCCAGCCTGGGTGACAGAGTGAGACTCCGTCTCAAAAAAAACAAAACAAAACAAACTTTCTCAGACATCATTTCTTCTTCAGGGAAGCCCTTCCTCCCCCACTAGATAAGTCCCCTTGCACACCCTCCTCCATTCCCTCCATTGTAGGAGCTTTGGTCCCAATTATGTGAAATAGTCCCTTGCTGGAGATACCCTGCAAGTCTCATCCCCAGCACTGCTCTTTGCACCTAATAAGTGTTCGTGACTAGTTGCCCCTTGCTGGCTTAGCTGACCCTTGTGAACTATTCCAGCCGTGGAGTCAGATCTGAATTGTGCCCATTTGGAAGAGGACCTTTCTGAGCCTCTCTGACCTGTTTCCGAAGAAGGGATTATAAGAACTGTTTCCCTCTGGGTGGTTGGGAGGAATTGGCACAATCAGATGTGTAAAGCACTTAGCGTGGTTCCCAGCTCATGATGGGCAGACAAGTGTATGGCACCACTCACTCACACCCCCTCCACCCTGCCCACTCCAAGGCTGGAGGTCCTGGGCTGCTTGGGCTGTATTTCCGTATCGTCTTCTCAGGCATAAACCCAGGAAAATATCTGAATTCAGCTGGGGGTGAGGGAAGGAGAAATAGTGTCTGTTCCTTCCCAGCTGGCAGAGTGGGTAACCAGGTGTCTGTAGCTGAGACCAGGGACTTACAGGCTCTATAAAGGATAATATAGGGTAACCGAGAATAAAGTCTGGGGCTTCTCCAAGAAGCCGATATGGGTAGTAGACAGAACCCTTGGAAGCCAGACTGAGCTGGGTTCAACTCTCCAAGGCTGGGGCTGCTTCCCAAAGCTGTTATTATGAAGTGGAATGGACCTTAGAAGCCAGGCAGCCGTGGGTTCAGATCTCAGATTGGCTACTTGTCAGCTGGTGCCTAACCTTTGAACCCTTAGTCTTGTGTGCAAAATAGAGACTCTGCCGCCGCCCCAAAACAGATGAAAATTAGATGGAACCTGTGTGCAAGTACCTGAGCTAATTTAAAAGTTAACATATAGTAAGTGCTTAAATTAGGATCCATGCCAGGCATGGTGGCTCATGCCTGTAATCCCAGCACTTTGGGAGGCTGAAGTGGGAAGATCGCTTGAGCCCAGGAGTTTGAGACCAGCCTTGGCAACACAGTGAGACCTCATCTCTATTTAAAAAAAAAAAAAAAAAAGGCCAGGCACGGTGGCTCAAACGCCCATAATCCCAGCATATTGGGAGGCCAAGGTGAGCAGGTTATGTCTCTACTAAAAATACAAAAATTAGCCGGGCTTGGTGGCGCATGCCTATACTCCCAGCTACTTAGGAGGCTGAGGCAGGAGAATTGCCTGAACTCAGGAGGCGGAGGTTGCAGTGAGCCAAGATCACGCAACTGCACTCCAGCCTGGGTGACAGAGCGAGACTCCATCTCAAAGAAAAAAAGAAAAAAAAAGAAAAAATTAGGAGCCAGGCACAGGTCTGGGGCCATTATCCTCTTTTTACAGTTTGTGTGAAGACCTTCATGTTGAATGACCACCTAAAGGGTTAACTTTAGTGTTCCTGTTGCCCCATGTGATCTGTTTAGTTGAAATTATAAAAATACCCAACACTGGTTCTCCCTCTGTCCCACACTAGCTGTTATTTTGGACAGGTGACCTGACCCCTCTGTGTTGCACTTTTCTTGTTCTGTTACGTGGAACTGGAATCATGCCTTTATCAGGTCTACTGAACCTGTACCATCCAATATGGTAACCCCTCACTACATGTGGCTATTTAAATTTAGATAAATTAAAATTAAATAAAATGAAAATTTTTTGTTGCATTTGTCACATTTCAAATGCTCAGCCACAGTGACTAGAGACTCACATTTCTTGGACAGTACAGATATAAAACATTCCATCATCGCAGAAAATTCTGTTGGACTGTGCTATGCTAGGCACTGGGGTAACAACAAAGAACTAGATTCAGTGTGTGCCCCCAAGTGTGACAGGTGCTGTGACTGGAGCTTCTCATTCTTGGTGAGTCCCAGATGCAGCAGCCTGGAGACTATTGAGACCTTGAGAAGTTTAGAGAATGGGGAATCATTTCTGCACTTGCAGAAACCTGGGTTGTATCCCAGCCCTGCTACTGCCTTCCTGCCTGAGTAGCCAGAAGTGAGTTGACCTCTCTGAGCCTTGTTCCTCATCTGTAAAATGGAAGCCCTAGTAGTAGCTTCTGCCCTAAAGTCCAGGTAGTGCATGTGAAATTAATGCTTAGCCAGTGGTAACCAGCCTTGTTATGCACCATTGTTATTACTGACTCCCCAGTCCAGGGAATTGGGCAGGGAGGGCTGACTTGGAGGGGTCATTTCTTGGCAGTGGTATGCTGCCCTGCCTGCTTCCTCTGTCAGGATCGGGGAAGCATTCAGGGTATTGGAGCCATGGATTCAAATCTACTTGGTTTTGCCTTCAGGGCTTTATACTCGCGTTCCCTCTGGCTGGAATGCTGGTCCCCCTAGTTTTTGGGGTGTGTGTTTGTTTGTTTTGAGACGGAGTTTCACTCTTGTTGCCCAGGCTGGAGTGCAATGGTGCGATCTCAGCTCACCACAACCTCCACCTCCTGGGTTCAAGCAATTCTCCTGCCTCAGCCCCCCGAGTAGCTGGGACTACAGGCATGCACCACCATGCCTGGCTAATTTTTTGTATTTTTAGTAGAGACGGGGTTTCTCCATGTTGGTCAGGCTGGTCTCGAACTCCCAACCTCTGGTGATCCGCCTGCCTCGGCCTCTCAAAGTGCTGGGATTTCAGGCGTGAGCCACTGCGCCCGGCCTGTTTGTTTTTTAAGAGAGGGTGTCCTGCTGTGTTGTCCAGACTGTTCTCAAATTCCTAGCCTCAGGTGATCCTCCACCACCAAGCCTTCCAAAGTACCGGGGTTACAGGTGTGAACCACCCCACTTAGGCCCCCTAGATCTTTACAGGCCTTGCTGTCTTCTCATCATTTAGATAACAGCTCAAAGACCACCTCCTCAATGGCTTCTCCTGTCTACTTACACTAAAATATTGCACACTCTCCCTCCCCATCATACAGTTACTGTTTATTTCACTCACTTTATAGAATCTGTGCTTTGAAATCCTGTTTATCAGATTCTGAATTATATGAAGGCCAAGGGCTTTGTCTTTTCACTGCTGTATTCTTGCTGCTTGCAATATAGCCATCAAAAATATTTGTTGAGTGAACAAATTAATTCTGTTTCCACCTAGAAAGCACTTAGCATAGTGCCTTATACTTGAGAAAGTGATCAATAAATGGTGTAAACAATGGTCCTCACCCTGGCTGTTATGCTGGGGCCCCACCCCAGATAACTAAATTAGAATTGCGGGAGGTGGGACCTTGGCATTGTTATTTTTGTAAAGCTTCTCAAAGGATTCTAATGTACCGCTTGGGTTGAGAAGCCCTTGTTTGATACAGCAAGGAGGTTAATGATACCTGACTTTTTATTAAGTGCTTATTGTTATGGAGGTATTGAGGTAAGCTACACAGTGTTATCTCATGAAATCCTCATCACTGGCCAGTGGAAGTAGTTACTGCTATCCCCATTATTTGGTAAAGAAACTGAGGCTCATAAAGCTAAGGGATAGCAGGTGGTGGAGCTGTCATTTGAGCTCATGCAATTTGTGTCAAGAGCCCCATCTTTTTTTTTTTTTTTTTTTTTGAGACAGGGTCTTGCCCTGTTGCTCAGGCTGGAATGCCGTGGTGCGATCATAGCTTGCTGTAACCTCAAACTCCTGGGCTCAGGCAGTCCTCCTGCCTCAGCCTCCTGAGTAGCTGGGACTACAGGTTGTGTGCTACCATGCCCAGCTAATTTACTGTTTGTGGAGACAGGGGTCTCACTGTGTTGCCCAGGCTGGTCTCGAATTCCTGGCCTCAAGCGATCCTCTTGCCTCAGTGTCCCAACGTGCTGGGATGAGCTGCTGCGCCAGCCAAGGGCCCCTATCTTTTAACTGCATTGTATATTGTTGTTGTTGTTGTTATTGCTGAAAGTGTTGATGGATCCAGACCGATGACTTAGAGCTCCTTCTTTTGACAATTCCTGGGTCAGATTTTGGAGTGAGTTGGGATTCCCAAGGCTATTCCTATCCTTCCCTAGCACCCCTGATGGGCCGTCTCTGCCTCCCCCAGTTTTGCTCCACCCTACCCTGCTGTGGCTTGCTATTCTGTCCTCAGGTCCCCTGAGGTGGAGGCCCAGTTTGTGGAGTCAGCAATCCTTATCTCCTATACAGAGCTGTTGGGCTTTTTCTTTGGTGAGGGGGAGGGAAGCTCCAAAGGGGAGTGCTCAGGGATTGTGTTGGTTACTACGCTGAACTTGGACCAGCCTGGCCCGGAAGTTCCCAGAAGTGTGGGCTGAAGGGGGCCTGCACGGTCAGCTCAACTCCCTTTTTGAAGGTAGCTGGGCTACTTTACCTACCAGTTTAGTAGGTAAAGAGAGTTTAGGCCTTTAACTTTCCCAGAGCCACATAGCAAGTTAGTTGCAGAATTGGTACCTATTCCAGAGACTTTGTAGTCTTCTGGAGTCCCAGAGCTCTGCCTCCTCAGTGGGCTTTTGGCCATCTGAGAAGGAAGGTTCAATTATAGTTTTTGGTTCCCGGATACCTGAGGGCTGGTACTAAGTCTGGATCTTAATGGGAAGGGGAGAACTGGGCGCCTCCTATCCCTGTCCAGTGAGAGCATGGCTCTGATTTGGGTAAACTGTAAACAAGACCAGTGCTGAGAGCCACCTCCACTCTCAGATTAACAAAATAAATTAATAAGTAGAGCATCCTTCCTGAACCCCATCTCTAGGACTAGGAGAAGCAGATGTAGTGAGTACCTGATATTAGTGGTTTCTAAAGAGGCTGCAGCATATAACAGGTCAAAACAGTTGCTCCCATCAGCCTTGTACACCCTGCTCAGATTCCCTCCGTGCCTTTCTGCTTTCTCTGTCTTCATTCACAGACTAGTATGAATGACCTGGCGCTGCTCTCCACTAAATGTGATCTGGTGTCAGGGAAACAAAACAGACAATTTGATGACAGTGTTTTTAGAAGCAAAAGCCCTGGGAATTTTGGGGTCATAGGTGAGGGCCAGAAAAAGGTTCCTAGACTATTGTGGTTTAGCTTTGCAAAAGGAGTGACCACTGGGACTGGGCCAGTTGTATCTGGAAGCCCATGGGAGGGGGAGGTAGGGTTTTAAGCCAGTTGATCGGATTTATATTCAGAAAGTTAATGTGGCTACTGGGTAGAGGATGGATAGGAGAGGCCAGGGCTAAGGAGGCCGGGGGACAACTGGCGAGGTTGTGAGTAGTGGTCCAGACAAGAGGGGGTGGTAGTTAATGAGGTGGTGGTGGTGGGAGGACAGATAAGCAGCCAGGCATGGTGACTCCCATCTGTAATCCCAGTGCTTTGGGAGGCCAAGGCAGGAGGATCCATTGAGCCCAGCAGTTTGAGGCTATAGTGAGCTATGACTGCACCACTAAAGAAGAGGCCAGGCGTGGTGGCTCATTCCAGTAATCCCAGCACTTTGGGAGGCTGAGGTGGGCGGATCACCTGAGGTTGGGGATTCGAGACCAGCCTGGCCAACATGGAGAAACCCAGTTTCTACTAAAAATATAAAATTAGGTGAGCGTGGTTGTGCATGCCTGTAATCCCAGCTACTCGGGAGGCTGAGGCAGGAGAATCGCTTGAACCCAGGAGGCAGAGGTTGCAATGAGCTGAGATCGCACCATTGCACTCCAGCCTGGGCAACAAGAGCGATACTCCGTCTCAAAAAAAAAAAGAAGCAAAAGAAGGAAGGAGAAGGAAGGAAGGAAGGAAGAAGGAGGAGGAGGAGGAAGAAAGGAAGGAAGGAAGGAACGAACGAACATGTGAGAGAAATTGAAGCTGCTTCTGAAGCATCTGGGGTACTTGGTTACCTGGCTTCAGGGTGCAAACTGTGGTGTGTTCTTGTATAAGTTCTCTGGGACCACTAAGAAGGTGGCCTCCTGGAGATGTGCAGCATGATGGCTATATAGTTCCTTTTCCAGGACCCTCCCATCCCGCAATGCTGGGATTCTTGGGTCCCAACCCAGTTCCTGAAGAACTCAGCCTGGAGTGAGCCCTCTTTCTTGATTACCCTTCCAAACATGTGTATATCTCCCATCTGGCTCCACCATCCAAAGTATGCTAGAAAGGTGGGTTTAACACTTCAGTGTAGCCCCTTGGATAGGAGGAAGAGGCTGGATAGGTAATAATCCTCTTTATTCTCCCTTCTACTACGGACTAACCTCATATGTTTCCTCCCAGGAGCAGAGGGAGAGCCGGGCTCGGCGAGGCCCTCGAGGGCCCAGCGCCTTCATCCCCGTGGAGGAGGTAAGCTTGGAAGGGGTTAGGGATCTTTGGTCCCTGGGAAGAAAGGACATGGCATATTGGTAGGCAGGCATCTTTTCCTGTTCTTTAAATTGCAGCTTTTAAGCTATTCCTTTCTGATTTCTGATTCATTTAATTCACAAAACGGCTTTGTGAAGCAGGCACTGTCAACTCCATTTTACTGGGAAGAAACAGGCTCAAAGAAATCAAGTGCTAATAGCCAGGTAGTGGCCAAACTTTTTTTTTTTTTCATGCTCAAACTTTTGATTCCTAGATCAGTGCCTGCTTTCCCTTAAGAAGATAGAACTATCTATCTCATCCATGACCATACATATATTACACGCTCTTTTCTGTTTTAAAAGTAATATATGTTTATTATTTTAAAAATTTCCATTGTTTCAGAAAGCTCTGATCTCCTGTATCCTCCTGCACCCTGCAGAGATCATCACTGTTAACCATTTGCCACTGTTTACTGTGCTTTTTTCAAGCCAATACTTACTTTCAGTACAGAACCAAGGTCATAGTTTACAACGTGTTTTTTTGTTTTGTTTTTCACTTAATACAAGAAAGACATCTTTCATCTACTGAGTCAGTTCATTCATTCATTTACTTAACATATCTATTAAATGATTAATCTATGTCAGGCACTGTTCTGGTTGCTTGGGATATAGTAGTGAACAAGACAGACAAAAATATTTGCCATTATGGAGCTTACATTCTAGTGTGTTGGGATAGTGGAGTTACCTTCAAAACATGCAGAAAAATGTAAAACTAGTTTCCTCATTTTATTTGGCCATCAGTGAACAAGGACAAATTTTTTGTTTTGCCGGCCGCAGTGGCTCACGCCTGTAATCCCAACACTTTGGGAGGCCGAGGCGGGCGGATCACGAGGTCAGGAGATCGAGACCATCCTGGCTAACACGGTGAAGCACCGTCTCTACTAAAAATACAAAAAATTAGCCAGGCGTGGTGGCGGGCGCCTGTAATCCCAGCTACTCTGGAGGCTGAGGCAGGAGAATGGCATGAACCCGGGAGGCGGAGCTTGCAGTGAGCCGAGATCGCGCCACTGCACTCCAGCTTGCGTGACAGAGTGAGACTCCGTCTCAAAAAAAAAAAAAAAAATTTGTTTCCTCTCTTTGCTTTTCCTAAATGTGTAGGGCGAGTGGTTAAGGAGCTAACAAACATTTACCCTCCTTCTAAACCCCTTGTTCCTCTACTCCTTTGTAAATATAAGGCGAACAACCACTTGCCGATTATTTATGTCTGTGACCCAGAATTCTAAGCTCAAGTATTGCTCTTGTCTTTTATTTTTTCATTTATAAGTGACCACCTTTTTTTTTTTTGAAACGAAGTTTTGTTCTTGTTGCCCAGGCTGGAGTGCAATGGCACGATCTTGGCTCACCGCAACCTCTGCCTCCCAGGTTCAAGCAATTCTCCTGCCTCAAGCCTCCCGAGTAGCTGGGATTACAGGCATGAGCCACCACGCCCAGCTAATTTTGTATTAGCAGAGATGGGGTTTCTCCATGTTGGTCAGGCTGGTCTCAAACTCCGGACCTTAGGTGATCTGCCCATCTCTGCCTCCCAATGTGCTGGGATTACAGATGTGAGCCACCGTGCCCAGCCCACTCTTTTATAATAAAGAGAAGAAACAGGCAGCCAGGCACAGTAGCTCATGCCTGTAATCCCAGCACTTTGGGAGGCCAAGGTTTGGGGATCACTTGAGCCCAGGAGTTCGAGACCAGCCTGGACAACATAGTGGGACCCCGTCTGTATTAAAAAAAAAAGTTAAAAAGAAATAGGCTTTGGAGTTCATCTGGATTTGAATCTGCTTCTGTTATTTATCAGATCTGTGACTTTGAGCAAGGAAGAAAACTTCCTGGTTTCCTCATCTGGCAAAGTGGGGGAAATAATAGTATTCACCTCACAGGCTTATTGGCTAGATCCCATGAAATCACGCGGAGAAAACTGTAAGCTCAGGGATGGCATGGAGACAGCACTCAGGAAATGTGAACTATTTTGCACCCGCCCCCATGGTTATATGCATTTGCAGTGTTAGAATAGACACTCCATGAAGGGAGGAGAAACTGTACTTTTACTCTCTGTGCCTGATTTTTCCTACCTAAAAGTGGAGAAACAGAACTCCAGTTTTATAGTTGTTGTGAGAGTTAAATAAGTTAAAATATGCATTCTTGAACAGTGCTTGGCACATAGCATTGTATGTGTAAGTACTGGCCATTATTATATAAGGTACCTAATAAGTATTTATTGAATCACTTATTAAAATATGTGATCCTCCCCATTCTTTCTTTTTGGACACGGTGGTGGTTTTTAGTTTCTTGCCATTAAAAACCCACTGGAAGAATACATTGGTCTCTTTGATGAGTGGGGCAGGAGGGAAACCCATGCTCTCCTCCCCTTTGGTTGGCAGGTCCTTCGGGAGGGGGCTGAGAGCCTCGAGCAGCACCTGGGGCTGGAGGCACTGATGTCCTCTGGGCGAGTAGACAACCTGGCAGTGGTGATGGGCCTGCACCCTGACTACTTTACCAGCTTCTGGCGCCTGCACTACCTGCTGCTGCACACGGATGGTCCCTTGGCCAGCTCCTGGCGCCACTACATTGCCATCATGGTGAGCCTCTCTGGGCCTGACACTTGGAGAGGTGGCTTTGTGGTGGGTTCTGTCCTTTGATCTCTTTTCTGGGAGCTTTGTGAGCTGATTCCATAGACAAGCAGGGAAAGCCCTGGCTTTATCTAACTGTAGAGTTTTGGGTTTTTTGTTTTTATTTTTTCTCAGAAGGAAAATTTTAGGTTTTGAAGAAAGGCATCGTTAGTGCTTGTGTTAGGTACAGATTGGCAAACTGAGGTGCAAAAAGGAATCAGGTGGCCTGCAAGCTGGTGGCAGAGCTGGGGTTACTTAGAACTTAGATTTCCTGCCTCTTGGGGAACAGTGAGCCCTACAACCTCTCCCCTGATGGGGTACCCACCCTGAGCCAGGCACAAAAGGAGGAGGGTGACTCAGGCTGTGTCCACTACCTCCGCAGGCTGCCGCCCGCCATCAGTGTTCTTACCTGGTAGGCTCCCACATGGCCGAGTTTCTGCAGACTGGTGGTGACCCTGAGTGGCTGCTGGGCCTCCACCGGGCCCCCGAGAAGCTGCGCAAACTCAGCGAGATCAACAAGTTGCTGGCGCATCGGCCATGGCTCATCACCAAGGAACACATCCAGGTGCAGGGGGCAGAGAGGCGGGTGTCTGAGGGAGCACAGAGGCCTGGCTGGTGCCTGGTGGGTAACCCAGGGCAGGCACTGAGCAGCTCTGACCTCCCCCCTTGTCCCTTCCAGGCCTTGCTGAAGACCGGCGAGCACACTTGGTCCCTGGCCGAGCTCATTCAGGCTCTGGTCCTGCTCACCCACTGCCACTCGCTCTCCTCCTTCGTGTTTGGCTGTGGCATCCTCCCTGAGGGGGATGCAGATGGCAGCCCTGCCCCCCAGGCACCTACACCCCCTAGTGAACAGAGCAGCCCCCCAAGCAGGGACCCGTTGAACAACTCTGGGGTAAGTCACGGGCCTGGGTCTTGATCGGGGAGGAAGCGGGCATGACCTCTGGTCCTTAGGTAGAAGCTACTGCTTCCCAATCTCGTATCTGCACTACCTGCTGCTATGAGAGACCATAGAAAAGTTATTTGACTTTGAAGCTTAGTTTCCTCATCTGTGAAATGGGGAGATAAAGACCCTCTACTCACACTGGGCTGTGAGGGTTAAATGAAATACCATGTGACTGACACTGTGTATATGCCATAGGCTCAAAGCCTGTTGGTTTTAGCACTTTAAAACTACAAAGTTTACCTTTTACTCTGTAATGTGGCCTTGTATGTTTCAATACAAAAATACAGATACTTTAAAAATTCCTGCTCAGGGAAGATGTGTCTATTCTGTAGCTTTGTAAACGTCACTTTAGGAAGCACAGACCCCATGTGCTGTCCAGCACAGTGGCTGGCACAGAGGATGCCCTGGGCCTTTGTGAGCATTAGGAAGGCCTGGCCTCTGGGAAGGATGAGTGGAGCTTCCCAGAGGCTGAAGGAGGAGGAGTAGCTGGTCACCACGGGGCCTCTCCTGCAGGGCTTTGAGTCTGCCCGCGACGTGGAGGCGCTGATGGAGCGCATGCAGCAGCTGCAGGAGAGCCTGCTGCGGGATGAGGGGACGTCCCAGGAGGAGATGGAGAGCCGCTTTGAGCTGGAGAAGTCAGAGAGCCTGCTGGTGACCCCCTCAGGTACAGGGTCACAGGCATCCAGGCTCCCGTGGCTGCTCCTTCTTAGGCTATCTCTGGTGAGGAGGAGCCACCTCCTGCATTCCAGAGGCAGCCACTTCTCAACCTCCCGTCCAAGAGGTTCTGAGCATGGGCCTTGGGCTCAGACCTGGCTTTGAATCCTGGGCTGCTAGCCTTTCCGGCTGTGCGACCACTGACGAGTCACTTCCTAGCTCAGGGCTTCAGGATTGCTGTGTAGGGTTAGTGGGGCAGTAGAAGCAAAGATCTTAGCGCAGAGCCTGGCCCAGGGGGAACCGCTCCATAAATAACTGCCACTATTGTTGTTACCAGGGGCCTCGCTTCATGGGTCCATGGGCCTGATCCACCCCCTCCCCAAGGCCTGGCTCCAGCTGAAATCTTGCCCCACTCACTATAGCAAGGGGCTTTTTTTGGCCCTCTATTCTGCCTTCCCCTCCCCCTTTTGGTGATTAATCAGGAATGGACCCCTGCATGCCCCATGCCTCAGCCTCACTGTGACCTCTTTCTGGTCCTCAGCTGACATCCTGGAGCCCTCTCCACACCCAGACATGCTGTGCTTTGTGGAAGACCCTACTTTCGGATATGAGGACTTCACTCGGAGAGGGGCTCAGGCACCCCCTACCTTCCGGGCCCAGGTAGGGCTCTCTCTACTAGTCTTGGCCATTGCTCCACATTTACGAACAAGCAGTGGGTGGATAGTTTGAGTAGTTACAGAGTTAGGTACCCAGCTGGGCATGGTAGCTCACACCTGTAATCCCAGCACTTTGGGAAGCCAAGGTGGGAGGATTGCTTGAGCCCAGGAGCTTGAGACTAGCCTGGGCAACATGGCGAAACCCTGTCTCTACAAAAACATTTAAAAAATTAACTGGAAGGTGGCGCATGCCTGTAGTCCCAGCTACTTGAATGGCTGAGGTGGGAGGATCACTTGAGCTGGGAGATCAAGGCTGCAGTGAGCTGTGATCGCGCTACTGCGCTCCAGCCTGGGTGACAGCAAGATCCTGTCTCAAAAAAAAAAAAACAGAGTTGGGTACGTTATTTCCCTCAAGATTCCACGAGGGCAGTGGGGTCCCTGTGAATCCTTAAGGGACCCATCTATACCCTAAGCTCAGGGGTTGCTGATCATAAGGAGAAGGTCATCACCAAAGTATACCTTCCTTGACCTCTCAGGCCCAGAGCAAGCAGCACGTTAGGTTTATGGCACCAGGAAGGAGAATCATGGAGATCCCAGGTCCAGAGGATGGGGGTCTCTCTGGCTGGTCTTGGGCTCCAAAGACTCACCAATCCCTTCCCACCTACCTAAGGATTATACCTGGGAAGACCATGGCTACTCGCTGATCCAGCGGCTTTACCCTGAGGGTGGGCAGCTGCTGGATGAGAAGTTCCAGGCAGCCTATAGCCTCACCTACAATACCATCGCCATGCACAGTGGTGTGGACACCTCCGTGCTCCGCAGGGCCATCTGGAACTATATCCACTGCGTCTTTGGCATCAGGTGAGCTCATATCCCTTCATTTGGGGCATGTGTGCACTGTAAGTCTTCACTCTGGGTTCACAGTTGTTTCCATTTTCTTTTTGTTTTTTTCTTTTCCTTTCTTCTTGCCTATACTGTTTTTCAAAGCAAATTGTGATTTTAAAAGATGACAGTACTCATTGTTTGAACGTTGTAAATGAAACTCTTTAATTGCACTCCCAGAGATAATTATTGTTTGATATTTATGTACATATATATACACACACACACATACTCACACATATATACACATATACATGCATACACACACACACACACACACACTATATATATATGTAGAGAGAGTTATGTTTGTATTTCCATTCTGAGTAGTAATTCTCCCATAATAAATAAGGACAACATAAATGCTCAGTAGGGGACTTTAAATAATGATACGTCTATTCAGTGAAATACTATGCAGCTGTTAAAAATTACAATAGGCTGGGCGCAGTGGCTCATGCCTGTAATCCCAGCACTTTGGGAGGCCGAGGCGGGCGGATCATGAGGTTAGGAGTTCGAGACCAGCCTGACCAACATGGTGAAACCCCGTTCTACTAAAAATAAAAAAATTAGCTGGGTGTGGTGGTAGACATTTGTAATCCCAGCTACTCAAGAGGCTGAGGCAGGAGAATCGCTTGAACCGGGGAGGCGGAGGCTGAAGTGAGCTGGGATCGTGCCACTGCACTCCAGCCTGGGTGACAGAGCAAGACTCTGTCTCAAAAAAAAAATTACAATAGAGGCCAGGCGCGGTGGCTCATGCCTGTAATCCCAGCACTTTGGGATGGCAATGTGAAAAGATTGCTTGAGACCAGGAGTTCAAGACGAGCTTGGGCAACATAGTGAGACCCCCATCTCTACAAAAAATTAAAAAATTTGCCTGTGTGGTGGCATCACTGGAGTCCAGGAGTTCGAGACCAACCTGAGCTACATGGTGAAACCCCATATCTATGAAAAATAACAAAAATTAGCCAGGCATGGTGGCTGACGCCTGTAGTTCCAGCTACTTAGGAAGCTGAGGCAGGAGGATCCCTTGAGCCTGGGAGGCAGAGGTTGCAGTGAGCTGAGATCATACCACTGTGCTCCAGCCTGGGCAACAGAGCAAGACGCTATCTCAAAATAAATAAATAAAATTGAAAAATACAGATAACAAAAAAGAAAATAAAGGCTGGGTGCAGTGGCTCACACCTGCAATCCCAGCACTTTGGGAGGCTGAAGCAGGAGGATTACATGAGGCCAGGAGTTTGTGCCTCAGCCTGGACAACATAATTAAGACCCATCTCTACAAAAAAATAAAAATTAGCTGAGTGTGGTGGTGCATGCCTATAGTCCCAGGTATTCTAGAGGCTGAGACAGGAGGATCACTTGTGCCCAAGAGCTCAAGGCTATAGTGAGCCATGAATGCACCACTGCACTCCAGCCTGGGCCACACAGCGAGACCCTTCACTAAAAAAATACAAAATAAAATTTAAAAAAAATTATCCATTATACTATCTGCTGTTATTATTATCAGTTATCTCCTTCCTGTCTTTTTCTTTCCTTTTTTTTTTTTTTTTTTTTTTTTTTGAGACAGAGTTTCAATCTTGTTGCCTAGGCTGGAGTGCAATGGGGTGATCTCAGCTCACTGCAACCTCCGCCTCCCGGATTCGAGGGATTCTCCCGCCTCAGCCGTCCGAATAGCTGGGATTACCAGCATGTGCCACCACGCCCAGCTAATTTTGTATTTTTAGTAGAGATGAGATTTCTCCATGTTGGCCAGGCTGGTCTCAAACTTCTCACCTCAGGTGATCTGCCCGCCTCAGCCTCCCAAAGTGCTGGGGTTACAGGCATGAGACACTGCGCCCAGCCTTTTTTTTTTTTTTTTTTTAATTTATTTATTTATTTCTTTATTTTTGAGACGGAGTCTCGCTCTGTTGCCCAGGCTGGAGTGCAGTGGCTCAATCTCTGCTCACTGCAACCTCCGCCTCCCAGGTTCAAGCAATTCTCCCTGCCTCAGCCTCCTGAGTACCTGGGATTACAGGCACATGCCACCATGCCCAGGTAGTTTTTTGTATTTTTAGCAGAGATGGGGTTTCAGCCTGGTAGCCAGGATGGTCTTGATCTCCTGACCTCATGATCCGCCCACCTTGGCCTCCCAAAGAGCTGGGATCACAGGCGTGAGCCACTGCGCCTGGCTTTTTTTTTTTTTTTGAGACAGAGTCTTGCTCTGTCACCCAGGCTGGAGTAGAGTGGAGTGATCTCAGCTCACTGCAACCTCCAGCTCCTGAGCTCAGGTGATCCTTCTGCCTGATCCTTCTGCCTCATCCTTCTTAGTAGCTGGAACTATAGGTGGGTGCCACCATGCCCAGCTAATTTTTGCATTTTTAGTAGAGATGGTGTTTCACCATGTTGGACAGGCTGGTCTGGAACTCCTCACCTCAAGCTATCCGCTCGCCTCAGCCTCCCAAAGTGTTGGGATTATAGGCGGGAGCCACCACACCTGGCACCTTTCTTTTTTTCTATGCACAAGTAACCAAAGCATATATAATTTACAAAAACAAGATCAGTTGCCATTTCCTTACCTATTCATTTCAGTTGTTTTATTCATTTACTCAAACATGAGCATGTTTTAGTGAACCCATGATTTTTTTTCCTGCCTTTCTCACTTAACAGTTTATACCAAACACCAAAAAATTATCCCCCAATTTTAAAAAAGGTACGTGCTCCTTGTAGAAAGTTTGTGTTTCTGTGTATTACTAGCTGTAAATCATATTTCACTGAATGGGTTGAGCTATACTTAATGAACCATCCTCTTACTCTAGTCACTAGTAGGTTTCCAACCCATGGCTGGCCAAGGACAGGCTTCTTAGAATGTGAGTTGGGCTGGTTTCCGCCCAGCCCTCAGGTCCAGGCTTCTCTGCTCTCCAACATGGTTCTTGCTCCTATTTCTTTGTCTTCCAAATCTGCCCTCCAGTTTCCAGCCAGTCATTCCTCTGTCTACACTGATCTGTTTTGACATTGGCTCCCCTCACTCACTAGACTGGGGATAACTAAGTGGCTTCTAGACTCATCATCAACTTGCTTTTTGGCTTTGAAGAAGTTAGTCATCTTCTCCAGGGCTTAGGTTGCCCATTTGTAGAATGAGTACAAGCACCTTTTTACCCTTATCCTCTTCCTTCTCCTCCACTGACCTCCTCCTCTACCTTCCATGGCCTTTACTACAGAGTAGTGGTTATGGCCCCTGAGCTAGGCAGAGCTGGGTTTAAAACCCATTCCTGTCCAGGCGTGGTGGCTCACGCCTGTAATCCCAGCACTTTGGGAGGCTGAGGCAGGCGGATCATGAGGTCAGGAGTTCGAGACCAGCCTGACCAACATGGTGAAACCCCATCTCTACTAAAAATACAAAAATTAGCCGGGCACAGTGGCATGTACCTGTAATCCCAGCTACTCAGGAGGCTGAGGCAGGAGAATTGCTTGAACTCAGGAGGCTGAGGTTGCGGTGAGCCGAGATCACGCCATTGCACTCCAGCCTGTGCAACAGAGCGAGACTCCGTCTCAAAAGAAAAACAAAAACATACTGAAATTAATGTAAAAAAATGTGAGCTAAGCTTTCTGCAACTCTGAAATCAAGTTATATCTCCTCCTTTAAATAAAACTGCCTTGTTGATCATGAAAAAACAAAAACAAAGACCATTCCTTGCTGTATTAACTAGGGCAAGTGACTTCCTTTCTCTAAATCTCAGTTTCCTCATCTATAACATGGGGTTGATGAATGTAGCAGATTGCATACACCATCCAGTCATGTACACAGTAGTGTAGAGTAGTTTTGAGGATTCCACATGGCACATAGTTGGTATTCAATACAGCATGCTCATTCTCTGCATTCCTTGACGTGGTCCCCTGCCAATGTGGCGGCCTGTGATAACACGATATCAGCTGTTTCTCCAAGAGGAACTAGGCTTCTTGTTGCTTCTACCTTCTGATTTTTCTCAACACTCTGTTCTTCCCTCTGTAGGGTGGGGTTGCGGGGAGGGAGCTGCCTTTGGGAAGAAAGCATGAGTAATGCTGCTGGGACCTTTCCATCCAGATATGATGACTATGATTATGGGGAGGTGAACCAGCTCCTGGAGCGGAACCTCAAGGTCTATATCAAGACAGTGGCCTGCTACCCAGAGAAGACCACCCGAAGAATGTACAACCTCTTCTGGAGGCACTTCCGCCACTCAGAGAAGGTATGACCTATACAGGCAGGGCAGGATGGAAGTAGACAGGCCAAGCCAGTGGAGAGGGCAAGGGGTTAGGACCCAGTGAGAGTCCCCAGACTGAGTCTGTCCTGCTAGGTGGGACACCTGGGCCTATTCCTCTGGATTGAAGTCCTATTCCACTGTGTGATTTCAGAGTCTGTTTACTCACCTGTAAAATGGGAATGAGGGTGCCTGCTTCACATTAGTGGTAGCTTGGTGGACCTGGGTTCAAATCATAACACTATCTCTTGATAGCAGTGTGACTTTCGGCAAGTCACATTATCTCGCTGAGTTTTTTTGTTTTTTTTTTTGAGATGAGTCTCCCTTTGTTGCCCAGGCTGGAGTGCAGTGGCACGATCTTGGCTCACTGCAACTTCCACCTCCCAAGTTCAAGCGATTCTCCTGCCTCAGCCTCCTGAGTAGCTGGGACTACAGGCGTGTGCCACCATCCCCAGCTAATTTTTTGTATTTTTAGTAGAGACGGGGTTTCACTGTGTTAGCCAGGATGGTCTTGATCTGACCTTGTGATCCACCTGTCTCGGACTTCCAAAGTGCTGAGATTACAGGTGTGAGTCATCGTGCCTGGCCTCTCTGAGCTTTTTATCCTGTTTTTTTTTTGAGACAGAGTCTTGCTCTGTTGCCCAGGCTGGAGCGCAGCGGTGTGATTTCGGCTCGCTGCAGCCTCCACTTCCTAGGCTCAAGTGTCCTCCCAACTCAGCCCCCAGAGGGCCTGAGGTACACACCACCTGATTTTTTAAATTCCTAGTAGAGATAAGGTCTCACTGTGTTGTCCATCCTGGTCTCAACCTCCTGAGTTCAAATGATCCTCCTGCCTCAGCCTCTCAAAGTTTTTTGTTTTTGTGATGGGGTCACACTATATTGTCCAGGCTGTATTTGAACTTCTGGACTCAAGTGATCCTCTCACCTCAGCCTCCCAAGTAGCTGGGATTTCATTTTTATAATGGGAATAAATACTGCTGTATTTCAAGGTTGCTGGGAAGATAAAATAAAAAAATGTACATAAACCTCTGCAACCTCTGTCTCCCGGGTTCAAGTAATTCTCCTGCCTCAGCTTTCCAAGTAGCTGGGATTACAGGCATCCACCACCATGCCCAGCTAACTTTTTGTATTTTTAGTAGAGATGGGGTTTCACTATGTTGGCCAGGCTGGTCTCGAACTCCTGACCTCCTGATCCACTCGCCTTGGCCTCCCAAAGTGTTGGGATTACAGGCGTGAGCCACCGCACCTGGCCATTTTACCTTTAGGGAATACAGAGCTTAGTCATGATAGGAATGAATGTGCTTGTCCTTGTACTAAACTGCTCAGAGCCTTAGCAGATGCTGGGGCAGCTCTGTAGGAAAGGAAATGGTGAGGTAAGTGGGTCAGGGATCAAGGCAGTCTGGGAGGGGTGTGGGGGTGAGGAGTGACATCAGTTGCCAACATGCCTTCCTCTGTGCCCCAGGTCCACGTGAACTTGCTGCTCCTGGAGGCGCGCATGCAAGCCGCTCTGCTGTACGCCCTCCGTGCCATCACCCGCTACATGACCTGACTCCTGAGCAGGACCTGGGCCCGGTTCAGCTCCCCACAAGGACTTCTCTGTCTGGAGACAGCCCCAGACCCTTTTGTGTCCCATGCCCACCCTCCCCACGCTGCAGTGGGCTTGTGTGTGATGTGCAGTCCCGAAGCCACACCCTCCCTTTTCCTCACTGGAATGGACAGTTCATTGCACTGACTCTGGGATCTCAGCCCTGCTCCTGGGAGCTGGAAGAGCACTTGGAGATCCTAAGGGACCACACCCTTCCTCCTTCCCCTGCCCACAGAGGCAGAGGGCACAGGAAAGAAGCCGGGCCAAGCTCGGAATTAATGTGCCACAAGTGTTGTGGCCTTCCTGAACTGGGAAGTCCCTGGCTGGCCCCCGGGGGAGAGGGGCAAATGCCTCCGGGACTGACACTCCAGGCAGCTTTGCCTTCTCTCCCCTGTCATTTCCAGATTTCATTACCTCCTACTTGCCATTCACCCATCAATGTGAAAGTCAGGGTCACAGCTGGTCTGTGTGTCCAGTTCCCTAAAAGCCTGTTCTGTTGGGCAGCCTGAGGCTGTTGCCCGAATCCTAGTTCAGTTTTTTGACTTCCTTTGCCCTTTTTCCCTTTTCTCCATGCTTAATGGTGTGAGGCGTCAGGAGAGAGGCCAAGTACATAAAAAAAAAAAAAGCAGATTATCTCTAGAGAGTTTGAGCCTTTGCTGGTCACATTGCCTTCTGAAGAGGAGGGAGTATTAGATTATAAATCCTCTTTATTTTGGTCCTTTATGCTTGAGGTTCCAACCTGGAGCCACAGTGTGTGAGAGGAGGAGGAGAGGGAGAATTCTGTTCTCCCAGAGCTGCACCTGCCTCGCAGAGGCCAGCACCCCACTCTCCTGCCTCCAGTGGCCCTGCCGCAGATGTCTCCCAAAAAGTTGAGCCTTTCTAGATGGCTTAGGTGGCACCATGGCTCAGCAGGAGGGGCGGGAGGCACCAGGGTTCTTGTTTGGACCCTGCCCCTGGGCCATGGCCAGGTGACCATGGCTACATTGCCAAACCTCTGACTGCCACAGCTGCAGACTGAGAGGGTGGGTCTGAGTCCCCACAATGTCTGAAGCTGCCCCTGGGATTCTCAGGCCAACCTGCCAACAGCAAGCGGATTTTCTTGCAAGATCAGGGACCCCATTTCTGCAGCCAGTGTCTCCTGGGTGCCTTCTGAGGACTCCCACCCCCATCCCAGTATCTCATCTGTCCCCTCTCCTGGGGCTTAAGTGGGTTGCTTCCAGGCAGAAGCAGCCAAGGACCGATTCCAGGCACTTTCTGTAGCAAATGACTGTGAATTACGACTTCTCTTGCCCTTCTTCTAGCAGTCTGTGCCTCCTCTCTGACCAGTTTGGAGGGCACTGAAGAAAGGCAAGGGCCGTGCTGCTGCTGGGCGGGGCAGGAGAGGAGCCTGGCCAGTGTGCCACATTAAATACCCGTGCAGGCGCGGAGAAGCAACCGGCACCCCCTTCCGGCCTGAAAGCCCTCCCTGCAAGAAGGTGTGCAGGAGAGAAGAGGCCCCGGCATGGGGATCTGGGTTCTAGAGGGCATGTGATGACTGTAAATGTTCACTGGGTGGGTAGGGAGTGGTATCCAGTGTTCAAGTGCAGAAATCTTTGGCTTTGCTACCAGTTCCATATGATGAGAAATAAACGTTCGCTGAGGTTTTGTTTCATACTCCCTTTTTATGGGCTGTTCTTTCAATTTCCTGAAGGTCATGGTTCACCTTGTAGCATAGGCAGAGAGCTGTGATTGCATCATGGGCCTGACCTGATAGCCCCTGCCCTGCCGAGAACTTGTGCCCAGTGATTGTAGGTTGGGACTGTTGGCACTGAAAGTCTACTTGTCCCTTGGACATCCAGTCCTGTCACCCTTCTGCGGCTGCCCTGGCACTGTGGAGTAATAATGACCATGGTGTTTTTCTAAGCCTGGCCATGGGCTGGGTACTTGGAGACCATTCCTCTGAATTTGCAGCAATCCTGTAGGAGAATTGAGACGGGTGAACTGACGTTGTTGAGGCCACATGGCTAATCGGTGGGGGAGCCAGGATTCCCCCCTGCTCTGCTTGACCCTGAGGCCTTGACATTTTACCTTGCTGTTTTGCCCACTACTGGACTTCCCCTGTGACAAAGAGGCTGTTTGAATCTGGAAGGACCCCCTTGTGTCCCCAACCCCACCACATTATGATTACCTGCTTCTCATCCTACCGCCTCCAGCACCAAGGAGACAACGCCAGGAACAAAGAGGTGCAACCCCCAAGCTGTGCCAGTGCCGTTTATGGCTGTGTGACCTTGGTCAAGCTTCTTAACTTCTCTGGGTACCAGGAACTAGTTAGCTTACCAGGAAAACCACATCATGTAAGAGCTAAGACCACTCCCGCGGGCTTCCTACTTCCTATAAATACCGCTGTCAGAACACTAGGTCTCTTCCAGGCAGCCTCCCCTAGTGGACTTTGTGTTCCCCTTCCCCTTGAGGTATCTGTTCATTTTCGCAGGATTCCTATACACTTCCCCTTCCTCTAGAGTCATTTGAGAGGGTGTGGGAGAAAGTGAATCACACTTGGAGTACAAAACCTGGATTCTGGTTCTGATTGAGCCACTCACTATATCGCTGGGGAGATTGATTAATTTCCCTGTGCCTCAAGTTTCCTCAGCCATAGAAATGGGGATAAAAGTTTTCCATTTCTTTTCCAGTTGGCATGCATTGGGTGTTTGTTTGAGATGGAGTCTCGCTCTGTCACCCAGGCTGGAGTGCAGTGTCACAATCTCGGCTCAACTGCAACCTCCATCTCCCAGGTTCTAGCAATTCTCCCACCTCAGCCTTCCTAGTAGCTGGGATTACAGGCACATACCATCACGCCCGGCCAATTTCGGTATTTTTAGTAGAGACAGGATTTCACCATGTTGGCCAAGCTGGTCTGGAACTCCTGAGCTCAAGTGATCCACGTGCCTCAGCCTCCCAAAGTGCTGGGATTACAGGCATGAGCCACTGCGCCCAGCCTATGTGGCATGCATTGAGTGTGACTGTTGCCAAATGTTTTCAAATTTAATCTCCCAATCTTCACAACAACCCTGTGAGGAAAGGGTCTGTTCCCATCCTATAGATGTGGAAATGGAACCTCAAATGAGAATCTGGGGAACACCAATTTAACAGACAGACCCAAATTCAAATTCCAGCTTTGACATTTAATGTCTGTCCGATCATGAGCAAGTTGCTTCAATACTCCCTCCTCAATTTCCTTATCTATGGGATGGAATTAATACCTAAGGTTACAAGAGGGTTGTGAGGATTAAATAATGCATAAAAACCACCTAGCACAGTTCAGGTACCTGGCATCTAGCATTCGCAAGCTGTTCAGGATTCAGAAATTTGCCCAAGCTCATGCGACTGAGGTAGAATTTGAATCCTTCTCATTCTGATTCCAGAGTTCTTTGTATTGCTTTTTTTTTTTTCTTTTTGAGATGGAGCTGGAGTGCATTGGTGTGATCTCGGTTCACAGCAACCTCCCCAGGTTCAAGTGATTCTCCTGCCCCAGCCTCCCCATGTTGCCAAGGGTGGTCTTGAACTCCTTTGCCATGTTACCGAGGGTGGTCTTGAACTCCTGGGCTCAAGCGATCTGCCCGCCTCAGCCTCCCAAAGTGCTGGGATTACAGGTATGAGCCACCATGCCCAACCCTGTATTGCATTATTTTTGTCTCCAAAGTGCCTAAATCCTCAATATGCATTTAAAAAAAAATAATGGCTGGGCACGGTGGCTTACGCCTGTAATCCCAGCACTTTGGGAGGCCAAGGCGGGTGGATCACGAGGTCAGGAGATCCAGACCATCCTGGCTAACACGGTGAAACCCCAACTGTACTGAAAATACAAAAAAAAAAAAAAAAAAAAAAAAAAAAAATTAGCCGGGCGTGGTGGCGGGCACCTGTAATCCCAGCTACCCAGTATTATTTAATCCTCACAACCCTCCTGTAACCTTAGGTATTAATTCCATCCCACAGATAAGGAAATTGAGGAGGGAGTATTGAAGCAACTTGCTCATGATCAGACTGATATTAAATGTCAAAGCTGGAATTTGAATTTGGGTCTGTCTGTTAAATTGGTGTTCCCCAGATTCTCATTTGAGGTTCCATTTCCACATCTATAGAATGGGAACAGACCCTTTCCTCACACGGTTGTTGCGAAGATTGCGAGATTAAATTTGAAAACATTTGGCAACAGTCACACTCAATGCATGCCACGTAGGCTGGACTACAGTCCCAGCCTGTAGGCAGGAGAATGGCGTGAACCCAGGAGGCGGAGCTTGCAGTGAGCCAAGATTGCGCCACTGCACTCCAGCCTGGGCGACAAAGGGAGACTCCTCTCAAAAAAAAGAAAAAAAAAATCATGTTTATTAGGCTGGACCTGATGGCTGACACCCATAATCCCAGCACTTTGGGAGGCCGAGGCAGGCGGATCATTTGAGGTCAGGAATTCAAAACCAGCCTGACCAACATGGTGAAACCCCGTCTCTACTCAAAATACAAAAATTAGCCAGGTGTCGTGGTGGGCGCCCGTAATCCCAGCGCCATTGCACTCCAGCCTGGGTGACAGAATGAAACTCTGTCTAATAAATAAATAAATATTTTTAAAATCATGTTAAATTTGCAAATGGAGTTGAAAACTCAGCTTCAGACTGGATCTAATGAATCTATTTTAGACTTCTGTAGCCTGCAACTCAAGACCTGTGCACATCTACCCAGGTTGGAATTTGCAGAAGGTTGTCGGTAGCTCAATTCTTTTTCTTTTTTTTTGTTTGCTTGTTTGTTTTTGTTTTTGTTTTTGTTTTTAGACAGAGTCACACTCTGTCGCGCAGGCTGGAGTGCAATGGTGCGATCTTGGCTCACTGCAACCTCTGCCTCCCAGGTTCAAGTGATTCTCCTGCCTTACCTCCTGAGTAGCTGGGATTACAGGCGCCCAACACTGCGCCCAGCTAATTCTTTTGTCTTTTGGAACCATGCTTGATTTGAGAACTGGTGAGAGTGAGTAGAAAAAGGAGCCGGGGCTGGGCATGGTGGCTCAAGCCTGTAATCCCAACACTTTGGGAAGCCAAGGCAGGTGGATCACCTGAGGTCAGGAATTTGAGACCAGCCTGACCAACATGGTGAAACCCTGTCTCTACCAAAAATTCAAAAATTAGCCGGATGTGGTGGTGCATGCCTGTAATCCCAGCTATTTCAGGAGGCTGAAAGAGGAGAATCGCTTGAACCTGCGAGGCAGAGGTTGCAGTGAGCCGGGATCGCGCCATTGCACTCCAGCCTGGGTAACAAGAGTGAAACTCCTTCTCTCCCCGACCAAAAAAAAAAAAGCCAAGTGAGTCTCCTCCAGCAGGTTGCAAACATTCACCAGAGCCCTAGAGCAGGTGGATTAGAGAAGTAGTTCACAGACTGTTTTGTGCCTTAGAATCTCATTAGAGAACCAGTGGTTGGAGGCAGAGCTCAGCAATCTGCATCTTTAATAGCTTCCTTGGTATGAGTTCTTTGAACAGATGTTATGGTTCTAATGTGTCACATGTCCTGGAGACTTAGCAGTGAAGGAGACAGACATGGTTCCTGCTTTCTTGGGATTTACTGTCAAGTGAAAGAGACAGACCTTAGACCGTTATGCAACTAATTATTTTTTATTTTTTTTTTTAATTTTTTTGAGATGGAGTCTCACTCTGTCAGCCAGGCTGGAGTGCAGTGGTGTGATCTTGGCTCACTGCAGCCTCCGTCTCCTGGGTTCAAGCGATTCTCCTGCTTCAGCCTCCTGAGTAGCTGGGATTACAGACATGCGCTACCATGCCTGGCTAATTTTTGTATTTTTAGTAGAGACGGGGTTTTACTATGTTGGCCAGGCTGGTCTCAAACTCCCGACCTCAGGTATCCACCTGCTTCAGCCTCCCAAAGTGCTGGGATTACAGGCGTGAACCACCATGCCTGGACAAATTATTTAAATTACAATTTTGATTGGCACCTCAAAGGGAAAATATGAGGTGCTGTGAGGGCATTCACCACCTAGCAGGAGAGCCTTTTCTTCCAAGGAAATATGTTGGACTTTTGCAGAAGCTCCAACACATCCAAGAACAGCAATTTCCCATGCACTGAAGCACCTTCTTGAAATCTCAGGGCTCCATGGAACAGAGTTCGAAAACTGCTCATTCATATTCCTCTGTAGTGGATGCTGTCATGTGCTACCCAGACTATGGCACTCGTTTTCCCACATCTCCCACTCCATCAAGTTGCTGAAGAATTTCAGCTGAGTCTCTCTCTGGCCACTATCCTGAGTTGAAGGGAGCCACTTAGCTCATGGTTACGCCTCCTTCCAGCAGTCTGCCTCCAATGACTGGTTGATGGGAGAGAAGAGTACAGAGGCCCGGACCCTCAGCCTCCATTTGAAACAACTCTGAAGGATTATCCCAGCTTTATTGTACCCCTTAGGATCAGATGAATCCTCCATTGCAGCAGCATTGCAGCCCAACTTCTGCCCAGTTATGCTTCTCACTGTCCTGTAATATGATTCCCCAGTAAACCCTCTGTAGGCAAATCTCCATCTCAGTCTCCTTAAAAGAGTACTTAAAACACTCTCTTATTACAGATGGTTAAAATAAGGACCAGAGTGGGGAAATGACCTACCTGAGGTCTCACAAGCCTGAACCTTCAGATCCTCTTCATAGTCTGTCACCACCCTGTGCCACAGTCCTACAACTTCCTGCTTTGACTTGCCCTGCCTGAGGCTAGAGGCAACAGCTGTAGTGGCCAGAATAGGTTCTCACTCCAATGGCTGGAGACCTTGGACAAGTCAATTCCCCTCTCTGGGGAGGTTAAGTATTGCCTGAGTTCAACATCTTCTCTCAAGTCTACCTCTGTGCAATGTGCCTGGTCCTGAGAAAAACCATGTCTCAGCTGGTGATGGCAGCAGAAATTCCTTCCGCCCATGTTTGAATCACCTCTGACCTCACAGTTGGATTATATTTGGAGTGGTGGTGGGGAGCTTTGAGTTCTGTCCCATTTCTGAGTTTCCAAACTCACATTTCAAGAAGGAACCTCTTTTCTTTTTCTTTCCCTTTTTTTTTTTTTTTTTTTTTTGAGACAGAGTCTTGCTCTGTCACCCAGACTGGAGTGCAGTGGCATGATCTCGGCTCACTGCAATCTCCGCCTCCCAGGTTCAAGCAATTCTCCTGCCTCAGCCTCCCGAGTAGCTAGGATTACAGGCGTGTGCCACCACGCCCGGCTAATTTTTGTATTTTTAGTAGAGACAGGGTTTCACCATGTTGGCCAGGCTGGTCTCGAATGCCTGACCTCGTGGTCCACCCACCTCGGCCTCCCAAAGTGCTGGAATTACAGGCATGAGCCACTGCGCCCAGCAGGAAGCTCTTTTCTTTGTTCATGCCAACATTATCAAGTACTTTATTGTGTCCCAGCCCCTGCTCATGCTGGCAGTACAGCAGTGAATAAGACAGACAGCTGTGGTCCTCATGGGCCTATAAACCCCAGTGGGAAAAATGAACATCACACAAATTCTTTTTTTTCTTTTTTTGAGATGAAGTCTCACTCTGTCACCTAGGCTTGAGGGCAGTGGCACAATCTCTTCTCACTGCAACCTCTGCCTCCTGGGTTCAAGCGATCCTCCCACCTCAGCCTCCTGAATAGCTGGGATTACAGGCGTGTGCCACCACGCCCGGCTAGCTTTTTGTATTTTTAGTAGAGGCAGGGTTTCACCATATTGGCCAGGTTGATCGTGACCTCAAGTGATCTGCCTGCCTTGGCCTCCCAGAGTGCTGGGATTACAGGCGTGAGCCACCACGTCCAGCTCGTCACACAAATTCTTGTGATAAGCCCTGGGGAAAGAAAGAGCACAGGGAGCTATGAGAAAGTACAGCCTACCCTGGACTTGAAGGATAAGAAAGGATCGGCCAAGGATGAGAGGGGAGAAAAGAGCATGGAGCAAAGATAACTTCTGGCAGAGGAAACAGCATGGGGAAAGGATTTGAAGCAGGAAGGAGAAGGCAGCCTTGTAGGGACAGAAGGAGCTGGGAGAACATAAGAAAGGCTGAGGCTGAGAAGAAAGCCCCAGGGCAGATCTAGCAGGACCTCACAGGGTACATCAGGAATTTTGGACTTTACCCTATGGGCAATGGGAAGTCTTCAAAGGAAATTTTGCTGTTTATTACAAAATAGTTTGTATTTATTAGAAGAAAGAGTGGAGAAAGTAGTAAGGCTTATTTAGGAACTTCTTTGTGCCAAGTAGCCCATGAAGTACATCACAGGCATGTTTTTCGTTTTTGTTTTAGTTTTTTTTTTTTGAGACAGGGTCTCTCTCAGTGGCACCATCACAGCTCACCGTAGCCTCGACCTCCTGGGCTCAAGCCATCCTCCTGCCTTAGCCTCCAAGTAGCTGGGATTACAGGTGCAAATTACCATGCCTGGCTAATTTTTTATTTTATTTTTTGCAGAGACGTTGGTCTTGCTATGTTGCCCAGGCTGATCTTGAACTCCTGTGCTCAAGCAATCCTCCTGCTTTCTCCTCCCAAAGTGCTGAGATTACAGGCGTGAGGCACCACACCCAGCCCGGCAGGATCTTATTTAATTTTCACTGCCGCACTAGATAGTAGAGCCCACTATTAGCTCCTTTTTTTTTTTTCCCAGATGGAGTCTTGCTTTGCTGCCCAGGCTGGAGTGCAGTGGAGTGATCTCGGCAACCTCCACCTCCCAGGTTCAAGCAATTCTCCTGCCTCAGCTTCCCAAGTAACCAGGATTACAGACGCCCACCACCACGCCCAGCTATTTTTTGTATCTCAGTAGAGATGGGGTTTCGCCATGTTGGCCAGGCAGGTCTTGAAACTTCTGACCTCAGGTGATCTGCCCAACTCGGCCTCCCAAAGTGCTGGGATTACAGGCATGAGCCATCACGCCCAGCATTTTTTTTCTTTTTTTTTTTTTTTGAGACGGAGTTTCGCTCTTGTTGCCCACACTGGAGTGTAATGGCACAATCTCGGCTCACCGCCACCTCTGCCTCCTGGGTTCAAGCGATTCTTCTGCCTCAACCTCACAAGTAGCTGGGATTACAGGCATGTGCCAACACACCCAGCTAATTTTGTATTTTTAGTAGAGATGGGTTTCTCCATGTTGGTCAGGCTGGTCTCGAACTCCCGACCTAAGGTAATCCGCCTGCCTCAGCCTCCCAAATTGCTGGGATTACAGGCCTGGCCTTTTTTTTTTTTTTTTTTTTAAGATGGAGTTTCGCTCGCTCTGTCGCCCAGGCTGGAGTGCAGTGGTGCGATCTCGGCTCACTGCAACCTCTGCCTCCCGCGTTCAAGTGATTCTCCTGTCTCAGCCTCTCGAGTAGCTGGGGCTACAGGCGCCTGCCACCAGGCCCGGCTAATTTTTATATTTTTAGTAGAGATGGAATTTCACTATGTTGGCCAGGCTGGTCTTGAACTCCCGACCTTGTGAGATGCACCCACCCCGGCCTCCCAAAGTGCTGGGATTACAGGCATGAGCCATCGCACTTGGCCTTTTTTTTTTTTTTTTTTTTTGAGATGGAGTCTTGCCCTTTCACCCACGCTGGAGTGCAGTGGCGCAATCTTGGCTCACTGCAACCTCTGCCTTCCAGGCTCAAGCCATTCTCCTTCCTCAGCCTCCCGAGTAGCTGGGATTACAAGCACGTGCCACCACCCCCGGCTAATTTTTGTATTTTTAGCAGAGACCAGGTTTCACCATGTTGCCCAGGCTGGTCTAGAACTCCTGAGCTCAAGCGATCCACCCACCTCAGCCTCCCAAAGTGCTGGGATTACAGGTGTGAGCCACCGTGCTCAGCCTATTATTTCCATTTTAAAGTGGATCCCAAACACCACCCAGAGGATCCATCTTCCTTCTTTAACCCTTACAAAGTGCTTCTGTTTTCTGAGGCATTTTTTTTTCTAAAATTATAATCATTTGTGTGGCTTCGTCATCTCCCCATTCAATTGGGGGTCCCAGGAAGGCAGGGATTTTTGTCTGGTATGTTCTCTACTGCATTTATCTCCAGAGCCTAGCACAGGGCCTGACATGTAGCAGGGGTTGAAGAAATAGGTGTGGAATACATGCTTGTATCCACCAGGATACCTGGGCTAGTTCTGGGCCCAGGTGGCAGTGCTTAAGAAACAATAGCCTCCTGCTGCTGTGGACATGGCCTCTGCTCTGGCTGTCTCTCCCTGCCTGGTTGTCTGTTAAATGGCCAGCTCTCAGATACTCAGCACCAGTCTGGTGTCGGGGAAAGAGCTTGGACTTTGGAACCAGACAAATGAGGCTCAAATCTGAGTGCAAAGCCATCTGGAATGAGGCAGAATTTAAATAAACAAGATCAAGTACCCGTATGGCTCTTGGTAACTTCCTTTAATTTCTTCATCTATAAAATGGGAACATTACCATCTACATAAAAAAAAATTATTGCTGGGCACGGTGGCTCATGCCTGTAATCCCAGCACTTTGGCAGGCTAAGGCAGGTGGATCACTTGAGGTCAGGAGTTTGAGACCAGCCTGGTCAACATGGTGAAACCCCCGTTTCTATTAAAAATACAAAAATTAGCTGGACTTGGTGGCAGGCACCTGTAGTCCCAGCTACTTGGGAGTCTGAGGTGGGAGAATAGCTTGAACTTGGGAGGTGGAGGTTGCAGTGAGCTGAGATGGCACCATTGCACTCCGCCCTGGGAGACAGAGTGAGACTCTGCCTTAAAAAAAAAAAAAATTGTCAGAATCAAATGAGAAAATGTTGGATTCCATAGGCCAGGCTTTAAAAAGAGAAAGAGAAAATGATTATAAAGTGCCTGTTTAGTTAAGTTCTTCTTTTCAGCAGAAGACAGAGTCAGTACCATTTTCTTAGATTCAAAGCCACAGGTTCCTCATCTATGAAATGGGAGTTGTGAGATAAAAGATAGTATAGAATTCCCACAACCTGGAATGCTCTTCTCCAGACAAGCTCTTTCTAAACCTGCAGTTTCACCTTTAACATCGTCTCATCAGAGAGTTCGGACCTGACCCCTGTTTCTCAGCCTCACCCTGCCCCTTCCCATTTCTTTTCTCTTCAACACGTTTCATAATCTTTATTGTTTCCTGCCTGTCTCCATGTTCACCGTTGTATCCCAATGTCTACCATATGCTAGCATAAGTGCTCAATAAATGTTTGTTGTTTTCATTACATTTTTTTTCTTCCCGTTTATTTTAGGTTCAAGGAGTCATTAAATATTTTGGCGGCAGAGTGGAGTGGCTCACACTGGTAATCCCAGCACTTTGGTAGGCTGAGGTGGGAGGATCGCTTGAGCCCAGGGGTTCAAGACCAGCCCCTGGTCTTGAATGAGACCCAGACTCTACAAAAAATAGAAAAATTAGCTGGAGGTGGAGGCACGTACCTGTAGTCCCAGCTACTTGGGGGGCTGAGGTGGGAGGATCGCTTGAGCCTGGGAGGTCGAGGCTGCAGTGAGCTGTGATTGCACCACTGCACTCCAGCCTGAGTGATGGAGTGAGACCATGTCTCAATATCTAAATATACACATACATATATAAATATAAATATATATATATATATATATTTTTTTTTTTTTGAGATGGAGTCTTGCTCTGTCGCCCAGGCTGGAGTGCAGTAGCACTATCTCAGCTCACTGCAAGCTCCACCTCCCGGGTTCATGCCATTCTCCTGCCTCAGCCTCCCTAGTAGCTGGGACTACAGGCGCCTGCCACCACGCCTGGCTAATTTTTTGTATTTTTAGTAGAGACGGGGTTTCACCTTGTTAGCCAGGATGGTCTCGATCTCCTGACCTTGTGATCCGCCCATCTTGGCCTCCCAAAGTGCTGGGATTACAGGCGTGAGCCACTGCGCCTGGCCTATATATATATATATTTTTTTTTAATCACTTATTTATGAGCCAAGACTGTTCTAGGCAATCCTAACCACAATCCTGAGACATAGGCAAAGTGAGGATTTTACCAATTTTTAGCTATGAAAGCTGAGGTCTAGCAATATTAACATTGCCCAGACATGTCCCAAGCAAATGAGCAGGAGTTCTAAACTCTCCAGAAAGTGCTCTTTCCACCCACCCTTCCACTGCCTTCCAAGGGAAGGAGCACTGCAGGCCCAGGTACTAGTCCAGGCACTGTCTTAATTTGTGGCTTTAAGATGTAAACAAGTCACTTCTTTCCCTGAAGGAAAATGTTAGTTTCCCCATCTCTAAAATGGGGAGAATCTTTGACCTGATCAGTGGTTAAGAATCAGCTGAGTTGACTGACATGTTGTGGTAAATTAAAAAATAATAATAAATTTTTTTTTAAAGAATCAGCTGAAATAATAGGCTGAAAGCATTTAATAAACTGAAATGCACTCACTTATGGAGGAGGTTTGTTTGTTTTTGAGACAGGGTCTCATTCTGTCGCCAAGGCTGGAGTGGCACGATCTCCTCTCACTGCAGCCTCCGCCTCCCAGGTTCAAGCAATTCTCAAGCTTCAGCCTCCCAAGTAGCTGGGATTACAGGTGTGCGCCACTATGCTCCACTAATTTTATATTTTTAGTAGAGATGGGGTTTCCCCATGTTGGCCAGACTGGTCTTGAACTCCTGATCTCAAGTGATCCACCCGCCTTGGCCTCCCAAAGTGCTGAGATTACAGGCGTGAGCCACTGCACCCTGCCGATGAAGGAATTTTTAAATATTAATATGCAGAATGAACATTCTTCCCAGAAGACACTGTGGGCTGGGGAAGCCAGGGAAGTTTCCTAGAAGTGGTGGCATTTCAGCTGGGCCTCCGGTGCTCCTGGGTAAGAATTTGGGGAAACAAATCTCAGAGCCAAAGTCACTGACCAACCAAAGAAGAACCCTCTAAGCCTCTTTTCCTGTTTCACATTGATATCTTCCTCCAATCTGCATTTCCCTGCCGCAATTTATTTTTTCCTTTCAAACCAAATTTATACAGTAGAATCTGCATATAATAAAATGCACACTTTTTTTTTTTTTTTTGAGACAGTCTCACTCTGTCACCCAGGCTGGAGGGCAGTGGCATGATCTTGGCTCACTGCAACCTCTGCCTCCCGAGTTCAAGCGATTCTCCTGCCTCAGCCTCCCTAGTAGCTGGGATTAACAGGCGACCGCCACCACGTCTGGCTAATTTTTTGTATTGTTAGTAGAGCCGGGGTTATACCATGTTGCCCAGGCTGGTTTCAAACTCCTGAGCTCAGGCAATCCGCCCGCCTCAGCTTCCCAAAGTGCTGGGATAAAAGGCGCGAGCCACCGTGCCCGGCCAAAACGCACTCATTTTAAATGCAGACATTTCCATGAGTTTTGAGAAAAGCATACGCCTATGCAACTACCATCCAAATCTAATTTCCTTGTGCTCCTTTGCAGTGAATATCCCATCCTGCTTTCTGGCCCCAGGCACCCACTATCAGCTTTCTGTTATTACAAATTAGTTTTGTTTTTGTTTTTGTTGTTATTCTTAATCCATTTAATTCTTTAGCAGATGACAAAGTTTTGCATTCAAAAATTAGCTTTTAAGTTTAGAACACAAACATAATGCAACAAAATGTATTAATTCACTAGTCTTAAGACAATATTGTCATTGTGGAGTGTTTGCTAATGAATGCAGAGGTCATTAGATAAATTGACAGTAACCTATTGAAGAAAAGAACTATAATAATCATAATTTACACATTTACTGAAGAGAGTTTGACCATTAATAAAAATTATACCTACACATCGGGTGTGGTGGTTTACATCTGCAATCCCAACTACTCAGGAAGCTGAGGTGGGAAAACTGAAGCTGACCCCAGGAGTTCCAGAAAAGCCTGGGCAATGTTGCAGGATTCCATTTCAAAAAAATTATACCGCACTTTGGGAGGCCGAGGCAGGTGGATCACAGTCGGAATTTGAGACTAGCCTGACCAACATGGAGAAACCCTGTCTCTACTAAAAATATAAAATTAGCCGGGTGTGGTGGCACATGCCTGTAATCCCAGCTACTTGGGAGGCTGAGCCAGGAGAAATCGCTTGAACCCAGGAGGCGGAAGTTGTGGTGAGCCAAGATCGTGTCATTGCACTCCAGCCTGGGCAACAACAGCGAAACTCCATCTCAAAAAAAAAAAAAAAATTATACCACACTTTGGGAGGCCAAGGTGGGTGGATCACCTGAGGTTGGGAGTTCGAGACCAGCCTGGCTAACAAGGTGAAACCCCGTCTCTACTAAAAATACAAAAAATTAGCCGGGCGCGGTGGCAGGCGCCTGTAGTCCCAGCTACTCGGGAGGCTGAGGCAGGAGAATGGCGTGAACCCGGGAAGCGGAGCTTGCAGTGAGCCGAGATTGCGCCACTGCAGTCCGCAGTCCGGCCTGGGCGACAGAGCGAGACTCCGTCTCAAAAAAAAAAAAAAAAAAAAAAAAAAAAAAAAAAAAAATTAGCCGGGCGTGGTGGCACATGCCTGTAATCCCAGCCACTCAGGAGGCTGAGGCAGGAGAATAACTTAAACCCAGAAGGCGGAAGTTGCGGTGAGCTGAGATTGTGCCATTGCCCTCCAGCCTGGGCAATAAGAGCAAAACTCTGTCTCAAAAAAAAAAAAAAAATTATACCTAAAAAACTTACAATAAGTACATAGATAACGTGATCACTTCTTGAGAAATGATGACATATAAATGGCAATATTTTCTATTAACAAATATTTGTTATTATTCTTATTTTTTGAGACAGGGTCTCACTCCACCGCCCAAGCTGGAGTGCAGTGGCACGATCATGGCTCACTGCAGCCTCAACCTCCCTAGCTCAAGTGATCCGCCCACCTTGGCCTCCCAAAGTGCTGGGATTACAGGCCTGAGCCACCACACCTGGCCTCATTGTGTAATCTTTTGTGTTTGTCTTCTTCGTTACCATAAAGCTTTTGAAGCTAATTCATGTTGTCGTGTGTATCCATAGTTCATTCCTTTTTGTTGCTGAGCACAATACTATTGTATGGATATATTACAATTCATTTATTCATTCATGAGTTGATAGACATTTGAGTTGTTTCCAATTTTGGCTATTATGAGTAAACCTGCTATTTATGTGGACATACCCAGCTATTTTTATTTTTTATTTTTTGTAGAGATGAGGGTCTCCCTATGTTGCCCAGACTGGTCTAGACCTCTTGGGCTCCAGTGATCCTCCTGCCTTGACCTCCCAAAATGCTGGGGCTACAGAGATGAGCCGCTGCACCCAGCTCCAGTTCCAGTTGCTCTGCATCTTTGCCAACACTTGGTATTGTCAGTCTTTTGACAGTCTTGTTGACATTGGTCTAGTGATTAAAACCCTATGCACTGGAGCCAGAGTTCAAATTCCAGCTCTACCATTTGTTGTATGACTTTAGGTGAGTCACTTCACCTCTGTTAGTCTCAGTTTACTCTTCTGGGAAAAGGGATAATAGTTCATAAGATCCTTATGTCTATTCAGTTAAATCAGTGGTTCTTACTTAGGGATGATTTTGTCCTCACGGGATATTTGGCAAAGTTTGGAGACATTTTTGGCTGTTACAGGGGGCCTCTGGCATCTCAGTGGGTAGAGGCCAGGGAAGCTGCTAAACATCCTCCAATGCATAGGGTGGTCCCTTTGAACACAGAGTTATCCAGTCCAAAAAGTCAATGGCCCTGAGCTTGAGAAATTCTGAATTATATAATGCACGTAATGTGTTCAATACAACACCTGGCACATATCAACTGCTTAGTAAATGGAAAACAAATAGACTTTGGGGAAAAAACGTGTTTTCAGGAGGAGCAATCTGAGTTTGATGGATCCAAATCATCATGGTCCTTTTCCCAAATATCTACCACAAGGCTGTTATGACGTGAGGAGGCTCACAACAAAGAACAACTGGTTTTATCACATAAATACCACGGAAACCAAAAAGTGAGCAATATGTTCAAGACAGCAGACCTGTAGCCTTGGACCTTGGACTCCTCTGTGTGGGGGAGGATGGGAAGGCTCGCACGTTCCATGCCTCCTCCCCCGCCAGGCAGCATCTCCCCTGGCTGGAGTTCCAGCTGTTGTCTGGGTCAGCGCAAACAGAGACCTTTGGGCTGCCCAAGATCCAGGATTTACAGCCCACAGACTCCTCCCAGTTTACCGGAGTGTTTGGAAGACATTCCAGGTCAGCAGGAATTAAGTAGGGCCCCCGAGGGGAGTGTGTGTCACGTGGTCTGACGACACAGCCAGGATGAACTGGAGAAGGGCAAAGCATAGTCCAGAGGAAAGTGCAGTCAAAGCAGAATTGATTCAAGAGAGTCAAGCATTTAGCAACATTCGTTGTGCACCTACTGTGCCAGCCTCTTCCTCTCCTACGTGGGAGGCCCTTTGGAATAGAGGTTAGGAGGACAGTCTCTATGTAGAGGACATTTGAATCCCAGCCCTGCCAGCACTAGGTGTGTGTCCTTTGCAAGAAACATCATCTCTCTGAAACACATGGTATACATGCAATAAATTATGGGTGTACGTATGTCTCAGTCCTCACAAAAAGATATTTATGGTAAGAGCTATTACCATTCCTATTTTACAAAAGAATAAACCAAGGCTCAAAGAGGTGAAGGACTTTGTCCAATGTCATAGGACTAATTAAGTAGCAGAGGATCACTGTGACAGGCTTTTAGGGAGATGGAAAGATGAGTAAGATGGAGTCCCTGACTTCAACAAGCTTGGGGTCTCATAGAGGAGATAAAGGCAGGTAAAAGTCTAATTTCCAGCAAAGAGACAATGAGAGGTGCTAATAAAGAGCATTCAGCGGCCAGGCGCAGTGGCTCACGCCTGTAATCCCAGCACTTTGGGAGCCCGAGGCGGGTGAATCACCAGGTCAAGAGATCAAGACCATCCTGGCCAACATGGTGAAACCCCGTCTCCACTAAAAATACAAAAATTAGCTGGGGGTGGTGGCACACACCCGTAGTCCCAGCTACTTGGGAGGCTGAGGCAGGAGAATTGCTTGAACCCAGGAGGCGGAGGTTGCAGTGAGCTGAGATTGCACCACTGCACTCCAGCCTGGCAACACAGAGAATCTCTGTCTCAAAAATAATAATAATAATAATAATAATAATAATAATAATAATAAATAAAGAGCATTCAGGTGTGGTTAAGGTACGACTGAGGTCAATTCCAGCTGGTGGCAATCAGGAAGGCTTCACAGAGGAAGTGGTGGCTCAGCTGGTCTTTGAAGGTGAGTCAGATTGAAAGCACAGTCAGAGACTGAAGTTCCAAGAAGTGTGACCATTGTGTTGGGCCATAGGATGTGTACATGTCAGGGTGGTCACAGATCTGGCAGGGAAAGTTGATAAATTGGGCCAAGATTATTTGGTGAAAATGGGCTGGGATTACAGGCCCGATTCTTTATAATAATATTTGAGTCTTGCTGGGCATGGTGGCTCACACCTGTAATCCCAGCACTTTGGGAGGCCGAGGTGGGCAGATCACCTGACGTCAGGAGCTCAAGGCCAGCCTGGTCAACATGGCAAAACTCCATCTCTACTAAAAACACAAAAATTAGCTGGGCATGGTGGCGTGTGCCTGTAATCCCAGCTACTCTGGAGGCTGAGGCAGGAGAATTGCTTGAACCCAGGAGGCAGAGGTTGCAGTGAGCCAAGATCATGCCACTGCACTCTAGCCTAGGCAACAATAACAAAACTTCATCTCAAAAAATAATAAAATAAAAATAATATTTGAGTCTCTAGATCCAGCTATGCCTGAAGTCTTCACCTATACTATTCAATTCCATAAGCAAAACATTCTCTTTTATGAGTAAGACAGGTTTGGTTGGGTTTTTTGTCACTTGCAGCTGGAAGAATGCTGACTGATACAAAGAGTCTCAAATCTCATCCTAAGGAATTCTACATAGGTTCTAGAAAGACATGAAAGGGAGAGGGGAAAATAGCCAGTGAGAAGGAAAAAGATGTGATAATTACTGAAACAAGCTCCCTAGAGGGCAGAAAGAATTGGAAGTAGAAGAGAAGGCAGGCCGGGTGCGGTGGCTCATGCCTGTAATCCCAGCACTTTGGGAGGCCGAGGCGGGTAGATCATTTGAGCTCAGGAGTTCGAGACCAGCCTGGCCAACATGGTGAAACCCCGGCTCTACTAAAAATACAAAAATTAGCCGGGTGTGGTGGCTCACACCTGTAGTCCCAGCTACTTGGGAAGCTGAGGTAGGAGGATTGCTTGAGCCCAAGAGTTTGAGACCAGCATGGACAACACTCCATCTCTACAAAAACAAGAAAATTAACTCGACATGGTGTTGTACACATGTTGTTCCAGCTATTGAGGAGGCTGAGGCTAAAGCGGAAGGATTGTTTGGGCCTGGGAGGTCCACGCAGCAGTGACCTGTGATTGTGCCACTGCACTCCAGCCTGGGCAAGAGAGCGAGACTCTGTCTCAAAAAAAATACAATAAAATCATGTTATCAGTGAATAGTATGAGCATGGAAAGATAGATCCAGCATATTGTTTAGTGATAAACCAAGTTACAAAACAGTATGGACTATATGATTTCTTTTTTTCTTTTTCTTTTTTTTTTTTTTTTTTTTGAGATAGAGTCTCACTTTGTCACCCAGGCTGGAGTGTAGTGGCACCATCACAGCTCACTGCAGCCTCGACCTCACGGGCTTAGGTGATCTTCCCACCTCAGCTCCTGAGTAGCCGGCAGGCACCACCACACTCAGCTAATTTTTTGTATTTTTATGTAGAGATGGGGTTTTGCCATGTTGCCCAGGCTCAAACTTCTGGCTCAAGTCATCTGCCTGGGCTGCCCCGGTATGATTTCTTTTGTTTGTTTAAAAATATACATATTCAGTTAATAGGGTTGATAATAAAGAAAATAAATAAGAAAAAACAAAAATAAATACATAAAAAATAAAAATAGATTTATATGTAGAACCAGGATGGTGGCACAGACCTGTAGCCCCAGCTACTCAGGAGGCTGAGATGGGAGGATCACTTGGGTCCAGATGTTCGAGTCCCGCCTGGTCAACATAACAAGACCATGTCTCTAAATATTATATATATATATTTATATTTTTATATGTCTGTAAGAAAAATACCCAAAAGACATTGAAACAGAGTATCATTACCTCTTTCTCCTTTCTTCTTTGTTCATTAACCCTCAAGTTTGTTTAGGTATTCACCTTTCAGAAAAGGTGACCACAGCCAGAGGTTAGCTGGAGGCTTAATTCTAAGTCAATTATGGTAATGCCAGTGATTGGGCTAGGGGCATTCACGTGAGGGAGTTTTGGCCAATGAGATGGGAAAGGGAGTCCGCTGGGAAGCCTGAGGGAAGAGTTTCCTGGTTTAAAAAACAACAAAGACGCTGGGCGGCGGTGGCTCACGCCTGTAATCCCAGCACTTTGGGAGGCCGCGGTGGGCGGATCACAAAGTCACAAGTTCAAGACCAGTCTGGTCAACATAGTGAAACCCCGTCTCTACTAAAAATACAAAAAAATTAGCCGGGTGTGGTGGTGGGCGCCTTTAATCACAGCTACTCGGGAGGCTGAGGCAGGAGAATCCCGTGAACCTGGGAGGTGGAGTTTGCAATGAGCCGAGATTGCGCCGTTGCTCTTCAGCCAGTGTGACAGTGTGAGACTCTGTCTCAAAAAAACCAACAACAAAGAGAGGCAGGGCACGGTGACTCACGCCTGTAATCCCAGCACTTTGGGAGGCCGAGGCAGGCAGATCATCTGAGGTTAGGAGCTCCAGACTAGCCTGGCCAACATGGTGACCTCTTCTCTACTAAAAATTAGCCGGGCGGTGGCGCACGCTTGTAGTCCCAGCTACGCGGGAGGCTGAGGAGGGAGGATCGTTTGAACCCGGGAAGTTGAATCACGGAGGTTGCAGTAGCTGAGATCCCAACACTGCACTCCAGCCTAGTTAACAAAGTGAAACTCTGTATCAAAAAAACAAACAGAAAAAAACCAAAAAAACAAAACAACAACAACAACAACAAAAACAATGCTGGGCCTATAGTCCCAGCACTTTGGGAGGCCAAGGCGGGTGGATCACCTGAGGTCAGGAGTTTGAGACCAGCCTGGCCAACATGGTGAAACCCTGTCTCTACTAAAAATACAAAAAATTAGCCGGCCATGGTGGCCGGCATCTGCAATCCCAGCTACTCGGGAGGCTGAGGCAGGAGAATCACTTGAACCCAGGAGAAGGAGGTTGCGGTGAGCCGAGACTGCGTCATTGCACTCCAGTCGGGGCAATAGAGCGAGACTCCGTCTCCAAAAAAAAAAAAAAGGCCAAAAGTGGAAACAACCCAAATATCCACCAACCATGAATGGGTAAAAAATATATAGTATGTCTATATAATGGAAGATTATTCAGTAATATAAAGAAATGAGCTACTGATACATTTTGCAACATGAATGAACCTTGAAAACATTATGCTAAGTAAAAAGAAGTCAGCACAAAATACCACATACTTTATGATTCCATTTATATGAAATGACCAGAATAAGCAAATTTATAGGGACAGAAAATAGGAGGGTTTTTTTGTTTTGTTTTGTATTTTAGAGAGAATCTCATTCTGTCACCCACCTGAAGTGTGCTCATCATAGCATAACACTGCAGCTTCAAACTCCCAGGCTCAAGTGATCCTCCTGCCTCAGCCTCCTGGGTACCTGGGACACCATGCCTGGCTAATTTTTTTTTTCTTTTTTTTAGTATGTTTTGTAGAGACAGGGTTTTGCTGTGTTTCCCAGGCTGGTCTCGAACTTCTGGGCTCAAGCCTCCCAAAGCAAGCCAAAAGGCTCAAGCCTCTTGTCTCAGCCTCCCAAAGTGCTGGGATTATAGGCATAAACCACCAAAAAGTAGATTAGCTGTTGCCTGGGGTGGAGGGGAGGAGAGTTGCGGAAAACTAGAGAATGACAGATAATAGGTGCTAAATTTCCGTGGCGGATGATAAAAATGTTCTAAAACTAAGTGTGGTGATTGTTGCACAATTCTGTGAACATACTACAAACCATTAACTTTTTTTTTCTTGATACATGAAAAGCTGCACTTATTTAACATATACAACTAGATGAGTTTGGGATGTATATTTGATGGGTGAATTATATGGTATGTGAATTGTATCTCAATAAAGATATTATTTTAAAAAGAGAGGAAGGTATTTCCAGGAATCGGTAGCCCTTCTTTGTTCCATTACAATCTAGTGGAGCTGGATGTCATGTCCTCAGGCAGTTCTTGGAACTATGAAAACAATCTTTTAACCACGGAAGAATGAAAAATGGCAACGTGACAAGAATGGAAAAACAGAGAATTCAGGTCCTTGATAAAATCTTGGAGCTACTGAAAGAACCAATTCTAGAGCTTCTCTATTTTGGGGCTTCTTAATATAAGACGTAATAAATTTTTCTTAAATAATTCTGACATATTTTATTTCTAGTAATTTATTGAGGTAAAATCCACATAACCATAAAGTTAACTTTTGGGGGAGGGGTATGATAGGGTCTCACTCGGTTGCCCAGGCTGGAGTGCCATGGCACAATCATAGCTCATTGCAGCCTCAAACTCCTGGGCTCAAGCAGTCCTCCGATCCCAGCCTCCTTAGTAGTTAGAAATACAGGCACACATCACCAAGCCCAACTAATTAAAATTAACCATTTTGGCCACGTGCAGTGGCTCATGCCTGTCATCCCAACACTTTAGAAGGTCGAGGAGGGAGGATCACTTGAAGCCAGGAGACCAACCTGAAGAGCAAAACAAGATCCGTTGCAAAAAAAAAAAAAAGCCAGGCATGGTGTCATGCACCTGTAGTTCCAGCTACTTGGGAGGCTGAGGCAGGAGGATCCCTTAAGCCTAGGAGTTTGAAGCTGCAGTGAACTAAGATCTCACCACTGCACTCCAGCCTGGGCAGCAGAGTGAGATTCTGTCTTAAAAAATAAATTAACCATTTTAAAGTAAACAATTCAGGGGTCTTTAGTACAGTCACAATGCTGTGCAACCACCACCTCTATCTAGTTCCAAAACATTTTCATTATTCCACCAATTTGCATTTTGTCCCTGTAGATTTATCTTTTTTTTTTTTTTTTTTTTCTCGAGACAGAGTCTCACTCTGTTGCCCAGGCTGGAGTGCAGTGGTGCGATCTTAGCTCACTGCAACCTCAGCCTCCCAGGTTCACGGGATTCTGGTGCCTGAGCCTCCAGAGTAGCTGGGATTACAGGCATGTGCCACCACACCCAGCTAATTTGTGTATTTTTAGTAAAGACGGGGCTTCACCATGTTGGCCAAGCTGGTCTTGAACTCCCGGCCTCAAGTGATCTGCCTGCCTTGGCCACCCAAAGTGCTGAGATTACAGGTGTAAGCCACCACGCCGGCCTGATTTATCTATTCTGAATGCCTCATATAAATAGAATTACGCAGTGTATGATCTCTTGTGCCTGTCTTCCTTCATTTAGCATAAAATTTTTTGAGGCTTATTTAGATCATAGCAGGTATCAGCACTTCATTCTTTTTTATGTCTAAACAATATTCTTTTGTATGTATTTGCTACAATTTGTGTATGAGCCATCCATTGATGGACACTTTGGCTATTTTGACTAGTGCTGCTATGAAAAAGTGTGTACAAATAATTGTTGGAGTACATTTTTCCAATTATTTCAGGTGTATGCCTAGGAATGGAATTGCAGGGTTATATGGTAATTCTATGTTTAACTTTTTTTTTTTTTTTTTTTGAGACGGAGTCTCTCTCGCCCAGGCTGGAGTACAGTGGGGCCATCTTGGCTCACTGAAACTTCTGCCTCCCGGGTTCAAGCGATTCTCGTGCCTCAGCCTCCCGAGTAGCTGGGACGATAGGCACACACCACCACACCCAGCTAATTTTTGGTATTTTTTTTTAGTAGAGCCCAGCTTCCATGAGGTCAAACTCCTGACCTCAAGTGATCTGCCCACCTCAGCCTCCTAAAGTGCTGGGATCACAGGTGTGAGCCACTGTGTCTGGCCGTCTATGTTTAACTTCTTGAGAAACTGCTCAAATGTTTTCCACAGAGGCTGAGCCATTTGGCCTTCCCACCAGCAGTTATTATTATTATTATTTTAATTGTTAAAGCCATCCTAATGCATTTGAAGTGGTACTTCATTGTTGTTGATTTTGTTTTTACTTGCAGCTAAAAACATATAAATTGATACAGGTGTTAAAAGTGGTAGAATTATGGTTGTTTAAAATATTTTCTTCATTTTGATTATCTATATTTTGTAATTTTTCTGTAATCATACTAATATTTATTAGGTTCTTACAGTGTATCAGTACTAACGCTAATATACAATGTACTAAGCATTTTATATACATAATATCACTTATTTCTTATTTCTCACAACAAATCTATAAGACAAGTAAAAACTAAGGGACAGGGAGGAAAAGCAACTTACTCCAGGACACACAGCATGTTTTAAGCATAGGGTCTAGGATTTTTTCCTAATTAAACTTTTAATTTTGAGATAATTATAGCTTCACATGCAGCTATAAGAAATAATATAGGCCAGGCAAGGTGGCTCACGCCTGTAATCCCAGCACTTTGGGAGGCTGAGGTGGGCTCATTTGAGCCCAGGAGTCATAGACCAGCCTGGGCAGCATAGGGAGACTCCATCTCTACAAAAAATGTTTTAAAATGAGCCAGGAGTGGTGGCACGCGCCTGTGTTCTTAGCTACTTGGGAGGGTGAGGTGGGAGGATAGCTTGAGCCCAGGAGGCCGGGGCTGCAGTGAGCCATGATTGTGCCACTGCACTCCAGCTTCGGTGACAGAATAAGACCCTGTTTCAAAAAAGGAAGGAAGGAAGGAAGGGAGGGAGGGAGGGAGGGAGGGAACAAAGAGATCCTGTGTACTCTTTACCTAGTTTCCCCCGATGGTAACTTCTTGAAAAAATACAACACAGTATCACAACCAAGATATTCACATTGATACAGTCAAGACACAGAGTATTTCCAACACTACCAGGATTCCTCATATTGACCTTTCAATAGCCAACCCCACTTCCTCCTGCCTCTACCTCCTCCTTTACACTGGTAATTCTGTCTCCATTTTTATAATTTTGTCATTTCAAGAATTTTATATAAATAAATCATACAGTGTTTAATCTTTTGAGACTGGCTTTTTTTCACTCATCATGATTCTCTGGAAATTCATCCAGATTGTTCCAAGTATTCATATTTGTTCTCTCTCTTTTTTTTTTTTTTTTTTTTGAGACAGGGTCTGGCTTTGTCACCCAGGCTGGAGTGCAGTAGCGCAATCAGAGCTCACTGGCATCACCGACCTCTCTGCCTCAAGTGATCCTGCCACTTCAGCCTCCCGAGTAGCTGGGACTACAGGTGTGTGCCACCATGCCCAGCTAATTTTTGTAATTTTTTGTACAAGTGGAGTCTCCCTGTGTTGCTCAGGCTGGCCTTGAGCTCCTGGGCTCAAGTGATCCTCCCACCTCAGCCTCCCAAAGTGTTGAGATTACAGGCATGAGCCACAATGCCCGGCCTCGTTTCTTTTTATTTCTGGGTAATACTCCATGCTGAGTGGTATTCTGTGGATGTACCATGGTTTGTTTAACCATCCACCTATTGAAGAACATCTGGATTGTTTCCAGTTTGGGGATACTACCAATAAAACTGCTTTAAACATTCAACTACAGGTTTTTGTCTTAATGTAAGTCTTCATTTCTCTGGGATAAATGCTCAGGATTGCAATTGCCAGGTTGTATGGTAGCTGTGTGATTCTTTTTTTTTTTTTTTTTTTTTTTTTTGAGATGGAGTTTTACTTTTGTCGCCCAGGCTGGAGTGCAATGGCAGGATCTTGGGTCACTGCAACCTCCTTCTCCTGGGTTCAAGCGATTCTTCTGCCTCAGCCTCCTGAGTAGCTGGGATTACAGGCTCCCACCACCACTCCCAGCTAATTTTTGTATTTTTACTAGAGATGGGGTTTCACCATGTTGGCCAGGCTGGTCTCAAACTCCTGACCTCAGGTGATCCACCTCCCTCAGCCTCCCAAAGTGCTGGGATTACAGGCACAAGCCACTGTACCCGCCTATGCGGTTCATTTTTTAAGAAACTGACAGGCTAGCCACGGTGGCTCACGCCTGTAATCCCAGCACTTTGGGAGGCCGAGGCAGGTGGATCACCTGAGGTCAGGAGTTCAAGACCAGCCTGGCCAACATGGTGAAACCCCGTCTCTACTAAAAATACAAACGTTAGCCGGGCATGGTGGTGAACGCCTGTAATCCCAGCTACTCAGGAGGCTGAGGCAGGAGAATCACTTGAACCTGGGAAGCACAGGTTGCGGTGAGCCAAGATTCCGCCACTGCACTCCAGTCTGGGCGATAGAGCGAGACTCTGTCTTAAAAAAGAAAAAGAAAAAGAAACTGACAAAGTTTTCCAGAGTGCAGGGCCCAGGATTTTAATCACACTATTCTACTGCTTATAAATTAACCTATAAAATCTTTTATTTTTAAAAGAATAAAAAGAAATTTTCTTCCTGTTATGGCTGTGATGAACTTTAGTAAGCATACAGTAAACAAAACAAAACAAAACAAAACAAAAAAAAAAACAGCAATATAAGTTATTTTTTATTTTAAAAACTCTTCACAGGACACTTACACATTGAAATACATACAGCCAAGGGCTGCTGAGCTGTTGGCCTTCCGGAAGCTTAAGCACTTCATCTTTTCTCTGGCATGTGGTCTCTGTGGGTCCTCAGATGCCAGGATCACATGTTCGCTGCTCACTGAGCTCTTAGGAAGCCCCTGTGCTACCCTGTAGGCAGAAATTATCCTTTTTGAATCAGGTAAGTAACAGAAACCTCCTCAGCTTTAAGCTAGAAAGGGAACTCTCTTTCTGAAGGTACAGGAGGTGCAGCTGACCCATGCAAAGGACTGGAGTTAGGAAATGGAGAGTTCTGCAGATCCAATCAGCCAGCCCAGGGGGCCAGTCCCATGGTGCAAGTGTAGTTGCAGGCAAACAAAATAAGATCTTGGGCTCAGGAGTCCAACAACTTGAGTTGAAATCCTGGTTCTACCACTTACAAGCCATGTGACCCTAGGCAAGTTACTTAACCTCTCAGACCCCAGTTTCCTTATCTTAAAATGGGGTAATAAGCCTGGGCAACATAGTGAGACTTTGTGTCTCTCTAAAAAAAAAAAAAAATTTAGCCAGGCATGGTGGCACCCACCTATGGTCCCAGCTACTTGGGAGGCGGAGGTGAGAGGAACACTTGAGCCAGGGAGCTTGAGGCTGCAGTGAACCATGATTGCACCACTGCGCCCCACCAGGGTGACAGAGCAAGACCCTGTCTAAAATAAAATAAAATAAAATAAATAAAATAAAATAGAATGGGGTAATAATTGCATCTACAGTATTAGGTTCATATGGAGATTAATGAGTTGATGCATATAAAAAATGCTTTAAAGGAGTCAGGCAGGCCGGGCGCAGTGGCTCATGCCTGTAATCCCAGCACTTTGGGAGGCCGAGGCGGGCGGATCACCTGAGGTCGGAAGTTCGAGACCAGCCTGACCAACATGGAGAAACCCCGTCTCTACTAAAAATATAAAATTAGCTGGGCATGGTGGTGCATGCCTGTAATCCAAGCTACTCAGGAAGCCGAGAGAGGAGAATCGCTTCAACCCAGGAGGCAGAGGTGGCGGTGAGCCAAGATCGCGCGCCATTGTACTCCAGCCTGGGCAACAAGAGGGAAACTACGTCCCAAAAAAAAAAAAAGAGAGAGAGAGAGAAAAAAGGCCGGGCGCAGTGGCTCACGCCTGTAATCCCAGCACTTTGGGAGGCCAAGGCGGGCGAATCACAAGGTCAGGAGATCGAGACCATCCTGGCTAACACGGTGAACCCCCGTCTCTACTAAAAAAAAATACACAAAAATTAGCCGGGCGTGGACTCCATCTCAAAAAAAAAAAAAAAAATAGGCAGAGTGGCTCATGCCTGTAATTCCAGGTACTTGGTAGGCTGAGGCAGGAGGATCCCTTGAGCCCAGGATCAAGTACGAAGTGAGCTATGATTGTGCCACTGCATTCCAGCCTGGGTGACAGAGCAAGACCATTTCTCTTTTTTTTTCTTTTTTTTTCTTTTTGAGACGGAGTCTCTCTGTCGCCCAGGCTGGAGTGTGCAGTGGCGCAATCTCGGCTCACTGCAAGCTCCGCCTCCCGGGTTCACAGCATTCTCCTGCCTCAGCCTCCCGAGTAGCTGGGATTACAGGCGCCCGCCACCACGCCCGGCTAATCTTTTGTATTTTTTTAGTAGAGACGGGGTTTCACCATGTTAGCCAGAATGGTCTGGATCTCCTGACCTCGTGATCCGCCCGCCTCAGCCTCCGAAAGTGCTGGGATTACAGGCTTGAGCCACCGCGCCTGGCTGACCCTTTCTCGAAAAAAACAAAACAAAAAAACAAGTTCCTGGCTGGGCGCAGTGGCTCAAGCTTTTAATCCCAGCACTTTGGGAAGCCAAGGCAGGCGGCGGATCACCTGAGGTCAGAAGTTCAAGACCAGCCTGACCAACATGAAGAAACCCCGTTTCTACTACAAAAATAGAAAATTTTCCCGGCGTGGTGGCGCCTGCCTGTAATCCCAGCTACTCTGGAGGCTGAGGCAGGAGAATCACTTGAACCCAGGAGGCGGAGGTTGTGGCAAGCCGAGATTGTGCCACTGCACTCCAGCCTGGGCAACAAGAGTGAAACTCCGTCTTAAAAAAAAAAAAAAGTTCCTGTCATGTAGCAAGTGCTAATGCTAGGTATACAGTATTATTATTATTCCAGGATTAAATGAGAAGGCACATAAATTGCAGCACAGTAATGGCAAGTGTTCAGTATACATTAGCTAAATGTTAGCTTTCAGTATTTTTGAACAGCTTTATTGAGATATAGTTCATATACTATACAAATGCACATTTCATTGCTTCTTAGAATGTTGAGTTGTGCAACTGTCACCACAATCAACTTTAGAACATTTTGATTACCCTCAAAATAACCCCTGTGCCACTTAGCCATCACTCCCCCACCCCTTACATCCCTCCAGCCCTAGGCAACCACTGATATACTTTCTGTTCCTATAGATCTGCCTATTCTGGACATTTCATATGCCTCATTCCTTTTTATTGTTGAATAATATTCCATATGTGGATATACCACAAGTATTAATTTTTATAATCAATAATCCATGCAGTGGCTGAACATGGTGGCTCACGCCTGTGATCCCAGCACTCTGGGAGGCTGAGGCCAGTGGATCACAAGGTCAGGAGTTCGAGACCAGCCTGGCCAATATGGTGAAACCCTGTCTCTACTGAAAAATACAAAAAATTAACCGGGTGTGGTGGCACATGCCTGTAGTCCCAGCTACTTGGGAGGCTGAGGCAAGAGAATGGCGTGAACCCAGGAGGCAGAGCTTGCAGTGAGCCGAGATCGCGCCACTGCACTCCAGCCTGGGTGACACAGCGAGACTCTGTCTCAAAAAATAAATAAATAAATAAATAATTCACACAGTGATCTTGCCACTGCACACCAGCCTGGGCAACAAACTGAGACTCTATCTCTAAAAGTATAATAATACTCTGAGTGCAGAGGCTTATGCCTGTAATGCCAGCACTTTGGGAGGCTGAGGCAGGCAGATCAAGTGAGGCCAGGAATTCAAGACCAGCCTGGGTAACATGGCGAAACCCCATCTCTACTACAAATACAAAAATTAGCTGGGCATGGTGGTGCATGCCTGTAATTCCAGCTACTCCAGAAACTAAGGCACGAGAATTGCTTGAACCCAGGAGGTGGAGCTTGCAGTGAGCTGTGATTGTACCAGTGCACGGCACTTCAGCCTGGGCAACAAAAATGAGACTGTCTCCAAAAAAAGAGAAAAAAGTAATAATAATAATAATGATTCAACCACATCCCTTGAATTAGTTTCTTATAGCTGTTGCAATAAATTACCACAAATTTAGTGACTTAAAACAACAGAAATATACTCCCCTGCAGTTCCGGAGGCCAGAAGTGTATAATAAGTCTTAAGGGGCTGAAATCAAGGCATTGGCAGGGCTGGTTGCTTCTAAAGACTCCAGGGAAGAACTATGCCTTGCCTCTTCCAGCGACTGGTGGCTGTTGGATCCCTCAACTTGAGTTTGCATCACTCCAATCTCTGCTTTCATCATCTCATTGCCTTCTCTTCTGCAGTCAAATCCTTCTCTACTTCCCTCTTATAAGGATATGTATGATTACATTTAGGGCCCACCTGGATAATCCAGGATAATCTCCCTATCTCAACATTCTTAACTGAATCCCTTCTGCAAAGCAATTATGTTATATATAAGGTAACACTGACAGGTTCCAGAGATTAGGGCTTGAGCATCATTGAGAGGGATTATTCAGGCTACCACTCTCCTTGATTTAAAATGTCTTTTGGCTGGGCACAGTGGCTCACGCCTGTAATCCCAGCACTTTGGGAGGCCAAGGCGGGCGGATCATGAGGTCAAGAGATTGAGACCATCCTGGCCAACATGGTGAAACCCCATCTCTACTAAAAATACAAAAATTAGCCGGGCATGGTAGTGGGCACCTGTAGTCCCAGCTACTCAGGAGGCTGAGGCAGGAGAATCGCTTGAACCTGGGAGGTGGAGGTTGCAGTGAGCTGAGATCGCGCCACTACACTCCAGCCTGGTGACAGAGTGAGACTCCATCTCAATAAATGAATAAATAGATAAATAAATAAACAAAATGTCTTTTCTCTTCTAACACCAGGAAATGAATCAAGTGATCAATAGGATAACAGTGATACAACCAGCCTGGTGCTTCTGTCTATGATAGTTGTGCTTTGCTTTTTTTTGTTTTTTTAAGTCAGTACATTTTTATTCAAGGAATTTCATGTTGTGATTTTTTCCCACTGTCCACCAAGGTCACTATAGATCCTCTAAAGAGCTGGAGTCAAAATTTATCTTCAAGTTAGCCCTTTTTAATGGAACTGAGGCATATTTTAATCTAGTTGTCCTGTCAGCCCATAATTCTTTTATTTTGGCTTCTGTCATCTCCTTTTAATGTGGATATAGTAGCTGGGCACAGTGGCTCCTGCCTGTAATCCCAGCACTTTGGGAGGCTGAGGTGGGTGGATTATCTGGGGTCAGGAGTTCGAGACCAGCCTGGCTAACATGGTGAAACCCCATCTCTACTAAAAATACAAAATTAGGCTGGGCGTGGTGGCTCACGCCTGTAATCCCAGCACTTTGGGAGGCCAAGGCAGGCGGATCACCTGAGGTCAGGAGTCCAAGACCAGTCTAGCCAACATGGTGAAACCCCGTCTCTACTAAAAATACAAAAATTAGCTGGGTGTGGTGTTGGGAGTCTGTAGTCCCAGCTACTCAGGAGGCTAAGGCAGGAGAATCACTTGAACCTGGGAGGTGGAGGTTGCAGTCAGCTGAGATTGCGCCACTGCGCTCCAGTCTGGGTGACAGAGCGAGACTCCGCCTCAAAAAAAGAAAAAAAAATTAGCTGGGCATGGTGGCACATGCCTATAATCCCAGCTACTCAGCAGGCAAGGCTGAAGAATCGCCTAAACCTGGGAGGCGGAGGTTGCAGTGAGCTGAGATTGCACCATTGTGCTCCAGCCTGGGTGACAAGAGTAAAACTCCATCTCAAAAAAAATTAAAAAAAAAAATAATAATAATAATAATATGGGTACACTGAAGAAGACTTCAAAATTCACCAAGAATGTTTGGAATCTAATTTTTTAACCAACTTACTTTAGGGTCATTTTTAGCGTACGTGGATCTTCCTGGTTCTCAATTTGACACCCTCTCTAAACATGAATGAGTTTAAATCATATTCATTCCTAAGCAATCACACTCAAGAATAAGTACAGATGTGTGGAATATGCCAATACCTTTAACTCCAGATATCGTGTTCTCAAGATAAAAGCCTTTAAAACAAAAAGCCATCTTATGTATCAAGTCAGCATGAAATTGAAATACAAAATTAATATAGCTGAGGTTTTCCCTCATATCCTATGCTTTTAAATTATCTATTCTACAATCCTAGAATCAACATTTTTTTATTAAGAGACAGGGTCGGCCGGGCATGGTGGCTCACGCCTGTAATCCCAGCACTTTGGGAGGCCGAGGCGGGCAGATCACCTGAGGTTGGGAGTTTGAGACCAGCCTGACCAACATGGAGAAATCCCATCTCTACAAAAAATACAAAATTAGCTGGGCGTGGTGGCACATGCCTGTAATCCCAGCTACTTGGAAGGCTGAGGCGGGAGAATCGCTTCAACCTGGGAGGCGGAGGTTGCGGTGAGCCGAGATCCCGCCATTGCACTCCAGCCTGGGCAACAAGAGCCTGAAACTCCATCCCAAAAAAAGAGACAGGGTCTGTCTTTGTTGCCCAGGCTGGAGTACAGTGGTGCCATCAAAGCTCAGCACAGCCTCCAACTCCAGAGCTCGATCCTCCTGCCTCTGCCTCCCCTTCCTGAGCAGCTGCAACTACAGGCACATGCCTCGATACCCAGCCAATTAAAAAAAAAAAACAAACTCATACTGAACAATGAGTTCTGGGATGCAAAACAGGATTTATTTTTTGTACTTATCCATAAATATATATATATAAGTGCGTGCTGGTTGCTTTTTGTTGTTGTTGTTATTAGACCTCAAGACCATTGGGAATGTTTTTTTGTTTTTGTTTTTGTTTTTTTGAGACGGAATCTTGCTCTGTCGCCCAGGTTGGAGTGCAGTGGCAGGATCTCTGCTCACTGCAAGCTCCGCCTCCCGGGTTCATGCCATTCTCCTGCCTCAGCCCCCCAAATAGCTGGGACTACAGGCGCCTGCCACCACGCCCGGCTAATTTTTTGTATTTTTAGTAGAGACAGGGTTTCACCGTGTTAGCCAGGATGGTCTCGATCTCCTGACCTCGTGATCCACCCGCCTCAGCCTCCCAAAGTGCTGGGATTACAGGCATAAGCCACCGCACCCGGCTTATGTTTTTGTATTTTTAGTAGAGACGGGGTTTCACCGTGTTAGCCAGGATGGTCTCGATCTCCTGACCTCATGATCCACCTTCCTCGGCCTCCCAAAGTGCTGGGATTACAGGCATGAGCCATCGCGCCCGGCCTGGAATGGGTGGTTTTTTTACTACCTCTGGGTGAATGAGAAAGTACACTACAATAGCAAGAGAGCAGGAAGGGCAATTTATTATTTCTTTTCTTTTTTCTTTTTTTTTTTTTTTTTTGAGACGGAGTTTCACTCTTGTTGCCCAGGCTGGAGTGCGGTGGTGTGATCTCGGCTCACTGCAACCTCCGCCTCCTGGGTTCAAGCGATTCTCCTGTCAGCCTCCCGAGTAGCTGGGATTACAGGCACTCGCCACTACGCCTGGCTAAGTTTTGGTATTTTTTTAGTAGAGACAGGGTTTCACTATGTTGACCAGGCTGGTCTTGAACTCTTGATGTCAGGTGATCCGCCTGCCTCAGACTCCCAAAATGCTGGGATTATAGGCATGAGCCACCGCACCCAGCCAGGAGGGGCAATTTCCATTTGGAGTGAAGGAAGGGGCAGATTTGGGCGCAGGATTCTAATAATTGTTTATGAAGAGTTTCTATGTTTCATGAATTTTACATCTTTTATCTCTAAAAGACAATTTTGGCTGGACACAGTGGCTCTCACCTGTAATCCCAGCACTTTAGAAGGCTGAGGTAGGAGGACCACTTGAGTCCAAAAGTTTGAGACCAGCTTGGGCAACATAGGGAGATCCTATCTCAATTAAAAAATGAGCCAGGCTTGGTGGCACATGCCTGTGGTCCCAGCTACTCAGGGGGTGGACTGAGGTAGGATGATCGCTTGTGCCTGGGAGGTTGAGGCTGTAGTGAGCCAAGATAGCGCCACTGCACTCCAACCTGAGCAACAGAGCAAGAGCCTGTCTCAAAAAAATAAATAAAATAAAAATAAAAAGGTGGGCATTTTATAGAATAAGGAAGTTTAAATCTGAAAGGATTAAGCCACTTGCCCAAAGTCTTATAGCCAGTGAGAAGCCAGAGCCAGGATGTGAACTCAGGTCTGCATGATATGGATGCCAAAAGCCCAGGTCCTGGCCACCGTGCCAAGCTGCCTCTTGAGAAATAGGAGCTCCCCAGCCTCTAAAACATTACCCTCTTCCTGACATTGGCCCTGGAAGGTTGTTAGACCAGAACAACAACCAGGAGATGTTGCATGCAACTTAGGCACCCCACTTCAGTCATCTGTGATGCCTCAAGGACCAGAGTTCACAGTCTGTGCTTGGCACCCCCGTCAGAGCTTTGACAAGCAATGTGTTTGTTAGACATGTTGTCCTTTCCAGGCTCAACCAAACAGCTCCAGCCTGCCCGCGCTGACCAGCAGAGCAGGCCTCCAGGCTGAGTCACCGCCCAGGGGTGTTTCACAACCAACCTGTCTGTGCATTGAGGCAGCAGAGGCAGGAAAGGTCACTGGGTGGCCCATGTCACCTTGAGCTCCTGGACAGAAAGGTGGAGCCTGGCTCACCTGTACCCATCCAGTTCTCACCCGAGTTTTCTTTCTCTTCTTGTAGGCTCTCTCTTTAACCTGAGGTATTATCCTGAGCCAAGGGAAGTTTCAACAAGCTCCAGTTCCTCATCTGTAAGATGGGAACTACATACATATTTAAATTATTGTGCATCCTACATGCCCTGTATCATTTAATCTTTATAGCAAACCAGTGAGGTAGATGCTATTATTTCATTTTACAAATGCAGGTACTGAAGATCAGAGATGTTACGTCACTCACCAAAGTCACACAGCTGGTTAGCGCAGGGTCAGGAATCAACCCTAAGTCTGTATGACTAAAGAGTGTGGGTTCAGAAGGAAATGTTCAGGAGAAAAGTCTGGCTATGGCTCGGGGCCTGTAATTCCCTGCTGAGTAATTTAGGCAAGTCCCTTCCACTCTGTGGGTCACTCTGTGGGTCTTGGTTTCCCCATCCGTTCTGTGGGGTGGGAGATAGGAAGCTGGACTAATGAGGCTGGAGGCCTCTTTCGCCTTTAAGTCTATGGTCCTAAGATTTTACGCAGAAGGCCTTTCCCTCAGTCACGCCTAGAGTGTGGTCTTTGCTTCCCGTACAGCCCACTCTTGAACTTCCTCTGGGGGAAGAGCAGACAGCAGGAGATTTCCTAGCAAGCTGCAGCTCTTTTTTTTTTTTTTTTTTTTTTTTGAGATGGAGTCTGGCTCTGTCGCCCAGGCTGGAGTGCAGTAGCGCCATCTCGGCTCACTGCGAGCTCCACCTCCCAGGTTCACGCCATTTTCCTGCCTCAGCCTCCCGAGCAGCTGGGACTGCAGGCGCCGGCCACCGCGCCCGGCTAATTTTTTTGTATTTTTAGTAGAGTCGGGGTTTCTCCGTGGTCTCGATCTCCTGACCTCGTGATCCGCCCGCCTCGGCCTCCCAAAGTGCTGGGATTAGCAAGCTGCAGCTCTTGCACATGACAACTTTGTTGTGACTTCCACTGAGCCATGTCCACATCTGTGAAATTGGGATGACCATAGTACCAGCAACCCAGTCACAGTACACACCATTGTGCTAGGTGCGTCATCTACATTTCCTCTTTATCTTATAATGACCTAGAAGACGATGTCACTGCTTGAGGCCACCCGGTTTATAGGAAGTGGAGCTGCTGTCTCAGCCTAGGCATGTCTGCCTCTTTGCCCTTCGCCATACTGCTTCTCCTCTCCTAGCCATGATGGTGGGAGAATGCACTGAAATGATGAATGAAAAGCACCTGGTGACCCGATGTTACTGGCTCGCTTTTTCCCATTATAATGGGAGCTGGGACTTGAGTCTTCAACTGTTTTTGCATCCACAAATAATGCCAATGTGGGCCTTTCTATGGGTTCTTGGTACATAATTGCTGACTGATATAATTCTATTCGCTAAGGACAAGCAGGTGGAATTAGTCAATAATATTCCGGCCAAGCAGGAAGGACAACAATGTTGAGAATTAGCTCTGTGGTTGGCTTGGTCATTGCCAAGCAGCTATGCCCACTTCCCGCCCCCCCCCCCTTTTTTTTTTAACCTAGTCTCCTTCTGTTGCCCAGGCTAGAGTGCAATGGCGCAGTCTCGACTCACTGCAACCTCTGCCTCCTGGGTTCAAGCAATTCTCCTGCCTCAGCCTCCCGAGTAGCTGGGATTACAGGCGTCCACCACAATGCCTGCAAATTTTTTGTATTTTTAGTAGAGACGGAGTTTCGCCATGTTTGCCAGGCTAGTCTTGAATGCCTGACCTCAAGTGATCCACCCGCCTCAGCCTCCCAAAGTGGTGGGATTACAGGCGTGAGCCACTGCGCCCAGCCTTCCCCCTTTATTTAGTCTTAGATTTTGTCTTTTCATTATTTTATTTTATTTTATTATTTTTTTTTTTGAGACGGAGTCTTGCTGCTGTCGCCTGGGCTGGAGTGCAGTGGCACAATCTCGGCTCACTGCAAGCTCCGCCTCCTGGGTTCCAGCAATTCTCCTGCCTCAGCCTCCCGAGTAGCTGAGATTACAGGCGCCTGCCACCACGCTCGGCTAATTTTTTTTGTTTCGTTTTGTTTTGTTTTTTGAGACGGAGTTTCATTCTTGTTGCTCAGGCTGGAGTGCAATGGCGCGATCTTGACTCACTGCAATCTCTGCCTTCCGGGTTCGAGCAACTCTCCTGCCTCAGCCTCCCCAGTAGCTGAGATTACAGGCACCCACCACCACGCTAGGCTATTTTTTTGTATTTTTAGTAGTGACAGGGTTTCACCATATTGGCCAGGCTGGTCGCGAACTACTGACCTCAGGTGATCCACTCACCTGGGCCTCCCAAAGTGCTGGGATTACAGGCATGAGCCACCACCTCTGGCCATCTGGCTAATTTTTGTATTTTTAGTAGAGATGGGGTTTCACCATGTTGGCCAGGCTGGTCTCGAACTCCTGACCTCAGGTGATCCACCCACCTCAGCCTCCCAAAGTGCTGCGATTACAGGCGTGAGCCACCGTGCCTGGCATATTTTATTTTTTGAGACAGAGTCTCACTCTGTTGCTCAGGATGGAATGCAGTGGCACCATCACAGCTCACTGCAGCCTTGACCTCTCGGGTTCAAGCAATCCTCCTGTCTCAGCTGGGAAGCTGAGTAGCTGGGACCACAGGTATACACCACCATGTCTGGCTAATTTTTGTATTTTTTGTAGAGACGAGGCCTTGGCATGTTGCCCAGGCTGGTCTTGAACTCATGGGCTCAAACAATCCACCTGTCTCGTCTTTCCAAAGTGCTGGGATTATAGGGACGAGTCACCACGCCCATTCATATTCTTAGCTTTCCTTTGCCGTTATGACTTTTGTCATTTTTGTCCTGACACATTCTCACTCTCTTTTGTTTGTTTGTTTTGAGACAGGGTCTTGCTCTGTTGCCCAGGCTGGAGTGCAGTGGCGTGATCAAGCTCACTGCAGCCTCTATCTTTCAGGCTCAAGCGATCCTCCTGCCTCAGCCTCCTAAGTAGCTAGGACTACAGGCATGTGCCATCACACCTGGCTAATTTTTATTAATTTTTAGTAGAAATGAGTTATTGTTATGTTGCCCAGGCTGGTCTCAAACTCCTGAGCTCGGCCAGGCATGGTGGCTCATGCCTGTAATCCCAGCATTTTGGGAGATCGAGGCGGGTGGATCACCTGAGGTCGGGAGTTCAAGACTAGCCTGGCCAACATGGCAATACCCCCCTCTCTACTAAAAATACAAAAATTAGCCGGGCATGGTGGCGTGTGCCTATAGTCCCAGCTACTGGGGAGGCTGAGGGAGGAGAATCACTTGAACCCAGGAGGCGGAGGTTGCATTGAGCTGGGATCGCACCACTGCACTCTAGCCTGGATGACAGACTCAAAAACAAACAAACAAACAAACAAATGCCCCCTGAGCTCAAGCATTCCTCCCTACTCGGTGTCCCAAAGTGCATGAGCCGCCACGCTGGCCTCACATTCTCACTCTTTCCCCCTAGGAAATGAGAGAAGAGAATCCTAAGAGTTTGTAGAAAAGCCATTCAAACACTGATTCCTTATGAGCTCACCTGTCTAACCTCCATTCTCACTTCTCTCCCACCTGTCAAAGTCACACACCTGTCTGCCACAACTGACAATCTTATCCTCTAGCAGGACTTCTAGATTTCTGCAGAAACCTGGGATTTCTGGACACTCCAGTCTATTCATTCTTCTCTGCTTCCTGATGGGATTATCTCTCCTACTCTTACTCTGTTATTTTATTTACTAATATTTACTGTGTACCAAACCCTGTGCTTAGAATTGTAGTGACTTTCTAATTTCTCAAAATGGAAAAAGTATTTTTTTTGTACATTTTAGAGTTTTCTTCTAAAATATTAGAATTTCTAGGCCTGCCACAGTGGCTTATGCCTGTAATCCTAACACTTTGGGAGGACAAGGCGCGAGGATCGCTTGAGCTTGTGAGTTTGAGACCAGCCTGGGCAACATGGTGAAACCCCATCTCTACCAAAAATAGAAAAAATTAGCCAGGCATGGTGGTGGGTGCCTGTGTCCCCAGCTACTTGGTATTTTGTTTTGTTTTTGTTTTTTGTTTTTTTTGGGTTTTTTTTTTAGATGGATTCTCACTCTGTCACCCAGGCTGGAGTACAGTGGCGTGATCTCAGCTCACTGCAACCTCTGCCTCCCAGGTTTGAACGATTCTCCTGCCTCAACCTCCCGAGTAGCTGGGATTACAGGCACGCACCACCATGCCCAGCTAATTTTTGTACTTTTAGTAGAAACAGGGTTTCACCGTGTTGGCCAGGCTGATCTCGAACACCTGACCTCAGGTGATCTACCCACCTCGGCCTCCCAAAGTGCTGGGATTACAGGCGTGTGAGCCACCTCGCCCAGCCATTCACAGCTACTTGGGAGTCTTCAGTGGCAGGATCACTTGAGCCCGGAAGGTGGAGGTTGCAGTGCCCAGTGCACTCCAGCCTGGGTGACAGAGTGAGATCCCATTTCAAAATAAATAATTAATAAAATAAAATACATTTGAATTTCTTACAATGAGCACATAATGCTCTTGTAACCAGAAAAAAAACTATAAATGTTTTTCATTATTTTAATCAATTTTATTGAGATACATTTACATTTACATACAATTAAAATGCATCTGGGTAGGCCGGGCGCAGTGGCTCACACCTGTAATTCCAGCACTTTGGGAGGCCGAAGCAGGTGGACCACCTGAGGTCAGGAGTTCAAGACCAGCCTAGGCAAAATGGCAAAACCCTGTCTCTACTAAAAATACAAAAATTAGCTGTGCATGGTGGTGGGTACCTGTAATCCCAGCTACTTGGGAGGCTGAAGCAGGAGAATCGCTTCAACCCGGGAAGCGGAGGTTGCAGTGAGCCGAGATCATGCCATTGCACTCCAGCCTGGGTGACAAGAGCAAAACTCCATCTCAAAACAAATAAATAAAATAAAATAAAATGTATCTATTTAAATGTACATCTTGATGAGTGTTGACAAATATACACACTTGAGCACCTGACATCACAATCAAAATATAAATATTTCCATTTTTCCAGAAAGGTCCCTTATGTCTCCTTGCAATGAGTCCTCCCTACTTCCTGCCCTAGACAAGCACGATTTTATTTCTCTCACTGTAGATTAGTTTTATCTCTTCTAGAATATCACATAGATGGAATCATAAATTACATATTCTTTTGTGTCTGACTTCTTTCACTTAGAATATTGTTATTATTATTTTAGAGAAAGGGTCTTGCTCCATCGCCCAGGCTGGAGTGCAGTGGCACAATCATAGCGCACTGCAGCCTCAAACTCCTGGGCTCAAGGGATCCTCCTGCTTCAGCCTCCAGAATGTCTGAGACTATGGTTGCATGCCACCACGCTCAGTTTAGATTAATCTATCTTCTTATGTACATCAGTAGTTTTTTTCTATTGCTGAGTAGTATTCCATTGTAGAAATAAATCACAATTTGTTTATCCACTTGTGTGTGGACATTTTGTTTGTTTCAAGTTTTTTTTTTTTTTTTTTCTTTTTTTTTTTTGAGATGGAGTCTCTCTCTGTCACCCAGGCTGGAGTGCAGTGGCACCATCTCGGCTCACTGCAACCTCTGCCTCCTGGGTTCAGCAATTCTCCTGCCTCAGCGTCCCGAGCAGCTGGGACTACAGGCATGTGCCATCACACCCAGCTAATTTTTGTATTTTTAGTAGAGACAGGGTTTCACCATATTGGTCAGGCTGGTCTTGAACTCCTGACCTCGTGATCCACCCGCCTTGGCCTCCCAGAGTGCTGGGATTACAGCCATGAGCCACTGCGCAGGCTTTTTTTTTTTTTTTTTGAGAGAGTTTCTCTCTTATTGTCCAGGCAGGAGTGCAATGGCGCGATTTCAGCTCACTGCAACCTCCACCTCCTGGGTTCAAGCGATTCTCCTGCCTCAGCCTCCTGAGTATCTGGGATTACAGGCATGCACCACCACGCCCTGCTAATTTTGTATTTTTAGGAGAGACGGGGTTTCTCCATGTTGGTCAGGCTGGTCTTGAACTCCCGACCTCAAGTGATCGGCCCGCCTCGGCCTCCCAAATTGCTGGGATTACAGACATGAGCCACCGCGCCTGGCCATTTTTTTTTCATTTAAAAGGAAAAAAAGGTTATTTTCTTTTACTCTTTTTAAGTAACCCACACTCATCAAAAATTTGGAAGATAGGCTGGGCGTGGTGGCTCACTCCCAGTTACTTGGGAGGTTGAGGCGAGAGGATTGCTCGAGCCTGGGAGATTGATGCTTCAGTGAGCTATGATCTTGCCACTGCACTCCAGCCTGGGTGACAGAGTGAGACATTGTCTCGAAAAAAAAAAAAAAAAAAAAAGGCAGGGGAATCGCTTGAACCCTGGAAGTGGAGGTTACAGTGAGCTGAGATTGCGCCACTGCACTCCATCCTGGGTGACACAGTGAGACTCCATCTCAAAAAAAAAATAAAAGGAAAACAGAGACAAGTGGAGATAAAATAATCTCTGGTCCCATTAAACAAAGTTAAACAAAGGCAATTATTGTTAGTATTAGAGTGCTATGTTTTCTTCTCCTGTGTAAAGATGTTTTAAGGACTCTATATAATTAAAATCACACTGTACATTTGTAACTGGCTTGAGTAGTTAATATTATATCATAAATATTTTCCACCTTCTTTCTTTTGTAACCATTTTTAATATTATTTAATATTTTATCACTAGAATGTGGACTCTCTCAGGGCAGGGGTTTAGGTTGTCCCAGTTATTCTTTATATTCCCAAAGTTCAGCATGGTGCCTCTCCTACCGCAGGCACATAGTAAGTGCTGACTGTATTGTGTGCCACAATGTGCTTGCTATGCCCATATGGAGAATATGCCAACTCTCCTTACAATGTTCTTTTCACTAATTCTCTTTTTTTTTTTTTTTTTTGAGACAGTCTGGCTCTGTCACCCAGGCTGGAGTGCAGTGGAAGCATCTCAGCTCACTATAGCCTTGACCTCCTGGGCTCAAATGACACTCCCATCTCAGCCTCCCAAGTAGCTGGAATTACAGGCGAGGGCTACCATGTCTGGCTAATTTTTAATTTTTTGTAGAGATGGGGTCTCCCTACGTTGCCTAGGCTGGTCTTGAACTACTGGGCTCAAGTGATCCACCTGCCTCGGTCTCCCAAAGTGCTGGAATTACAGGTATGATCCACCATGTCCAGGACCCATCTTAAGTCCTAAGCACTAGTGTGTTAACCTCTGCCCTTCTGCTTCTCCATGAAGTCTTTTTGGGCTTTCTCCTCTCCTCTGGGTTGTACAAAGAGTCTCCTCCAGAAAACATTTGAGTTGATGGCATAAATAATGGCATAAAACCATTTGACCCAAGGAAGGGGGTAATTGTGATGAGATCTTAGGGGACCAGAAACAAACTCTTTTACTTCCACATAGATTATACAGCAGACTTGCAATTCTGGCAGCTGTGAGATGGAGAGAATACCACCTGCTTCTGAGAGCTAGTATGAGGAGGAAATGAATTATACAGATTCAGCTGAGCATGGTGGCTCACACCTGTAATCCCAGCACTTTGGGAGGCTGAGGCAGGTGGATCACCTGAGGTCTGGAGTTCGAGACCAGCCTGGCCAATTTGGTGAAACCCCGTCTCTACTACAAATACAAAAATTAGCTGAGTGTGGTGGTGCACGCTCGTAATCCCAGCTATTTGGGAGGCGGAGGCAGGAGAATCACTTGAACCTGGTGGGTGGAGGTTGCAGTGAGCCGAGATCATGCCACTGCACATCCACCTGGGTGACAGAGTAAGACTCCATCTCAAAAAAAAAAAAAAAAAATACAGATTCACAGAAAGTGCTTACCACAGAGCCTGGCACCCAGTAATCACACACTCAAGGGGAGCTGTCCAGGAAATTTGAGACCCAGTGGGTTAATTATCGGTTAATTATCTTCAGACTAAAACCAACACTGATTTCCCCAGACAGCCCGGGAGGGGAGAAACCCAAACAGACAGTTACAGTTCAGCTAAAACAGAGCTAATCTTTAATCTTTTATGGATACATGTAATACATTAACTATTATAGCTTATCCCCTCAAGGCACCTCAACACCTGGTCAACCAGAGGCTAGAGTTGGGTTGGCTGGGCTAAGAGGAAGGGAGCAAGTAAATAGGCCAATTACCCTTCTGCAACAGACTTTCTTAGGGCCCCGCCTTGAGATTAAGAGAATTAAATGGCTAATGCTGCCTGTCATTCAGCCAGTGGGGTGGGGAGGTGAATTTCTTGAGTCAGCACCCAATGAAGAACACTAGGCACAAAATTATATGAGGTGTTTTACCTGTCTCTCAGCAAACTAAACTCCTTAAGAATGGTGTCATTTCTTATTTGTCATTGGGTGTTTGCTGATGGTCATTACTATTAATAATAATGCTGTAGTTGTCATAATAGGAAAAAAATCCAAAGGCATAGAATTACTAAGGCTAAGTATCTATGAAATCATAAAGTTCGACTACTGCATTTTCTCAACTCTAAGATGCATTTTGTGTCTGGGTTTATCGGGCTTCAATTTATAACAGATATATATATATATATATATACACACACACACACATAGAGAGAGAGTGTTTATCAATCGACTGAAACTCTGTTATTAAATCAATACTATGACTTAGAGTGGACAGTGTCTAGGAATCAAGGAAATATGATAATTCAATCTCTCCCACTCGGAACAAGAATTCTTTCTTTTCTTTTTTTTTGAGATAGAGTCTCGCTCTGTTGCCCAGGCTGGAGTGCAGTGGCACCACCTTGGCTCACTGCAACCTCTGCCTCCCAGGTTCAAGCGATTCTCCTCCCTCAGCATCCTGAATAGCTCGCATTACAGGTATGTGCCACCATGCCCAGCTAATTTTTCTGTTTTTAGTAGAGATGGGGTTTCGCCATGTTGGCCAGGCTGGTCTTGAACTCCTGACCTCAGGTGACCTGCCCACCTAGGCCTCCCAAAGTGCTGTGATTACAGGCATGAGCTACCACGCCCAGCCAATAATTCTTTCTACCACAGTCTCTCCTTCAGTATTTCCACTGGAAGGGAGTCTACTTCATATCCGGGCCCCCCTTCCACTACTGGACACCACCATTGCGACAAGTTGTTCCTTTTATTAAGCTGAAATCTATATCCCTATAATTTTCACCCAACAATTCTAGTCCTGTCCTCTGGAACTATACAAAAGCAGTTAGTTTTTTTCAGGAGGCTATTACAGATTGAAGTTTGTGTCTCCCCAAAATTCATATGCTAAATCCTGGGAGAAGTAGAAATTTGCCCAGCACTACATAGGCACTGTGTACACCTGGAGGGCCTTTAAAAAAAAGAATCCTAACCTCCAATGTGGTGGTGAGCCTTTGGGAGATAATTAGGTCGTGAGGGTGAAGTCTTCATTAATGAGATTAGTGCCCTTGTAGGAAAAAACAAGAGAGATGATTTTTCTCTCAGCCATGTGATGCTATGAGAATGCAGCCATCTGCAATTCATGAAGCCGACCCTCACCAGACACTGTATCTATCAGCACCTCAATCTTGGACTTCCCAGCCTCCGGGAAATATGTGAAATCATTCGTTGTTTTGGCCACCCAGTCTTTGGTAACTTGTTATAGCAATCCAAACTAACACAGAGCAAAGTCTTAGTACAATAAATCTCTGGAGGCAGACAGATTTGGCTTTTAAACCTGACTCTGACACTTATCAGCAATGTACTTAACTTCTCAGAGCCTATTTCCTCATTTGCTAAGTGGGCTGAAGTCCCCATGGTTGTGAGAGTTAAATGAGTTAAATATACTCTAACCCTAACCCTAGCCCTTTCCTCTTCATCTCTCCTCAGTCCCCACTGGCTTTGTCATATATTCATATACTGGAAGACAGATGTCATGTCCACCCTTCGTAAGTCTTTTCTAATTAAACATTCCCCAATTCCTAAACCATTCTCCTAACAGTAAATCTGATTCATTGCATACCTACAATATACAGTATATACCAGGCACTGCCAAAGGCCTAAGAAGTTAAATAAACTGCCTAGACCCACACAAGCAGTTGCCAGAATTATAGATCTGTCTGACTGTAAAGCCACACCTTCAAATCTAGATCCTATAGCAGTACTGTCTAACAGAAATATGTGAGTCACATATATACTTTTAAATATTCTAGGCCAGGCATGGGGGCTCACACCAGCAATCTGGGAGGCCCAGGTAGTAGGATCACTTGAGGACAGGAGTTTGAGACCAGCCTGGCCAACATGGTGAAACCTGGTCTACTTAAAGAAAAAAAAAAAAATCAGGCGGGCATGGTGGCATGCATCTGTAGTTCCAGCTACTCAGGAGGCTAAGACATGAGAATTGCTTGAGTCTGGGAAACAGAGGTTGCAGTGAGCCCAGATTGTGCCACTGCACTCCAGCCTGGAAGACAGAGCAAGACTTCTGTCTCCAAATAAATAAAAATATAAATAAATAAATATTCTAGTAGCACCCTGTAAAAATAAGCTGGGCTCAGTGGCTTACACCTGTAATCCCAGCACTTTGGGAGGCTGAGGCAGGTGGATCACCTGAGGTCAGGAGTTCAAGACCAGCCTGGCCAACATGGTAAAACTCTGTCTCTACTAAAAAATAGAAAAATTAGCCAGATGTGGTGGCGGGCGCCTGTAGTCCTAGCGACTGGGGAGGCTGAGGAAGGAGAATTGCTTAAACCTGGGAGGTAGAAGTTGCAGTGAGCCAAGATCACGCTACTGCACTCCAGCCTGGACGACAGAGCAGGACTCCGTCTCAAAACAAAACAAAACAAAACAAATAAATAAAAATAAATAAACAAGTTAAATTAAATGTAATAAAATATTTTTATTTAACCCCAGTATCCAAAATATTATCATTTCAGCAAGTACTCTATATAAAAAAATATTGACTTGGTGTTGTGGCTCACACCTATGATCCCAGCACTTTAGGAGGCCTAGGCAGCAGAATTTCTTGAGCCCAGGAGTTGGAGACCAGCCTGGTCAATATAGTGAGACCCTGTCTCTACAAAAAAAGGAAAGAAAAAAAGGCTGGGGCTGGGCACGGTGGCTCACGCCTGTAATCTCAGGACTTTGGGAGGCCGAGGCAGGCAGATCACCTGAGGTCAGGGGTTCAAGACCAGCTTGGCCAACATGGTGAATCCCATCTCTACTAAAACTACAAAAATTAGCCAGGCGTGGTGGCTCACGCCTGTAATCCCAGCTACTCAGGAGGCTGAGGCACAAGAATCACTTGAAACTAGGAGGCGAAGGTTGCAGTGAGCCAAGATGGCGCCACTGCATTCCAGCCTGGGTGACAGAGTGAGACTGTTTAAAATATATATATATATATATATTTATGTGTAGATATACATTTTTATATATGTATATATATGTGTATATATGTGTATATATGTGTGTGTATATATATATATGTGTGTGTGTATATGTGTATATATATATGATTCCTCACTTCAAGATGTTTACAATCTATCCAGGGAGATAAGCCATGCACAAAATACATTCACAGATCCAGTGACTCCCCCGAAAAATGAAAAAAATAATTTTGAAAAAATGAATTTAAAAAAGAGTGAAAACAATAAAATAGAATGCACCTGTAATCCAGCTACTTGGGAGGCTGAGGCAGGAGAATAGCTTGAACCCAGGAGGCGGAGGTTGCAGTGAGCCAAGATCGCGCCACTGTACTCCAGCCTGGGCAACAGAGCAAGACTCTGCCTCAAAAAAAAAAAAAAAAAAAGGCCGGGCGCGGTGGCTCATGCCTGTAATCCCAGCACTTTCGGAGGCCGAGGCGGGTGGATCACGAGGTCAGGAGATCGAGACCATCCTGGCTAACACGGTGAAACCCCATCTCTACTTAAAATACAAAAAATTAGCTGGGCGTAGTGGCAGGCGCCTGTAGTCCCAGCTACTCAGGAGGCTAAGGCAGGAGAATGGCGTGAACCCGGAAAGTGGAGTGAGCCGAGATTGCGCCACTGCACTCTAGCCCGGGCGACACAGCGAGACTCCATCTCAAAAAAAAAAAAAAAAAAAGCTAATAACTACTGCTTATTAAATGCCTACACGCCAGGCATGATGGCTCATGCCTGTAATCCCAGCACTTTACGAGGTCAAGATGGGAGGATGGCTTGAGGCCAGGAGTTTGAGACCAGCCTGGGTCTCACATAGTGAGACTCCGTCTCTAAAAAAATTAATAAAATTAAATAAAAATAAAAGAAAATAAAAATATTAAGTGCTTACAATAAGCCAAGCACTATGTTAAATGCTTTATAACCATCTCATTTGATTTTGGCAAACTCCTTTGAAAGTACTATTATTATCTCTATTTTACAAAAAAAGGAAGCTGAGGCTCAGGGAGGGGAAGTGAATGCCCATGGTTGCACAGCTGGGTAGTGGCAAAGTACAGGGGTGGGCCCCATCCTAAGCTCTAGGCATCATATCCTTATCAGAGAAACCCATCCCTGTAATCTCCAGGCCTCCTTCAGGTATTATCATATTGTTTACCCATTTTCTGTCTATCTCCCCTACCTTTTTAAAAAAATTTACCCTTCTTTAAAATACCAGCTAAAATCTGGGTAAACCCTATGGTGCCTCAAATGACCTGTAATTCACTGGACTTTCTATGCTGCAATTAGTGTCTGTATAGGAAAAGAGAGGCCAAAGAAGTTCACAGCCTCCTCTAATCATTACAGCACTTGAGAGCTGGTCACTCTGCCCAATCTTGTGAATCACCAGGTTGATCAGGAGGCACATCCTAAACCCTAGGGCATACGCAATCCTTGTCAATCTTCTTTTCCTACTTAGTACACTCTTTCACGATGATCTCATTCAATGTCATGGCTTTTAGCTACCATCTATGAGGCTATGGTTTTGAAATCTCTATCTGTAGCCCATTTCTCTCCCCTGAACTTTGCCATTTGGGTGTCCCACAGACACCTGATGCTCAGTGGGTCTACATATGAACTCATCTTTCCTGTCTCACCCACACTGCTCTGTGTTTCCTAGCTTAGAGAAAAAAAGTGCTACGATAGCCACCCAAGACATCTGTGACTCCTTCATCTCTGTCTTTACCTCTGGTTAGTCATTAAAGAATTATTTTCCATATATATATAGAGGACAGAGTCTTGCTCTGTAGCCCAGGCTGGAGAGCAGTGGTGCAATTTCAGCTCACTACAACCTCTGCCTCCTGGGTTCAAGCAATTTTGGTCTCTTGACCACCTGAGCCACCTGAGTAGCTGGGACTACAGGCGTGTGCCACCACACCCGGCTAATTTCCTCTTTTTACTTTTTTTTTTGAGCCGGAGTCTTGCTCTGTCGCCCAGGCTAAAGTGCAGTGGTGCGATCTCGGCTCACTGCCAGCTCTGTCTCCCAGGTTCACACCATTCTCCTGACTCAGCCTCCCAAGTAGCTGGGACTACAGGCGCCCGCCACTACGCCCAGCTAATTTTCTGTATTTTTAGTAGAGACAGGGTTTCACCGTTAGCCAGGATGGTCTCGATCTCCTGACCTCGTGATCCACCCCCCTCGGCCTCCCAAAGTGCTGGGATTACAGGCGTGAGCCACCGCGCCTGTCCTCTTTTTACATTTTTAAAATCTTTTTCTGACATTTGTTTCTCAGCTGGAGTTGTACCAAAGCGCCTAACTGGTCGTTTTTCTTTAATTTTTTTCCAGACAGGATCTCCCTCTGTTGCACAGGCTGGAGTGCAGTGGCGCTATCTCAGCTCACTGCAACCTCTGCCTCCTGGACTCAAGCAATCCTCCCACCTCAGCCTCCCAAGTAGCTGGGACTGCAGGTGCGAGCCACTACGTTCAGCTAATTTTTTGTATTTTTTGTAGACACAGGGTTTCACCATGTTGTTCAGGCTGGTCTTGAATTCCTGAACTCAAGCCATCTGCCCGCCTTGGCCTCCCAAAGTGCTGGGATTACAGGCCTGAGCCACCGTGTCCGGCCTGGTCTTTTTTCTCTAGGCTCTCTCCTTTCCCAAACTTTTCTCCATGTTGTAGCCAGGGTTCTTTTAAAGCTCACATGTATTCTTTGGTATGGCACTGCAGAGTACTCCTGGATCTGGACCTACTCCTTTTCCAGACTCTTTTTTTTTTTTGAGACAGAGTCTCTCTCTGTAGCCCAGGCTACAATGCAGTGGCGCGATCTCGGTTCGCTGCAACTTCCGCCTCCCGCGTTCAAGCGATTCTCCCACCTCAGCCTCCCTAGTAGCTGGGATTACAGGCGCGCGTCACCATGCCCGGCTAATTTTTGTATTTTTAATGGAGACGGAGTTTTACCATCTTGGCCAGGCTGGTCTCGAACTCCTGACCTCAAGTGATCCGCCTGCCTCGGCCTCCCAAAGTGCTGGGGTTACAGGCGTGAGCCACCGCGCCCAACCCCTCAGTTCTTTTTTCTTTTGAAACCCACTATAATCTCTGTAAGTCCTATCAGTTCCAAGAGACTTTCTACACAAATACATCTCCAGGTTGTCAAACCTAAAAAGATTTTCCTAGAGCATGGCCTATGACGTCAAGGATCCAGGTAGCGCCCGGAGGAAAGCGCCAAAGGAGGCCGCCATCTTTCATACAGCAGCCCGGAATTTTGCGCATGCGCCTCTGATTGTCTGTCCGCAATGAAGCTCTTCGGCCTTCTCGGCACCCATACGTTTGGGAACGGCAGTTTCGAGGTTTGTGAGACGTCGGCTTCCGACCGGAAGTGAGAAGAGGAGGAAGTTGGCTGGTTGCACCGATCTGGGGGCTTCCCGGGCTCGGGTAACCGGAGTGCTGGTATCTAATCGTCGCTCAAAAGCTCCTAGGTGCGCGGGTGGATATAATTCCCGGCTTCTCGAGAAGACACTACAGCCTCAAGGAGGTGTGCTTCTAGTGTTTAATTGGATACGTGTTATGGATGCCGGCTTAGAAGGACCTATATACCATCATCTTAAAATAACTTCCCCTTGGCTCTCTCTCTCTTTTTTTTTTTTTTTTTTTTTTTGAGACGGAGTTTCGCTCTTGTTGCCCAGGCTGGAGTGCAATGGCGCGATCTCGGCTCACCGCAACCTCGCCTTCCGGGTTCAAGCGATTCTCCTGCCTCAGCCTCCTGAGGAGCTGGGATTACAGGCGCTCGCCACCAGGCCTGGCTAATTTTTTGTATTTTTAGTAGAGTCGGGGTTTCTTCATGTTGGTCAGGCTGGTCTCGAACTCCCAACCTCCAGTTGATCCGCCGGCCTCGGCCTCCCAAAGTACTGAGATTACAGGCGTGAGCCACCGCGCCCGGCCTTGGCTCTCTTTAAAAGGCATTTTTAGGCTAGCCGCAGTGTGGTCTCCCGCCTGTAGTAGTCCCAGCTACTCGGCTTGAGCCCAGGAGTTCGAGGTTATAGTGAGCTAGGAACTCCCCACTGCACTGCAGCCTGGGCTACAGAGCGAGATCCTGTCACCAAAAAAGAAAAGCGTACGGGGGAAGGCATTTTCAGAGAGATAGAACGCCTAGATGTTAGTTTGGTCCAAACTCTGCTACCAACTTGCTGTGTGTATCCTTCTGTCCCTCTCCAAGTCTCAATATCCTCATCTATAAAACGAAGGTCCCTTAAGTCACTTTTTCAGTTCTTCTGAATTTTGTTGCCTCTTTATTATCTCGTTTGAGCCACATAGCCTTGGGAGTTAAAAATCACTGGCCTTTGGCCGGGCACGGTGGCTCACACCTGTAATGCCAGCACTTTGGGAGGCCGGATCACCTGAGTATCACCTGAGGCCAGGAGTTCGAGGCCAACCTGGCCAACATGACGAAACCCCGTCTCTACTAAAAATACAAAAAAAATTAGCTGGGCTTGGTTGCGGGCGCCTGTAATCCCAGCTACTCGGGAGGCTGAGACAGGAGAATCGCTTGAACCTGGGAGGCAGAGGCTGCAGTGAACAGAGATTGCGCCATTGCACTCCAGCCTGGGCGACAAGAGTGAAACTCCGTCTCAAAAAAAAAAAAAAAAAAAAATCACTGGCCTCATTTTATAAGGAAGACATTGAGTCCCAGGGTGAGGGGTTATAGATAGGACTTTCTCAAGATTGCACAGGTAATGTGGAGGTTTCAGAACTTGAGACTAGAAGGTAATGCTGTAACTCCATGACCAGATCTCCTTTCTATATTTCTGTGTCATCAGTTCCTGGAACTGGCCATATAAGGAAATACTCAAACGTTTTTGAATGAATGAATCTTTGATTTGAAGGCCAGTGCCACAACAGATCTGGTCTCTCTCCACCACTTTGATGTATAAACAAGTGAACTCTTTTCCAGGTATATCCCGTGCCTTACCTGACTGGGGGCTCTGAGTCCAGTTGTGTTGTCTTCAACTTAGACACCATGGAGGCACCTCCAGTCACCATGATGCCTGTCACTGGGGGCACCATTAACATGATGGAGTACCTGTTGCAGGGTAAGTGAACTAGGGAACTTGGATTACCTGTTTTCCTCTTCTCTGTTCAGCTTCCCTTAAGATGAGAGACTTAACACAAAAGCAGCCTGCACAGTTTCTGGCACCCAGCTATGTTTTTAACTGTTACTTTAAATTATAGTTTTATATGCACTAAACATACTAAATTTGCCATCTTGGCTGGGCATGGTGGCTCACGCGTATAATCCCAGCACTTTGGGAGGCCGAGGTGGGCGGATCACGAGGTCAGGAGATGGAGACCATCCTGGCTAACACAGTGAAACCCTGTCTCTACTAAAAATACAAAAGAAATTAGCCCGGCGTGGTGGCGGGCACCTGTAGTCCCAGCTACTCAGGAGGCTGAGGCAGGAGAATGGTGTGAACCTGGGAGGCAGAGGTTGCAGTGAGCCGAGATCGCGCCACTGCACTCCAGCCTGGGCGACAGAGTGAGACTCTGTCTCAAAAAAAAAAAAAAATTGCCATCTTAACATATTTAAGTGTACAGTTCTGTATTGTTAAGTATATTAACATTGTTAAACAACAGATCTTTAGAACTTTGGTTTATTGTGAGTAGCTTGAAAAAATACTTAGTACAACTTTTTATTTCTTTGAGACAGAGTCTCAATCTGTCACCCAGGCTGGAACGCAGTGGCACAATAACAGCTCACTGCAACCTCTATCTACTTCCCGGGTTCGAGGGATTCTTGTGTCTCAGCCCCCCTAAATAGCTGGGATTGCAGGCGTGCATCACCACGCCCAGCTAATTTTTGTATTTTTAGTAGAGAGTTGTGGTTTCATCACGTTGGCCAAACTGATCTTGAACTCTTGCCCTCAAGTGATATACTTGCCTTGGCCTCCCAAAGTGCTAGGATTACAGGTATGAGCTGCCGCGCCTGGCCTAAAATACTTAAGTTTTTCATCCTATAAAACTGCAACTCTATACCCATTAAACACTAATTACCACTCCCCTCTATGCCAAACCCTTAGCAACTATCTTTCTAGGTCCTGTTTCTCTGATTTTTTTTTTTTAAGATGGATTCTCACTCCGTTGCCCAGGCTGGAGCACAGTGGTGCAATCTTGGCTTACTGCAGCCTCTGCCTCCCAGATTCAAGCGATTCTTCTGTCTCAGCCTCCTGAGTAGCGGGATTACAGGTGTGCACCACCATGGCCAGCTAATTTTTGTATTTTTAATAGAGACAGGGTTTTTCCATGTTGGCCGGGCTGGTCTTGAACTCCTGACCTCAGGTGATCCACCTGCCTCAGCCTCCCAGAGAGCTGGGATTACAGGCGTGAGCCACCGCGCCCAGCCAGATTTTGTAAACAAGTATCTGAATATGTTCCTAACATTTGAGCCATAGCCATGGAGGCAGAAAGATGACTAAAAAAATGTATGTCAAGCCAGCTGTTACAGGCTTATGCCTGTAATTCCAGTTGTTTGGGAGGCTAAGGCTGCAGTACTGCTTGAGTTCGGGAATTCAGGATTAGTCTGGACAACATAGCAAGAACTCATCTCTACTAAAAAAAAAAATTAGCTGGGCATGGTGGTGCGCACCTGTAGTCTGAACCACTTGGGAGGCTGAGGCGGGAGGATCACTTGAGCCCAGGGGATGGAGGCTGCAAAGAGTTATAATCACGCCACTGCTCTATAGCCTGGAGACAGAGTGAGACCCTACCTAAAAAAAAAAAACAAAACTATGCCATAAAAATAAAGCAGGAAAGTGGCTAGAGATTGGTAGGACACATACTATTTTATTAGGGTGATCAGAAAAGGCCTTGATGATAAAGTCACTTGAGCAGAGACCTGACAAAAGTGATAGAGTAGACATGCAGATGGGAAGAACATCCTAAGCACAGAGAATAGGAGAAGGGGTGTGGCAGGAAGGTCACTCCTGGAGAGAATGATCAAGGGGAGGAATAGAAGGAGATGATGTTTGGCAGGTAGCAGAGACCATAATATGTAGGGCCTTGTTGACAACGGTAAAGATGTTGGCTTTTATTCTGAATGACACAGGAAGCCACTGTAGTGTCCTGAGTAGAGGAGTGTTATTATCTGCCCAATAATTTAATAGACCATTTGGCTTTCATATGGAGAAGAGAGGAAGAAGGCAAAGGTAGAAAGAGGCGATTGCAAAGACCAGGCAAGAAATGAGGGTGACTTCATTTGAAGGGACTAGGTTGAAGTGACCAGATGAGTGAGAAGTGATTGCATTCTGCATTTATTTCAAAAATACGGATTCAATGGAGGGTATGAGAGAAAGAAAGAGGGTGTGAGTCAAAGATGATTTTCTGGTTTTTGGCCTGGGTAACCAACTAAAAACAGAGAGTTGCCATTTACTGTGATGTTGAAGACTGTAGGGTGAATAAGATTTTGGAGGAAAAAATCAACAGTTTGATATTGAACATGTTAAGATAAAGATGTCTGTTAGGCATCCAAGTGAGGAAACTGAGTAGGAAGTTGGATGTTTTCATCTGTAGTTCAGAGATAAAAACGTGGGAGTCCTCAGGGCCTAAATGATATTTAAAGCCATGGGACCAAATAAAGTCACCTAGGCAGGAAAAGAGTATTGATACAGAAGAGGACCAGGATTGAGTCCTAGTCCTCCAGTGTTTGGGGAAGATGAGAGAGACCAAGCAAAGAAGACTTAAACGGAATGGTCAGCAAGTTAAGTGAAGACAAGAAAGTTGTGTCTCAGAGGCCAAGGGAAGAATAGATTTCATAGTGGGTATAATCTACTGTAACAATTATGTCAGATGTTGCCAAGAGGATGAAGATTCTATGAAGCAATTCACTCTCTTCTACTTACATACAGAAGAGGAAAACTTTTCCTGATAAAAAGGAAACTTTAGCCAGGTGCAGTGGCTCCATGCCTGTAATCTCAGCACTTTGGGAGGCTGAGGCAGGCGGATCACGAGGTCAAGAGATCGAGACCATCCTGGCCAACATGGTGAAACCCTGTCTCTACTAAAAATACAACAATTAGCTGGGCGTGGTGGCACACGCCTGTAGTCCCAGTTACTCAGGAGGCTGAGGCAGGAGAATCGCTTGAACCCAGGAGGTGGAGGTTGCAGTGAGCTGAGATCGCACCACTGCACTCCAGCCTGAAGACAGAGCTAGACTCCGTCTCAAAAAAAGCGGGGGAGACTTTATATTTCTTCTATAAATGGAAGACTTTGATTTGTTGGAAATAGAAGGCAATTGTTAAAATATATAACAACAAAATAGTGTTATTGGCTGGGCATGGTGGCTTGTGCCTGTAATCCCAACACTTTGGGAGACCAAGGCCAGGAGTTCAAGACCACCCTGGGCAACATAGTAAGACCCCAACTCTACAAAAATAAATAAATACATAACTAAAACAGTATTATTACATTCTAGATAGACACTGTCGCTGATTAAAGGCTCTAAGCCCCAGGCCTGCTGGAGATGAGCATTAGAAGAGGCCTAAAGACTTTGTAGTGCTAAATAAGAAAATTCCAAAAAAATTGAAAAGGAAAATAACTTTCTCACAACGTTATACAATACCTTGGTAGTGTAATTTCTGTAAAATCTCATGTTTGGCTGTATGTTTTATGAAATGCTTCACTAAACTGTTTTGGTTTTTCATTTAAGTTTTTTCAATTGTATACTAACTCCATGACCTAAAATGAAAGACAGGACTCAGTGGTGCTTTTTCCGTTTTCAGGAAGTGTTTTAGATCACAGTTTGGAAAGCCTCATCCACCGCCTTCGTGGTTTGTGTGACAACATGGAACCTGAGACTTTCCTTGACCATGAGATGGTATTCCTCCTTAAGGGCCAGCAAGCCAGCCCATTTGTTCTCAGGGCCCGACGCTCTATGGACAGGGCAGGGGCACCCTGGCATCTGCGCTACCTGGGACAGCCAGAAATGGGAGACAAGAACCGCCATGCCCTGGTGCGAAACTGCGTGGACATTGCCACATCTGAGAACCTCACCGACTTCTTGATGGAAATGGGCTTCCGCATGGACCATGAGTTTGTTGCTAAGGGACATTTGTTCCGTAAGGGCATCATGAAGATTATGGTGTACAAGATTTTCCGCATCCTGGTGCCAGGGAACACAGACAGCACTGAGGCCTTGTCACTCTCCTATCTCGTGGAATTAAGTGTGGTAGCACCCGCTGGGCAGGACATGGTCTCTGATGACATGAAGAACTTCGCAGAACAGCTAAAACCTCTGGTTCACCTAGAGAAAATAGACCCCAAGAGGCTCATGTGACTAAGAGGATCTGTCCACATTTGGGGCCTATCCTTACTTGTTTGAAAAAATATGTTTGCTTTTTTTGGTTTTTGTTTTGTTTTGTTTTTGAGACAGAGTCTCGCTTTGTTTCCCAGGCTGGAGTGCAGTGGCACGATCTCGGCTCACTGCAACCTCTGCCTCCTGGGTTCAAGCAATTCTCCCACCTCAGCCTCCTGAGTAGCTGGGATTACAGGCACATGCCACCATGCTCAGCTAATTTTTGTATTTTTAGTAGAAATGGGGATTCACCATGTTGGTCAGGCTATTCTCGAACTCCTGACCTCGTGATCCACCCACCTTGGCCTCCCAAAGTGCTGGGATTACAGGCATGAGCCACCACGCCTGGCCAAAAAAATATGTTTTAAATGTCCCATTTCACCATTGCCAGGCAGGCATTCTTCCTTCAGGGAGAGGATGGTGAGAATTAATTGGTTCTTTGCACTGTTCTCCTCATGTGGCGATTTCACTTTCATGACAGCCTTTCTATATTAAAGGCTCAGGATGTCACGGAGAATCTATCTAATCCCACTGTATTAAGAGGGGAAACCGGGCCAAGCGCAGTGGCTCACACCTCTAATCCCAGCACTTTGGGAGGCTGAGGTAGGTGGATCACCCAAGGTCAGGAGTTTGAGACCAGCCTGGCCAAATGGTGAAACCCCATCTCTACGAAAAATACAAAATTTAGCCGGGCATGGTAGCAGGCGCTTGTAATCCCAGCTACTTGGGAGGCTGAGGCTGGAGAATCGCTTGAACCCAGGAGGTGAAGGTTGCAGTGACCAGAGATGACGCCATTGCACTCCAGCCTGGGTGAGAAGAGCGAAACTCCGTCTCAAAAAAAAATAAAAATGAAGAGGGGAAACCAGAATAAATTATCTTTTGGAAAGGACAATTTCTTGTTTGGCCATTTGTGTATAAGGTTGGTAACATTAGAGGCTGTGAGCTTGTGTTACATGGTAATAAAGCCAATGAAGAGACATGTCTGTGTAATTCTGATTCTTTATTCCCTTACCCTGTAAATTTGGGGTAGATTCATTACCAGTTGAAGCAAAAAAAATGACAGTTCCTAGTTTTAATTGTGGCAGAGATGAGGATGAGAGTTTTCACCTTTCATAAAAGTAGCATATTTATTGTTGAAAACTTTTAAAATATAGTACAGATAGAAAATAACACCTATTATCCAAAGAGAAGTACTAGTTCTATTTTGGTATATATCCATCTAGTCTTTATTTTTTTATAAATTTATGTATATGAAATGTGTTTATTTTATAAAAAGATTCCATATATACTGGTTTATAACCCTTTTTTCCCATTCATCTATCATTAACATCTTTCCAGGACATTTGTCTACACTCCCCTTTTGTTAAAAAAAATTTTTTTTTTTTTTTGAGACAGAGTTTCGCTCTTGTTGCCCAGGCTGGAGTGCAGTACTGCGATGATCTCAGCTCACTGCAACCTCCACCTCCCAGGTCCAAGTGATTCTCCTGCCTCAGCTTCCCAAGTAGCTGGGATTACAGGCATGGGCCACCATGCCCGGCTAATTTTTTTTTTTTTTGAGATGGAGTACAGTGGCGCACTCACGGCTCACTGCAAGCTCCGCCACCCGGGTTCACGCCATTCTTCTGCCTCAGCCTCCCGAGTAGCTGGGACCACAGGCGCCCGCCACCACGCCCGGCTAATTTTTTGTATTTTTAGTAGAGACGGGGTTTCACAGTGTTAGCCAGGATGGTCTCAATCTCCTGACCTCGTGATCCGCCCCGCTCGGCCTCCCAAAGTGCTGGGATTACAGGCGTCAGCCACCGCGCCCGGCCTTAATTTTTTGTATTATATTTTTTATTTTCGAGAAAGGGTCTCACTGTTGTCCACGCTGGAGTGCAGTGGCATTGTGTTTTTAAGAAACGGTGTTTCGGGCAGGGCGCGTTGCTCACGCCTGTAATCCCAGCATTTTGGGAGGCCGAGGTGGGCAGATCATGAGGTCAGGAGATCAAGACCATCCTGGCTAACACGGTGAAACCCCGTCTCCACTAAAAATACAAAAATTAGCCGGGCGTGGTGGCGGCCGCCTATAGTCCCAGCTACTCGGGAGGCTGAGGCAGGAGAATTGCTTGAACCCGGGAGGCGGAGCTTACAGCGAGCTGAGATCGCGTCACTGCAGTACAGCCTGGGCGACAGAGCAAGACTCCGTCTCAAAAAAAAAAAAAAAGAAGAAGGAAACGGTGTTTCACCATGTTGGTCAGGCTAGTCTCGAACTCCCTACCTCAGCCTCACCAAAGTACTGGGATTACAGGCATGAGCCACCGCACCCGGCCAAAATTTTTTTCTTTTTAAAGCTAGTTTATTGAGTTCCTGTTATGTGTCAGTGCTATCCTAAGTGCTTCAGGTATGTTAAACCCGTTTTGTAAACAGGAGAACTGGTACATATAGATTAATTAACTTTCCCTGAGCTATACAGCTACTGATTGGCAGAGCTGGTATTTAAATATTGACAATTATAATTGCTATTTCTATTTCATCATATGGATTTGCTATAAGTTATCTAATTGAATCCTCTATGATTTTCAGTTTGATCCCATTTTTTTTGCTTTTATAAGCTGTGTAACAATAGAGCTTTTATTTATTTATTTTTTTGAGACAGAGTCTTGCTCTGTCGCCCAGGCTGGAGTGCAATGGCATGATCTCAGCTCACTGCAACCTCCGCCTCCTGGGTTCAGGTGATTTCCAGCTAATTTTTGTATTTTTAGTAGAGAGGGGGTTTCACCATGTTGGCCAGGCTGGTCTCGAACTTCTGAACTCAAGTGATCTGCCTGCCTCAGCCTCCCAAAATGCTGGGATTACAGACATGAGCCACTGTGCCTGGCCTGATATGTACTTGTTACTCTATGTAAATCTAACTCATAACTTCCAACTTGCATATGCTTTCATACTAATAAAAGTATTAGTGTTTAAATAGTGTTTGCTCCATGACAGGTACTTTATTTTTATTATTTATTAATTCATTTATTTTTTGAGACAGAGTCTTGCTCTGTCACCCAGGGTGGAGTGCAGTGGTGCCATCTCGGCTCACTGCAACCTCCTTCTCCCGGGTTCAAGCGATGCCCCTACCTCAGCCTCCTGGATAGCTAGGATTACAGGCATGTGCTACCACGCCCAGCTAATTTTGATTTTTTTTTTTTTTTTTTGAGAGGGAGTTTTGCTCTTGTTGCCAGGCTGGAGTGCAATGATGCAATCGCAGCTCACTGCAACCTCTGCCTCCCGGGTTCAAGCGATTCTCCTGCCTCAGCCTCCCGAGTAGCTGGGATTACAGGCGGCCACCACCATGCCCAGCTAATTTTTGTATTTTTAGTAGAGATGAGGTTTCACCATGTTAGCCAGGATGGTCTTGATCTCCTGACCTTGGGTGATCCACCTGCCTTGGCCTCCCACAGTGCTGGAATTACAGACTTGAGCCATCGCACCCAGCCATGACAGGTACTTTAAATGTTTCAACTCATGTACTTCTCATAACAACTGTATGAGGGTTGTGAGTTGTTATTATTTCCATTTTATAGATGAGGTTATACAGAGAGGTTTCTCAATTTTTTTTTTTTTTTCAGATAGTCTTCTCACTCTGTTGCCTAGACTGGAGCGCAGTGGCACAATCACAGCTCACTGCAGCCTCGACATCCCAGGCTCAGGTGGTCTTCCAACCTCAGCTTCCCAGGTAGCTGGGACTACAGGCATGCACCACCACACCTGGCTAATTATTGCATTTTTTTGTAGAGATAGGGTTTCACCACGTTGCCCAGGCTGGTCTAAAATTTCTGGGCTCAAACAGTCCGCCTGCCTTGGCCTCCCAAAATGGTGGGATTACAGGCATGAGCCACTACAACCAACTTCAAATTTCTTTTTTCTGTTGTCCAAAGTCAGAACTAGTAAGTGGTGGAGCCTGAATTTCAAATCAGGCAGATCATCTCCACAATCTAGACACGTAATCACTGTGTATCCACCATGTTTTATTCATTTAGTCCCTTTATATCATAGAAACCTAGATTGCTGCTGGGTGCGTAGTTCATGCCTATAATCCCAGCACTTTGGGAAGCTCAGGTGAAAGGATTGCCTGAGGCCAGGAATTTGAGACCAGCCTGGACAACATAGTGAGACCCCATCTCTAAAAAAAAAATTTTTTTAAGCTTGGCATGGTGGCACAGGCCTGTAGTCCTAGCCACTTGGGAGGCTGAGGCAGGAAGATCATTTGAGCCCAGGAGGTTGAGGCTGCAGAGCTATTATGGTGTCATTGCACTCCAGCCTCAGGGACAGCGAGACCCTGTATCTATTAAAAACAACAACAACAATAGAAAACAAACCTGGCTGGGCACAGTGGCTCATGTCTGTAATCCCAGCACTTTGGGAGGCCGAGGCAGGCAGATTACCTGTCAGGAGTTTGAGACCAGCCTGGCCAACATGGTGAAACCCCATCTCCACTAAAAATATAAAAATTAGCTGGGCATGGTGGCACACGCCTGTAATCCCAGCTCTTTAGGAGACTGAGGCAGGAGAATTGCTTGAGCCCAGGAGACAGGTTGCAGTGAGCTGAGATTGTGCCACTGCAATCCAGCCTGGCCGATAAAGCGAGACTCTGTCTCAAAAAAAACAAAAACAAAAACAAAAACACCTGAGATTGCCTGCAACTCTTCACTACCATAAAAAATGCTAAAATAAGCAAATTCGTAGATTGTTATAAAAATTCCCCTGGATGACTGGGCGCGGTGGCTCATGCCTGTAATCCCAGCACTTCAGGCGGCCGAGGTGGGTGGATCAACTGAGGTCAGAAGTTCAAGACCAGCCTGGCCACCATGGTGAAACCCTATATCTACTAAAGATGCAAAAAATTGCCGGGCATGTGGCATGCCCCTGTAATCCAAGCTACTCGAGAGGCTGAGGTGGGAGAATTGCTTGAATCTGGGAGGTGGAGGCGGAGGCTGCAGTGAGCTGAGATTGCGCCACTGCACTCCAACCTGGGCAACAGAAAGAGACCTCATCTCAAAAAAAAAAAAAAGACTGGGCTCAGTGGCTCACTCCTGTAATCCCAGCACTTTGGGAGGCCGAGGTGGGCAGATTACCTGAGGTCGGGAGTTCGAGATCAGCCTGACTAACATGGAGAAACCCCGTTTCTGCTAAAAATGCAGTTAGCCAGATGTGGTGGCGCATGCCTGTAATCCCAGCTACTCAGGAGGCTGAAGCAGGAGAATCGCTTGAACCCTGGAGGCAGAGGCTGCGGTGAGCCGAGATCACTCCATTGCACTCCAGCCTGGGTAACAAGAGCAAAACTCTGTCTCAAAAAAAAAAAAGAAAAAAAAATCCCCTGGGCTGTATAGCTATGAGCATGCTCACATTTGCCAACTATTGCAGGTTACTTTTCAGAATGTCTGTAACATTTACTTTCCTATTGCTAGTGAACAAGAACTCATAGCCACATCCTCACCAGTTGGTGTGATGTGGCATGACCCGTCTTTCTAGTTTTTTCCAGTTTGATGGATGTAAAATGGCAGCTCTTGGTTGTTTTGATTTGCTTGTCTCTGGTTATAATTACATTTGAATCTTTTCATTTCTTTCTTTGTATGTAACAGTATATAGACTTTTTTAGTATGTGAAACTAAGGTATCTATATTCTTTGCCCATTTTTTATATTTTATTTTCAATGGTATTGATCTGCAGAACCTTTGTATATTCTAGATATTAATCCTTTGCTTAAAACATTGCAAATATCTTCTCTCAGTCTGTCACCTTTCTGTTAACTTTATCTGTGATGTCATTAATTAAGCAGAGATCCTAAATTTTGACTATATTATGGTTTGGAATCTTGTTCCTTAGTTTTTCTTTTTGAGACAGAGTCTTACTCTTTTGCCCAGGCTGGAGTGAAGTGGTAGGATCTCAGCTCACTGCAACCTCTGCCTCCCGGGTTCAAGCAATTCTCATGCCTCAGCCTCCTGAGTAGCTGGGACTATACGTGCATGCCACCACGCCCAGTTAAATTTTTTTACTTTTAGTAGAGACAGGGTTTTACTATGTTGATCAGGCTGGTCTCGAACTCCTGAGCTCAGGCAATCCTCCCGCCTCAGTCTCCCAAAGTGCTAGGATTAGAGGCATGAGCCACAGCGCCCGGCATAGAATTTTGTGTAGGAAGTCTTCATTTACCCTTAGGGAACAGATTTTCCTTCTTAGCTTTATAGTTTTAACTTTCACATTTAGGTCTTTAATCCATCTGGAGTCTATCTTCTAGGTGGTTTCAAGTAAAAATCCAGCTTTCTTCTCCTTGCAGTGAATTAGTTTTTCTACCACCATCTGAAAAACAATTTTCAGTGCTTTCTGATGCTACCGTTGTTACATATTAGGTTTCCTCGTATATACTTTATTTTTAAGCTCTCCATTCTATTTCATTTTTTATTTCTTTGTTTCAGTGCCCGCAACACAATGTTTTTATTGTTATGGCTTTATAGTAGAGCCATTTCTACCAATAGGGCAGGTACCCTTACCTTTTTGTCCTCTAAAATAGACTTATAGTGTAGTAATATTTCAAAAAATAATAATAAAGAAAAGAAAATAGATCTAGCATCCAGGCATGATGGCTCATGCTTATAATCCTAGTACTTTGGGAGGCCGGGGCAAGAGGATCACTTGAGGCCAGGAATTCAAGACCAGCCTGGGCAACATAGCAAGAACTTATCTCTCCAAAAAAATTTTTTTTGAATTAGCCAGGTGTGATGGCATGCACCTGTGGTTCCAGCTATGTGGGAGGCTGAGGTAGGAGGATCTCTGGAGCTTGGGCGGTTGAGGTTGCAGTGAGCTGTGATGAGATCACTACATTCCAGCCTGGGTGACACATTGAGACCCTGTCTCAACAACAACACAAATATAGACTGGGTTTTCATAGGCCTTTATTCTTTCATATTCATTTTAGAGTAAGTTGTAGATTCTCAACATTACTACTGGAATTTTATTGGAATTTCATTGAATATGTATTGATTAATTTGGAAGAGAACCAACATCTTTTCATGGAACATTTCCTGCCCAGAATTCAGTGTGGCTGGCTTTCTTCACCTTTTAGGTCTCTGCTAAAATGTCAGAGAAGCTTCCCTGACCATCCAGAATTAAGTAGCAAACTCATTCTCTGTCATTCTCTACTCTCTATCCCTTTATCTTTTTTTTTTCTTTTTTATTGAGACAGAGTCTCACTCTCTTGCCCAGGCTGGAGTGCAGTGGCACCATCTGGACTCACTACAACCTCCGCCTCCCGGGTTCAAGCGATTCTCCTGCCTCAGCCCCCCAAGTAGCTGGGATTACAGGCGTGTACTACCATGCCCAGCTAATTTTTATATTTTTAGTAGAGTTGGGGTTTCACTGTGTTGGCCAGGCTGGCCTCGAACTCCTGACCTCAAGCAATCCACTTGTCCCAGCCTCCCAAAGTTCTGGGATTACAGGCATGAGCCACCGCACCCAGCCTCTTTATTTTTTTTCTTTTTTTTTTTTTTTTTTCGAGATGGAGTCTCACTCTGTCACCCACGCTGGAGTGCAGTGGCGCGATCTCGGCTCACTGCAACCTCTGCCTACCGGGTTCACGCCATTCTCCTGCCTCAGCCTCCCGAGTAGCTGGGAGCCTGCCACCATGCCCGGCTAATTTTTTGTATTTTTAGTAGAGGTGGGGTTTCACCTTGTTAGCCAGGATGGTCTCGATCTCCTGACCTTGTGATCCACCCGCCTTGGCCTCCCAAAGTGCTGAGATTACAGGCGTGAGCCACCGTGCCCGGCCTTTTTTTTCATATTACTATCTGACTTTATTATTTTTTATTTTTAATTTTTGTCTTTTGAGATGGAATTTCACTCTTGTTGCCCAGGTTGGAGTGCAATGGCATTATCTTGGCTCACTGCAACCTCCACCTCCCAGGTTCAAGGGATTCTCCTGCCTCAGCCTCCCGAGTAGCTGGGATTACAGGCATGCACCACCATGCCTGGCTAATTTTGTATTTTTAGTAGAGACGGGCTTTCTCCATGTTGGTCAGGCTGGTCTCGAACTCCCAACCTCAAGTGATCTGCTCACCTTGGCCTCTCAAAGTGCTGGGATTACAGGCATGAGCCACCATGCCCGGCCCAATTTTAGTATTATTAGCAAGACTGTATGCTTCCTAAGGAGAGGAGCTGTGTTTTGTAGTATAGCATAATGATTAAGAGCACAAACTTTGGAATCTTAGGTTTAAATCTAAACTCCACTGCATGTATGTTGTTCAAGCTGGGTAAACCTCCGTAAGCCTTAGTTTTCTTGTCTGCAAAATGCATATGATCATAGACTGTTCCTAGAGATTGTTGTAGAGATTAAATGAGATAATCTACTCATTTAGCACAGTGCCTGGGACATAATAATTGATCAATAAATAAATATTTATGCCAGGCACTGTGTTAAATGTTTTATTTAGCAGTGTTCTAAATACTTTTTATTTCTATGAACCCCATAACCCCTACCTAGCTTAGTACTACTCATATAATTGACCTTTCAAATATTTGTTGAGTGAATGAGTGAGTGAACTTGTGAATGCTGACTTGGAGACCAAAAGAATCTTGCCTGTGTAAGCTGGTTTGTCCCAGGTTAACATTCCTCTTCAATGAGGTGGTATGTACGCCATGAGGCTCAGCATCTGTAGTAAGCAGGAGGAAATTGTGGAAAGGGGGTAGCTTTTTGACCATGGCTTTCTCCTTTTTTTTTTTTTTTTTTTTGAGACAGAGTCTCTCTCTGTTGCCCAGGCTGGAGTGCAGTGGCGCAATCTCAGCTGATTGCAACCTCCACCTCCCAGATTCAAGCGATTCTCCTGCCTCAGCCTCCCAAGTAGCTGGGATTACAGGCATGCGCCACCACACCCAGCTAATTTTTTTGTATTTTTAGTAGAGACAGGGTTTCACCATGTTGGCCAGGCTGGTCTCAAACCACTGATCTCAGGTGATCCACCCCCCTCGGCCTCCCAAAGTGCTGGAATTACAGGCGTGAGCCACCATGCCTGGCTTATTTTTTTATTTTATTTTATTTTATTTTATTTTTGAGACAGAGTCTCACTCTGTCACCCAGGCTGGAGAGTAGTGGCACAATCTCGGCTCACTGCAACCTCTGCCTCCCAAGCAATTCTCGTGCCTCAAGCGATTCTCATACCTCAGCTTCCCAAGTAGCTGGGAATGTACCACCATGCTCAGCTAAATATTTTGTATTTTTAGATAAAATTTTTAGACAGGGTTTCGCCTCGTTGGCCAGGCTGGTCTTGAACTCCTGGGCTCAAGCGATCTGCCTGCTTTGGCCTCCCAAAGTGCTAGGATTACAGGTGTGAGCCACTGTGCCTGGCCAGCTGTGGCTTTTTCACTCTGAAGAAGCCATTCACGCTTTAGTACTCTAATTTATTTCTCAGAACTGAAAAAACAAATTTTAAAAAGTTGCTCTAGGTAGCCGGGTGCGGTGGCTCACACCTGTAATCCCAGCACTTTGGGAGGCCAAGGCAGGTGGATCACAAGGTCAGGAGATTGAGACCGTCCTGGCTAACACGGTGAAACCCTGCCTCTAATAAAAATACAAAAAATTAGCCGGGCATGGTTGCAGGTGCCTGTAGTCCCAGCTACTCGGGAAACTGAGGCAGGAGAATGGCGTGAACCCAGGAGGCGGAGCTTGCAGTGAGCCGAGATGGCGCCACTGCACTCCAGCCTGGGCAACAGAGCGAGACTCCGTCACAGAAAAAAAAAAAGTTGCTCTAGGCAAAAATGTTAAAATTTACAACATTTAAGGTCACGGAGAACATGGAGAAAGGAGTACATTTTTGGAGGAAATAAAAATCAATGCCAACTCTTCTTAAGCTCATTTAGCCTAAGAAAATAATTAAGAATTTTCACAAAGGTTTAGTATAAGGATGCTTATCTTAGTGATGTGTGTGATTTAGCAAAAAATGGAAATAATTTTCCATTTTTTATTTATTTATTTTTTTGAGACAGGGTCTCGCTCTGTTGCCCAGGCTAGAATACAGTGGTGCCAACATGGCTCACTGCAGCCTTGACCTCCAGGGCTCAAACAATCCTCCCTCCTCAGACTCCCAAAGTGCTGGGGTTATAGGCGTGCACCACCATGCTTAGCGGAAATAATCTTGATGTCTAATAAAAGGGAATGGAATAATTAAATGAAACTGCACATCCATATAATAAGATACAGCTATACAAAAAGAATTTGTAGAAATGAATTTAATGGAAAAATATCCCAGATAGTTAACTTATTAACTGTGTGGCCTAAGGTAAATTACTTAACTCCTCTGCCTTAGTGTCCTTATCATTAAATGGGATACTAATAGTGCCTTCTTTATAGTGTTATCATGGGGTTTAAATGAGTTATTATATGTAATAACATTTGGGATAGTACCTGGCCTAGAGTAAACATTATATACATATAAATTGTAATTATTGTAAGAAAAGCTTTAAAATAGTATGTTAATATGCTACTTTTTTATAGTACATGTACATAGATATAATGGTATGAAAGTAAATATTTCAAAACGTTAATAAGTGGCTCACACCTGTAATCCCAGCACTTTGGAAGGCCAAGGCAGATGGATCATTTGAGGTCAGGAGTTTGAGACCAGCCTGAGCAACGTAGCAAGACCCTGTCTCTACAAAAAAATACAAAAATTAGGGGGGCATGGTGGTACACACCTGTAATCCCAGCTACTCGGGAGGCTGAGGTGGGAGAATCACCTGGGCTCAGTAGGTTGAGGTTGCAGTGAGCCAAGATGTCGCCACTGCACTCTAGCATGGGTAACAGAGTGAGACTCCATTTCAAACAATAACAACAACAACACACACAAAGAAAACATAAAACAGAGAAAGAGTGTTGCTTTAGTAGGGGAGTAAGGATGTCTGGGATTTTCCACCTTGCCTGTGCCATGCTTGTTAGCCCCTGTGGCCAGTATATGAGTGTGAAGGAGGAGTCAGCCTTCTCCATCTCCTTTGAAAAGTGATCTCCTCTTTTTTCAAATGAGAAAGGATCCCCAGGATGCTTTTAGGCAATGACAGTTTCTTTTTTTTTTTTTTTGAGACGGAGTCTTGCACTGTCACCCAGGCTGGAGTGCAGTGGTGCGATCTCGGCTCACTGCAACCTCTGCCTCCCAGGTTCAAGCGATTCTCCTGCCTCAGCCTCCCAAGTAGCTGGGATTACATGCGCCAGCCACCATGGCCAGCTAATTTTTTGTATTTTTAGTAGAGATGGGGTTTCCCTATGTTGGCCAGGCTGGTCTCGAACTCCTGACCTCAGGAGTTCCCAGCCAACAGTTTCTTGACAGATCAAATATGGGGCCCAAGGATAAAGAACCAACATTTAACTCTAGAGGCAGAGACAGGATGTGAGTCATCACACTGGCCTTTCGTCAAGTTGACTATAATTGTTTCTGTGTTTGTCCTCCGTGGTATGAATATGAACTGACAAGACTAATTTAGAAAAACAAACAAATATATCAGAAGATAAACATTTAAATAAGTAGTTTCCTTCAAAGTATTTATTTTGATAAATGAACACTTTAGCATTGTTCAAGTAATCATTGGATTTTTGGGGTGGGTTGGGGAGATGTCAAACAAATTGATTTCAAAATAGGTTTACGGTACTATTTTAGGTATGGTATTTCTTGAAGAAAAAAAGTATACCCATTACTCTTGCTAGGTTGGCCAGGCTGATCTTGAACCCTGGCCTCAAGTGATCCTCCCACCTCAGCCTTCCAAAATGCTAGGATTATAGGCATAAGCCACCATGCCTGGCCCTAAAATGGGGTTTTTTTTTGTTTTTTTAGATGCAGTTTCGCTTTTGTTGCCCAGGCTGAAGGGCAGTGGCGTGATCTCGGCTCCCTGCAATCTCCACGTCCCGGGTTCAAGTAATTCTCTTGCCTCAGCCTCCTGAGTAGCTTGGATTACAGGTGCCTGCCACCACGCCCAGCTAATTTTTCTGTATTTTTAGTAGAGACCAGGTTTCACCACGTTGGCGAGGCTGGTCTTCAACTCCTACCTCAGGTGATCCGCCCGCTTCGGCCTCCCAAAAAGTGCTGGGATTACAGGCCTGAGCCACCACGCCCAGCCACTTATATTTCTTAGTAATAAAAATCTTGAAACAGAGAAGCATTTGGCCGGGCGCGGTGGCTCACACCTGTAATCCCAGCACTTTGGGAGGCCAAGGTGGGTGGATCACAAGGTCAGGAGTTCAAGACCAGCCTGGCCAAGATGGTGAAACCCCGTCTCTACTAAAAATACAAAAAATTAGCTGGGCATGGTGGCACGTGCCTGTAATCCCAGCTACTCAGGAGGCTGAGGCAGAGAATTGCTTAAACCTGGGGAGCAGAAGTTGCAGTGAGCCGAGATCATGCCACTGCACTCCAGCCTGGGCGACAGAGTGAGACTCCGTCTCAAAAAAAACAAAAACAAAAAAAAAGAGAGAGAAGCAGTTAAATAAATTTTGGCAAACCCATTTGATGGAATATTATGCAGCCATTAAAATTATTATTATTTTAACTGAGTATCTCAGCCTTAAAATGTATTTTGTTTTTTTCTCCTCCTTTCCTTCTTAATCTTTTTTTTTTTTTTTTTTTGAGACCGCATTTCGATCTTGTTGCCCAGGCTAGAGTGCAATAGCGTGATCTCTGCTCACTGCAACCTGTGCCTCCCAGGTTCAAGTGATTCTCCTGCCTTAGCCTCCCGAGTAACTGGGATTACAGGCAGCCACTACCATGCCTGGTTAATTTTTGTATTTTTAGTAGTGACGGGGTTTCACCATGTTGGCCATGCTCGTCTCAAACTCCTGACCTCAGGTGATCCACCCACCTCGGCCTCCCAAAGTGCTGGGATTATAGGTATGAGCCACTGCACCTGGCCTTCCTTCTTAATTTTAAGATGTAGCCTTGAAACCTATTTTAGAATTATCTTCCCTCCCTTTCCCACCTGACACTTTGTTGTACCATGCACACCTATCTGAGTATATGTTCATTTAGAAATTCCAGGGGCTGACCGGGTGCAGTGGCTCATGCCTGTAATCCCAGCACTTTGGGAGGCCAAGGTGGGTGGATCACAAGGTCAGGAGTTCAAGACCAGCCTGACCAACATGGTGAAACCCTGTCTCTACTAAAAATACAAAAATTAGCCAGGCGTGGTGGTGGCGGGCACCTGTAATCCCAGCTACTCATGAGGTTGAGGCAGGAGAATCGCTTGAACCCAGGAGGCAGAGGTTACAGTGAGCTGAGATCATGCCACTGCACTCCAGCCTGGGCAACAGAGCGAGACTCCATCTCAAAAAAAAAAAAAAAAAGAAAAAAGTTCATTCCAGGGGCTGATCTTGAAACTAACCAGGCATGGAGACCCAGCGCTGAATTCTTCCCCATGAGATTACCTCAGTGAGGTTAATCAACAGTCCCGCTGCAGCTGAAATGGGGCCAGCCAGCCAGCACTCCAGGTGGACAATAACTCAACATAGTCATTGGAAAGACACATACAAGCCTGTACCCTGCATCACTCCTGCATGCTTCCCATAGCAGTTTCCATTTTTAAACAACTCCACTTAGCCCCCAAATTGGAGATGCTTTCTTTGTGACTTGAGCCCAGCCATCTCCTCAACTTCTAGAATTTAAATTAAAGCTGCAGGCCAGGCGCCTTGGCTCACACCTGTAATCTTAGCACTTTGGGAGGCCGAGGAGGGCGGATCACTTCAGGTCAGGAGTTCAAGACCAGCCTGGCCAGCACAGTGAAACCCAGTCTCTACTAAAAATACAAAAATTAGCCAGAAATCGCTTGAACCCGGGAGGTGGAGGTTGCAGTGAGCCACGATGGTGCCACTGCACTCCAGCCCGGGCAACAGAGTGAGACTTTGTCTCACTCTTAAATAAATAAGTAAATTAATTAATTAAAGCTGCAGGCCAGGCACGGTGGTTCACACCTGTGATCCCAGCACTTTGGGAGGCTAAGTTAGGAGGATAGCTTCAGCCCAGGAATTCAAGGCCAGCAACATAGCAAGGCCCCATCTGTACAAAAAAAAAAAGGCCAGATGTGGTGGCTCATGTCTATAATCCCAGCATTTTGAAAGGCTGAGGTGAGTGGATTGCTTGAGCCCAGGAGTTTGAGACCAGCCTGGGCAACATAGCAAAACCCTGTCTCTACCCAAAAATTACAAAAAATAGCCAGGCATGGTGGTATGTGCCTGTAGTCCCAGCTACTTGGGAGGCTGAGGTAGGAGGATCTCTTGAGCCTAGGAAGAGGTTGCAGTGAGCCGAGATCATGCCACTGCACTCCAGCCTGGACAACAGTGAGACCCTGTCTCAAAAATAAAACAATAATAAAAAAATTTAGAAGGAATCAATATATCCTACAGTAATGATAGGAAACAATTTACATAGCGAAAACCATGCAACTATTTAAAGTGTTATTGTAGAAAAACTTAATGTATCATGCATATAATCCCAGCTACTTGGGAGGCTGAGGCAAGAGGATCACTTGAGCCCAAGGAGTTCAAAACCAGCCTGGGCAACATAGTGACACATGTGTCTACTAGAAAGAGATACAAAAATGGTTAATAGGTAGTGGGATTATGCATAATTTAATTTTTGTTCATATCGCTTTTTTATAAGTTTTGTTTCTTTTTTTTTTTTTGAGACAGAGTTTTGCTCTTGTTGCCCAGGCTGGAGTGCAATGGCACGATCTCGGCTCCCCGCAACCTCCGCCTCCCAGGTTCAAACAATTTTCCTGCCTCAGCCTCCCGAGTAGCTGGGATTACAGGCATGCACCACCACGCCCAGCTAATTTTTTGTATTTTTAGTAGAGATGGGGTTTCTCCATGTTGAGGCTGGTCTCGAACTCCTGACCTCAGGTGATCTGCCCACCTCGGCCTCCCAAAGTGCTGGGATTACAGGTGTGAGCCACCGCGCCCGGCTATGAGTTTTGTTTCTTTGTATGTTTTTGCGGAAGAGGGTTGAGACAGGGTCCTACTCTCTGGCCCAGGCTGGAGTGCAGTGGTGTGATCATGGCTTACTGTAGCCTCTACCTCCTGAGGCTGGGAGTTCAAGACCAGCCTGACCAACATTGAGAAACCCCATCTCTACTAAAGATACAAAAAATTAGCTGGGGATGGTGGCACATGCCTGTAATCCCAGCTACTACTACTTGGGAGGCTGAGGCAGGAGAATCGCTTGAACCCGGGAGGCAGAGGTTGCGGTGAGCCGAGATCTTCCCATTGTACTCCAGCCTGAGCAATAAGAGCTAAACTCTGTCTCGAAAAAAAAAATACATTTTTGAGGCAATTATGGAACTGTGAATAATAATTGGGTATCATGTGATATTAGGAAACTGGGCCCAAGCAATCCTTCCACTTCAGCCTCTCGAGTAGTTGGAACTACAGGTGCATGCCACCATGCCAACTAGTATTTAAATTTTTCTGTAGAGACAGGGTCTGGCTTTGTTGACCAAGCTGGTTTCGAACTCCTGGGCTCCAGCGATCCTCCCTCCTCAGCCTCCCCAAATTCTGGGATTACAAGCATGAGCCACCTCATCTGGCCAACAGTTTCCTAATATCACATGATACCCAATTATTATTCGCAGTTCCATAATTGCCTCAAAAATGTATTTTTTTTTTCGAGACAGAGTTTAGCTCTTATTGCCCAGGCTGGAGTACAATGGGAAGATTTCGGCTCACCACAATCTCTGCCTCCCGGGTTCAAGCGATTCTCCTGCCTCAGCCTCCCAAGTAGTAGTAGCTGGGATTACAGGCATGTGCCACCATCCCCAGCTAATGTTTTGTATCTTTAGTAGAGATGGGGTTTCTCGATGTTGGTCAGGCTGGTCTTGAACTCCCAACCTCAGGTTATCCGCCTGCCTCAGCCTCCCACAGTGCTGGGATTACAGGCGTGAGCCACCACTGTTGGCCTAAAAATGTCTTTTTATGGTTTGTTTGAGTCAGGATCCACTCAAGGTCAACATGTTACATTTGCTTGTGATGTCTTTGCTTCCTTTTTAAAGTATAACATTTTCCTCCTCTCAATACCAGGAAGCCCATCTTCTTTTGGAGACCCTAGATTATCCTAGTGGCCTCCTGCGGGGAGGATATTGGTGTGGCGAGTGGATGGCAACGGTTGCGCTAGACCAGAAGTTGTAGTATTACTACCTTTTTTTTTTTGAGATGGAAGTCTTGCTCTGTTGCCCAGACTAGAGTGCAGTGGCGCACTCTTGGCTCACTGCAACCTCCACCTCCTGGGTTCAAGCGATTTTCCTGCCCGAGTAGCTCAGATTACAGGCGGCCACCACAGCACCTGGCTAATTTTTGTATTTTTAGTAGAGACGGGGTTTCACCATCTTGGCCAGACTGGTCTCGAACTCCTGACCTCATGATCCACCCGCCTCCGCCTCCTAAAGTGCTGGGATTACAGGCGTGAGCCACCGCGCCCGGCCTTTTTAGTTTGTTTGAGACAGAGTCTCGCTCTGTCACCCAGGTTGGAGTGCAGTGGCATGATCTCAGCTCACTGCAACATCCACCTCCCGGGTTCAAGCGATTCTCCTGCCTCAGCCTCCCAAGTAGGTGGGACTACAGGCACATGCCACCATGCCCAGCTAATTTTTTGTATTTTTAGTAGAGATGGGGTTACACCTTGTTAGCTAGGATGGTCTCGAGCTCCTGACCTCGTGATCCACCCACCTCCGCCTCCCAAAGTGCTGGGATTACAGGCATGAGTCACTACACCCAGCCCCTCCCTCCTCTTGAGGATTCCTTTTGCTTTTCTCCTGTATTGACTTTCCCATTTCCTGTTTCCAGAATTTTATCTAAAGTTACCTGAACTGTATCTTTGTTTGCCCTCCGGTTTTGGTAGACCATATCTGCCAGTAGTTTCTTGTGAAATGATGCATCAGAGGTAAAAATGTTTAGATCTTGTATATCTGATTATGTCTTTACCCACATGTTTGAACGATGGTGTTAATTTTTTTTTTTTTTTTTTTTTTTTTTTTTTGAGTCTCGCACTCTAGCCCAGGCTGGAGTGCAGTGGCGCCATCTCGGCTCACTGCAAGCTCCGCCTCCCAGGTTGACGCCATTCTCCTGCCTCAGCCTCCTGAGTAGCTGGGACTACAGGCGCCGGCCACGACGCCCGGCTAATTTTTTGTATTTTTAGTAGAGACGGGGTTTCACCGTGTTAGCCAGGATGGTCTCAATCTCCTGACCTTGTGATCCGCCCGCCTTGGCCTCCCAAAGTGCTGGGATTACAGGCGTGAGCCACCGTGCCCGGCTGATGTTAATGTTTTAACAAGGTACAGAATCCTAGGTTGGAAATCATCACCTTTCGGAATTTTGAAGGCATTCCTCCCTTCTTTTACTTCAAGTGTTGCCATTGAGAGGTCTAAAGCCATTCTGATCTCTGATCTGCTATGTGGGACTTGTATCTTTTCTGTTTGGAAACTGATAGAATCTTGTCTTTGTCTGCAGGTCCTGACATGTCAGTGGTGAGTCATGATATAGGTTTATTCTCATTCATTGTGCTAGGCACACAGTGGGCCCTTTCAATCTGGAAATTTGTGGAAAATATTTTAAATTATTTTATGATATCTCCTCAACTTTTTTTTTTAGACAGTCTCTGTTGCCAGGCTGGAGTGCAGTAGTGCGATTTTGGCTCACTGAAACCTCTGCCTCCTGGGTTCAAGCGATTCTCCTGCCTCAGCCTCCCGAGTAGCTGGGATTACAGGTGACCACCACCATGCCCGGCTAATTTTTGTATTTTTTAGTGGAGACGGGGTTTCACCATGTTGACAAGGCTAGTCTTGAACTCCTGACCTCAAGTGATTAGCCTCCCTCAGCCTCCCAAAGTGCTGGGATTACAGGCGTGAGCCACTGCGCCCGGCCATAAATAAATATTTAATTAAAATAAATTAAGAAAAAGCTTTCTCTCTGCATTGTCTCAATTTCCTACAAGTTTCTTTCTTCCTTTTTTAAATTTTGCTAAGTGTTTTATAATCACAACAAACTAGTACAGAGAATGCCCTGTACAAAACACAATAAAGGTTCAAAGACCGAGGTGTTCCCTTAGCAAGGCTGAAAATTTCAGTCTCTGGTATTTGGAATTTAGGGTGCAGTCCTTGTTTTTGGATGGATACTGGGTGTGTGGCACAGTCCATGCTTTTAAACAGATTTGAACAGAAGAATGGCCATTTGGCCCAGGTAAAAGCAGATGAAGTGGCTGGGCGTGGTAGCTCACGCCTGTCATCCCAGCACTTTGGGAGGCCGAGGCGGGCGGATCACCAGAGGTCAGGAGTTCAAGACCAGCCTGGCCAACATGGTGAAACTCTGTCTCTACTTAAAATACAAAATCAGCCGGGCATGATGGCGCATGCCTGTAATCCCAGCTACTCAGGAGGCTGAGGCAGGAGAATTGCTTGAACCCGGGAGGTGGAGGTTGCAGTGAGCCAAGATTGCGCCATTGCACTCCAGCTCTGGGCTATGGAGCAAGACTCCATCTCAGAAAAAAAAAGAAAAAAGTAGATGAAATCTCCAAAGCTCATTTCCTTACCTGTAAAATGAGAAATAATAATATAATTAAACTATGATATCAGCCTTTTGGAATGAACATGAGAGTTAAAGGAGATAATAATGTAAACTGCTTAACACAGAGCTCAGAGTAAGCACTTTTAATTTTTAGCTATGATCATGATCTTTTTTTTTTTAGATGGGAGACTCTCTGTTGCCCAGGCTGGGGTATAGTGGTGCAATCTCAGCTCACTGCAACCTCCGCCTCCTAGGCTCAAGCAATTCTCCTGCCTCAGCCTCCTGAGCAGCTAGGACTACAGGCACATGCCACCACGCCCAGCTTTTTTATTTTTTTTTCCGTATTTTTAGTGGAGACAGGCTTTCACCATGTTGGCCAGGCTGGTCTCAAAACTCCTGACCCCAGGTGATCTGCCTGCCTCAGCCTCCCAAAGTGCTGGAATTACAGGCTTGAGCCATCATGCCCGGCCGATCATGACCATTTAAATTTTCATTAAGGTACTTCATGCAGTGCTTGGCACATGGTTGATGCTCAAACCTATAGCTATTGCAATAAGTTACCTACAGTTTCCAACTGCTAGGGTTATGGCTTTGTTATTTATTTTTTAAAAATTGTTAGTGATTAACACGATCTTTAGCCTAGTACCTAGGAACTTGTCTCATCATCTTGGTAACTGACAAGGCCTGGCACCATGCCTGGCATCATGCCTGGCACGTAGTAGGCACTCAGTACATAGCTGTTGAATCATATTAAATTGAAATGAATATCCATTCAGACATTAGCACAAGAGCTGTGTCACTAAATAGCTGTCATTGCAAAATTTACAGACAACAATGACACAGACATGCTTGCATAGTTTGTAAGCCACGATTTCAACTTCCTGCATTGCAGACATCTCAATTAATAATCCCATTCCACTCACATGATCCTTAGAAAGAAAGGGCAAACTAATAGAAATATCTGGTTTAGCAACTAAAAGAATGAGCTCTAGTCTAGGTAGATAGAGGCTTACATCCTGGCTTCAATATCACCTAGTGGGTCAGTTACTTAATCTCTGAGTTTCAGTTTTCTTATCTGTGAGAAGGGAATAATAATAGAATCTATTTAATGAAGTTATTGTGAGAATAGTGCCTTCCAACTGCTGTTCTCTTTGCCTGAAACACTCGTTTCATGAAGGGTGAAACCCCATGTTTGGATTTTGTGTGTGTGTGTGTGTGTGTGTGTGTGTGAGAGAGAGAGAGAGAGACAGAGAGACAGGGTCTCGCTCTGTCGCCCAGGCTGGAGTGAAGTGACTTGATCTTGGCTCAATGCAACCATCGCCTCCCAGGCTCAAGCTATTCTCCTGCCTCAGCCTCCCAAGTAGCTAGGATTATAGGCATGTGTCACCATGCCCAGCTAATTTTTGTATTTTTATTTATTTTTTGAAATTATCTTTTTTTCTTTTTTTCTTTTTTTTTTTTGAGACAGGGTCTCACTCTGTCACCCAGACTGGAGTGCAGTGGTGTGATCTCAGCTCATGGCAACCTCCGCCTCCCAGGCTCAAGGGGATTTTCCTGCCTCAGCCTCCCAAGTAGCTGGGATTACAGTCACGTGCCACTACTGCCCAGCTAATTTTTGTATTTTTAGTAGAGTCAGGGTTTCACCATGTTGGCCAGTCTGGTCTCGAACTCCTGACCTCAAGTGATCCACCGGCCTCGGCCTCCCAAAGTACTGGGATTACAGGCTTGAGCTACCCTGCCTGGCCTCCATGTTTCACCTTGTTAATTCCCCCGATTTTTCAGCTTGACTGTCACTTCTTCCAGAATGCCTTCCCTGCCGCCCATGGTAGGTTGGGTTCACTGTTATACTCTCCCTGTAGCACCTGTCAATTACTCTTTATAATTACTTTCTTTTTTTTTTTTTTTTTTTTTTGTGTGTGGAAATAGTCTTGCTCTGTTGCTCAGGCTGGAGTGCAATGGCGAGATCCCAGCTCACTGCAACCTCTGCCTCCTGGGTTCAAGCAATTCTCCGGCCTCAGCCTCCCAAGTAGCTGGTATTACAGGCACCTGCCACCACACCCGGCTAAGTTTTTTTGTATTTTTATTAGAAACGGGTTTTCACCGTGTTGGCCAGGCTGGTCTCGATCTCCTGACCTCAGGTGATCCACCTGCCTCTGCTTCCCAAAGTGCTGGGATTACAGACATGAGCCACTGTGCCCGGCCTATAATTACTTCTTAAACTATTCCCTTCCTTTCTGAACTGTGAATTCCCAAAGGAGAGGGATAGTGTCTGTTTCATTTATTCCTGTCTCCAATGTCTAATAGTCTCTTGGTTCATAATATTTTGGGTGGACTGTTCTCGTTAACTCTGTGAAAAAAACAAGATAATAATGCACATAAATACAGAGCCCAACATTTAGCAAACTCTTAATAAATGAGATTTGTTAGTAGTATTAACAACAGAGTATTGTACTGAGTTTACTTGCCTTGAGAAAACTAATGGGAAGAGCAACAAATTAAGATAGGTATTGTGAATCTAGCTCCGTATCTCACTTGTGATATGCCCTTGACGAAATGTCTGTTCTTCTCATTTTTCCACTATTTAAATGAACATAAGATATTCATCCTGGTGTCCCACTTAACTTGGTTGCCGTAAAGTCTGCCTTTTGCCAGACCACACCTGAAATGCTGTCCTGCGTGCCCCCAGTTTCTAGATTCCATACTATCCTTGTGCTTCTCTGCCTTCTCAGCTATTATTGACCCCTGACCTTTCTCCCTTCTATTTCTGTCTAGCTCCTCAGTTTGTTACACCAATTGGCTACCTCCCAGCTTTTAGCTTTGAAATACATTTGTCCTCATGATAAAGACCAAAATCCTTAAGATGCTAATGGAAGCCTCATCTTCTTCCTGCTGTCTTGCTCACTGTGCTCCGGCCACCTGGCTACCCTGAGGTTTCCCAGAGGCACGAATCTCCCTGACCAAGGCCTTTGGACCCAACAGTCCTTACGCTTGGAGCAGCATCCCCACCTCTTTATCGGATTCACCCCCAGTCAACTCCTGTTTCAGCTTTAGCAGCACTTCTTCAGGGAGCATTACTTAGCTTCCTTGGAAGAAATTAGGTTTCTCTGTTATATGCCACCTTCCGTATAGATCAGTGTAATACACTGTCAGGACTTCACATTTTATTGTATTTTATTTAATTCTTTTCTTGTCTTTTCTTTTCTTTTGAGACAGAGTCTTGCTCTGTCGCCCATGGTGGAGTGCAGTGGTGCAATCTCGGCTCACTGCAACCTCCGCCTCCCGGGTTCAAGCGATTCTCCTCCCTCAACCTCCTGAGTAGCTGGGATTACAGGCACGCGCTACCGCATCCGGCTAATTTTTGTATTTTTAATAGAGACAGGGTTTCACCATGTAGGCCAGGCTGGTCTCGAACTCCTGACTTCAGGTGATCCACCTGCCTTGGCCTCCCAAAGTGCTGGGATTACAGGCATGAGCCACCACGCCCGGCCTTATTTATTTCTTAATTTACAAAAATTGTTTCCAGGCTGGGCATAGTGGCTCACACCTTTAATCCCAGCACTTTGGGAGGCCTAGGCAGGCGGATCACCAGAGGCCAGGAGTTCGAGACCAGCCTGCCCAACATGGTAAAACCCTCTCTCTACAAAACAAAAAACCAAAAACCAAAATTAGCCGGGTGTGGTGGGTGTGCCTGTAGTCCCAGCTGCTCAGGAGGCTGAGGCAGGAGAATTGCTTGAACCTGGGAGGCGGAGGTTGCAGTGAGCCGAGATCCACCACTGCATTCCAGCCTGAGCGACAGGGCCAGACTCCGTCTCAAAAATAAATAAACAAATAAATAATTTGGCCGGGGGCACGGTGGCTCACGCCTGTAATCCCAACACTCTGGGAGGCCGAGGCGGGTGGATCACGAGGTCAGGAGATCAAGACCATCCTGGCTAACACGGTGAAACCCCGTCTCTACTAAAAATACAAAAGCCAGGCGCAGTGGCTCACGCCTGTAATCCCAGCACTTTGGGAGGCCGAGGCGGGCGCACCACGAGGTCAGGAGATGGAGACCATCCTGGCTAACACGGTGAAACCCCGTCTCTACTAAAAATACAAAAAAAAATTAGCTGGGCGTGGTGGCGGGCGCCTGTAGTCCCAGCTACTCGGGAAGCTGAGGCAGGAGAATGGCGTGAACCCGGGAGGCGGAGCTTGCAGTGAGCCAAGATCTTGCCACTGCACTCCAGCCGGGGCCACAGAGCGAGACTCCGTCTCCAAAAAAAATAAAAAATAAAAATAAATAAAAATAAAAATACAAAAAATTAGCCGGGCATGGTGGCGGGCGCCTGTAGTCCCAGCTACTCGGGAGGCTGAGGCAGGAGAATGGCGTGAACCTGGGAGGCGGAGCTTGCAGTAAGCAGAGATGGTGCCACTGCATTCCAGCCTGGGGGACAGAGCGAGACTCCCTCTCACAGATTAAAATAAATAAAAAATAAAATAAAATAAAATAATAAAATAAAATAAATAAAATAAAATATAAAATAAAATTAAAACATAATAAAAATTAAAAAAAATCTTTTTTGAGACAGGGTCTCACTCTGGTTGCCCAGGCTGGAATGCAGTGGTGCGATCTCGGCTCACTGCAGCTTCGACCTCTCAGGCTTCAGATGATTCTCCCACCTCAGCCTCCCAAGTAGCTGGTACTACAGATGCGTGCCACCACACCCGGCTAATTTTTTGTATTTTTAGTAGAGACCGAGGTTTCGCCATGTTGACCCAGGCTGGTCTCAAACTCCTGGACTCAAGCAATCCCCTCGTCTCAGCCTCCCAAAGTGCTGAGATTATAGGCGTGAGCCACTGCGCCCGGCCCAGAGACGGAGTTTAGCTCTTTTTGCCCAGCCTGAAGTGCAGTGGTGCGATCTCAGGTCACCGCAACCTCCGCCTCCCGGGTTCAAGCGATTCTCCTGCCTCAGCCTCCGGAGTAGCTGGGATTACAGGCATGCTCCACCACGCCCAGCTAATTTTGTATTTTTAGTAGAGACGGGATTTCTGCGTGTTGGTCAGGCTGGTCTCGAACGCCTGACCTCAGGTGATCCGCCCGCCTCGGCCTCCCAAAGTGCTGGGATTACAGGCGTGAGCCACTGCACCCGGCAGATCTTCACATTTTAAAAGAGAAATTAAGAATTCAGACTTGAATGTAAAATTCCTGGGGTTAAAATGTAAATCACTGTGGGCCAAATATCTGTAGGTTAGTGACTGCCTATGGCCTGCCTATTTGCAACCTGTGCTGCTCAACCTTTAGCTATACTTGGTAAGTATTTCTGTGTTAATCATCACTCCATCATCATTCCACTTATTAACTGTCCACTCCATGCCAGGCACTGTCTTGGTGCTTTACGCAGATGATTTCATGTAATCTCCAAAACCATCTGTGAGGTCAAGTAAGGTTCAGAGAGGTTAAGACGCTTGCCCACGGTCAGGAAGTGGTGGAACCAGATGCTATAGGTCTTTCCAATAGACTTTTGTGTGTCCAGGTACAATTTGTCAGTTTAGAATGGGAGGGCCTTGAATCTTAAATTCAGCTGGAAAAAAAAAAAAGGATGAGAGAGGCTCTGAAGCTCTGCCTGACAATGACAACAACCATTAATATTTGTTGCGTGCTCACTGTGTGCCAGGCCTTGTGCTAAGCGCTTTATGTGATCTAATTTAATCCTCACAACACCTATGTAAAGGAGCTGCTGTTATCATCCCCATTTTATAGATGAGGAAACTGAAGTGTAGAATAGGTATCTGATTGCTGTGCACGGTGGCTCACGCCTGTAATCCCAGCACTTTGGAAGGCTGAGGCAGGCAGATCACCTGAGACCAGGAATTAGAGACCAGCCTGGCCAACATGGTGAAACTCTGTCTCTACTAAAAATACAAAAAATTAGCCGGGCATGGTGGCAGGCGCCTGTGAGGCAGGAGGATTGCTTGAACCCAGGAGGCGGAGGCTTCAGTGAGCCGAGATCACACCATTGCACCCCAGCCTGGGCAACAAGAGCGAAACTCAATCTCAAAAAAAAAAAAAAAAAAAGAATAGGTATCTGATTTACCCAAGGTATAGAACAGGTATCTGATTTACCCGAGGTAAAGACAGAATTCAAATGCAGACAATTGAATGCCACAGCTCCCTGCTTTTAGCAATTTGGTTTTGTGGCAGATTATGGGATGATGACAGCAAAAAGGGAGAAATCTGTAAATCAGTCTTTCTCCAATCCAGAGCCTAATAGAGGACTCAATTGAAAGAAGAATCCCACCAGGTACTTCCAGGAACCTGATATTGAGAGATGTGGCCGGCAGGTGGCAGCAACATTCATAGTTTCTTCTCTAAATTCAGCAATGTTCAAAGCTATAGAGAGGAAACTATAAATTCACACTCATCATTTGCATATTATCTTCTGATGGGCCCAATCCATTCTTTGCCAATAAATGTGACTTTTAGTTTCTTAGCTCAGTGAGAACTGCCAGGCTTGAGAGAACCCTCAGGATTTGAAGCTGCAGTGAAATCATCCAATCCAACAAGCATCGTGGTGATTTTATTTATTTATTTTATTATTATTATTTATTTCTTTTAGATGTAGGGTCGCACTTTGTCGCCCAGGCTGAAGTGCCATGGTACGATCATAGCTCACTGTAACCTCAAACTCCTGGGCTCAAGCGATTTTCCTGCCTCAGCCTCCTGAATAGCTGAGACTGTAGGCATCCACCACAGCTGGCTCATTTTTATTATTTTAATTTTTATAGAGATGGGAGTCTTGCTGTGTTGCCCAGGCCAGTCTTGAACTCCTGTGCTCAAGAGTGACCCTTCTGGCCGGGCGTGGTGGCTCACGCCTGTAATCCTAGCACTTTGGGAGGCCAAGGCGGGAGGATCACGAGGTCAGGAGATCGAGACCATCCTGGCTAACATGGTGAAACCCAGTTTCTACTGAAAATACAAAAAATTAGCCAGGTGCAGTGGCAGACGCCTGTAGTCCCAGCTACTCAGGAAGCTGAGGCAGGAGAATTGCTTGAACCGGGAGGCGGAGGTTGCAGTGAGCCAAGATCGTGCCACTGCACACCAGCCTGGGCAACAGAGCGAGACTCCATCTCAAAAAAAAAAAAAAGAGTGAGCCTTCTGCCTTGGCCTCCCAAAGTGCTGATCCAGGCCCATTATGGTGATTTTAAACTGTTCAGTGGAACTGTATTTTAGTGATTCCCAACCCTTTTTGAGTTTGCGTTTTAAAAAATTATTTGGCTGGGTGTAGTGGTTCACGTCTGTAATCCCAGCACTTTGGGGGGCTGAGGCAGGTGGATCACCTGAGGTCAGGAGTTTGAGACCAGCCTGGCCAACATGGTGAAACCTCGTCTCCACTAAAAATACAAAAAATTAGCTGGGCATGGTGGCATGTGCCTGTAATCCCAGCTACTCTGGAGGCTGAGGCAGGAGAATCGTTTGAACCTGGGAGGCAGAGGTTGCAGTGAGCCGAGATAGCGCCATTGCACTCCAGCCTAGGGGGATAAGAGTGAAACTCCATCTCAAAAAAAAAAAAAAAAAAATTCAATAGCACAAAAGGGTATACGGTGAAAAGCCAATCTTTCTAGCATACTTACCCCAAATCCCACTATCTTCCTACCCCAGAGGAAAGCTGTGTATTCTTTCAGGTTTAGACTGAATAGAAAAGTATATGCATGGGCAGGTGTGGTGGATCACGCCTGTAATCCCAGCACTTTGGGAGGACGAGGCGGGAGAATCACTTGAGCTCAGGAGTTCAAGACCAGCCTGGGCAACATGGCAAAACTCTGTCTCTACAAAAAACACAAAAAAATTAGCAGTGTATGGTGGTGTGCACCTGTAGTCCCAGCTAGTTTGGAGGCTGAGGTGAGAGGATCACCCGAGCCTGGGAGGTCAAGGCTGCAGTGAGCCATGATCGGCTGCTGCACTCCAGCCCTGGTGACAGAGTGAGACTCTATCCCAAATAATCCTTTTAAAAAATGGCGATCTAAAAATATACACGGCCAGGTACAGTGGCTCATGCCTGTAATCCCAGTACTTTGGGAGGCCAAGGTGGGTGGATCACCTAAGGTCAGGAGTTCGAGGCCAGCCGGACCAACATGGTGAAACCTCATCTCTACTAAACATACAAAAAATTAGCCGGGCATGGTGGTGGCAAGGGTTAGGGATCACTAAAACACAGCTACTTGGAGGCTGAGGCAGGAGAATCGCTTGAACCCAGGAGGTGGAGGTTGCGGTGAGCCGAAATCACGCCATTGCACTCCAGCCGGGCAACAACAGTGAAACTCCATATCAAAAAAATAAAAATAAAAATAAAACTATACACTTATAGAAGAAAATTTAGGGGGACATTTTTGTGATCTTGGATTAGGCAAAGATTTCTTAGATATGATACCATCCATAAGATTAAAAAATGGAAATATTGGACTTACTCAAATATTTTATTTATTTATTTTTATTTTATTTATTATTTTTTTGAGATGGAGTTTTGCTCTTGTTGCCCAAGCTGGGGTGCAATGGCCCGATCTCGGCTCACTGCAAACTCCTCCTCCTGGGTTCAAGCAATTCTCCTGCCTCAGCCTCCTGAGTAGCTGGGATTATAGGCTTGCACCACCACGCCCAGCTAATTTTTTTGTATTTTTTAGTAGAAATGGGGTTTCACCATGTTAGCCAGGCTGGTCTTGAACTCCTGACCTCAGGTGATCTGCCCGCCTCAGCCTCCCAAAGTGTTGGGATTACAGGCGTGCGCCACCGCGCCCAGCTAATTGTTTTGTATTTTTAGTGGAAACGGGGTTTCACCATGTTAGCCAGGCTGGTCTTGAACTCCTGACCTCAGGTGATCTGCCCGCCTCAGCCTCCCAAAGTGTTGGGATTACAGGTGTAAGCCACCATGCCTAGCCTTCAAAAATTTTAAATTCTGCTGTGTGAAAGATTCTGTAAAGAGAATGAAAAGACAAGCCACAGGCCGGTCGCAGTGGCTCACACCTGTAATCCCAGCACTTTGGGAGGCCGAGTTGGGTGGATCACGAGGTCAAGAGATCGAGACCATCCTGGCCAACATGGTGAAACCCGTCTCTACTAAAAATACAAAAATTAGCTGGGTGTGGTGGCATAGACCTGTAATCCCAGCTTCTCGGGAGGCTGAAGGGCTGAGGCAGGAGAATCGCTTGAACCTGGGAGGCATAGGTTGCAGTGAGCTAAGATAGCGCCACTGCACGCCAGCCTGGCGATAGAGCAAGACTCTGTCTCAAAAAAAAAATAAATAAATAAAATAAAGAAGAAGGAAAGACAAGCCACAGATTGGGAGAACATATTTGTAAATCACATATCTGATAAGTATCACCTGCAAAATCTCCTCTCATTCCCCCTTCTAGACACTGCTCTCTCACCCCAAAGGGTAGCTGCTATCCTGGCCTTGAACAGAATATTTTTGCTTGTCTTGTATTTTATCCACATGAAATCAAACATAGTACTGTGGTCTGGCTTCTTTCACTTAACATTATTTGTGAGAATCATCTATATGGTTGAGTATGGTATGTTATAGGGCACAAAAGGCGTAAGGGACAACAAACATTTTGCAAAGAATTTTTAGCACCACTGAGTTTTCTGTCAAGATGATAGCTAGCCATTATCTTGAAAACTAGGTGATGGACTGGATCTAATGGAGCACATGGATGAATCTGAGCACTGCAAGGGATGGTCTGGGAGGTTTTGTACCTTTCCTTCCATCCTCTCAGCCTTCCCAATGGGCAAAGCTTTTGAAAACAATTCAGTGAGGGCTTCAATTCTCCTTGTATCTTTCTCTCTGTTCTGGAGCTTTTCCTAAACCATAATGTAGGATACTGGTGAGTGCCTACCCAGAAGTGCAAGGGAAGTTGATGCCTCCTGGGGAAATCCAAACCAATGGAGGATATAAACCAAGGGTTAAATGCTTCTCTGGCAGTCTTTTGGAAGACCATAATGAGAGGCATTACAGAACTCAGATGGGGAGTCTCTGAGCCCGCTTTGGTTCAGGAGGCTGCCCAATTTAAAAAAAAAGAAAAAAGAAAAAAAGAAAGAAAGAAAGAAAATTATCAGATGGGCTTGGTAGGATCCAGCCCCAGGTGCCCACAGCAGTGAACACCTTGTTAATACATCCTTGTGTTGGCTTTTTTCCTCTTCCTATTTTATTCTGGACTTTTACTTTAAATCCCTGGGATCACCTTCTAAGTAAATTACCTGTAACTAACACCTGTCTTAGGTTCTACTTTCTGGATGGAATCTTTTTTTTTTTTTTTTTGAGACAGAGTTTTGCTCTTGTTGCCCAGGCTGGAATGCAATGGTGCGATCTTGGCTCACTGCAATCTCCGCCTTCCGGGTTCAAACGATTCTCCTGCCTCAGCCTCCCAAGTAGCTGGGATTACTGGCACCCACCACCATGCCCAGCTATTTTTTTTTGTATTTTTTTAGTAGAGATGGGGTTTCACCATGTTGGCCAGGCTGGTCTCGAACTCCTGACCTCAGGCGATCCACTCGCCTTGGCCTGCCAAAGTGGTGGGATTACAGGTGTGAGCCACTGCGCCCAGCCTCTGGACGGAATCTTAAGATGTGTGCAAAATATCTGCTACATGGTAGGTATTCAAGAAAAAATAGCAGTTTTATTATTACTACTATTACTGCTACTACTGTTCCCACTGTTATTATTACCTAGGATTTCAAGTTGCCATCCATTAGTCCTCTTCCCTGAAACCATGGATGATATTGAAGCTCTACAATAGAGTTTCGTTTGTTTTGTTTTTTGTTTTTTGAGATAGAGTCTCACTCTTGTCACCAAAGCTGGAGTGCAGTGGCGTGATCTCGGCTCACTGCAACCTCTGCCTTCCAGGTTCAAGCAATTCTCCTGCCTCAACCTCTATTCTTTTTTTTTTTTTTTTTTTTTTTTTTGAGACGGAATCTCACCCTTGTTGCCCAGGCTGGAGTGCAGTGGCGTGATCTCTGCTCACTGCAACCTCCGCCTCCCGGGTTCAAGTGATTCTCCTGCCTCAGCCTCCTGAGTAGCTGTAATTACAGGTGCCTGCCACTACACCCAGCTAATTTTTTTGTAGTTTTAGTAGAGACGGGGTTCCACCATGTTGGCCAGGCTGGCCTCAAACTTCTGACCTCAGGTGATCCACCTGCCTCGGCCTCCCAAAGTGCTGGGATTACAGGCGTGAGCCACTGCGCCCAGCCTACAATAGAGTTTCTGTGGCAAAATAATTTTGTCTTTTTCCTGAGGGTACTGGAAAGCCATTGATGAATTTTCTTTCTTTTAAACATTTTTTCTACTGTACTATTTTTCGGATTTAGTGAAGTATAATTGATGAGCAATAAAATGAATTTTTTTTTTTTTTAGACAGGCTTTTGCTCTGTCACACAAGCTGGAGTGTAGTGGCATGATTTTGACTCATTTTGTGATACGCTACCTTGTTTTAACCTGAGTGACTCTCTCCTAGCAGAAAGAGAGCCAGACAGACTCCATTTTAGTTTCTTCACTTGTAACCCCTTTCACCTCCCTCCAGGCATAGCTAGTGTAAATCTGACTCAAGGCATGTCCAGGAATGCACCTGTTGATAAGATGGTGAGGCAAGCTGCACCAGCAGTTCCTGGGGGTGTGCGCGGTGGATGGCACCCAACACCCCTGCGTTTATCTCTTTGTGATAGCTTAAGTTCCTGCACCTGGAACTGTTTATTTTTTTGTAACTGCATTTGTAACCAATTAATTTTTTAACCTTTTGCCAGTTCTGCTTCTGTAAAAATTGTTTCAGTTAAAAGCCCCCCACCCCTATTTAGACCAAGGTATAATAACTAACCTAGCCCCTTCCTCGGGGCCGAGAGAATTTTGGGCATTAGCTGCCTCTCGATTGCCGGCTAATAAAGGACTCTTTAATTTGTCTCAAAGTGTGGCATTTCTCTATAACTCGCTTGGTTACAACAATTTCAACCTCCACCTCCCAGGCTCAAGCTATCCTCACAACTAAGTCTCCCAAGTAGCTGGGACTACAGGTGCCCATCACCATACCTGACTAATTTTTGTTTTTTTTTTTTTTTTTTGAGACAGAGTCTCGCTCTGTCACCCAGGCTCTGGAGTGCAGTGGCGCAAACTCGGCTCACTGCAAGCTCTGCCTCCCATGTTCATGCCATTCTCCTGCCTCAGCCTCCTGAATAGCTGGGACTACAGGTGCCCGCCACCAGGCCTGGCTAATTTTTTTGTATTTTTAGTAGAGATGGGGTTTCACTGTGTTAGTCAGGATAGTCTTGATCTCCTGGCCTTGTGATCCACCTGCCTCGGCCTCCCAAAGTGCTGGGATTACAGGCGTGAGCCACCGCGCCCAGACTAATTTTTGTATTTTTTTTTTTTTTGTAGAGACAGGGTTTTGCCATGTTGTCCAGGTTGGTCTCGAACTAGTGAGCTCAAGCGATCTGCCTGCCTTAACCTTCCAAAGTGCTGGGATTACAGGCAGGAGCCACTGCACCCAGCCTTGACGAGTTTTGATATATTTATACAACCTTGAAACCATAACCATACACCCTTGAAACCATAACCACAATCAGGATATTAAAAAAAACCTGCCAAACCAGTTTCCAAAGCGGTTTTATCACCTTAAAATGGTACCATCAGTGTATGAGAATTGTTGTTGCTCTACATTCATGCTAATACTTGGTATTGCCAGTCCTTTCAGCCATTCTGGTGGGTGTGTAGTGTAATCTCATTGCGTTTCCTTTTTTCCCCCCAACATCTTTCATGTTATTTGCCATCCATTTAGTTTCTCTCTTTGGTAAATTGTCTCTGCTAATTGTTTTTCAAATTGGGTTGTTTGTCTTCTTGTTGAGTTGAAATAACTCTGTATATTTCCAGGTAATGGTTACATGTTTTGCGCAATTTTACTCTGATCTGTGGCTTGTCTTCATTTTCTCTCTCTTTCTCTCTTTTCTTTCTTTCTTTCTTTCTTTTTTTTTTTTGACGGAGTTTTGCCCAGGCTGGAGTGCAATGGCGCAATCTCTGCTCACTGCAACCTCAGCCTCCTGGGTTCAAGCAATTCTCCTGCCTCAGCCTCCCAAGAAGCTGGGATTACAGGCATGCACCACCACATCTGGCTAATTTTTTTGTATTTTAATAGAGATGGGGTTTCACCATGTTGGCCAGGCTGGTCCTGAACTCCTGACCTCAGGTGATCCACTCGCTTCAGCCTCTGAAAGTGTGGGGATTACATGGGTGAGTCACTGAGCCTGGCCAGCTTATCTTTCTTTTCTTTTTTTTTTTTTTTTTTTTGAGACGGAGTCTCGCTCTGTCGCCCAGGCTGGAGTGCAGTGGCACAGTCTCCGCTCACTGCAAGCTCTGCCTCCCAGGTTCACACCATCCTCCTGCCTCAGCCTCCCGAGTAGCTGGGACCACAGGCGCCCACCACCACGCCCGGCTAATTTTTTGTATTTTTAGTAGAGACGGGGTTTCACTGTGTTAGCCAGGATGGTCTCGATCTCCTGACTTCGTGATCTGCCCACCTCGGACTCCCAAAGTGCTGGGATTACAGGCGTGAGCCACCGCGCCCGGTTTTATCTTTATTTTCATAACAGTCTTGACTAAAGTTTGAAATTTTGATGATATACAATTTATTCAATTTTTTTCTTTTCTTTTCTTTTCTTTTTTTTTTTTTTGAGACGGAGTCTCGCTCTGTTGCCCAGGCTGGAGTGCAGTGGCAAGATCTCGGCTCACTTGCAAGCTCTGCCTCCCGGGTTCACGCCATTCTCCTGCCTCAGCCTCCCGAGTAGCTGGGACTACAGGAGCCCGCCATCGCGCCCAGCTAATTTTTTGTATTTTTAGTAGAGATGGGGTTTCACCGTGTTAGCCAGGATGGTCTCAATCTCCTGACTTTGTGATCCACCTGCCTCGGCCTCCCAAAGTGCTAGGATTACAGGCGTGAGCCACCACGCCCGGCAATTTTTTTCTTTTTAAAATTTATTTATTTATATTTTAGAGATGGAGTCTCACTGTGTTGCCCAGGCTGGTCTTGAACCCATGGTCTCAACCAGCCCTCCAGCCTTGGCCTTCCAGAGTGCTGGAATTACAGGCATGAGTTATCATGTGTAGCCTATTAATTTAAAAAAATATATTTTTTAATTTTATTTTTGAGACTGAGTTTCCCTCTTGTAACCCAGGCTGGAGTGCAATGGTGCGATCTCGGCTCCCTGAAACCTCCGCCTCCTGGGTTCAAGCGCTTCTCCTGCCTCACCCTCCTGAGTAGCTGGGATTACAGGGGTGGGCCATCACGCCCAATAAATTTTTGTATTTTTTTTTTTTAAGACGGGATCTCGCTCTGTTGCCCAGGCTGGAGTGCAGTGGCGCGATCTCAGATCACTGCAAGCTCTGCCTCCCGGGTTCACGCCATTCTCCTGCCTCAGCCTCCCGAGTTGCTGGGACTACACGCGCCCTCCACCACGCCCGGCTAATTTTTTGTATTTTTAGTAGAGACAGGGTTTCATTGCGTTAGCCAGGATGGTCTCGATATCCTGACCTCGTGACCCGCCCGCCTCAGCCTCCCAAAGTGCTGGGATTACAAGTGTGAGCCACCGTGCCCGGCCAATTTTTGTATTTTTAGTAGAGATGTGGTTTCACCATTTTGGAGAGGCTGGTCTCGAACTCCTGACCTCAGGTGATCTACCAGCCTCAACCTCACAAAGTGCTGGGATTACAGGCGTGAGCCACCGTGCCAGGCCAATAAATATATTTTAAATATTTTTTTGAGACAAGGTCTCCCTCTGTCGTCCAGGCTGGAGTGTAGCGACACCATCACAGCTCATTGCAGCCTGGACCTCCCCAGCTCAAATAATCCTCCTATTTCAGCCTCCTGAGTACCTGGGACTACAGGCACGTTCCATCATGCCCAGCTAATTTTTAAAATTGTTTTTGTAGAGATGGGGCCTCACTCTGTTGCCCAGGCTGGCAGGCTGGTCTCAAACTCCAGGGCTCAAGGGATCCTCCCGCCTTAGCCTCCCAAAGTGCTGGGATGAGAGGTGTGAGCCACTGCACCCGGCCAATTTTTTTTTCTTCTTTTTTCTTTTTCTATTGAGACAGGGTCTTGCTCTGCTGCCCAGGCTGGAGTGCACTGGTGCGATCTCGACCCCCCAGGCTCAAGTGATCATCTCACCTCAGCCTCCCACGTAGCTGGGACTACAGGAGCTTGGCACTAGGCCCCGGATAATTTGTTTGTTTGTTTGTTTGTTTGTTTTGCGACGGAGTCTTGCTCTGTCGCCCAGGCTGGACTGCAATGGCAAGATCTCGGCTCACTGCAACCTCCGCCTCCTGGGTTCAAGCGATTCTCCTGCCTCAGCCTCCTGAGTAGCTGGGATTACAGGCATGCGCCACCGCGCCTGGCCAATTTTTTTAATTTTATGGATAGTGTATTTGAAAAGTCACATCGATTTTTCTCCTGGAATGTCCTCTAGATGTGCCGTAGCTTCAAGTTTTACATGTAGGTCTAATTTAGGTTGTGTGATACAATGGGTTTGCATTTAGAAGGGTCCTCTGGCAGCAGCAAGGAAGGTTTTCGGAGGGTGATAGCCTAGGGCCTGAAACTACTGAGACTTGGAGAGAAGTGATGGTGGCTTTCACTAGGTGATAGTAGTGAAGGATATCGAAATGAATTAAAATACTGGGGATGTAGAATGACTGGACTTAATGGCTTGAGGGAAGTGTCCAGAATGATTCCTGGGTTTCTTACGCACAACACTGAGGGTAGATAACTTGCTTGTACGTTTTTTGCACTTCAAATTGGTCCTCAATAAATAGTTTTTCCTTTGGGGAGGTTATGATTGAAATTTGGCCAGTCAGGGATACAGTTTTCTCAAACAACACTCTTGTATCAGTTCCCTTTTTGGGTACTGCCTGGAGCCCAGTATTGAACCCTGTCCTCCCAAGCCCAAAGACCTTTGCCTCCCATAGTACCAGGAAAGGTGCCCAAGTTCTTTTACACACAAGGTGCGCAGAGCGGCCAGCGCATGCCCAGAGAGGTCGTAAGGAGGACGACCGCCCGGAGAGAAAGGACGCACGCTTCCCGCCATTTTGTTCAGCTTGCCGGGCAACCGGCCCCTGCTGGGGACTACAAGTCCCGTAAGCCTCCGCGGCGGCACGTCCTACCCTACACTGTCCAGCCGGCTCCCTTTTTCCCCCTCCCCGGGGGCCAAGGGCTCCGGCTGCTGCCTGGCGGCCAACGGGCCAGGTAGGATTTCCGGGAGAGGCTGCTGTGGAGGCTGAGGAGGCGGCGGCGGAGATCTGGGTAAGTTCAGCGAGCAAGGGAAAGTGAGCAGGACGCGCTCAGTATCAGGCTGCGGCCTCCTCTCAGGCTGCGGCCCCTTTCTTGGCTCTGCGAGAGGGTCCCGGTCCGGGCAGAAGGTAACGGCCCGGGTCGCCGTCGCTTCGGGCCAGGGCGGGGCGGGGCCGCCGCCTCCCTCCTCGGCCCTCCCACAACGGTCCAACCCGGGCTTCTCCGCCTGAGGCAGGGCCCGCGCAGGCTCGCCCTCTCCGCCCCCCGAGACTTGGCTGGGCCCTTTTGTCTGGGCTGCGTTGCTCCCCCTTTGTGTCCGTGCATGGAGTCTCCGCCACGGGGGAGCCTGTTCCCCCGGTCCCCAACAGGGACTGCTCCCTGGGGATCCGGTTACAGTAACCGGATCGGGTCAAAGTACATTTTTCAAAACCGTCCTGCCTCAGACCTCTGCACCCCTGCTGGGCAGAACGGGGGCTTCGGAGCCAGGCGGAGTTTCTGTAAAAACCTGGAGGTTATTATTTAACTTTCAAACATCAGCCTGGGCGGCTTCAGGGCACGAAACTCCCGACGTTTTTCTTGGTGGAGAGATGAGATTAAGGAAAAGAAGCGACCCCTCTCTCCCACCCTCTACACCCCGGCTCCGGGAAACCGGGAAGGCATCGAATTTGCTGCGATGTCTGTGCAGCTCACATCTGTGATCGGTGGACCAAAGAACCAGTGGTGAATGGTAGAATGGCAGTTCACGCACCTCCCAAATCTCGGAGGAGAGTGACTTACAGGGCATCACTGATTGCTTGCAAAAAAAAAAAACCCTCCAGTGCTTCATTCGGACACTCAGCTCCTCGCTCCTTCCAACCTCTTCCTTTTCTTGTTCTTTTTAAAACAAACAGTGGAAGGAAAAAGTCCTTCAGTGGAAGAATTTGCTTTATAGAGGAACCAGAAACCCAGTGGCTTCTAGAAGTCACTTACTTTTTCGCCAAATTAAAGAAATGAATTTCGGGCGTGGTGGCGCGCGCCTGTAATGCCAACTATTCTGGAGGCTGAGGCAGGAGAATCGCTTGAGGCCAGAAGTTCGCGACCAGCCTGGGCAACACAGCAAGACCCCATCTTAAAAAAAAAAGGAATGAAGCCCGTTTAGAAATGAAGCCAGTTTAGGGGATGAGGTGTGGTAGATTCTTACCGGAAACCGCGGAACTGCGTGGATTGTGGATTCGATCAAATTTGGCTAGATAATGGTAACTGTGTATGTCCTCCTGTTGGAAGACTGCATTGCTAGAATCAGCTTAAGGTAAAATTTGTTTGTTTGTTTCATTTAAGAGACAAGAGTCTAGCTTGGTTGCTGAAGCTTGAGTACAGTGGAGAGCTCCTAGTTCACTGTAGCCTCGAACTTCTTGGCTTAAGCCATCCTTCCACCAGAGGCTCCCAGATGCCTGGGACTAGAGGCATGAGCCACTGTGCCCGACTATTTAATTTAATTTATTTATATTTATTTATTTATTTTGAGACAATCTCACTTTGTTACCCAGGCTGGAATGCAATGGCACGATCTTGGCTCACTGCAACCTCCACTTCCCAGGTTGAAGCGATTCTCCTGCCTCAGCCTCCTGAGTAGCTGGGATTACAGGTGTGTGCCACCATGCCCAGCTAGTTTTTGTATTTTTGGTAGAAACAAGGTTTCACCATGTTAGCCAGGCTGGCCTTGAACTCCTAACCTCAGGTGATCCACCCGCCTCGGTCTCCCAAAGTGCTGGGATTACAAGCGTGAGCCACCGTGCCTGGCCAATTTTTATGTATTTATTTTTTGAAATAGGGTCTCGCTGGGTTTCCCAGGCTGGAGTGCAGTGAGTTGAGCACTGCTCACTGCAGCCTGGACCTCCTCCTGGGCTCAAGCCTCTGCCTCCAGAGTAGCTGGGACAACAGACACAGGCCACCAGCGCAGCTAATTAAAAAAATTTTTAAAAAAATTTTTGTATTGATTGGGGTCCCACTCTGTTGCCCAGGCTGGTCTTGGACTCCTGGGCTCAAGTGATCCTCCCTCCCAAAGTGCTGGTATTAAACCTTAAGATAAAGAATACTGTATTTGTTTTTTGAGATAGAGTCTTGCTCTGTTGCTCAGGCTGTGCAGTGGCGTGATCTTGGCTCACTGCAACCTCTTCCTCCTGGTTTCAAGCGATTCTCCTGCCTCAGCCTCCCGAGTAGCTGGAATTACAGGCATGTGCCACCACTCCCGGCTAATTTTTTTTTTTTTTTTAGTAGAGATGGTGTTTCACCGTGTTGGCCAGGCTGGTCTGGAACTCCTGACCTAAAGTAATTTACCTGCCTCCGCCTCCCAAAGTGCTGGGATTACAGGTGTGAGCCACCGTGCCTGGCCAATAAAAAATTCTAAAGAAGGTCATTGCAAATAACCCTTTTGAAAAATAGGTTAATTCGTGTTTCAAGTCTCTGGGATGAGGACAGCCAGGAGGACCCCTTTACATGAATCAGGGAAGGTTACTGAAGTTAGATAGGTTAATTCCTGCCCTAGCCGAGTAGGCAAAATAAAGCCCTTCACCCTGTATTACTTTGTTTGATATCTCATAATGGAAGTGACTTACTCTTGAGAATCCTAGATTGTATTAGTAATACTGTATAGGGATGGTAGATCCTTAATGCAGTTCTTCAATTTTTAATCCAGCAGTGAGTGAGGGTCTTTTGTGTTTTCCTGGCTATAGTTTGAAGAAGCAACCACAGAATTGCTCTAGTTTTAATAATAAACTGGTTGGGCGCGGTGGCTCACACCTGTAATCCCAGCACTTTGGGAGGCTGAGGCAGGCAGATCACCTAAGGTCAGGTGTTCGAGATCAGCCTGGCCAACATGGTAAAATCCCATCTCTACTAAAAATATAAAAATTAGCCAGGTGTGGTGGTGGGCATCTGTAATCCCAGCTACTTGGGAGGCTGAGGCAGGAGAATCACTTGAACCTGGGAGGCGGAGGTTACAGCGAGCTGAGATTGCGCCACTGCACTCCAGCCTGGGCGACAGAGGGAGACTCAGTCTCAAAAAAAAAAAAAAACACAGAAATAATAAACTAAGAAACAGCAGTTACTATTGACTATTGCTTAATTGTACAAACATGACAATTTTCTCAATATTATTTATTTTTATGATTATTATTATTTTTTTGAGGCAAGGTCTTGTTCTGTCCCCCAGGTGGAGTAAAATGCTATGATCATGGCCCACTGTAGCCTCAACCTCTTGGGCTCAAATGATCCTCCCACTTCAGCCTTCTGAGTAGCTGGGACTACAGGTGCACACTACCACACTTGGCTAATTTTTTAATTTTTTTGTGGACACGAGGTCTCCCTGTGTTGCCCAGGATGGTCTTGAACTCCTGGACTCAAGCAGTCCTCCTACCTTAGCCTCCGAGAGTGCTGGGATTATAGGCGTGAGCCAGTGTGTCTAGCTATATATTTATTCATTTATTTTGTTTGTTTTAAACATAATTTTTTTTTTTGAGATGGAGTTTCACTCTTTTTGCCCAGGCTGAAGTGCAATGGCACGATCTTGGCTCACTGCAACCTCTGCCTCCCGGGTTTAAGTGATTCTTCTGCCTCAGCCTCCTGAGTAGCTGGGATTACAGGCATGTGCCAACATGCCTGGCTAATTTTGTATTTTTAGTAGAGACGGGAATTCACCATGTTGGCCAGACTGGTCTTGAACTCCTGACCTCAGATGATCCGCCCACCTCAGCCTCCCAAAGTTCTGGGATTACAGGCGTCAGCCATCACGCCTGGCCCATAATTTTATAATTTTTATAGAGACAGGTCTCGCCATGTTGCCCAGCCTGGTCTCAAATTCCTTGGCTCAGGCGATCCTCTCACCTCAGCCTCCCAAAGTGCTGGGATTACAGGCATGAGTCACCATGCCCGGCCTCCCAGTACCATTTTTTAAACAAATTAATACACATTGTGTCATTTAATCCTCACTACAGTTCTGTGAGATGGTTGTTACTCTCATTTTACAGCTGATAAAGCCTAGCCTCTAAAATGTTGAAGTGACTTGCCCAAGGTTATAGTTAACCCAGGTAGGAAATATCAGAGTAAACCATACTTCAAATCTAGTCCTCTTTCAGTTACCTCACACTTATTACAGCTACTAATCTTAGCAGCACCAACAGCTTTAATTTGCTAAAATCTAAATATTGGAGAAAATGGAAAATATTTTCCAATTAAGGCAAATTGATTTACAAGGAACTGGAATTTCTGGAACCATAAACAATGAGTCTTTCTCTTAAATTATATTGAACATTGGTCCCATTACTTTGTCTTCTCATATGCTGTGATTACCTTGTGCCTAGGCAGAATGGCAGTTTTATGCAACGCTCAAAAAGTGGTGAGTTACTCAGTTTTGGTTCCCCCTAATCTTTGCTATAAGGTTTATTAAATATGTTGGAGAACATAAATACAATAGCTTTGGCTGCTGAAACTAACATTGAAGACAGAACCAAAATTAAGATACTGTACTTTTTTAGTCAGACCATCGGGACTCAAGAGAATGCTCTCTCTAGTTTCTGCTTTTAATAAAAACTTTTAATCAGTTTCAAACCTGCAGTTAAGTCTTGGATTTATGTTAGTACATGCCATGAATGTGACATCAGAAACAGAAACCTATTTCACCTCCCTTACTTATTAGGTAAAATGCATAACATGCCAATGGAATTGAGTCAATACAATTATGTAGTCTAGCCTTTCTAACTGGTAGTAGCCTGTTTGAAATCTTTTATTATTGCATTATAATGGGAAAGAACTTTTTTTCCTTGTGCTTTTGCTGTTGGTTTACTTCATTTCCAAAACCATCTGTTCATTCAGTCAACAAATACGGAAAGTCTGTTATATTCTAGGCACTGTTGTAGACATTGAGGACAAAACAGTGAAAACAAGTATTTTCCCTCTTGGGGTTTACCTACTGATTAGGGTTGGCTGGGAAGAGGAAGGAGTCTGACAGTAAATAAGCACTAAATAAATAAAATTCCCTCATATAACTGCAACCTTGAGCAACTCAACCTCTTTGAGCTTTAGTTTTCTTGTCTTTAACATGGATGTAATTGATTCCTGCTCTTCCTATCTTGTGGATTGTTTCTAAGAGGGAGTAGAATAAGTATTTGGATACATTATTCGCTTCAAATTCCTGTAGCAAGTTATTTTTACTACTATTAGAAGAAGAGGCCCAGCACGGTGGCTCACGCCTGTAATCCCAGCACTCTGGGAGGCCAAGGCAAGCAGATCACTTGAGGCCAGGAGTTCGAGACGAGCCTGGCCAACATGGCGAAACCCCATCTCTACTAAAAATAAAACAATTAGCTGGGGGTGGTGGCCCATGCCTGTAGTCTCAGTTACTTGGGAGGCTGAGGCATGAGACTTGCTTGATCCCAGGAGGCAGAGGTTGCAGTGAGCAGAGATTGTGCCACTGCACTTCAGCCGGGGTGACAGAGCAAGATTCCATCCTCCCACCACCCCTGCCCGCCCCCACCCACCCCCCCAAAAAAAAAACAAAAGAAAAGAAAACAAGGAGCATTGGAAGAAGATTATTTATAAAGAGAGAGGCTGGGCCCAGTGGCTCATGCCTGTAATCCCAGTGCTTCGGGAGGCTAAGGCAGGAGGATCACTTTATGTTTATCCCAGGAGTTTGAGACCAGCCTGGCAACATAGCAAGACTTTGTCTCTACAAAAAAAAAAATTAAAAATCAGCCAGGCATGGTAGTGGACATCTGTACTCCCAGTTACTCAGGAAGCTGAGATAGGAGGATCACTTGAGCTCCACGGTTTGAGGCTGCAGTGAGCTATGATTGTGCCACCACACTACAGCCTGTGTGGCAGAGCTGGAGACCCTGTTTCAAAAAATAAGTAAATAAGTAAAATAGGAAAGAGAGAAGGGAATGGATGGATTCTTTATTCTGAGGGAGCTCTAAAGTCCTGTTGTAAAACTTTCACAATCGGCCAGGCGCGGTGGCTCACGCCTCTAATCCCAGGACTGTGGGAGGCCGAGGTGGGTGGATCACCCGAGGTCCAGAGTTGGAGACCAGCCTGACCAACATGGAGAAACCCCGTCTCTACTAAAAATACAAAATTAGCCAGGCGTGGTGGTACACGCCTGTAATTCCAGATACTTGGGAGGCTGAGGCAGGAGAATGGCTTGAACTCGGGAGGCGGAGGTTGCTGTGAGCTGAGATCACACCATTGCACTCCAGCCTGGGCAACAAGAGCGAAACTCCATCTCAAAAAAACAAACAAACAAACAAAAAAAACTTTCACAGCCGTGTCTTCACAGGGGCTACCATAACCAAATTATGTAGACCTTTTTCTTTTCTCTTCTTTCTTTTTCTTTTTTTTCACTGCTGTGGTCCCAGCTACTCAGGAGGCTGAGGCACAGGAATCACTTGAGCCTAGGAGGTGGAGGTTGCAATGAGCCAAGATTGTGCCACTGGACTCCAGCCTGGGTGACAGAGTGAGACCTTGTCTCAAAAAAAAAAAAAAATTGAGACAGAGTCTTACTCTGTCACCTAGGCTGGAGTCCAGTGACATGATCAGGGCTCACTGAACCCTTGACCTCTCTCCCAGGCTCAAGCACTCCTCCCACCTCAACCCCCTGAGTAACTGGGACTACAGGCATGCACCACCATGCCTGGCTAATTTTTTCTTTTTTTTTTTTTTCTTTTAGTAGAGACAAGGTCTCATTATGTTGCCCAGACCAGTCTTGAACTCCTGAGCTGAAGCGATCCACCCGCCTTGGCCTCCCAAAGTGCTGGGATTACAGGCGTGAGCCACTGCGCTGGGCCTATGTAGACCTTTTAATTTTTTTTTTGAGACGGAGTCTTGCTCTGTCGCCCAGGCTGGAGTGCAGTGGTGCAATCTCGGCTCACTGCAAGCTCCACCTCCCGGGTTCACGCCATTTTCCTGCCTCAGCCTCCCAAGTAGCTGGGACTATAGGCGCCCACCACCACACCCGGCTAATTTTTTTGTATTTTTAGTAGAGACAGGGTTTCACTATGTTAGCCAGGATGGTCTCAATCTCCTGACCTCGTGATCCACCTGTCTCGGCCTCTCAAAGTGTGGGGATTACAGGCGTGAGCCAGCGCGCCCGGCCTTAATTTTTTTTTGAAATGAGTTTTGCTCTTGTCACTCAGGTTGGAGTGACAGTGTGATCTCAGCTTACTGCAACCTCTGCCTCCCGGGTTCAAGCGATTCTCCAGCCTCAGCCTCCCAAGTAGCTGGGATTATAGGCGCTCACCACCATGCCCGGCTAAATTTTGTATTTTTAGTAGAGACAGGGTTTCGCCATGTTGGCCAGGCTGGTCCTGAGGTTCCAAACTCCTGAACTCAGGTGATCCACCTACCTTGGCCTCCCAAAGTGGTAGGATTACAGGCGTGAGCCTCCGCACCCAGCCTTTTTTTTTTTTTTTTTGTAGACGGGAGTCCTGCTCTGTCACCCAGGCTGGAGTGCAGTGGCGTGAACTCAGCACACTGCAACCTCCGCCTCCTGGGTTCAAGTGATTCTCCTGCCTCAGCCTCCTGAGTAGTTGGGGTTACAGGCGTGCACCACTATGCCCTGCTAATTTTTTTTTTTTTTAGTAGAGATGGGGTTTCACCATGTTGGCCAGGCTGGTTTTGAACTCCTGACCTCAAGTGATCCGCCCGCCTCAGCCTCCCAAAGTGCCAGGATCACAGGCATGAGCCACCACACCCAGCCCATCAAAGCTTTTTGAAATGATCTGTAGGCCAGGAGTGGTGGCTGCGGCCTGTAATCCTAGGATCATGAGGCCACAAGGTGGAGTTCAAGACTAGCCTGGCCAACATGGCAGAACCCTGTCTCTACAAAAACTACAAAAAAGTTAGCTTGGCATGTGGCACGCTTCTATGAGTCCCAGCTACTCTGGAGGCTGAGGTGGGAGGATTGCCTGAGCCTGGAAGGTTGAGGCTGCAGTGAGCCGTAATTGCGCCACTGCACTCTAGCCCAGGTAGACAGAGTGAAAGACCATCTCAAAAAAAAAAAAAAAATTGCTTACTATCTTGATGGTTGGTGAGAGGGTTTAGAGAAGGTATTTATGTACTTGTTAAAAATTTTTGGCCAGATGTGTTGGCTCACGCCTGTAATCCCAGCACTTTGGGAGGCTGAGGCGGGCGGATCACGAGGTCAGGAGATTGAGACCATCCTGGCTAACACGGTGAAACCCCGTCTCTACTAAAAGTACAAAAAATTATCCGGGCATGGTGGTGGGTGCCTGTAGTCCCAGCTACTCGGGAGGCTGAGGCAGGAGAATGGCGTGAACCTGGGAGGCACGGCTTGCAGTGAGCCAAGATTGTGCCACTGCGCTCCAGCCTGGGTGACAGAGCGAGACTCCATCTCATAAAAAAAAAAAAAAAAAATTTGGCCAGGCGCAGTGGCTCACACCTGTATTCCCAGCACTTTGGGAGGCTGAGGCGGGTGGATCACCTGAGGTCAGGAGTTCGAGACCAGCCTGGCTAACATGGTGAAACCCCGTCTCTACTAAAAAAAAAAAAAAATTGGCTGCGTGTGGTGGCAAGTGCCTGTAATCCCAGCTACTCAGGAGGCTGAGGCAGGAGAATCCCTGAACCCGGGAGGCGGAGGTTGCAATGAGCCAAGATCATGCCATTGCACTCCAGCCTGGGTGACAGAGTGAGACTTCATCTCAAAAAAAAAGAAAAAAGTTTTTTTTTTAACCATTTTTTTGTTTTTCTTTCTTTCTTTCTCCCCCCAGCCCCCCCCCCCTTTTTTTTTAACAACCCAAGGGCACAAGGGGGAAAAAATAGAGGAAGTATTTAGAATGTTTTGTTTTGTTTTGATTTTAAGGATGGGAGAGGTTTGACATGTTTGAAGGGAAAGGGAAAGCAGCCAGCAGAGAGGCAGATATTGGAGATGTGCACAGAGAAAATGTAGATAATGAAGAAGTCTTAGGAGGAAATAGAATGAAAAGCTCATGAAACAGTAAACTTTGAAGAGGAATATGAAGAAATAAAGGGTGAGAGAAGATATATTTGGAAGTGGTGGACATGGAAGGTGAAATAAGAGTAGTTGTTACCAGTTGATTACTGTTATTACCCAGGCACTGATCTAGGTTTATTTATTTTTATTTTTATTTATGTATGTATTTATTTTTTTAAGACAGAGTCTTGCTCTGTTGCCCAAGCTGGAGTACAGTGGCACAGTCATGGCTCACTGCAGCCTCAACTCCCCTGCTGGGCTCAAGCAATCTTCCTGTCTCAGCCTGCTGAGTAGCTGGGACTACAGGCATACCGCCATGCCTGGCTAATTTTTGGGTTTTTTGTAGCGATGGGATTTCGCCACATTGCCTAGGCTGGTCTTGAACTCCTAGGCTTAAGCGATCTTCCTGCCTGGGCCTCCCAAAGTGCTTGAATTACACGCATGAGCCACCATGGCCAGCCTATAATTTCTTTCTTTCTTTTTTTTTTTTTTGAAACAGAGTCTCAGTCTGTCACCCAGGCTGGAGTGCAGTGGTGCGACCACAGCTCACTGCAACCTCTACCTCCTCAGGCTCAGGTGGGTGATCCTTCCACCTCAGCCTCCCGGGTAGCTGGGACTATAGGTGCGGGCCACCACGCCAGGCTGATTTTTTAAAATTTTTGTAGAGATGGGATTTCGCCATGTTGCCTAGGCTGGTCTTGAACTCCTGGTCTCAAGTGATCCATCCACCTTGGCCTGCCAGAGTGCTAGGATTACAGGTGTGAGCCCCTGTGGCTGGCCCTGGCCTATAATTTCTTTTCTTTTTTTTTTTTTTGAGATGGGGTCTCGCTCTGTTGCCCAGGCTGGAGTGCAGTGGCACAATCTCGGCTCAGTGCCAGCTCCGCCTCCCGGGTTCACGCCATTCTCCTGCCTCAGCCTCCCGAGTAGCTGGGACTACAGGCGCCCGCCACCACACCCGACTAATTTTTTGTATTTTTAGTAGAGACGGGGTTTCACCGTGTTAGCCAGGATGATCTCGATCTCCTGACCTCGTGATCCGCCCGCCTCGGCCTCCCAAAGTGCTGGGATTACAGGTGTGAGCCACCGCGCCCAGCCTATAATTTCTTATATTCCATAATTGTAAAATTATTTTTCCATAAGTGGAGTAAATATTATATTCTCAACTTGTGTTTCTATTATCAACTTTTTTTTAACTTTTGGACAGACTAATTTAGATGTGTGGGATAAAAATGTTATTCTGTGTTTTTTTAAATGTAACTTTTTTTTTTTTTTTTTTTTTTTGAGACGGAGTCTCGCTCTGTCGCCCAGGCTGGAGTGCAGTGGCGCGATCTCGGCTCACTGCAAGCTCCGCCTCCCAGGTTCACGCCATTCTCCTGCCTCAGCCTCCCGAGTAGCTGGGACTACAGGCGTCCGCTACCACGCCCGGCTAATTTTTTGTATTTTTAGTAGAGACGGGGTTTCACTGTGTTAGCCAGGATGGTCTCGATCTCCTGACCTCGTGATCCGCCCGCCTCGGCCTCCCAAAGTGCTGGGATTACAGGCGTGAGCCACCGCGCCCGGCCTTAAATGTAACTTTTATGTTCAGAGATATATGTGCATGGTTTGGTATACAGGTAAACTTGTATCATGGAGGTTTGTTGTGTATATTATTTTGTCACTCAGGTATTAAGCCTAGTGCCCATTAGTTATTTTTCCAGATCCTCTCCCTGCTCCCATCCTCTACTCTCCAATAGGCACCAGTGAGTGTTGTTCCCCTCTGTGTCCATGTGTTCTCATCATGCAATATTTGGAACATGTGATATTTGTTTTTCTGTTTCTGCATTAGTTTGCTAAAGATAATGGCCTCCAGCTCCACCCATGTTCCTGCAAAGGACATGATCTTGTTGTTTTTTATGGTGGCATAGTATTGCATGGTGTATACATACCACCTTTTCTTTATCTAGTCTACTTTTGATGGGCATTTAGGTTGATTCCGTGTCTTTGCTGTTGTGAATAGTGCTGCAGTGAACATATGTGTGCATATGTCTTTATAATAGAATGATTTATATTCCTTTGGGTATATAACCAGTAATGGGATTTCTGGGTTGAATGGTATTTCTAAGTCTTTGAGGAATTGCCACACTGTCCTCCACAATAGTTGAACTAATTTATACTCCCACTGACAATGTATAAGCATTTCTTTTTCTCCACAATCTCGCCAGCATTATTTTTTGAATTTTTTTTTTTTTTTTCCGAGACAGAGTCTTGCTCTGTCACCCAGGCTGGAGTGCAGTGGAGTGATCTCGGCTCACTGCAGCCTCTGCCTCCCGGGTTCAAGCAATTCTCCTCTCAGCCTTTCCAGTAGCTGGGATTACAGGCCCACACCACCACGCCCGGCTAATTTTTGTATTTTTGTAGGGACAGGGTTTCACCATGTTGGCAGTCTGGTCTTGAAATCCTGACCTCGTGATCTGCCCGCCTCGGCCTCCTAAAGTGCTGAGATTACAGCCGTGAGCCACTGCGCCTGGCCTTTTTTTTTTTTTTGAGACGGAGTCTTGCTCTGTCACCCAGGCTGGAGTGCAGTGGCGTGATCTCAGCTCACTGCAACCTCCGCCTCCCGGGTTCAAGCGATTCTCTTGCCTTAGCCTCCCGAGTAGCTGGGACTACAGGTGCATGCCACCACGCCTGGCTAATTTTTTGTGTTTTTAGTAGAGACGCAGTTAAACCATGTTAGCCAGTATGGTCTCGATCTCCTGACCTCGTGATCCGCCCGCCTCAGCCTCCCAAAGTGCTGGGATTACAGGCATGAGCCACTGCGCCTGGCCTGGCCTATTTTTTTACTTTTTAATACTAGTCATCCTGACTGGTATAAGATGGTATCTCATTGTCATTTCGATTGGCATTTCTCTAATGGTCAGTGATGTTGAGCTTTTTTCATATGATTGTTGGCTGTATGTATGTCTTCTTTTGAAAAATGTCAGTTCATGTCCTTTGCCGACTTTTTTCTTGTTTCTTTTTGAGACAGAGTCTTGCTCTGTTGTCTAGGTTGGAGTGCAATGGCACAATCTTGGCTCGCTGAAACCTCTGCTTCCCAGCTTCAAATGATTCTTGTGCTTCAGCCTCCTGAGTAGCTGGGATGACTACACCACCACGCCAGGCTAATTTTTGTATTTTTAGTAGAGATGAGGTTTCAACATGTTGGCCAGGCTGGTCTCGAACTCCTGGCCTCAAGTGATCCACCTGCCTTGGCCTCCCAAAGTGTTGGGATTACAGGCGTGAGCCACTGCGCCCAGCCCTTTGCCTACTCTTTAATGGGGTTGTTTAGTTTTCTTCTTACAAATTTGTTTAAGTTCCTTGTAGATGCTGGATATTAGACCTTTGTCAGATGCATAGTTTGCAAAAATTTTCTCCCATTCTGTAGGTTGTTTGTTCACCCTGTTGATAGTTTCCTTTTCTGTGCAGGAGCTCTTTAATTAGACCCCATTTATCAATTTTTGCTTTTGTAGTAATTGCTTTTGGTGTCTCTGTCATGAAATTTTTTTTTTTTTTGAGACAGAGTCTCCCTCTGTTGCCCAGGCTGGAGTGCAGTGGCACGATCTTGGCTCACTGCAAGCTCCGGCTCCTGAGTTCACTCCATTCTCCTGCCTCAGCCTCCCGAGTAGCTGGGACTACAGGCGCATGCCACCACGCCTGGCTAATTTTTTGTATGTTTAGTAGAGACAAGGTTTCACCGTGCTAGCCGGGATGGTCTCGATCTCCTGACCTCGTGATCCGCCCGCCTCAGCCTCCCAAAGTGCTGGGACTACAGGCGTGAGCCACCGCGCCCGGCCTATCATGAAATTTTTGCCCATTTTTATGTCCAGAATGGTATTGCCTAGCTTGTCTTCCAGGGTTTTTGTAGTTTCGGGTTTTACATTTAAGTCTTTAATCTGTCTTAGGTTAATTTTTGTATATAGAGTAAGGAAGGGATCCATTTTCAATCTTCTGCATACTAGCCAGTTATCCCAGCACTGTTTATTATTATTAATTTATTTATTTTTAGACAGAGTCTCGCTCTGTTGCCCAGGCTGGAGTACAGTGGCACGATCTTGGCTCACTGCAACCTCTGCCTCCTGGATTCAAGTGATTCTCCTGACTCAGCCTACTGAGTAGCTGGGACTACAGGCCCCGCCACCATGTCTGGCTAATTTTTGTATTTTCAGTAGAGACAGGGTTTCACCATGTTGGTCAGGCTGGTCTCGAACTCCTGACCTCAAGTGATCCACCCACGTTGGCTTACCAAAGTGTTGGGATTACAGGCATGAGCCACCGCGCCTGGCCTCGTGCACCATTTATTGAATGGGGAATTCCTCATTGCCTATTTTTGTCTGGCTTATCAAAGATCAGATACTTGTAGGTGTGTGGCCTTTATTTCTGAGTTCTCCATTCTGTTCTATTGGTCTATGTGTCTTTTTTTGTACCAGTACCATGCTGTATTGGTTACTGTAGCCCTGTGGTATAGTTTGATGTTGGATAGCATGATGCCTCCAGCTTTGTTCTTTTTGCTTAGGATTTCCTTGGCTCTTTTGGTTCCATATGAATTTTAAAATAATTTTTTTTTCTAGTTTTATGAAGAATGTCAATAGTATTTTAATAGGAATGGCATGGAATCTATACATTTCTTAGAGCAGTGCGGCCCTTTTAACAATATTGATTCTTCCTATCCATAGGCATGGGACGTTTTTCCATTTGTTTGTGTCATCTCTGATTTCTTTGAGCAGTGTTTTGTAGTTCTCTTTGTAGAGATCTTTCACCTCCCTGGTTAGCTGTATTCCTAGGTATTTGTGTGTGTGTGTGTAGCAGTCGTGAAAGGGATTGTGTTCCTGATTTGGCAGTCAGCTTGACTGTTGTTGAGGTATAGGAATGTTAGTGATTTTTCACGTTGATTTTGTATCCTGAAATTTTGCTGAAGTTGTTTATCAGCTTAAGGAGCTTTTGTGCTGAGACCATGAGGTTTTCTGGATACAGGGTCATGTTGTCTACAGACAAAGATAGTTTGACTTCCTCTCTTCCTATTTAGATGCCCTTAAATACCTACTTCATTGAATTTTTAACGTGCAGTGGTATTGAATTTTATCGAAAGCCTTTAATGCATCTGTTGAGATAATCATGTGGTTTTTGTCTTTAGTTCTGTTTATGTGATGAATCATATTTACGAATTTGCATATGTTGAACCAACCTTGCATCCCAGGGCTAAAGCCTACTTGATTGTGGTGGGTAAGCTTTTTGATGTGCTGCGGATTTGATTTGCCAGTATTTTGTTGAGGATTTTTGCATTGATATTCATCAAGAATGTTGACCTGAAGTTTTCTTTTTTTTGTTGTGTCTCTGCCAAGTTTTGGTATCAGGATGATGCTGGCCTCATAGAATGAGTTAGGAAGGAGTCCCTCCTCTTCATTCTTTTGGAATGGTTTCAGCAGGAATGGTACCAGCTCTTCTTGGTACATCTGGTAGAATTCAGCTGTGAATCCATCCGGTCCTGGGCTCTTTTTGGCTGATAGGCTATTTATTACTGACTCAGTTTCAGAGCTCGTTATTGGTCTGTTCAGGGATTCAATTTCTTCCTGGTTCAGTCTTGGGAGGGTGTATGTGTCTAGGAATTATCCATTTTTTCTAGATTTTCTAGTTTATGTACATAGAGGTGTTCATAATATTATCAGATGGTTATTTGTATTTCTGTGGGGTCAGTGGTAATAGCCCCTTTTCATTTCTGATTGTGATTATATTTGAATCTTCTCTCTTTTTGTCTTTATTAGTCTAGCTAGCAGTCTGTTGTATTACTTTTTTCAAAGACCCAACTCCACCAGGCGCAAGGGCTCATGCTTGTAATCCCAGCACTTTGGGAGGCCAAGGTGGATGGATCCCTTGAGGCAAGGAGTTTCAGACCAGCCTGGCCAACATGGCAAAACCCCATCTCTACTAAGAATATAATTAGCCATGCATGGTGGTGCACACCTGTAATCCCAACTACTTGGGAGCCTAAGGCATGAGAATCGCCTCAACCTGGGAGGTGGAGGTTGCAGTTAGCCAAGACTGCACCTCTGTGCTCCAGCCTGGACAACAGAGTGAGACTCTATCTCAAAAAATAATAACAAATAAATAAATAAAATAAAACAAAAAACCCAAATCCCTCCTGGATTTGTTGATCTTCTGAATGAGTTTTCAGTGTCTCAATCTCCTTCAGTTCAGCTCTGATACTGATTATTCTCTTTTGCTAGCTTTGGGATTGATTTGCTCTTGGTTATCTAGTTCTTTTAGTTGTAATGTTAGGTTGTTAAATTGAGATCTTTGTAACTTTTTGATGTGGATACTTAGTGCTCTAAATATCCCTCTTAACACTGCCTTAGCTGTGTCCCAGAGATTCTGGTATGATATATCTTTGTTTTCATTAGTTTCAAAGAACTTCTTGATTTCTGCCTTAATTTCATTATTTACTCAAAAGTCATTCAGGGCCAGTAACAGTGGCTTATGCCTGTAATCTCAGCACTTTGGTAGGCCGAGGCAGGTGGATCACCAGAGGTCAGGAGTTTGAGACCAGCCTGGCCATCATGGTAGAACCCCATCTCTACTAAAAATTCAAAAATTAGCCAGGCATGGTGGTGCATGCCTATAGTCCTGGCTTCTTGAAAGGCCGAGACAGGAGAATTGCTTGAACCTGGAGGCGGAGGTTGCAGTGAGCTGAGATCGTGCCACTGCACTCCAGCTTGGGCGACAGAGCAAGACTCTGTCTCAAAAAAAAAAAAAAAAAAGTCATTCAGGAGCAGGTCATTCAATTTCCATGTAATTGTATGGTTTTAAGTGAATTTTTTTTTTTTTTTTTTTGGAGACGGAGCCTCATTCTGTTGCCCAGGCTGGAGTGCGGTGGTGCGATTCCAACTCACTGCAACCTCCGCTTCTGGGTTCAAGCGATTCTCATGCCTTAGCCTCCCGAGTAGCTGGGATTACAGGTGTGTGCCACCACGCCCAGCTAATTTTGTATTTTTAGTAGAGACAGGGTTTCAGCATGTTAGCCAGGCCGATCTTGAGCTCCTGACCTCAGGTGATCCGCCCTCCTTGGCCTCCCAAAGTGCTGGGATTACAGACGTAAGCCACCACGCCCGGCTGGTTTTAAGTGAATTTCTTAGTCTTAATTTCTAGTTTGATTCCGCTGTGGTCCAAGAGATTGTTTACTATGATTTCAGTTCTTTTGCATTTGCTGAGAAGTGTTTTACTTCCGATTATGCAACCAATTTTAGAGTATATGCCATGTGGCAATGAGAAGAATGTGTATTCTGTTTTTCATTTGTTTGTTTGTTTTTCTGAGACAGAGTCTTGGTGTGTCACCCAGGCTGGAGTGCAGTGGTGCGATCTCGGCTCATTGCAGCCTCCACCTCCCAGATTCAAACAATTCTCCTGCCTCAGCCTCCCGAGTAGCTGGGACTACAGGCATGTGCCACCAATCTTAGCAAATTTTTGGACTTTTAGTAGAGACAGGGTTTCACCATGTTGGCCAGGCTGGTCTTGAACTCCTGACCTCAAGTGATCTGCCTGCCTCGGCCTCCCAAAGTGCTAGGATTACAGGCATGAGCCACCACGCCTGACCAATTCTGTTGTTTTTGGATGGAGGGTTCTGTAGGTGTCTTATCAGGTCCCTTTCACCCACTGCTGTTTGAATCCTGAATATCTTTGTTAATTTTCTGTCTCGATGATCTAATAATGTCAGTGGGGTGTTAAAGACTCTCACTATTATTTTGTGGGAAACTAAGTCCCTTTGAAGGTCTCTAAGAACTTGCTTTATGAATCTGGGTGCTCCTATGTTGGGTATATATATGTGGCGGTGTGAGCCACCGTGCCCAGCCTTGTGTTTTTTTAAATAATGCTATCCAATTATTTTCAGTAGCAATTGATTTGTGAGGGCATTTTGAACCTTGTAAGACACCAAATAATGACGTGTTTTTATTAGTCTTGTGATACTAGTATCCACCTAGGTCATTAGATATTTAAAATCTGCACTTTATATAGGACCAACGATATTTAAAAAAATAGTGAAGTATCTTTCTTACACTAGTGTTGATGATGTGTATATTTCTTGTTTACCTGAGTATAGGGCTCATAGAGAAATGGTTGTTCTTTGGGAAAGCTTAGGTGAGTTGATTGTTTATTAAGCAAGCTTAAAAATTAGAGCCCTCAGGCTGGGCGAGATGGCTCACGCCTGTAATCCCAGCACTTTGGGAGGTTGAGGCAGGTGGATCACGAGGTCAAGAGATCGAGACAACCCTGGCCAACATGGTGAAACCCTGTCTCTACTAAAAATACAAAAATTAGCTGGGCGTGGTGGCACGCACCTATAGTCCCAGCTACTCGGGAGGCTGAGGTAGGAGAATCACTTGAACCCAGGAGGCAGAGGTTGCAGTAAGCTGAGATTGTGCCACTGCACTCCAGTGTGGCAACAGAGCGAGACCCTGTCTCAAAAAAAAAAAAAAAAAAAAATTAGAGCCCTCAAACAGTTTTCCCCCTCCTCCAGTGAGTGACAAATAGAAAGAGGGAGGATTCCAAGAGATAATATTTAAAAATAGCCTTACATCTTCTTCCCTTCATTCATGGATTAATCCCTGTTAAAAATGCTGCCAGTAAATAGCAAAGAATAACTGTATAGAACCAATCATAGGATATAAAAGGACTTTCTTCTTCCTTTTACTTGCACATACCCAATTTTGCCTCCTGTCCCTTCCTCTAAATTTGAATTTATTTCAGGGTGAGCATTATGATTCAGGATATCAGTGCACCTTTGCTGTATGTATTAAAGGGTGAAAGGCTGGGCATGGTGGCTCATACCTGTAATCCCAGCACTTTGCGGGGGCTGAGGCTGGAGGATTGCCTGAGGCTAGGAGTTTGAGACCAGCCTGGGCAGCATAGCAAGACACTGTCTCTACAAAAAACAATTTTTTTTTTTTTGAGATAGAGTCTTGTTCTGTCGCCCAGGCTGGAGTGCAATGGCACGATCTTGGCCCACTGCAGCCTCTGCCTCCCAGGTTCCAGCGATTCTCCTGCCTCAGCCTCCTGGGTAACTGGGATTACAGGTGCACGCCACCACGCCTGGCTAATTTTTGTATCTTTAGTAGAGACAGGGTTTCTCCATGTTGGCCAGGCTGGTCTCGAGCTCCTAACCTCAGGTGATCCACCCGCCTTGGCCTCCCAAAGTGCTGGGATTACAGGTGTAAGCCACCATGCCCGGCCTTTGTTTTTTTTAATTATCCAAGTATGGCAACGTGGGCCTGTGGTCTCAGCTACTTGGGAGCCTAAGGCAGGAAGATCACCTGAGCCAGGAGACTGAGGATGCAGTAAGCTGTGATGGTGCCATTATGCTGCAGCCTGGACGACAGAGTGAGACTCTGTCTCAAAAAAAACACCAAAAAAAGATGTCACATAATCTTAAAATTTGTATGGAACACAAAAAGGCTCTGAATAGTCAAAGCAATTTTGAGCTAAAAGAATAAAGCCAGAGGCATCATACTGTCTTATTTCAAAATATGCGACAAAACTGAAGTAAAACAGCGTGGATCTGCCATAAAAAGACATAGACAAATTGAATAGACTAGGGAATCCAGAAATAAGTCCACGTAGGTATGGTCAATTGATTTTCGACAAAGATGCCAAGAACACACAGTGGGGAAAGGACAATCAGTGTCTTCAGTAAATGATGTTGGGTAAAGTGGATATCCACATGCAGAAGAATGAAATTAGATCCATGTCTCTCACCATCTTAAAAAATCAACTCTGGCTGGGCACGGTGGCTCACGCCTGTAATCCCAGCACTTTGGGAGCCTGAGGCGGGCAGATCACGAGGTCAAGAGATCAAAACCATCCTGGCCAACATGGTGAAACCCCGTCTCTACTAAAAATACAAAAATTAGCTGGGCGTGGTGGTGTGCACCTGTAGTCCCAGCTACTTGGGAGGCTGAGATAGGAGAATCGCTTGAACCCAGGAGGCGGAGGTTGCAGTGAGCTGAGATCATGCCATTGTACTCCAGCCTGGGCGACAGAGCCAGACTCCATCTCAAAAAAAAAATCAACTCAAAATGGATTTAAAGACTTAAATGTAAGACCTGAAACTGTAAAACTACTAGAAGCAAACACAAGAGAAAGCTTCATGACTTGGTCTGGGCAATGATTTTTTGATTATGACCCCAAAAGCACAGGCAACAAAAAGCAAAAATAGTCAAAGGGGATTACATCAAACTCAAAAGCTTCCGCACAGCAAGGGAAACAACAGAATGAAGAGACAACGTATAGAATGGGAGAAAATATTTGTAAACTATATGTATGATTAGAGGTTAATAGGAAAAGTTATGAGGAACTCAACAGCAAGGAAACAATCCCATTTTAAAATGGGCAAAAGATCTGAATAGACATTTCTCAAAAGAAGACCTATAAATGGCCAACAAGTATATGAAAAAATGTTCAGTATCACTAATCCTCTGGAAAATGCAAATTAAAACCACAATGAGATATTACCTCACACCGTGTTAGAATGGTTTTTATCAGAAAGATGAAAGATTTGTGGGATACCATACTGGTGAAGAAAAAAATGTAAAATTAAAAGAAAAAAAATAACAAGTGTTGGCAAGGATGTGGAGAAAAGGGAACCCTCATGCACTGTTGGTGGAAATGTAAATTTGTATACTACTTTTTTTTTTTTTTTTTTTGAGACACAGTCTCGCTCTGTTGCCAGGCTGGAGTGCAGTGACGCAATCTCGGCTCACTGCAACCTCCGCCTCCCAGGTTCAAGCGATTCTCCTGCCTCAGCTTCCCGAGTAGCTGGGACGACGGGCGCGTGCCACCACGCCCAGCTAATTTTTGTATTTTTAGTAGAGATGGGGTTTCACTGTGTTGGCCAAGATGGTCTTGATCTCTTGACCTCGTGATCGCCTGCCTCGGCCCCCCACCAAGTTTTGGGATTACAGGCGTGAGCCACCGCGCCTGGCCTGTACACTACTGTTCTATGGAAAACAGTATGGAGATTCCTCAAAAAATTGAAAATAGGATTATCATACAATTCAGCAATTCCACTACTGGGTATATATCCAAAGGAAATGAAATCAGTATGTTGAGGTATCTGTACGCTCATGTTCATTGCAGCATTATTCACAAGAGCCAAGATACAGAATCAGTGTTAAGTGTCCATCAGTAGATGAATGGATAAAGAAAATTTGGTATATATACACAACGAAATACTATTCAGCCTTGAAAAAGAAGGGAATCTTGTCATTTGGGACAACATGGATGAACTTAGAGGATATTACATTAAGTGAAGTCAGCCAGGCACAGAAAGACAAATGCTGCATGCTCTTATTTTGTTGTTACAGACAGGGTTTTTTGCTGCTGTGTTGCCCAGGCTGGAGTACGGTGGCTATTCCCAGGTGCAATCATAGCACACTATAGCCTCGAAGTCCCTCCTGGTATCAAGCGATCCTCCTGCCTCAGCCTTCTGAGTTGGTGGGACTACAGGCAGGTGCCACCATGGCTGGCCACATGCTTTTACTTATATATGGAATCTAAAATGTCAAACTCAATCTTACAATTCTCATATACCTATATTAACACCACCAAGGCTGTGGCTACCATTAGCAACAGGAGCATTAAATATCTGTTGGGTAAACTGTAGACCAAGGCTTTTAGTATTACAGAATATAATTCTAATAAAAATTCCAGGCTGGGGCAGGGCATGGTGGTTCATGCCTGTAATCCCAGCACTTTGGGAGGTCGAGGCGGGTGGATCACCTGAGGTCAGGAGTTTGAGACCAGCCTGGCCAACATGGTGATACCCCTATCTCTACTAAAAGTACAAAAAAATTAGCCGGGCGTGGTGGCCCATACCTGTAATCCCACATACTCAGGAGGCTGAGGCAGGAGAATCACTTGAACCCCAGGGGTGGAGGTTGCAGTGAGCCGAGATCACGCCACTGCGCTCCAGCCTGGGCAACAGAAAGAGACTGCATCTCAAAAAATAGAAAAAATTCCAGGCTGGGCGCAGGTGGTTCAAGCCTGTAACACAGCATTTTGCTAGGTGGAGGCAGGCGGATTGCTTGAGCCTAGGAGTTTGAGACCAGCCTGGGCAACATGGTGAAATCCCATCTCTACAAAAAATACGAAAACTAGCTGGGTGTGTTGGTGTGCACCTGTAGTCCCAGCTACTTGGGAGGCTGAGGTGGGAAGATCTCACCTGAGCCCAGGGAGGTTGAGGCTGTAGTGAGCCGTGATTGTGCCACTGCATTCCAGCCTGGGCGACAAGAGTGAGACCCTGTCTAAAAACAGTAAATAAAAATAGGACAGGCTCAGTGGTTCATGCCTGTAATCCCAGCACTTTGGGAGGCCGAGGCAGGCGGATCATGAGGTCAGGAGATGGAGACCATCCTGGCTAACATGGTGAAACCCCGTCTCTACTAAAAATACAAAAAATTAGCCGGGCGTGGTGGTGGGCACCTGTAGTCCCAGCTACTCGGGAGGCTGAGGCAGGATAATGGTGTGAACCCGGAAGGCAGAGGTTGCAGTGAGCTGAGATCAAGCCATTGCACTCCAGCCTGGGCTACAGAGGGAGATTCTGTCTCAAAAAATAAATAAATAAAATAATAATAATAATAATAAAGTAAAACTCATAGAAGCAGAGAATAAAATGGTGGTTACCAGGAGCTGGGTGGGAGTGGAGATTGGGAAGGTGTTGGTCAAAGGATATAAAATTTCTGTTAGACAGAAGGAATAAGCACAAGAAATCTGTTGTACAACATAGTGACCTTAGTAAAAATATATTCTTTTTTTTTTTTTTTTTTTTTTTGAGACAGAGTTTCACTCTTTTTGGCCAGGGTGGAGTGCAATGGCATGATCTTGGCTCACTGCAACCTCTGCCTCCCAGGTTCAAGCGATTCTCCTGCCTCAGCCTCCCAAGTAGCTGGAATTACAGGCATGCACCACCATGCCCAGCTAATTTTTTGTATTTTTAGTAGAGACGGAGTTTCTCCATGTTGGTCAGGCTGATCTCAAACTCCCAACCTCAGGTGATCTGCCTGCCTAAGCCTCCCAAAGTGCTGGGATTAGAGGTGTGAGCCACCACGCCCGGCCACTAAAAATATATTCTGTACCTGCAAATTGCTGAGAGTAGATTTTAAGTGTTCTCACCACAAAGAAACGTAATTATTTTAGGTAATGGATATGTTCATTAGTTTGATTTAGCCATTCCACAGTCTTCACATACAGTAGCGCTCCCCCTTATCCACAGTTTTGCTTTCTGTGGTTTTAGTTACCCAAGATCAGCCATGGTCTGAAGATATGAAAAAGAAATTCCAGCAACAAACAATTCATTAGTTTTAAACAGCATGCCATTCTGAGTAGTGTGATGAAATCTCTCTTGCCGTCCTGCGTATGTCATGAATCATCTCTTTGCTCGGTGTCTCCACACTGAGTCTGCTACATGCCCTTTAGTAGCAGACTTGGTTGTCAAATTAACTCAGGCTATTGCAGGGCTCGTGTTCAAGTAACCCTTATTTTACTTAATAATGGCCCCAAAGTGCAAGAGTAGTGATGCTGGCAATTTGGATATACCAAGGATAAATTCCTTTTTCTTTTTTTTTTTTTTGAGACAGACTCTTGCTCTGTTGCCCAGACTGGAGTTCAGTGGCCCCATCATTGCTCACTGCAACCTCCACCTCCTGAGCTCAAACAATCCTTGCACCTCAGCCTCCAGAGTAGCTGGGATTACAGATGTGCATCACCATGCCTGGCTAATTTTTGTATTTTTTGTAGAGATGAGGTTTTGCCATGTTACCTCGAACTCCTGGGCTCAAGTGATCCACCCACCTCAGCCTCCCAAAGTGCTGGGATTACAGGTGTGAGCCACCACTCCCAGCCAAGAAGCTATTAAGTGTATCCTTTAAGCAAAAAGATGAAAGTTCTAGACTTACTAAGGAAAAAAAAATCTTATGCCAAGATTGCTAAAATCTATAGTAAAAATGATTTTTTTTTTGTTTTTTATGAACCCTGCATATTGTATTTGAAAGAATGAATTTTCTATCTGTGAAATTGTGAAGACGAAAAAAGAAAATTGTGCTAGTTTTGCTGTTGTACTCCACATTGCAGAAGTTACAATCACAGTGCACAGTAAGTTCCTAGTGAAGATGGAAAAGACACTAAATTTGTGGGTGGGAGACATGAACAAAAACGTACTTTGATTGAGTGCAATTGGATTCAGTACTGTCCATTGTTTCAGTTATCCACTGGGGGCTTTGGAATGTATCCCTCAAGGATAAGAGAGGACTACTGTATTTCTGAATGTCATTTTACACACCGTAACTATATATAATTTTTGTCAGTTAAACAAAATATGGCACAATCTCTTTTAAGCTATTGGTGATACCAATAAGATTGGGAATTTTACTAACAATCTTTTACATACTTTACCTTCTTAAATAAAATTAGGTAAGAGATAGGACTTCTGGGACAACATCTTTATATACTTGGGAGAAGGGTTCATCCTTCCACTATGGCAACACTAATTTATTGGTAAATGCAAACCACTATAGTAGGCTCATTCTATTAAATGAATGCACTGCATAATAACACTTCTGTCAATGCTGGACTGCACAAATGATGGTGGTCTTGTAAGGTTAAAATGGAGCTGAAAAATTCCTATTGCCTGGTGATGTAGCCATCATGATGTTATAGCACAATGCATTACTCACGTTTGTGGTAATGCTGGTAGTAAACAAACCTGTGCTGGCAGTCATATAAAACTATAGCACATACAATTATGTATAGTATATAATACTTGATAATAAATGACTATATTACTGGTTTATATATTTACTATACTTTTTAATTGTTAGTGTGTATTCCTTCTACACACACACACACACACATATTTTTATTTTATTTTTATTTTTGAGATGGGGTCTCACTTTGTTGCCCAGGCTGGAGTGCAATGGCACAATTAGGGCTCACTGCAGCCTTGACCTCTCAGGCTCAGGTGATCTTCCCACCTCAGCCTCCCAAGTAGCTGGGACTACAGGCACATGCCACCATACTGGCTAACTTTTTTTTTTTCTTCTTCCCTGTAGAGACAAGGTTTTGCCATGTTGCCCAGACTGGTCTTGAACTCCTGGGCTCAAGCAGTTTGCTCACCTTGGACTCCCAAAGTGCTGTGATTACAGGTGTGAGCCACCTCACCCAGCCTTATTTTTTAAAAAAGTTAACTGTAAAACAGCCTCTGGCAGGTCCTTCAGGAAGTATTCTAGAAGAAGGCACTGTTATCATAGGAGATGACAGCTCCATGCCTGTTAGTACCCCTGAAGACCTTTCAAGAAGTCAAGATGTAGAAGTGGAAGACAGTGATATTCTTGATCCTGTCCCTGTGGAGGCCTAGGCTAATGTGTTGTTAGTGTCTTAGTTTTTAACAAAAAGTTTTAGAAAGTAAAAAAAAAAAAAAAAGAAAGAGGGACGGAGGGAAGGAAAGGAGGGAGGGAGGAAGGAAGAGGGAGGAGAGAGACAGAGCAGAGAGAGAAAGGAAGGAAAGGAAAGGAAGAAAGAAAAAAAGAAAAAAAAGAAAAGAAATCCTCCTGACTTATCATCCTGAATAGCTGGGACAACAGATGTGTCCTACCACACCAAGCTAATTTTTAAAAAATTGTTTTTATGGAGATGGGATCTTGCTATGTTGCCTGGGCTGGTCTCAAGCTCCTGGCCTCAAGTGATCTTCTTGCTTTGACCTACAGAAGCACTAGGATTACAGGTGTGAGCCACCTCTCCTGGCCATCTTTTCTTTTTTTTTTTTTTGGAGATGGAGTTTTGCTCTTGTTGCCCAGGCTGGAGTGCAGTGGCACGATCTCGGCTCACCACAACCTCTGGCTCCCAGGTTCAAGTGATTCTCCTGGCTCAGCCTCCCGAGTAGCTGGGATTACAGGCATGTGCCACCACGCCTGGCTAATTTTGTATTTTTAGTGGAGATGGGGTTTCTCCATGTTGGTCAGGCTGGTCTCAAACTGCCGACCTCAGGTGTTCCACCTGCCTCAGCCTCCCAAATTGCTGGGATTACTGGGGTGAGCCACCATGCCTGGACCTGGCCATCCTTTTTTTCTTTTTTTTTTTTTTTCTGAGATGAAGTCTTGTTCTTGTTGACCAGGCTGGAGTACAGTGGCACGGTCTCAGCTCACTGCAATCTCTGCCTTCCGGGTTCAAGCGATTCTCCTGCCTCAGTCTCCTGAGTAGCTGGGATTACAGGCGCCCACCACCACCCTGGCTAATTTTTGTACTTTTAGTAGAGATGGGGTTTCGCCATGTTGGCCAGGCTGGTCTCAAACTCCAGACCTCAGGTGATCTGCCTGCCTTGGCCTCCTAAAGTGCTGGGATACAGCCATGAGCCACCAGGCCCGGCTGGCCATCTTTTAAAAGTATGTTTTGTCTTTGAGGTTTCCTCAAAATGTGATACATAACGATGCCAGAAATATATACGGCTTCATTTTTGTGGGTGTTGATTTTGTCATGATCAGTGATGATGATGAATTGCCCTTCCTGTGCTCTGTAAGCATGTTTTCTGAAATTAATGTCCTTTATAACTCACTAGTGTTATTTTCTGGGATAATTTGGATTAGCACGCAATGCTTTTGCTTATCAATAAGCCACACCTCTGTTTTAAAGAGCTGATTCATGCTTCTTAGTGGTAACAGAAGTACTATGTTTAACAAAGAGGAGGAGGTCAGTTTTTCTTCAAAGAAGAAAGTTTCATTTTTATGTCTTTACTCCTCAGTAATATGTTACATATTGAATATTTGTGCTTAAAAACAAACTTTTCTTAAGCATAACTTTTTTTTTTTTTTTTTTTGAGTCAGAGTCTCACTCTGTCGCCCAGGCTGGAGTGCAATGGCACCATCTTGGCTCACTGCAAGCTCCACCTTCCAGGTTCATGCTATTCTGCCTCAACCTCCCGAGTAGCTGGGACTACAGGCACCTGCCAGCTACTGTTACAATTACACGCCTGGCTAATTTTTTTTTTTTTTTTTTTTTTTTAGTAGAGACGGGGTTTCACCGTGTTAGCCAGGATGGTCTCGATCTCCTGACCTCGTGATCCGCCCGCCTCGTCGGCCTCCCAAAGTGCTGGGATTACAGGCGTGAGCCACCACGCCCGGCCAACTTTTTTTTTTTTGAACAGGCTTTTCCATTTGTAAAACTCAGTCCTTACTAAGAACATGATTGTAAGTCTCTATATAATGTTTCATTTTCTTTGTGATAGGCAAAAACAAATTAAGTTCTTTATTAACTGCTTTTATTTGTAGCTACTAAATTTCTCTGCTAAGTGTAACAAAAATAGTTTAGAAATAGCAAAGAAAGTTATTTTAGGGAAATGTAGAGGTTTTCTACACTTCCAGATTTCCAGGGAAAAGGGTAAATTGGTGACAGATAATAAAGATGCATGTAGCCAGGCACGGTGGCTCATGCCTGTAATCCGAGCACTTTGGGAGGTCGAGGCAGGCGGATCATTTGAGGTCAGGAGTTCAAGACCAGCCTGGCCAACATGGTGAAATCTCGTCTCTACAAAAATACAAAAATTAGCTGGGCGTGGTGGTATGCACCTTTAATCCCAGCTACTCGGGAGGCTGAGTCGGAAGAATCACTTGAACCTGGGAGGCGGAGGTTGCAGTGAGCTGAGATCGCACCATTGCACTCCAGCCTGAGTGACAAAGCGAAACTCTGTCTCAAAAAAAAAAGAAGATAATAAAGATGCGTGTAGATTACAGTATTTACTCCTTATATTAATGTAGTAGCATCTGAAGGTCACTCTAGAAGAATAGATACCTTATTACTTTCTTAATTTTCTCTAGTGATGTGCTTTTTTTTTTTTTGAGACGGTGTTTTGTTCTTGTCTCCCAGGCTGGAGTGCAATGGCGCAATCTCGGCTCACTGCAACCTCTGCCTCCTGGGTTCAAGCGATTCTCCTGCCTCAGCCTCCTGAGTAGCTGAGATTACAGGCTTACACCACCACGCCCGGCTAATTTCTTTCTTTCTTTCTTTCTTTTTTTTTTTTTTTTTTTGTATTTTTAGTAGAGACGGGGTTTCACCGTGTTGGCCAGGCTGGTCTCAAATTCCTGACATCGGGTGATCTACCCGCCTCGGCCTCCTAAAGTGCTGGGATTGCAGGTGTGAGCCACCGTGCCTGGCCGTGATATGCTTTTAAATCAAGTCCAAGAAAATGTGGAAATAACACTTTAGTTGTTCAGTCTGCCAATGTAAATTTAGGTTTCATTATCTTGATGGTGTTTTTAGACATTGTGTATTTTGATCAGGCTTTGAATCATGATAGAATTAAAAACTGCTTTTTTTGTTTTAGAACTGAAATGGAGGAGTGAGGTGAGCTTTAAGACTGCCAACTATATGCCAGGCACAGCCCATTTCTTCCTGTTTTATTTTATAATAAATGCTATTTCATGAGATTCTCATTAAAGATGAGTATTATTAATCCCACTTGAATCCCCAAAGACAAGAAGGTTAAATTATTCTGCAATATTATCTTTTGTAACCAAAATCATTAACCAGTTTGTATATGATTGATATTTGAAACTAACTTGTGCTAATTTGTCCAATGAAAGATAATGCAAGTTCTCTTAACCAGTAAACTTTTGTTCTTTTGATTTTTGCCTGGCTTGTTAAGCTTTCTCAGGAGGGAGAAGGTTATTTTGAATAACACGGGTCTAGCGTTACAGCAATTACCCAGAAAGGAATAGAAAAGGCAGAAAATAATTTCATTCTTGACGGTTTCCATCTGAGTAGATTAATTTATATTTGTATGTACAATCTGAGGCTATCTTGGACATTCAAAATGAAACAAGGAATGAAGCTATTATTAGGGTAATTGAGAAAAAAATAATTTTTGCTTTTTTTTTTTTTTTTGAGTCTTTCTCTGTCGCCAGGCTGGCGTGCAGTGGCGCAGTCTCGGCTCACTGCAACCTCCACCTCCTGGGTTCAAGCGATTCCTCTGCCTCAGCCTCCCGAGTAGCTGGGACTACAGGTGCGTGCCACCATGCCCTGCTAATTTTTTGTTGTTGTTGTTGTTTTTGTATTTTTAGTAGAAACGGGTTTTCACCATTTGGGCCAGGATGGTCTTGATCTCCTGACCTCATGATCCGCCCGCCTCGGCCTCCCAAAGTGCTGGGATTACAGGCATGAGCCACCGCCGCTGGCCTAATTTTTGCTTTTAATATCAAGTTTCTAGCCTGCAGTACATGCTTCTGTGTTTCTTTCACTGAACTGACCTAGCCACAGTTACCAAGTTGAGGAATTGATACATTCGAAGAGTTCTGTTAAAGGTGGGAAGAGGATAATATATTTTAGAATTCTCATATACCTATGTTAACACCACCAAGGCTGTGGCTGCCATTAGCAACAGCAGCATTAAATATCTGTTGGGTGGCTGGCCGGGGTGGCTCACGCCTGTAATCCTGGAACTTTGGGAGGCCAAGGTGGGCAGATCATGAGGTCAGGAGTTTGAGACCAGCCTGGCCAGCATGGTGAAACCCCGTCTCTACTAAAAATACAAAAAATTAGCCAGGCATAGTGGCATGTGTCTGTAGTCCCAGCTACTCAGGAGGCTGAGGCAGGAGAATCACTTGAACCCCACAGGCGGAGGGTTGCAGTGAGCCGAGATCATGCCACCGCACTCCAGCCTGGGCAACAGAGTAGACAGACCCTGTCTCAAAAAATAAAATAGGCCGAGCACGGTGGCTCATGCCTGTAATCCCAGCACTTTGGGAGGCTAAGGCAGGCGGATCGCTTGAGGTCAAGAGTTCGAGACCAGCCTGGTGAACATGGTGAAACCCTGTCTCTACCAAAAACACAAAAATTAGCCGGGCGTGGGGGCACATGCCTATAATCCCAGCTACTTGGGAGGCTGAGGCAGGAGAATTGCTTGAACCTGGGAGCTGGAGGTTGCAGTGAGCCAAGATCGCGCTACTGCACTCCAGCCTGGGTGACAGAGCAAGACTCTGTCTCAAAAAAGAAAAAAAAATTTAATTAATTAAATACTGATATTCAAAAAGAAGCACTTTTGAGGCAATAGTTTTATCAGATCTCAAATATGTATGTTTTGTATCCATCCTACTGGTTCTGTTTCTGAGAAGAACCCTAATACAGAAGGTATTCCGGAAGACACGTTAGCCAAGCTTGAGATTTAAAGGAATTAGCTGTGTAAAGAGGTAGGAAAGGCTGGGTGCGGTGGCTCACATCTGTAATCTCTGCACTTTGGGAGGCCGAGGCGGGTGGATCACCAGAGGTCAGGAGTTCAAGACCAGCCTGGCCAACATGGTGGAACCCCATCTCTACTAAAAATACAAAAATTAGCTGGGTGTGGTGGCACATGCCGGTAATCTCAGCTACTGGGGAGGCTGAGGCAGGAGAATCGCTTGAATCCAGGAGGCGGGGGTTATAGTAAGCCAAGGTCATGCCACTGCACTCCAGCCTGGGCGACAGAGCAAGACTCTGTCTCAAAAAATATATATATGATGAATAATTTTGTGTTGATGAAATTTCTGCTGTGTATAAATATTTTTTGAGTTTAGTATGTCTCTACTGTTAAGTGATATGGCATGATTTATTTCTTTTACCACTTTTCGGTATTCACATTGCCAGGAAACTTGTTCCTTTGAAGTTATTTGGTTTTCTCATGGCTCACATACGTCATGGATACTTACCTAATTCCATTTCTATTAATTTCTTGTTGGTCTCGGACTATGTAGTACTGTTTGGTGCTAGTGTTCATTTATTTATTCAGTAAGTATTTTCTTAGTACCTAGTGTATGCACCTTCTAAATGCAGGGATATAGTAGTGAACAGAACAGATAAAGTATCTAATGATACTTTCTAGATTGGGAGAGACACAATAAGAACTTAGGTAAGCATATCTATAGATAAATTACAGATAGTATACCATCAGATAGTGATACATTAAAATAAAAATAAAACAGGGTAAATGGATAGAATGTTTTGAAAAGGGGGTGCCAAGGAAAGGCCTCTCTGAGGGAGTCACACTTGAGTGACCTGAAATAATGGAGCAAATCACGCAGTTTCTGGGAAAAGAGCATTCCAGGCTGACTGAATAACAACTGCAAACCCTAGGGTAAGAATGTGCTTGTTATGTTACAGAAACAATAGTAAGCTCAGTATGGGTAAAACAGAGTGAGCAAGAGAAGTAGGAAATGTGGTCAGTGGAGCAGACAGGGACCAGGACATGTAGGATCTTATAGGCCGTGGTAAGAAATTTGCAGTTGTCAAGCACAATGGCTCATGCCTGTAATCCCAGCACTTTGGGAGGCCAAGGTGGGCAGATCACTTGAGGTCAGGAGTTCAAGACCAGCCTGGCCAACATGGTGAAACCCCATCTCTTCTAAAAATACAAAAATTAGCCGGGCGTCTTGGCGCACGCCTGTAATCCCAGCTACTTGGGAGGTTGAGGCAGGAGAATCGCTTGAACCTGGGAGTCGGAGGTTGCAGTGAGCCAAGATCGTGCCACTGCACTCCAGCCTGGGTGACAGAGCAAGACTCCATCTCAATTAAAAAAAAAAAAAAAAAGAGAAATCTGGAGTTAATTTCAGATGTAATAATGTAGCCGGCTTAAGTCTGGCTGCTTGCCACTCAGAGGCCAAAAAAAAGAGAAGCCAGGTGCGGTTTAAGGAAAGCAGTTTTATTAATCAAATGCTAGGAGCTGGGGAATGGCCAGGCTCATGCCTTCAAAAGACCATTCCAGTTTTTTGGGCTGAGTGAAGGATTTTTTTTGAGATGGAGTCTCACTCTGTCACCCAGGCTGGAGTGCAGTGGCGCAATCTCAGCTTAGTGCAACCTCTGCCTCCCAGATTGAAGCGATTCTCCTGCCTCAACCTCCAGAGTAGCCAGGACTACAGGCGCGCGCCACCACGCCCTGCTAATTTTTGTAGTTTTAGTAGAGACGGGGTTTCCCTATGTTGGCCAGGCTGGTCTCGAACTCCTGACCTCAGGTGATCTGCCTGCCTCGGCCTCCCACAGTGCTGGGATTACAGGCATGAGCCACCACGCCCGGCCTGAGTGAAGGGTTTTAAGAAGGCAAAGATATGGGAAATATGTGATAGTGGTGCAGGAGGGGATAGGCCTTCAAATCTTGTTCCCATGGCTGTCTTGAGTAATCACCTGTCTGGAGTTCTGGTTTTTTCATCCTGATTTCTGCCTAATAGTGGTGAGCCAACTGTTCAGAACTCCCCTTAGGTGGGAGGATTCTGCAACTGGCTCTCTCTGCCTGATTTGTTTCAAAATTGGCCCCTGGAATTTGTAAGCAAGCACATAATTAGATAAGTGAGCATTGTTCATGGAAGTACCTGGTAGGAAAGGGAAACAAAGAGTTTCAAAGTATGTTTCAAGGCTGAAAGCAAGAAAGGAAAAAAAAGTTTTAAAACGCATTTTGAGGCTGAGATACTTGGCTACAACAGGGATATATGACCTGCTTTACTTTTTTTTTTTTTTTTTTTTGGGGGGGATGGAGTCTCGCTCTGTCACCCAGGCTGGAGTGCAGTGGCACGATCTTGGCTCACTGCAACCTCCACCTCCCGAGTTCAAGCCATTTTCCTGCCTCAGCCTCCCACGTAGCTGGGATTACAGGCGCCCGCCACCATGCCCGGCTAATTTTTATATTTTTAGTAGAGACGAGGTTTCACCATGTTGGCCAGGCTGGTTTTGAACTCCTGACCTCAGGCGATCTGCCCGCCTTGGCCTCCCAAAATGCTAGGAGTACAGGCATGAGCCACCATGCCCTTTTTTTTGTTGTTGTTAATAGAGGCAGGGTCTGGCTCTGTTGCCCATGCTGGAGTGCCGTGGTGCAGTCATAGCTCACTGTAACCTCAAATTTCTGGGCTCAAGCTGTCTTCCTGCCTCAGAGTAGCTAGGACTACAGGCACGCACCACCACGCTCATCTAATTTTTAAATTTTTTTAGAGACAGGGATTTTACTATGTTGCCCAAGCTGGCCTTGAATTCCTGGCCTCAAGTGATCCTACCACTTCAGTATCTGAAAGTACTGCGATTATAGCCATCAGCCACTGCATCCAGCTCTGCTTTACTTTTTGAAAGGATCACCCAGGCCAGTCTGAGGATAACAGAATATAAGAGTCTGAGAAGAAGGGAGGTTAATTAGGGGTTGATTGTACTAGTCTAGCAAGAGATGGTGATAGCTTAGACTAGAGTGAGAAGTGGTTAAATTATGGATATCTTTTGGAGGTGGAGGCAATAAGACTTGGTAATGATTTAATTGTAGCTGTGAGAGAAAGAGAAGAGTCAAGGATGACACCTTGTTGAACAACTAGAAAACTTAAGCTGCCATTTTACTGAAATGATACAAAATAGCAGCTAACACAGATGCCAGCTCTTTTTCTAAGTGCTTTACATCTGTTGCCCTACTCATGAATAGGGAATACCTGGGGGGGAAAAAATTGGGAGTGGGAAATCAAGAGTTTGTTCTTTAAAACATAGTAAGTTTATGAAACTTCCTAGATTTCCAAATAGAGTATTGAGTATGCTGTAGATATATCAGTCTGTTGAAGTTCAGGGGAGATGTTCAGCCTGGAAATAAGAATTTGTTTGTATCATCAGTGTATATAGGGGGTATTAAAAATGGTAGAACTAGGCTAGGCATGTTGGCCTATGTCTGTAATCCCAACACTTTGGGAGGCCAAGATGGGAGGATCACTTGAGGTAAGGAGTTTGAGACCAGCCTAGATAACATAGTGAGACCCCGTCTCTACAAAAATTTTTAAAAATTTAGGCCGGGCACCTAATTTGGTGCTTACTAGGTGCTGTGGCTCACCATATAGGTTTGAGCATCATCTGTTTATGGGTGGTTACAGAGGCCATAGGAATATTTCTGTCTTGCACAGGTGTCCAGTTAGTGGAAACACAAAGTAGGCTTCTCCTCTGCAAAAACTACACAGGATTTTTCTAGCAAGACATGCTTCTGTTTGTGATTCTGTAAGAACAGGGGTATTTTGTTAATGGAAACTTTCCATCACAAACCAGGATCATCCCCTAGGATTGATATTATAACAACATCAATCAAAAGAAGTAAATGATTTCTGTGGCTTTGGAAGAGTTCAGTATAATCTAATAGAGAAATTAAAGGTCTATAAGAGTCCCTTGGAACATGTGAAAGGACCATGTGGTATTGAAAATTGCGATCTGTGATTTCGATAGCTTAATATTAGAATTGGAAGGTATCAGATGGCTGGCAAACTGTCAGTAAAGTCCTATTCTTAAAGGAGTACTGTCCTAGGTTGGGTTATCTTTGAGGCAGACTCTGATAGTATAGCCTGAAGAATGCTTATTAGGAAGTGCCCTTGGGATCAACACCCGTAGAAGGGAGGGGACAGGAGCAGCAGTATTTGGCCATAGGGAGAAGTCAAGTGGCAATAGAGATCCAACAGGAGCCTTAGTGGACCCCACGGGGGCTCTGGAGCTAAAATGACCTTTTAGAGTTGTCTTATATGTGCTGTAACGGCTGGGCTTACACCCTGGTCTTGATTGGATGTGGACCCCTGAGAAGGTTGTGACCTTCCTTGAGTCAACTCTTCATATCTGAGGCACTCCCTGAAAGGATTGACAGTTGTAGGCTGTCTCCCAACAGCAGTCCTGTCATTCCTTAATGGAGGATCCAGCCAGTGCAACAGCATGCTACCACAGTATACCCTTGTGTTGCTCAGATCTACTACTTAAAAAACAAAAAAACAGTATTTTTGAGATATAATTCATTATTGTAAAATTTATAATTACAGTTTATAGTATACAACTCAATGGCTTTTAATATATTTGCAAGTTGTGTAACCATCACTCTAACCAATTTTAGAACATTTTAATTACCCCCCAAAAAACTCTGTTCCCCTTAGCTGTCACTCTGTAATCTCCTCCCCACCCACCCCCAACATAGGCCACCGCAAACTTTCTGTCTCTATAGACTTACCTATTATGGACATTTCATGTAAGTGGAATAATACGCTGCATGGTCCTTTGTGATTAGCCTTTCATTTAGTGTGTTTTAAACGTTTATCCATGTTACAACACGTATCAATACTTAATTTCTTTTTATGCTGAATGTCCCGTTGTATTAATTTTGTTTATCCAGTGATCAGTGGAAAGACACTGGGTGGTTTTCACTTTTTAGCTATTATGAATAATGCTGCTATGAACATTTGTATACAAGTTTTTCGTTTGTTTGTTTTGGGGGACGTTTGTTTTTGTAGTTAGCTGGGACTATAGGCACGTGCCACCATGCTCAAGTAATTTTTGTATTTTTTGTAGAGACGGGGTTTCACCATGTTGGCTAGGCTTGTCTCAAACTTCTGACCTCAAGTGATCTGCCTGCCTTGTCCTCCCAAAGTGCTGGGATTACAGGCATGAGCCACTGCACCTGGCCTGTGTACAAGATTTTGTATGAACATCCTTTTTTTTTTTTTTTTTTTTTTTTGAGACGGAGTTTTGCTCTGTAACCCAGACTGGAGTGCAGTGGCGCGATCTCAGCTCACTGCAACCTCCGCCTCCTGGGTTCAAGCGATTCTCCTGCCTCAGCCTCCTGAGTACCTGGGACTACAGGCACCTGCCACCACGCCCAGCTAATTTTTGTATTTTTAGTAGAGACAGGGTTTCACCATATTGACCAGGCTGGTCTCGAACTCCTGACCTCAGGTGATCTGCCCGCCTCAGCCTCCCAAAGTGCTGGGATTACAGGCGTGAGCCACCGCACCTGGCCTTGACATATGTTTTTATTTCTCTTGGATATATACCTAGGAGTGGGTCATATGGTAAACTCTATGTTTAACTGTTTGGGGAACTGTTACTCTTCCAAATCGGCTACATCATTTTACATTCTCACCAGCAGTTTATTGAGGCCCCAGTTTCTCTGCATCTTTCCTAATACTTGTTATGTATTTATTTAACTTTTATTTTACGTTCAGGTTACACGTACACTTGCAGGTTTGTTATATAGGTAAACTGTGTGTTACGGGGGTTTGGTGTACAGATAATTTAGTCACCCCGGTAATAACCATAACACCTGATAGGTATTTTTTCTGATCCTCTCATCCTTCACCCTCAAGCAGGCCCCAGTGTCTGTTGTTCCCCTCCTAGTATCCATGTGTTCTCGGTTTAGCTCCCAACACTTGTTATTACCTCTTTTATTTATTATAGCCATCATAATGGGTGTAAAGTGTTATCTCATTGTGACATTGATTTGCATTTCCTGTAGGGCTAAAAATGAGATGTTGAAGATCTTTTCATGTGCCTATTGACTGTATATCTTCTCTTAGGAAATGTTTATATACATCCTTTGCCCATTTTTAAATTGGGTTGTCTTTTTGTTATTGAGTTATTGTTCTTTATGTATTCTAGATATAGGTTCCTTATCAGATAGATGATTTGCAAAAATTTTCTCCCATTCTGTGGGTTGCCTTATCACTTTTTTGATGGTGTCCTTTGAAGCACAAAACTTTAAATTTTTTTCTTTTTCTTTTTTGAGACCGAATCTTACTCTGTTGCCCAGGCTAGAGTTCAGTGGCATGTTCTCAGCTCACTGCAACCTCCGACTCCCAGGTTCAAGCAATTCTCATGCCTCAGCCTCCTGAGTAGCTGGGACTACAGGTACAGGCCACCATGCCCAGCTAATTTTGGTATTTTTGGTAGAGACAGGGTTTCACCATGTTGTCCAGGCTGGTCTCAAACTCCTGACCTCAGGTGATCCACCCATCTCGACCTCCCAAAGTGCTGGGATTACAGGTGTGAACCACCACGCCTGGCCCCAAGTATGTGTATTTCAATTTCACATTCAGTGACCAGGGAATGACCACCAGTTAGGAGTTCGAGACCAGCCTGGCCAACATGGTGAAACTCTGTCTCTACTAAAAATACAAAAATTAGCTGGGCATGGTGGCAGGTGCCTGTAATCCCAGCTACTCAGGAGGCTGAGGCAGGAGAATCACTTGAACCCAGGAGGCAGAGGTTGCAGTGTGCTGAGATTGCACCATTGCACTCCAGCCTGGACAACAGAGCGAAACTCCATCTTAAAAAAAAAAGGAATAGGAAAAGAAAAAAATAATCTCACTAGCACAGAACCCAGATTTCTATCTATCTTAGTAAACAATCAAAAGCATATTTCACTTTATGCCTCAATTGACTGCTGGCCAACCATAACTTCTATAGCAGCTCTCACTTTGATACTCTCTAGTAAATTTAAGTTATATTTAAGGTTAATTTGAGTTTAATTTAATTGTTTAATAATAAATTTGACTGATAAGATTGTATTAAAATTTAGGTTATGTTTACTTAAGTGAAGCAAGGAGGTCACTCAGAATGAAAACTTTACATTTCCAGTACAAACCTATGGAGTTGTCATGTATTATTCTAGTTTATCATATGGTCATGTTCTTTAGAATTTGTCACCAGGCTACTATAATAAAACTCAATTTACCAAATTCTTCAAGATTTAACTTGGTAATGAAGCTACAAAATTTATGAATAAGTACAGACTGCCCTTTTTGAACAGACTGTTCAAACTAAGGATGGATCTAATTGATGAACTAGGTAAAAACTACTCTTGAGGGGGAAAAAAAAAGCCAAGGTCCTAAAGAAATCATCTAAGGTTGTTAAAAGCAGAAAAATTCTGATCTTACAAGGTAATAAACAGCAGTCTTCTCAAAAGCTCTTAATCTGAGCCAGATGATTGCTAGTACGAGTAGCCCATGAGCCACTGCGCCCGGCCCTACAACTGCATCTTACTCCCAAGTTTCTCCAGTCATTCCTGTCAGTAGGTTGTGACTTATAAAAAGCAGGCTCTGAATTGGAGTTTAGTATTTAGACTGTTAGGGAATGACCTTAGGATAAAAACCACAGGAGGAGTAGGAAGCTGGGTAGGGCAGATTTGACACTTGCCTTGATTGGGGGTGCAGGAGGTTGTATATTATACTTAGTCAACTTTCTTTTGAAACGTTTTTTGTTTTATTTTCATACTTGAGTGGATAAACTTACAGCTTACTGAACCATCCTCCTGTGTCTAAAATAACTTCCATTTTCCTTAGGCAAAACCAATTCCCTTCTTCAAAGATGTTCCTCATGCCCTTTCTCAGGTGTTGTATTTTTCTTACAAAAAAACTTGCCTTTTTCCCTATACTCTAGTAAATTCAAAATGAGGATTGGAAAGGGAGCTTATTTGAGGAAACTGACAATAATATATTTTAAGACAAAAATTAGCCTTAAATGTTTTATGATAATCTAGTATTGTACATCTGTATCTCAATTCCCCTAAAATAACTCCCAGCCTGGCACAGTCTCAGGCTGTTGTAATCCTCAAGAGGCTGACATGGGAGGCTCACTTGAGCCCAAGAATTAAAATCTAGTCTGGGCAACATAAGGAGATCCTGTCTCAAAAAAAAAAAAAAAACTATCATTTAATAAGTTGTACATTTCTATAATGTTCCACTTTTAAACTATAGTCAATGTTACTGAATTAGGATTATTTTTTTAAAAGCATAAAAGGTGATGGACTATATGTATTAAGTGTATCATTTACCTTTTTCTCTTTTTAGAAACAGTATCTCACCTCCCTAAACTGGTTAATAGTGGCATGGAAGATCCATTTGGTGAGTATCACCTACATTGTTCTTAGTAAATGACATTTCTGTTTTATCCTCACCTCCATTAAAGCTTTGAGAGTAAATTGGTTTTTTTTCATATTCAGTATGCTACTCTCTAGAATAATGGGTCTCAAACTTTTTGCTTCTATAAGAATTCAGTTATATATTTAATGATAGAGTGCCAATTACCTTTTGTTTATGTGACATATCTATTGATGTTTGCTGTATTACAAATTAAACCTGAGAAACTTTAAAAATATTAATTTGTTTAAAAACAACATTGATAAACCCATTATATATTACACAAATAACATTTTTAATTAAAAAAATCAAGAACCATTTGACAAGATAAAATGAGAAATTTAAATTTCTCTATCTTAGCCAGGAGTGGTGGCTCACGCCTATAATCCTAGCACTTTGGGAAGCTGAGGCAGGCAGATCACTTGAGGCTAGGAGTTCGAGACCAGCCTGGCCAACATGACAAAACCCCGTCTCTACTAAAAATACAAAAATTTAGCTGGGCATGGTGGCACACACCTGTAATCCCAGCTACTCTGGAGGCTGAAGCATGAGAAACGCTTGAACCCAGGAAGCAGAGGTTGCAGTGAGCTGAGATCGCGCCACTGCGCTCCATCCTGGGCAACAGAGCAAGACTCTGTCTCAAAAAAAGAAAAATAAGTAAATAAACTCTGTCTTAATCACTCAGTAACTTATGTATACTTCTCTTTGGTTGGAAATGTAGTTCTGCTCATATTTCAGAAACAATGTGTGCTTTGTAGTGCTTCATTAGTACTTGGCCAATGGAAGATAACATGAAAGTGACTGGGCGCAGTGGCTCATGCCTGTAATCCCAGCACTTTGGGAGGCTGAGATGGGCAGATCACTTGAGGTCAGGAGTTTGAGACCAGCCTGGCTGACATGGTGAAACCCCATCTACTAAAAATACAAAAATTAGCTGGGCATGGTAGTGGGTGCCTGTAATCTCAGCTACTCAGGAGGTTGAGGCAGGAGAAACACTTGAGGCCTGGAAGGCGGAGGTTGCAGTAAGCCGGGATCATGCCACTGCACTCCAGCCTCGGCAACACAGGGAGACTCTGTCTTAAAAGAAAAGAAAAGAGAAAGATAACGTGGAAGTAATCATAATAGCAGGCATGTGTAATATATATGTACGTGTGTGTGTCTATATATGTGTGTGTGTGTATATATATATATATTTTTTTTTAATTTATTTTTTTTGAGATAGTGTCTCACTCTGTCGCCCAGGCTGGAGTGCAGTGGCACCATCACAGCTCACTGCAGCCTTGACCTCCCGGGCTCAGGCAATCCTTTCAACTCAGCCTCCTGAGTAGCTGGGACTATAGGTGTGCACCCCTATGCCCGACTGATTTTTTTTTTTTTTTTTGGTAGAGATAGGGCTTTGCCTTGTTGAGCAGGCGGCTCTGGAATTCATAGGCTCAAGGGATCCACCTGCCTTGGCCTCCCAGAGTGTTAGAATTACAGGCGTGAGCCACTGCACCCAGCCTAATATTTCTAATTAAGTTTAGCCTGTGTATATTTCATCTAGCAACATGAGTAAAGGAATGTAAGTCTAGATATACAAAGGTTTAATGTCTGCCTTTTTGGCGATAAAGTCATTTACTGTGTGTGGAACCCCTTTTCTTTCTTTCTTTTTTTTTTTTTTTTCCAAGACTGGATATCACTGTGTTGCCCAGGCTGGAGTTCAGTGGCTATTCACAGAAGCAATCATAGCATGCTACATCCTTGAACTCCTGGGCTCAAGCAGTCTTCCTGCTTTAGCCTCCCACTGTGTTTGGATGGTAAGGGGTGAAGAAGACTGAGTAAAGAGGCTGTTGCATTCAGCATTAATTATGCATATTTCCCACGTAGCTAGGACTACAGGCATACTCCACCACTCCTGGCCCTATTTTTAACTGATGCTCATTTCAAAGTGAGAGATATGTCTTAGGATATCAGATTTTTTGAAACCATAACATTGACTAGGAAGACTAGTTAGGAAGTACTTTTCATTTTAAAATACACATTAGCAAAAAAGAAAAAAAAGAAATCAGAGGCAGTTTTACTTGTTTAATTTCAGCGTACTGGAGGAAGCATCCGATTCAAGCATTTTCTGATCCTTCATCACACGGAAAGAAGTCTGAATCCCTTTTTATGCCAGTGCAGCTTGAGGAAGTATAGTAAAAATACTACTATATAATACTAACTGAGGTTAGGCTTTTTGGGCTACTAGTACTAGCAATCATCTGGCTCAGATTAAGAGCTTTTGTCTTGCTTTGAGAAGACTGCCCTTTATTACTTTGTAATATCAGAATTTTTCTGCTTTTAACGACCTTAGATAATTTCTTTAGGACCTTGGCTTTCTTTCCCCCCTGAAGAGTAGTTTTTAGGATTATGCCTAGTTCATCAATTAGATCCATCATCAATTAGATCCATCCTTAGTTTGAACACAAGAGGGCAGTCTGTACTTCTTCATAAATTTTTTTTTTTTTTTTTTTTTTTTTTTTTTTTTTGAGACAGAGTCTCGCTGTGTCCCCAGGCTGGAGTGCAGTGGGGTGATCTGGGCTCGCTGCAATCTCCGCCTCCCGAGTTCAAGCCATTCTCCTGCCTCAGCTTCCCGAGTAGCTGGGACTACAGGCACGTGCCACCACACCCAGCTCATTTTTTGTATTTTTAGTAGAGACAGGGTTTCACCATCTTGGCCAGGATGATCTCGAGCTCCTGACCTCATGATCTGCCCACCTTGGCCTCCCAAAGTGCTGGGATTACAGGCGTGAGCCACCGTGCCCAGCCACTTATTCCTAAAGTTTGTAGCTTCATTACCAGGTTAAATCTTGAAGAATTTGGTAAACTGAGTTTTATTATAGTAGTCTGGTGACAAATTCTAAAGAACATGACCATATGATAAACTAGAATAATACATGACAACTCCGTAGGTTTGTACTGGAAACCTAAGTTTTCATTCTGAGTGACCTCCTTGCTTCACTTAAGTAAACATAACCTAAATTTTAATATAATCTTATCAATCAAATTTATTATTAAACAATTAAATTAAACTGAAATTAACCTTAAATATAACTTAAATTTTCTAGGGAGTATCAACGTGAGAGTTGCTATAGAAGTTATAGTTGACCAGTAGTCAATTGAGGCATAAAGTGAAATGTGCTTTTGATTGTTTACTAAGATAGGTAGAAATTTGGGTTCTGTGCTAGTGAGATTATTTTTTTCTTTTTCTTTTCTTTTTTTTATTTGAGACGGAGTTTTGCTCTTGTCGCCAAGGCTGGAGTGCAATGGCACAGTCTCACTTCACTGCAACCTCCACCTCCCGGGTTCAAGTGATTCTCCTGCCTCAGCCTCCTGAGTAGCTGGGATTACCAGCACCTGCCACCATGCCCAGCTAATTTTTGTATTTTTAGTAGAGATGAGGTTTCACCATGTTGGCCAGGCTGGTCTTGAACTCCTGACCTCAGGTGATCCACCCGCCGTGGCCTCCCAAAGTGGCGGGAATTGCAGGCGTGAGCCACCATGCCCGGCTGAGATTATTTTTTATTTTTATTTTTTTGGTTTGTTTTTGTTTTTTGGGGGTTTTTTTGAGGTGGAGTCTTGCTCTGTCACCCAGGCTGGAGTACAATGGTGTGATCTCGGCTCACTGCAACCTCCGCCTCCTGGGTTCAAGCAATTCTCCTGCCTCAGCCTCCCAAGTAGCTGGGACTACAGGCACCTGCCACCACACCCAACTAATTTTTGTATTTTTAATAGAGACGGGATTTCGCCATATTGGCCAGGCTGGTCTTGAACTCCTGACCTCAGATGATCCACCTGCCTCGGCCTCCGAAAGTGTTTGGATTACAGGTGTGAGCCCGGCCTGAGATTATTTTTTTCTAAACACTTATTTAAATCTTGGAATTTGTAAATTAACATTCATTCAATCATAATATGGAGTTTATAGGAAAACAGAAATGACTCATATTTAACTACCATTCTCCTCTGTCTCCATTTTTCCTTCTAAATGTTATAATGATTTTTTTCTTAGTTGTTTACTATACATATACACACATATACATATGATAAGAATTTGGTGTACTCAGTGTCATTTGACAAAGAAAAGAATTGAGGATGTAAAATGAGTTTGTTTCTTTTGGTGGAGTGAGAATTTTGTTATAATCAAGTTAGCTAATAATTAAGTAGAAATATTGAAAAAGAGATAAAAGACTACACATTGGGTACAGTGTACACGGCTTGGATGATGGTTGCACCAGAATCTTAGAAATCACCACTAAAGAACGTATTCATGTAACCAAATACTACCCATTCCCCAAAACCTATTGAAGTAAAAAATGACATAAAAAAGGAAAAAAAGAAAACAGAAACCACCCAAAAGAAAGAAAGAAAGAACGAATGAACAAAAGAAAGAAAGAACGAATGAACAAAAGAAAGAAAGAAAGAGAAAGAAAGAAAGAATTATTTGTGGTATTCTGGAAATAAAAGTAGTGAGGGATTTTTACGAATAAAGTACCAGAAGGATAGACCTAAGGTCTCTAGGACCTTTTCTACCTGGACAGATGCTTACACATTTCATTATATAATATTTAAATATCATGTTCGTTAATATCACTATTGGTCTCGTTGAAAAAAATGTTAAATGTTGGGAAGCTGTCAAGCTCATTCTGGATGTAAATTTTCCAAAATAGGAATTTCACTTGAAAGCTTGAATTCTATCACTAGCAACAAATACTGTTAATTTTCTTTATTAGTGACAGGCTTACTTTTGAGAAAATGCCTGTCAGCTATCTAAGCTTGAATAACATAGCTTGTTGTTCAGTCTTTCAAGTAAAAATAGTATTCCATGAAGAAAACTGTCTAGTTCAGTTTGCAACTCAGTCACACAAATGCCTTTCCTGGAGATAACCATCATACTTAGTATACAAATGTGCTTTATACATATTTCTGTTTCATCATAAACAGTAATAAAAATATATGTACTAAAGGGTTGATATTTATTAAAACTAATATTTTTTATTGCTTTATCAAGGACATTCTTAAAGTTGAATTTATTTTTCACTGTAACTGTGTAGTTGTGAAGAATACAATGATTTCTGCTACAGTTTGGTGCTGTTGCCTTGATTTGTGTTAAGGTGCTAACAGTTTTGCTCACCATTGCTTTTGTACCATCAGTGCAAGTGTCAACACAGTGGAAAAGGCAAATAATTTTTTTGTATTCTTATGTATTTAGTTTTACCTCTTGGACTTCTGAAAGGATCTCAGGGATCCCCAGAGATCAGCAGATTATACTTGCTTCATTTTCCTGAGGTTCCTAGAGGCCCTTCTATGGAAGTCATGAGTAAAGTTAAGATTTAATCCTGGAGATTGTATTGGGCAGGGTTTCAGTGTGGACTAGGTCTTGGACATTTGACAGAAATATGGTCAGAGGGAGTGATTAGCTCTGTGGTTTCTCCTAAGCAGGAGTACCCTGCACCACTACCCCCGGGCCACAGGAGGTGAGCAGTGGGCCAGTGAGCATTACAGTCTGAGCTCCACCTCCTGTCAGATCAGTGATTAGGTGGAACAGTTTCATCCCAAACCACCCCAACACCCCCGTCTGTAGAAAAATTGTCTTCCATGAACCTGGTCCCTGGTGCCAAAAAGGTTGGGGACCGCTGGGTTAAAGAAACTTTTGTGGAGCGAAATGAGTCTGGAACTCATTAGGCAATCAAGTATGTTCAAAGAAGAAATCCATAAGCATTTAGTCAAGACAGGCTGAGGGCCAGGCTCACCTGGGTACTGTGTTCTTAGCTTTAAAAAGGATAAATAGCAGCAGAGATATTGGTGATGACAGCTTTCAATATATCTCTTGAGTCACATTGCTCCAGTCTGTGTACAGGTGGCCTTGCAGTCTGTAGAGGTGGTACGCAACTGTCATCCTGGGTTATCCAGTCTCCATTTTCCTGACAGCTTTGCTTCTTTCCTGTGTTAGCTCCTTTGTTTCCTAAACCCTCATGTCTTCCTCTGTCTTGGTTGCCAGTAGCTTTTTGATGTTGAACCTCCTGGAATAATTATCTAATTCATTTCTTTTTCCTTTAGATATGTTTCCTGCAAGATTTATTCAACTTTATCTTCTACTTTTATTAAATTTTTCTTTTCTACTATTAGAGTTTAATCTCCAGGAGGTCTTTTTGAAGTCTCTGCATGTTTCTTTTTATACTATCCTTTCATTCTTTCAACAGATTTTCCTTGCCCTGCATAGTCTCTTTTTTTCCTAACATTGTTTTTAAATATTGATTTGGTTTCTTTTATGTTAGAGTTTTTCTCTGATGTCTAGTAATAATTAACTGTCTGCTGATGGTTAAAAGTGAGGGACTAAATAGCCAGTTAGAAGCTTTAAATGTATAGGCAGGTTGCCTTTGGGTGAGCTTCTTGGCCTTATTGTTGATGAACATTCTCATATCAGTATCAGGGTCTAAGGGGCACAGTCTTCCCACTGTGTTTGGATGGTAAGGGGTGAAGAAAACTGACTGAAGAGACTGCTGCATTCAGCATTAATTATGCATATTTTCACTTAATTCTCTTCCATTTTTAATTTTACTTGTATTTGTATTTTATTTTACTTTATTTTTATCTTTTGAGATGGAGTCTTGCTCTGTCACCCAGGCTAGAGTGCAGTGGCGCCATCTCAGCTTACTGCAACCTCTGCCTCCTGGGTTCAAATGATTCTCCTGGCCTCAGCCTCCCGAGTAACTGGGATTACAAGCACCCATCACTGCCTGGCTAATTTTTGTAGTTTTAGGGTTTCACCATGTTGGCTAGGCTGGTCTCGAACTCCTGACCTCAGGTGATCCGCCTGCCTCGGCCTACCAAAGTGCTGAGATTACAGGCATGAGCCTCTGCAGCTGGCCTTATTTTCTTTTTCATTTTATTTTTTTATTTTTATTTTTTGGGGTCAGTCTTCCTCTGTCTCAAAAAAAAAAAAAAAAAAAAAAGCACCGCAGCCTCGACCTCCTGAGCTCAAACAATTCTCCCACCTCTGCCTCCCAAGTAGCTGGGACTATAGGCACATACCACCATGCCTGACTAATTTTTTTACTTTTTGTAAAGATGCAGTCTCCCTATGTTGCCCAGGCTGGTCTTGAACTCCTGGGCTCAAGTGATTCTCCCACCTCGGCCTCCCCAAAAGTTGAGATTACAGGCATGAGCCATTGCACCCAACCCCTTCCATTTTTTGTACCATATCCCTACCATCAGTTGCCTTTTGCGACCCCTTTCCAGAGACCATTTGCTTTACACTTTCTTGGAAAACAGATTCCAAAATTCCGCCAGAGTTAGTGTAGGACAGACATTGAAGATCATGGAGTAGGGAAAGTGATAGAGGAATCAAACAGCTTTTACCTTGCTTCTCCTGATTTTAGGTCACCTCCCTTTCATCTCATTTCAGAGACCTGGATAAAATACAATGAATGTATTACTTGTTAACCTATACTGGTGTATACTACCAGTTAAAAGAAAAAATTAGGCTGGGCGCGGTGGCTCACCCCCGTAATCCTAGCACTTTGGGAGGCCGAGGTGGACGGTTTGCCTGAGCTCAGGAATTCGAGACCAGCCTGGGCAACAAGGTGAAACCCCGCCTCTACTAAAATACAAAAAATTACCCAGGCATGATGGCGTGCTACTGTAGTCCCAGCTACTTGGGAGGCTGAGGCAGGAGAATTGCTTGAACCCGGGAGGCGGAGGTTGCAGTGAGCCAAGATCACGCCACTCCACGCCAGCCTGGGCAACAGAGCGAGACTCTGTCTCAAAAAAAAAAAAAAGAGAGAGAAAAGAAAGAAAAAAATTCATGGCTACACTGTACATAAGTGCTGAGTGAAGGAAGGATCCAGAGAGGATGTGCATAGAATTTGTGCTACCATGATGCTCCACACCCCACTACTTTCAAAAATAGCTAATTCGTGCTTCTGCTTTCTTCCTCCCTTTTCAACTGCTTATGGAGTTAACAGTCATTCTCCCAAGAGCATACCAGAACAAAAGGGACTGAAACCCTAGCATATCACTTATTTAAAAGTACTGAGTTGTGACTTCCTTCTAAAGATTTTTGAGGTGGAGGAGGATCTGCATACTAATTGCCTTCCCAAAATGTTTTAAATCATCTGAATACTTCATTAAGTTTCTATATACCCTCTCTTGTATAAATATGAACATGACTTGTTGAAAATACTTTTTTGGGTGTGTTTGGTGATTGTTTAATGAGATGTAGATTATCAGTTTGCATTCTGAATTTAAAGCTAGTTGCAAAGGCTTTATTCATATGCATGGCATTCTGGAAACAAATTTATAAGATAATACCTCCTTTTGATTAGAATTTGTATCATATAGGAAATAGGAGAAGTAGTTTGTTAAGGTAGCAAATAGAATTTATTATTTCCTAAACAAAGTCAATTATTTTTTTCTTATTCTGTATCTGAATTTATGAATTATTATGATGATGCTATAAAGGAGTTTTTTTCTAGCTGTTTAAGAACATTTGCCAAGGAGCCAAACTCAAGACATAATGCACTTCAAAGTTCATGGGAAAACATTTTTGATGTTATGTTGTTATCACTTGAAGCTCAAAATATGCCAGTAACATAGTCCTTCCCTCCCTCCTCTTTAAGAATGAAAGACAAAATACAAGCTTAATTAGTTTTGAGGTCCTCAGGGTGTAGGAGTTAAATTCCTCCAGTATTACATGATGCCAAAATTGATGCTAGTTCCATTTTTTCTCCTAGTGGTCTTGATGAGAAATTTAATATAGCATTATTATAAATATATATTAAATATCCTCTGTCATCTTATTTCCTGAAGGGGTATAAAGGTCAACATGTTTTTACTGTTACATCCTACCCACTGCCCAGTAGTAAACACACAATACATATCTGTATGTGTTTCTTCCAGTGGTTTTAATTTTTCTGCATAAGATAGAATTACCAATCTTAAGGAAAACAGAGTACACAGGCACCAAATTCTGTGAACCTGAATAACAGATATTATGTAATTATTTTTTCTGTCAGTAGAAAAAGATGAGCTGTAGTAGTAGTAGTAGAAGCCTGGAAAGGCAGTAATGCTGACATTCTGGACTATTGCCTGTGTCCTCTCACCACTTTTTATCACTTCTGACTACGTCTTACTCCTAGAAAATCATAGCAAGTGGGATAGGTTGACTAAATGCATGGACTGGTTTCCATCTGAATTTATTGCTGCAAACTGAGCCCTTATCAATGTGTCATGCACCCTGGACAGACGATGATATATGTCATACAAATGTTTTCTTCCAGCCTGTGGCTTGTCTATTTGCTTTCAGAGGCTTTTAAAGTAATGCAATCCAATTTAATCCATTTTCTCTTTTATAGTTCATAATTTTTGTGTTTTCTTGAAGAAATCTTTGCTTAACCAAAGATTAGGTTTTATTTTAAGTTGTTGATTCTTTTTGAGTTAATTTTTAGATATGGTACAAAGTTGGAAATATTCTCCTTTGTCCACTGAATTACCTTGACACCCTGTTGAATTCCTGATGAAACTGGTAATTTTCTTTCTTGCTTTTTTTTTTCTTTTTTTTGCTGTTCCCCCCTTCCTTCCCCCTGAAATGGGTAATTTTCTAGGAAAATATAATTTGCCAAAGGAACTCAAGAAATAAAAATCCTATGTAGACTAGTGTTAAAATGTGATTAGGCCAGGGGTTTTGTGGACAATTTAATTCATGTTGATGAAGCAGATGATTGCAGTAGTCCCTCCTTATTTATGGGGGATATACCAAGACCAAGAATGCCAGTGGATCCCTGAAATCATGGATAATACTGAACCCCAATATGTACTGTTTTTTTCCTGTATATACATACATACATATGTACCTGTGATAAAGTTTGGATTATAAATTAGGCACAGTAAGAATTTAATAACAATAACTAATAATAAAATAGAACAAATAAGTAAAACAAAGATTACTTGAACACAAGCACTGCAATACCGCCACAGTTGATATGGCAACTGAGATGGCTGCTAAGTGATTAACAGGCAGTGAACACATACGGTGTGGATATGCTGGACAAGGTGATGGATGATTCACCCCTGGGCAGGACAGAGCAGGATGGCATGAGATTTCATCATGATACTCAGAGTGGCACATGATTTAAAACTTACAAGTTATTTATTTCTAGAAATTTTCCATATTATATCTTTGGACTGCAGTCAACCACAAGTAACTGAAACTGCAGAAAGTGAAACCACAGATAAGAGGGGACAGCTCTATAATGCTATATCAATCAGTATAGCAGAGAAAAAGAAAGTATACCTGTTTATTTTATAAAGTTGGCAAAATCTTGATAACTAAAAGCTGACAGTCTGGGCATAGTGGCTCATGCCTCTAATCTCAGTCCTTTGGGAGGCCCATACGGGAGGATTGCTTGAGCCCAGGAGTTCAAGAACAGCCTAGGCAACATTGGGAGACCCTACAAAAAAAAAAAAAAAAAAGACACAAGAATCTTTTAAAAAGTTAGCCAGGTATGGTGGCACACATCTATAGTCCCAGCTATTTGGGAGGCTCAGGTGGGAGGATTGCTTGAGTCCAGGAGGTCAAGGCTGCAGTGAAATGAGATTGTGCCACTGCACTCCAGCCTGGAGGACAGAGCACAGCCCTATCTCTAAATAAATAAATGCTGACAAAGATAGTAGAAAAATACATTTGTCCGGCTGGGTGTGGTGGCTCATGCCTATCCCAGCACATTGGGAAGCCAAGGCAGGCAGATCACATGAGGTCAGGAGTTTGAGACCACACTGCCCAACATGGCGAAAGCCTGACTCTACTAAAAATACAAAAAAAAAAAATAATAATAATAATAGCTGGGCGTGGTGGCAGGCAACTGTAACCCCAGCTACTTGGGAGGCTGAGGCAGGAGAAACATCTAAACCTGGGAGGCAGAGGTTGCAGTGACTCAAGATTGCGCCACTGCACTCTGGACTGGGTGACAGAGCAAGACTCCATCTCAAAAACAAAAAACAAAACAAAACAAACAAACAAATACATTTGTTCTATTCCACTTAATACAGCTGTAGAAAGTCTATATAAATTACATGTAGATTAAATCCAACAAATCATTATTTTTTCTTATTACAAAAACAATATATATTTCTTTGAGAAAAATGAGAAAATATGGCATAAAGGAGAAAATTTTAAGGCCAGGTGCAATGGCTCACACCTGTAATCTCAGGACTTTGGGAGGCTGAGGCAGTGGATCACCTGAGGTCAGGAGTTCGAGACCAGCCTGGCTAATATGGTGGAAACCTGTCTCTACTAAAAATACAAAATTTAGCCGGGCATGATGGTGTGCGCCTGTAGTCCCAGCTACTTGGGAGGCTGAGACAGGAGAATTGCTTGAACCCTGGAGGCAGAGGTTGCAATAAGCTGAGATTGTGCCACTGCACACCAGCCTGGGTGACAGAGAGAGACTCCATCTCAAAAAATAAAAAAAGGAGAAAAATTTAAATCATTTGACCTTTCTATCCATTGGTAATTACTAATAACATTTTGATATATCTACTTTTATGATTTTTTTCTAGGGAAGTTTTCTATGTACAGTAGTTACATTTTTTAACATGCCAATTTATAGCTAGCTGTTTTCTGCTTGTTTGGTGCCCGCCCCCATGCCCAGCTAATTTTTTTGTATTTTTAGTAGAGACAGGGTTTCACCATGTCGGCCAGGCTGGTCTCGAACTCCTGAAATTAAGTAATCCACCCGCCTCGGCCTCCCAGAGTGCCAGGATTACAGGCGTGAGCGACCGTGGCTGGCCTGTTTTTGTCCCCATTTGATATGTCAAATCTATAAATATATTGAAAGAATATGACCCAAGAGGATTTATTGCAATATCTAAGGATTATGTAGATATATTATCACTTTACACATATATATACACACACACATATAAAGTGTAAATATATATGTGTATATAGTGTAAAAAACATATATAAAGTGATACATGTATGTGTGTGTGTATATATACACACACACACTTTTTTTGAGATGAAGTCTACCTCTGCCTCCTGGGTTCAAGCGATTCTCCTGCCTCAGCCTGCCGAGTAGCTGGGACTATAGGTGAGCAGCCACCATGCCTGGCTAATCTATAAATAGTTACAAATTATTACCTTGATAGGTCAAAAACTAGAACGAAAATGATATGCTTGCTTATCTTTGTAGATGGGAAAATTCAACTCTTCTAGTTAAAAGCTTTAGTTACCCTAGGAATAGGATAATGTATTTTTATTCTTAAATACTTAAATAATATCAACATCTGCATTTCTACCAAATTGATTTAAAAATTGATAACATTAAGACACATTTTATAAAGTAAAACTTGTTAGATAAAGTCTCCTTTGACCACCTTTGTCTAGTGACAACCCATACATACCACGAATGTTGTGTATATCCTTCTAGTTCATTTTTTTCTGTTACAACATTGCTTACATACTTTGATAGGATCAAGACCAGTTCTCTAGGCCAGATGCAGTGGCTCACACCTGTAATCCCAGTGCTTTGGGAGGCTGAGGCAGGCAAATCGTCTGAGCGCAGCCTGAGCAACATTGTGAGACCCCATCTCTACAAAAAATACAAAAATGAACTGTGAGTGGTCTCGCAGTACTGTGGTCCCAGCCACTCAGGAGGCTGGGAGAATCACTTGTGCCTGGGAGATTGAGGCTGCAGTGAGCCATTGATATGGGTAGGCTTTGTCTTCCCACCCAAATCTCATCATGAATTGTAAACCCCATAATGCCTATCATCCCCACGTGTCAAGGTAGAGACCAGGTGGAGGTAATTGAATTATGGGGGCAGTTTACCCCATGCTGTTCTCATGATACTGAGTTCTCACAAGATCTGATGGTTTTATAAGGCGCTCTTCCCCCTTCACTCAGCCCTTCTCCTTCCTGCCACCTTGTAAAGAAGACACCTTGCTTCTCCTTCACCTCCCACCATTATGGTAAGTTTCCTGAGGCCTCCCCAGCCATGCTGAACTGTGAGTCAATTAAACCCCTTTCCTTTATAAACTACCCAGTCTTGGGCACTTCCTTATAGCAGTGTGAGAACAAACTAATACAAGCCATGATTGTGCCACTGCACTCCAGCCTGGGTGACAGGATGAGACCCTGTCTCAAAATAAAAGAGGATTGTTATCTATAGAAAATCTAAAGGAGTTATTTACAATAACAACCCAAATTATAAAATACCTAGGAGTGATCTCAGCAACATAGCCCATATGATAAAACTAGAAGTGTGCTGTAGATAAATAAATAGATCCATTATGTCAAGTAATGGGAAAAACTGGAAAAGTTATTGGTGTCATTTATTCCTAAATTTATTATATATGTTTAATACAACATTAATAGTTGAAGAGAACTTACATTAGCTTTTGATATTTGACAAAGTGATGATCAAATATAACTTAGAAAAAAATTAAAGCTAAGAAGTTAACAAACTCCCCTTTTTAATGGGTTTATGATGCCAGTTTGGTCACACTAAGTTTTGTAAGGTCTTGGGTGTATTTTTGGACTTTATGTTCTTTTCTGTTGAACAATTTGTCAGTTTTTGTACCAGTTCTACAATGTGTTTATTACTACAGTCAAAACAACGTCACTGGCTGACTTCTGCATGTCCTATCTTATTCAAAATGACCTTTCATGATCAGAGCTTTGAGTTGACCCAAAGGCAGGGTAATTTTTACAAGATTACTGTTTGAAACGTCAATGAAACCAGAGCACATGGGCATGTGCACATATATACACACACATACACACTCACATGTTATAATTGAGGCTTCCATTGAATGAAAGTAATGGTAGTATAATGGACCATCTTGTAGATGGTGCTGATGGCCTCTAATCCTCGTTGAAGATTCGTGGGTTTTTTTGTTTTTTTTTTTTTGATTCCTCATCAAACCAGTGTTTTATCTTGCGGTAGCCAGAGTAACATCATATCAGATTGTAATCTATAGCTATAGCTTTCCTTTTTACTATTGCATAAAAATTAATATTATATTTGACCTCTTTAAGAATTTTTAGATTTCTTATTTAGGTTTCCTTTAATGCTGCTATATTCTGTTTCTTTTCATTGATTTCTTAAAATAATTTAGATGCTCTAAAACGTAGGCCTGGCTGCTTTATTTTGTCCATTTCCCCGCACAGGGTGAGTCAGTCTTTTCCTCACTTCAGTTTAGAGCTCAGTAATCAAAGGGCACAAATAGCAAGAAGGCTTAAGAATTATGTCTTAAATAGTATAAGACAAAAGTGGCACCAAAGGAAGGACATTCCTGCTAGGATGGGGAGCTTGGCTTAATACTAAAGGTGTGTATTTGTTTAGTTCTGGTTATAATCTCATAATACATCCGGGATACATGGCTTAATGTTGGTTTCAGTGAAGGCCAGTTACTATCCTAACCCCACCCCAAAGGTGAATGATGGATGGATGTATGATTGGCTGACTGAATGACTTATTAATTCATTCAATAAATTTTTGTTGGCTCACTGCCCTAACTGCCATGCAGGAAAAAGATGAGTAAGTTACATTTTCAGCTCTCAAAGAGGAGATTGAGAACTTTTAATGTGAGACAGAGTGAAGTTATTTTATACAAATAAAAATACTTGTGTTATTGGAATTTCCTGCCATGTTATTCAGCATGATTTGTACTTGTGGAAATTATTAAAACTTAATTGTATAGCATGTGTAGTCAGCCCTCTGTTTCTGAGGGTTTCACATCCATGGATTTAACCAACCACAGATTGAAAATGCTTGGGGAAAAAATAATAATTATACAACAATAAATGATAATGCAATTTTTAAAAAATACAGTATAAAAACTTTACATCACATTTACACTGTTAGGTATTATAAATAATCTAGAGAAGACTAAGTATTATGGAGGATGTGTATAGGTTATATGTAAACACTTTGCCACTTTATATAAGGGACTTAAACATCCATGGATTTTGGTGTCCAAGGAGAGTCCTGGAACAAATCCCCCTTGGATACTGAAGGATGACTGTATTTCCCTTCTTTTCCTTTACTTTTTATTTTTAAGGCTAGTCAAATGAAGCAGTGGGAGGGGAGAAGGAACAAAGAAATCTTAAGTGGTTGTGATCAATTAGTTGTAAACCCCACTGCATTCTGACCAGCCCATATTTCTTTTCCTGTATCTGTGTTCTTTGAACAGTTTAGTGGCGATTTCTTTAGGGCAAGTTTTTTGTTTTACCGTGTTTGTTTTGTATCTAAAAAGAGAATTTGGTGACCCTGGGGAAATAGGTAAAAACTAGAGACTTCTTTTTTTGAGACAGAGTCTCACTCTGTCGCCAGGCTGGAGTGCAGTGGTGCCATCTCAGCTCACTGCAACCTTCACCTCCCGGGTTCAAGCAATTCTCCTGCCTCAGCCTCCCAAGTAGCTGGGACTACCGGCGCATGCCACTGCGCCCAGCTAATGTTTTTGTAGTTTTAGTAGAGACGGGGTTTCCCCATGTTGACCAGGCTGGTCTCAAACTCCTGACCTCAGGTAATCCGCCTGCCTCCATCTCCCAAATTGCTGGGATTACAGGCATGAGCCACCACACCCGGCCTAAAACTAGAGACTTCTTAACTACCTTAGAGAGTATAGATAGGGCTGGGCATGGCGGCTCATGCCTGTAATCCCAGCACTCTGGGAGGCGGGAGGATCCCTTGAGCCCAGGAGTTCAAGGCCTTTCTGGGGCAACATAGCAAGACCTTGTCTTGACAAAAAATAAACAGAATTAGCCAGGTGTGGTGGTGCATGCCTATAGTCCCAGCTATTTAAGTGGCTGAGATGGGAGGATTGTTTAAGCCAGGGAGGTCGAGGCTGCAGTGAAGCATGATCATATCACTACACTCCAGCCTGGGCAACAGAGCAAGATCCTGCCTCAAATAAATAAATAAATAAATAAATAAATAAATAAATGAGTAAATAAATATCTTGCGCTCTCATAAAACATACTTGTACATTGCTAATAATAATGCTCCATGTAGCATAAGTATGGTTAAAAGGTTATATAAACCTGTGCTTCAGTAATTTTGGGTTTCTCATGAAAGACTATGGCTAGAGAGTTTTTGTTGTATATGTAGGTTTATGGTGTAGCAAAGAATGGAGACTCAGATCCAGATTACTTAGATGTGAATCCTAACTTTGCCAGTTTGCCAGTTTTTAACTTAGACCAGTTTACTCCTATGTGACTCAGTTTCCTCATATACAAAATGGGAATAATAAATGCTGTCTTGCTCATAGACTTGTAAGAATTAGACAAGTTAGTATATGTAAAATATTTAGAATAATCGTTGGGATTATAACACACGTTCAATTCATGTTAGCTATTATTATTCAAACAGAATTGGGAGAAGGAATACTTGGGAAGTTGAATTTAGTTTATTTTCTAAGTTTTAGCTTTCTTCAAATCTTTTCACACATAACAGAGTAGATAAATTTGAACTTAACTTTATTTTATTTATGTTCTAATTTTTCAGATACCAGTTTTTACCATTTAGGGAAATGATCAGAAACCAGGAAACATAAATCAAGGAGAGAAGAAATAGAGAACAGAAATCAGCTTTGAGTGATTAAAAACTGGTAGTGCTGCAGTTTTGTCCTTCTAAGTGTTTCTTACAGGAACTAGAAAAGCAGAGCTATTTTTAAAAATTATTAATTAATTATTTTTTTATTTTTATTTTTGAGGCAGGGTCTCACTCTGTTGCCCAGACTGGAGTACAATGGTGTGAACAGGGCTCACTGCAGCCTTCACCTCCTGAGTTCAAGTGACCCTCCTGCCTCAGCCTCCTGTGTAGCTGGAACCACAGGCATATGCCACCACTCCCAACCTTGTTGCCTAGGCTGGTCTCCACCTCTGGAGCTCAAGCAATCTTCCCACTTCAGCCTTCCAAAGTGCTAAGATTACAGGTGTGAGCCACCATATCCAGCTGAAGAGCTATTTTCATTTATTTTTATTTTTAAATTTTATTTATTATTTTTTTTAGTCAGAGTCTCTCTGCCACCCAGGCTGGAGTGCAGTGGCACCATCTCAGCTCACTGCAACCTCCGCCTCCTGGGTTCAAGCGATTCTCCTGCCTCAGCCTCCCAAGTAGCAGGGACTACAGGCACGTGCCACCACACTTGGCTTATTTTTTCTATTTTTAGTAGAGATGGGGTTTCACTGTGTTAGCCAGGATGGTCTCGATATCCTGACCTTGTGATCTGCCCGCCTCAGCCTCCCAAAGTGCTGGGATTACAGGTGTGAGCCACCGTGGCTGGCCTGTTTTTTTGTTGTGTTTTTTTTTGAGATGGAGTCGTGTTCTGTCGCCCAGCTTGGAATGCAGTGGTGCAATCTAGGCTCACTGCAACCTCTTCCTCCCAGGTTCAAACAATTCTCCCTGCCTCAGCCTCCTGGGAAGCTGGGGTTACAGGCATGCACCACCACCCCGGCTAATTTTTGTATTTTTAGTAGAGATGGCATTTTCACTGTTGGTCAGGCTGGTCTCGAACTCCTGACCTTAGGTGATCCACCTTCCTTGGCCTCCCAAAGTGCTGGGATTATAGGCATGAGCTACCACGCCCAGCCTTATTTTTTAAATTTTATTTATTTATTTATGTATTTCTTTATTTTGAGACAGAGTCTCACTGTCACCCAATCTGGAGTGCATTGGCACGATCTTCAGCTAACTGCAGCCTCCACCTCCCAGGGTCAAGCAGTTCTCCTGCCTTAGCCTCCCCAGTAGCTGGGACTACAGGCATCCACCACCACACCCAGCTAAGTTTTGTATTTTCAGTAGAGACAGGGTTTCACCATGTTGGCCAGGCTGGTCTCAAACTCCTGACCTCGTGATCTGCCTGCCTTGGCCTCCCAAAGTGCTGGGATTACAGGAGTGAGCCACCAAGCCTGACCACAACAAAGTGCTTTTGAATTACTGGCTTGAAGAGGTTTGATATAAACACTATTTATATAGTCATCCTAGTTCTTCTACAGGAATTTTTATTGAGTCGTAGTGTAACTAGGTGTTCATTACTGAGAATTTTTATTTAGTAGAGAATGAAGGCTATATTCTCCTATTCATGTACTGGAAAATGATATTGTTTAAGGAGATTTCTTGTTAGGAATTTCTGCATAACTTTTACAAATGTTATAGCTAGCTGTCATCAGACACATACTGTGTTCCCACTGGATATCTAGTGTTGGTAATATTCAGGTTTCTTTCTCACTCACTTAAAGTGAATATTGAGGGCCAGCCGAATTAGGAAGAGTTGTGAAAGAGAGAGAAGGAAGAATAATTGGCAGTGGCTAATAGTCATCTCTTTGAGTCACTAGTCATAGTCACATGTTTCAAACCTCTGTGATGTGGGCTCCTTGATTTCTGACTAGTTTCTACACATCAGTGATACCTCTTGGTTCCTTAATAGATGTCAACTGGGCCGGGCACGGTGGCTCACGCCTGTAATCCCAGCACTTTGGGAGGCAGAGATGGGCAGATCACCTGAGGTCAGGAGTTCGAGACCAGCCTGACCAACATGGTGAAACCCCAGTCTCTACTAAAATACAAAAATTAGCCAGGCGTAGTGGCAGGCGCCTGTAATCTCAGCTACTCGGGAGGCTGAGGCGGGAGAATCGCTTGAACCCGGGAGGCGGAGGTTGCGGTGAGCTGAGATCACACCACTGCATTCCAGTCTGAGCAACAGAGCGAGAAACCTTCTCAAAAAAAAAAATTGTGAATATAAATAGTCCAATAGTTTGAAACTAAATAAAATGAAACTTTTATTTAGCTGTGAAGATTTCTTCAGCGCATACTACCAATAGTAGTTGGTACTATGAAAAACAGATAACACATGCTGATGAAACGTGGAATTGGGAGGCCAGGCATGGTGGCTCACGCCTGTAATCCCAGTACTTTGGGAGGCTGAGGCGGGTGGATCACGAGGTCAGGAGATCAAGACCATCTGGCTAACACAGTGAAACCCCATCTCTACTAAAAATACAAAAAAAACCCAATTAGCCAGGCGTGGTGGTGGGCGCCTGTAGTCCCAGCTACTCTGGAGGCTGAGGCAGGAGAATGGCGTGAACCCGGGAGGCGGAGCTTGCAGTGAGCCGAGATTGCACCACTGCACTCCAACCTGGGCGACAGAGCGAGACTCCGTCTCAAAAAAAAAAAGAAACGTGGAATTGGTTCTTTGAGATACTCTGTTATTACTGGAAGACTTTTTTTTTTTTTTTAATAGAGACAAGATCTGCCCCCACTGGTCTCAAACTCCTGGGCTCAAGCAATCCTCCCACCTTGGCCTCCCAAAGTGCTGGGATTACAGTAATGAACCTGGACTGCACCTGGCCGTGGAAGAATTCTGAGTGGGCTTTAAAAATCCTTTTAAGTTCAGCATGTCCAGTAGAACTTTCTGCAAAGATGGAAATGTTCTGTATCTGCCACTCTCCCATGTGTAGTCATATGTAGCTAGCTACTGAGCACCTAAAATGTGGCTAGTAAAAGTGAGAGACTGAATTGTAAATTGTATCTCATTTTAATAATACAAATGTAAATAATCATGTGTGGCTAGTGGCCACAGTATTGGACAGTACACATAGACATTTGAGAACTGAGCAGCAAGTTTGATAACCAATACTTCTCTACCAATGATTAAAATAATGTAATTCTTATTTACTTTTAGTATGCTTGGAAATGTTGCTTTTTGTTTTGCTGCCATTAGAACCAATAACAGTATAATATTTGGCCGGACGCAGTGGCTCACACCTGTAATCCCAGCACTTCGGGAGGCAGCGGGATGTGGATCACTTGAGGTCAGGAGTTTGAGATCAGCCTGGCCAACATGGTGAAACCCCGTCTCTACTAAAAATACAAAAATTAGCCAGGCATGGTGGTGCGCACCTGTAATCCCAGCTACTTGGGGGCCTGAGGCAGGAGAATCACTTGAACTCGGGAGGCGGACGTTGCAGTAAGCTGAAATTGCACCACTGCATTCCAGCCTGGGCAACAGAGCGAGACCCTGTCTCAAAATAAAAAATAAAAAATAAAAAGGCTATAGTATTAGGAAGAAGACAGAGGAAGTTAATTTAGGAATGTGTTGTTTACTGCGGGTCTTCACTTATACATCATCTTCCCACTGAGGCCCTTCCGCTCACCCAGTTTATAATTTAGCACCCTTCCTTTCAGCCCACCTTATTTTCCTTTCCTCCCTTTTTTACTCTGTGGTACTTGTCACCATCTAATGTAATGGGAAGAGGGCAGGGATTATTTTCCCCTGTTGTATTCACTGCTGTGTCCCAACACCTAGAATGATACCTGACACATTAGAGGTACTCAGCAAGTATTTGTGGAGTGAATAAGTGAGGGTTGTGGTTTCTCAATAATTATAATCTAATTCATTTAACACTTATTTTGCATATAGCAAGCATTGAGTTAGATTAGTTATATAGAGTACACTATGGTCACTACCCTTTCCATAGTAAAACATTTATTTCTTTGTGAGCTTCAAATCACTGACAAGAAAAAAATTTAGAAAACTAAAAACATTTCTTTGAACCATTATTTAAAACAGAATATTGAATCGGTTAAATCATTGGTTGGAAGGGACTTGGCAATGATTTGAATCAGTTGTCTGATGTCACATGGTGGTTTAAAGTTCCATCAGTGTCATTTACATCCTCTTCTCATTTCCCCTTTTCCTTCATCCCACAACATATGAACCTTTTGCTCACTTACTTTTTCTACATCTTCTCATCTCCATTCAGCTAGTTCTCACTTTCTTCTAGGCCTGCCTTTCCCACTGACTTTACTGGACCTTAAGGAACTCCTCAAATCCCTATCCAATATTAACTGAAACTTTCCTGTTGATTATGATTTCTTATAACTCCTTCCTCAGTTCCAGAATCTTCTCCCTATCCCCTGGGATATCCTCAAGAGCTTATTGGCCTGAAAACCAAAACTTGAAGAGAAAGCAACAAGGCAGAATCCCTATATCTCCAGTTTCTTTGAGTGTGATCTTTCATTTTGTGGAGCTGAAAGCCATCCTGCTGGCATAATTTCAGTTTCTCTCGCTAATAAAAGTCCAACATATTGTAGGTTTTAAACATATACATTACTTCATGCCTACCATTATTGAGAGAAGAAGAAATAATGTAGCTTCTGTGACATAAAAGCATGACAGAACCTCTCCAGTTTTTCCTAAAGAACTGTGGTGGTTTAATTTAAACTATTGGGGAGGTGGGGTTCATTTATATAGAGAATCTAAATGGAAGGAGAGGAGCCAAAATATATTAAGCACCTCTAATCATTAGGTAGTCTTTGGAAATTTTTCTTATTTAATCCTCATAACTCTATGAGCAGTTTTCTTCATTTTACAGATGTGTAAACTGAAGTGCATGTAAGTAAAGTAACTTTCCAGAGTAACCTAATCAGTAAATGGGAAAGCTGAGATTTTACATAGTTATATGACTGTAAACCCTGTGCTTTTTTCCATTGGTAAGCCATGCTGCCTTCTAGAAGTGGAGGCAAGGGAGGGAACAAGAGTTACAGCGTTTGATGTAGAATAGGAGGCAGTTTGTTTGTTTTTCACATCCAGTGAGCTAGCCACATAAATAAACCAGTATTATTTGTGGTAAGTGGCATGAGTATCTGGTGATTCCAGTGGCCCTGCCTTAACTTTAACCTTCTGTCGCTTTCAGCCTGTTCTTCAGGCTAGTTCACATGAAGTACAAACACTTCCTACTAAGGATCTTGAGCCTCACAGTTGTGATTAAATGAGGGAGTATGTGAAGCTTCATATGACAAATCTATCCCCTTTCTTACTACTTGCAAAGCAGTATGTTCTCAAAAACCACATGAACATACCATTTTTTCCCCACAAAAGCAAGAGTTTCACAGCAGCTCCCAGGATTGTGTGGAATGATAGAGTAGTCTATGGTCTCGACGTTTTTTCTGGCCTCCGTGAGAAAAGTTCCACTGTTGGAGGTCGGAAGAAATGTAGAGATGATGGGCTATTCTATCCATGGTAGAATAGTGGATGAATAGCCTACCTTGGATGAATATAGTGGATGAATATTCTGCCAGGGTAAAATAGTCTATGGTAGAATAGAATCTCTGAGAAAAGTTTAAAATTAAAGAATGCTGTTTCTTTCCTTATACTCAAGATTAATAATACTCGGTGCGTGTATACTGTACATCAAATGTGACAAGCATTGAGAGTTTAAGGATAAATACATCATGGGCCCTGCCCACAAGGAATTTCTAGCTTAATTGAGAAGTCTGAAGATTACTGCATTTCAGGCTGGTGTACTTAATAACAGAGTATGATAACTTAGGCACTGTGCCAACATATATTGGTAGGTGTAAGTGTGTCTAGCTTTGTCCTGAGGTCAGAGAAAAAAACTTTTTTTTGGTGGTGTGTCCAGAAAACCATAGTTATGATTAGCTCTTTACCTCTCCTGTATTATCCCTTGATGCTTGTACCTATTTCTCACTTCTGTCATCCCTCCTATGGCTGACTCTTTCAGGTTCTTTTTTTTTTTTGAGACAGAGTCTCGCACTGTCACCCAGGCTAGAGTGCAGTGGCGTGATCTCGGCTTACTGCAAGCTCCGTCTCCCGGGTTCACGCCATTCTCCTGCCTCAGCCTCCCGAGTAGCTGGGACTACAGGCACCCGCCACCACACCAGGCTAATTTTTTTTGTATTTTTAGTAGAGATAGGGTTTCACCATGTTAGCCAGGATGGTCTTGATCTGCTGACCTCGTGATCTGTCCGCCTCGGCCTCCCAAAGTGCTGGGATTACAGGCATGAGCCACTGCGCCCGGCCTTCCAGACAGTTCTTAATGGATGGGTAGGAATTTGCCAAATATATCTAGGAGAGAAATTCCTGGCGAAGGGAGCAATTTGTACAAATAGATGAGAAATGAAGAGTTTGCAGATTACCAGCAAGGCTTTCTAATTTCCACATGTAGCTTGAGGCACATGTTATCAATTGTAGGATGTTACCTCCCTTAACTATCCAGTGCCAGCCAGCCTAGAGTAGATCATGGGGTAAAGAAAAGAAAGCTGCTCTTTCCCCTAATTATATATTCAGAGGTTGAAAATTAGTCTTTGATGTGAATATGTATTTGTGTGATTTGCTAGTAATTTCTGTTGGTCATCACGTCCTAGAGGAAAGTGACTTCTTCCTAACCCCTCACTGGAGTTTACCTCCCTCAGACATCTCAAGCCATAAGAAAGAAGTATGCTGAATTAAGCTGAGGGAGCTATAATTAAAATAGTCAATAGCTGATTTTCCTAGGTAATCCAATTTGTATTCATACTTCAGCATAAAAATACATTTAATTTAAAGCATTCTACTCTTGTGATTGATCTTGTAAACTGCTTATTAAAAATATAGGCTGGGCACAGTGGCTCACTCCTGTAATCCCAGCACTTTGGGAGGCCGAGGCAGGCGGATCACGAGGTCGGGAGATCGAGACCATCTTGGCTAACACAGTGAAACCCTGTTTCTACTAAAAAATACAAAAAAATTAGCCAGGCGTGGTGGCAGGCGCCTGTAGTCCCAGCTACTCGGGATGCTGAGGCAGGAGAATGGAGTGTATCCAGGAGGCGGAGCTTGCAGTGAGCTGAGATCGCGCCACTGCACTCCAGCCTGGGCCACAGAGCGAGACTCCATCTCAAAAAAAAAAAAACCAAAATATATATATATATATATAAACATGGGGCTGGGTGCAGTGGCTCATGCCTGTAATTCCAGCACTTTGGGAGGCCGAGGCGGGTGGATCATGAGGTCAGGAGATCTAGACCATTCTGGCCTCCCAAGTAGCTGGGACTACAGGCACGTGCCACCATGCCCAGCTAATTTTTGTATTTTTAGTAAAGACAGGGTTTCACCATGTTAGCCAGGATGGTCTTGATCTCTTGACCTCGTGATTCACCTGCCTCGGCCTCCCAAAGTGCTGGGATTACAGGCGTGAGCCACCGCACCAGCCACTACAATACAATTTTTATAGTGAATTTAAAACACCAAACACCACATTCCAAAAAGAACTCTGAGTCAGACACCAACAGTAAAAGCTTACCGTGATCTCAGTCTGTCTTTAGTAATGAAGCCCAATGACTAACATATAAGAAGACAATTCAAACTATACTTTGTTCAGGAAAAGGAAGATAAAGTCTTCCACATCTTCTGGATGGAACCTGGGAAAGATATTCCACAGTGTCTTACTGCTTATAAACAATTTTAACAAATCAGCATTAGCTTAATGGAGGGAAGGAACAATTCATGGCTTCCTGATGAGAAATTCAGTTCACATTTATGTGGCCTGCTTTGGAGCAACTTGTGCTGTTAGCTGATGATCTTAAGTTTCTCTGTTGAGCACTACCTGTGGAACTGTCCAAATCTGGGCTTTTAGGAAAATAATATCTTGGCCGGGCACAGTGGCTCACGCCTGTAATCCCAGCACTTTGGGAGGCCGAAGTGGGCAGATCATGAGGTTAGGAGTTCGAGACGAGCCTGACCAACATGGTGAAACCCTATCTCTACTAAAAATACAAAAATTAGCTGGGTGTGGTGGCTCACGCCTGTAATCCCAGCTACTCAGGAGGGTGAGGCAGGAGAATCACTTGAACCCAGGAGGTGGAGGTTGCAGTGAGCCGAGATCGTGCCACTGCACTCCAGCCCAGGTGACAGAGCGAGACTCTGTATCAAAAAAAAAAGAATATCTTTGGTATGCCCAGCAATTTATAGGTTATATGTGGTAATTAGAAACAGTTCTTTAATAAAACAAGGAAGGCTTAGGTCGGGTGCAGTGGCTCATGCCTATAATCCCAGCACTTTGGGAAGCTGAGGCTAGAGGATCTCTCTCTCTCTTTTTTTTTTTTTTTTTGAGTAAAACTTTAAATTTTTCTCCCACTAGGATCTCTTGAGTCCAGGAGTTTGAGACTGCCTGGACAACATAGTGTGACCCTGTCTCTATAAAAAAAAATTAAAAAATTAGCTGGGTGGGTGGCACATGCCTGATGTTCTAGCTACTCCGGAGGCTGAGGTGGGAGGATTACTTGAGGCCAGGAGTTCCAGTGAGCTATGATCGCACCTCTGCACTCCAGCCTAAGTGACAGAGCAAGACTCTGTCTGTAAAAAAAAATAAAAATGAAAAAAGGCTCTCATTAGAGGGCTTTAAGTGCTGTCTAAATCTCAATGGTAGCTTCAATTCCTTTGCCTATTAAATCTTATTTTTCTAAGGTGTTTTATTTTTTTTGAGACAGGGTCTCACTATCATCCAGGCTGGAGTTCAATAGCACGATCTCAGCTCACTGCAACTTCGCATCCTGGGCTCAAACAATCCTTCTGCCTCAGCTTCCCAAGTAGCTGGGATCACTGGCATGTGCCACCATGCCTGACTAATTTTTGTATTTTTTTTTTTTGTAGAGATGGGGTTTTACCATGTTACCCAGGCTGGTCTTGAACTCCTGGACTCAAGCAACCCCCGCTTGGCCTCCCAAAGTGCTGGGATTAGAGGCGTGAGCCACTGCACCTGACCTAAGGTTTCTTGTTCTTTCCCTAAGTAAAATAGGAAGAGAATCACAAATTTTAATTCTGCTACTTCCCCTTGAGGGACTAAGCTGGGGAGAATAAGTACTCTAAAAAGGGAGTATCTTATTAGCTAACAAATAACAAGAGATAGCTGTCTACTTCTTACAAAGTTAAAGTGATTCTTCCTTTTACATTTCTAAAACATAATGCATGGAAGACTAAAATGAACTCAAGGCTTTATTGTTAATTTTAATGTCATTAGTGTGCCAGTATCGTCCTACCTTTCTGCTTGTCTACTTACCAATTAGCACAGAGTAAATACTGATTGTTAGAAGAAAAATGAAACATGATGGTCAGGGAACATGTAGTGTCTTGGCACATAGGCAACAGACTTAGCATTTCTTTCTTTCTTTTTTTTCTTTTTTTCTTTTTTTTTTTTTTTGAGACAGTCTCGCCCTGTCACCCAGGCTGGAGTGCACTGGCACAATCTCAGCTCACTGCAACCTCTGCCTCCCAGGTTCAAGCAATTTTCCTGCCTCAGCCTCCTGTGTAGCTGGTACTACAGGTGCCAGCCACCACACCCGGCTACTTTTTGTATTTTTAGTAGAGACGGAGTTTTTCCATGTTGGCCAGGCTGGTCTCAAACTCCTGACCCCAGGTGATCCGCCCGCCTCGGTTTCTGAAAGTGCTGGGATTACAGGAGTGAGCCACTGCACCGGGCCTAGACTTAGCATTTCATTTTATTTTGTTTTTTATTTTATTTTTTGAGACAGTCTCGCTCTGTCACCCAGGCTAGAGTGCAATGGTGCAATCTTGGTCACTGCAACCTCCGCTTCCTGGATTCAAGCCATTCTCCTGCCTCAGCCTCCTGAGTAGCTGGGATTACAGGCTCCCGCCACCACGCCCGGCTAATATTTGTATTTTTAGTAGAGAGGGGTTTCACCATGTTGGTCAGGCTCTTCTTGAACTCCTAATCTCATGATCCGCCCACCTTGGCCTCCCAAAGTGCTGGGATTACAGGCGTGAGCCACTGCACCTGTCTAAATTTAGCATTTCTAAGAGATTAGTTGTAGAGCATGGACTTCCTTGGAAAATAAATATTTCTTTTGGAGCTTAAAAATTCTTGGCCATTTATACAAGAGTTTCAGTAAGTCCGGGAGTCAGACTAAGGATACCTGGATTTTAGTCCTGGCTCTGAGCAGGCATTTAACCTCTTTGAACCTCAGTTTCCTCCTTCTGCAAAAAGTAGGAGATTGAAATTGAGCCAAAAGATTGCTAAGAATCCTTTCTTTTTTTTTTTTTTGAGATGGAGTTTCACTCTTGTCACCCCGGCTGGAATGCAGTAGCGCTATCTTGGCTCACTGCAACCTCTGCCTCCCAGGTTCAAGTGATTCTCCTGCCACAGCCTCCTGAGTAGCTGGGACTACAGGCACGTACCACCAAGCCCAGCTAATTTTTGTATTTTTAGTAGAGACGGGATTTCACCATGTTGGCCAAGATGTTCTCAATCTCCTGACCTTGCGATCTGCCTACCCTGGCCTCCCAAAGTGCTGGGATTACAGGCATGAGCCACTGTGCCCAGCCCCTTTCATTCTTTAAGTTTTATTGACACTCTCACAATATCGTAGAATCAGCAGTGAGCCATGCCAAGATTTGGCTTTTATTTTATTTTATTTATTAGAGACAGGGCCTTACTATATTGCCCAGGCTGGTCTCAAACTCCTAGGCTCGAGGGATCCTCCTACCTTCGCCTGTCCAAATGCTGGGATTATAGGAATGAGCCACTGTGCCTGGCCTTTTACATTTGGCAGGTCGTTTTTATTTTGGCATTTAAATTTGGCAGATGGTTTTAGCAGCTATACCTAGATCCATAAATCTATCTTGTTATACTCTTGTATGGTCATGTCTACATAAATTAGATTAGAAGGTACTGTTTCTGGGCTGTGTGTGTGTGTGTATTTTCAATGTGCCCAGTTTGAACTTACCCAAATATTCAAGGTAATGCTTTTATCTGGGTCCTTCCATTTGCTTAATATTTCTATACACCAACTGGTTGTGTTCAGACTTTCTCTCTGGCCTGCTTCTTCCAACTTGCTCCCTGGAGTCATACTCTTGACCTGGCCCCTCCTTTCTCGATTTGCATTTATTGAGAGGTTTTCAGGTACCAGGAACATTACAAAGCACTTTATTTCTGTTCATGTCATTTAATCCTTACAAATTCCCTGTATTAACAATTTTTTTTTCTTCGAGACAGAGTCTCGCCCTGTTGCCCAGGCTGGAGTGCGGTGGCATGATCATGGCTCACTGCAACCTCTGCTTCCTGAGTTCAAGCGATTCTCACGCCTCAGCCTCCTGAGTATCTGAGATTACAGGCATGTGCCACCACTCCCAGCTAATTTTTGTATTTTTAGTAGAGCCAGGGTTTCACCATGTTGGCCAGGCTGGTCTCAAACTCCTGACCTCAGGTGATCTGCCTGCCTTGGCCTCCTAAAGTGCTGGGATTATAGGCGTGAGCCACCACGTCCAGCCTTGTACTAGTAATTGTTGTATACTTTTATAATACTAGAAAACTGAGACTTAGAGAGGTGAAGTAACTTGTCTAGTGTTAACACTTAATAAGTGGTAGAGCTGGAATTAAAATTTCAATCTGACTCCAAAGCTCATGCTCTTAAGCAATATACTGTGTTAGTTCCATGATGATGATGATGGTGATAACGATGTTGTTAATTACAATATGTTGAGCACCTCCTGAGTGACAAGCAATGCATTGCCACCTTTTGCATTCCCATTTTACAATAGTGGAAACTGCTTTTGCTCATGGTCTGCTTTTAGGCTAATAAGTATAAGTACCTAGGTTCCAAAGTATTGGGCATTATTGAATTGTGCTTTCAGTGCATTTTTCCTTTTACTTTCTTTCCTGTTTTAATGGTCAACATCATAATGTTTTTCTAATTACTACCAGTATTAACAATTTAATGTTGTCTGAATGTTTCTGTACTTTTTTCCCTTACTGATGCCTTAGCATTGAGGTTTTCTTATTTGTTACCTTTGCTGTTTTTTCTCTATCAAAAGCAGATAATGGGGCTAAGATAATAGAGAAGGGATTGTACCAAGGACAAGCTAAGTACAGGAAAGTTCAGATGCTAGAAATCTTTCTGGGATCTCAGTTTGGAGAATAAAGATTTAAATGAAAAACTCCCATTTTTTGGTAGCTGTCTTTTTTTAAAAAATTATTTTAATTTTTTTTTTTAGAGACAGGGCTCACTGTGTTGCCGAGGCTGGACTCAAACTCTTGGTGTCAAGTGATCCTCCCACCTCAGCCTCCTGAGTAACTGAGACTACAGGTGCACGCCACTCCACCCAGTGGTAGCTGTCTTTTATTGAAGGAATATTAGGGCTTTGGTACTTACTAGCTTGGTGATATTAGACACAGGATTTGACCTTACTAGCCCTAGTTTTCTTACCTGAAAATAGGGTAAATAAATATACCTCACAATGCATGGTTAGTTGTGGTGATGATTAAATGCAGTAACAAGTGTAAAACTCCTTAATATATTACTCAGAATTGTTAGCTTCCTCTTTTACCTTCAGATGTTAGTGGAATAATCCAGGTTATGTGGAGGTTATGTTAAGGTTGTGTTATGTGTGTCTTTTTTACATTTAGAAAATTTAGTGTTAGTATACTAAATAAAAATTTATCAAGCTGTATCCTTAATATTTATGTACTTGGCTATATGTAAGTTAGTTACGGATAAAAAAGGAAAAATCAATGTGCAAACTGGACGTTCATTTGCTGCATGTGATTAGCTGATCTTTCCATGTATTATGCCCAGCATGTAGGGCTACTCTTTGTAATTTTTTATTCCCCAAGATCATATGGAAATTATTGAGTTTTAGCAAGAAGAGACTGTTATATAATACCTTCCAAATATTTATTTCGTTTATTGTTTTAGTAAGCAGATTTTCAGAAATATTTGTTTGTATTCTCAGAAAAGGTATATTCAATCCTAAAATACTGTTTCTAATGTTATTAATTCCCAGTACATAGATCTCACCTTGCTTTAGGCATGCCCACCTACAGGTAGGAAATAAAATTTTAGAATAAGCAGCATGTCTTAGTCTGTTCAGGCTATTATAACAGAATACTATAGACTGGGGGGCTTAAACAACAAACATTTCTTTCTTTCTTTTATTTTTATTTATTTATTTTTGAGACAGGGTCTTGCATTGTTGCCTAGGCTGGAGTGCAGTGGTGTAATCACAGCTCACAACTCACCTCCTGGGCTCAGGCAATCCTCCCACCTCACCTCCCCTCCCTCCAGTAGCTGGGACTACTGGCACATGCCACCATGCCTGGCTAATTTTTAAATTTTTTATAGAGACAGAGTCTCATTATGTTACCCACGCTGATCTCGAGCTCTTGGGCTTAAGTAATCCTTCAGCCTTGGCCTCCCAAAGTGCTAGGATTACAGGCATGAGTCACCAGGCCCAGCCACAGACATTTATTTCTAACAGTTCTGGATACTGGGAAGTCCAAGGTCAAGGTGCCAGGAGACTGGGTATCTGTGAGGGCCTTCTTCCTGGTTTCCAGACAGTTGTCTTCTTGCGTAGCCTCACATGATGGAAAAAGAGAACTCTCTGGGTCTTTTTTGATAAAGTACTAATCCTATTAGTGAGGGCTTTAAAACCCTCAATGACCTAATTATCTCCCAAAGAACCCATTTCCTATCACCATCACATTGGTCATTAGAATTTCCATATATAAATTGTAAGGGGACACAAACATTCAGTCCATAACACAGTGAAATCTGATACTTTTGAGGTAAACCTGTGTCTAAAACACACCTTTGAATGGACTACTGCTCCTATTAGCCTTTTACTCAAAACCATCCTGGTGTTTTTGTGTGATTAAATTTGTAAATTCTTTGGTGTACTCTTGAGCAGGCTCCCTTTCTTCTGTGACTCAGAGCCTGGAGCGTTGCAGCCAAGCTCAAAAGTCAGGAACGGGGGTGTGGACTTTTGGGCTATGCCAGTCAGCAGCCAGAATGTGGTTGGCAGTCTCCTCCCCTTCCTGCACTTCAGCTCTACACAGTGTGCATTCTGGAATGACAGGCATTCCTGTGTGAAGAGTGCCAGTGTGAAGACAGTTTTGTAAGAACTGCAAGTGCTCAGGCTGTATGGGAAACAGAAACTTCAGCAGATGAACTGACCTTATGCCATTTCCTGATGTTTGGCAGTGACACTGAAAGAGGACCGCATGTCCCCTCTTTATGTGGATTTATCTTTTATGAAAAGTTTGCTTTTGTCCGGGACAGTTTGTTGTCGTGAGATACATCAGACAATATAATCATGGGACAAGCTGATGTCTCCAGACCGGTAAATCCAGATGCAGTTGGTGAGTAATAGAAGGCAGAGAAACAGAAAATCTTGACAGAAGCAAGGCAGATTTACAGGTGAACTTGAGTATTTATGTGAAGTTAAACACGAGAATGTTGATGATCCCAACTTTGAAATGTTTATGTTTGTGAAGAATGAATGAAGTCATGCGGAACATGGCGAGAAACTTTAAAAAATTAAGTTTTTTAAAACTTAAAAACTTAAATTCAGTTTATTAATTTATCGCTCACAGTTTTGTTTTACTTGATCTCTTTGAAGTTTTTTATATTATATTGCTAAGGAATTATCTGTTAATTTCTTGCCGTTACTAAAGATAAATGCTACAGAAACTTATTTAGAATTCAGAGATATTTTGTTAGTATTTTACAGAACTTGGAAAATAGAACTGTTGACTTCTATAGACAGAACCACTTTTAAGAATTAAGTTTTTAGACTTGGTTATACATTTTCCTAATAAGTCTCAGGCATTTTCCATTGCACTAGTGTTTCCGTTTCTCTTAAGTCAACACTTTGATATAAACTTTTCTGAAGTTAGTACTTTACATTTGAAATGTTACTAAGGGATAGCTAGAGAGCAAGCTGATTGTGAGTATAGCTCAGAGTTTCAAATCTTCTATGTGAAATGGTAGTCACTTGTCACTGCAAGCTCATTTTCCTAATCTTGTAGGGTTTTATATGACAATCATAAATTGGGAAAAACAGTTTTAAGCAGATGTTCATTAAAGGGTTGCTTAAGTATAAGCAAAACTAGGGAAAGCCTGTGAATCATTTCTAGACATTATAATATTTAAGAAAGATTTATACCTTCACTTTGATTTATGGAGCAGCAGAAAACATGTTCAGTCCTAGGCTGCATTTTTTGTTTTTTGTTTTTCAGAAACAAAAAATGTTGGTGACTTAAAAAAAAAGCATAAAGTGTGGAAACACAGGTAACACTCCCAAATGTTTCATAATGTAGTGAGATTTTGTTTCTAAAGGTAGTATTTTCACCTGAGAGCTTCCTAGATGAAATATCTTCAGTATTTTTCATGTATTATTGAAACTGAGGCACATGGATCACAAAGTGAGTCATTCAGCAACAGATTTTCAGAACTGAAGTCAGGACTTGACTCACTTTACCTTGATCACTAGGGCTGTGTCTTTATCAATTCATTAACTCATTTAAAAAAATGAAATGTTTCATAAATAGAAAAAGGTATAAAGAAAAATATAAAGAATCATCTGGGGCCACTCCCCAGCCTAACAGATGAAATTTAGAACATAAAGATAAACCTCACACTATCCTTCTCTTCTGCATTCCCTTCTGATGACATTTTGCTTCTTTGTTTCCAGAATTAAACACTCTCCTATATTTGATAAATAACTCACTTTTGGGCTGTAAATTCTCCTGTGGTTTCTACGCCAAACATTAGTTGTTTGTTAGCAAGTATAGTAAGGACTCAATGCTAGGCATTTATCTATGAGATGGAAATGAAAGGGCTTTGACAAACAATAAATTGTAAAGCAAGTAAAATTTAGTGGTGAGTGGTGGTATTTAAGAAGAATGCCCATCTAAGATCTATATACTGTATTAAAAACTTCATCTGAGGCCGGGCGCGGTGGCTCACGCCTGTAATCCCAGCACGTTGGGAGGCCGAGGCAGGCGGATCATGAGGTCAGGCGATCGAGACCATTCTGGCTAACACGGTGAAACCCCGTCTCTACTAAAAATACAAAAAAATCAGCTGGGCGTGGTGGCGGGCGCCTGTAGCCCCAGCTACTCGGGAGGCTGAGGCAGGAGAATGGCGTGAACCCGGGAGGCGGAGCTTGCAGTGAGCCGAGATCGTGCCACTGCACTCCAGCCTGGGCGACAGAGCGAAACTCCGTCTCAAAAAGAAAAAAAAAAAAAAAAAAAAGTTCATCTGAGTAACGTTTGGTATTTGTATGCTTCTGAAAAAAAGTAAGAATCAAATTCATCAATTCTTTTTTTTTTTTTTTTTTTGAGACGGAGTCTTACTCTGTCGCCCAGGCTGGAGTGCAGTGGCTTGATCTCGGCTCACTGAAAGCTCCGCCTCCCGGGTTCACGCCATTCTCCTGCCTCAGCCTCCCGAGTAGCTGAAATTCATCAATTCTATTCCTACCAGTAGCCCTAATAAAAGACATTTGAGGAAGAAATAGAAATCAGGAGCTTAACTAAGTTTTTTATGTTTCCTCTGGATTTAATTTTGGGGTTTTATTTCCTATTACCTAGATAATAAGTAGTTGACTATCAGCAGTTTTCATGGACTGACTCCATTATTATGCTATTTATAATTCAGGATGTATTCTGTTTGAGCAGATCAGGACCAGGTTATGAAGGCTTAACTGAAAACCTTGAGGACTATACCAATTCCAATAAAGGTTTTCACCAAACAACAGTTTCTTAATTTAATTTTCAAAGCCTTTATGTGGGTAGCTGTTTGGAAAATCTCACCATTTTACTTGGAATGATAAATATACAAAGTAAATTAAAACCTAAATTATCTGTTTACTATTCTAGGCCTATAATACAGCACTTAGTTTTGAGCTTTGAAATTAATAGTACTAGATTTAGCAAGTCAACTGATGCAAAACACATGAATGAATATATTGAATTGATTTATTATTACTTTCAGGCACTGTGAATAACATAGAGGCCCCTATGTAGATATTATTCATGTCTATGCCCTCAAGAAGTTTGTCTTCTAGTTGAGAATTTAAAATATGAAAAAGTATCCAAAATATTTGTAAAATTTTTTTAAAGATTAAGGCATACTTCTTTTTTTTTAATTTAATTTTATTTTTTTTTTACTTAAAAAATATTTGTGTGTGTGAAAATGGGGTCTCACTGTCGTGACCAGGCTGGTCTCGAACTCTAGCCTCAATTGATCCTCCCACCTCGGGCTCCCAAAGTGCTAGGATTACAGGTGTGAGCCACCAGTCCTGCAGTTAAAAAAAGGACCCACTCCTTTAAGTTAATTGATTCCCTTGACTTGTAATGGAAGGCCAGCGCTATTAACCAAAGAGTCTGCTTTCAAATAAATAACCTTTGCATGAGGATTCATATGCAAATTTATGAGATGTTATAACCATATCCAACCAGAGTTTCTACTGTAGGATCTTTCTAACAACTGGTGAACTGAGTATTTGAATGTACATTAGGAATCTATGCTGTGGTATCCATTCAAGGAAATAAGTTCTCATCAGTTCATTGAAAAAAATTAAATAAAATACGTTCATAGGAGAAGCATGTAGATTTATCTAGATAAAACATTGCAATCAGGGCAGAGTGCATTGGTTCGTGTCTATAATCCCAGCACTTTGGGAGGCTGACGCAGGAGAATCACTTGAGTCCAGGAGTTTGGGATCAGCCTGGGCAACATAGGGCAACACCGTTTCTACAAAAATAAAAATTTAGCCACTGTGGTGGTACTTATCTGTAGTCCCAGCTACTTGGGAAGCTTAGGTGGGAGGATCGCTTGAGCCTGGTAGGTTGAGGCTGCAGTGACTCATGATTGTACCTCTGCACTCCAGCCTGGGTGTCAGAGGGAGACACTGTCTCAAGAAAAAGAAACACAAACTTTCAAATCCTACTTTGTAGTTCTTAATGAACATAAAAACTGTTTTTTTGCTCACCAAAATTCTTTACTATGTGTCATATTAAAACAACTAGCTAATTATCACATATCCTTAAATTAGGCACAAGACCGAAGAATTTTTTCAATTTATTTTTTATTTTTTAAATGTATTTTTTTGGCTGGGCGCAGTGTCTCATGCCTGTAATCCCAGCACTTTGGGAGGCCAAGGCGGGTGAATCACGAGGTCAGGAGATGAGACAACCCTGGCCAACATGGTGAAACCCTGTCTCTACTAAAAATACAAAAATTAGCTGAGCATGGTGGCGCGTGCCTGTAGTCCCAGCTACTCAGGAGGCTGAGACAGGAGAATCGCTTGAAACAAGGAGGCGGAGGATGCAGTGAGCCGAGATCGTGCCACTGCACTCCAGCCTGGCGACAGAGTGAGACTCTGTCTCAAAAAAAAAGAAAAAAAAGTTTTTGTTTGTTTGTTTGTGTATTTATTTATTTACTTTTTTTTGAGATGAAGTCTCACTCTGTCACCCAAGTTGGAGTGCAGTGGCGTGATTTCGACTCACTGCAACTTCTGCTTTCCAGGTTCAAGTGATTCTCCTGTCTCATCCTCCCGAGTAGCTGGGACTACAGGTGCCCACCACTAAGCCTGGCTAATTTTTGTATTTTTGTAGAGACGGGGTTTCGCCATGTTGGCCAGGTTGCTTTCAAACTCCTGACCTCAAGTGATCCGCCTGCCTTGGCTTCCCAAAGTGCTGGGATTACAAGTGTGAGCCACTGTGCCTGGCAAATTTTTTTTTTAATTGAAAATAATTGTACCTGTTCATGGGCTACATAATGGATATTTCCATATGTATGATGTGATTAGATTAGGGTAATTAGCATATTCATCATCTCCAACATGTATTTATTTATATTGGGAAGGTTGAAATCCTCCTCAGCTATTTGAAACTACATATTATTAACTATAGTCATTCTGCAGTGGCATAGAACACTAGAACTTTTTCCTCTTATCTAGCTGTAATTTTGTATTCTTTAACAAATCTTTCCCTACCCATCCCTTCCCATTATCTCTCCCAGCCTCTAGTAGCCTCTGTTGTACTTTTTACTCCTATGAGATCAACTTTTTTTTAGCTTCTATGTATGAGTGAGAACATGTGGTGTTAAACTTCCTGTTCCTAGCTTATTTAACTTAAAATAATGTCCTTAGTTCCATCCATGTTGCTGAGAATGACAGGATTTCATTGTCTTTCTTTCTCTCTCTCTCTTCTTTCTTTCTTTCGTTCTTTCGTCTCAACTCTGTCACCGAGGCTGGAGTGCAGTGGCGCGATCTCGGCTCACTGCAACCTCCACCTCCCAGGTTCAAGCAATTCTCCTGCCTCAGCCTCCCGAGTAGCTGGGACTACGGGTGCACACTGTCATACCCAGCTAATTCTTTTTTTTTTTCTTGAGACAGAATCCCACTCTGTCACCCAGGCTGGAGTACAGTGACACAATCATAGCTCACTGCAGCTTCAGCCTCCTAGATTCAAGCGATCCTCCCCCCTCAGCCTCCTAAGTAGCTGGGACTACAGGCACATGCCACCACACCTGGCTAGTTTTTTTTATTTTTTGACGAAACGAGGTCTCACTCTCTTTCCCTGGCTGGTCTCAAACTCCTGGACCTGGACTCAAGTGATCTTCCTGCCTCAGCCTTCCAAAGTGCTGGGATTACAGTTGTGAGCTAGTACACCTGGCTCATTCTTTTTTATGGCTAAATAGTATTCCATTTTGTATATATACCACATTTTCTTTATCCATTCATCTGTTGTTGAACACCTAGGTTGATTCCATATCTTGGCTGTTGTTGAGTAGTACTACAGTAAACATGGAAGTGCAGATATCTCTTCAGTATAATGATTTCCTTTCCTTTGGATATATTCCCAGTAATGGTATTGCTGGATCATATGGTAGCGCTATTTGTAGTTTTTCTTTCTTTTGAGGACCCTCCATACTGTTCCCCATAGTGGCTATACTAGTTTACATTCCCACCGACAGTGTATAGTGTTCCCTTTACTCTGTACCCTCACCAGCACTGGCTACTTTTTGTCTTTTTGATAATAGCCTCCTAACTGGGGTGAGATGATACCTCATTGTGGTTTTGATTTGCATTCACCTGATGATTTGTTATGTTGAGCATTTAAAAAAATATATTTGGCTTTTTTTTTTTTTTTTTTTTTTTTTTTTTTGAGACAGAGTCTTGCTCTGTCGCCAGGCTGGAATGCAGTGGCGTGAGCAGTCTTGGCTCACTGCAACCTCCGACTCCCTGGTTCAGGCTGTTCTCCTGCCCCAGCCTCCCGAGTAGCTGGGATTACAGGCACGTGCCACCATGACCAGCTAATTTTTGTATTTTTAATACAGACAGGGTTTCACCATGTTGGCCAGGATGGTCTTGATCTCCTGACCTTGTGATCCGCCCACTTCAGCCTCCCAAAGTACTGGGACTACAGGCATAAGCCACAGCCCTTGGCCTATTTGGGCATTTTTATGTCTTCTTTTGAGAAATGTCTCTTCAGATCATTTGGTCTTTCCCATTTTTATATTATTTATTTTTTTATTTTTATTATTATTATTTTTTGAGACAGAGTCTCGCTGTGTTGGCCAGGCTGGAGTGCAGTGGCGCGATCTCGGCTCACTGCAAGCTCCACCTCCCGGGTTCACGCCATTCTCCTGCCTCAGCCTCCCAAGTAGCTAGGACTACAGGCGCCTGCCACCGCACCCAGCTAATTTTTTTTTTTTTTTTTTGTATTTTTAGTAGAGACGGGGTTTCACCGTGTTAGCCAGGATGGTCTCGATCTCCTGACCTCGTGATCCACTTGCCTCGGCATCCCAAAGTGCTGGGATTACAGGTGTGAGCCACTGCGCCCAGCCTCCCATTTTTATATTATTTAACTATTTATTTATTTATTTTATTTTTTTGAGGCAGAGTCTTTCTCTGTTGCCCAGGCGGAGTGCAGTGGCACGATTTCAGCTCACTGCAACCTCCACCTCTCGGGTTCAAGCAATTCTCTGCCTCAGCCTCCTGAGTAGCTGGGATTACAGGCGCCTGCCAGCATGCCCGACTAATTTTTGTATTTTAGGTAGAGACGGGGTTTCACCATCTTGGCCAGGCTGGTCCTGAACTCCTGACCTCATGATCCACCTGCCTCAGCCCCCCAAAGTGCTGGGATTACAGGCGTGAGCCACCTCACCTGGCCATATTTAATTATTCTTTTTTAAGACAGAGTCTCGCTATGTTGCCCAGGCTGGTCTTGAACTCCTGGGCTCATGCGATCCTCCCACTTTGGCCTCCCAAAGTGCTAGGATTACAAACATAAGTCACTGCACCCAGCCCTTCCTAATTCTAATTAGAAGGACCAAAGATTTTTAATAAATTCTCTCCAACCATTTGGCTTGGAACTTTCCTTCTCTGTCTTTCCATTTTACCTCTCTTTTTTTTTCCTTTTTGCCCCTTCATTTACCCTAATTCACTAATTAACTTTTCCCCCCACTTTTCTTTTGCATAATAATATATTGCTATAAAAGATACTGTATGTTCTCTTTCCTACATTCCTTTTCCATAACCATTTGATTTATTTTCTCTGAAACTTGGAGTTATGGGGTTCTCACCCTTATGATACTGGAAGCAGTTTTGGGGAACGTGATTTGGAAATATATCATCCCCCATCTCTACAAAAAAAATGTAACAATTAGTCAGGTGTGGTGGTGCACACCTGCAGTCCCAGCTGTTCAGGAGGCTGAGATGGGAGGATCACTTGAGCCCAGGAGGTTGAGGCTGCAGTGAGCCATGATCATGTCACTGCACTGCAGCCTGGCTAACAGAGCGAGACTGTGTTTGAAAAACAAAAAAGAAAGGAAAAGAAATATATTATCACTTAGAGGCAAAATCCTAAGGAGATTGCAGGATGAATAAAATTTAACATAGCTACATAACAACAATAAAACTGGAGTAAATAATAGGTTAATTTAAAATAAAGTACTTCATGAGATTTTGGAGAAAAAGGCTTAGTAGTATTTGGTTATCAGAATTATAAAGACATTTCTCATACCTGTCTGCTGTTTATCTAACAGTAAATGCTTTCTTTTAAAAAAGGAGAAACAGGCATACTTTCCTCATGTAATCCAGTGTTCAGGAGGAGGTGGCAATATAGGGGTCTGTCATAAACTCCTTAAAAGATTCTCTGTTATCAAATTTGGACTACCAACCAAAACTTATTGATCCCTCTCTCTGCTCCAGTGGATTTTCTAAATAGGCCATTAATAAGGTTTGGATCTAGGTCCCCAACCAGATCCCATGTTAAATTGTAATCCCCAGTGTTGGAAGTGGGACCTGGTGGGAGGTGATTGGGGTGGATTTCTCACGAATGGTTTAACACCATCCACTTAGTACTGTCCTCAAGATAGTAAGTTCTCATGAGATCTGGTCATTTAAAAGTGTGTGGAGGCTGGGTGCAGTGGCTCATGCCTGTAATCCCAGCACTTTGGGAGGCCGAGGCAGGTGGATCATGAGGTCGGGAGTTCAAGACCAGCCTGGCCAACATGGTGAAACCCTGTCTTTACTAAAACTACAAAAATTAGCCGGGCATGGTGGCGTGTGCCTGTAGTCCCAGCTATTCAGGAGGCTGAGGCAGGAGAATCCCTTGAACCCTGGAGGCGGAGGTTGTCGTGAGCCAGGATTGCGCCACTGTACTCCAGCCTGGGCAACAGAGTGAGGCTCCATCTCAAAAAAAAAGAAAAGTGTGTGGCACCTGCCCCCTTGCTCTCTTGCTCCTGTTCTGGGCCATGTGACGTGTCTACTCCCCCTTCATCTTCCACCATGATTGTAAGTTCCTGCAGCTTCCCCCGAAGCCAGGCAGATACTAGCATCATTCTTCCTATACAGACTGCAGAAACATGAGCCAATTAAGCCTCTTTTCTTTATAAATTACCCAGTCTCAGGTATTTCTTTTTATTTATTTATTTATTTATTTATTTAGATAGAGTCTCACTTTGTTGCCCAGGCTGGAGTCCAGTGGTGCGATCTCAGCTCACTGCAACCTCTACCTCCTGGGTTCAAAGTAATTCTCCTGCCTTGGCCTCCTGAGTAGCTGGGACTACAGGCGCGTGCCACCAAGCCTGGCTACTTTTTGTATTTTTAGTAGAGACGGGGTTTCGCCGTATTGGCCAGGCTGGTCTTGAACTCCTGACCTCAGGTGATCCTCCTGCCTTGGCCTCCCAAAGTGCTGGGATTACAGGTGTGAGCCACTGTACCTGGCCTCAGGTAATTCTTTATAGCAATGCAAGAATGGACTAATAGACCTATTATCACAACCTACATATGTATTTCCTCTTTCTTTTTTCTTTTTTTTTTTTTTGAGACAGTCTCACTCTGTCGCCCAGGCTGGAGTGCAGTGGCACGATCTCGACTTACTACAACCTCTGCCTCCTGGATTCAGGTGATTCTCCTGCCTCAGCCTCCCAAGTAGCTGGCATTACAGGTGCCCACCACCATGCCTGGCTATGTATTTCGTCTTTCTACTTGCAAGTAAACTTTGGAAAGTTTGAAGTTTTTTTTCCATGAGTGAATAGCTTATATTCTGGCCCTTCACTATAAAAACATACCCTTAACCTGGAATTTTTTGTCAGAACAGTGTGCACATTAAGTTGCCAGTGGTAAAGCAACTTCACTTCTTGATACAATCATAGGCAGAAAACTATTTTTCCAGAGGTAGAATCTCAGACATAACTGTACCTGCAAGTTCAGAGAGAGACCTTCCACCTGACTATCTTCTCCTGACGGCTTTACCGAGTTCTTTCTAATTCCCAAGGGTCAGATCTATGCAATATTTCCACAGGAAGTTGTGGGCCTTCTCTATACAAAGCCTGCTTTGTTCATTAGTGGCAGGTTTATTTTCTGTAATTTTGCCGAAGTTTTCTGAAACAGTTGTTTAAAGCCAATAATAATCCTCTTTTAGAAGGCAAAAATGAATAAGTACAGTAGTGTAAATACCATAAATGAATGTTCTACGTTTACAATGTTCTGATACTGTGAAAAGGTTGTTTATAGCAAATCTGTTTCCAGCTAGGTGGGCTTAAAAACAGACTAAACCATTATATTATGAAGATATTTGGTACTTCTTCACAGTGAAGTATGTATACCTTGTTGAATAAAATCATACATTAAAATTTTGGACAAATAGGCTGGGCACGGTGGCTCATGCCTGTAATCCTAGCACTTTGGGAGGTCGAAGCGGATAGATCACTGTTGGCCAGGCTGGCTGGAACTCCTGACCTCAGGTGATCACACCATTGCACTCCAGCCTGGGTGACAGAGCAAGACTTTGTTTCAAAAAAAAAGAAAAGAAAAGAAAGGAAAGGAAAGGGGAAAGGAAAAAGGAAAGGAAAGGAAAGGAAAGGAAAGGAAACCTGATAAGGTGGCCGGGCGCTGTGTCTTATGCCTGTAATCCCAGCACTGTGGGAGGCCGAGGAGGGCGGATCATGAGGTCAGGAGATCGAGACCATCCTGGCTAACACAGTGAAATCCCATCTCTACTTAAAAAAAAAAAAAAAAAAAAAAATTAGCTGGGCATGGTGGTGGGCGCCTGTAGTCCCAGCTACTTGGGAGGCTGAGGCAGGAGAATGGCGTGAACCCGGGAGGTGGAGCTTGCAGTGAGCCGAGATCGTGCCACTGCACTCCAGCCTGGGCGACAGAGCGAGACTCCATCTCAAAAAAAAAAAAAAAAAAAAAAAACCTGATAAGGTGTAAAACATACAGAGAGTTCATACAGATCCAATAACTTTGTTACTTATTACCAAGTCAAGTAAAGCGGGGGGCGGGGGTGGGGGGACAAGGCATGGTAGCTCACACACTTTGAGAGGCTGAGGCAGGAGGATTGCTTGAGACCAGGAGTTCGAGACCAGCCTGGGCAACATAGCGAAACCTGATCTCTACTAAAAAAATTAGCCAGATAAGGTGGTCTGCACCTGTAGTTCTATCTTCTCAGAGGCTGAGGCAGGAAGATTGCTTGAGCCCAGGAGTCCAAGGTTGCAGTGAGTTATGATCATGCCATTGTATTCCAAGCTGGGTGAAAGAGTGAGACACTGTCTCAAAACAAAACAACAACAACAACAACAACTGGCTGTGCCAGGTGCAGTGGTGCACCCCTAGAGCCCCAGTGACTTGAGAGGCTGAAGCAGCAGGATTGCTTGAGACCAGGAGTTTGAGGCTGCACTGTGCCATGATCGCGCCCATTAATAGCCACTGTACTCTAGCCTGGGTAACATACCCCATATCTAAAAAATAAAAATATATATGTATAATAAAATAAATAATTGGTTGTAAATCTAATTCTAAAATTAACATTATCTTTGACCTAGGGCATATTGTTTAATCCTGTTTTATCTCATATCTCCATCAAGTTATGCAGGTATAATATGTATCTATAGCAAATAGTTAATGAATACTTTATCCGAAGATGAAAGGTGCTAAGTGGTTTTTATAAATATCATACATTTATTTAAAAATCACAGCCAATGGCCCAGTGCTGTGGCTCACACCTGTAATCCCAGCACTTTGGGAGGCCAAAGTGGGTGGATCACCTGAGGTCAGGAGTTTGAGACCAGCCTGGCCAACATGGTGAAACCCTGTCTCTACTAAAAATACAAAAGTTAGCCAGGCGTGGTGGTGGGCACCTGTAATCCCAGCTACTTGGGAGGCTGAGACAGGAGAATCCCTTGAACCCAGGAGGCAGGGGTTGCAGTGAGCTGAGATCGTGCCATTGCCCTCCAGCCAGGGTGACAGAGTGACACTCTGTATAAAAAAAAAAAAAATCACCCCTGAAATTCATATGAAACAACTACACTTGCACTTAAAAACTTCAATTAAATATTTACTAGGAAAAATATGGTGGTTGAAGAAACTACTAGAACTCTGCATAATTAATGATGTAAGAAACAAGCCTATGATATGTGAGGTGCTACAACTTGAATGAGGGAGTAAGTAGTTTAAATACCAGGCCTGGTTTCAGGGTACTACTCAAACAGGAAACTCCAAACTGTAATTTGGTTAGTTATCTTCCACTCCCAGCCTCCACCCCCTCCAAAAAACACCAAGACTGTCAACTCTGTGACGTGCTTTCCTAATGGCCTGTAGCTACATGACTCAAAGAAAAAGGTGTTTTCTTTGGAACACACAATTGTAAAACTATACCCAGCATCCTACACCCTGATTTCTGGCAAACAAAGGAAAACTACCTTTTTTTTTTTTTTTCACTCATAGAAAACAGAATGGGGCCATAGGCCATTTAAAATGCCATAACTAGTTTAAACAGAAACAACAGTCTATCCAAATGTGACTGCATGCCTATATGTTCTCTGTCAAATTGGAAATTAGAGGGAGCATTTTATAAAATCAGATGCTGAGAACAAAGATTTATGTGCAGAATTGGCGTATGAACAGTTTCAGGCCCATCTTTCTTAGTCCTTTATTAGTATAAAACAAATTTGGGTGTACTTATATAATTTTTTAAAAAACAGTGATGATTTCTGGATACCTGAGTATATTTTTTGTTTTTGTTTTTTTTGGTTGTTTGTTTGTTTGTTTTGAGGCAGGTTCTCCCTCTGTCACCCAGGTTGTAGTACAGTGGTATGATCACAGCTCACTGCAACCTCAACCACCTGAGCTTAAGCAGTTCCCTCGCCTTAGCCTACCGAGTATCTGGGACTGCAGGTGCATGCCACCACGCCCAGCCAATTGTTGTGTGTGTGTGTGTGGTTTTCGTTTTGTTTTGTTTTTGAGAGGGAGTCTTGCTCTGTGGCCCATGCTGGAGTGCAGTGGAGTTGTCTCAGCTCACTGCAGCCTCTGCCTCCCGGGTTCAAGAGATTCTCATGCCTCAGCCTCCCCAGTAGCTGGAACTACAGGCATGTACCACCACACCCAGCTTTTTTTTTTTTTTTTTTTTGTATTTTTAGTAGAAACAGGGTTTCATGTTGGCCATGCTGGTCTCCAACTCCTGACCTCAAGTGACCCGCCCACCTCGGCCTCCCAAAATGCTAGGATTATAGGCACGAGCCACCGCACCCAGCCTAATTTTTGTATTTTTGTAAAGATGATGTCTCAGTATGTTGCCCAGGCTGGTCTTGAACTCCTGGGTTTAAGCAATCCACCCACCTGGCCTTCCAATGTGCTGGGATTACAGGCGTGAGCCACTGCATCCAGCCTACTCTTTGTTCTGTAATGTATTCATCTGTCAGTTTCTCTTTGTTTCTATTACAGTTTCTAAGCATTGCAATTGAATCCTCCTGTCAAACAGAAATTCATACTAAGAAGCTTGAAGCTTGAACTATTGTAGCAGGATTTTTTTTTTTTTTAATTTTAGATACAGGGTATTGCTGTGTTGCCCAGGCTGGAGTGCAGTGGCTATTCACAGGTGCAATGATACATATCACAATACAGCCTCAACTCCTAGACTCAAGCAATCTTCCTGCCTCAGCCTCCTGAGTAACTAGGACAACAGGTGCGCATCACTGTGCCCTGCCCAGTGTTATTGTAGCAGTTTTAGAGATAAATGGCTTAATTAGATCTAATCAGCCACTGCTATGAAGCACTTATGCATTAATTTTTTTCTTTGAGACAGGGTCTCACTTGTTGCCCAGGCTGGAGTGCAGTGGCACAATCACAGCTCACTACAGCCTCAACCTCCTCAGATCAAAGGATCCTCCTGCCCCAGCCTCCCAAGTAGCTAAGACTATAGGCAAGCACCACACTTGGCTAATTTTTTTTTTTTGTAGAGGCAGGGTCTCCCTATGTTGCTCAAGCTGATCTTAAACTCCTGGGCTCAAGTGATCCCCACTACCTCGACCTCCCAGAGTGCTAGGATTAAAAGCATGAGCCACCATGCCTGGCAAATTTATGCATTCTTCAAAACTCTTTATTATACAGCTAAAACACTTTTACCTGGCATATTTAGATCTTCATTAAATTTGGTTTCTAGCTCCTTTAGCACAATATTTTACTTGTGGCAAACTAGGAGAATATACTTAAAAGAACTCTTAGAATCCAGATTACAGTTGACCTTTAAACAACACAGGTTTCAACTGTGTGGGTTCTTATGTGTGGATGTTTTTCAATAAATGTATTGACAGATTGTTTGGAGATTTACAACAATTTGAAAAAAAAAACTCACAGGCAGACCAGATGTGGTGGCTTTTGCCTGTAATCCCAGCACTTTGGGAATCTGAGGCAAGAGGATTACTTGAGGCCAGGAGTTCAAGGTCGACCTGGGCGACATAGTGAGACCCCATCTCTACAAAAAATTAAAAAATTAGCCAGGTGTGGTGGCACATGCCTGTTGTCCCAGCTACTCAGACAGCTGAGGTGGGAGGATCACTTGATCCCACCAGGAGTTGGAGGCTGCAGTGAGCTCTCATCTCACCACTGCACTCTAGCCTGGGCAAGAGTGAGATGCTGTCTCAAAAATTTTAAAAAGAGGCTGGGCACAATGGCTCATGCCTGTAATCCCAGCACTCTGGGAGGCCAAGGTGGGTAGATCACTTTAGATCTGGAGTTCAAGACCAGCCTGGCCAACATGTTGAAACCTCATCTCTACTAAGATTAGCTGGGCGTGGTGGTACACGCCTATAGTCCCAGCTACTCAGGAGGCTAAGGCAGAAGAATCACTTGAACCTGGGAGGCGGAGGTTGCAGTGAGCCAAGATCACACCACTGCACTCCAGCCTGGGAGACAGAGTGAGACTCCATCTCAAAAAATAAAAAATACAAACAAATAATAAAAATAAAAATAAGTCCGGGCACAGTGGCTCACGCCTGTAATCCCAGCACTTTGGGAGGCCAAGGTGGGTGGATCACTTGAGGTCAGGAGCTCGAGACCAGCCTAGCCAACATGGCGAAACCCTATCTCTACTAAAAATACAAAAGTTAGCCGGGTGTGGTTTTGCGTACCTGTAATCCCGGCTACTTGGGAGGCTGAGGCAGGAGAATCGCTTGAACCCAGGAGGCAGAGGTTGTGGTGAGCCGAGATCACGCCATTGCACTCCAGCCTGGGCAACAAGAATGAAACTTTGTCTCAAAAAAATAAATAAATAAAAATAAAAATGAATTAAATTAACTAGCATATACTGTACTGCTGTAATTTCATAGCCACCTCCTATTACTATTGAAGTGAGCTCAAGTATTGCCAGTATCCACTTAAAATGCTGTATGATGCTAATTTTCTAGTGAGCAGTTCTTCATAGCTTAGTGCAATATCATAAATCTTGAATAACACCACGGGACCTACAACACGTGCCACTAATGATACTGGAATTGCTCTTAAGAAGCAGAGAAGAGTCATGACATTATAAGAAAAAGTTGAAAACGAAAAAAAGAGAAAACACAAGGAAAAGTTGAATCGCCTGATGTGATGCATACCATAGATTGAGGTCTGTAGCTGCAGTTGCCTGCCATTTTTATAAGTATATATACATAGGTGGTGGCTGGGCTGGGGAAATGGCGGCTTCACGAGAGAGTGGGACTTGGGCAGCAGAGGCAGCACAGTGGATGCATTTCTGACCTTCTACAGTGAGGTGAAACAAATAGAGAAGAGAGACTCGGTTCTAACATCCAAAAATCAGATTGAAAGATGGACCCGTCCTGGTTCCTCTTACTTCAATTTGAACCCATTTGAGGTTCTTCAGTTAGATCCTGAAGTTACAGATGAAGAAATTAAAAAAAGAGGTTTCAGCAGTTATCCACATTGGTGCGTCCTGACAAAAATCATGATGCTGACAGAGCACAAAAGGCTTTTGAAGCTGTGGACAAAGCATAAAAGTTGCTACTGGATCAGGACCAAAAGAAGAGGACCCTGGATGTAATTCAGGCAGGAAAAGAATACATGGAACACGGCCAGGCACGGTGGCACACGCCCGTAATCTTAGCACTTTGGAAGGCCAAGGTGGGAGGATCCCTTGAGCTCAGGGGTTTGAGACCAGCCTGGGCAAGATAGCAAGACCTTGTCTCTATTAAAAAAAAATTTTTTTTTTAATTAGCCAGGTGTAGTGGCACACGCTTTTAATCCCAGCTGCTCTGGAGACTGAGGCCAGAGGATTGATTGAACCCAGAAAGATAAAAAAGTCCATTCAAAAGGAAGATATAATAACTCTAAATTTGTATATACCTCATAACAGCTTCAAAGTATATAAAGCAAAAATTAATAGAACTAAGAGAGAAATCACTTTGTCTTTTTTTTTTTTTTTTTTTTTTTTGAGACGGAGTCTCGCTCTGTCGCCCAGGCTGGAGTACAGTGGCGTGATCTCGGCTCTCTGCAAGCTCCACCTCCCGGGTTCACGCCATTCTCCTGCCTCAGCCTCCCTAGTAGCTGGGACTATAGGCACCCGCCACTGCGCCCGGCTAATTTTTTGTATTTTTAGTAGAGATGGGGTTTCACCATGGTCTCGATCTCCTGACCTCGTGATCCGCCCACCTCGGCCTCCCAAAGTGCTGGGATTACAGGTGTGAGCCGCCGCGCCCGGCCATCACTTTCATAATTAGAGATGTTAACATACCTCTCTCAGTTACTGATAGAGCAAACAGACAACAAATCAGAAGGGATCTTAATGATTTGTATATGATTAACCACCTTGACCTAATTGGCATATTTAGAACACCATACCCAACAATTGCACAATACACTTTCCAATAACACATAATTGGAGATAATGTATTATAAATTTGGGAAGAAACAACTGTAAGCTTCTGTTGTTTATTTGCAACTTGGACCATATTTGAGATATATAGGAAAAGCATTAAATATAAATGGCCTAAACACTCCAATTATCCTACCACGTTGGGAGACTGAGGTGGAAGGACCACTTGAACCCAGCAGTTTGAGACCAGCTCAGCTCACTGTAACCTCCACCTCCCGCATTCAAGCCATTCTCCTGCCTCAGCCTCCCAAGTAGCTGGGATTATAGGTGCCTGCCACCATACTCAGCTAATTTTTTTTTGTTGTTGTATTTTTAATAGAGACAGGGTTTCCTCATGTTGGCCAGGCTGGTCTCAACCTCCTGCCCTCAAGTGATCCACCTGTCTCGGCCTCCCAAAGTGTTGGGATTACAGGCATGAGCCACCGCATCTGGCCTCATTTTTCTTTTTCTTTTTCTTTCTTTCTTTTTTTTTTTTTTTTTTTTGAGACAGAGTTTTGCTTTCACCCAGGCTGGAGTGCAGTGATGTGATCTTGGCTCACTGCAACCTCCGCCTCCCAAGTTCAAGATTCTCCTGCCTCAGCCTCCCGAGTAGCTGGGATTATAGGCGTGTACCACCACACCCAGCTAATTTTTGTATTTTTAGTAGAGACGAGGTTTCACCATGTTGGCTAGGCTGGTCTCAAACTCCTGATCTCAGGTGGTCTGCCTGCCTCGGCTTCCCAAAGTGCTGGGATTACAGGCATGAGTCACCATGCCTGGCCCCTAATTCATTTTTCTTCAACAAAGAAGCAGCCTATAGCCAGAAAATGTCTGCCTCTGTCTCTTTTAACCTCCATGAGGTTTCCAGATAATAATCTGGTATTGGGTTTAACACACCTGACTGACCTTAGGACCCTAGGCTGACCTGGAGAGATTTTTTAAAACAGATTCTGAAAGTCCTACCTCCTGGAGATTCTGTATTTTGAAAAGGCAATTGGGCTGATTCCAAGTATTTGGACAGATTTCGGAGTCTTGGAAATAATGTACTGTTTGTCCTGGAGAGTAGGAAAAAGAGGGGAAGGAAGGAGGGAGAATATGAGGATATGAATATGTATGTGTGAATTTGAGATAACTGAGTCAGGGCCAGGTGTGGCTCTACCCCAACACAGGAGGTAAGAGGAAAGAAGGACATCTGCCTCTAAAAGTTTTGTAAAAGTGAAAATCAAGCACATTTGCATGAGAAGCAAAGAAAATGTTGCTCTGTTTTTTGTATTCAGTGGCTTTATTTTTTTTATACATATTTTGCTTATGTATCAACTATTTTTTTTTTGAGACAAGGTCCCTGTATTAAGCCATTCTTGCATTGCTATAAAGAGATCCCTGGGACTGGATAATTTATAAAGAAAAGAGCTTTATTTGACTCGTGGTTCTGTAGGCTGTACAGGAAACATAATGCTTGCAACTGCCCTGCTTCTGGGGAGGTCTCAGGAAACTTACAATCATGAATCATGACAGAAAACCAACCAGGAATAAGCATGTCACGTGACCAGAGCAGGAACAAGAGAGCAAAGAGGGAGATGCCACATACTTTTAAACGACCAGATCTCACGAGAACTCACTCACTATTGCTAAGGCAGCACCATATGGATGGTGCTAAACTATTCATGAGAAATCCACCCCCATGATCCAGTCACCTCCAACCAGGCCCCACTTCCAGTACTGAAGATTACAATTCAACCTGAGATTTGAGCGGGACACATATCTAAACTATATCAGTATGGCTCTGTCGCCCAGGCTGGAGTGCAGTGGCACGATCACAGCTCATTGCAGCCTGGACCTGCTGAGCTCAAGCGATCTTCCCACCTCAGCCTCGCAAGTAGCTGGGACTAGGCACATGGCACCCTGCCCAACTAATTTTTTTTTTTTTTTAAGAGACAGGGTTTCTTCATGTTCCCCAGGCTGGTCTTTCTTTACCTAAAAAAGAAGAGAAGCCAGATGCTGTAGCCAGTGTCTGTAATCTGAGACATTCTCATAATTTCAACTATTTGCCTGTAATCTCAGCTACTCAGGAGGCTGAGGCAGAGGATTGCTTGAGTCCTGGAGTTGAAGGCTCAGTGAGCTGTGATTGTGCCACTGCACTCCATGCTGGGCAACAGAACGAAACCCTGTCTCTAAAATAACTAGATAAATAGATAGAGAGACAGATAGATAGATAGATAGATAGATAGATAGATAATCAGATTCTAGTGTATTTCATGTAAAGTGTTAAAGTAATTGAGACCCAGAATGTCCTTGTATAAGTCATGCAACTAGGAAGAGTCACTGTCCTCTTGTCATTTCCATCTTTTGCACTTTAGTAATGAGGATGCTATTTTGCCTAAGTCTTCTGGGCATAGCAAACTAATGCATCAGTAGTCACCATTGCATTTACTGTGATAATTACGATTGTATAAATCTAACCTTTATTGAAAAACTTCCCTAAACCTCCATCAATCAAGTGAAAAAAAGATTGAATTTGGCAGTTGTTTCTTTTAAAAATTTAATGCTGTTGGTTGTATATTTTCTCTTTTGAAAATACCTAGTTTTAAAAGAGAGAGAGGCCAGGTGTGGTGGTACACACCTTTAATCCCAGTGCTTTTGGGAGGCCAAGCAGGGAGGATCTCTTGAGACCAGGCATTTGAGACCACCCTGAGCAATTTGGTGAGACCCTATCTCTACAAAACAAAATTGTTTTTGTAATTAGCCAGGAGTGATGGTACATGCTTATAGTCCTGGCTACTCAGGAGGCTGAGGCAGGAGGATCATTTGAGATCGGGAATTTGAGGCTGCAGTGAGCTGTGATTACACTACTGCACTTCATCCTGGGCAACAGAGTGAGACCCTGTTTCTAAAATAATAATAATAATAATAATAAATTTTTTTAAAAAAGATGTTTTAGTGACTATTATGACCTTTTTACCCTCCTCCAAAAGTGTTACTTGCTTCAGATGTGAAATTGTTTACAGTCAACATGTTAGCTTATCATATGCTGTTCCTTGATGTATTTCTACAAAGTAGAGGTTCCACTTTAATTTCAGGATGGTTTTTCCACATGACTCTTTTTTTCTTCCTCTCTAGACTTCTCCAGAGAACCTTGGAACAGTAGGTGGAGTGCAAAGCTGCATTGTGTACCTTCCTGCTTTTTTTTGGTTGCCTTCCTGCTGGTTTTTTTTTTTTTCCTTTCTTTAAATTCTTGGCCCCGCCTTGGCTCTCCTTTCTCTGCCATTAAAACTAACTAACTAAACCCTGCATGCATGGTCATTATGAGGGGTTCATGGCCTTTTATTTCAGTTCTGCACATGTATCATGTCAGTTATGTTTTATGTCAAATCCTTAATATTATGGTGTGTGTGTTTGTGTGTGTGTGTGTGTGTGTGTGTGTGTGTGTGTGTGTGTGTGTGTGTTTGAGACAGGCTCTCACTCTGTTGCCCAGGCTGGAGTGCAGTATCTTAATCACAGCCAACTGCAGCATTGACCTCCCAGGCTCAAGCCATCTTCCCAACTCAGCCTCCTGAGTAGTTGGGACTACAGGTGCACACCACCATGCCCAGCTAATTTTTGTTTTTGTATTATTTGTAGAGACAGGGTTTCACCTTACTGCCCTGGTTGATCTCAAGCTCCTGAGCTTAAGCGATCTGCCTGCCTCAGCCTCCCACAGTGCTGGGATTACAGAAATGAGCCACTGTGCTCAGCCTATGATTGTCTCTAAGGCACTACTATGGTAAACAAATTGGAATCTCACCTCTACTTTCTGAAAACATTTCCCTCCAATTTAATGTACCCGCTTTCTAATGCTTCTGCCCCGCAACCCTGAGCACTTTCCAATACCTAGGGTCCTTTTGTGAAGGGAGAAAATAATTTGATGAGCAGATATAAGTAAGGTACTAACAATGTGTTACCTCTCCCTGAACTATTTATATCCTGAAAAGGGCAGGGAAAGGGCAATGTTTAATAGAGAAAATGATTCACTCACTAATGAGGCAGGAATTCCCTGCCTCAGTAAGGCAAGATCTCATGCATTTGTTAAGATATCCACATTTTGTATACATGCGCCTTTAAAAGATTTTGAGCCGGCTCTGATCATTTCACCAGATTTTGTCCTAAAATGATGTCAGCTTGGTTTGGTTCCTTTTTCTCCTTAGTAGTTTATCTGTTAATGGATTTTGATGTTTGGTGTCCATGTGATGTCCAGGAGTCTCCCTGTCTGCATGATTGTTTATCGTTGCTCCGATCCTTTCCAACTACCACAGGAAGAGAGGGGAAGGGACATTTTAGAGATTATGCTGAAATAATACATTTGCTTCCTTCCCTCTCTTCTTTTCATGTAACAGAGGAAGCAGACCAGCCCACTACAGAGCCAGGCATGGTCCTGGACAGTGTGGAAGCAGGAGACACAACACCTCCTACCAAAAGGAAGAGCAAGTTCTCAGGCTTTGGCAAGATCTTCAAGCCCTGGAAATGGAGGAAAAAAAAAAGTAGTGATAAATTTAAAGAGACTTCAGAAGGTGAGATATTAAGGGTTAAATGTGTGTTCTGAGTTAGAATTCTCTATGTTAGATGTATTTAATTTTTCCTTATCTTCCCAAGTTTCTGTAGTCCTCTATTTGAAGAGGGTATTTAATGTTTTATTCTTTCCTTCTTCTTTTTTTTTTTTTTTTTTTTTGGTGAGACAGGATCTCCCTCTGTTGCCCAGGCTAGAGTACAGTGGCGCAATCACAGTTCACTGCAGATTCAACCTCCTGGGCTCATGTAATCCTCCTGCCTCAGCCTCCCAAGTAGCTGGAAGTACAAGCATGAGCTACTGTGCCCAGTTAATTTTTAAATTCTTTGTAGAGATGGGGTCTCCTTATGTTTCCCAGGCTGGTCTTGAACTCCTGGGCTCAAGCGATCCTCCCACCTCAGCCTCCCAAAGTGCTGGGATTACAAGCATGAGCCACTGTGGCTGGCCAGAGTTTAATCTTTTAGAATTAAACATCAAAATGGTCATGTACTAAACCTAATATTGTATACCCTCATTCCCAGGTTTGTATTTTGATGGCATATAAGTATCTATTGAGTGGTGAATGGAGTTCCTGAACTGTCGCAAATCTAAGATGCTTCTTTCCATCAGAACTTGGTGAAGAAAATGACTGAATGAGTTGATACATACATAAATAAAATGCTTATTTTCTACTCTGCCCATCCACACAAAGTTCATCCGTAAATAACTTACTAATGAAATTTTCTCTTAAGTTACAATTATGTAAGGCTAGTTTTTTGGAAGTGATGCTTTCCTGACAGCACAGGTTATAAAAGAAATTTAAGAGTTTTAATTTGAAGTTAGTCTGCTAGTTATTTTCTTTCCTGAGAATATAAACTTAAACTACTTTATTCTTTTACCTGTAGAATTAGAATGCTAAGTGTAAGGTTGACTTTCAACTGTCACATTTCTGAGTGCCATTTTCCAATTTAATGTTAGTTTTAGAACGGAAAATATCTATGCGAAAGCCAAGAGAAGAGCTGGTTAAAAGAGGGGTTCTGTTGGAAGACCCTGAGCAAGGTGAGTTTACAAATAAATAGCATATGCCTGTCTCTGTGCACTTGGTCTTTGATTGGGTCTGACGAGATATTTGAATTTTCTTTCTTTCTTTTATATTGCTATTTTTGGGTTGGAGGGTGGCCTTTAAAAAAAAAAGTTCACCCTTCCTTCCTTGGGGCAAACATTCCTTTCCTCTGTGTACATCCTCAACTTTGTGCCAGCTACAATATTGCGTGTCTTTTTTTTCCCCCCCTTGAGACAGAGTCTTGCTCTGTTGCCCAGGCTGGAGTGCAGTGGCACAATCTTGGCTCACTGCAACCTCTGCCTCCTGGGTTCAAGCAATTCTCGTGCCTCAGCCTCCCAAGTAGCTGGGATTACAGGCACCTGTCACCACCCCCAGCTAACTTTTGACTTTTTAGTAGAGATGGGGTTTCACCATGTTGGTCAGGCTGGTCTTGAACTTCTAACCTCAGGTGATCCGCCCGCCTTGGCCTCCCAAAGTTCTGGGACTACAGGTGTGAGCCACTGTGCCTGGCTAATTTTTTCATTTTTAGTAGAGATGAGGTTTCACCAAGTTGGCCAGGCTGGTCTCGAACTCCTGACCTCAGGTGTTCTGCCCACCTCGGCCTCCCAAAGTGCTGGGATTACAGGCTTGAGCCACCGCGCCCAGCTCATTTTCTTTTTTGAACACATTTGTCCCCATGCCCATATCACTGCACCAGTCTACCAGTCATTGTTTGTTTAATAATGTCAAGACTTTCTTCAATGTGTGACTCTATGAAGCAAGTTATTGCAAATGTGAAAGTATAGTACATTGGTTGCATCTCATTTCTCTTCATCTGAGTTATGTTGCATGAGGCAAAATCTGAAAGCCATATTGTATACTGGCCAGGCATGGTGGCTCACGCCTGTAATCCCAGTATTTTAGGAGGCCGAGACGGGCAGAACACTTAAGGTCAGGAGTTTGAGACCAGCCTGGCCAAAATGGTGAAACCCCATCTCTACTAAAAATACAAAAAATTAGGAGGGCATAGTAGCAGGCACCTGTAGTACCAGCTACTTGGGAGGCTGAGGCAGGAGAATCACTTGAACTCAGGAGGCAGAGGTTGCAGTGAGCTGAGATGGCGCCACTGCACTCCAGCCTGGGCAACAGAGCAAGACTCCTTCTCAAAAAAATTTAAAAAATCATATCCTTTGAAGAATAGGGGAAAGGAACCAAATAGATGGAGTATTACTGTATACTTTTTGGGCTTTAAACCATGCGAATATATTGCCTATTCAAAAAATTAAATTGTATGTATTGAAGATTTATTATCTCAACTGTATAAAAACTAACCAGAGACAACAAGCTTGAAGGAGCAATTTGAAATATTATTACAATTGGTTACCTCTGAAGTTGAGGTGGGAACATGGGTGGGCTTTTTTTTTGTTTTTTAATTGAGACAGGGTCTCCCTATGTTGCCCAGGCTAGTCTCAAACTCATGGGCAGCACAAGCAGTCTTCCTGCCTCAGCCTCCCAAAGTGCTGGGATTACAGGCGTGAGCTGCTGTGCCCAGGTGCTATGCGATGTTTTCTTTCTTTCTTTTTTTTTTTTTGTATGTGACTAGTTATGAGCATATATAACTTTTGTTTTATATAACTCTATTTGTTTTTTTACATTAGGACACAAAATCTTCTCAGTATTTAGGTAGTTACGTACTACTTTAATGGTTTCACTGTAGCACCTCTTTGGCCCTTGCTTTGCTTTCTTTTTTGAGACAGAGTCTCACTCTCTCTCCCAGGCTGGAGTGCAGTGGTGTGATCTTGGCTCACTGCAACCTCCATCTGCTGGGTTCAAGCAATTTTCCAGCCTCAGCCTCCCGAGGAGCTGTGATTACAGGCATCCGCCACCACACCTGGCTAATTTTTGTATTTTTAGTAGAGTTGGGGTTTTCACCATGTTGGCCAGACTGGTCTCGAACTCCTGACCTCAAGTGATCCAGCCACCTCAGCCTCCCAAAGTGCTGGGATTACAGGCGTGAGCCACCATGCCTGGCCTGGCCCTTGCTTTTTTGATACAGCTGTTCCACTTTCCATGGCCTTTCTTTTCACCTTTCTTGCTCACTTATCATAAACCACATACATTACTCATTTCTTGTTTTTCACCTTCAGTCTCTTTTGCCCTACACTCACGGCAACCTCTGCCTCCTGGGTTCAAGCAATTCTCCTTCCTCAGCCTCCCGAGTAGCTGGAATTATAGGCATGCATCACCACACCCAGCTAATTTTTGTATTTTTAATAGACAGGGTTTCACCGTTTTGGCCAGGCTGGTCTCAAACTCCTGAGCTCAAGTGATCCACCTGCCTCGGCCTTCCAAAGTTCTGGGATTATAGGCATGAGCCACCACGCCTGATGATCTTTTGCCCTATACTTTCTATTAGCCCCTAATCCAAGTTGTTTTTAGCCTACAAGTTCACAGGCCCAATTAATAAACGAGTTGCAGCCATTGGACAAGATGCCATTCTGCCAACCAGATAAATGACCTAAGCTTTATTCTGTATCTAAAAACAGGGATGGGCCTCATGCTGGCTTATAGATCTGCATTTTAGGCCAAAAGTAGTGTTTGAACCTTGAAGTCCTCTGCATACTTAAAGGGAACTTTTGGCTGGCCTGGCGCGGTGGCTCATGCTGTAATCCCAGCACTTTGGGAGGCCAGTGTGGGAGGATCCCTTGAACTCAGTAGTTCCAGACCAGCCTGAGCAACATAGTGAGACCTCATCTCTATAAAAGATTTTTTAAATTAGCCAGGTATGGTAGTGCAGGCCTGTAGTCCTAGCTACTTGAGCCCAAAAGATGGAGGATGGCTTGAGCCCAGAAGATTGAAGGCTGCAGTAAGTATTAATTGCACCACTGCACTCCAGCCTGGGCGACAGAGTGAGACCCTGTTTTTTTTTTTAAAAAAAGGTGGCTTTTGGCTTGATTATAGTGCTAACTTGACTGTACTGTAAAATATTTAATTGATTTTAATTGATTTTCTGGGTTTAGGGAGAACATTCAGTGATGTTAAAGCCCCATAGTACTACTCCACTTCATTAACATTGCAGAACCCTCTATATTTAATATAAGAAATGATACTGCAAAGTAGACATCCCTGATTAAGTAACTTGAGATAACTGATCACTTTTGCATGTATTTCACTAGTGTGTGCTGAGTAGAAACTAATTAACACTGTCTTAAACTTTATTATGTTGTTTTCACAAAGAGCAGCCTTTGTTGACTTTGAAATCATTGCTTCAGTATTCTAGAAAATCTTGTTTTTGTTAAACATGGGCAGTAACTTACTATTTTTGTATAGTTGTTGTCATCTTACCCCCACCCTGTTTTAAAAATAAAAAGTAGTTGTCAGATTACTTTGGCTTTAGAAGTACCTTTTCACTTGCCTTAGAATCTTCATTACTTTGAGCCTACACTCCACCTCTTATTGGAACTTCATGAAGAATGATGTTGGATTTCACTCTGTCACCCAGGCTAGAGCACAGTGGTCTGATCATGGCTTACTGTACCCTTGACCTCCTGGGTTCAAACAGTCCTCCCACCTCAGCCTCCCAGGTAGCTGGGACTAGGCATGTGCCACCACACCCAGCTAGTTTTTTTACTTTTTTGTAGAGACAGGGTCTTACTATGTTTCGCAGGCTGATCTCAAACTCTTGGGCTCAACGATCCTCCCGCCTCAGCCTCCCAAATTGTTGGGATTACAGGCATGAGCACCACTGTGCCCAGCCCATAACCATTTCTTTTTTTTTTTTTTTTTTGAGATGGAGTCTGTTGCCTCAGCCTCCCGAGTAGCTGGGATTACAGGCACCTGCCACCACACCCGAATAATTTTTGTATTGTTAGTAAAGACGGGGTTTCACCATGTTGGCCAGGCTGGTCTCAAACTCCTGACCTCAGATGATCCACCCGCCTCGGCCTCCCAGAGTGTTGGGATTACAGGCGTGAGCCACTACACCCGGCCCCCCATAACCATTTCTTATGTGAATCTATTCTCCTGCCAGACCAAACTAGTTGCCAGTGCCCCAAACACGTTGAATAACTTCACACCTTTATACATGCTGTCCTTCTTCCAAACAGACTGTCTTTATTCAGTGTGGTAGGCTCCTACTCCTTCAAGATCCAGTTCAAAGCAAGGCATGGTGGTGTGTGCTATAGTCCCATCTACTAGGGAGTCTGAGAGAGGAGGACTGTTTGAGCCCAGGAGTTCAAGGCCCATTCTGGTAACATAGCAAGACCATCTCAACTCCAGCTCAGATACTTTCTGTGATGCCTTCCTAACTCTATTCTCACTCCAGGAAAATGATTTCTTCTTCATTCCTACCACAGTACTTCACTAATTAGAGCTCTTGACATTTAACATTGTAGTTACTTATATATAAGTTTGCCCTATTCGTTTGTCTTTTTTTTTCTTTCTTTGAGTTGGAAGTTTTGCTCTGCTGCCCAGGCTGGAGTGCAATGACACAATCTTGGCTTACTGCAACCTCTGCCTCCTGGGTTCAGTTGATTCTCCTGCCTCAGCCTCCTGAATAGCTGGGATTACAGGCGCTTGCTACCATGCCTGGATAATTTTTGTATTTTTAGTAGAGACAAGGTTTTACCATGTTAGACAGGCTGGTCTCGAACTCTTGACCTCAGGTGATCCACCTGCCTCAGCCTCCCAAAGTGCTGAGATTACAGGTGTGAGACACTGCGCCCGGCTTTTATTTGTCTTATTCATATAACAACGTACTTGGCACATAGTAGGCTATCAAACATGTATTGGAAAAAGAAATCACTTGTTTCTGTTTAAGCATCCAGATAATCTAGATCTCAATAATAAACTAAAACAGGAAGACGAGGGAAAGAAGATAAGAAAGGTTAGAAATCACCAACCCTGGGCCGGGCACGGTGGCTCACGCCTGTAATCCCAGCACTTTGGGGGCTGAGGCGGGCAGATCACGAGGTCAGGAGATCGAGACCATCCTGGCTAACACGGTGAAACCCCGTCTCCACTAAAAAATACAAAAAATTAGTCGGGCGTGGTGGCAGGCGTCTAGTCCCAGATACTCAGGAGGCTGAGGCAGGAGAATGGCGTGAACCCGGGAGGCAGAGGCTGCAGCGAGCCAAGATCATGCCACTGCACTCCAGCCTGGTCTGTGAGACCCTGTCTCAAATCACCAACTCTGGCCAGGCGCAGTGATTCATGCCATTTATCCTAGCACTTCGGGAGACCAAGGCGGGCTGATTGCTTGAGCCCAGGAGTTCAAGACCAGCCTGGGCAACATAGTGAGACCCTGTCTCAATTTAAAAAAGAGAGAGAAAGAAAAAAAGAAATTACTAACTCTTCTTTCTATCTGTTCATGCCAACTTCATCACTTTGTACTCTTCTTTCACCTTGCAGGTGGTGAGGATCCAGGAAAGCCAAGCGATGCCATGTTAAAGAATGGCCATACCACCCCCATAGGGAATGCCAGATCATCTAGTCCAGTCCAAGTAGAGGAAGAGCCAGTAAGATTAGCAAGTCTTAGGAAAGCTATTCCAGAAGAGGACCTAAAGAAACGACTAGGTAAGAAACTCTGGATTTTTGAGTTTAAGAGCCACGGGCCAGTTATTCTCCTTACATAAGGGGTTTGCAAGAGAACAGGGAAAAGTGAAATCTAGAGAGAATTACATTCTCCTTTAACAATACCTTAACTAGCAACTTCAAGGGGAATTTCCTCCCCCACCCCGCTTTTATTCACTAAATACCTAAATTTGTGATCCTCAAGAAGGGAAGAGGATGTTAAGTATCAGATACCTATAGGATTTTTTCCAGCTACACATTCCACTTCTTTCACCCAAGGAATTTTGTTGTGGCTCTCCTCCAGTAGCCTGGCCCTTGTGTGAAGAATCACTACCACAATGAGCATCTCTTAGTGAGCCTTTCTTACTGACATTTCTTAAGTATGGGGAGGTTGGGAGGCATTGAGAATGGTAACCTATAAGCTAATCTATAAATTAATTGGTGAAATTGGCCACAAATTCATAGATGTGTTAGCTTTTTCAGTTTCTCTTGTTACTCTCTCTTCCCTTTTTATACCATACATGTTATTACACAGGCTCAACTGGAAGCCAGCCTAATTCTGAAGCAGAGTCTGTTCCTGAGAATGTACCCAAACCACCTTTACTTCCTCCCAAAAGACCCTTGTCCTCTTCTCATGAAGCAAGTGAAGGGCAAGCAAAGGATGCCACTTCCTCTGGCGGCACGGCAAGGTTCATCATCTCCACCTCCATCACCACAGCACCCGCTGCCACCACTGCTGCCACAAGCCTTGCAAAGACTGTTAATCTCTCTGTCACCCCTTCCCCAGCACCCAGGACTCTGCCTGCTGCTCCTGCCAGCACTAACACTACTGCTACCCCAAGCCTCACTCATATGGTCCCTGCCAAGCAGCCCCCTATCCCTCCCCCTAAACCAGCTCACAGAAATAGCAACCCTGTCATTGGTAAGTAAGTCTTTAGGCTTCCAGTGTTTTGGGTTTGGTTTGATGTTGGATGGTTATTTTATTTGATAACTGGTACAACATTGATTTGGTCTGTGAGAATTTTCCATATCTTGTCCCTTTGAATGACCTCAATATGGAGAAAAGTCTTAGGTTAAGAAAAAATAGGCCAGGTGCGGTGGCTCACGCCTGTAATCCCAGCACTTTGGGAGGCCGAGGTGGGTGGATCACAAGGTCAGGAGATTGAGACCATCCTGGCAACATGGTGAAACCCCATCTCTACTAAAAATACAAAAAATTAGCCAGGCGTGGTGGCACGTGCCTGTAGTCCCAGCTACTTGGGAGGCTGAGGCAAGAGAATTGCTTGAACCCAGGAGGCGGAGGTTGCAGTGAGCCAAGATTGTGCCAATGCACCCCAGCCTAGGCGACAGAGAGAGACTCCGTCTCAAAAAAACAAAAACAAACAAACAAAAAAAGTCATGAAACTGAGGCAGATGGCCATAAATGTAAACATCACTAAGATTAGATTTAAGTTTTGGGGGTTTTAACCTATTTTTTAATCTAATATTTAATCTGTTTTTCTAAAACAATGATTCCAAAACACTATACATATTTGTGTGTGTGTGTGTGTGTGTGTGTGTGTGTGTGTGTGTAATTGGACTGGATATGTGAAAACCATAACAGATTCCACCTGCATGGAATTATCTGTGGCACTTGCTGAAAAATTAGAATAATGCCTCAGCTCACAAGGGGCAAGGCAAACTTTTCAAATGAAAATTTTTAAATCTACTTAAAACTACCTATGCCTTCCATAAGCATTAATGAGTCTAGTAGATAAAAGGATGATTCTGTAGATGCCAGTGGAATTTGGGATTCAGTGTCTGGCATAGTTATCTTCACAGGGAACTGCAGAAGCTATTACTTAAATTGTTCTGATAAAATCATGTTTTATCTTGGGAGAATTAAGAATGCTATTCTTATGTTAAAATAAGTGATGGTAGAGAAAGCAGGGAATATAATCAGTAAAATTTGTATGGGTTTAGTAAATTTTTTGCATTTACCCAAAGTTCTATTTAAGTCTACTTTCTTTATATAAATGCACAATTTCTTAGAAGAATTTTCAAGAAAGGGAGAGGAAAGCTAATGAGTGCTTCAAAGCTAATAAAAATATAGTTTTTTCAGGAAAAATGATACTAGGCTTAGTATTGCTTAAAGTTCTTGTTCACGATTGAACGAATGAATAAAAACTATACTCATTAAATATTTAATATCACCATGTTGGGTGGAGTGATTCAAACCTTGAAAAACAGGCTTAGAATATTTTATGAGTATGACAGTTTGGAGTAGCTTGATGAAAACAGGATGAAGTTGTTATTACCACCACTTTGGATGGATAGTGTCATGTTGACTTATCTGTGAGGAACTTGGGGAGCTTTCACATACTTATTTTCAAAACTACCTTGTGCTGCAGGAAACCAATTTTATCTTTTCCATAGGTAGGGCAATTAGAACATGAAGACATTGTGACTCATTCAAGGTTGTAGGCCAGGCGCAGTGGCTCATGCCTGTAATCCCAGCACTTTGGGAGGCAGAGGCGGGTGGATCACCTGAGGTCAGGAGTTCAAGACCAGCCTGGCCAACATGGTGAAACGCCATCTCTACTAAAAATACAAAAAATTAGCCGGGCATGGTGGTAGGCACCTGTAATCCCAGCTACTCGGGAGGCTGAAGCAGGAGAATTGCTTGCACGTGGGAAGCAGACGTTGCAGTGAGCTGAGATTGTGCCACTGCATTGCAGCCTGAGCAACAAGAGCAAAACTCCATCTCAAAAAAAAAGAAGAAGGTTGTAGTTAGTGAAAGATAGAAACTGAACATAGGCTTTTCAACTCTCAGGTCCAGACCTCTGTTCCTTACAGTAGTGTTTGCAAACTGGTGTTCTCCTCAGGATCACCTAGAAAGCTTATGATAACAGACTGCTGGACACTACCCGTAGAGTTTCTGATTTTAGTAAGCCTGGGATGGGCTTGAGAATTTGCCTTTCTAATAGGTTCCCAGATGACACTGATGCTGCTCTCCAGGGAGCACACATTAAGAGCCTCTGCTCTACACCAGTGGCATACCACCCTTTTCAAGTTAAGGCAACATATAAAATGATAATTTGTGTATGATACCCTGGACTAAACTGCAGAGCTCATTCTTAGCTTGAGGTAAATAGCCCAAAACAATAGACCTTGTAACTGAGGAATCAGTATTAGTCCATGAGGGGTCCTCAACAAAAGAAGAAAAATAGAACAGTTCACAGAGCATTTCTTAGAGCTAAATAGATTTAATTTAAAGGACTCTCTTTTATTCTAAAATTACAACCTTCCTAATCCTTTGGTGTTAAAATGCCATTTCTTTCACAAAAGGATTATGATCATAAATGGTTTACTTAATATCAAGCCTTATTTGGAAATCTTAGAAAATGACAACCTCAAAAAAACACTAGAAAAAAAACCAACAATCTGAGGTTGATCAAGATTTTTGTTATTGTTTTGGTCACTGAAATCCAAAAGTTTGGAAATCATTGCTTCAGAAGTACTACTGTCTTCTCATCCATATAACATGGAGTATTACGACTAAGGAAAAACCACCAGCAATAGCTGAACGGGTGAAAGGGAATTATTACCCATCCCAGAAACACTCTGAAATTTTTCCACAGAACTACAGCCAGATGCTGTTGTCAGGGTATATATACCAGAATTTACTTCCTTAACATATATGCCTTCCTCAAATTACCAAATAGAATTTATTTTATTAATTCAAAAGTAAAAATATTCATTTATGGTCTCATCAGGAATGAGTTTTGTTGTAGATGGAATAGCTAACAGCTATTTTTAGAGAATCAGCAAAAATCCAATCTTTCCAAAAATATCTCTTTCACTGCTCCTAAAATTCACATTTTTAGAATCTTTTTGTGTGTGTATGCAGTGTTTTTCTAGAAAGCCTTTTTTAAAATTTATTTATGGGGCCAGGCATGGTGGCTCATGCCTGTAATCCCAGCACTTCGGGAGGCCGAGGTGGGCAGATCGCTTGAGGCCCAGAGTTTGAGACCAGCCTGGGCAACATGGTGAAACCCCATCTCTACTAAAAATACAAAAAATGATCTGGGTATGATGGTGCATGCCTATAATCCCAGCTACTCAGGAGGCTGAGGCAGGAGAGAATCACTTGAACCCGGGAAGTGGCGGTTGCAGTGAGCCAAAATTGCACCACTGTACTCCAACCTAGGCAACAGAGCGAGACTCTGTCTCAAAAAAAAAAAAATTATTTATGATGAGAGACATTAAAACATTACAAAATTAGGCCAGGCACAGTGGCTCAATGCCTATAATCCCAGCATTTGGGGAGGCCGAGGTGGGAAGATCACTTGAGGCCAGGAGTTCAAGACCAGCCTGAGCAACGTAGCAAGACCCCATCTCTATAAAATATTTAAAAATTAGCTGGGCATGGTGACATGTGCCTGTAATTCTAGCTACTTGGGAGATTGAGGTAAGAGGATTGGGTAAGCACAGGAGTTCAAGGCTGCAGTGAGTTATGATTGCACCACTGCACTCTAGCCTGGGTAACAGAGCAACATCCTGTCTCTAAAAAAAAAGAAAAGGCTAGGTACAGTGGCTCACACCTGTAGTACCAACACTTTGGGAGGCTGAGGCAGGTAGATTACCTGAGCCCAGGAGTTTGAGACCAGCCTAGGCAACATGGAGAAACCCATCTCTACAAAAAATACCCCCCCCAAAAATTAGCCGGGCATGGTGGCACATGCCTATGGTCCCAGCTACTTGGGAGGCTGAGGTGGGAGGATCACCTGAGCCCAGGGAGGTCAAAATTGCAGTGAGCCGTGACTGCGCCACTGCACTCCAGTGACACAGTGTGAGACCCTGTCTAAAATAAATTAATTTAATTTAAAAATAAAAATAAATTTAAAAAGAAAAGAGGCTGGGTGTGGTGGCTCACATCCATAATCCCAGCACTTTGGGAGGCTGAGATAGGTGTATCACTGGAGCCCAGGACCTCAAGACCAGCCTGGGCAGCATAGTGAGACCTTGTCTCTACTAAAAATTAAAAAAATTAGTCAGGCATGGGGGCATGGGCCTGTAGTCCTAGCTACTTGGGAGGCTGTAGCAAGAGGATCACTTGAACCCAGGAGATCGAGGCTGCAGTGAGCTATTGTTCATGCCACTGCACTCCAGTCTGGGCAACAGAGGGAGACCTTGTCTCAAAAGAAAAAAAAAAAAAGAATTATAAAATTAGCTAGCCTTGGCCGGGCAAAGCGGACATGCCTGTAATCCCAGCACTTTGGGAGGCCGAGGCGGGTGGATCACCTGAGGTCGGGAGTTCAAGACCAGCCTGACCAACATGGAGAAACCCCATCTCTACTAAAAATACAAAAAATTAGCCGGGCGTGGTGGCACATGCCTGTAATCCCAGCTACTCAGGAGGCTGAGGTAGGAGAATCACTTGAACCCAGGAGGTGGAGGTTGCAGTTAGCCGAGATGGCGCCATTGCACTCCAGCCTGGGCAACGAGTGAAACTCCATCTCAAAAAAGAAAAAAATAATTAGCTAGCCTTTTACTTTGAACATCTCCAATTTTGGAGATTTAGGACAAATACAGTTTTATTTAAGGGAAGTTTTTGAGAGTGTTTGAGAATACTGAGTGGGATGAAACTAAAGGGTTTGAGTAGAAGGTTAGAGGTTGGTGATCAAAAGAACTACTTTTTTTTTTTTTTTCCTGTCAGCAGGGAAAAAATAACTACCCTTTAATTACTTTACCAGTTTTACTCCTGTGTGATCTGATGATCCACTTCTTACAGGTCATCTGGAGCCCTCCAAAGGGACTTTGCTGAAACAACACCAACACCTTTGCTGAGTCATTGTGGGCTTTGGTGAAACTATAGGAATATATACTGTCATGATACAGGGTGAAGGCTTCTCATCTAATAAACATATATTGAGGGTCCACTAGATGCCAGGTACTGTGCACAGCCCTGTGGATGATATGTTGATGGAGACAAGGTTGCCCTGCCATCAAGGAGCCCATGATATAGTGGAGAGTGAACATGGGAAGCTGAGGTGCAAAGGGAACATAAGAGGTGTGCATACCAATAAAAATTAGAGACAGTAGGCCGGGCGCGGTGGCTCACGACTGTAATCCCAGCACTTTGGGAGGCCGAGGCGGGCGGATCACGAGGTCAGGAGATTGAGACCATCCTGGCTAACATGATGAAACCCCGTCTTTACTAAAAATACACAAAAAATTAGCCGGGAGTGGTGGTGGGCGCCTGTAGTCCCAGCTACTTGGGAGGCTGAGGCAGGCGAATGGTGTGAACCCGGGAGGCAGAGCTTGCAGTGAGCCGAGATGGCACCACTGCACTCCAGCCTGGGCGACAAGACTCCGTCTCAAAAAAAAAAAAAAATTAGAGACAGTAGGATGCAGTCAAATAGTCAGAGACTTGGATACCAGCTGAGTCCATGCCAGTTTGTAGTATGATCTTGGGCAAAGTCACCTAGCTTCTGTGGCCTTGCCTTTTCCTTCTGAAAAATGGTAAAGATGCTATATTTTTTCCCCTGTCACCTCAGGTGGTATAAGGAGAATATGACTTCAAGGACAAAAAACACTTTGATTTCTTCAAAGGACTTTGCAATTGCTATAAAAATTCAAGATGTCAGTATTGACAGTTTTATAACACAGAGCTAAGATATCTAGATACCATTATCAGGATATGGTAACAATACCCACTAATACTTATTTTATGCTATCTGAATGTTTAAATTTTTTAATGGAGTACTGTTATACAAAATAACTTTTTTTTTTTTGAGTCAGAGTCTTGTGCTGTCCAGCCTGGAGTGCAGTGGCATGACCTTGACTCACTGCAGCCTCCGCCTCCCAGGTTCAAGAGATTCTCGTGCCTCAGCCTCTCCTGAGTAGCTGGGATTATAGGTGCCCACCACCACACCTAGCTAATTTTTGTAATTTTTTTTTTTTTTTTTTAGTAGAGACGGGGTTTCACCATGTTGGCCAGGCTGGTCTCGAACTCCTGACCTAAGTAATCTGCCCACCTCGGCCTCCCAAAGTATTGGGATTACAGGTGTGAGCCACCGTGCCAGCCACAAGATAACTTTTTATCAGATTTTTTTTGTCTCTATTCATATTAACTACACCAAGATCAAGTTACAAAAAGTTGTCAGCCGGGTGCCATGGCTCACGCCTGTAATCCCAACACTTTGAGAGGCCAAGGCAGGTGGATCATTTGAGGTCAGGAGTTCGAGACCAGCCTGGCCAACATGGTGAAAGCCCGCCTCTACTAAAAATACAAAAATTAGCCGGGCCGTAGTGGCGTGCGCCTGTAATCTCAGCTACTTGGTAGACTGAGGCAGGAGTATCGCTTGAGCCCGGGAGGCAGAGGTTGCGGTAAGCCAAGATCGCGCCACTGCACTCCAGTCTGGGCGAGAGAGTGAGACCCTGTCTCAAAAAAAAAAAAAAAAAAAAAATTGTCATATCTGTTGCCATAGCAATGAAGTAAGCTACTCATCAGTCTTCCTACACCTCTGTACATTTATTAAGCCTTCTATTTGAATAAATATAAACTTCATTTCAGGATAAAATATATAGGGAATGGCAAAACTATGAAATTATTTAACTTGCTTAAAAGATTAAAACTGAACTCAACTTTAATTCTAGGCCCTGGGCCGGCCCTTCAAAGCATTGGAAAGTCGTGAAATTGATGTGTTGCTCTCTCTTTTCCAGCTGAACTGTCCCAAGCAATAAACAGTGGTACATTGTTATCAAAACCGTCCCCACCCTTACCACCTAAGAGAGGCATTCCATCAACCTCAGTACCCACCTTGGAGTCTGCTGCTGCCATCACCACAAAAACACCAAGTGATGAAAGAGAGAAGAGCACGTGTTCTATGGGCTCGGAACTACTACCAATGATCTCACCTCGCTCTCCGTCCCCCCCACTGCCTACTCATATACCTCCAGAGCCTCCACGCACCCCTCCATTCCCTGCTAAGACTTTTCAAGTTGTGCCAGAAATTGAGTTTCCACCATCCTTAGATCTACACCAGGAGATTCCCCAGCAGGAAGATCAGAAAAAGGAAGTCCCCAAGAGGATACTGGACCAGAACTTTGGGGAGCCCCATATACCCTCTAGGCTGCCTCCACTCCCACTGCATATTCGAATCCAGCAGGCCCTCACCAGCCCACTTCCCATGACTCCTATTCTGGAGGGTTCTCACAGAGCTCATTCGTTGCTTTTTGAAAACAGTGACAGCTTTTCTGAGGACAGCAGTACGCTGGGTCGGACCAGGTCTCTTCCCATCACTATTGAAATGCTAAAAGTGTAAGTGCCTTTAAAGCTTGCCTCTTATTTCTCCTTTACTCTAGATAGCCCTGCTTGGAAAAAATTACTTATAAAAAGAAAATGTGGGCCGGGCCTAGTGGCCCACACCTGTAAGCCCAGCACTTTGGGAAGCTGAGGCAAATGGACCGATCACCTGAGGTCAGGAGTTCAAGACCAGCCTGGCCAATACAGTAAAACCCTGTCTCGATGAAAATAACAAAAATTGGCCAGGCGTGGTGGCACATACCTGTAATCCCAGCTACTCGGGAGGCTGAGGCAGGAGAATCGCTTTAACAGGGAGGTGGAGGTTGCAGTGAGCCAAGACTGTGCCACTGTACTCCAGCCTGGGCGACAAAGCGAGTCTCTGTCTCACAGAAAAAAAGAAAATGTGAATAATTTTTTTTTTTCCGAGATGGAGTCCTGCTCTGTCACCCGGGCTGGAGTGCAGTGGCACGATCTCCGCTCACTGTAACCTCTGCCGCCCAGGTTCAAGCGATTCTCCTGCCTCAGCCTCCCGAGTAGCTGAGACTACAGGCATGTGCCACCACATTCGGCTGATTTTTGTATTTTTAGTGGAGATGGGGTTTCAACATGTTGGCCAGGCTGGTCTCGAACTCCTGACCTCAGGTGATCCACCTGCATCGGTCTCACAAAGTGCTGGGATTGCAAGTGTGAGCCACCGCGCCCAGCATTGTGAATAAATTTAAAGTACAAAGAATACTCTGCCAAAAGAATAAGTTATAGAATTTGGACTCTTTCTTTTTTTAATCTTACCTTAAAACTTTATTTTTATTTATTTATTTATTTATTTATGTTTGAGACAGGTTCTCACTCTCTCACTCAAGCTGGAGTCAGTGGTGCAGTCTTGGCTCACTGCAACCTCCATCTCCTGGGCTCAAGCAATTCTCCCTCCTCAGCCTCCCGAGTAACTGTGACTACAGGCGCATGCCATCACACCCAGCTAATTTTTATATTTTTTGTTAGAGATGGGATTTTGCCATGTTGCCCAGGCTCACCCTGAACTCCTGGGCTCAAGCAGTCTGCCTGCCTCAACCTCCCAGAATGCTGGGATCATGGGTGTGAGCCACTGCGCCTGGCCAAATTTTGATTTTTTACTCTTGTGATTTTTTTTTTTTCATGGAGATTTTTGTGATGACACAAAATTTACAAAATTATGTACATGAAAAATTACAACCGCTAGTTTTATATACTACAGGGAAGGCATTGTATAATGTTGTGCTTAAGAGCATTCACCTTGGAGTGAGATAGCCCTGGGTTCAAATTGCAGCACTACCACTCTTAGCTTATAGTAGTGTTAAGTTACTGAAGCCTTCTGCTCTTTAGTTATATCATCTCTAAATGGGAATAATATTTACTCTGTAGGCTTGTGAGAATGACATTAGACAAATTCTGGAAAGCACCAGTGCCTAATAAGTGGTAAAGCTGGGATCTGAACCCTTAGATTAATACCTGCTAAAAAGTTTCTTAGTAAGATTGTTAAAGTTAAGGGAGAGAATTAATTATAAGTTACTTCATCCATAGATTTTTTTGTATTTATGGTTATTTCAGTCCTTTGTCTTTTTTTTTTTTTTGAGATAGAATCTCACTCTTGTCACCCAGGCTGGAATGTAGTGGCACAATCTCGGTTCACTTCAACCTCTGCCTCCTGGGTTCAAGAGATTCTCCTGCCTCAGCCTCTCAAGTAGCTGGGATTACAGGCACCTGCCACCATGCCAGGCTAATTTTTGTATTTTTAGTAGACACAGGGTTTCACCATGTTGGCCAGGCTGGTCTCAAACTCCTGACCTCAGGTGAATTTGCCCACCTCCATCTCCCAAAGTGCTGGGATTACAGCCATGAGCCACCACGCCCAGTCTTTATTTCAGTCCTTTGTCTTAAAAGTCAGTTATCCTCTTCATTTCTAAAAGGAAAATATAATTATGTTAATTTGTTAGTCCAGACGATGAAGAAGAAGAGGAGCAAACCTGTCCATCCACATTCAGTGAAGAAATGACACCTACCTCAGTCATTCCTAAATTACCACAGTGTCTACGGGAGGAAGAAGAGAAGGAGAGCGACTCTGATTCAGAAGGTCCCATTCAGTACCGAGATGAAGAAGATGAAGATGAAAGCTATCAGAGTAAGAAAGGGAGGGAAAAGCAAAACAGAGAATTCTTTTCCAGATAAAACTATTTGCTGATCTTAGCAAGTGTCAAAAGAGATATGGAAACAGGTACCTTCTCCCATTAAGTCATCTGGCTAACTGATGTTGGAAGCCACTGTGAAGGACTCCTTGTCCCTATTATCACCCCTCTGTTAAAACAAGCCAAGACAGGGATCCAAGTAGATTGAGTCACTCAGGTTTTAGGTTTTTTGTTTTTTTTTGTTTTAATTTTTTTTTTTTTTTTTGGACAAGGTTTTGATCTGTCACCCAGCTGGAGTACAGTGGTGCAATCGTCGCTCACTGTAGCCTCCAACTCCTGGACTTAAGTGATCCTTACGCCTCAACCTCCCAAATAGCTAGGACAGATGTGTGCCACAACTGGTTAGGTTTCTTTGATTTTTTGTTTTGTTTTTTGTTTTTGTAGAGACAGGGTCTCGTTAGGTTGCCTAGCCTGTTCTTTTTTTTTTTTTTTGAGACGGAGTTTTGCTCTTGTTGCCCAGGCTGGAGTGCAATGGTGCGATCTCGGCTCAGTTTAACCTCCACCTCCCAGGTTCAAGCAATTCTCCTGTCTCAGCCTCCCAAGTAGCTGGGATTACAGGCATGTGCCACCACACCTGGCTAATTTTGTATTTTTAGTAGAGATGGGGCTTCACCATGTTGGTCAGACTGGTCTCAAACTCCCGACCTCAGGTGATCTGCCTGCCTCGGCCTCCCAAAGTGCTGGGATTATAGGTGTCAGCCACCGTGCCTGGCCATAAAAGATATATATATAATTTTTTTTTTTTTTTTAGACAGAGTCTTGCTCTGTCATCCAGACTGGAGTGCAGGGGCACGATCTCAACTCACTGCAACCTCCACCTCCCGGGTTCAAGCAATTCTCCTGCCTCAGCCTCCCAAGTAGCTGGGATTACAGGCGTCTGCCACTAGGCCCAGCTAATTTTTTTTTATTTTTAGTAGAGGCGGCGCTTCACTGTGTTGGCCAGGCTGGTCTCGAACTCGACCTCGTGATCCGCCCACCTCCCACAGTGCTGAGATTATAGGTGTGAGCCACTGTGCCCAGCTGCCCAGGCTGTTATTGAACTCCTGACCTCATGTGATCCCCCTGCCTTGACCTCCCAAAGCTCTAGGATTACAGGCATGAGCCACCGTGCCTAGCCTATTTTTAATTTTTATAGATATATAATAGTAATATATATTTATGGGGTACATGAGATATTTTGATATAAGCATGTGTGTATGGGTAATTAGGCTATCCATCTCAAGCACTTATCATTTGTTTGTATTGGGATTATTCCAAATCTACCTTTCTGGTTATCTTGAAATATACAATGAATTATTGTTAACTATAGTCACCCTATTGTGCCACCGAACACTAGATCTTATTCCTTTTTTTTTGAGACAGTGTCTCACTCTGCAGGCTAGAGTGCAGTGGCACAATCTCAGCTCAATGGAACCTCCACTTCCTGGCTCAAGCAATGCTCCAACCTCAGCCTCCCAAGTAGCTGAGAACACAGGTGTGAGCCACCACGCCCAGCTCATTTTTGTATTTTTTTATAGAGACAGCGTTTCACCATGTTGCCCAGGCTGGTCTCGAACTTGTGAGCTCAAAGTGATCTGCCCACCTCAGCTCCCAAAGTGCTGCGATTACAGGCATGAGCCACCACGCCCGGCCTAGATCTTATTTCTTCTATCTAATTCTGTTTTTATACCCATTAACCAGTCTCTCTCTCCCCCATCCCCTCTACCCTTCCCTGCCTCTGGTAACCACCATTTTATTTATTACCTCCATGAGATCAACTTTTTTAGCTCCCACGTAAGAGTGAGAACATACAACATTTATCTTTCTGTGCCTGGCTTATTTCACTTAACGTAATTGTCCTCCAGTTCCATCCATTTTGTTGCACATAACAGGATTTCTTTCTTTTTCATGGCAGAATAATCTTCAATTGTGTATATACACCACGTTTTCTTTATCCCTTCATTTATTGATGGACATTTAGTCTGATTCCATATCTTGGGGATTATAAATAGTACTGCAATAAGCATGACTGATTGATTTGCTGATTTCCTTTCTTTTGGATATGTACCCAACAGTGGGATTGCTGGATCGTATGGTAGTTCTATTTTTTTTTTAATAGACGGAGGCTCACTCTGTCACCAGGCAGGAGTGCAGAGGCACGATCTCAGCTCACTGTAACCTCCGCCTCCCAGGTTCAAGCGATTCTCCTGCCTCAGCCTCCCAAGTAGCTGGGATTACAGGTGTGTATCACCATGCCCAGCTCATTTTAGTTTTTGTTTTTGTTTTTGTTTTTGTTTTTTTAGTGGAGACAGGGTTTCACCATATTGGCTGGGATGGTCTTGATCTCTTGACCTCATGATCCACCTGCCTTGGCCTCCCAAAGTGCTGGGATTACAGGCATGAGCCACCGTGACTGGCCCGGTAGTTCTATTTTTAAGGGTGTTTTGTTTGTTTTGTTTTGTTTTTTAAGTAGAGACACAGTCTTGCTGTGTTGCTCAGACTGATCTGAAACTCCCAGCCTCAAGCAATCCTCCTGCCTTGGCCTCCCAATGTGCTGCATTACAAGCATGAGCCACCTCATTTGGCCTATTTTCAGTTTTTTAAGGAACCTCCATAGTGTTTTCCACAATGGCTGTACTAATTTCAGGTTTTTGTTTGCCCCCAATTTTAAAACTATTCACCTAAGTGCCTCTAATCCCAGCACTTTGGGAGGCCGAGGCCGGTGAGGTCAGGAGCTTGAGACCAGCCTGGCCAACATGGTGAAACCCCATCTCTTCTAAAGATAGAAAAAATTAGCCAGGCATGGCTGGCCACGGTGGCTCACACCTATAATCCCAACACTTTGGGAGGCCGAGGCAGGCGGATCACCTGAGGTCAGGAGTTCGAGATCAGCCTGGCCAATGTGGTGAAACCCCATCTCTACTAAAAATAAAAAATTGGCTGAGCATGGTAGCAGGCGCCTGTAATCCCAGCTACTCAGGAGGCTGAGGCAGGAGAATTGCTTGAACCCAGGAGACGGAAGTCGCAGTGAGCCAAGACTGTGCCACTACACTCCAGCCGGGGTCACAGAGCGAGACTCTGTCGCAAAAAAAAAAAAAAAAAGCCAGGCATGGTGACAGGCACCTGTAACCCCAGCTACTCAGGAGGCTGAGGCAGGAGAATTGCTTGAGCCTGGGAGGCGGAGGTTGCAGTGAGCCGAGATCTTGCCACTGCACTGCAACCTGGGCAACAGAGCAAGACTCCGCCTCAGAAAAAAAAAAAAAAAAAGAGGCCAGGCGTGGTGGCTCACGCCTATAATCCCTGCACTTTGGGAGGCCGAGGTGGGTGGATCACCTGAGGTCAGGAGTTCAAACCAGCCTGGCCAACATAACGAAACCCGAAACCCGGTGTCTACTAAAAATACAAAAAATTAGCTGGGCGTGGTGACCCACGCCTATAATCTCAGCTACTCAGGAGGCTAAGGCAGGAGAATCACTTGAACCTGGGAGGCGGAGGTTGCAATGAGCTGAAATCGTGACACTGCACTCCAGCCTGGGCAACAAGAGCAAAAGCTCTGTCTCAAACAAACAAACAAACAAAAAAACCAACAACAATATGGAGTAGAGGAAAGGTGGCACATGGGCTAAGGTGAAAAGATAAAAGTGATGTTTTCCCTTTGGTCTAATGAACTTATTGCCACAGGGCAGAGAAAAATAAACATTTTCATACCCTCACATCTTTGCAAATAATTGAGTCCTGATTAATTGAAGTAGAAAGGCAGCTTTAAAAACAGATAGACTATGAGGTGTTAGTATGAAAGCCTTTATGTTTTAATTCAGAGGGCTGTCCCATGCTTAGATTCTCTCTCCTGTAGCAACTCTTACCAAGGAGGAAAAATGTAGAGGCCTGATAGAAGAGAAAAGATACCTTTTAACCATCTTAGTCCACCTGGCTAAAAAGATTTTTAGGTGTCTTTAGCTTTACCCCCACCTCAGTGTTCAGCTGGATCATTTGAGGCCAGGTGGGAACTGGGAATTAAATATTGTATTTGTTCAGACTCTTGACTAGCTCCAGGTAAGGTTGAACCTTTGGCTTTAAGCCTCAAGTTCTACATTTTTTTCTTCCCCGTGTGCAAAGGTGCTCTCGCCAACAAAGTGAAGAGGAAAGACACACTGGCAATGAAGTTGAACCACAGACCCAGTGAACCAGAGTTGAACCTGAATTCTTGGCCTTGTAAAAGCAAGGAGGAGTGGAATGAAATACGGCACCAGATTGGAAACACACTGATCCGGTAGGCCTTTGCTTAGATTTGCTTGATTGATTTGGTTATGCCAGTATTTGTGTTAGATGTTGTTAGATGTGTTGTTTTTTTGTGTGTGTTTTGTTTCGTTTTCTGAGACAGGGTCTTGCTCTGTCACCCAGGCTGGAGTAGTGGCGCGATCTCGGCTCACTGTAACCTCCACCTCCCAGGTTCGAGCAATTCTCCTGCATCAGTCTCCTGAGTAGCTGGCGTTATAGGCACCTGCCACCACGCCAGGCTAATTTTTGTATTCTTAGCAAAGACAGCGTTTCGCCATGTTGGCCGGGCTGGTCTCGAACTGCTGGCCTCAAGTGATCACCCACCTTGGCCTCCACAAGTGCTGGGATTACAGGCATGAGCCCCTATACCTAGTCTATATGTTTACTTTGTTGTGGAGTATTCATTTATCTTTTTTAGTGTGATTTTTTTTTCTTTTCAGACAGAGTCTTGATCTGTCACCCAGGCTGGAGTGCAGTGGTTCAATCATGGCTCACCACCTCCAACTCTTGGGTTCAAGGCACCCTCCCACCTCAGCCTCTTGACTAGCTGGGTCCTCAGGCATGCGCCACCATGCACTGCTAATTTTTGTAATTTTTTGTAGAGACAGGGTCTCTCTGTGTTTCCCAGGCTGGTCTCAAACTCATGGCCTCAAACATTCCTCCCACGTTGCCCTCCGAAAGTCCTGGGATTATAGGTGTAAGCCACCACACCCATCACTTTGAGTATAATTTTAAAAAATACATATTGGGTTTTGCATGAAAGGAGAGAAGGTTAGCACTCCACTTGACAAGGATGGAAGAGGCCCTTTGGGCCTGACAACACACATACAAGGCATTGCCACCTACTACGTGGCATCTAACTATCTTTACAAAAAAAGAAAAAGAAAAGAAAAGAGGCTGGGTGCAGTGGCTCATGCCTGTAATCCTAGAACTTCGGGAGGCTGAGGTAGGCAGATCATCTGAGGTCAGGAGTTCAAGACCAGCCTGACCAATATGATGAAACCCCATCTCTACTAAAAATACAAAAATTAGCCAGGCATGGTGGCATGCGCCTATAGTCCCAGCTACTCGGGAGGCTGAGATCGGAGAATTGCTTGAACCCAAGAGGCAGAGGCTGCAGTGAGCTGAGATCGCGCCACTGTACTGCAGCCTGGGCAACAGAGTGAGACTCCATCTAAAAAAAAAAAAAAGAAAAGAAAAGAAACAAAAAAATATATATTGGACACAGTTGGGTATCCTCTAAGAATTTGGAAATTGAAGATGTAGCTGCCTGTGAGAGTTTTATTTTATTTATTTTATTTTTGAGATGGAGCCTCGCTCTGTCACCCAGGCTGGAGTGCAATGGTGCAATCTCGGCTTACTGCAACCTCTGCCTCCCGGGTTCAAGTGCTTCTCCTGCCTCAGCCTCCTGAGTAGCTGGGACTACAAGCTCATACCACCACACCTGGCTAATTTTTGTATTTTTAGTAAAGATGGGGTTTCACCATGTTGGCCAGGCTGGTCTCGATCTCCTGACTCAGGTGATCTGCCCGCCTTCGACTCACAAAGTGCTGGGATTACAGGTGTGAGCCACCACACCTGGCCAGCCTGTGAGAGCTTTAAACCATGAGATAGACATATGGTTTTGCAAAAGTTTCTACATAAATCAGAATGGTTCCCAGAACAGAAAGGCTCCTCTGTCACTTTTTTTATCTGGTTGCTTAACCATAAGATGCCAACCCAATTAACAGTCACACCCATATTTGCATTATATCTGTTTCATATGTTCCGTGTAACTGCCTCCTTTCAAAGTGTTGGTATATTTTTCAAGTCAACTGGAACCAAAAGTATAGAGAAACTGAATGCAAGCCAGCTTTCTGCATATGTAACAGTGTAAGAATCCAGGTTGTATAGATGGGTTTTTGTTTGACACAGATGTTTCTCCCAGTAAAGAGAGGATAAGGAGCTGGAACTCGTGGCACAGTTCCCTACAAAATAATTAATTGATCATGTCTACTAATTAAAATTTCTTTTTCTGTACTATTGCAGATACCTGGTTTTGGCTGGGCAAGGTGGCTCACACCTATAATCCCAACATTTTGGGAGGCTCACTTGAGGTGGGAGGCTCACTTGAGCCCAGGAGTTTCAGAGCAACCCGGGCAACAAAGTGAGATCCCATCTGTACAAAAAATTAAAAAATTAGCTGGGCATGGTGGCACATACCTCTAGTCCAGCTATTCTGGAAGCTTAGGTAGAAGGATCACTTGAGCCTGAGAGATCAAGGCCGCAGTATGCTGTAATTGCACCACTGCACTCCACCCTGGGTGACAGAGCAAAACCCTGTCTCAAAAAAAAAAAAAAAGAGACACCTGGCTTTACTGTGTATGCTGTACCTCAGGGCAAGTTTTCCCTTTGTCTTCTAATAGACACTTTTTGGATCCAGAAATTGTTCTCTGCAATTTCTTTACTTAAACATAATTATCAGCCTGTATGACCTCTGTGGTCTGACTACTTTGAAATTAAGGGAGAAGGCTGGGCACGGTGGCTCACTCCTGTAATCCCAGCACTTTGGGAGGCTGAGGTGGGCGGATCACTTGAGCCCAGGAGTTCGAGGCAACATGACAAGACCCTGTCTCGACAAAAAAACAAAAAACTTAGCCAGACATGGTGACACACGTTTATGGTCCCAGCTACTCAAGAGGCTGAGGCAGGGGGATTGCTTGAGCCCAGGAGGGGCTCAAGGTCGGCCCAGGAGGTCAAGACCCAGGCGATCAAGGCCCAGGAGGTCAAGACTGCAGTGAGCTGTGCTCATGCCCCACTGCACTCCAGCCCAGTCATCAGAGCAAAACCTTGTCTCAAAAAAAAGTAAAGAAAGACATGTTTATTATATGGTAGTTTGAAAAATTACAAAAAAAAGAGATAAATCATGGCCGGACGCGGTGGCTCACGCCTGTAATCTCAGCACTTTGGGAGGCCGAGGCGGGTGGATCATGAGGTCAGGAGATCAAGGCCATCCTGGCTAACACGATGAAACCCCGTCTCTACTAAAAATACAAAAAAATTAGCTGGGTGTGGTGCTGGGCCTGTAGCCCAGCTACTCGGGAGGCTGAGGCAGGAGAATGGCATGAACCTGGGAGGTGGAGCTTGCAGTGAGCTGACATCGTGCCACTGCACTCCAGCCTGGGTGACAGAGCAAGACTCCGTCTCAAAAAAAAAAAAAAAAAAAAAGAGAGAGATAAATCAGCCATAATCCTATACCCTATAAGCCAGGATTTGGCAAACTTCTTCTGTAAAGAACCAAATAGTAAATATTTTAGGATAGGGTGCAGTGGCTCATGCCTATAATCTCCGTACTTTGGGAGGCCAGTGTGGAAGAATTGCTTGAGGCCAGGAGTTTGAGACCAGCCTGGGTAACATAGTAAGACTCTATCACTACAAAAATAAAAATAGGTCAGGCACAGTGGCTCACACCTGTAATCCCAGCACGTTTGAAGGCCGAGGCAGGTGGATCACATGAGATCAGGAGTTCCAGACCAGCCTGGCCAACATGGTGAAACCCCATCTACTAAAAATACAAAAATTAGCCAGGCGTGGTGGCGCCCACCTGTAATCCCAGCTACTCAGGACACTGAGGCAAGAGAATCACTTGAACCCAGGAGGCAGAGGTTTCAGTGAGCTGAGATCACACCATGGCACTCCAGTCTGGACGACAGAGTAAGACTCCATCTCAAAAAATAATAAATAAAATAGCCAGGCATGGTAGCATGCCCCTGTAGTCCTAGCTACGTGGGAGGCTGTGGCAGCAGAACTACTTAAGCCCAGTAGTCTATATACTAGACAGGGCATAAATATAGTTATATTTAATATATTTAATATATGTGTGTATGTGTATATATATGTGTGTATGTGTATATATATGTGTGTATGTGTATATATGTGTGTATGTGTATATATATGTGTGTATGTAATATATATGTGTGTATGTAATATATATGTGTACGTGTGTGTATATATGTCCATATATATATATGGATTTGATGGCCATATAAACTCTCTCTTTTTTTTTTTCCTACCTTTAAAAATATAAAAACATGGGTCGGGCGCAGTGGCTCATGCCTGTAATCCCAGCACTTTGGGAGGCCGAGGCGGGTGGATCACGAGGTCAGGAGACAGAGACCATCCTGGCTAACACGGTGAAACCCCATCTCTACTAAAATTACAAAAAATTTAGCCGGGTGGTGGCAGGCACCTGTAGTCCCAGCTACTCGGGAGGCTGAGGCAGGAGAATCGCTTGAACCCAGGGGACAGAGGTTGCAGTGAGCTGAGTTCACACCACTGCACTCCAGCCTGGGCAACAAGAGCAAAAGAAACTCCGTTTCAAAAGAAAATATAGTTTATACATACAGTGGAATATTATTTAATCTTAAAAAAGAAGGAAATCCTCCAATATGCTAACAACATAGTCAAACCTTGAGGACATTAATATGAGTAAGCCAGTCACAGAACAATAAATACTGCATGATTCCACTTCTGCGAGGTATCTGAAATAGTCACATTTATAGAAGCAGAGAGTAGAAAGATAGTTGTCAGGGGCTCGGGATTGAAGGCAGGGGTGATAGGGAGTTGCTAATAAATAAGTATAAAGTTTTAGTTATGCATGATGAGTAAGTTCTAGAGATCCACTGTACAACATTGTGTTTATAGTTAATACTGTAGACTGGGCGCGGTGGCTCACGCCTGTAATCCCAACACTTTGGGACACCGAGGCAGGCAGATCACGAGGTCAGGAGGTCAAGACCAGCCTGGCCAACGTGATGAAACCCCATCTCTACTAAAAATACAAAAATTAGCCGGGTGTTGTGGCAGGCACCTGTAATCCCAGCTAGTCAGGAGGCTGAGGCAGGAGAATTGCTTGAACCCGGGAGGCAGAGGTTTCAGTGAGCCGGGATCCCGTGCCACTGCACTCCAGCCTGGGCAACAGAGTGAGACTCTGTCTCAATCAATCAGTCAATAGTTAATACTGTATTGGCCAGGTGTGGTGGCTCATGCCTATAATCCCAATACTTTGGGAGGCCGAGGCAGGCGTATCACGAGGTCAGGAGTTCCAGACCAGCCTGACCAACATGGTGAAACCCCATCTCTACTAAAAATACAAAAATTAGCCGGGTGTGGTGGCGCATGCCTGTAATCCCAGCTACTCAGGAGGCTGAGGCAGGAGAATCGCTTGAACCTGGGAGGCAGAGGTTGCAATGAGCCAAGATCACGCCACTGCACTCCAGCCTGGGCAACAGAGTGAGACTCTCCATCTCAAAAAAAATAATAATAATACTGTATTGTACACTTAAAAGTCTGTTCAAAAGGTAGATCTCATAGTAAGTGTTATCACTATAAAATAAGATTGAAATTTAAAAAAACACACACAATAAGAGACCACCACGAGTACACTAGGATGGCTAAAGTTATGCAATTTAAAAGACTGACAAGGCCGGGTGTGGTGGCTCACCCCTGTAATCCCAGCACTTTGGGAGGCCGAGGCAGGCAGATCACCTGAGGTTGGGAGTTCGAGACCAGCCTGATCAACATGGAGAAACTTCATCTCTACTAAAAATACAAAATTAGCTGGGCGTGGTAGCACATGCCTGTAATCCCAGCTACTTGGGAGGCTGAGGCAGGAGAATCACTTGAACCGGGGAGGCAGAGGTTACAGTGAGCCAAGATCGGGCCACTGCACTCCAGCTTGGGCAACAGTGCAAAACTCTGTCTCAAAAAGAAAGGAAAGGAAATAAATACAGGAGTGATATGTTCATTCTTGCAATTGTGATGATGATTTCACAGGTGATATATGGCAAAAGTGGCCAAATTGTACATGTTAAGTATGTACACAGTTGTACATATTTACAGTATTATTGTGTCAGTTATATCGTATTAAAGCTGGTTTGTTTTTTGTTTTTTGTTTTTTGTTTTTCCGAAGAACATTTAAAAAGGAAGGCCCAGGCCAGGCATGGTGGCTCATGCCTGTAATCCCAACACTTTGGGAGGCTGAGGTAGGAAGATCACTTAACGTCTGGAGTTCAAGACCAGCCTGACCAACATGCTGAAACCCCATCTCTATTAAAAGTTAGCTGGGCCTAGTGGTGCATGCCTGTAGTCTCAGCTACTCAGGAGGCTGAGGCAGGGCAATCACTTGAACCCAGGAGGCTGAGGTTGCAGTGAGCCAAGGTGGCGCCAGTGCACTCCAGCCTGGGCGACAGAGTGAGACTCTGTCTCAAAAAAAAAAACAGGAAGGTCCAGCTGGGTGTGGTGGCTAACATCTCTAATTCCAGCCCTTTGGGAGGCTGAGCTGGGGGAATCACTTGAGCCCAGGAATTTGAGACCAGCCTGGGCAATATGGCAAAACTCCATCACTACCAAAAATAAAAAAATTAGCCAGCCCAGTCTCTAAATAAATAAATACATACATACATACATACGTACTTTTTAAAAAATAAAATGGGGCGGGGCACAGTGGCTCACGCCTGTAATCCCAGCACTTTGGGAGGCCGAGGCAGGCGGATCACAAGGTCAGGAGATTGAGACCATCCTGGCTAACACGGTGAAACGCCATCTCTACTAAAACTACAAAAACTTAGCCGGGCATGGTGGCACGCGCCTATAGTCCCAGCTACTCGGGAGGCTGCGGCAGGAGAATCTCTTGAACCTGGGAGGCGGAGGTTGCAGTGAGCCGAGATCAAGCCACTGTATTCCAGCCTGGGCGGCAGAGCAAGATTCTGCCTAAAAAAAAATAAAAATAAAATAAAAATAAATAAATAAAATGGAAGATCCTTGAGGTAGGAGGATCATTTGAGCCTAGGAGGTGGAGCTGCAGTGAGCTGTGATCGCACCACTGCACTCTAGCCTGGGTACAGAGTGAGACCCTGACACACACACAAAAAAAAAAAAAAAAAAAGGAAGGTCTTGTTCAGAAAGAAAAGTTGTATATAGAATGGGACTGGAAGTTCCTTATGCAAGCAACAGAAGAGTTGAAAATTTTGCAAGTACTAGCTAATTAGCCCAAATACTGTCTGAGAAGTATAAATTAAAAGTAAGAAATGAATAACTTTCTGATTTCAAAAATGACAAATTGTAGTTTTTTGTTGTTTTTTTTTTTTTTTTTTTTTTTTTTGAGATGGAATCTCACTCTGTCGCCCAAGCAGGAGTGCAGTAGCATGAGCTTCAGCTCACTGCAACCTCCATCTCCCAGGTTCAAGCATTCTCCTGCCTCAGCCTCCCGAGTAGCTGGGACTACAGGAGCACGCCACAACATCCGGCTAATTTTTGTATTTTTCAGTAGAGACAGGGTTTCACCATGTTGGCCAGGCTGGTTTTGAGTTCCTGACCTCAGGTGATCCACCTGCTTCAGCTTCCCAAAGTGCTGGGGATTACATGCATGAGCCACCACACCTGGCCAACAAATTGTTATTGGTGAATAACATCTCAGAACTGTGATGAGGTGAGATAACTTTATCAAATGCTTCACAGAGAAGACTGAGATTTAAATCATAGAATTATAGAATATCACACAGAAAGAGACAAACTTAAATTCCAGTGGTTCCTAAACCACTGATTTAAAAACCTAGCTGGGCATGGCCAGGCGTGGTGGCTCACGCCTGTAATCCCAGCACTTTGGGAGGCCGAGGCAGGCGGATCACAAGGTCAGGAGATCGAGACCATCCTGGCTAACACGGTGAAACCCCGTCTCTACTAAAAATACAAAAAATTAGCCAGGCGTGGTGGCAGGCGCCTGTAGTCCCAGCTACTTGGAAGGCTGAGGCAGGAGAATGTCATGAACCCGGGAGGCGGAGCTTGTAGTGAGCCGAGATTGCACCACTGCACTCCAGCCTAGGTGACAGAGCAAGACTCCATCTCAAAAATAACCTAGCTGGACATAATGGCTTGCGCCTATAATCCCAGCAGTTTGGGGGGCCAAGGCGGGAAGATAGCTTGAGCCCAGGAGGAGTTCAAGACTATCCTGGGCAACAGAGTGAGACCCTCATCTCTATTTTCAAAAAATTGTAAAAAAAAAAAATCTAAAGAGGGGCATCTGAGTCATAGAAGAAGTTTTGTGAAAAAAAAAATCTATATATAGATATATGTAATTTCATTTTTCATCCTGATTTTCTGAATCAGAATTTCTGTTAACGTTTCTTGGGAATCTGTGTTTTCTAAAAAGTCTCTAATGCTTCTGAAGGAGCAAATTTGTTTAGGAGCCACCAGTTCGGTCCAAACCTTCGCTTCACGGATGAGGACACTCAAGGTCTAACTGAACTTTTTTGTGCTAATAGCTCTTATCAAGGTCTAGAACTAGAATCCTGGCCACTTGTTTGCATATACAGTTCCTTTTTATAATGTGATATCTGTGTTAACACTTTTAATGTGAAATTGTTTTATAAACAATCATAAATAAATGAAATATATCAGTTTGAAAATTTGTTGATTTCTTACTTATATAGGGGCTAATATATACTGTGACCAAAAAAATCTTTATAAACAAGATTGGGAGGTTTAACATAAACATTACCTTTATTTATCTCATTTTTAGGCGACTGAGTCAAAGACCAACACCAGAAGAACTAGAACAACGCAATATATTGCAACGTGAGTCCAGTTATGGAAATAAAGTTGTATAGATTTTCTTTGTATGTTTCTGACTTTAATATACATAAAAGAAAAAAGAAGCGTTTGCTACAAGGGCTAAGGGAGAGTGTTCCAGCCAGGCAAGGACTATTTATTTCCCCATGAAGGAACAGAGCTTACCAAGCTTCCTTTGGAAGATGCTATTATGGTATTGTTTAGTGTGCTGTGATACTCTAGAAAGCTTTGTTTCAGTGTTCTCACTGTATCCTGGAACTGCCTTGGGCATTTGGGAGGCTTTGACAGTATATGGGAGATGTGCCCAATTTTTCTGTTTTCAGGGAGCTAAGGAGGTAGCTGTGCATATGGAGACCTTCCTATTCCTAGAATGTGAGGGCTGGGGCCCAAAGCAAGTCCCAAATGCAGCAGCTTTTCTCTTGGTTTAATCCCTTAAGACTTTCTTACCTCTGTAGTTACCAAATGGGACCATATATTTAATTTGCTGTCTGTGTACATAATTAATTTCCTGAAATAGCATTCTAATCTAGTACATATTTCATTTGTTTTTCCAGAATATAGAGTGAAATTTGGCCTTAAAAGTCTCCTCACTGAGAAGGTTTGGGCTTCCTTGGGGCTATTTGTGAGCATGTTCAGTCTGACCAATCCATCCCCTGTTCTCTCAGCACTACTTGGGTATACACAACTTAATAACTTAGTACATTTTCTAGTGTGGGAGCCCTTATAACGTATCACACAAAACTCAGTGTGATCACCATTGTCCATTCTTAGCAGTTACTCTTGAGCAAGAATCTGCAGGCTTTTCCTTAAAGCATACATAGTAAACATTTTGGGTTTTGCAGGCCAAAAAGCAAATGAACAACTATACGTAATAGGTCCTTACAAAACCATTTAAAAATGTGAAGACTATTCTTAGTTCATGGGCAGGAAAAATACAGGCAACTGGCGAGATGTGGTGCCATAGTTTGCTGACTCTTGCTTTTAAGTATTTGTATCGTTGACAAGAAAATTGTTTTGTTTAGCCATCCCCAAAGTTAGTATTTTATTCTGATTTGGGCCTATAAGAAATATCTGGGCCGAGGCGAGTGGATCACAAGGTCAGGAGATCGAGACCATCCTGGCTAACATGGTGAAACCCCGTCTCTACTAAAAATACAAAAAAATTAGCCGGGCATGGTGGCGGGCGCCTGTAGTCCCAGCTACTCGGGAGGCTGAGGCAGGAGAATGGCGTGAACCCGGGAAGCGGAGCTTGCAGTGAGCCGAGATTGCGCCACTGCACTCCAGCATGGGCGACAAAGCAAGACTCCATCTCAAAAAAAAAAAAGAAAAAAAAAGAAATATCTGGGCTGGGCACGGTGGCTCACGCCTGTAATCCCAGCACTTTGGAAGGCCGAGGCGGGTGGATCACCTGAGGTCAGGAGTTTGAGACCAGCCTGACCAATATGATGAAACTCTGTCTCTACTAAAAATACAAAAATCAGCTGTGCATGGCATGTGCCTGTAATCCCAGCTACTCGGGAGGCTGAGACAGGAGAATCGCTTGAACTCGGGAGGCCGAGGTTGCAGTGAGCCAAGATTGTACCATTGCACTCCAGCCTGGGCAACAAGAGCAAAACTCCGTCTCAAAAAAAAAAAACAAAAAAGAAATATCTGTAATGTAATTACTAAAACGTTTGATATGCAAATTGTCATTTGTGAGTAATATTCCTTCCTTCTGATTGTCAACTGTAGCTAAAAATGAAGCTGATCGTCAGGCAGAAAAACGAGAAATTAAACGTCGGCTCACTAGAAAGGTACTACTGCCTGTGTGTTCAGTTAACTATATGTGTTATATTTGGATGGCCTATTTGATTGGAAATGAATTCACAGCTGGGCACAGTGGCTTGCGCCTGTAATCCCAGCACTTTGGAAGGCCATGGCAGGAGGATTGCTTGAGCCCAGGAGTTCAAGACCAGCCTGGGGAAAACAGTGAAACCTTGTGTCTACATTAAAAAAAAAAAAAAGAAGAAGAAAGAAAAGAAAAAGAAAAAAATGAATTTGCAGCCTGGGCAACATGGCAAGACCCCACCTCTACAAAAAAAAATATATATTAGCCAGGCATGGTGGTATGCGCCTGTAATATCAGCTACTTGGGAGGCTGAGGTAGGAGGATCATTTGAGCTTGGGAGGTTGAGGCTGCAGTGAGCTGTGATTGTGCCACTGCACTCCAGCCTGGGTGACAGGGCAAGACCCTGTCTCAAAAAAAAAAACAAAACAAAAAACCACCTGATAACCATAATCACTGGGGGTGGGACCTCCAGGGATCAATAGTGTCTAAAGCTCCCCCAGGTGATTCCAATGAAGATTGAAGCACTGGGTTAGAGGCAATTTGAATGCATGATTGATGCCTAATTATTGGCTTGGTGAACTAAGAGGCTCCGTTTCCTTCAGCTCAGTCAAAGGCCAACTGTCGCTGAACTCCTTGCCAGGAAGATTCTGAGGTTTAATGAATATGTAGAGGTAACAGATGCTCAAGATTATGACCGGCGAGCCGACAAACCTTGGACCAAACTGACCCCTGCTGACAAGGTACCTGGAAAGCACTCTCTTGCTTTTTTTCTCTTTCTCTTTTTCTCTTTATTTGGAGGATCCAAGATACTAACTAGAAGGGAGAACCATAAACAAAACTTCTAGTTTTAATATAATATTAAATTTCAAATCAAGATACAAAATGCCAAGTTGAACAAGTCAAAATGTTATACTAACTCAGTATGTTTTGGTAACTCCACCACCAATACTGAAAGAAAGAAAATCCCTGCTATCTCACAGAGTAAAAATACTGGAAGGAATAAATACATTTCAAACAGTGGTTGTTTGGTTAGAGGGAGTTTGGGCTATATATTTTAGTAATTACCAATATTTCATTTTTATAATGCTGTGAAAAACTATAAAAGCTGGCCAGGCGTGGTGGCTTATGCCTGTAATCCTAGCACTTTGGGAGGCCAATGCAGAGGGATCACTCGAGGTAAGGAGTTCGAGACCAGCCTGGCCAACATGGTGAAACCCCATCTCTACTAAAAATACAAAAATTAGCTGGGTGTGATGGCATGCACCTGTAATACCAGCTACTTGGAAGGCTGAAGCAGGAGAATTGCTTGAACCTAGGAGGTGGAGGTTGCAGTGAGCCAAGATCATGCCAATGCACTCCAGCCTGGGCAGCAGAGTGAGACTCCACCTCAAAAATAAAAATAAAAAATTAAAATTAAAAAAAAAACAAAACTAGCCAGGTGCAGTGGCTCACACCTGTAATCCCAGCACTTTGGGAGGCCGAAGCAGGTAGATCTCTTGAGGTCAGGAGTTCAAGACCAGCCTGGCCAACATGGTGAAACCCTGTCTGTACTAAAAATACAAAATAGCCGGACGTGGTAGTGCGCACCTGTAATCCCAGCTATTCGGGAGGCTGAGGCAGGAGAATCGCCTGAACCCAGGAGCTGAAGGTTGCAGTGAGCTGAGATTGCACCACTGCACTCCAGCCCCAGCAACGGAGCGAGATTCCATCTCAGGGAAAAACAAAAATAAAAACAAAACTATAAAAGCTACAATATATCTTTCAAGATTTTCAAGTATTTTGATTAAACTAAAAATTTTAGGTTTATTATGAGACAGATGGGTATCATTGTGTTGACCTGGTGTCTGGGTTGCCTGTGAGGGGTTGCAGTGACTTACAAAGTTAAACACAGTACAGAAAAATGACAAGTTACACTGCTGTGCAAAGCAGCCAGAAGAAGCTGAAACATTTTTGTCTCTACTCCACAGGCTGCCATAAGAAAAGAATTAAATGAATTTAAAAGCTCCGAGATGGAGGTTCATGAAGAGAGCAAACATTTTACACGGTAAGACCCAAAAGACCCAATCATATATGTGCTAGGTAGAGTTTTCCAAAAAATTGTTCAGATATGAAGGGCTCTAATGACATCAGTAAAAAGGAAAACACTCAGTGTTGATTGCAAGACTGCATTCAAAGGGATGAAAAGTAAGAAGCAATAGTAAATGCCTAGGCCAGGTGCGGTGGCTCACGCCTGTAATCCCAGTACTTTGGGAGGCTGAGGCAGGTGGATCACCTGAGGTCAGGAGTTTGAGACCAGCCGGACCAACATGGCAAAACCCCATCTCTACTAAAAATACAAAAATTAGCTGGGCCTGGTAGCAGGCGCCTGTAATCCCAACTATTAGGGAGGATGATGCGGGAGAATCACTTGAACCCGGGAGATGGAGGTTGTAGTGAGCTGAGATCATGCCATTGCACTCCAGCCTGGGTGACAAGAGCAAAACTCCATCTCAAAAAAAAAAAAAAAATAAGTAAATGTGTATTCTGATTATGGCATTTCATGTATATTATTTAATCCTTGTAATAAACATGCAAGATGTGTTAACATCCCCATTTTATCACTGAGGAAATGGAGGCTCACAATGGTTAAGTAACTTGGTTGACTTGCTAGTAAATTGCAGAACCAGGATTCGGAGAAAGAAATCAATGACTTCAAGGATGTGAGGTGCTCTCTTCCTTGTACCTTACTCTCTCAGGTTATAAATGAGGAGACTGTGCTAAGTTAGACAAGATCTTGCCCTCTCTGGTTCAGTTCTGTCTAGCACAGTTGATCTTACCAACTTAATGTATAAACAACATTTTAATTAGCTGTCTTCATGAAACAAGCCAAGAAATCCAACAAAGCCAACAAGCCAACAAATCAAGTGTTTTGATTTGGAATTACGGTTGTGATTAAGGACCCACCCATATCCAAAGAATCAGCTAGCCACAAATGGAATCAGTGAAAGTATCTTTACATGATTCTTAGAACATTTACAAAAAGAGGCAAATGAGGCTGAGTGCAGTGGTTCATGCCTGTAATCTCGACACTTTGAGTGGCTGAGGCGGGAGGATCGCTTGAGCACAGGAGTTTGACACCAGCCTGAGCAACATAGTAAGACTCCATCCCTACAAAAAAAAAAAAAATCTATTTTTTGATTTAGGCAGGGGCCTGGTGCAGTGGTACACACCTGTAATCCTAGCACTTTGGGAGGCCGAGGTGGGAGGATCACTTTGAGACCAGCCTGGGAAACACGGTGAGCCCCATCTCTACAAAAAATAAACTTAAAAAAAAAATAAGCAAGGTGCAGCCAGGCGCAGTGGCTCACACCTGTAATCCCAGCACTTTGGGAGGCTGAGGCAGGTGGATCACTTGAGGCCAGTTGGAGACCAGCCTGGTCAACATGGTGAAACCCTGTCTCTACTAAAAATACAAAAATTAGCCGGGCATGGTGGCATGCCTGTAGTCCCAGATACTTGGGAGGCTGAAGCAGGAGAATCACTTGAACCCCGGAAGCAGAGGTTGCAGTGAGCCGAGATCGCGCAACTGCGCTCCAACCTGGGCAACAGAGCAAGACTGTCTCTCAAAAAAAGAAAAAGAAGGACCAGCTTAAGCAAGACGATGGGAGAGAGGAAAACACATGGTGTTTCTGGGTAACAGAAAATGTAGCTGGATCAGAGGATGTTTGGGGCAGTGTGGTGAAAATAAACTAGAAAATGGGTTGCAGTCCCTCGCAATGCTTTGACTGTTATGCTAGGATGTTGGAACCATTGGCAGTTCATAAGCAGGAAATTCTGTGTATTTCAGAACAAGCTCTGATGCAAACAACAAAGATGATATGGAAGGATGAAGAGACTAGCAGCAAGGAAAACAGGAAGTATCTGAAATAATCTTAGTGAGCATAGTGGTAGCTCACACCAGAGATAGTGAGAATGCAAAGGTGATAGATTTGTAAGACATTTCAAGCATAGAATCAACAAGATGTGGCAATTTGTTGGATTCCAGAGATGAAATAAAGGAGTAGTCAAAATGACTCTGATATTTTTAACTTGTATTTTTTGAGGTCTTTGAAGGTGATAAGTTTAGCTGAACAGTTTAGTTTATTCAACAAATACTGAGCACCTACCACGATAGGTATAGTGCTAGGTCCTTGGGCTACAGCAGGAAATAAGATAAAGTCTCTGTCCTCAATGAGGCTTTATTCTTTTTTTTTCTTTTTTTAATAGAGATGGGGTCTCACTATGTTTCCCAGGCTGGTCTTGAATTCCTGGCCTCAAGTGATCCTCCCATCTTGGCCTCCCGAAGTGTTGGGATTACAAGTGTGAGCCACTATGCCTGGCCAAGCTTTTATTCTAAAAGAAGAAGGCAGACAATGAACAAGCTAGAAAATAAATTGCATGTGTTTAGTTTGAGGAGCCTATGACACATGGAGATACCTAGAAGACCATTAGATATGCAGCCTAGAATCCAGAAAGAAAGCAAAGTCTCAAGATACAAATGAAAGAAGATAGTGGACCTTTAGGGGGGATTTTATTTTTATTTATTTATTTTTTTTTTTTTTATTTTTTGAGACAAGGTCTCACTCTGTCACCCAGGCTGGAGTGCAGTGGCATGATCGTGGCTCACTGCAGCCTCAACCTCTCATGTTCAAGCCATCCTCCCACCTCAGCCTCCTCAGTAGCTGTGACTACAGGCACAGGCCACCACACCTGGCTAACTTTTTGATCATTTGTAGAGACAGGGTCTCCGTATGTTGCCCAGGCTGCTCTCAAACTCCTGGTCTCAAATGATCTTCTCACCTTGGCCTCCCAAAGTGTTGGGATTGATTACAGGCATGAGCCACCGTGACTGGCCAAGGAAAGTTGTTTTTTATTTAAAGGGTAGACAGAGGAAAATGAACCAGGACAGCATACTGAGAAAGATCAATTGAAGAAGAGAGAAAATTATGGAAAAGATAGTGTTACAGAAGCCAAGAGAAGAGTTCTTTTTTTTTTTTTTTTTTTTTTTTGAGACGGAGTCTCGCTGTGTCACCCAGGCTGGAGTGCAGTGGCGCGATCTCGGCTCACTGCAAACTCCACCTCCCAGGTTCACGCCATTCTCCTGCCTCAGCCTCGCGAGTAGCTGGGACTACAGGTGCGCGCCACCACGCCCAGCTAATTTTTTGTATTTTTAGTAGAGACAGGGTTTCACCGTGTTAGCCAGGATGGTCTCAATCTCCTGACCTCTTGATCCGCCCGCCTCGGCCTCCCAAAGTGCTGGGATTACAGGTGTGAACCATTGCGCCCAGCCGAGAAGAGTTTTAAGAAGGAAGCAGATGAGGAGTATCAGATGCAACAGAAAGGTCAGGTCGAATTAGAGCAGAGGAAAGGCAGTGTTAATTAGGTATAACATTTCATTACTACTGATACATTAATAGCAAAGCAATGTACATCATGTGGTAACTTGTCTCTTTTTTAATCTCTTTTAGCTACCATCGTCCATGATGCCAAAGGTTGAGAGAGGAATCAACATGGCTGCTTTGCTGCTTCCTTCTCCAAAGTGACATATGGAGGGAACTTTAGCACTTCCCAGCACAGCCAGAATTGCATCCTCTGGGATCTTCTGAGGTGGACAGCACTTTGAATGTAGCATTTCACTGGAACAGAGTCTTATGTGCTGCACCGGGGGCAAAACAACACTTTGTCAGTGCTTTTGAACCTTTCAATATTGTAGCATGCTTGAGGAGTTTTTCCCTTACTGGCCACCAAAGTTCTGAACCACTTGCAGGTTCCAGGTTTTACTGGCTGCACCACACCCCTTCCCCTAGATGACTGCCTGTGCAGAGACACAGTTTGCACCATTAGCCTTACCTGCCCTGCCCTGATTGTGAGACCCAAATGTGTAGGCTCTAAATTCCAGCCATCAAATCCAATTCCTGGTGGGGAAAACCTTCTGGAGACCCCCAACCTTCTGATAAAAGAGTCTCTACCTCCAGGGAAAGCCTTCTTACCACACTGGCATATCAGATGAAAGCATTGCACTGTACCTCTCGTAACACAGCAATACAGTCCTCTTGAGGCACTCAAGCCTGAGAGGAAGCTCAGGATCTGACATGTTCTTCCTTTTCCTCACAAGTCATCATGATTTTTTATTTTAAAATAATCTGGAAGTAATGGGAACTTAGTTTTTCCTGAACTCCAACCAGAATCCAAATTGGTTAGATGAGGCCAGGCGCGGTGGCTCACGCCTGTAATCCCAGCACTTTGGGAGGCCGAGGTGGGTGGATCACCTGAGGTCAGGAGTTCAAGACCAGCCTGGCCAACATGGTGAAACCCCATCTCTACTAAAAATACAAAAATTAGCCAGGTGTGGTGGCGCCTGGTTGAGGCATGAGAATCGCTTGAACCCAGGAGGTGGAGGTTGCAGTGAGCCAAGATCATGCCTACTGCACTCCAGCCTGGGCAACAAAGTGGGACTCTGTCTTAAAAAAAAAAAAAAAAAAAAAATCGGTTAGATGAGAAAGCATGTATATTTTCTATATACAAAAACAAGAAAGGCGTTTTGAGCCCCTGTGCTCAGGCCCACTCCCACACTGTGGAGTGTACTTTCATTTTCAATAAATCCCCTTATTCCTTCCTTGCAAAAAAAAAAAAAAAAAAAGCCTTAGCCAGATTCAGTGGCTCACGCCTGTAATCCCAACACTTTGGGAGGCTGAGGCGGGTGGATCACCTGAGTTCAGGAGTTCAAGACCAGCCTGGCCAACATGGCAAAACCCTGTCTCTACTAAAAAGTAAAAAAAATTAGCCGGGCATGGTGGCTTGTGCCTTGTAGTCCCAGCCACTGGGGAGGCTGAGGCGGGAGAATTGCTTGAACCTGGGAGGTGGAGATTGCAGTGAGCCGAGATCGCGCCACTGCACTCCAGCCTGGGTGACAGAGCGAGACTCCGTCTCAAAAAAAAAAAAAAAGCCTTAATATTAATGCTAACGTGGCAGAAAACTAGCAGGTTACATTTTATAGGCTATTGTAGTTTTATTTACCAAATGATATTCTCTAAATCACTTCGACCAATAAATGTATTCTCCTCCTTAAAGCAGAGTTGTATCAACTCTGTGGGAGCATTTATGAGCTGTCAGTCCCCACACTTCTAGCCAGAATCACAATAAGGTCTGGCTGGGTGTGGGGTGCTGCATAGGAAAGGGTCTCTGGAGAAGCAAGAAGGGCACAATCATGGCCCACTGCTCCCCTCTTCTTCTCAGTGCTCTTTGCCCTCTCCTGCTGCGTGCTTCCTCTTCACTCCAGTGCTGATCCTCCTGCTCTCTCTGGCAGCTTCCACCTCACCCGCCCCTCTTCCACACTATAACCAGTATGGTTGGTGCTGGGGCATTGACTCAGCCCCCCTGCTTTCTGCATTTGTAATAGATATTAATATGATTTCCTAAAACAGAAGATTTTGTTGCTTTCTTTGAACTTGTATTGAAAACCATACAGTCTCACTGTTTTGCTTTAATTCCTATCCACACTATAAATGGAAGAAAAAAATTAATAGCTTCTGTTTAATCTGATGAATGTGGCTTTTTTTCCCTTCACTTTAATGTTCAAGAAGTTGTGGCTATTTCATAGATTTCTTCTGATTTATTCTGTGGGTCCCTGTTATCTGTTCTTTATGTAATCTTTCAGTAGATTTTCATCCTTTCATATCCACATTCTTATGTGGACTTGCTGAAGAAACAGAATATCAGTTCAAAACAAAACCTAGGCCAGGCATGGTGGTTCACGCCTATAATCTCAGCACTTTGGGAAGCCAAGGCGGTCAGGAGTTTGAGACCAGCCTGACCAACATGATGAAACCCTGTCTCTACTAAAAATACAAAAATTAGCCTGGCGTGGTGGCACGCATCTGTAATCCCAACTACTCAGGACGCTGAGGCAGGAGAGTCGCTTGAACCCAGGAGGCGGAGATTGCAGTGAGCCAAGATTGCACCACTGCACTCCAGCCTGGGCAACAGAGCGAGACTCCATCAAAAAAAAAAAAAAAAAAGAAGGAAGGAAGGAAAGCAAGCCCTGAATCCACATCTCCTTGAAGTTTTTTTTGTTTTATTTTGTTTTTGAGACAGAATTTTGCTCTTGTTGCCCAGGCCGGAGTGCAATGGTGCAATCTCAGCTCACTGCAACCTCCGCCTCCCGGGTTGAGGCGATTCTCCTACCTCAGCCTCCCAAGTAGCTAGGATTACAGGCATGAGCCACCACGCCTGGCTAATTTTATATTTCTAGTAGAGATGAGGTTTCTCCATGTTGGTCAGGCTGGTCTCAAACTCCCGACCTCAGGTGATCCACCCACCTCAGCCTCCCAAAGTGGTGGGATTACAGGCATGAGCCACCGTGCCGAGCCTTCCTTGAAGTTTTTTGTTTGGTTTTGATTTGTTTTGTTTTGTTTTGTTTTGTTTTGTTTTTGGAGATAGGGTCTCACTCTGTTACCCATGCTGGAGTGCAGTGGCACAATCTTGGCTCAGAGCAACCTCTGCCTCCCAGGCTCAAGCAATCCTCCCACTTCAGTCTAAGTAGCTGGGACTACAGGCACGTGCCACCAGGCCCAGCTAATTTTTGTGTTTTGTTAGAGATGAGGTTTTGCCATATTGCCCAGGCTCGTCTTGAACACCGGGGCTCAAGGAATCTGCCCATCTTCGCCTCCCAAAGTTCTGAGATAGCAGGTGTGAGTCATCATGCCCAGCCTCCTTGAAGTTTACTAACAATTGGGATAACTGAGGGAAGAGAAGTGACAATTCCACTCAGTCTATTAGAGGTCTGGATATAAGGTAGCCACACAATAACTCTAACTTGACTTCTAACCATTCTATCTTATTGATTTGGAGGCTGTCTTCTGCCAGATTTTTTGTGGCTTGAGATGATATTTTCGAACCCTTCTTTCACTACCTTTCTTACCCTTAATGTGCCAAGCTTGAAACAGGATTTGATTTCCTGAGCTACTTGTTCGCCTTCTGTGCGTCACCAAGTAATCTGGTTCATCTTTCGTCTCATTCATGTTATTTTCAAGTGAAACAAGACATTTTGGGGGTCAAGTCTCTTTGGGTGTTTTGTTTTTATGTATATAAAAATGGATTTTGTGTTCCCTTTCCATGTAAGTACCAACTTATATGGAAACTCACAATCATAATGTAAAGAAGAAATGAAAGCCTGGTGTATTGTACTTCAAGATGCCTCCCTGATGTATAGAATCTCCTTGTAAAATAAATAATTGCATTGTATATCAGTCTTCTCATCAATATTAATTATTAAATATTTTAGAATTTTTAAATACCAACTATACTATTCTGGTGTGAGGTATTTTCTTTTACATTACACTCTATCCCAAAAGATTAAATCCAGCTTAAAAATGATATGTAAGCCAGGTGTAGTGGCTCACACCTGTAATCCCAGCGCTTTGGGAGGACAAGGCAGGCGGATCACCTGAGGTCAGGACTTTGAGACCAGCCTGACCGACAGGGAGAAACCCCATCTCTACTAAAAATACAAAATTAGCTAGGCGTGGTGACACATGCCTGTAATCCCAGCTACTCGGGAGGCTGAGGCAGGAGAATCACTTGAACCCAAGAGGCGGAGGTTGCAGTGAGCTGAGATCGCGCCACTGCACTCCAGCCTGGGCAACAAGAGCAAAACTCCGTCTCAAAAAAAAAAAAAAAAGAATTTATATTAACCACATATAATTGGACCCCCAAGATGACATTACAAAAGGACACTTAGTACTTTTTCTTTTTTTTTTTTTTCCCCAGGACGGAGCCTTGCTCTGTCACCCAGGCTGGAGTGCAGTGGCATGATCTCGGCTCACTGCAACCTCTGCCTCCCGGATTCAAGCAATTCTCCTGCCTCAGCCTCCTGTGTAGCTGGGAGTACAGGCGTCTGCCACCACCCACGGCTAATTTTTTGTATTTTTAGTAGAGACGGGGTTTCACCATGTTGGCCAGGCTGGTCTGGAACTCCTGACTTCAGGTGATCCGCCTGCCTCAGCCTCCCAAAGTGCTAGGACTACAGACATGAGCCACTGCACCCGGCCCAGGACACTTAGTACTTCATGTTATCTTTTCCAGCAAGCAGCCCAGTTTCAGTCCAGGTGGCCTCAGCAATGACTCACTTCTATTTGTCACTTAAGAGACTGGCCTTGTTTAGTGCACCACCCTTTACCAAGAGTTAAAAGAAACCATGAGTCAGAACTCCTTGTGTCCACCTGCTTCCAGATTGTCCTTCTACTAGCCCTCCAAAGAAGCCTCAAATTGCTATTGCCCTTTTGAGGTTAAATTGTCTCCAGAAAGCTGTTTTGAAGATGAAGATTGCCCAGTGTTTGCCAAAACAATGAATGAATTTTGGGTCTCTGTGGATTTATATAACTGTACCCCAGGAAAAGGCAGGTCCAGCCCGGTGCAGTGATGCACACCTGTAGTCCCAGCAGCTTGGGAAGCTGAGGTGGAAGGATCAGTTGAGCCCAGGAGTTCAATACCAGCCTGGGCAACATAGACCTTGTCTCTTGAAAAAAGAGGAGCAGGTCCAATGGACACTGAATAGGCAAAGGATGAAATAATAAGCATAAAAAGATGACAATGTGCAACAAAGAAAATCCTATCCTTGAAGCCAAAATACAGCCAGCACCACTGTTTCAACGTTCTATTCCATTTCAGCCCTAGGAGGCATGAAGGGAAAACCAGGAATGACCAGCAACCCAGACCTCTTGCTCCATCTGTCATTTTGTGTGGATATTGTTAATTTCTTCCCCAAAGAATTTTGCCTCCTATGTAGAGCATAGAGGTCATCTGACAGGAACAAACAGCTTTAATGTTCCTTCATTTGGCACTGAGGACACACAGTCCTCAGTGAGGATTGTGGGAGGGGGAGCATTAAATAAATTATTTAATGCTTACCTCCTTCCTACCCTCACCCGCAACAAAGACACAATCTTCCCGTGACCCCAATTTCTCTTCAATCTATTACCCTCTCTCCTGCTTTTCCTATACTCCCTTCACACAATCTATTCCAATGTTAAACAACCCAAGTTCTCAGGCCAGGCAGCTGGGCTAAATGATTGACAGAGGAAGAACTAGTGATGGAGATGTAAACTGAACAGGCTTCTTGGCCTTGCTTCATAACCTCTGGTCTGTGCACATTGTTTTCCCTACCTAAGGCCATATTCACTCAGCTCATTAAAATCTAAACGAAATCCAAACCAATATGGCTTTCCTGTGGTCACCAGGGATTTCTCAGCCTTCGGTTATTGCACTTGGCTGCTTTGCAACATTTGGTGCTTTGGACAATGTTCTAGTCCTCAAAACTCTTCTTCCTTGGCTTCTGAGGCACCGCTGTCTTCTGGTTCTCCTTCCCTGACTGACCTTTCTCTGTGCTGCTGGCTTCTTCCTCGAACACCATTTAAATGCTGGGTTTTCGGCCAGGTGCGATGGTTCACGCCTGTAATCCCAGTACTTTGGGAGGCCGAGGCAGGTGGTTCACCTGAGGTCAGGAGTTCGAGACCAACCTGGCCAACATGGTGAAACCCCATCTCTACTAAAACTACAAAAAAATTAGCTGGGTGTGGTGGCATGTGCCTGTAGTCCCAGGTACTTGGGAGGCTGAGGCACGAGAATTGCTTGAACCCGGGAGGCAGAGGTTGCAGTGAGCCAAGATCACAACACTGCACTCCAGCCTGGGTGACAAGAGTGAGACTCCATCCAAAAATAAATGAATAAAATAAAATAAATGAATGCTGTGTTTTACCGGGTGTGGTGGCTCATGCCTGTGATCCCAGCACTTTCGGAGGCCAAGATTGGCAGATCGCTTCAGGCCAGGAGTTCAAGACCAGCCCGGGCAGTATAGTGAGAGGCCATCTCTACCAAAAATTTAAAAAATTAGCTGAGCATGGTGGTGCATGCCTCTAGTTCCCGTTACTCAGAAGAGGCTGAGGTGAGAGAATCGTTTCAGCCCTGGTGGTCCAGGCTGCAGTAGTCCTGATCACACCACTGCATTCCAACCTCAACAACAGAGCGAGATCTTGTCTCAAAATAAAATAAATGCTGGGGTTTCATGTCTTCCCATCACTCTCCTCATTCTTCCAAGACGACTTTAGCCACCATGCTAATTCTTACAACTTCTAAATATTTTATCACCAACTCAGATTTCTTACAGGAAGCCCAACCCCATATATCTAATTGCTCTTTGGACTTATATACAACCAGATGTTACTCAGGTAACTCGTATATACTCCAATGTGGACATTACTCCTCCCCCACTGCCTGCATTTCCACTTATCAAGGTTAGAGACCATAGTATGTTCAGCCTCCTAAGCCTGAAACTCTGGTATCCTCAAGTTCTTCTCTTACCTTGCAATTCCAGTGGGACGACAAACCCTACATCAGAAATGTCTTTTTTTTTTTTTTTTTTTTTTTTTTTTGAGATAGGTTCTTGCTCTGTTGCCCAGGCTGGAGTGCAGTGGCATGATCACGACTCACTGCAGCCTCCATCTCCTGGGCTCAGGTGATCCTCACACCTCATAAGTAGCTAGGATTACAGGAATGTGCCACTACACTCAGCTAACATTTTTTTTAAAATTTTGTAGGCCGGGGTCGGGCGCAGTGGCTCAAGCCTGTAATCCCAGCACTTTGGGAGGCCGAGGCAGGTGGATCATGAGGTCAGGGGTTCAAGACCAGCCTGACCAACATGCTGAAAACCCGTCTCTACTAAAAATACAAAAATTAGCTGGGCATGGTGGCGGGCGCCTGTAATCCCAGCTACTCAGGAGGCTGAGGCAGGAGAATTGCTTGAACCTGAGAGGCGGAGGTTGCAGTGAGCCGAGATCGCACCACTACACTCCAGCCTGGGGGACAGAGTGAGACTTCATCTAAAAAAAAAAAAAAATTTGTAGGCCGGGCACGGTGGCTCATGCCTGTAATCCCAGCACTTTGGGAGGTCAAGGCGGGCAGATCACGTGGTCAGGAGTTCAAGACCACCCTGGCCAATATGGTGAAACCCCGTCTCTACTGAAAATACAAAAATTGGTGGGGCATGGTGACACTTGCTTGCAGTCCCAGCTACTCGGGAGGCTGAGGCAGGAGAATTGCTTGAACCCAGGAGGCAGAGAATGCAGTGAGCCAAGATCGAGCCACTGCACTCCAGCCTGGGCAACAGAGCAAGACTCCATCTCAAAAAAAAAAAAAAAAAGAATTGCTGCGATAGTAAATAATGTACGTAATAAAGCATTCAGAACAAAATCTAATATGTAGGAGGAACACCATAAACGTTACTACTCAAGATAGCCCAGCTGTGATAGCTCTGTCTCTCTAGCCAACGTTTTTCCACCTTACACCACACTAAAAATTCCATCATATTTGCAACATTTCTTATGTATATATATCGTAAGCATTCTTTACTTGCCTACTTCATATTCAGAGGGTTTTGTGTGTGGTAAAATATACATAAAACTTGCCATTTTTAACTAGTTTAAAATGTATAGGGGGCCAGGTGTGGTGGCTCAGGCCTGTAATCCCAGTACTTTGGGAGGCCAAGGCGGGCATCACTTGAGGTGAGGAGTTCGAGAGCAGCCTGGCCAACATGGTGAAACCCGGTCTCTACTAAAAATACAAAAATTAGCCGGGCATGGTGGCATGCCTATAGTCCCAGCTACTCGGGAGGCTGAGGCAGGAGAACTGGTTGAACCTGGGAGGTGGAGGTTGCAGTGAGCCGAGATCACACCACTTCCTTCCAGCCTGGGCGACAGAGCGAGACTCCGTCTCAAAAAAAAAAAAAAAAAAAAAGTCCAGGTGCGCTGGCTCATGCCTGTAATCTCAGCACTTTGGAGGCCGAGGCGGGTGGATTGCTTGAGGTCAGGAGTTCGAGACCAGCCTGGCCAAGATGGTGAAACCCCGTCTTGCTAAAAATACAAAAATTAGCCAGGCACGGTGGCGGGCGCCTGTAATCCCAGCTACTGGGGAGGCCGAGGCAGGAGAATCGCTTGAACCCGGGAGGCCGGGGTTGCAGTGAGCCGAGACCGCGCCATTCCACTCTAGCCTGGGTGACAGAGCAAAACTCCATCTCGAAAAAAAAAGAAAGAGTATAGGGCAGTGCTTTTAATTACATTCATTCACACTGTTGTGCAATGGAGTTTTTTATTTTTTATTTTTATTTATTTTTATCCGGGCCAGGCCTGGAGTTTTTAAACTTTTATCTGATTCGTCTAGGGGCACTTTCATCTTATTTACCTTCACATTTATCAAATTATTTCTTTCACAGGTGACAGAGCAGATTCAATTCCTTTTGATACTCCGTATTTCTCTATATGTATTTTTTTCATTCTGCATTCTTATTATTCCAACGTTTTACTTATTTATTTGGAGAGAGAGTTTCGCTCTGTCGACCAGGATGGAGTGCATCGGCGCGATCTCGGCTCACTGCAACCACCGCCTCCCAGGTTCAAACGATTCTCATGCTTCAGCCTCCCGAGTAGCTGGGACTGGAGGTGCGCGGCACCATGCCTGGCTTATGTTCTGTATTTTTTGTAGAGACGGGGTTTCGCCATGATGCCCAGGCCGGTCTCGAACTCCTGGCCTCAAGCGATCCGCCCCTCACGGCCTTCAGAGCTGCTGTAATCACAGGCGTGAGCCACCGCGTTCGACTCTTCCAAAAACTTTTTGGCCAGTTTATCTAAGGGCATATCCTACAGACTGAGTCCAGTGATTGCACAGAAGTAAACGTCCTCTGCAGCTACATACCTACAAACCTATTTCTGTAACGTACATTCCCCAGCAAGGTCCCGCGGGAAGGATCCACTACCGCGAGAGGCCTCCCAGCCAGGAAGGGGTGGGGCTCAATCTGCAGTAGATTCCCAGAAGCCTCAGTGAGTTTCTGATTCTCTAACTGCGCATGCTTCTGCGCACGCGCAATAGACATTCCAGGACTTCCGGGCACTTCGTAAGGTTTAAAAAGGATGCTTCGCGTTTTCTCTCTCCTTTTTGGAGACAGATTCGCAGTGGTCGCTTCTTCTCCTTGGTAAGTGTGATCCTTGGTAAGTGTGATCAGATGCTTGCCACCGGAGTTGTGGGTCTAATGCTATAGATCAGTAGCCGAGCTTCCCTAGGAAGATCATATAGTATTTTATTTATTTACTTTTTTTTTTTTTTTGAGACGGAGTCGGTTTGTCACTCAGGCTGGACTGCAGTGCTCGTTGCAACCTCCGCCTGCCGGGTTCAAGCGATTCTCGTGCCTCAGCCTCTCCAGCAGCTGGGATTACAGGCACGTGCCACCACGCCCGGCCAATTTTTGTATTCTTAGTGGAGACGGGGTTTCGCTATGTTGGTCAGGCTGGTTTTGAACTCCTGATTTCCGGTGATCCACCACCCTCGGCCTTCCAAAGTGCTGGGATTACAGGCGTGAGCCACCGCGCCTGGCCGGAAATCATGTAATTTAAAACTATATATGGGTGTCTTAGGCGGCATCGGTCCCAACTCTAAAGTACGCGTTAGACGGGCCTGGGCCAGAAGTGGGCCATGGAGACCTCGGGACCCGCAGGGCTGCCGCCCGACCCAGCGAGCCTCTGAAGGTGCACCGCCACCCCCACTGTTTATCTTACTGCCTCATAGTAGGCACATTGTCGTTCTCAATATAATTGCACACAGTTTTATTCTGGATCCTCATTTGCCTTTAAGAATTTTCTCAATTTTTCTTTTTATTTGATCGCACCACTGCAACCTCCGCCTGCTGGGCTCAAGCAATTCTCCTGCCGCAGCCTCCCGAGTAGCTGGGACTACAGGCGTGTACCACCGCGCCTGGCTTATTTTTGTATTTTTAGTAGAGACGGGATTTCACCATGTTGGCCAGGCTGGTCTCCAACGCCTGACCTTGTGGTCCGCCACGCCAGGCCGAAGATTTTCATAATTTGGAAGCATTGCGTTTCGTAATTATGCTTTCTCGTATTTTTGTGATTTGGGTCATTTTTATTTTTATATTTTTAGGATTACAGGCGTGAGCCATCGTGCCTGGCCGATTTGGGGGTAATTAACAAGTCCACGTGTTTCATTTGAATTTAGGATAGCTGGGCCTAATTGTTGTCTTTGCTTCTGCGGTACCTTCCACATAGTACTAACCGCCTATTGTAAAGTAATTAGAATAGCTGAATATGCATGTTACCAGTCTAGAAACCGATTTTTTTTTAACACCCCACTGTGGACAGGGTGGAAACTCGTTTGCTTTCTTGTTTAAGATCTGTAGTAACATGAATGGATGAAATTGTTTCCTATTGGATTCTGTAAATTTATGCGTTACACTGATTGTCCAACGTGGATACACCCGGGAGGTCACTCTCCCCGGGCTCTGTCCAAGTGGCGTAGGGGAGCATAGGGCTCTGCCCCATGATGTACAAGTCCCTTTCCACAACGTTGGAAATAAAGCTGGGCCTCGTGTCTGCGCCTGCATATTCCTACAGCTTCCCAGAGTCCTGTCGACAATTACTGGGGAGACAAACCATGCAGGAAACAGCCTTCTAGAGCACTGAATCTGGATTGAAGTCTTTTTTTTTTTTTTTTTTTTTGGAGATGGAGTCGCTCTGTTGCCCAGGCTGGAGTGCAGTGGCGCACTCCATTGCCTCTGCCTCCCGGGTTCAAGTGATTATGCTAAGTGATTCTCCTGCCTTGGCCTCCTGAGTAGCTGGGATTACAGGCCCCCGCCACCACGCCAGGCTAATTTTTGTATTTTTAGTAAAGACAGGGTTTCACCATGTTGGTCAGGCTGGTCTCAAACTCCTGACCTTGTGATCCGCCAGCCTCTGGCCTCCCAAAATGTTGGGATTACAGGCGTGAGCCACCACACCTGGCTGGATTGAAGTCTTAATACATGTTTAAGAAAAATTGGCTAAAAAGTAGCCAGGCATGATGATAGGTAGCTGGAGGAAGGAGAATCGCTGGAGCCCAGGAGTGACCTATACTCAAACCTATACTCCAGTGCCACTGTACTCCAACCCCAGGCGATAGCATGAGGCCCCTCGTTGAAAAAGTTTAGGGTTTTGCTGTACTAATAGATTAATATCTTGTTTTGCAGGATTTGTTAAGGATTCCAAGTAACTCTTATTTGGTGAGTAAATCTGCTAATTGTTTTTTGCTTATCAGCTCTTTGTCAATGATTTCTGTAATGGAAATAGGATTGAAGAGACTTTTATTCTAGTTGGTCAGGATTTACCTCTGAGGCATTTAATCATTCTCAGAGCAATAGCCAAATATCGACTTTGCTGCATTTTTGTAGGCATGTTGACATAACTTCAACATATGCTCTGTTCTGTAAAAATTGCTTTTTTTAGTCAGCTCATTAAAAGTGCAAAGTAGTAAAAGCTGCCCTAGTGAACTGTAGGAAGCCTAATTGGCTTTATCTACATGTGTAGCCTGAGCTGAGAAAGATACTAGCCCTTGAAAATACTGTGGGTGATTAGCAATATTGGATTTGTCGGTTACTCCAATTCCTCACTAATGAGCATTCCAACGTGGATACCCTGGGAGGTCACTCTCCCCAGGCTCTGTCCAAGTGGCATAGGGGAGCTTAGGGCTCTGCCCCATGATGTACAGTCCCTTTCCACAACGTTGAAGATGAAGCTGGGCCTCGTGTCTGCGCCTGCATATTCCTACAGCTTCCCAGAGTCCTGTGGACAATGACTGGGGAGACAAACCATGCAGGAAACATATCTAGTATACTAGATTTTAAGTTGAAGTAGGATCTTCAGGAGTCTAATCATTATTTCTTTTCTTTTAGGAGAGAAGACGATCTGCACTTCGCATTTTGGCATTGACATTTAATTTTAGGGTCCTTTATATAGAAGGGAGAGTAGGTAAACTGATTTTTTTTTTTAACAGGGAGGGTTTGACAATCTTTGGCAGACTTGGAGCAAAAGATTGAGGTGCATTTCATGCCTCCTTTTGAGAGTCTTGCTCTGTCGCCCAGGCTGTAGTGCAGTGGCGCAATCTTGGCTGCAACCTCAGCCTCCCAAGTAGCTGGGATTACAAACATAAGCCACCACGCCCAGCCCTCATACCTCTTTTAAAAGTCGACCTGTTTTGCAGAAAGTCTGCTGTTTTTGTACTAAAGGCTTTGGAATTTGGCATTTAGCTAGGAATGCACATTCTTTCACCTCATTCATACTTTAAGAACCACAGAAGTGACTCTGCTTGGCCAGAAGGCACACTGTGTTGGTGGTTATATTAAAAGTCCTTGAGTATTTTGCTTTTCATGATCTTGCTCACTGCAACTTCCGCCTCCCAGGTTCAGGCGATTCTCCTGCCTCAGCCTCCCAAGTAGCTGCGACTACAGGCGTGTAGCACCACACCTGGCTAATTTTTGTATTTTTAGTAGAGATGAGGTTTCACCATATTGGCCAGGCTGTTCTCAACTCCTGACCTCGTGATCCGCCCACCTCAGCCTCCTAAAGTGCTGGGATTACAGCTGTGAGCCACCCTGCCCGGCCACTTTTGTATGATTTCTAATGTATTTGTAATTTACCTAACAAATTGCCTAATCTGCTATGTTAATGTATTTATGAATTAAAATAAATACGACTGCATGTTTGTGGTTCATTTTTGTGGAGGTGGCTGTGGTGACATCAGCCAAGAATCTGAATGGTACTGTTGAAGGAAACTAGCATGATAGCTTCAGTTCTAAAGGCCCTGAAACCTAGTCTCAGGTGGGTCCCCCTTGGGTTCACTTTATATTGGCAGTTTATTGGGAAAATGGATATTAGGTCCTGACCAATAGGACCGTAAGTCTGGGTTGAGTGCAAGATGAGTTAGACCGATTCTTTAGCTTCCTGCAGTGTAGTGGAGGAAAAATCGATGGTAGCAACGGGAGGTTGTATCCCTAGCTGATGAGTTGTATGAGCCTCTACTACCTGGCGCACCTCCGCCTGAAGATTGCCAGAATTGCTTGCCTCATGACGTGAGTCACAATGGAAACTTTGTCAAGCCCCCTGCACTGGCTGCCAACATAAATGTTCAGTACCCTGAAGGATGGGACTGAAGGGGGATCATCTAGAAGGTAAAGTTACCTACTGGCATAGGGGAGGTGGGACAGCCGTTAAGCCATTTGGAACTTGATGGAGACAGGTTTGAGGGAGGTGGGTGAGATTGGAGTTTGGTGGACTGTAGAGCTTGCTTGCCAAGGTGTTGAGGTCAGGGTTGGTTTGAGAATGGAAGCTAGTTACTAGCTATGATTGTGGGGGAACACAGCTTGATTTTTCTTACAAGCTAAGAGGAGTGAGGCAGTGTTTAAGAGGGCATGTTAAATGCAGCCAGGCTTGGTGGCTCACACCCGTAATCCCAGCACTTAGGCTAAGGCAGGCGGATCACAACATCTAGAGATCCTGGCCAACGCGGTGAAACCCTGTCTGTACTAAAAATACAAAATAACTGGGCATGGTGGTGTGCACCTGTGGGAGGCTGAGGCAGAATTGCTGGAACCCGGGAGATGGAGGTTGTACTGAGCTGAGACCTTGCCACTGCGCTCCAGCCTGGTGACAGAGTTAAGTCTCAAAAAAAAGGCATCTTCCTAAAGCAATTGTATTTGTGCTTACCTGTGCCAGGCACTGTTCTAGGTAAGCACTAAGTGGGCTTTAATACAGCATATTCCAATGGGGAATCCCAGGAACCAAAAGACTAATTGTCCAAGTCCACAACTAGAAGTGGCACCTCTGCAGAAACAAGCATCAAATTCCCTGCTCAGGAAGAAGCCAGATGAGTCAGCCCCATTCGTCTGTATGCCCAGTCCCATCCGTGTCCTGCTGTAACTACATAGATCTCACCTGAGTAAAGTGATTTTTTTCTGAACCAGTGGTTTTAGTATGTTTTCAATCCATATACTCAGGTGGGTTTGGGTAACTGCAGTGCTGGGCAGGAAATGAATGAATTTCTATTGACTTGCAAGGTAGAGGTGAAGCAAAGCTGTCAGTAGGTGTTCAGGTCCCACTCTGCTAAACTTCAGCTTGCAATACCCCTTTTTTAGACTTTCCAAACAGGCACTTCTGGCCTTGTTCTTTGTGTAGGCAGACAGTATTGGTTGCCTATCTTAGGAGTACTAGACTGGGTTTGAATCCTGATCCCACCACTTGCTGTTCATGAGACTTTGGGTGAGTTACTCAGCCCCTCTGCCTCAATTTCATGTTCACAAAATAAGTGATAAACTACCTCATAGAGTTGTAATAAGGACAAAGGAGTTGGTATTTGTGAAAAGATTCTTAGGGTCTCTAGATGGAGTGCAGCAGCATGATCACTTATTAAATAACATTCTTTTGTGACTTCTCAGAAACCAAGGATACAGTATCCAATTTTTTGTTTTTTGTTTTTTTTTTTTTTTGAGAGGGAGTCTCGCTCTGTCGCCCAGGCTGGAGTGCAGTGGCACAATCTCAGCTCACTGCAAGCTCAGCCTCCCCAGCAGCTGGGACTACAGGTGCACGCCGCCACACCCGGCTAATTTTTTTGTATTTTTAGTAGAGAAGGGGTTTCACCATGTTAGCCAGGAAGGTCTCCATCTCCTGACCTCGTGATCCGCCCACCTCGGCCTCCCAAAGTGCTGGGTTTACAGGCGTCAGCCACCATGCCCAGCTTTTTTTTTTTTGAGATCTAATCTCACTCTGTCTCCAGGAGGGAGTGCAATGGAGCCATCTTGGCTTGCTGCAACCTCCACCTCCCGGGTTCCAGCAATTCTCCCACCTCAGCCTCCCAAGTAGCTGGGATTACAGGCGCACGCCACCATGCCCGGCTAATTTTTTTTGCATTTTTTAGTAGAGACGGGTTTCACCATGTTAGCCAGGCTGGTCTCGAACTCCTGACCTCAAGTGATCCACCTGCCTCAGCATCCCAAAGTGTTGGGATTACAGGCGTAAGCCACTGCGCCTAGCCTCAAGCCTGATCCTTTTTTTTTTTTTTTTTTTTGAGATGGAGTCTTTGCCTCCCAGGCTGGAGTGCAGTGGCGTGATCTCAGCTCACTGCTACCTCTGCTTCCTGGGTTCAAGCGATTCTCCTGCCTCAACCTCCCAAGTAGCTGGGATTACAAGCGCCTGCACCGCACCCGGCTAATTTTTGTGTTTTTTTTTTCAGTAGAGACAGGGTTTCGCCATGTTGGCCAGGCTGGTCTCAAAACTCCTGACCTCAGGTGATCCACCACGCCCGGCAGAGCCTTGATCTCTTAACCACTATCCTCACCTCCCCTTTCCCTAAGGATCCACAATGGCCTCACTGGCTCTTGAAGGCAGGCTGGCACCTTGATCATTCTTCCTGGTCATTAGTATTCTGATCTGGTTATTTTCCATTTTATGTCCATCTAACCTACTTGGAGGATCCTCAAGAGACTGCATATGTAAACTCAGTACTTATTCTTGTACTGTGCCTGCCATATAGCAAGCACTGGCTGATTTAATTTTTCTGTGTTCTTTTTTATTGATTTGTTTTTATCTTTATTATTTTCTTTGCTTATTTTGGGGTTAGTTTGCTCATCTATTCCTAGTTTCTTAAGCTAGTAGCTGAGCTCATTGATTGGAGACCTTTCTTTTTTTCTAATGTAGGCATTTAGTGCTATAAATTTCCTCCAGATACTGTTAACAACACACAAATTCTGGTATGTTTTGTTTTCATTTTAATTCATTTCAAAATATTTTTGAGTTCCTTTTCTATTCTTTGATCTATGGGCTACTTGAAAGTGTATTATTGTTGTTGTATTAGTGTTGTTCAAATCTATCCTTGCTAGTTTCTTTTTTTTTGGAGACTGCGTCTCCAAAGGCTGGAGTGCAGTGGCACAATCTTGGCTCACTGCAAGCTCCGCCTCCTGGGTTCACACCATTCTCCTGCCTCAGCGTCCCCAGCAGCTGGGACTACAGGTGCCTGCCACCATGCCCTGCTAATTTTTTGTAGAGATGGGGTTTCACCATGGTCTCAATCTCCTGACCTTGTGATCCACCCGCCTCGGCCTCCCAAAGTGCTGGGATTACAGGTGTGAGCCACCGCGCCCAGCCTCTTTTTTTTTTTTAGACAAGAGTCTCACTCTGTTGCCAAAGCCAGAGTGCAGTGGCACAATCTCAGCTCACTGCAACTTCTGCCTCCGGAGTAGCTGGAATTACAGTCACGCACCACCACGCCCAGCTAATTTTTTTGTATTTTTAGTAGAGATGGGGTTTGCGCGGCTGAAGTGCAGTGATGCGATCTCAGCTCACTGCAACCTCTGCCTCCCAGGTTCAAGCAATTTTCATGCCTCAGCCTCTGGAGCAGCTGGTACTACAGCATGCACCACCATGCCTGGCTAATTTTTTTGTATTTTAGTAGAGATGGGGTTTCACCATGTTGCCCAGGCTGGTCTCAAACTCCTGAGCTCAGGCAGTCCGCCTGCCCTGACCTCCCAAAGTGCTAGAATTACAGGCATGAGCCACCGTGCCTGGCCTTATTTTAAAATTTTATTTCTTGTAGGTAACATGTTGGGTTTTTCAGTATGACAGTCTATGTCTTTTAATTGGAGTGTTTAGGCTATTTACTTTTTTTTTTTAAGACAGGGTCTCACTCTGTCACCCAGGCCAGAGTTCAGTGGCAAGATTATGACTCACTGCAGCCTTAAACTGGAACTCCTGGGCTCAAGCCATCCTCCCAGCTCGGTCTCCTGAGTAGTGAAGACCACAGGCATGTGCCACTATGGCTGGCTAAATTTTGTATTTTTTGTAGAGACAAGGTCTCATGATGTTGTCCCAGCTGGTCTTGACCTCCAGGGCTCAAGCAATCCTCCCACCTTGGCCTCCCAAAGTGCTAGGAATACAGGCATGAGTCACCATGCCCAGCCATATTATACATTTTTAACTTACAATAGTCCACATTCAATTGATATTAAACCAGTTCACTTGTAGTATAAGAATCTTCCCCAGCCTGGCCAATATGGTGAAACCCCGCCTCTACTAAAAATACAAAAAAAAAAAAATTAGCCAGGTGTGGTGGTGCTCGCCTGTAGTCTCAGCTACTTGGGAGGCTGAGGCAGAAGATTGCTTGAACCTGGAAGCAGAGGTTGCAGTGAGCTGAGATCGTGCCAGCCTAGGCAACAGAGCAAGACTCCGTCTCAAAAAAAAAAAAGGCGGGGCCCGGTGGCTCACGCCTGTTATCCCAGCATTTTGGGAGGCCGAGGCGGGCGGATCACGAGATCAGGAGATCAAGACCGTCTTGGCTAACACGGTGAAACCCCATCTCTACTAAAAATACAAAAAATTAGCCGGGCGTGGTGGCGGGTGCCTGTAGTCCCAGCTACTAGGGAGGCTGAGGCAGGAGAATGGCATGAACCCAGGAGGTGGAGCTTGCAGTGAGCCAAGATCGCGCCACTGCACTCCAGCCTGGGCGACAGAGCGAGACTCCGTCTCAAAAAAAAAACAAAAAAAAAACCTTCTGGCGGCCTGGTGTGGTGGCTCACACTTGTAATCCCAGCACTTTGGGAGGCTGAGACTGGCGGATCACCTGAGGTCGGGAGTACAAGACCAGCCTGACCAACATGGAGAAACCCCGTCTCTACTAAAAATACAAAATTAGCCGGGCATGGTGGCACATGCCTATAATCCCAGCAACTCGGGATGCTGAGGCAGGAGAATTGCTTGAACCTGGGAGGCAGAGGTTGCAGTGAGCCGAGATCATGCCATTGCACTCCAGCCTGGGCAACAAGAGCAAAACTCCATCTCAAAAAAAAAAAACAATCTTCCGGCTGGGCACAGTGGCTCACGCCTGTAATCCATCCCAGCACTTTGGGAAGCCAAGGCAGGCAGATCACGAGGTCAGAGCGAGACTCCGTCTCGAAAAAATAAATAAATATTTCTTCCATTTCTCACTATATAGTCTTTGATATTGTCATGTGTCTTACTTTTATATATGTTATAAAACCCACAGTACATTATTACAGCCAGAACCTCCATATCAGCCAGTTGCGATGGCTCACTCCTGTAATTCCAACACTTTGGGATGCCAAGGCAGGCTGACTGCTGAGGCTCAGAAGTTCAAGACCAGCCTGGCCAACATAGTGAAACCCTGTCTCTACCAAAAATACAAAAATTAGATGGGCAATTAGCTGGACGTGGTGGTGCACGCCTGTAATCCCAGCTACTCGGGAGGCTGAAACAGGAGAATTGCTTGAACCCAGGAGGCAGAGATTGCAGTGAACTGAGATCACGCCATTACACTCCAGCCTAGGCAACAGAGTGAGACTCCGTCTCAAAAAAAAAAATTAGCTGGGCATGGTGGTGCACATCTGTGGTCCCAGCTACTCGGGAGGCTGAGGCAGAGGTTGCAGTGAGCCGAGATCCTGCCACTGCACTCCAGCCTGGATGACAGAGTGAGACTCTTGAGACAAACAACTGGGGCTGGGCGCAGTAGTTCACACGTGTAATCCCAGCACTTTGGGAGGCCGAGATGGGTGGATCACTTGAGGTCAAGAGCTCAAGACCGGCCTGGCCAACATGGTGAAACCCTGTCTCTATTAAAAATACAAAAATGAGCCGGGCATGGTGGTGCGTGTCTGTAATCCCAGCTACTCTGGAGACTGAGGCAGGAAAATTGCTTGAACCCAGGGGGCAGAGGTTGCAGTGAGCCGAGATTGCACCACTGCACTCCAGCCTGGGCAACAGAATGAGACTCCATCTCAAAATAAAATAAAAAATACAAATACAAAACTAAAAAAATAAAAATAAAGGCCAGGTGCAGTTGCTCATGCCTGTAATCCCAGCACTTTGGGAGGCCAAGATGGGCAGGTCACCTGAGGTCGGGAGTTCCAGACCAGCCTGGCAAAAATGGTGAAACCCGGTCTCTACTAAAAATACACAAAATGGCCAGGCGCGGTGGCTCACGCCTGTAATCCCAGCACTTTGGTAGGCTGAGGCGGGTGGATCACCTGACGTTTAGGAGTTCAAGTCCAGGCTGGCCAACATGGTAAAACCCCGTCTCTACTAAAAATACAAAAATTAGCTGGGCATGGTGGCAGGCGCCTGTAATCCCAGCTACTCAGGAGGCTGAAGCAGGAGAATTGCTTGAACCCAGGAGGAAGAGGTTGCAGTGAGCTGAAATCGTGCCATTGCACTCTAGCCTGGGCGGGTCAGGAGTTCGAGATCAGCCTGGCCAACATGGAGAAACCCCATCTCTACTAAAAGTACAAAAATTAAGGCTGGGCGCGGAGGCTCACGCCTGTAAGCCCAGCACTTTGGGAGGATGAGGTGGGTGGCTCATGAGATCAGGAATTCAAGACCAGCCTGGCCAAGATGGTGAAACCCTGTCTCTACTAAAAATACAAAAATTAGCTGGGTGTGGTGGCAGGCACCTGTAATCCCAGCTACCTGGGAGGCTGAGGCAGGAGAATTGCTTGAACCTGGCTGCAGTGAGCCGAGATCGCACCACTGCACTCCAGCCTGGGCAACAGAGTGAGACCCCATCTCAAAAAAAAAAAAAAAAAGAGTTGAGGTCTCCTTCCACCACTTGTGTGAAGACCCCAGAAAACTTGCTTTACCTCTTTAAACTTCAGTTTTCTTATCTTCCAACTGCCATGAGGTTTTTGTGAGGAACAAATGAGCTGACATGGATGTTTCTGTAGTTAACAAAATAAAGGGTCTTACAAAATAGGCAATAATAATAATAATCACTTATTATTATTACATGAAGCTACATGAATGTGTAAGATCTTGGAGGAAGACAGCAGAGAGAGAGAGAGAGATCAGAGATCCCAGGGTTAAAAGTTGGAGAAATTTCACAGTACATCATCCAAAAGAGGAGTCCATGATGGAGGCAGAGGTAAACTTGGAGAGGTAAGAAACCCTGAAGACAGGGGAGTGCTTTGTGGCAGGCTCTGCATATAAGAATTCAGCCTGGCCAACATGGCGAAACCCAGTCTCTACTAAAAATACGAAAATTAGCCAGGCTTTGTGGCAGGCACCTGTAATCCCAGCTATTTGGGAGGCTGAGGCAGGAGAATCGCTTGAACCTGGGAGGCAGAGGTTGCAGTGAGCCGAGATCTCACCATTGCACTCCAGCCCGGGTGACAAGAGCAAGACTCGATCTCAAAAAAAAAAAAAGTTCAGTTCAGTTGGTAAGAACTCATCAAAAGTGTCCATCTAGACTTTGGGTGCCGTAGAATGACTCAGAGTCTGAATCAACATGAAATCGAGAAAACGTCCTTTGCAAGGGTTTCAGGGAACACCTGAAATCCTGAAGAACTGTTTGTATCCATCCTGAAGAATGGGTGTTAATAAGAGACAGCCTTTTCTTGGTACCTGTTTTCCATCTCTAACCCAACCCCAACTCACACCCTTCTATTTTATCTGGTCTCTCTCATTCCTCTTGCTCCTCCCCACTTGGCTCCCGTTTTCCCCAAGTCCATTCTCTATTTTGTTCTATAAGATCTGATCATATTAGGATGCTCTTGTAGCTCATAAGAAGATGACTGGGTGTTCACACGCATATGAGATGTGCCTCCCTCAAACCTTGTTAAGACATGGGCACATACCCATCTGATGTTAACTCACGGGGAAAAAAATCTGATCATGCCATTCCCGTGCCCAAATTCCCATATATCCCTACTGCCTCAGGATAGAGGCTGGACCCCTTAGACACACAAGACCCTGTATCCATGATCTGTCACTCCCACAGGCACCCTCTACTCCCATCTACTTGGCAGTTTCCCACAACCTCCCTGGGTTCTCGTGGTTCCCTGTCATTGCAAACGTCGCTTCTCCTAGGATGTCCTGCCCCCCTAGACTTAACTTGGAAAGCTGTTCTTAAGCCCCGGACTGAGTCAGATGCCCCTCTGGGTATCCCTGTCATAGCGTTGTGTGGTTGTTGATAGTCTGATTTTTCAACCTTCTCCATGCCCTCTTGAGGGTAGGGAAGATGAGTATCTTTTTTCTCCGTACAGACCCTACCGCACAAGATTTTCCTAAACAGACCGAACTCAAGGAGTCTTTCTGGTTGTTAGTCCACGTGTCCCGATTTGGGGTTTCCAAAATACACGCCCACTGGAACCGGGCCAGGGGAGCCAGCCTGGCCAAGGGCTCCCCCAGCCCGGCCAAGGGCTCCCCCAGCCCGGGAGCGCGCCACATGCAGATCCTGGGATGGCCGCCAGGGGCCGCCGGGCTCTTTGTTTTCCTTTCTCACCCGGGTCGGGGCCAGAGGCCTGCAGAGCGCATGCTCTGGGGCAGTTCGCGGCCCGGCGGGGAGCGCCGGAGTTCCTTGTGGCCGACGTGCACCAAGGTAGGTCTCGCCTGGGACGCGCGGAGGGTCCGGGCAGAGGGCGGTAAGCGGAGCGGCCACAGCCGGAGCACGGGCCGGTCCACGCGGGCCTAAGTCGCTGCCCGCTCTCGCCCGTGTCGCGCGGCGCCGGCCCCACGTGAAGCCCGGAGGCAGGAAGGCGCGGTGCGGGCTCGCGATTCCCCGGCCCCGCGGGGCGCTCCAGCAGCGGCTGGGCGCTGCCTCGCTGGAGCTAGGGCCGCGCGGCCCCTCCGCCGCCGCGCCTCTCACGCCCGCACCGCGGCGCCCGCGCAGGCGGGAGATTCAAACTGCGCGAGCGCGGCGGGCCGGGTGCGCGCGGCCGCCCGGGCGGGGGATGGGTCTCTGCCGCGAGGAGGATGGTTTTGTCCGGCATGCGCTTGGAGAAGGCGGTTTGCAGATCGGGGAGGGAGCCCTGCCCGGGAGAGGGTGGGTCGTAGGAGCTCGAGGGTCTCCCGCTGTGGACCTTTGGGAGCCGTGTGTCTTGAACTCCGCAGCAGCTCAGTCTGTCAGCAGATTATTTGCTGGCCATTTATTGCGTCCCTCTCTTGCGGGGCTGGGGGACAGTAGTGAGAAGAGCAGGCCCGTGTCATTAGCGAACTATGCCCTTGAACCCAGGCGACGGACGCTACTGGCAAGTCATTCATACGTCACATATTGACCTAACTTCGACCACGTGTGACTTGTGTGCCCTAGCAGAAGTTGAGTGTGTGGGGTGTTACGGGGAGCCCTCAGGGGGATCCCCCACCCTGCCCAGGAGGCTCAGGGATGGCTTTCCAGGTGAAGTGACTCTTGAATGGGGTTTTGAAGGAACAGAGTTTTTCAGGCAGTCTGAGGGTAGTGGGATTAGGGTGATACAGGCAGAGGGATTGCACGTGCAACGGCATGAAGGTATAGGTATTGTGGTCAGGGATACCACAGGTCTTGAGGTGACTGGAGGAGGAGAGTAACAAGATGATACAGCAGGGGCTGGGTCACGAAGCGTCTTGTGTGCAAGACTAAGGAACTCTGCGGGGTGGAGGAGGCAGGGAAGATTTCCCCCAAGAAGGGTATCAGAGTGAAACCTGGACAGATGAATTAGGAGTTCACGAGGCTCCTGTTTCAAAGACATCCCAAGAGCAGGAATCCTGTTCTGTTCATCGTTACAACTTTCTCATCAGATGCCCTTGGGCAACCCACCCAGTCCCCCAGAGCATTGGTTTCCTTATCTGTAAAGCAATGGTAGGGGGCATGTGGTGAGGATATAATTTTTTTTTTTTTGAGACGGAGTTTCCACTCTTATTACCCAGGCTGGAGTGCAGTGGCGCGATCTCAGCTCACTGCAACCTCCACCTCCTAGGTTCAAGCAATTCTGCCTCAGCCTGCTGAGCAGCTGAGACTACAGGAACACACCACCAGGCCCAGCTAATTTTTGTATTTTTTTTTTTTTAGTAGAGACGGGGTTTCACCATGTTGGCCAGGCTGGTCTTGAACTCCTGACCTCAGGTGATCCACCTGCCTCAGCCTCCCAAAGTGCTGGAATTACAGGTGTGAGCCACCGCACCCGGCCAATTTTTTTTTTTTTTCTGATACAGAATCTTGGTCTATCGCCCAGGCTGTAGTATAGTGTCGTGCTCTCAGTCGCTGCAGCCTCCACCTCCCGGGTTCAAGCGATTCTCCTGTCTCAGCCTCCCGAATAGTAATATCCTATAATTTTCATAAAGCAGTGAAGTTGTGTGTCCCTTCCCCCAGGAAAAATGAACACATAGGCCCAGGCACAGGTTGTATAGAACGGGGATCCCAGGTGAGAAACTCCTAGTGTGAAATATACCACCTGTGTGCCTGGCATAACAGCAGCTCACCAAATGTATATTGTTGACACATGAGCCCTCTCCTCCCTTCCCTCCTGGGGACCTTACACACAGAGATTTTTCAGCCTTAGTCTGGCAGGCAAGTTCTTCCTCCTGGTGTGGGGGACGGAGGGCACAGCTGCAGTGGCCTGGGAGGGCTCTGTCTCCTTTTACAGAAATCGAGGCTGTGGTGAGGTCACTGGAGGTCAGGGCAGGAGCACCAGGCTCCGGGCAGACTGTCTAGACTGGCGTGCCTACCCACTTTCTTCAATAAATAAGGAAGGTGAGGTGGGGGTAGGGCAGCTCCAGCTCTGGTGGAGCATGGTCATGAGACTGGGATTTCATTCCACCTCTCTGTGACCTGGGTCACCTTTCCCTGAGCCTCATCTTCCCCTTAGCTGTAAAACTGGGATGAGTCTGCTCACCTCAAAGGGCAGCTGTGGGCATTCAGGAGTGCCTGATGGTGGAAGCTGACTCTGTAGCCGACTTATCTGTGACTGTCTCACTCTTCTCCCAGAGACTGTATGCTCCTTGAAGATGGAAGCTGTGTTGTGTGGGGCGGGGTGGGGAAGCATGATGCCAAAAGCCAACTCCTTATTCCCAGCCCAGACACTCACTGCCTGGTTAAGAAAACAGCCAGAGAGGCCGGGCTCGGTGGCTCACGACTGTAACCCCAGCAATTTGGGAGGCCAAGGTGGGCAGATCACCTGAGGTCAGGAGTTCAAGACCAGCCTGGCCGACATGGTGAAACCCCGTCTTTACTAAAAATACCAAGCAGTTAGCCAGGCGTGGTGGCTTGCGCCTGTAGTCCCAGCACTAGGGAGGCTGAGGCGGGAGAATCGCTTGAACCTGGGAGGCGGAGGTTGCAGTGAGCTGAGATCGTGAGTCTGAACTCCAGCTTGGGCAACAGAGTGAGGCTCCATCTCAAAAAGAAGAAAAGAAAAGCAAATAAAGGAAAACACACCCAGAGCAGTGAGAGAAGTCTGTATACAAGACCCATTTGTGCAGTAGAGGCTGTGCAGGCAGGTACCGGGAACAGGGCTCCACCTTTTAGAAGGTGGTCCTCTGGCCGGGAGCAGTGGCTCACGCCTGTAATCCCAGCACTTTGGGAGGCCGAGGTGGGTGGATCATGAGGTCAGGAGATCGAGACCATCCTGGCTAACACGGTGAAACCCCGTCTCTACTAAAAATACAAAAAATTAGCTGGGTGTGGTGGCAGGCGCCTGTAGTCCCAGCTACTCGGGAGGCTGAGGCAGGAGAATGGCGTGAACCTGGGAGGCGGAGCTTGCAGTGAGCCGATATCGCGCCATTGCCTCCAGACTGGGCGACAGAGCGAGACTCCACCTCAGAAAAAAAAAAAAAAAAAAAAAAGAAGGTGGCCCTCCATCCCCTGCCCTTCCCTGGCGATTGCCAGCCCAGTGCAGGGCCTCAAGTCTTCCATTTTGGAGAGGAAGCCTCTGGGACTCAAAGAGCACTCAGGTGCCGTCTCCACCGCAGCAGGGAGTTGTCGCCACTGTCCTTCCCCACATCTGTGGGTGGATCTGTCACCACCCACCCCACCTTCCCTCAGGCTCTAGCTGCCTCATTGTCTCCTCTCTGGTCTCACCATCCTCTCCTCAGCTGGCTTCTGCTCTCTGCTTCTTGGACTTGGCCAAGTGCATAGGGGATACTGGGGAGGCCTGCCCAGACTGCCTTAGCCCCTGCCTGGACCAAGGTCTGCCTTCAGAATCAGTCAGATAGGCCTGGGTTGCTTTTCTAGGCTGCCCTTTACTTGCTCTGTGAACTTAGGCCGATAAAGTTATCTTTCTGAGCCTCAGTTCCTTAACTGTGAAATAGGAGTGACAGTGCTGCCTTCTTCAGCTTCCTGTGAGGAATAAAAGGGTTTTGCATATGGAAGATACAGTGAGTTAGCCGGTGCCCCCAGGGGCTCATATTTTAGGAAGTTGATTGGTATGGTGGACAGGCATGTAAATTAAAGTGATTGTGATCCAAAAGTCTGTCCCAGTTTCTCAGAGAGAATGACTAGTTCAGGATGGAGGAGGGATCAGAGGAGGTGACTTTGAGACACCAGTAGATGTTCTTCCAGTGGGATAAGGGATGGGAAGGCGTTCCAGGTAAAGAGATGCAAATAGTATGGAGAGGACAGTTAGCATTCTGGCCTGGTGGGTCTGGCAAGGAGATTGTGTGGGAAGAGAAGGGAGGATGTGATAGATAGGAAATGAAGCTAAAGGTTCTGTCAGTACCCGATGTTGGAGACCTCTAATACCCAGCTAAGAAATGTGGGCTTTATCTTCCAGGAAAAGGGGACCACTAAGGAGTCCAAGCAGGCCAGCAGCTTGCTTCAGGTTTGAGGTTTGGAAAGATCATGAATGAGGCCGGGCATGGTACCTCACGCCTATAATCCCAGTACTTTGGGAGGTCGAGGTGGGAGGATCACTTGAGCCCGGGAGTTTGAGACCAGCCTGGGCAACATAGTGAGACCTTGTCTCTACAAGAAAAAAAAAAATTACAAATTAGCCAAGCGTGGTGGTACATGCCTGTAGTCCCAGCTACTCTGGAGGCTGAGGCAGGAGGGTCGCTTGAGCCTAGGAGGTGGAGGTTGCAGTGAGCCGTGTACGTGCTGCTGCACTACAGCCTGGGCAACAGAGTGAAACCCTGTCTCAAAAAAAAATAAATATATATATGTATATATATACACACACACATATTTATTGATCACGAATGACTTGGAGAATGAGAGGAGGGGATGAGGGTGGGGACCGGAAGACCAGTGAAAAGTTGCTGTCTTTCCTAGGGAAAGGAGGAGGAGACACAGTTCCAGGCAAGCTGAGAGACTACTAGGGAGCATGGGGAGGAAGGAGGCAGAAGAAATTTCTTTTTTTTTTTTTTTTTTTTTTGAGACGGAGTCTTGCTCTGTCACCCAGGCTGGAGTGCAGTGGCGTGATCTCGACTCACTGCAAGCTCTGCCTCCCGGGTTCACGCCATTTTCCTGCCTCAGCCTCCCGAGTAGCTAGGACTACAAGCGCCCGCCACCACGCCTGTCTAATTTTTTGTATTTTTAGTAGAGACGGGGTTTCACCGTGGTCTCGATCTCCTGACCTCATGATCCGCCCGCCTCGGCCTCCCAAAGTGCTGGGATTACAGGCGTGAGCCACCGCGCCCGGCCAGAAGAAATTTCTAATAACACTCAAGGACGCCAGCTCTGGAGTCTGACTAACTTGGTTCAGATCTTGGCCTTCTCTTCCAATCTTGAGTGAGATACTTCACCTTTCTGAGCCTCAGTTTTCTTCTCTGTAGAGTGGGATCATTGTGGCCAGCTTGTAGTGAAACGCTCCAGAATATTAGCCAAACACAACTAAGGAGATGTTGACTGGGTTTGTTCCATCCATGATAACAGATTTTTTGGTTAATGCCCCATGACACCAACACTTCATATAGCCCTTATGTGTCTGACTCCATTCCGGGCTGTGCTCATGGCAGCCCAGCCATCAGCACCAACTGTGCTGACATAATTGTTTCCTGCTTTTTCTCCTGACTTCTTATTGTGAGTACTTTTCATGCTAATACAGTCTCCCTCCCAGGCACAGCAGACTGCTACAGATTATTCTGATGAACTGATGAGATGTTTGCCTTGGCATACAGCTGTCTATCTAAAACAAGGGTGCCTCTTTTTTTGGTGGAGGGACAGAGTTTCACTCTTGTTGCCCAGGCTGGAGTGCAATGGTGCAAACTCGGCTTACCACAACCTCCACTTCCTGGGTTCAAGCGATTCTCCTGCCTCAGCCTCCCGAGTAGCTGGGATTACAGCACGCGTCACCACGCCTGGCTAATTTTGTATTTTTAGTAGAGATGGGGTTCCTCCACGTTGGTCAGGCTGGTCTCGAACTCCTGACCTCAGGTGATCCACCCGCCTTGGCCTCCCAATCTGCTGGGATTACAGGCGTGAGCCACCGTGCCCGGCCACAAAGATGCCTCTTATATCCCACATCCCTACCCCATCTAACTTTGCCTGCCTGACATCCTTTCTGGGATGGCTCCCAAGCACTTCAGATTGAATGAAAACACCTAGCAACATGGAGCTTCACGTCTCTTCTCTCCTGTTTGTTCAACAGTGTTCTCTATCTCACTACATGGAAGTCTACCATCTACCTGGTCATTTAAGCCCAAGCCTGGGAGTCTTTGTGTTTGGCCAAGCTCATAGGGGGATCTTGGGCAGGCCTGCCAAGAATCCTCTGGACTTTTTTAGGATGAACAAATCAAGCCAAGTGCTGTGGCACGTGCCCATGATCCCAGGCTCTTGGGAAGCTGAGGTGGGAAGATCGCTTGAGTCCATGAGTTCGAGGCTGCAATAAGCTAATTGCACCACTGCACTCCAGCCTAGGTGACAGAGTGAGACCCCCTCTCTTAAAAAAATAAAATAAAAGGCCAGGCATGGTGGCTTACACCTATAATCCCAGCACTTTGGGAGTCCAAGGCTAGAGAATCGCTTGAGCCCAGGAGTTCGGGACCAGCCTGGGCAACATGGCAAGACGTTGTTTCTGCAAAATATACAAAAATTAGCCGGGCGTGGTGGTGCACACCTGTAGTCCCAGCTATCCAGGATGGCTCAAGCCCGGGTGGTTGAGGCTGCAGTGAGCCATGACCATGCCACTGCACTCAAGTCTGGGCAGGACCCTGTCTCAAAAATAAATACAAAGGATGAACAAATTATGAGAGTAAAAAAGGGTTAGTCTCCTTTATCCTTGCTACACCTCCTCACCCAAAGCCAAGCAGTAGTGTAGCAGGATAAGCCGCAGACAAAACCCCCCAGACACCCAGTTAAAGAAGGAAGGGCTTTATTCAGCTGGGAGCTTTGGCAAGATTCACGTCTCCAAAAACTGAGCTCCCCGAGTGAGCAGTTCCTGTCCCTTTTAAGGGCTTACAACTCTAAGGGGGTCTGCATGAAGAGGTCGTGATTGATTGAGCAAGCAGGGGATATGTGACTGGGGGCTGCATGCACTGGTTATCAGAACGGAACAGAACAGGACAGGGATTTTCACAGTGCTTTTCCATACGATGTCTGGAATCTATAGATAACATAACCGGTTAGGTCAGGGGTCGATCTTTAACCAGACACAGGTCGCGGCGCCAGGCTGTCTGCCTGTGGATTTCATTTCTGCCTTTTAGTTTTTACTTCTTTGGAGGCAGAAATTGGGCATAAGACAATATGAGGGGTGGTCTCCTCCCTTAGTAGTAAAGCACTATAAATATTTGTGGATTTACAACCATTTCATTCAGTCTTGATGACAGCCCTGAGAAGTAGTCATTGCATCCCCTTTTATAGATGAGGATACAGTTCAGAGAGGTTAAGGCAACTGGCCAGCCACAAGCTCTGGAAGGTGAACCCAGTTCCCTCTAATCCCAAAGAATGTGCACTTTTTAGTGTGGGACAAGGGGTCTCAAAAGACAGGTGGGAGGATTCTCAGCCCTGGGAGAATAAAAGTTGGGTGAAGTTCAGAACTGCCACCTCATCAGTCAGAACTGGGCCAGTGACAACCTGCAGAAGCTCAGCCTGCAAAGGCTTATCAGGATTCTAGACCTTTGGTTACTTTCCCATCTTTAGTATTTAGTTCTCCTTCCCCAGGATAATCAGCAGAAAAGTGCCTGGCCTTGTGTCCATATACCATGGAGGGGAGAGCTAGAGAGGCGAGGTTCTCGGGAACCACTAGAAGGAAGGAATGAGGGGGCTGCTGGTTAGGCCCAGAGCTGAGACCGAGAAGGGCTCTTGGAGTTCTCCTTCCCTTCGTAACATTAGGTAGAGGCTTAGACAACTTGATTGTTTTTCATGACCTTAAAGACTGTGGCTCCGGCCGGGCATGGTGGCTCACAGCTGTTGTAATCCCAGCACTTTGGGAGGCTGAGGCGGGTAGATCGCTTGAGCCCAGGAGTTCTAGACCAGCCTGGGCAACTTGGCAAAACCCTGTCTCTACAAAATATATAAAAATTAGCTGGACACTGTGATGCGCACTTGTAGTCCCAGCTATTCTAGAGGCTGAGGTGGGAGGATCACCTGAGCTCAAGAGGTCAAACCTGCAATGAGCCGTGATTGTGCCACTGCACTTGAGCCTGGGCAACAGAGAGTGAGATGCTGTCTCAAAAAAACAAACAAACAAACAAACAAAAACAAGTACTTGATGACTCCATTGGGGTCAATTATGAAGAGACCTCTTAGTGCAAGACCAGGACCTTCTAACAGCACACCGAAGTCTCGAGAAATTCGCTTAGTTAAATCTGACAAGGGTGCGATGTTTATGTGGCCCAAAGCACCATTCTTTCTTGGTGTATTTATCCAGGCAAGACGGCTAAAGTGGGAATCCACTGAGACTGCAACAACTTCAAAGTTCACATCGTGAAATTCCTTAGCTTTGTCACTAGAAGCAACAATTTCTGTAGGACACACAAAGGTGAAATCCAAAGGATAGGGCTGGGCGCGGTGGCTCACACCTGTAATCCCAGCACTTTGGGAGGCTGAGGTGGGTGGATCACCTGAGTTCAGGAGTTCAAGACCAGCCTCACCAACATGGTGAAATCCCATCTCTACTAAAAATACAAAAATTAGCCAGGCGTCGTGGCAGGCGCCTGTAATTCCAGGTACTCAGGAGGCTGAGGCAGGAGAATTGGCTTGAACCCAGGAGGGGGAGGTTGCAGTGAGCCGAGATCGTGCCACTGCACTCCAGCCTGGGTGACACAGCAAGACTCCGTCTCGGAAAAAAAAAAAAAAAGAAAGAAATCCAAAGGATAGAAGAAAAGCACCAAATATTTCCCCTCAAAGTCATCAAGGCTTAGGTCTTTGAACTCTCCATTGACCACGGCTGTACCCTTAAAATAGGGCGCATGCTGGGTGACATCAGGTGCATGGTATGAGGAACTGGTACCAGAATTTTGCTTGACCGGAACCAGACCACAATATGTTTGTCAAACTTGTTCTTCCAGAAGCAGCAGGCCTGAGGGCTGCAGTGGCAGAAATGCCCCCAAGGAATGGCACTCACATGCCGGGCAACTGATGCTCAGAGTAACCTTCCCACAGCAGCCGCGATCTTCAGTGCATGTGTGTTTTTGTTTTTTTGAGACAGTGTCTGTCTCTTTCGCCCAGGCTAAAGTACAGTGGCACAATCTCAGCTCAATTTAGCCTCAGCCTCCCAGGCTCACGCCATCCTCCCACCTCAGCCTCCTGAGTAGCCAGGACTTCAGGCGTGCACCACCATGCCCGGCTAATTTTTGTAATTTTTTGGATAGAAATGGGGTTTCGCCATGTTGCCCACGCTGGTCTTGAACTCCTGGGCTCAAGCGATCCTCCTGCCTCGACTTCCCAAAGTGCTAGGATTACAGGTGTGGTGGCACCTTGTCTCTAAAAAAAATCAATCAATTAAATAAGAAAAGAAAATAGCTCTTCTCCCCCTCTGATTATAACAACACATTACCAAAGTTACTGGTGCTTACATGGGGTTGAATGGAGTTATGATGGATATTTCATTTAATGTTGTTCTTCAATGTTTTAATTTTTTACAACAGACTTAAAAATTTTTTAAATACATGTGGCCAGGCACGATGGCTCACGCCTGTAATCCCGCACTTTGGGAGGCCAAGGTGGGTGGATCATCTGAGGTCAGGAGTTCAAGACCAGCGGGACCAACATGGAGAAACCCCATCTCTACTAAAAATACAAAATAAGCCGGGCGTGGTGGCACATGCCTGTAATCCTAGCTACTCCAGAGGCTGAGGCAGGAGAATCACTTGAACCTGGGAGGTAGAGGTTGTGGTGAGCCGAGATTGCGCCATGGCACTCCAGCCTGGGCAATAAGAACAAAACTCTGCTTCAAAAAAAAAAAAAAAAAAACATGTAATCGGCTGTACGCAGTGGCTCACGCCTGTAATCCCAGGACTTCGGGAGGCTGAGGCAGGTGGATTACTTGAGATTAGGAGTTTGGGACCAGCCTGGCCAACATGGTGAAACCCCGTCTCTACTAAAAATACAAAATTTGGGCTGGGCACAGTGGCTCACGCCTATAATTCCAGCACTTTGGGAGGCCAAGGCGGGGTGGATCACTGAGATCAGGAGTTCGAGACCAGCCTGGCCAAACTGGTGAAACCTCGTCTCTACTAAAAATACAAAAATTAGCTGGGTGTGGTGGTGGGTGCCTGTAATCCCAGCTACTCGAGAGGCTGAGGCAGGAGAATCACTTGAACCCAGGAGGCAGAGGTTGCATGAGCCGAGATCGCACCATTGCACTCTAGCCTGGGTGACAGAACGAGACTCCATTTCAAAAAAACAAAAACAAAACAAAACTTAGCAGGGCATGGTGATGCACACCTGTAATCTCAGCTACTCGGAAGGCTGAGGCACAAGAATTGCTTCAACCCGGGAGGTGGAGGTTGCAGTGAGCTGAGATCATGCCTGTGCGCTCCAGCCTGGCGACAGAGTGAGACTCCGTCTCAAAAAACAGAAAAATACATGTAATGCTCCTTGTTAAACATCTTAGATAATATAGGAAGATAAAACGAAACAAGTAATGATTATCTATAATACCATTTTCCGAGGTTACCATTGTTAATATGGGATATATTTTCTTCCCCACATTTTTCTCACATATTTTTTGTGTATGCATTTTTTTTCCAAAAAAAAAAAAAATGGATGATAGGCTGTTTTTCTTCCTTTTTTTTTTTTTTTTTTTTGGTTGGGGGGTGGAGTTTCACTACTCTTTCTCCCAGGCTGGAGTGCTGAGTGCAATGGCATGATCTTGGCTCACCGCAACCTCCACCTCCTAGGTTCAAGCAATTCTCCTGCCTCAGCCTCCCAAGTAGCTGGGATTACAGTCGCACACCACCATGCCTGGCTAATTTTTGTATTTTTTTTTTTTTTTTTGGTGGCGACGGGGTTTCACCATGTTGGCCAGGCTGGTCTCGAACTCCTGACCTCAAGTGATCCACCCACCTTGGCCTCCGAAAGTGCCAAAGTACTGGGATTACAGGCGTGAGCCACCGCGCCCAGGCTTTTTTTTTTTTTTTTTTTTTGAGACAGTCTGGCTCTGTTGCCCAGGCTGGAGTGCAGTGGCTCGATCTTGGCTCACCACAACCTCCACCTCGCGGGTTCAAGCGATTCTCCTGCCTCAGCCTCCTGAGTAGCTGGGATTACAGGTGCCCATCACTGTGCCTGGCTAATTTTTGTATTTTTAGTAGAGACGGGGTTTTGCCATGTTGGCCAGGCTGGTTTGGAACTCCTGATCTCAGGTAATCCGCCCGCCCCGGCCTCCCACAGTGTTGGGATTACAGATGTGAGCCACCACACCTGGCCGTCTGTTTTTCATTCTGCTTGTTTTACTTGGCAATGGGGAACATCTTTCTATTCAATAGATTGATCTCTGAAAACATCACTTTTGATGGCTTCATACTGTTCTATCATGAATATACCACATATTTAGTTCACTACTATTGAACATTCGGGTTCTGTTTTTGTTGTTTTTAAAATGTTATGAAGGATACAGTAGAGAATATTTGTGTAATTAATCTGTGGGTGCATCCATTATTCTGTTCTTGGGATACATTTTGAGAAGTGGAATTGTTGGGCAATTCCTCTTAACGTATTTCTAGAGTGTTTGATAAATATTGTCTGATTGGCCCAGGAAAATGTTTGCCATTTCTCATATGTAGTATTTGACTGACTTTCAGGACAGGAAGATGTCACCCAAGCGCATAGCTAAAAGAAGGTCCCCCCCAGCAGATGCCATCCCCAAAAGCAAGAAGGTGAAGGGTAAGTTGGCCTTGGCCTCTTTGTGGGTACAGGTGGCCCCTTGAAACCCTAAGAACCCGGGACTGGGCTCCTTTCTTCCTGAGGCTTGAAGCTGAAGGGTGTGGATGTGCAGAGACCCCACCCAGCTGGAAGGTTTCCTGTAGCTCATTGAATCCTACCCTCTGGGAATCACAAAGTGGGCAGAAACTCCTCTCAAAGCACTCAGGCAGCACTGGCACAAAAAAAAAAAAAAAAAAACTAGACCCTAGGGCTTCACCCCAGGCAGTGATGCATTATGGTTAGGACCACTGACTTTCCGACATGGGTTCAAGTCCTTGCTCTGCCACTTTCTAGCTGCTGGGCAAGTCACTTAATCCCGCAGTTTGGATTATCAACTTCTTAAAATGGCGGCAGCCAGAGCAGCGTCACCCTCTCTGGGCTGTGTGAGGATGAGATGAGATAATGGCCTGGCAGCATTTGAGGGAGGTGGCTGTGGTTTCCTCTGTCCTGGGACCCCGGAGGGGGACAGGGAGGAGAGAAAAGCCAGCACCAAACTGGGAGGGGAAGTGTGGACCCACGCTCAGACAGTGTCTGTCTTTTGCAGACACGAGGGCCGCTGCCTCCCGCCGCGTTCCTGGCGCCCGCTCCTGCCAAGGTGCCTGCGGGCCGAGCCCTCCTGACCAGAAAACCCGACCAGGTGGCTCCGCGCCCGGGGCGCCCTCTGTGCTGCCAGCGCGGGCTCCTCAGCGGTGGCCACATCCTCGGGGGAGGGGCTGGGCGCCATTGGCTGCCCGGGGCTGCGGGTTGGGGGGCCGCCTTTGGCCCACAGAGAGCCCCGGGCGCGCACCTCCCGCAAATGCCGCTGTCCGCTCTTCCTCCCGCCCCTCCTGCCTCTCCACTGGATGGTGGAGGGAAGAGTCCGTTTCTGCAGTGGATTTGCCCGGGAGCTGAACTTATTCACTGGCGGACGGCTTGGGCATGGAGGAGGGCTTGGATGGAGACTGGGGATTGTTCTCTGACCCACGTAGTCTCCCTTGCTTTCGGTGCAGATTCTGCTATTATAATTAGCTTTCTGCGGGGCAAGGTGGCTCACGCCTGTCAGAAGATCGAGACCATCCTGGCTAACACGGTGAAACCCCGTCTCTACTAAAATACAAAAAATTAGCCTTGCGCGGTGGCGCGCGCCTGTAGTCCCAGCTACTCAGGAGGCTGAGGCAGAGGAATCGCTTGAACCCGGGAGGCAGAGGTTGCAATTAGCCAAGATCCACCACTGCACTCCAGACTGGCGACAAAGGGAGACTCCGTCTCAAAATAACAATAACAATAATTAGCTTTCTTTTCTTTTTCTTTTTTTTTTTTTTTTTGAGATCAAGTATCACTCTGTCGCCCAGACTGGAGGCGGCAGTGGCACGATCTTGGCTCACTGCCACCTCCGCCTCCCAGGTTCAAGTGATTCTCCTGCCTCAGCCTCCTGAGTAGCTGAGATTACAGGCTACTGTTGGCAAGGCTGGTCTCTTAACTCCTGACCTCAAGTGATCCGCCCGCCTTGGCCTCCCACAGTGCTAGGATTACAGGTGTGAGCCACCGCACCCAGCCCTTCTTGCCCTCTCCACCAAGATTCATTTCACAGTATCCAGTGTCTCCTTGTTTCCCTTTCTCCCCTTTCACGTGAATAATGTGCTCAGTTCTTAATCTCCACAAAAATCCTGTGAGAGAGGTACTTTTGTTGTCCCCATTTCACAGATGACAAAACTTAGAAAGTTCATACTAACAGTCTGTGGCAGAGCAGGGGCTTCTGCACAGGTTTGTCTGATCCCAGAGCCTGTGACCTCTCCTCGCTGTCGTCATCCTCTACACTCAGGGTCTATCTTCTTCACCCTTCAGTCTCACACAGGTCCCACAGCACAGAACCCGGCTTGGTGCTGACACTAGGCCAGGGCGACGTGGGCCAGCTGGGGCTGGGTGAGAATGTGATGGAGAGGAAGAAGCCGGCCCTGGTATCCATTCCGGAGGATGTTGTGCAGGCTGAGGCTGGGGGCATGCACACCGTGTGTCTAAGCAAAAGTGGCCAGGTAGGTGTTGGGGACTGGCACAGGGTTGGACAAGGCCTGGGGTTGGGTGGCTTGGGGCAGGGCTTTTGAACCACGCATGTTCACTGTGGAAATGGAGCTGGCTAGTCAAGTGGGGAGTGGCCTACATGAGAATGGACTGCGAGGCCAGACGTTGCATTAATGAGGGCATCCTGGGCACAGGTCTATTCCTTCGGCTGCAATGATGAGGGTGCCCTGGGAAGGGACACATCAGTGGAGGGCTCGGAGATGGTCCCTGGGAAAGTGGAGCTGCAAGAGAAGGTGGTACAGGTGTCAGCAGGAGACAGTCACACAGCAGCCCTCACCGATGATGGCCGTGTCTTCCTCTGGGGCTCCTTCCGGGTAAGGCTGGGTCTGAAAGTCTGCATGGTCCCTGAAAGACAGAATTAATTGGCGGGGCCCCAAAGATAATCCACTTCCATGCCCCCATGGTACTTACTGGTGGGGAGATGAAAGCCCACAGGTAGAGCTGAGGCCCAGACCCAGGACTCTAGCTTCCTCATGTGGGCCTGTCCACGCCACTGGCTGCTTCCTTGAATCCGATGTCATCAAGTGTCTGTCCTGGGAAGTGAGTGGGTCAAGGATGTCCCTGGGTTGAGGCTGATCCAGGAGGCCTGCTGTCTTCACCCATCTCCCTGACTTCTGTCTCCCCCTCACCTTGCCAGCACTGCCTCTTCCACACTTCCCAGAGGCTTGGATGGGGCAAGGAGGTGTGGAGGCAGGGATTGTCGCATCTCAGAGTTTCCAAGGTACAGAGGAGTGTAGTTGAAAAAACAGATTGTGGGTTTTTGTTGTTGTTGTTGTTGTTGTTTTTGTATTGTTTTGAGATGGAGTTTCACTCTTGTTGCCCAGGCTGGAGTGCAATAGCGCAATCTTGGCTCACTGCAACCTCTGCCTCCCAAGTTTAAGTGATTCTCCTGCCTCAGCCTCCCAAGTAGCTGGGATTACAGGCATGCGCCACCACGCCTGGCTAATTTTGTATTTTTAGTAGAGACGGGGTTTCCCCTGTTGGTCAGGCTGGTCTCGAACTCCCGACCCCAGGTGATCCACCCGCCTCAGCCTCCCAAAGTGCTAGGATTACAGGCGTGGGCCACCACACCCGGCCTGATGGGTGTTTCCTTATCACATCTATTTTGAAATTTTCATGGAGAATTTCAAACACATGAAAGTAATCAGAATTGGGCTGGGCGCGGTGGCTCATGCCTGTAATCCCAGCACTTTGGGATGCCAAGATGGGCAGATCACGACGTCAGGAGATCGAGACCATACTGGCTAACATGGTGAAACCCCGTCTCTACTAAAAATACAAAAAATTAGCCAAGCGTGGTGGCGGGTGCCTGTAGTCCCAGCTACTCGGGAGGCTGAGGCAGGAGAATGGCTTGAACCCGGGAGGCGGAGCTTGCAGTGAGCCAAGATCGCGCCACTGCACTCCAGCCTAGGGGACAGAGCGAGACTCCATCTCAAAAAAAAAAAAAGAAGTCCGGGCGCAGTAGCTCATGCTTGTAATCCCAGCACTTTGGGAGGCCGAAGCAGGCTGATCACCTGAGGGGTCGGGAGTTCGAGACCGGCCTGACCAACATGGAGAAACCCTGTCTCTATTAAAATTACAAAATTAGCTGGACATGGTGGTGCATGCCTGTAATCCCAGCTACTCGGGAGGCTGAGGCAGGAGAATTGTTTGAACCTGGGAGGCGGAGGTTGCAGTGAGCCGAGATCGCGCCATTGCACTCCAGCCTGGGCAACAAGAGCGAAACTCTGTCTCAAAAAAAAAAAAAAAAAAAAAAAAAGGAAGTAATCAGAATATCAGAATTATATTTTTTTCTTTTCTTTTCTTTTCTTTTTTTTTTTTTTTTTTTTTTTTTTTTTTTTTTTTTTTTTTTTTTTTTTGAGACAGAGTCTTGCTCTATCACCCAGGTTGGAGTGCAATGACACAATCTCGGCTCAGTGCAACCTCTGCCTCTCGGGCTCAAGCAATTCTCCTTCCTCAGCCTCCCGAGTAGCTGGGATTACAGGCATGCGCCACCACACCTGGTTAATTTTTGTATTTTTAGTAGAGACGGGGTTTCACCATGTTGGCCAGGCTGGTTGTGAATTTCTGATCTCAGGTGATCCGCCCGTCTGGGCCTCCCAGAGTGCTGGATTGCAGGCTTGAGCCGCCACGTCTGGCCTCTTTTCTTTTTTCTTTGTTTTGAGACGGAGTCTCGCTTTGTCGCCCAGGCTGGAGTGCAGTGGCGCGATCTCGGCTCACTGCAAGCTCTGCCTCCCTGATTCACGCCATTCTCCTGCCTCTGTCTCCCGAGTAGCTGGGACTACAGGCGCCCGCTACAACGCCCGGCTAATTTTTTGTATTTTTTGGTAGAGACGGCATTTCACCGTGTTAGCCGGAATGGTCTCGATCTCCTGACCTCGTGATCGCCCGCCTTGGCCTCCCAAAGTGCTGGGATTACAGGCATGAGCCACCGCGCCCGGCCTCTTTTCTTTTTTAATTAGAGACGAGATCCTGCTCTGTCACCCAGGCCAGAGTGCAATGGCATCGTCTTAGCTCATTACAGCCTCAACTTCCTGGGCTCAGGTGATTTCTTCCACCTCAGCCTCGCAAGTAGCTGGTACTAGAGGCTTGTGCCACCACGCCCAGCTAATTTTTGTATTTTTTGTAGGGACGGGGTTTCACCGTGTTGCCCAAGCTGGTCCTGAGCTCAAGCGATCTGCCCACCTGGGCCTACCAAAGTGCTAGGATTACTGGCATGAATTACCATGCCTGGCCCAGAATAGTATATTGAGTGCCCATTTACTTGCCACACAGTTTCAATGATTATCAGCTTGTGGCCAGACTTGTTTATCTCTATTTGCATCCGCTCTCTGACTCCTTGATTATTTTAATGCAAGTCGCAGACCATAAATGATTTCATTCATAAGTATTTGAGTATGTGGCCTGGCTCCTGCCCACTTCTCCATCCCCATCTGGTGCCACTGCCCTTCTGGATTTCACTGGCACGGGGCAGGCAGGACTGGCTGATAAGTGCCCTGTCCCTCCCTTCTAGGACAATAACGGTGTGATTGGACTGTTGGAGCCCATGAAGAAGAGCATGGTGCCTGTGCAGGTGCAGCTGGATGTGCCTGTGGTAAAGGTGGCCTCAGGTGGGTCTGGGGGCACTTGCTCAGGGCAGGAGTTGGAGGACCTTGTTCTGGGGCTGGCCTAGCCTTGGGCCTTACAGTTGTGGCCTGCATCCCTTACCTTTTCATCCTTAGGAAACGACCACTTGGTGATGCTGACAGCTGATGGTGACCTCTACACCTTGGGCTGCGGGGAACAGGGCCAGCTAGGCCGTGTGCCTGAGTTATTTGCCAACCGTGGTGGCCGGCAAGGCCTCGGTAAGTGGCCTTGGTACCTCCAGCAGGGCAAATTGGCAGGCCACCCCCACAGTGAAGGCCAAAGGCAGGAAGGATTTGCTGTGGTCAGGCTTGCATCAGATGGGCTTGTGGTGTTGGTTAGGACTTTGGAGACAGACTGCTCTGGTAGTTTTGCCACCTACTGTCTATGGGACTCTGAACATAGTTTCTTCATCACTAAGTCTACCTACCTGTAAACCTACTTCATTAGGTTGCTGTGAAGTTAAATGAGTTAATGAGAAGAATATCAGGCAGATGGTAAGTTCCACGTAAATGATACCCGTAATGACTGTGGGAATCTGAGCAAGGCACTTGTATTCTCTTGATCTCAGTTTCCTTTTCTATAAAATAGGGATAAGAGTCCCTACTTAGCCTCTCAAGGGCTTTTATAATGGAGGAGAATTAAACTCGGGGCAGAGAGAAGCCATGTGTGTCTGTCTGTCACTGACCGTGGCTTTCCCTTTGCCTGCAGAACGACTCCTGGTCCCCAAGTGTGTGATGCTGAAATCCAGGGGAAGCCGGGGCCACGTGAGATTCCAGGATGCCTTTTGTGGTGCCTATTTCACCTTTGCCATCTCCCATGAGGGCCACGTGTACGGCTTCGGCCTCTCCAACTACCATCAGCTTGGTGAGCCCCGAGCCCAGCTTCAGGCATGACCCAGTGGCCTGCGTTCCTGTCCTGGCTCTGCCACTCATTCATTGTGCATCCTTTGCGGGGTCGTCTAACCCCTCCAAGCCAGTTTTGTCATCTGTAAAGTGAGAATGTCCATATCCTGATGGGAGGTGGCCTCACTGTGGGAGGAGATTGAGAAGGGCAGCTCTCAGAACACCTTCACCCCTGATGGCTCCGGCCTTTCCCCCAGGAACTCCGGGCACAGAATCTTGCTTCATACCCCAGAACCTAACATCCTTCAAGAATTCCACCAAGTCCTGGGTGGGCTTCTCTGGTGGCCAGCACCATACAGTCTGCATGGATTCGGAAGGTAGGGCCTTTACGTCCTTCTCTAGTTTGGGGGTGGAGTGTTCCCTGGCCTAGGCCTAGCCAGATTCCTGAGACCATGGTCCTTGGAGCCTGGGTCTGTTCCATGGGTTGTACCATACATGGGTCCATGAGAGTCACTCTCATCCTCCTAGAGTCCTGGTGTTCTTCCAAGTGTGAGTTCAATGGGGGCCCATGTAGATTCTCCTAGGCCTCCTCCAAAACTGGGAAGAGACACTGCAGATCTCCTTCTGATCGCTCTGGGAGCAGGGACACACTCCCATGGACAGGTGGACTCACCTAGCCTGCCACCCATTTTGCCTGTAGCACGCCCTCTGCTATTGCTCATCTCTCTCCCTCCTCCCATAGGAAAAGCATACAGCCTGGGCCGGGCTGAGTATGGGCGGCTGGGCCTTGGAGAGGGTGCTGAGGAGAAGAGCATACCCACCCTCATCTCCAGGCTGCCTGCTGTCTCCTCGGTGGCTTGTGGGGCCTCTGTGGGGTATGCTGTGACCAAGGATGGTGAGTGGGGCTGCCTACACTCTGTCTAGTTGGGACCTGGGGGTCATGGTTCTTACCCAATTCCCCAATAGGCTGTGATGTCCACTCTCGGGGGAGCCGAGGTACAGAGAGCAGTGTTTGTGATGGCACTTTGTTCCTGCTTCTCAGAAGCTCTGGCATTGATGAATATGAAATGAGTACACAAATTATTTTAGTAAAGGTGACTTATTATGCAGAGGAGAGAAATAGCAAAGAGTGAGATATCACTGAGGCCTAAGGAGGCAATGGGACTGGAACCCAAGTCTCCAGACTCCTAACCCAGGCTGCTCTCTCCCCTCAGGGTGACCCCTTCATATATCACCTTGTATGTTCCCGCTTTCCAGGGACTTTTACTTAGAATCTAAATCAAGAAAAAAAAAGGCTTAGTAGTCAGAGTTGTAGCAACTATAGCAGAGGAGGGTGTGAACAAGTGACCACCAAAGCCTGAGTGGGTGAGGGGGATAGCCATGGAGGTCCTGTAGAAGCCTGGAGCTGGCAGAGGTGCTTGACCTGAGGTTATCTGGGAAGACTTCCTCAGGAAGTGGGGCTTGCACTGTACCTTGAAGGTTCCATTCCTTGTGAAAAGCAAAGAATGCCATTCCAGGCAGAGGAACATCAGGGCAGTCTCAAAGGTGGCTGGTCCTGGGAACAGAGGGTGGGGTAGGACCTTGAATGCCACGCCTAGGAGCAGCCTTTGGCAGTGTGTAGGGACTGTGCTCTCTGGTTTACAGAGTTCTTTTTTATCCATCATCTCCTTGGGTTCTCCCAACTTCCCTGAACTCCCAGAGTCTGGTACCTTGCCAAGCTGCTATTGGCCAAGGCCACAGTCCACGCCCATGTCCCAGGTTTCTCCTGCTACAGAAAGGTGGGCTGGGGATCCTGGAGACAGCTGTACCCATTTCTCTCTCTTGCAGGTCGTGTTTTCGCCTGGGGCATGGGCACCAACTACCAGCTGGGCACAGGGCAGGATGAGGACGCCTGGAGCCCTGTGGAGATGATGGGCAAACAGCTGGAGAACCGTGTGGTCTTATCTGTGTCCAGCGGGGGCCAGCATACAGTCTTATTAGTCAAGGACAAAGAACAGAGCTGATGAAGCCTCTGAGGGCCTGGCTTCTGTCCTGCACAACCTCCCTCACAGAACAGGGAAGCAGTGACAGCTGCAGATGGCAGCGGGCCTCTCCCCAGCCCTGAGCACTGTGTCAGTTCCTGCCTTTTCTCATCAGCAGAACAGAATCCTTTTCCTCTTTTCCTTCCTCCTCTTTGGAATTTTCCTGGGACCTACAGAATAAAGGGGGGGATGGACAGGGGGTTTTCAAAAGGAACATGGCTCACTCAGAGCTATATGGTTAGACGTTTCTCCCCTTTTCCCTACCTTCCATGGTCCTGGTTGGCCCTGGCTTTGCCTACTAGAAAACCAAAACTTCCCCCCTGGGGTTTTGTGCCCACTCTCTGAGAAGTTGGGGCTCCATCAAGCCCCATTCTAGTCATGTGCCCCTTTCCTGTCCCTAACAGTCCACAGGCAAACAAATGGTACAGTCATAAGAGCCATCTGTCACGGACCCACGCCCAGAGGAACGTGCAGAAAAAAGCAGAGCTACATGGCTGTGGGCAACTATAAGCCAAATATTTGGCTCAGAACAGGTGTCCATGGGACAAAAAAGAACGATCCTCCACTTGACCAAGAAAAAAGTGATTCTCCCAGAAGCACAAAGCATACTCTTGCCCCTCAGGTGTTGCTTGTGTACATCGTACCCATCCATTCGGCTTCACCTGCAGCCAACGGCCTGGAATCGCAAAGAGACACCACTCTGGGCAGAGCAGAGCAGGGTATGGGGTGGGGAGAGAGGGTGGAGGGTTTTATAAACAAACTTAACAGCAATATTGAAAGGAGGTGGGGGATTGAGGGAGGGACAGAGTGTTGGAGGGCCAGAGACTAGTCCTGAGATGGAAACAGCAACTTGTACAGTGGCTGAGAAAATAGGATATAGTTTTGATTTTTTTAATTGTAAAATATTTTGGAGGGAGAACAAAATCTTTTAACATTTTGAATAAATTTAGAGTTTTATAAAATAGGCCACTTGTTTTCTACACATTCCCTGCTTTTTAAGGGAGCACATATTATGTGCCAGGCACTGCTGGGAAAGACAGAATAAACTATAAACCTGGTGTTGAGGCTACAACTTAAGTGATGTCAAGATGTCCTGAGGTGCCAACCAGCTGTCAGTGTGACTGTAACAAAGGCTTCAAATCTGTCAAGAAGTAAGGAAAAGTTTTGTTTGAATTTTGTTTGGGTATTTCTGTTTTGGGAGTCACTGGATTATTTTTAAATGCTGCATAGTACAATAGAGGCAGGGTGGATCTTTTAATACCAAACCAAAAAAAATTTTTTTTTTTTGAGACAGAGTTTTTCTCGTGGCCCAGGCTAGAGTGCAATGGCGCAATCTTGGCTCACTGTATCCTCCGCCTCCCAGGTTCAAGCAATTCTTCTGCCTCAGCCTCCCAAGTAGCTGGGATTACAGGCATGCATCACCATGCCTGGCTAAATTTTTTTGTGTTTTTAGTAGAGACAGGGTCTTGCCCCGTTGGTCAGGCTGGTCCCGAACACCTGACCGCAGATGATCTGCCCGCCTCGGCCTCCCAAAGTGCTGGGATTATAGGCGTGAGCCACCGCGCCTGGCCGATTTTTTTTTTTTTTTTTTTGAGACAGTCGCTTTCTTTGCCCAGGCTGGAGTGCAATGGTGTGATCTCGGCTCGCTGCAACCTCCACCTCCCGGGTTCAAGTGATTCTTCTGCTTCAGCGTCTGAAGTAGCTGGAATTACAGGCACACACCACCGAGCCCAGCTAATTTCTAAAATTATTTATTTATTTATTGAGGCGGAGTCTCGCTCTGTTGCCCAGGCTGGAGTGCAGTGGCATGATCTCGGCTCACTGCAACCTCCGCCTCCCAAGTTCAAGCGATTCTCCTGCCTCAGTCTCCCGAGTAGCTGGGACTACAGGCGCGTGCCACCATGCCTGGCTAATTTTTTTGTATTTTTAGTAGAGACGGGGTTTCACTATGTTGGCCAGACTGGTCTCCAACTCCTGACCTCCTGATCCGCCCACCTCAGCCTCCCAAAGTGCTGAGATTACAGGCATGAGCCACCGCACCCAGCAATTTATTTATTTAGAGACTGAGTTTCGCTCTTGTTACCCAGGCTGGAGTGCAGTGGTGTGATCTCAGCTCACTGCAACCTCCGCTTCCCAGGCTCAAGTGATTCTCCTGCCTCAGTAATCCCGAGTAGCTGGGATTACAGGCGTGCGCCACCATGGCCAGCTAATTTTTGTATTTTTAGTAGAGACGGGGTTTCACCATGTTGGCCAGGATGGTCTGGATCTCTTAACCTCGTGATCCACATGCCTTGACCTCCCAAAGTGCTGGTACAATAGGCATGAGCCACTGTGCCTGGCCAAACCAAGATTTTTTAACACAGTACCATCTCTAGAAATGCTTACTGAGGCCAAGCACGGTGGCTCACGCCTGTAATTCCAGCACTTTGGGAGGTCAAAGTAGGTGGATCACTTGAGGTCAGGAGTTTGAGACCAGCCTGGCCAACATGGTGAAACCCCATCTCTACTAAAAATTAAAAAACTAGCCAGGCGTGGTGGCACGTGCCTGTAATCCCAGCTACTGGGGAGGCTAAGGCAGGAGAATCGCTTGAACCCAGGAGGCGGAGGTTGCAGTGAACTGAAATCGCGCCATTGCACTCCAGCCTGGGTGAAGAAGCGAGACTCCATCTCAAAAAAAAGGCTTACTGAGCCGCTTGTGTATTGTTTTCAGCAACTGATGTACTTATTTAACCATCATTATTTGCACAATAATAAAAAGTAGGGCATGCCCCACCACACCCAGCACTTTTTTTTTTTTTTTTTTTTTTGAGACAGTGCCTTTTTTTAGCCCAGGCTGGAGTGCAGTGGCGCCACCTTGGCTCACTGCAGCAACTGCCTCTCAGGTTCCAGTGATTCTCCCGCCTCAGCCTCCCAGGTAGTTGGGATTACAGTCATGCGCCACTATGCCTGGTTAATTTTTATACTTTTAGTAGAAACAGGGTTTCATGCCTTACACAGTAATTCTTAACGATAACATATTACTGTAGATTTTCACAAGCATTTGACCCACAAAAATCACACACAGCTGACTTGTGCAATACAGTGGTCACTAGCCACATGTGGCTGTTTACATTGAAATCAATTGTCCGGGTGTGGTGGCTCGTGCCTGTAATCTCAGCACTTTGGGAGACCGAGGTGGGTGGATCATGAGGTCAGGAGATCGAGACCATCCTGGCTAATACAGTGAAACCCCCTCTCTACTAAAAATACAAAAAATTAGCCGGTCGTGGTGGCAGGCACATGTAGTCCCAGCTACTCAGGAGGTTGAGGCAGGAGAATAGCATGAACCCGGGAGGCAGAGCTTGCCGTGAGCCGAGATTGCACCACTGCACTCCAGCCTGGGCGACAGCGAGACTCCATCTCAAAAAAAAAAAAAAAAATCAATTAATATATATTTAAAACGAAATAAACTCAGTTTCGCCAGGCGTGGTGGCTCACACCTGTAATTCCAGCACTTTGGGAGGCCAAGGCAGACAGATCACTTGAGGTCAGGCGTTTGAGACCAGCCTGGCCAACATGGTGAAACCCTGTCTCTACTGAAAAAAAAACAAAAAAAAAATATAAAAATTAGCTGGGCATGGTGGTACATGCCTGTAATCCCAGCTACTCGGGAGTCTGAGGCAGGAAAATCACTTGAACCTGGGAGATGGAGGTTGCAGTGAGCTGATAACAGGCCACTGCACTCCAGCCTAGGTGACAGAGTGAGACTCCATCTCAAAACAAACAAAAAACTCAGTTTCAGTTGTACAAGCCACATTTCAAGTAGTCACGAGTGACAAGCTAGTACTTGTGGTATGGGACTGTGCAAATACAGCACATTTCCCATTGCAGAAAGTTACAATGGACAGTGCTGATACAAAGAATCGGTGTATGGTAACAGGAAAGTTTTATTAACACCAGGAGGATTATTGGATGTCAGAGACTTGGAAAAATGAATATGATATTAAAAAAATGTAATATGTGGCTCATGCCTGTAATCCTAGCACTTTGGCAGGCCGAGGCGGGCGGATCGCTTGAGGTCAGGAGTTCAAAACCAGCTTGGCCGTCATGGTGAAACCCTGTCTCTATGAAAAATACAAAAAATTAGCTGGGCATGGTGGTGTGCACCTGTAATCCCAGCTATTCTGGTGGCTGAGGCAGGAGAATTGCTTGAACCTGGGAGGCGGAGGTTGCAGTGAGCCGAGATTGTGCCACCACACTCCAGCCTGGGTGACAGAGTGAGACACCATCTCAAAATAAATTAGGCCTGGTGTGGTGGCTCATGCCTGTAATCCCGGCACTTTGGGAGGCCAAGGTGGGTGGATCACGAGGTCAGGAGTTCAAGACCAGCCAAGATGGTGAAACCCCGTCTCTACTAAAAAATACAAAAAAATTAGCCAGGTGTGGTGTTGAGCGCCTGTAATACCAGCTACTCGGGAGGCTAGGGCAGAGAATTGTTTGAACCTGGGAGGTGGAGGTTGCAGTGAGCCGCAATTGCACCACTGCACTCCAGCCTGGGTGACAGAGCGAGACCTCATCTCAAAAAAAATAGGCCGGGCGCGGTGGCTCATGCCTGTAATCCCAGCACTATGGGAGGCCGAGGTGGGCGGATCATGAGGTCAGGAGATCGAGATCATCCTGGCTAACAGTGAAACCCCATCTCTACTGAAAATACAAAAAAATTAGCCGGGCATGGTGGCGGGCGCCTGTAGGTACTTGGGAGGCTGATTCAGGAGAATGGTGTGAACCCAGGAGGCGGAGCTTGCAGTGAGCCAAGATAGCACCATTGCACTCCAGCCTGGGCGACAGAGCAAGACTCCGTCTCAAAAAAAAATAAATAAATAAATAAAAATAAAAAATAAAAGTAAATTTAAGAAAAATTTAAGGCCAGGCACGGTAGCTCACGCCTGTAATCCCAACACTTTGGGAGGCTGAGGTGGGCAGATCACAAGGTCAGGAGATCGAGACCATCTTGGCTAATACAGTGAAACCCCAACTCTACTAAAAATAGAAAAAATTAGCCGGGTGTGGTGATGGGTGTCTGTAGTCCCAGCTACTTGGGAGGCTGAGGCAGGAGAATGGCGTGAACCCAGGAGGCGGAGCTTGCAGTAAGCCGAGATCGCGCTACTGCACTCCAGCCTGGGCAACAGCGCAAGACTCCGTCTCAAAAAAAGAAAAAAAAAAAAAAAAAAAAAAATATATATATATATATATATATATATATATACTCTTTTTTCTTGAACTTGTAGTTTTGATGCAGGCACTATATTTTAATATTTGCTTTGCGAAAAGTACTTGTATGTCCGCTACTCCAGCCCCAAAAAAATCCTTTGGAATTATATTTATTGGAGTTTTCCCACTCAGCAATATAATATAGCAGGGTGAAAGTACCTCTTTTTTTTTTTTTTTTTTTTGAGACAGTGTCTTACTCTGTTACCCAGGCTGGAGTGCAGTGGCATGATCACCACTCACTGCAGCCTTGACTTCCTCAGGTTCAGGTGATCCTCCCACCTCAGCCTCCCAAGTAGCTGGGACCATAGGCATGTGTCACTACACTTGGCTAATTTTTGTATTTGTTTGTAGCTACAGGGTTTTGCCACGATGTACAGGCTGGTGTCGAACTCCTGGACTCAAGTGATCTGCCTGCCTCAGCCTCCCAAAATGTTGGGATTACAGGCGTGAGCCACTACACCTACAAAAGTACTTCGTTATTGGTCAGGTGCGGTGGTCACACCTGTGTAGGGACCAGCCCTACAGGGCCTGTGGGTTTTACTCCACGTGTGTGGAGACCAGAGATTGTAGAAATAAAGACACAAGACAAAGAGATAGAAGAAAAGATAGCTGGGCTGGGCGCGGTGGCTCACGCCTGTAATCCCAGCACTTTGGCAAGCCAAGGTGGGCGGATCACAAGGTCAGGAGATCATAGCCATCCTGGCTAACACGGTGAAACCCCGACTCTACTAAAAGTACAAAAAGAAATTAGTCGGCCGGGCGCGGTGGCTCACGCCTGTAATCCCAGCACTTTGGGAGGCCGAGGCGGGTGGATCACGAGGTCAGGAGATCGAGACCATCCTGGCTAACAAGGTGAAACCCCGTCTCTACTAAAAATACAAAAAATTAGCCGGGCGCGGTGGCGGGCGCCTGTAGTCCCAGCTACTCGGGAGGCTGAGGCAGGAGAATGGCGTGAACCCGGGAAGCGGAGTTTGCAGTGAGCCGAGATTGCGCCACTGCAGTCCGCAGTCCGGCCTGGGCGACAGAGCGAGACTCCGTCTCAAAAAAAAAAAAAAAAAGAAATTAGTCGGGCGTGGTGGCGGGTGCCTGTAGTCCCAGCTACTCAGGAGGCTGAGGCAGGAGAATGGCGTGAACCCGGGAGGTGGAGCTTGCAGTGAGCCGAGATCACACCACTCTACTCCAGTCTGGGCGACAGAGCGAGACTCTATCTCAAAAAAAAAAAAAAAAAAAGGCAACTGGGCCCCAGGGACTACTACCACCAAGATGCGGAGACTGGTAGTGGCCCTGAATGCCTGGCTGTGCTGTTATTTATTGTATACAAGGCCAGGGGACAGGGTAAGGAGTGTCAGTCATCTCCAATGATAGGTAACGGTCATGTGAGTCACGTGTCCACCAGACGGGGGGGCCCTTCCCTGTTTGGTAGCCAAGGCGGAGAGAGAGGGGGGACAGCGTACGTCATTATTTCTTCTATGCATTTCTCTGAGAGATCAAAGACTTTAATATTCTCACTAATTCTGCTACTGCTATCTAGAAGGCAGAGCCAGGTGTACAGAGTGGAACATGAAAGTGGACCAGGAGCATGACCGCTGAAGCACAGCATCACAGGGAGACGTTTAGGCCTCCGGATGGCTACAGGCAGGCTTGACTGATGTCAGGCCTTCCACAAGAGGTGGTGGAGCAGAGTCTTCTCTAACTCCCCAGGGGAAAGGGAGACTACCGTTCCCGGTCTGCTAAGTAATGGGTAATGGGTGCCTTCCCAGGCACTGGCGCTACTGCTAGGCCAAGGTCGCTAAGTAACGGGTGCCTTCCTGGGCACTGCCGTTACCGCCCTTTAGTGGCCCTGTCCGGGTGTGACAGAGGGCTCACACTCTTGTCTTCTGGTCACTTCTCACCGTGTCCCTTCAGCTCCTATCTCTGTATGGCCTGGTTTTTCCTAGGTTATAATTGTAGAGCAGATATTATTATAATATTGGGATAAAGAGTAATGCTACAAAGTAATGATTGATAATATTCATATAAAATCATGTCTATATTCTATGTCTAATATACCTATTCTTATTTTAAGGATTTTCTTTATTATACTGGAACAGCTTGTGCCTTCAGTCTCTCGCCTCAGCAGCTGGGTGGCTTGCCGCCCACACACCTGTAATCCCAGCACTTAGGGAGGCTGAGGTGGGTGGCTCACCTGAGGTCAGGAGTTCAAGACCGGCCTGGCCAACATGGTGAAACCCTGTATCTACTAAATCTACTAAAAATATAACAAATTAGCTGGGTATGGTGGCATGCAGCTGTAGTCCCAGCTACTCAGGAGGCTAAGGCTCGAGAATCACTTGAACCCAGGAGGGGGAGGTTGCGGTGAGCCGAAATTGTGCCACTGCCCTCCAGCCTGGGTGACAGAGCGAGACTGTCTCAAAAAAAAAAAAAGAAAGAAAATAGTACCTCCTTTTTTTTTTTTTTTGGAGACTCTGTCTCCCGGGCTGGAGTGCAGTGGGTGCGATCTCAGCTCACTGTAACCTTCACCTCCTGGGTTCAAGCGATTCTCCTGCCTCAGCCTCCTGAGTAGCTAGGAGTCCAGGCATGCACCACCATGCCCGGCTAATTTTTTTGTATTTTTAGTAGAGACGGGGTTTCCCCATGTTGGCCAAGCTGGTCTCGAACTCCTGACCCCAAGTGATCCAACTGCCTCGGCTTCCCAAAGTGTTGGGATTATAGGCGTGAGCCACCATGCCCGGCCAGTATCTCATTCTTAATAGCTCATATGCATTGGGACTTCGAGTAGGGTAGGCATCGTATTGAGCACTTTACATGCAATAGCTTGTTTAATCCTCACATCAGCTCTACTATCCTTCAGGGAACAGTCCCTGCCAGTTGAAGTGACTTGCTTGAGGTCAGGAGGCTACCAAGTGCATAGTCTATTCAGCCTCCACCTGAGCCCAGAACCTCAGTATTTTTTCCTCATATTGTACCTAAGAGTTATAAAGTTCCCTAGATGTTTTATGTATATTAGAACAGTGCCAGCCACGTAGTAAATGCTATACAATTCTTTGCTATTATGATTATTTTACATTTTATATTCCCTGTAGTTAATAATTGCCTTGTTTTTAATGTACTTTGTTTTGTTTGTATAAGTATCATTAATTCAGTTCCAATATATCAGAAGTATAAATCTTTTGGGTGTTCAAACACATCACCTACTTTCAATTTTATCTTTTCCTCCGTCCTCTCCCAACCTGAATTAATTACCCCGAAATAAATGTAAAGTAATACAACATATGGCTGTGCTATAAATAATACTTACAGTCATAATAATGTGGATGTTCAACAGTGCTTTAACAAAATATCATCAGGAAGGCTGGGCACGGTGGCTCACGCCTGTAATCCCAGCATTTTGGGAAGCCGAGGTGGGAGGATTCCATGAAGGCAGTAGTTTGAGACCAGCCTGGGCAACATAGTGAGACATCCCCCTGCACCCAATCTCTACCAAAAAAAAAATTATGGGTGTGGTGGTGCACACCTGTAGACCCAGCTATTGAGGGCAGGGAGGCTGAGGTGGGAGGACTGCTTGAGCCCAGGATATCCAAGCTGCAGGGGCTGTGATTATAACACTGTACTCCAGCCTGGGTGACAGAGCAAGACCCTGTTTTTTAAAAAGTTGGGGTACGGTGGCTCACGCCAGTAATCCCAGCACTTTAGGAGACCGAGGCGGGTGGATCACCTAAGGTCAGGAGTTCAAGGCCAGCCTGACCAACATGGTGAAACCCCATCTCTACTAAAAATACAAAAATTAGCTGGGTGTGGTGACGGGTGCCTGTAGTTCCAGCTACTCCAGAGGCTGAGACAGGAGAATCGCTTGAACCTGGGAGGCAGAGGTTGCAGTGAGCGGAGACCCTGCCATTGCACTCCAACCTGGGCGACACGGCGAGACTCTGTCTCAAAAACAAAAAAGAGGCCGAGCACGATGGCTCATGCCTGTAATTCCAGCACTTTGGGAGGCCGAAGTGGGCAGATCACCTGAGGTTGGGAGTTTCAGACCAGCCTGACCAACTTGGAGAAACCCCATCTCTACTAAAAATACAAAATTAGCTGGGCATGGTGGCGCATGCCTGTAATCCTAGCTACTCAGGAGGCTGAGGCAGGAGAATCGCTTGAACCCGGGAGGAGGAGATTGCAGTGAGCCAAGATCACGCCATTGCACTTCAGCCTGGGCAACAAGAGCTAAATTCCATCTCAAAAAAAAAAAAAAAAAAAAAGCCAGGCGCAGTGGTTCACGCCTGTAATCTCAGTACTTTGGGAGGCTGAGGTGGGCAGATCACGAGGTCAAGAGATCGAGACCATCCTGGCTAACATGGTGAAACCCCGTCTCTACTAAAAAAATACAAAAAATTAGCCGGGCGTGGTGGCGGGTGCCTGTAGTCCCAGCTACTTGGGAGGCTGAGGCAGGAGAATGGCGTGAACCTGGGAGACAGAGCTTGCAGTAAGCCGAGATCGCGCCACTGCACACTCCAGCCTGGGTGACAGAGCAAGACTCTATCTCGAAAAAAAAAAAAAAAGAAAAGAAAACATAGGAGATGGAGAGATAAGTGTCTATGTATATGGGGAGGGGGCAGCCACTAAATACCTGAAACTGCAAGTAAAAAAGTAGTGTAGTAGAAAGTATATATTTTAAAATACACAGGTAGGTTCTAGGAAAAAGACTTGGAAATAGTCGACTCAAGGGAGTGGGAATTCGGGGGCAGAGGGTAAGAGACCACTGTCTCTTTCCATTTTTTTAAGACAGAGTGTCTCTCTGTCCCCCAGGCTGGAGTGCAGTGGCATGATCTTGGTTCACTGCAGCCTCCGCCTCCTGGGCTCAAGCAATTCTCATGTCTCAGCCTCCTGAGTAGCTGGGATTACAGGCACGTGCCACCATGCCCAGCTAATTTTTGTATTTTTAGTAGAGATGGGGTTTCACCATGTTGGCCAGGCTGGTCTCAAACTCCTGACCTCAGGTGATCTGCCTGCCTCCACCTCCCAAAGTGCTGGGATTACAGGTGTGAGCCCCTGCACCTGGCCAAAAATAAATTTTTTTAATAAAGAGCACAGCACAGTGACTGGCAAATAATACTAAATTAATAGCTGTCAGTTATAATTTTAAGGCTTCCAACTGCCATGTTGGAGGATTTACTGAATGCTAGGCATTGGGCCAAGTACTTTCCCAACTTATTTTTTTCCTCACAACCACCCTGTGGGGTAAGTAAGCACTATCCACATTAGGCCCAGAAGTTAAATAAATAATTAGCAAGAGGTGGGGCCGGGATTATGCTCCATTTGTTTGAATCTACAGCCAAAATGCCTAACCACTACACTACTATTGCAGTGATGGTAGGATACGGCCAGAAATATGGCAACTCGTGGTTGAACCTCAGGTTTTCAGACTGATGAGTCTCTGGCTTGAGAGCACAACATCCTAAGTTGAGGATGTATAGACTGGTAGGAAAGGACTTTGGGTGCCCATTAGTCCAGAGGGAGCCCCAGAAAGTGGCCTTAAAACACTTGGAGTGGGTTTCACTGTCAGAGATGCCAATTACTACATACAGAAGAAGCTTTCCATACTGACGACTGGGCACCAAAGTAAGTCAGAGGCCTGGGATACTCCCAGAGTAGGAGCATCTCAAAATTAAACTGTCTGGATTGTCTAGCCATCTAAATTGTGTTTATGACGGCACACTGTGGGCAGGTCACTGTTCTGGGACTAGTCAGAACTCCAGGTGATTTGGAGTAGGGTAGTGGGACTCAAGAAAATAGAGGCCGGGAGCTGTGGCTCACACCTGTAATCCTAGCACTTTGGGAGGCCCAAACAGGTGGTTCACCTGAGGTCAAGAGTTCAAGACCAGCCTGGCCAACATGGTGAAACCCCATCTCTACTAAAAATACAAAAATTAGCTGGGCGTGGTGGCGCCAGCCTGTAATCCTAGCTACTTGGGAGGCTGAGGCAGGAGGATCGCTTGAACCCAGGAGGCAAAGGTTGCAGTGACCAGGATAGCACCACTGCACACCAGCCTGGGCAACAGGAGCAAAACTTCATCTCAAAAATAAATAAATAAATAAATAAAAATAGAGTGACAGAACTTGGGGACTGATTGGTTGCCAGATGACAAGGTTACTCCAATTTACACTCCTTTTAATTCTTCCCACCTCCCACCCCAGGGCCCTATATGGGAATGAAGGAAGAATCCCATTCCGGCTCCAACAAGACTCATGTTTTTCAGACTGGTAAACCTGGAGTGAGGGAATGGCTTGCACAGAGCAGTGGCTTGCCCTGGGTCACAGTGAGACAGTAAGAACAGGGCTTGGCTTCAGCTCACCAAGACTAGAGCAGCAGTTCCCAACCTTTTTTGGCACCAGGGACTGGTTTTGTGGAAGACAATTTCCACGGACAGGGGATGGTTTGGGGATTACTCAAGCGCATTACATTTATTGTGCACTTTATTATTATTAATGTAACGTTGTAATATATAATGAAATGATTATATAACTCACCATAATGTAGAATCAGTGGGAGCCCTGAGCTTGTTTTCCTGCAACTAGACAGTCCCCTCTGGGGTTGTTGGGAGACAGTGACAGATCATCAGGTATTAGATTCTCATAAGGATGCCAGGCATGGTGGCTGACGCCTGTAATCTCAACACTTGGAAAGGCTGAGGCAGATGGATCACCTGAGGACAGGAGTTTGAGACCAGCCTGGCCAACATGGCAAAACCCCGTCTCTATTAAAAATACAAAAAAATTGGTGGGCGTGGTGGCTCACGCCTGTAATGCCAGCACTTTGGGAGGCTGAGGTGGGTGGATCACGAGGTCAGGAGATTGAGATCATCCTGGCTAATACGGTGAAACCCCGTCTCTACTAAAAATACAAAAAAACTAGCCAGGCATGGTAGTGGGCGCCTGTAGTCCCAGCTACTTGGGAGGCTGAGGCAGGAGACTGGCATGAACCTGGGAGGCGGAGCTTGCAGTGAGCTGAGATCACACCACTGCACTCCAGCCAGGGCGAGAGCGAGACTCTGTCTCAAAAGAAAAAACAAAAACCCACACCACCATACCCACTAACTCTGAGGCTTTAGTCATATAAAGAAAAATAGCCATTATATATTGTTCTTTTGTGCTCTTATAATGTGTAACCATGCCCTTTAATTAAAGAATTCCAGGATCTACAAAAAAAAAAGAAAGCAGAAAAAAGAAGCCAGGCGTGGTGGCTCACGCCTGTAATCCCAGCACTTTGGGAGGCCACAGTGGGGGGATCATGAGGTCAGGAGTTCTAGACCAGCCTGGCCAACATAGTGAAACCCTGCCTCTTCTAAAAATAAAAAAAAAAAAAAAAAAAAAAAAAAACTAGCCAGGCATGGTGGCAGGTGGCTGTAATCCGTCTCAAACAAAAAAAAAAAAAAAAAAAAAAAAAGAAAGAAAAGAAAAAAGAGGCTGGGCGCTGTGGCTCACACCTATAATCCCAGCACTTTGGGAGGCCAAGGCAGGAGGATCGCTTGAGCCTAGGAGTCCAAAATGAGCTTGGCCAACATAGTGAGCTCTCCTCTCTGCAAAAAAAAAAAAATTAGCCAGCTGTGGGGGTGCACACCTGTAGTGCCAGCTACTCTGGAGGCTGAGGCAGGAGGATCACTTGAGTCCGGGAGTTTGAGGCTGCAATAAGCCAAGATTGTGCCAATGCGCTCCAGCCTGGGCGACAGAGAGAGACCCTCTCTCAGAATGACTGACCAACTGAATAAATAAATAAATAAATAAAATAAAAATAATTCTAGGATCTGGCCTTAGGAGATCCAAATTATCCAACCAAGGTTGTGGAATGTCTCATCTCAGGAAGAAATGCTGAAAACTTCATTTACAGCCTTGTTGCTGACAGCCAAACTACCAGGTAGCCCAGTACTAAAGATAATCATTGGCTGGGCGCGATGGGTGGCTCACGCCTGTAATCCCAGCACTTTGGGAGGCCGAGGTGGGTGGATCACCTCAGGTCAGGAGTTCGAGACCAGCCTGACCAACATGGTGAAACCCCGTCTCTACTGAAAATACAAAAATTAGCTGTGCCTGGTGGTGGGCGCCTGTAATCCCAGCTACTCAGGAGGTGAAGCAGGAGAATAGCTAGAACCCAGGAGGCTAGATTCTAGCTATTCTGAGCCGAGATTGTGCCATTGCACTCCAGCCTGGGCGACAAAGGAAGACTCCGTCTCAAAAAAAAAAAAAAAGATAATCATTACAACAGGATATGCTGACCTTCATACCCCACCCTCATGAGCTTTGTCCTGCCCAGCCTGTAAACCCTACACTTGATATCACTTTCCGTGCTTTGCCCAATAAAACATCTCAACCAGCTCTTTTCGGAGAGTCAGGGAATTCTCGCTCTCTTGTGCTGCCTCCCTTATACCCAGGCATAAGCTCCAATGAAGACTTGTCTGGGAAAACTTTTTTGGCCTCATGTTAATTTCTGTTGGATTGAGAGCCTAAGAACCCCTGGTAACAATAGGGAGGTAGTGGAACCGGGTTGTCCGGAGGGATATTTTCACTTTTTTGGATGCACTTGTATCTGCAGTTTTTTACAACGAGCATATATTAATGTTGTAATTATGTGTGTGTTTGTGTGTGTGTGTACGTGTGTATGTTTTTTGTTTTTTGTTTTTTTTTTAATTTGAGACAGAGTCTCACTCTGTCGCCCAGGCTGGAGTGCAGTGGCGCGATCTCGGCTCACTGCAGCCTCTGCCTCCCGGGTTCAAGTGATTATCCTGTCTCAGCCACCTGAGTAGCTGGGACTACAAGTGCACACCATCATACCCGGCTAATTTCTGTATTTTTAGTAGAGACGGGGTTTCACCATGTTGGCCAGGATGGTCTCGATCTCCTGACCTCGTGATCTGCCCACCTCGGCCTCCCAAAGTGTTGGGATTACAGGCGTGAGCCACCGCGCCCGGCCTTGTTTGTTTTCTAAATATGTAAAGTCAGAAATTAACCCAAGTAACGAGCATACATATATATGTGTGTGTGTGTGTGTATATATGTATATATATGTGTATGTGTGTATATATGTGTATATGTGTATTATGTGTGTATATGTGTATATATGTGTATATATATGTGTATGTGTGTGTGTGTGTGTATGTATATATATGGAGTCTTGCTCTGTCACCAGGCTGCGGTGCAATGGCGCTATCTCGGCTCACTGCAACTTCTGCCCCCTGGGTTTAAGCGATTCTCCTGCCTCAGTCTCCCGAGTAGCTGCGACTACCAGCGCTCGCCACCACGCCCGCTAATTTTCGTACTTTTAGTAGAGAGGGGGTTTCCCCCTGTTGGCGAGGATGGTCTCGATTTCTTCACCTCGTGATCCGCCCGCCTCGGCCTCCTCAAGTGCTGGGATTACAGGCGTGAGCCACCGTGCCCAGCCCTAACGAGCATATATTAATGTTGTAATTATATGTGTCTGTGTGTGTGTGGTTTTGTTTTCTATATAAAGTCAGACGAGTGTGTGTGTGTAGTTTTGTTTGTTTTCTAAATATATAAAGTCAGAAATAAACCCAAGTAACCCAGCCGCCTGGGCCAGGTGGTATCTGGCCCGCCCCATTCCAGCCTGAACTCCGCCCACCGCGATCCGGAAGCCTAGCGCCCAGTGGGTTGCAGGAAAAACCCGGAGCTGAACACACTGCCCGACCCGGGCCGCTGCGCTCGGGAGCCTGCGCAGAAGCCGTCGGAGGCGCATGCTCTGTAGCGGTCTCCGCAGCCAGGATTGGCGCCCGCGCGGGCCTTCGAGCCCCGCCCGCAGAGCCCCGCCCGCAAAGCCCCACCCCGGTGCGCGGGTATGGCGGCCAGCCTGTGGATGGGCGACGTGAGTGAGGGCAGCCGTCCGGGGTCTGAAGACAAGGAAGCATCTCGGTTTCGCGAGAGAGGAAGGATCTGAGTGGGAGGGGACTTGGGATCCCAGAAAGGGGAGACGTGTGACGGGGGTTCTTTTTGGTGACACAGAAGCGGGTTCCAGCATCTAAGTGAAGAGGCTGAGTCCGTGAGGCTAGGGGTCCTGGGGCCCCACCTGGGTTCGTGGGAGGGAAAGGTGGTGCTTTGGGGACATAGAATGGGAGCAATCCAAGGACTGAGGCGCGCTGTTCTGGGACCGGAGGAGTGGGGTTTCTAGGTCCAAGGGGAGGCTCCCTAAAGCGGGGCAAGCTTGAACCAAAAGAGCTGGGGTTTCAGGCCGCTCAGTGGAGGCGAACCTCGCCCCTCGCTCCCCCAGCGGCGCGTAGCCAGCCCTGGGCTGAACGGGAGGGGCTCTGGAACCCGGAGTGGGAAGCCCGGCCGCCGGCCTGAGCCGCTGTGCTCTTGTTTTTACGCAGCTGGAACCCTACATGGATGAGAACTTCATCTCCAGAGCCTTTGCCACCATGGGGGAGACCGTAATGAGCGTCAAAATTATCCGAAACCGCCTCACTGGGTAAGTCTCATCTCAGGTCTCTCTTAATACATCTCGTTGCAGCTGTCATGTACGAGAATGTAAACATCGTAGTCATGGCTTCTCACTACCCCTAGTAATAGTCACTGTAAAATTATAACAGCTAACATTTTGAGGTCCCAATGAGTGGAAGGATGGCATGTAGCTTAAGGGTAGGACTTGCCAGGCGTTGTGACTCACACCTGTAATCCCAGCACTTTGGGAGGCTGAGGTGGGTGGATCACCTGAGGTCAGGAGTTTGAGACCAGCCTGGCCAACATGGTGAAACCCCGTCTCTACTAAAAATACAAAAATTAGCCGGGTGTGGTGGCAGGCACCTGTAACCCCAGCTACTCCGGAGGCTGAGGCATGAGAATCACTTGAACCCGGGAGGCGAAGGTTGCAGTGAGCTGAGATCGTGCCACTGTACTTCAGCTTGGACAACAAGAGCAAAACAATGTCTCAAAAAAAAAAAAAACAAAAAAACAAAAAACGCAGGACTCAAGCGAGACTGGGTTTGAAAGCTATTTCTACTCTATGACCTTGGGTAAGTTACTTAACTGCTCTGTCTCATTCACTTTGAGTATAAAAATGGAAATAACAGCACCTACCTCCTAGAGTTATGGTGAGGATTAAATGAGTTAATTCACATTCATCATTAGGACAGTGTATGGCATATAGCATATGCTCAGTAAGTATAGTCAGATTACGATCTGCTGAGTAATAAGCAGTTTACATCCATTATCTCCTTAAAACCTCAGAAACTTCTGAGGTAGGTAAATACTATTATGAAGAGGCTTAATAACTTGAAGAGTTACAATAAATAGCCGGGCGCAGTGGCTCTCGCCTGTAATCCTAGCACTTTGGGAGGCCGAGGCAGGCCGGATCACGAGGTCAGGAGATTGAGACCATCCTGGCTAACACGGTGAAACCCCATCTCTACTAAAAATACAAAAAAAATTAGCTGGGCATGGTGGCGGGCACTTGTAGTCTCAGCTACTTGGGGGGCTGAGGCAGGAGAATGGCGTGAACCCAGGAGGCGGAGCTTGCAGTGAGCCGAGATCGCTCCACTCCACTCCAGCCTGGGCGACAGCTGAGACTCTGTCTCAAAAAAAAAAAAAAAGAGTTATAATAAATAACAAGTCAGGACTTGAATTCGAGTCTATCCTGAAAGCTCATGAGGGCCCTTAACTCTTATGCCATTCATTTAAAAAATTGTGGAGGATGGGTGCGGTGCCTCATGCCTGTAATCCCAGCACTTCGGGAGGCGAGAAGGGTGGATCACCTGAGGTCAGGAGTTGGAGACCAGCCTGACCAACATGGAGAAACCCTGTCTCTACCAAAAATTAGCCAGGCGTGGTGGTGCATGCCTGTAATCCCAGCTACCTGGGAGGCTGAGGCAGGAGAATCGCTTGAACTTGGGAGGCAGAGGTTGTAGTGAGCCGAGATCGCGCCATTGCACTCCAGCCTGGGCAATAAGAGCGAAACTCCATCTCAAAAAAAAAAAAAAAATTATCTGTGGAGATACTACTGTGTTCTACTGTTATACATTCCTGGCTGAAATAATCCAGATATAGCCCCTGCTCATGGAGTTTACTACATTCTAGTGGGGAATGAGACAATAAATAAGTAAACATAACCAAATGCGTATTTTCAGATAGAGGTTCTCTATTGCCTCCATGTTCTTCTTTCTCTTTGAGGTCTTAGTTTTCCTTAGGGAATTATCAATTTGTCAGTGTTTATCAAGCAGCTACTCTTTTCCTTTTTTTTTTTTTTTTGAGACGGAGTCTCGCTCTGTCACTACCCAGGTTGGAGTGCAGTGGCGCGATCTTGGCTCACTGAAAGCTCCGCCTCCTGGGTTCACGCCATTCTCCAAGCAGCCACTCTTTTCTCGGTACTCTACTACATGTGGCTTGCTAAAACATCAAATGGTTTAAAAATAGAGATGAGACATTTGAAAGATACTTTGTGTATTCAGAACCCCATTACCTAGGAAAAGGTTTTTCTGACTGGTAGATCGTGCCCACCTAAATATTTCTCTTCTTGCTCTTCTAAGCAGAAAACCCCAGATAATCAGCTACTGGTATGAAAATTCATTCTGTAACCTTTCTCATTTTTTTTTCTTTTTTTTTTTTTTGAGACGGAGTCTTGCTCTGTGGCCCAGGCTGGTGTGCAGTGGCACGATCTCGGCTCACTGCAAGCTCCACCTCCTGGGTTCAAGCCATTCTCCTGCCTCAGCCTCCCAAGTAGCTGGGACTACAGGCGCCCGCCACCACGCCAGGCTAATTTTTTGTATTTTTAGTAGAGATGGGGTTTCACCATGTTAGCCAGATGGTCTCAATCTCATGACCTCGTGATCCGCCTGCCTTGGCCTCCCAAAGTGCTGGGATTACAGGTGTGAGCCACCGCGCCCGGCCCCTTTCTACTTTTTAAAACACTGGCATAGGCTGGGCACGGTAGCTCACACTTGTAATCCCAGCACTTTGGGAGGCTGAGGTGGGCAGATCACTTGAGGTCAGGAATTTGAGAACAGCCTGGACAACATGGTGAAACCTTGTCTCTACTAAAAAAATACAAAAATTAGCCAGGTGTGGTGAGACACACCTGTAATTCCAACTACTTGAGAGGCTGAGGAAGGAGAATCGTTTGAACCCAGGAGGTAGAGGTTGCAGTGAGCCGAGATTGTGCCACTGTGCTCCAGCCTGGGTGACAGAGGGAAACTTTGTTGCAAAAATAAATAAGTAAAACACTGGCATAGATTCTCACATTTTAATCTTTTTTTTTTTTTTTTTTCTGAGGCATAGTCTCCCTCTGTTGCCCAGGCTGAAGTGCAATGGCACCATCTTGGCTCACTGCAACCTCCGCCTCCTGGGTTTAAGCCCTTCTCCTCTCTCAGACTCCTGAGTAGCTGGGATTACAAGCACCTGCCACCACGCCCAGCTCATTTTTTTTGTTTGTTTGTTTTTTGAGACGGAGTCTCGCTCTGTCACCCAGGCAGGAGTGCAGTGGTGCGATCTCAGCTCACTGCAACCTCTGCCTCCCAGGTTCAAGCGATTCTCCTGCCTCAGCTTCCTGAGTAGGTGGGACTACAGCCGTGTGCCACCACATCCAGCTAATTTTCTGTATTTTTAGTAGAGATGGGATTTCACTGTGTTAGCCAGGATGGTCTCAATCTTCTGACCTCTGCCTGCCTCAGCCTCCCAAAGTGCTGGGATTACAGGCGTGAGCCACTGCGCCCGGCCTAATTTTTTCTATTTTTAGTATAGATGGGATTTCACTGTGTTGGCCAGGCTAGCCTCGAACTCCTGACCTCAGGTGATCTGTCCGCCTCAGCCTCCCAAAGTGCTGGATTACAGGCATGAGCCACTGGGACCAACCTTACTGTTTATTGAAATAAGATATGGGCCAGGCACAGTGGCTCACACCTGTAATCCCAGCACTTTGGGAGGCCGAGGCAGGCGGATCACGAGGTCAGGAGATCGAGACCATCCTGGCTAACACAGTGAAACCCCGTCTCTACTAAAAATACAAGAAAATTAGCCAGGCATGGTGGCGGGCGCCTGTAGTCCCAGCTACTCGGGAGGCTGAGGCAGGAGAATGGCGTGAACCCGGGAGGTGGAGCTTGCAGCGAGCGGAGATCACACCACTGCACTCCAGCCTGGGCGACAAAGTGAGACTCTGTCTCAAAAAAAAGAAAAGAAATAAGATATGGAACTCTTGTTTCTTACATGTTTCTTTTTTTTTTTTTTTTTTTTACTTTGAGGCAGAGTTTCGCTCTTGTCACCCAGACTATATTACATATTATTTTTCCTTGGGTCTTATCTTTTCTCCTTTTCTATAATCTTGGTGTTTTGTTTTGTTTTGTTTTCTTTTGAGACAGAGTCTTGCTCTGTCACCAAGCAGGAGTGCAGTGGCGCAATCTTAGCTCACTGCAATCTGCACCTCTCGGGTTCAAGCCATTCTCCTGCCTCAGCCTCCCGAGTAGCTAGGACTACTGGCACATACCACCATGCCCAGCTAATTTTTGTATTCTTATTACAGACAGGTTTTCACCATGTTGGCCAGGATAGTCTCGATCTCTTGACCTCGTGATCCACCCACCTTGGCCTCCCAAAGTTCTGGGATTACAGGCGTGAGCCACCGCTCCCGGCCAACACCCAGCTAATTTTTTTTTTTTTGGTTTGAGGCAGAGTCTCTGTCGCCCAGGCTGGAGTGCAGTGGAATGATCTCGACTCACTGCAACCTCCACCTCCCAAATTCAAGCAGTTCTCCTGCCTCAGCCTCCTGAGTAGCTGGGATTACAGTCATGTGCCACTATGCCTGGCTAATTTTTTTTTTTTTTTTTTTTTTGTTTAGTAGAGACAGGGTTTCACCATGTTGGTCAGAACTCCTGACCTCCTGATCCACCCGCCTTGGCCTCCCAACGTGTTGGAATTACAGGCGTGAGCCACTGTGCCCAGCCCGCCCTGCTAATTTTTGTATTTTTTTTTTTTTTTTTTTGAGATGGAGTCTGGCTGTGTTGCCAGGCTGGAGTGCAGTGGCGTGATGTTGGCTCACTGCAACCTCTCCCTCCGGGTTCAAGCAATTCTTGTGCCTCAGCCTCCCGAGTAGCTGGGATTACAGGCACACACCACCCCACCCAGCTAATTTTCGTATATTTTTTTTTTGTTTGTTTTTGAGACCCAGTCTCACCGTGTCATCCAGGCTGGAGTGCATTGATGCGATCTCAGCTCACTGCAACTTCCGCCTCCCGCGTTCAGGCAATTTTCCTGCCTCAGGCTCCCGAGTAGCTGGGACTACAGGCACACACCACTACGCCCGACTAATTTTTTTTTTTTTTTTTTTTTTGAGACGGAGTCTCATTCTGTCGCCCAGGCTGGAGTGCAGTGGCGTGATGTCTGCTCACTGCAAGCTCTGCCTCCTGGGTTCACGCCATTCTCCTGCCTCAGCCTCCCTAGTAGCTGGGACTATAGGTGCCCGCCACCACGCCTGGCTAATTTTTTTGCATTTTTAGTAGAGATGGGGTTTCACTGTGTTAGCCAGTATGGTCTCAGTCTCCTGACCTCGTGATCCGCCCGCCTCGGCCTCCCAAAGTGCTGGGATTACAGGCGTGAGCCACCGCGCCTGGCGAAACTGGACGTTTTCTTACATAACCACAATGCTTATATCACACTAACAAAATTATCAGTGATTCTCTAATACCATATCATAGCAGGTCTACATTTAAATTTTTATAATTGTCCCCACAATATTGATAGTTTTTCATTTATTAGTGAATTATAATTCAATCCAGGAACCTGCATTGCATTTGGTTCTTCTGAGTCTCTTTTATTTTTATTTATTTTTTATTTTTTTGAGACAGAGTCTTGTTCTGTCGCCCAGGCTGGAGTGCAGTGGCGCGATCTCGGCTCACTGCAGCCTCTGCCTCCCGGGTTCAAGCAATTCTCCTGCCTCAGCCTGCCGAGTAGCTGGAACTACAGGCGCCTACCACCATGCCTGGCTAATTTTTTGAGTCTCTTTTAATGTATAAAAGCCAACCTCTTTTTTTCCTCATACTATTTAACTTTTTAAGGAGGTAAGACTAGTTGTCTTTATAAGAGCCTATATTCTGAGGCTGGGTGCGGTAGCTCATGCCTGTAATCCTAGCACTTTGAGAGGCCGAGGCGGGCAGATCACCTGAGGTCGGGAGTTCAAGACCAGCCTGACCAATATGGAGAAACCCCATCTCTACTGAAAATACAAAATTAGCTGGGCATGGTGGCGCATGCCTGTAATTCCAGCTACTTGGGAGGCTGAGGCAGGAGAATCGCTTGAATCTGGGAGGTGGAGGCAGGAGAATCGCTTGAACCCAGGAGGTGGAGGTTGCAGTGAGCCAAGATTGCGTCATTGCACTCCAGCCTGGGCAACAAGAGCAAAACTCGGTCTCAGAAAAAAAAAACAGATCATACATTCTGCATTCATTTGTTTACTTGTGGTGTTTTGCATAGTCTATCTCTAAAATTTCCTGGAACTGGTTATTAGATCTAAAGTCTTGATGGGATTGCATAATACAATTTTGACAAGAGTATTCACACATGATAAAATGCATAAATGAATGTTTACTAAATGAGTCTGGGGCCAGGTGCCTTGGCTCATGCCTGTAATCCCGGAACTTTGGGAGGCCGAAGTGGGTGGATCTCCTGAGGTCAGGAGTTCAAGATCAGCCTGGCCAACATGGCAAAATCCCATCTCTACTAAAAATACAAAAATTAGCCAGGCATGGTGGTGGGTACCTGTAATTCCAAGTGTTCATGAGGCTGAGGCAGGATAATTGCTTGAACCTGAGAGGCAGAGGTTATAGTGAGCTGAGATCGAGATGATATCCGTCTCATAAATAAATAAATAAATACAGATAAACGAATCTTGGACTGGCCCAGATGGACAATCCTTATATTCAGGCTTGTAAATTAGGTCTGAGCTGGGGTATGGCAGGGAACAAAAACAGTGTTGGCTCAGATTAGAAAAACATTTCTTTCTCCCTTCAAGGCCAAGACCCATCTTGAGCCTTTTTTTTTTTTTTTTTAAAACAGTCTCAAACCAGCCTGTTGCTCAGGCTGGAGCAGTGTGGCATGATCTCAGCTCACTGCAACCTCCACCTCCTGGGTTACAGCAATTCTCCCCCTCAGTCTCCCGAGTAAGCTGGGACTACAGGTGTGCGCCGCCATGCCCAGCCAATTTTTGTATTTTTAGTAGAGATGGTGTTTCAGCATGTTGTCCAGGCTGGTCTCCTGACCTTCAGTGATCCACCTGCCTTGGCCTCCCAAACTGTTGGGATTATATGCGTGAGCCATCACGCCTGGCCTCATCTTGAGCCATTTTATCTTTAACCATTTTCTTTCTCTATTTGCTTTTTTTCCAGGATCCCAGCTGGCTACTGCTTTGTAGAATTTGCAGATTTGGCCACAGCTGAGAAGTGTTTGCATAAAATTAATGGGAAACCCCTTCCAGGAGCCACACCTGTAAGGACATTTAGATAATGATGATGTTGCCATTATTATTGTCATTGCTTACTACCATCTATTGAATCCCTACTGTATACTTATTTTATTTAATCCTAAAACAACCCTTTACAGTAGGCATTGTTATCTTTGTAGGCCCAGGAAACTGAAGCTCAGGGAATTGAAATAACTTGTCCAAGGCAACACAGGTAGTAAATGGCAGAGCCAGGATTCAGACTGAAGATTGGTTGCCTCCCAAATCCATGCCTTTCCATTCTGCATTGCTGCCTCCCATAACCGAAGACTTGAAACTCTAGACCTCTTGCCTGATTGGGAAACTAGAATAGGCTGGCAGCAGCAAGGACACATTTCAAGAGAGTTGCATTCTGCTCTTCCCACAGTTACTTAGCTTACAGCTGCACCAGCTGGCACACCTGGGCTCATAGAACCATGGAGCTGGCAGTGCCCTTAGCGGTCATCCGTGCAACCCCCTCATTTTATACAGGAGAAAAAGCTGAGGCTTAGAGAGGGGGAGATGTTTTGGCCAAGGTAATTTATTTCAGTTTTCTTCAAATATTGTTCAACTCTTGAAACACCTTTCTCTGTTTTAGTTTGTTTGTTTTTCAACTTCCAGGCGAAACGTTTTAAACTGAACTATGCCACTTACGGGAAACAACCAGATAACAGGTAGGTACAAAGTCATGTCTAGACAGACATAAGATGTGTCACTGTGCCTGTCACTGCCATATAGGAGGAGGGGAGCCGGTTTGGCTGCACTTGGTTCCCTCCTGAAGGACGACGCTCTTCTCCCTTCCTTGCTGGTGGACCTTCCTGGTGTGCTTCATGCAAGACCCTGGCTTTTCTGTATTTGGTCCCTGCCCCTGGCTTCCTACCCTGCTACTCCTCACAGTATTGAAGTTTTATTCAATAAGAATTGCCTTGTTAGCCAGGTGCAGTGGCTTACGCCTGTAATCCCAGCACTTTGGGAGGCCGAAACAGGCAGATTGCCTGAGCCTAGGAGTTCAAGAATAGCCTGGGCAACATGGCAAAACCCTGTCTCTACAAAAAAATACAAAAATGGCCGGGTGTGGTGGCTCACTCCTATAATCCCAGCACTTTGGGAGGCCAAGGCGGGCGGATCACGAGGTCAGGAGATCGAGACCATCCTGGCTAACACGGTGAAACCCCGTCTCTACTAAAAATACAACAAATTAGCCGGGCGTGGTGGCAGGCGCCTGTAGTCCCAGCTACTCAGGAGGCTGAGGCAGGAGGCTCACCTGAGCCCAGGGAGGGCTACAATGATCAAGGCTACTGTGAGCCATGATCGTGCCACTGCACTCCAGCCTGGGCAACAGAGTGAGACCCTGTCTTAAAAAAGAAACCCAATGAATTGACCTGTTATAGCAACATAAATTGATTGGAATTTCAGGTTGCCATTTGAAAGCATTAAAACGGTGTACCAAAAGCTTAAAAAACATTTATATGCATTAACCCTATAATTCTACTTTTCAGTATTTATTCATGGACGTGTGCAAAGATTAGCCTCAGATGTATTCATTGAAGTATTGTGTATAATAGCTAAAGTTGGGGAAAACCCAAATAACCTAATAGTAGGGAAGTGATTAAATTATGGTCATTAGTTAGGATGCGGTGTATCCACTGACAAGTCATTGCAGTATACTGACATGTCAAGATATTGGCAATATGTTGAAAATGAAAAAAAATACTAGAAACAAAATACGATGGATCGTATTTATGAACATTTAGAAGAAAAGCCACAAGAAAAGACAAAAGTATACATATCAAAGCATTTATTGTGATTGTCTTCAAGTGGTTGAGTTATAGCAATTTTATTTTTCTTTGCACTTTTGTGTTTTTTTTTTTTTGGAGACGGAGTCTCACTCTGTTGCCCAGGCTGGCGTGCAGTGGCACGATCTCTGCTCACTGCAAGCTCCGCCTCCCGGGTTCATGCCGTTCTCCTGCCTCACCCTCCCGAGTAGCTGGGACTACAGGTGCCTGCCACCACGCCTGGCTAAATTTTTTGTATTTTTAGTAGAGACAGGGTTTCACCGTGTTAGCCAGGATGGTCTCGATCTCCTGACCTCGTGATCTGCCCACCTCAGCCTCCCGAAGTGCTGGGATTACAGGCGTGAGCCATCGTGCCTGGACTGTGCTTTTGTGTATTCTTTTTTTTTTTTTTTTGAGATGGAGTCTCACTCTGTTGCCCAAGCTGGAGTGCAGTGGCATGATCTTGGCTCACTGCAATCTTTGCCGCCTGGGTCCAAGCAATTCTCCTGCCTCAGCCTCCCAAGTAGCTGGGATTACAGGCACCTGCCAATGCGCCCAGCTAATTTTTATATTTTTAGTAGAGATGGGGTTTCACCATCTTGGTCAGGCTGGTTTTGAACTCTTGACCTTGTGATCCACCTGCTTCGGTCTCCCAAAGTGCTGGGATTACAGGCATGAGCCACTGCGCCTGGCCTTGTGTATTCTTATTATACAAGGAATATGTATAATATGTATAATCATACCTGAAATAAGATAATAACAAAGGTAGGCCGGGTGCGGTGGCTCACGCCTGTAATCCCAGCACTTTGGGAGGCTGAGACGGGCAGATCACAAGGTCAGGAGTTTGAGGCCAGCCTGACCAACATAGAGAAACCCCGTCTCTACTAAAAATACAAAAATTGGCTGGGCGTGGTGGCTTACACCTGTAATCCCGGCACTTTGGGAGGCCGAGGAGGGTGGATCACCTGCGGTCGGGAGTTCGAGATCAGCCTGGCCAACATGGTGAAACCCCGTCTCTACTAAAAATACAAAAAATTAGTTGGGCGTAGTGGCGGGCACCTGTAATCCCAGCTACTCAGGAGGCTGAGGCAAGAGAATCGCTTGAACCTGAGAAGCAGAGGTTGCAGTGAGCTGAGATTGCGCCACTTCACTCCAGCTTAGGGGACAGAGCGAGACTCCGTCTCAAAAAAAAAAAAAAGGAAATTAGCTGGATGTAGTGGCATGTGCCTGTAGTCCCAGCCACTTGGGCGGCTGAGGCAAGAGAATCGCTTAAACCCAGAAGGCAGAGGTTGCAGTGAGCCGAGATCACGCCACTGCACTCCAGCCTAGGTGACAGAGTGATACTCCATTTCAACAAAAAGAAAAAAAAAATAACAAAGGTTTGTGTGTTCGTTTATTTTTTTAATAGAATTGACCTCCTATAATAGGAGTTGGTAAACTTTGGCCTGATTTGTATCACCCACAAGCTCGCAGTGGTTTAAGAGGTTGGGTATGGTAGCTCACACCTGTAATCCCAGCACTTTGGGAGGCTGAGGCAGGTGGATCATTTGAGGTCAGGAATTTGAGACCAGCGTGGCCAACTTGGCGAAACCCCGTCTCTGCTAAAAATACAAAAGATTAGCTGGGCGTGGTGGTGCGCACCTGTTATCCCAGCTGGTCGGCAGGCTAAGGTGTGAGAATCACTTGAACCTGGGAGACAGAAGTTGAAGTGACCCCAGATCACACCACTGCACTCCAGCCTGGGCAACGAGCAAAACTCCATCTCAGAAAAAAAGATTGGGGATTTAATTTTCGCTAGGCTTTACGTCCTTAGAAGATAAGATCTAGTTCTTTTTTTTCTGTCTTTTAACATTTATGTTTAAAATATACAAGGAATGCAGAATGCATTATTATGCTGTTTTTATGCAGTTTTATCTTTTGAGTGCCTTAGATGCACTTCTGACCCCATCCACACATCTGCACTCATGTAATACTTGAAGTCAGACAAGTTCTGTGGAGTGGGTGAGGGATTTGGGGCAGGGACTATTTCCCTAACTCTTCTGCCAGGACTGCTCTGATGAAACAAAGTAGGGGCTGGTTAAGTAGACCCATCAAATGTTTTCCTTAAGGGGCCTGGGAGAGGTTTACCTGGAATATGCAAAAGAGCTTTTCAGAGCAGAGGTTTTGGTCTTTGCCTCTGAATCTTCTTGTTCTCTCTCCTCAGCCCTGAGTATTCCCTCTTTGTGGGGGACCTGACCCCGGACGTGGATGATGGCATGCTGTATGAATTCTTCGTCAAAGTCTACCCCTCCTGTCGGGGAGGCAAGGTGGTTTTGGACCAGACAGGCGTGTCTAAGTAAGGCCTTACTTGTTACTGATGCTTAACTGTGTTAGTTTCAGCCTTTCTCTCCTGAGTGGAGGTGTTTTAGAAAGGCCCTGCAGCATGGCGATTAAGACCACAAGCTCTGGAGCCAAACTGCCTGGTTCAAATCCCAGCTCCAATACAGGTGAGGGAGAATGCCAGTATTGTAGAATTGAAGCTCTGTGACCCTTACAGCCCCATCTGTAAAATGGAGCTGATTAATAATAGCTGCTTGTAGGGTTGATGTAAGGATTAAAGGATATAATATAAGTAAGTCACATTTGAAATGCTTTATAGGTGTTTGCTGTTTTGCTTGTTATTGTTACTGAGCCTTTCAGTGTAGTTAGAAGTGTTCCACTTCAGGCTGGGCGTGGTGGCTCATGCCTGTAATCCTAACACTTTGAGAGGCCCAGGTGGGTGGATTGCGTGAGCTTAGGAGTTGGAGACCAGCCCGGGCAACACGGTGAAATGCCGTCTCTATTAAAATACAAAAAATTAGCCGGATGTGGTGGTGTGCACCTGTAGTCCCAGCTACTTGGGAGGCTGAGGTAGGATAATTGCTTTAACCTGGAAGGCGGAGGTTGCAATGAGCCAAGATTGTGCCACTGCACTCCAGCCTGGGCAACAGAGCCAGACTCTGTCTCCATAAAAAAAAAAAAAAAGTTGGCCCGGCATGGTGGCTCACACCTGTAATCCCAGCACTTTGGGAAGCTGAGGTGGATGGATCACCTGAGGTCAGGACTTTGAAACCAGCCTGGCTAACATGGCAAAACCCCATCTCTACTAAAAAAATACAAAAGTTAGCCGGGCATGGTGGCATGCGCCTGTAGTCCCAGCTACTCGGGAGGCTGAGGCAGAATTGCTTGAATCCGGGAGGCAGAGGTTGCAGTGAGCTGAGATCACACAACTGTGCTCCAGCCTGGGTAACAGAGCAAGATTCTGTCTCAAATAAAAAAAAAAAGAAAAAATGGAAATCGAAGAACCTCAAGAAAGGCTCATTCTTGGTCAGTATGGTAGTTATATGCTCAGGCTTTGAGAGTGCAACAGGTGTGGCTTTGAATCATGCTTCTGCCATGACTTTGGGCAAGTTGTTAAATCTCACTGAACTGGTTACCTCTTCAGTAAATGTGGATACCACTTTCATGGAATTATTAGACAGTTTGATTAGATCACCCTGAGAAAATGCTCAGCACAGGCTGGGTGCGGTGGCTCACGCCTGTAATCCCAGCGCTTCGGGAGACAGGCGGGTGGATCACCTGAGGTCAGGAGTTCAAGACTAGCCTGGCCAACATGGTGAAACCCTGTCTCTACTAAAAATACAAAAATTAACCAGGCATGGTGGTGCGTGCCTGTAGTCACAGCTGCTCGGGAGGCTGAAGCAGAAGAATCGCTTCAACCTGGGAGGCCGAGGTTGCAGTGAGCCAAGATCGTGCCAGTGCATTCCAGCCTGGGAGACACAGCGAGACTCCATCTCAAAAAAAAAAAAAAAAAGAAGAGCCGGGCGTGGTGGCTGACACTTGTAATCCCAGCACTTTGGGAGGCTGAAGCAGATGGATCACCTGAGGTCAGGAGTTCGAGACCAGTCTGGCCAACATAGCGAAACCCAGGTCTCCACTTTAAAAAAAATACAGGCCAGGCGTGGTGGCTCATGCCTGTAATCCCAGCACTTTGGGAGGCCGAGGCGGGTGGATCATGAGGTCAGAAGATCGAGACCATCCTGGCTAACACGGTGAAACCCTGTCTCTACTAAAAAAATAAAATACAAAAAATCAGCTGGGCATGGTGGTGGGTGCCTGTAGTCCCAGCTACTCTGGAGGCTGAGGCAGAAGAATGGCGTGAACATGGGAGGCGGAGCTTGCAGTGAGCCGAGATCACGCCATTGCACTCCAGCCTGGGCAACAAGAGTGAAACTCCATCTCAAAAAAAAAAAAAAAAAGAGAGAGAAAATGCTCTGCGCAGTGCTAGGGAAATAAATATTTATTAAATGTTAGCTTGCATTAATTTATTCCTCTGCTAGAATTTGAGCTCAGGAGAGCAGGAACGTTGTCTTTCTGTGACTGCTGCATCCTGTGCGTAGCACAGTGCCTGGCATACAGGGCAGACTGTAAATATTTGCTGAATTTTCTTCTATGAGTTACTTTCCAGCAGGGTGTCGGGGAAGCTCCTATTTGGGAATGTTCCCTAGGGGTGAAGGTGTCGAGGAGGATGGTGAACTGAATGTGGGAATTCCTGCAGATATTAGAATTGTTTGTACTTGGATCTTGACACTATGTGGACACCTGTTGATGGGACTCTCCTTTCTTCCTCTAGTTTAATGGACTCTCTCTTTCTCTTCTCAGCCTCTTTTCCTTTCTACATTCCTGCCCACCTTCTTATCCTTACTTCTTTTTCATGTGTCCATTCTTAGACTTTAATCACATTTGTGATCTAAATTGTATATTTTTTTCATGCAGGGGTTATGGTTTTGTGAAATTCACAGATGAACTGGAACAGAAGCGAGCCCTGACGGAGTGCCAGGGAGCAGTGGGACTGGGGTCTAAGCCTGTGCGGCTGAGCGTGGCAATCCCTAAAGCGTGAGTCCTGCAGGGAAGGTAGAGAGACTCTAGACTCCCCTCCAGACACTCCTCTTTTGTTTGCTGAGAATCAGGGCATCCATACGCTGGATGGGAGGCTGAAGGGGATCCAATTCAAGTCACAAGTACTGAATGCCTGCTGTTTGCCAGGCTGTGGGTGCTGGGGTTGAACTAGCCCCACTCCTGCAGAAACTTAGAGTTGGGGATAGAGTATGATTTGGAAAGGCTGATGTATTCAGACATTACTGGTGACAGCATTGGAAAAGCTGTTTGGCTGTCCATACCTGATGTCCCTGTTCTTTGCCCAGTAGTCCCATTGTTGGGAACTTATTCATAGAATTAATAAGATTTGAATAAAGGGGAAAAAATTACTTCCATTTTTAGCCTTATTTATATTAATGAAACTACAGCCCTCCTATGAGTGTTCCATGCTGTGGGAATGGATAAGAATTAGTATTCCAGACACTTGGCCGGGCGCAGTGGCTCACACCTGTAACCCCAGGACTTTGGGAGGCTGAGGTGGGCGGATCACCTGAGGTCAGTAGTTCGAGACCAGCCTGGCCAACATGGCAAAACCTCATCTCTACTAAAAATACAAAAATTAGCCAGTCATGGTGGTGCATGCCTGTAGTCCCAACAACTCGGGAGGCTGAGGCAGGAGAATCGCTTGAACCTGGGTGGCGGAGGTTGCAGTGAGCCGAGATGGCATCAGTGCACTCTGGCCTGGGCAACGGAGCAAGACTCCGTCTCAAATAAAAAAGAAAAATTTTCCAGACACTCTACAGAACATTATATACTTCACTATCACACCTGTCATGCTAGGTAGAAAATCTTCTTCCCTTACAACTCCAAACTTTTCTCTGAATGGGATTTTTTGTTTGTTTGTTTTTTCCCTGAGTCAGGATCTCAAAGTCACCCAGGCTGGAGATCATGTCTCACTGCAGCCTCGACCTCCCCAGGCTCGGGATCCTCCCATCTCAGCCTCCTGATTAGCTGGTACTACAGGTGCACACCACCATGCTAGGCAAATTTTGTGTTTTTTGTAGAGATAGGGTCTTGCTTTGTTGCCCAGGCTGGTTTCGAATTCCTGGGCTCAAGCAATCTGCCCACCTTGGCCTACAAAAGTGTTGGGATTACAGGCATAAGCCATTGTGCCTGGCCAGATCTTTTATCCTTTAGCCAAATTAATGATTTTCAACTGGAGTGATTTTGCCTCCCAGAGGACATTGACAACATCTGGAGACATTTTTGGTTATCACAACCAAGGATGTACTAATGGCACCTAGTGGGTATCGGCCAAGGATACTGTTAAACATCATGCAATTCATCGGACAGCCACCCACCCCTCCACGTCAATAGATCCAGGGCTGAGAAACTCTACCCTAAGAGTAGTTGAACTATTTTTTTTTTTTTTTTGAGATGGTGTCTTGCTCTTTTGCCCATGCTGGAATGCAGTGGCGTGATCTTGACTCACTTCAGCTTCCACCTCCCAGGTTCAAGCGATTCTCCTGCCTCAGCCTCCCGAGTAGCTGGGACTACAGGCATGTGCCACCAAGCCCAGCTAATTTTTGTATTTTTAGTAGAGACAGGGTTTCACATGTTGATCAGGCTGGTCTTGAACTTCTGACCTCAGGTGATCTGCCTGCCTTGGCCTCTCAAAGTGCTGGGATTACAGGCGTGAGCCACTGCGCCCAGCCAAATAGCCATGTTTTTGAAAGCAATGATTTAGGGGTTCTTTATGGTTTAACTGTGTTTAATACATTGAAGATCAGGCTTAGTGACTTCTCCCAAAAATGTTATTTGTTGTAAATAAATTATTATATAAAAACATTAAATTAGCTGGGCTTGGTGTACTCCTCTAGTCCCAGCTGCTCTGGTGGCTGAAGTGGGAGAATTGATTGAGCCTAGGAGTTCAAGGTTACAATGAGCTATGATAACTCCACTGCACTCTAGCCCAGGCAACAGAGTGAGACCGTGTCTCTTAAAAAACAAAATAGGCTGGGCGTGGTGGCTCATGCCTGTAATCCCAGCACTTTGGGAGGCCGAGGTGGGTGGATCACAAGGTCAGGAGATCGAGACCATCCTTGCTAACATGGTGAAACCCCGTCTCTACTAAAAATACAAAAAATTAGCCAGGTGTGGTGGCGGGCACCTGTAATCCCAGCTACTCAGAGAGGCTGAGACCGGAGAATGGCATGAACCCAGGAGGCAGAGCTTGCAGTGAGCCAAGATTGTGCCACTGCACTCCAGCCTGGGTGACAGTGTGAGACTCCATCTCAAAAAAAAAAAAAGGCCAGGTGCAGTGGCTCACGCCTGTAATCCCAGCACTTTGGGAGGCCGAGGCGGGCAGATCACAAGGTCAGGAGATTGAGACCATCCTGGCTAACATGGTGAAACCCCGTCTCTACTAAAAATACCAAAAAAAAAAAAAAAAAAAATTAGCCGGGCGTGCTGGTGGGCGCCTATAGTCCCAGCTACTCGGGAGACTGAGGCAGGAGAATGGCATGAACCCAGGAGGCGGAGGTTGCAGTGAGCCGAGATCGCGCCACTGCACTCCAGCCTGGGCGACAGAGCAAGACTCTCTCAAAACAACAACAAAAAAAACGAAAACAAAAGGCGGGGTGCTGTGGCTCACGCCTGTAATCCCAACACTTTGGGAGGCTGAGTTGGGTGGATCACTTGAAGCCAGGAGTTCAAGACCACCCTGGCCAACATGGTGAAACCTCATCTCTGCTAAAAGTACAAAAATTAGCTGGGCCTCCCAGGATCAAGCGATTCTCCTTCCTTAGCCTCCCAAGTGGCTGGGATTATAGGCGTGAGCTACCACGTCTGTCTCTTTTCTTTTTTTTTTGAAACAGAGTTTCACTTTTATTGCCCAGACTGGAGTCCAGTGGCACAATCTAGGCCCATTGCAACCTCTGTCTCCCAGGTTCAAGCGATTCTCCTGCCTCAGCTTCACAAGCAGCTGGGATTGCGGGCGCGCCATCCCACCCAGCTAATTTTTTGTATTTTTAGTAGAGATGGGGTTTCACCATGTTGTCCAGGCTAGTCTTGGAACTCCTGACCTCAGGTGACCCACCTGCCTTCGCCTCCCAAAGTGTTGGGATTACAGGTGTGAGCCACCGCACCCAGCCCTTTTTTGTTTTGTTTTTTTTTTTAAACAGGATATCCTTTTGCCAGTCCTGACATAGTTTGTTAAGAGAGACAAACCTATCCATTAAAATCTCCTGTATTAAAAGCATGGTCTCTGGAGCCATACTCTCATATTAGCTGTGTGACTTTGGACAAATTACTTAACCTCTCTGTTCCTCAGTTTCCTTATCTGTAAAATAGGAATAATGATACACTTATTGCATATGGTTGTTTTGAGGATTAAAAGAGTTAATTGGTGGCCGGGCTCCCAGCACTTTGGGAGGCTGAGGCAGGCGGATCACGAGGTCAGGAGATCGAGACCAGCCTGGCTAACATGGTGAAACCCTGTCTCTACTGAAAATACAAAAAATTAGCCAGGCGTGGTGGCACACACCTGTAGTCCCAGCTACTCAGGAGGCTGAGGCAGGAGAATCGCTTGAACCCGGGAGGCGCAGGTTGCAGTGAGCCGAGATTGCGCCCCTGTACTCCAGCCTAGGCAACAGAGCAAGACTCTGTCTCAAGAAAAAAAAAAGTTAATCGGTATAAAGCACTTAAAATAGTCTGTGGCCACATAGGCAGTGTTACGGAAATGTTTGCTTACACTTATTTTTGTTTCTGTCTTCATTTAAGGAGCCGTGTAAAGCCAGTGGAATATAGTCAGATGTACAGTTATAGCTACAACCAGTATTATCAGCAGTACCAGAACTACTATGCTCAGTGGGGCTATGACCAGAACACAGGCAGCTACAGCTACAGTTACCCCCAGTATGGCTATACCCAGAGCACCATGCAGGTAACCATGACTTGGCAAGACTGGTCCCCTTGGGTTGTGTTTCTCCTCTAGAAACAGGTCATTCTCTAGGATGGGATTGGTAAGGACAGGGGCTTGGGCTTCAGAAAAAATAGGGAAAGTTGAAGCAGTCCAGTTCCTCTTGTTAAAAATAAGCCATTGTGGGTAGGGCCCAGTGGCTCACACCTGTAATCCTAGCACTTTGAGAGGCCGAGGCAGGTAGATCACCTGAGGTCAGGAGTTCAAAACCAGCCTGGCCAACATGGTGAAACCCTGTATCTACTAAAAATACAAAAAATTAGCTGGGCATAGTGGCAGGCGCCTATAATCCCAGCTGCTCAGGAGACTGAGGCAGGAGAATCTCTTGAAACTGGGATGCGGGTGTTGCAGTGAGCCGAGATCACGCCACTACACTCTAGTCTGGGTGACAGAGCTAGACTCCACCTCAAAAAAAATAAAAAATATAAGCCACTGTGGTCCTGGGCCAGGATTTCACCATGCCCCTAACCCACATCTCTGGTCTCTTGGCAGACATATGAAGAAGTTGGAGATGATGCATTGGAAGGTAAGGGTTCATACGTTCCTTACTCTGTCAGCCATTATCAGGTGACTGCTGTGGCTGGCACTGTGCTCTCAGCTAGAGGGAAGACAAGATAAATTCTGCTCTGGAAGAACTTACATTCTGGTTAGAGAGCCAGACAAATATGTAATTATGGTAAGATGTGTCGGGTGTTACCCAGAGGTGTAAGTGTAGATCCCAGAGAGCCTGGGACAGGCAGCTCCAGGAGAGCCCATCACCCCCTTGACATGTGGCATTCTATCCTGGTATGTGGGCCTCTAACGATAATACTGTTACCCTTTTTTTGTGTGTGTGTGTGGTGGAGTTTCACTCTTGTTGGCCAGGCTGGAGTGCAATGGCATGATCTCAGTTCACCGCAACCTCCACCTGCCAGGTTCAAGCAATTCTCCTGCCTCAGCCTCCCGAGTAGCTGGGATTACGGGCATGCACCACCATGCCCAGCTAATTATTTTGTATTTTTAGTAGAGACAGGGTTTCTCCATGTTGGCTTGGCCGGTCTCAAACTCTCAGCCTTAGGTGATCCGCCCGCCTCAGCCTCCCAAAGTGCTGGGATTACAGGCATGAGCCACTGTGCCTGGCCGATAATACTGTTACCTTTTATTTGTTTGACTGTTTGTAAAATTCATTTTTTATTTATTTTATTTTTTTTCTGTTTTTCAATATATTTTAAAAGACATATTTTCCTGATTTTTAAGTCATCGTTAGGATGGAAAATTTGGAAAATATAGTAAAGTATGGGCCAGGCATGGTGGCTCACGCCTCTAATCCCAGCACTTTGGGAGGCCGAGGCAGGTGGATTGTGAGGTCAGGAAATCGAGACCATCCTGGCTAACACGGTGAAACCCCGTCTCTACTAAAAAATAGAAAAAATTAGCCGGGTGTGGTGATGGGCGCCTGTAGTCCCAGCTACTCGGGAGGCTGAGGCAGGAGAATGGCGTGAACCCGGGAGGCAGAGCTTGCAGTGAGCCGAGATCGCACCAATGGGCTCCAGCCTGGGAGACAGAGCGAGACTCCGTCTCAAAAAAAAAGAAAAAGAAAATATAGTAAAGTATAATGAAACTGAAAATCACCCCATATCCTATTACAACATAGTAATAGCCATTATTAATTTTTTCTTTTTCTTTTTTTTTTTTTTTTGAGGCAGAGTCTTGCTGTGTCACCCAGACTGGAATGCAGTGGCGCAATCTCATCTCACTGCAAGCCCGCCTCCCGGGTGCAAGTGATTCTCCTGCCTCAGCCTCCCGAAGAGCTGGGATTTCAGGCACATGCCACCACGCCCAGCTAATTTTTGTATTCTTAGTAGAGACGGGGTTTCACCATCTTGGCCAGGCTAGTCTCAAACTCGACCTCGTGATCCGCCTGCCTCGCCTCCCAAAGTGCTGGGATTACAGGGGTGAGCCACCGTGCCCAGCCCATTATTAATTTTTTAATTAAAAATATTTAAGCCTTGCACGGTGGCTCACCCCTGTAATCCCAGCCCTTTGGGAGGCCAAGGAGGGTGAATCATGAGGTTAAGAGATCGAGACCATCTTGGCCAACATGGTGAAACCCCGTCTCTACTAAAAATAAAAAAATTGCCAGGCGCGGTGGCTCACCCCTGTACTCCCAGCACTTTGGGAAGCCACGGCGGGAGGATCACCTAAGGTCGGAAGTTCTAGACCAGCCTGGCCAACATGGTGAAATTCTGCCGGTACTAAAAATAAAAAAATTAGCCAGGCGTGGTGTTGCGCGCCTATAATCTCACCTCCTCAGGAGGCTGAGGCAGGAGAATCACTTGAACCCGGGAGGCGGAAGTTGCAGTGAGTCGAGATCATACCACTGTACTCCAGCCTGGGCAACAGTGCAAGACTCTGTCTCAAAAAAAAAAAAAAATTATCCAGGCATGGTGGCCCATGCCTGTAATTCCAGCTCCTTGGGAGGCTGAAGCAGGAGACTCACTTGAACCCGGGAGATGGAGGTTTCGGTGAGCCAAGAATGCTCCATTGCAGTCCATCCTGGGTGACGAGAGTGAAACTCCGTCTCAAAAAAAAAAACAACAGTATTTACTGTCTAGGCACGGTGGCTAAAGCCTGTAAGGTCTTTGGAAGGCCAACGTGGGTTGGAGGATGGCTTGAGCCTAGAACTTTGAGACCAGCCTGGGCAACATAACGAGACCCCATCTCTTTTTTTTTTTTTTTTTTTGGGAGACGGAGTCTTGCTCTGTCACCCAGGCTGGAGTGCAGTGGTGCAGTCTCCAATCTCAGCTCATTGCAACCTCTGCCTCCCAGGTTCAAGTGATTCTCCTGCCTCAGCCTCCTGAGTAGCTGGGATTACAGGCATGCACCACCACGCTCGGCTAATTTTTGTATTTTTAGTAGAGACAGGGTTTCAGCATGTTGGCCAGGCTGGTTTCGAACTCCTTACCTCAAGTAATCCTCCCGCCTCAGCCTCCCAAAGTGCTTTGATTACAGGCATGAGCCACTGTGCCCGGCCAAGTATTTATAATTTTCACTGAATTTCACAGAAGAAAAAGGAAAGAAAAACTGAAAGCCAAGCATGGTGGCCTGTGGTTCCAGCTACTTGGGGGAGGCTGAGGCAGGAGGATTGCTTGGGCCCAGGAGGTTGAGGCTTCAGTGAGCTGTGACTACAGTTGTGCCCCACCATAACTGGCTATTTTTTTCTATTTTTTTGTAGAGGCAGGGTTTCACCATGTTGCCCAGGCTGGTCTTGAACTCCTAGGTTCAAGTGATCTGCCCATCTCGGCCTTCCAAAGTGCTGGCATTATAGGCATGAGCCACTGCTCCTGGCCAAAACTTTTTTTGAGGTACAAAAAGACTCAAAGTTTGAAATCTGTTTTGAGGATTCGTCTTCAAGAGAAAGTCATAGGGAAAATGTTTTCTGTCAAGAAAATGTTCGTTAAAGGAAACAGATCCCTTTTAGGGCATGAACAAACTTGTCTAGTTCATAACATTTTAAAGCACTTTCTTGTGTCCTCTCATGTGATGCCAACTGTAGTGACCTTGTGGGGTGGGCTGGGAAGGACACAGGAGCTCCATTTCACAGATGGGAAACTAGTGGCTCGGAAAGCCCAAGTGATCTGCTGAGGGTCACACAGTGTGGGGCAAAGTCAGGACAGTCCGGTCTTTTTATATTCAAGTCTCTAGTTGTTTCCCCCTGGGAGACATTGCCTTCTTTCTAGAGATAATTAGCCTCATAATATCTGTAGATAAGTCCTTAGAATTTTCCAATCTCTTTTTAATCCTTTTTTTGTTTTCTTTTTCTTGAGAGTCTTGCTCTGTCACCAGGCTGGAGTTCAGTGGCACGATCTCGACCCACTGTAACCTCTGCCTCACAGGTTCAAGCGATTCCCCTGCCTCATCCTCCTGAATAGCTGGGACTACAGATGCGCGCCACCACGCCCAGCTAATTTTTGTATTTTTAGTAAAGATGGGGTTTCACCATGTTGGCCATGATGGTCTCTATCTTTTGACCTCATGATCCGCCCGCCTCTGCCTCCCAATGCTGGGATTACAGGTGTGAACCACTGCGCCAGGCCCAATGTTTTTTTTTGTTTTTTTTTTTTTTGAGACGGTGTCTCACTCTTGTTGCCCAGGCTGGAGTGCAGTGGCGCGATCTCAGCTCACTGCAACCTCCGCCTCCCGGGTTCAAGTGATTCTTCTGCCTCAGCCTCCCGAGTAGCTGGGATTACAGGCATGCGCCATCATGCCCAGCTAATTTTCTTTTTTTCTTTTTTTGAGACGGAGTCTTGCTCTGTCGCCCAGGCTGGAGTGCAGTGGCGCAATCTCGCATGCCCAGCTAATTTTCTATTTCTATTTTTCTAACCCCATAAAGATGGGGTTTCTATGTTGGTCAGGCTGGTCTCAAACTTCTGACCTCAGGTGGTCCGCCCACCTTGGCCTCCCAAAGTGCTGGGATTACAGGCTTGAGCCACTGCGCCTGGCTTTTTTTTTTTTTTTTTTTTTTGAGATAGAGTCTTTGCTCTGTCGCCAGGCTGGAGTGCAGTGGTGCCATCTCTGTTCACTGCAACCTCTGCCTCCCGGGTTCAGGTGATTCTCCTGCCTCAGCCTCCCGAGTAGCTGGGACTACAGGCGTGCACTGCCATACCCGGCTAATTTTTTGTATTTGAGTAGAGACAGGGTTTCACCATGTTGCCCAGGATGGTCTCAATCCCTTGACCTTGTGATCTGCCCACCTCGGCCTCCCAAAGTGCTGGGTTTACAGGCATGAGCCACAGTGCCCAGTTTTTTTTTTTTTTTGAGACAGAGTCTCACTTTGTTGCCCAGACTTGAGATCAGTGATGTGAACATGCCTCACTGCAGCCTCGACCTCCTAGGCTCAAGTGATCCTCCTGCCTCAGCCTCCCTAGTAGCTGGCACTACAGACACAGGTCACCATGCCCAGCTAATTTTTTTTTTTTTTTTGAGATGGCATCTTGCTCTGTTGCCCAGGCTGGAGTGCAATGGCGTGATCTCGGCTCACTGCAACCTCCGCCTCCCGGGTTCAAGCGATTCTCCTGCCTCAGCCTCCCGAGTAGCTGGGACTACAGGTGCCTGCCACCACGCCCAGCTAATTTTTCTATTTTTAGTGGAGACGGGGTTTCACCATGTTGGCCAGGATGGTCTCGATCTCTTGACCTTGTGATCTGCCTGCCTTGGCCTCCCAAAGTGCTGGGATTACAGGCGTGAGCCACCGCGCCCGGCCGAGACGGGGTTTTGCTCTTGTTGCCCAGGCTGGAATGCAGTGGTGCCATCTCGGCTCACCGCAACCTCCACCTCCTGGGTTCAAGCAATTCTCCTGCCTCAGCCTCCCGAGTAGTTGGGATTATAGGCATGTGCCACCATGCCCGGCTCATTTTGTATTTTTAGTAGAGATGGGATTTCTCCATGTTGGTCAGGCTGGTCTTGAACTCCCGACTTCTGGTGATCTGCCCGCCTCGACCTGCTGAAGTGCTGGGATTATGGGCATGAGCCACTGTGCAGAAAAAATTTTTAATAGTATTTTACCACCAGGGACAGGGACTCATGCCTGTAATCTCAGTACTTTGGGAGGCTAAGGCGGGAGGATCACTTTAACCTAAGAGTTCAAGGCTGCTGTGAGCTGTAAGTGTGCCACTGTACTCTAGCCTGTGTGACAGAGCAAGACCCTTTCTCTAAAGTACATACACACACACATACATACATACAGGACTTGGCCTTTCAGCTCCTATATTTGACTGAAGTTCTTCCACTATGCACTTATTGTCAGTTCTTGAGATGATGCTCTGGACTTAATAACTTTGATCAGACCTTCTAAACCCAAATTTGAAGTGAGGACCAGACCAGAAAATCTAGGATACATGATGGCTAGAGACACAGGTGTAGCTTTTAATAGATGCAGGCTAACAGCTGCCATTTTCCCATTCTCTAGATACATTATTCTATTTTCATCTTCCCCAGAACCCTGCAAGGCAGTGCTTTCACTTCCTGAAAGAAACTGGCAGGATAGGGACCTTACCATAGAACAGAGTTCTGGGAGAAGGGAACTGAACCAGGTCCCTTGCAGCTGTCCCTAGACTTCCCTGACCCCATCCTTGCTTGCTTTCCAGACCCCATGCCACAGCTGGATGTGACTGAGGCCAACAAGGAGTTCATGGAACAGAGTGAGGAGCTGTATGACGCTCTGATGGACTGTCACTGGCAGCCCCTGGACACAGTGTCTTCAGAGATCCCTGCCATGATGTAGCCAGGCCAAAGGACAAGCCAGGTTGCATGATGTGAGGGAGATGAGAGACTCCTTTTTAAAAATTGTGAAACCTTTTTGGAAATATGATTTGTAAGATTTTAATAATGACTGTTTTTGGAGATCATGAATGTTTCTACAACACTGCTGCATTCATTTGACCATTTGAGTTTGAAGACCAAGGGAACAACTTTTAAACAAGGTTCAAATTGGTTTCCTTCACAGGAATCCTTTGTCCAGGTAGTTATCCACATAGGACAGTTTGGGATTATCCAAAACTGGGATGAGCAGCTTGGGATAATTCACACACTAAAGCCTGAGTTCAAGGTTTCTCAGTTGACAGGTAGGTATGTAAATCAGGGTTCTCTGGAGTATTTGTAGGACCTGCCATATTTGAGTCCTAACTTGGTGCAAGTCTGGCAGCTAGGTAGAAAAGGCACTCTAGCAGGTGTGGTAGGAGCACGCCCCAGAAGGTAGAATGTGGTGGGGTGTGATGGAACAGGCCAGTTGGCCTAAGAATTAGTACTTGCTCTAATAATGGGTTTCATCTATTTTCATGAGTTGCAGCATCTGCATATACAAGGCCTGGATCACTTTAGGATCAATATTTTGACACGGGAGAAGGCAGCTCAGAAAGGATTAAGGAAGATAGCTCAAAGCCAAAGCAGACCCTCCGTGTGAACTTTATACTGCTCACTTCCGTGTTTCCCAAGTAAATGGGGAAACTGTCCAACCTTGTCATGTGTTGGGACTTACTGCTTGAGGCAAAGCATTCATCCTACATCATAAAAAATCTCCAAAGATCTCTTTAAGGGCTGGGCATGGTGGCTCACTTTGGGAGATGGATTGCTTGAGCTCGGGAAGAGACCAGTTCGGTCTCTACAAAAAAATACAAACACAAATATACTTTTATTAGTCTTTTTATTCTTCTTTTATTGATCACCTCTGAAGTTCAGTAGCACACTGCATAATTTTTTGCATTAGCATGCTGTTGTTTCTACCTAAAATGACCGGGGTCCTTGCCTTCTGCTTCCCATAGAGATTGTCCTGCAAAGGAAGTGTAAGCCATTGTGTTACTAATTCCCAGATTTCCCCCACCCAGACATTTTCCTAGGAGCTGGTCTCAGTCCCATATCCGCATTTCTCATCCATGGATGTCCACTCAAATTAGGTTTCATCCTGGACCAGTCATTCTAAATACAGTGTGTGCTACATGGAACCCCTTGTTTCTACCCCACTCTCAACTCTCCCTAATGCTGAGAGACGTCCCACCAAAGAATGCATCATGAGCTCCAGCCACCACTGAACATTTGTGGCTACCAGGCCTTGTGGCCCACGGTGCCCTCTGATGCCTTCAATGCATTTTAGGGTGGGTAAATCATGTTCTAACCATCTTTGCCCTCTGGTAATGAATAGCTAAGGGCACACGAGGGAGGCCAAATGTAAATGTTACTAAGATGCTAAGACTTTCTGGCCCGGCACAGTGGTTCATGCCTGTAATCCTAGCACTTTGGTAGGCCAAGGCAGGCAGATCACTTGGGGTCAGGAGTTCAAGACTGCCCTGGGCAACGTGGTGAAACCCTGTCTCTACTAAAAATACAAAAATTAGCCAGACATAGTGGTGCGTGCTTATAGTCCCAGCTACTCAGGAGGCTGAGGCAGGAGAATCACTTGAACCTGGGAGGCAATTAGCCAAGATTGTGCCACTGCACTCCAGCCTGGGTGACAGAAAGACCCTGTCTCAAAAAAAAAAAAAAAAAAAGCTGTAACTTTGACACAGACCTAAGTAACCTTATAGTTCTATTAGGTTGACTACTTAGGACAGGATCCCAGATAGTTGAGCACTACCTGCAGCTACACACCAAGTTGTGACAAAGCTTTGGGTAGTCACTAACTTACCCAACTCCATAGGTCCATAGTCACAAATGAGGACAGCTTTACATGTAACATGAATCTAAAAGAAAAAAACACCACCCTTAATTAAGAGGCAAGGAAGCTATGACAGATCCCTCCCAAATGCAGTAATAGGTCAGCTATTACTATACCAACCTCCAGAGCTTCACACGCATCCTTCCCTTAGCCTAAGATTATACTTCATTTTACAATTTCAGAGATCCAACCATCTCTGAAACCTGTCTGAAACTAGCCCACATGCCATATACCAGATTACAACATTTAGGCCAGCTTCACTATTACTTTTCCTCCTTTTACGACCACCAAGACCAGTGTTCAGATCCGATGGGAAAGGGATCAGGAGGATTAAGCTGATCAACTTTACCTTAAAGCACAGCTCCAGAAACAAGCTCACCTCCTCAGTATCACACACTGCCAGGAAACTTGGGGGCAACCTGCAGAACAAAAAGCTTAGCGTGAAAACTAAACTGGCCAGGAGCGGTGGCTCATGCCTGTAATCCCAGCACTTTGGAAGGGGAGGCCGAGTCGGGCGGATCACCCGAGGTCAGAAGTTCGAGACCCATCTAGCCAACATGGTGAAAACCATCTCTACTAAAAATACAAGAAAATTAGCTGGGTGTGATGGTGGGCACCTGTAATCCCAGCTACTCGGGAGGATGAGGTAGGAGAGTCGCTTGAACCCAGGAGGCAGAGGTTGCCATGAGCCGAGATCATGCCACTGCACTCCAGCAGCCTGGGTGACAGAGCAAGACTCCGTCTCAAAAAAAAAAAAAAAAAAAAACCCATCTACATTGAAGTTGACACATGGAAGGCTTCCAGCCCTGGTCCTGAAACATTATAGGAAAGCTGAGTGGCAGCTTGCAGGTATTGTACTGACCTGCGCTGTCAAAGTCTTTCCAGGTTGCTCTTGCATGCAGTTGGAGATCCCATGGCTATGACCAGCCACAGCCCTTGGAAACATGCTGTTCTGTCCCACCAGGCAGCCCCCAGTTAGTCTCCAAAAGAAACCTACCAGGTCCCCTGCATTTCATCACTGTCATTACCCCGGAAGTCCTCGATCACCAGAAAAATCACCTTCTGTCATCTTAAGAGTCTTCATCTGGACAGCAAAATGAGAACAACTGTCATGAACAATTTTATTGTTCCCATCATTTGGTCCTCAGAATGATACAAATCTGACCAGCCTTTGGTCCCAATACTGATGCCTTAAGCTATCAGTTAAGCTGTGTCACATCCCAGCTGGATTTTCCCAGTACGAGTCTTATGCTGGTTAACTGTACATGCAAACCCCCAACCGTTCTGCTGTTCTGTGGAAACAAGCCCATTTTGATAAAGGTCTCTGGCTACAGCTGAAAGGTGGCAGGTACAATGGAACTGTATTTTCCCAAAATGTTGCAGATCAGTTACAACAAACAGAACGGCGACCGTCAAGGAAAACTGTCACTCTGGGCTCCTTTTTGACCACAGCAGCTATGCGGAAGCAGCTGCAGCTTCGATAAGGGCCAAGGGGCAATTCAGATCCCAGGGCGGCCGCCTAAAGCCTCACCTGTCCATCATTACTACCTGCTTAAGTACGCCGGGATCTCTGTAGACTAAGTCAGTCATCCTGTAGGCCCCACTGCCCACGCTGTGCCAATAGCTGGTGTGCTTTTTCTCAGTCTTGATGGGACCGTTTTATCCGCCTATTACAGGTAAGAGGTTTAGACCGATTAAGTTACTTCCTGAAGGTCGCTTAGTCACTTAGCGAGGCTGAAAGCAACAAGCTGGGATGCACGCAAGGGTCTGAATGCCTAAAACCCGTCCTTCTGAAAACCGTGTCTACCAGGGCGACCTCCAGAGGTCTCGCGCGTAGTCACCAGTCCCAAAATCACCTAGCTGGTAAATGTCACAGATTCAACTGGAGGCCATCCTGACACCAGCATGCGGCCTCCCCCTGAATTAAGACACTTCAGGCCCAGGGATTCATCCCCGCATCCCCCAGGAGACCGGTTCCCAAACCCCCACCCCTTCCGTAAACCCGGCCGCCTGCCTGCAACACTCACCTGTCAGCCCAGAGCGCAGCGTTGCGCAGTCCGAAGCGAGAGAAGGGCGCGGCCCCCGCGGGCTCCCGCCCCTCTCACTGCCGAGGGGGCCTTTCGGAGCTCGGGCCCACCGGGTTGGAAGGCCCGGCTCCTCCGTGCCACATTCACCACCATCTCGAGGCCGTGGGAGGAAAAACCCGGCGAGTGCGCGCCAGCAGCAGCGACTAGCGGGGAACGGCGCGCAGGAAGGCAGGCAGAGGCTTGCAGCTAGTAAGTCGACACCGGGAATGCGGCGGGGAGAAAGGGCGCTGAAGCCGCGAGCAAGAGCTTATATAGGCCGCCCCTCGCGGCCACACCCGACAGTAGGCCGCCCGCGTGGCGCACAGCTGCCTGGGAGTTGTAGTTTGCTCGCCCCGGCGTTGTCCGCGCGTCACCTCCCCAGCCCTACGCGCGTGTCCATCCCGAGCCCGCGAAGCGAGAACCGCCAGAGGCTTTCCTCCGAGCGGAAGAAGCGCCTTCACCTTTCAGTGCCCGGCGCTGGGCCCACGCAGGAAGCCGACCCGCCTTGGCCTCTGGAGTTGTCTCTGGGATGTCTTTCAGTCTGGAAATGAACCCTGTGTGCTGGGAAAGGGCTCGGGCTCCGCTCCGAGCTCAGTGGGCGTGCGAGCGAGCAGCGCCTGAGTGGGTTTCGGGGAGGGGGTCATACTCCCCGAAAGGCGATTTATTCAAGGCTTGTCTCTTCCACTAATATGTAATTTTACTGAGCGCGTGCTATTTTAACTGTGTCTGATTATCTGATCTAGTTTTCATAAAAACCCTGTGTACGCTCTGTGGACAAATAAGGAAACTTAGGAATGGATCACACAGCTATCGCAAGCGAGGAGAGGACTGGAATTTGGAGCCCACCCCAGGCACCACACATAGCGCAATGTTTTGCCCATGGAATGAATAAGCCTCAGTATGAAAACTTAGTGGTGATTGCCGAGAATTAAACACCCATCCTGTGCCTAATCTATTAATTTTTATTCTTACATACACTTTTTTGTTTGAGACAGGGTCTTGTTCTGTTGCCCAGGCTGGAGTGCAGTGGCGTGATCAAGGCTCATTGCAGCCTCGACCAACTGGGCTCAAGCAATTCTTCCACCTCAGCCTCCCAGGTAGATGGGACTACAGGTGCGGGCCAACTTTCCTTGCTTACACTTTAAAAAGTAGGTACTACTGCCGGGTGCGGTTACTCACGCCTGTAATCCCAGCACTTTGGGAGGCCAAGGCGGGTGGATCACGAGGTCAGGAGATCGAGACCATCCTGGCTAACACGGCGAAACCCGGTCTCTACTAAAAAAAAATACAAAAAAAAATTAGCCGGGCGTGGTCGCGGGCGCCTGTAGTCCCAGCTACCCGGGAGGCTGAGGCAGGAGAATGGCGTGAACCCGGGAGGCGGAGCTTGCAGAGAGCCGAGATCGCGTCACTGCACTCTAGCCTGGGCAACAGAACGAGACTCTGTCTCAAAAAAATAAAATAAAATAAAAAGTAAGTACTACTTTAGCAGGTCGTGGGGGCGCATGCCTGTGGTCCTGGACTCCTCTCTTTCTCTAACATCACATGTCCAAGCCATCAGCAACTCCTGTGTGCTCTACCTTTAAAATGTATCAATAATCTGACTGTTTCTTACCCCTTCCACTGATGTTACCCTAATCGTTGACCCAGATGATAGCAATAGTCTCTTATCTCCCAGATCCTGCTGTTGCTCCCGACAGTCTGGTCTCCACACGCCAGCCAGCCTGCTAAAAGTTTTTTAATTTTTATGAAGTCTAAGAGTCAATTTTTTTTTTTGTAGTTTATGCTTTTTTTTTTTTTTCTTGAGACGGAGCTGCTCTGTCGCCCAGGCTGGAGTGCAGTGGCGCCATCTCAGCTCACTGCAAGCTCCCGCTCCCGGGTTCACGCCATTCTCCTGCCTCAGCCTCCCAAGTAGCTGGGATTACAGGCGCCCGCCACCACGCCCGGCTAATTTTTTGTATTTTTAGTAGAGACAGGGTTTCCCCATGTTGGGCAGGATGGTCTCGATTTCCTGACCTCGTGATCCACCCGCCTCGGCCTCCCAAAGTGCTGGGATTACAGGCACGAGCCACCGCGCCCGGCCGTTTGTTTACGCTTTAAAAGCTTAATAATTATGCTGGGCGCGGTGGCTCCCACCTGTAATTCCAGCACTTTGGGAGTCCGAGGGGGCAGATAACCTGAGGTCAGGATTTCAAGTCCAGCCTAGCCAACATGGTGAAAACCCGTTTCTACTAAAAATACAAAAATTAGCTGGGCGTGGTGGCAGGCGCCTGTAATCCCAGCTACTTGGGAGGCTGAGGCAGGAGAATCGTTTGAACCTGGGAAGCGGAGGTTGAAGTGAGCTAAGATGGAGCCATTACACTCCAGCCTGGGCGACAAGAGCGAGACTCCGTCTCAAAAAAAAAAGAAAAAAAGTAAAATTATTAAACTTTTTTTTTTTTTTTTGGAGATGAAGTCTCGCTTTTTCGCCCAGGCTTGTGCAGTTTATTCTGTGTCAATTATGCCTCAATAAAGCTGTCAAAAAACCATTAAGAAAAAATGTATATCTCCCAGGCGCAGTAGCTCCCACCAATTCGGGAGGCCAAGGCAGGTGGATTACCTGACATCAGGAACTAGAGACCAGCCTGGCCAACATGACAAAACCCCATCTCTACTAAAAATACAAAAAAAAAAAATTACCCAGGCATGGTGACACTCATCTACAGTCCCAGCTACTTGGGAGGCTAAGGCATAAGAATCGCTCGAACCTGGGAGGCAGAGGTTGCAGTGAGCCAAGATCATGCCACTGCACTCCAGCCTGGGTGATACAGCGAGACTCCCTCTCAAAAAATATATCTATATATATCTATCTATATCTATGTGTGTGTATATATAGATAGATAGATATACATATTATATTAAGGCAGATGCAGTGGATCACCTGTAGTCCAGCTACTTGGGAAGCTGAAACAGGAGGATCACTTCTGTCCAGGAGCTGGAGGTCAGCCTGGGCAACAAAGTGAGACCCTGCCTTTAAAAATAAATAAGGCCAGGCACAGTAACTCATGCCTGTAATCCCAGCACTTTGGGAGGCCAAGGCGGGTGGGTCACGAGATCAGGAGTTCAAGACCAGCCTGGCCAAGATGGTGAAACCCCGTCTCTACTAAAAATATAAAAAATTAACCAGACATGGTGGCGGGCGCCTATAATCCCAGCTACTCGGGAGGCTGAGGCAGAGGTTGCAGTGAACCGAGATCGTGCCACTGCATTCCAGTCTGGGCAACAGATCAATATTCCATCTCAAAAGTAATAATAAAATAAAAGTAAATAAATAAGTAACATGTATTTTTTAAAACTTTTTTTTTTTGAGACGGAGTTTCCCTCTTGTTGCCAGGCTGGAGTGCAATGGCACGATCTCGGCTCACTGCAACCTGTACCTCCCAGGTTCAAGTGATTCTCCTGCCTCAGCCTCCTGAGTAGCTGGGATTACAGCACCTGCCCCAGGCCCGGCTAATTTTTTGTATTTTTAGTAGAGACGGGGCTTCTCCATGTTGGTCAGGCTGGTCTTGAACTCCCGACCCCAGGTGACCTACCTGCTTGGCCTCCCAAAGTGCTGGGATTACAGGCATGAGCCAGGCCTAAAAAACATTTATATCATGTTATTCACTTGCTCAGAAATCTCCCATGACTTCCCAACACACTTAGAATAAAAACGGCAATCTCCATAATGGTCTCCAAGGTCATACGTGATCAGGCTCCTCCTCCTTCCTGCCCTCATCACGCACCACTTGCTCCCTCACTCAGTCAGCTCCATCTTCCTGGACTCTTTGCTCTTCTTGAAGCACCCCAGGGCCTTTGCTCTTGCCTGGAACTCGCCCCACCTGAATATCACAGACAATCACACTTCTTAAGCCTCACTTCCCCTGGGTTTCTGTCCACACGTCACCTCCTCAGGCCATCCTATTTTGATACAGCACCCCTCCATCCTCCAACCTTCAAGTCACTGCCTCCTTGATTGTTATTTACAGCACTTAGTGCTTCCTGACATGGTATTATATATGTATTTTGTTTTCTGTTTTCCCTATTAGAATGTGAGCATCCCAAGAGAGCTGGAATTTTGTCTTTTTTCCCCCCTACTGCTGTATAAATGCCTGGTACATAAAAGATGGCCAGCATTCTTGAAATAATCACCAAGTGGGCCGGGCGCGGTGGCTCACACCTGTAATCCCAGCACTTTGGGAGGCCAAGGCGGGCAGAACACGAGGTCAGGAGAGCGAGACTATCCTGGCTAACACAGTGAAACCCTGTCTCTACTAAAAAACAAACAAACAAAAAAAAAAAACAGGCTGGGCGCAGTGGCTCAGGCCTGTAATCCCAGCACTTTGGGAGGCCAAGGTGGGCGGATCACCATCAGGCCTCTGAGCCCAAGCTAAGCCATCATATCCACTGTGACCTGCACATATACATCCAGATGGCCTGAAGCAACTGAAGATCCACAAAAGAAGTGAAAATAGCCTTAACTGATGACATTCCACCATTGTGATTTGTTTCTGCCCACCCTAACTGATCAATGTACTTTGTAATCTCCCCTATGCTTAAGAAGGTTCTTTGTAATTCTCCCCACCCTCAAGAATGTACTTTGTGAGATCCACCCCCTGCCCAGAAAACATTGCTCCAAACTCCAGCTATCCCAAAACCTGTAAGAACTAATGATAATCCCACCACACTTTGCTGACTCTCTTTTCGGACTCAGCCCGCCTGCACCCAGGTGAAATAAACAGCCTTGTTGCTCACACAAAGTCTGTTTGGTGGTCTCTTCACACAGACGCATGTGACATTCACGAGGTCAGGAGATTGAGACCATCCTGGCTAACACGGTGAAACCCCGTCTCTACTAAAAATGCAAAACATTAGCCAGGCATGGTGGCTGGCGCCTGTAGTCCCAGCTACTCGGGAGGCTGAGGCAGGAGAATGGTGTGAACCTGGGAGGCGGAGCTTGCAGTGAGCCAAGATTGTGCCACTGCATTCCAGCCTGGGTAACAGAGGGAGACTCCATCTTGGAAAAATAAAATAAAATAAAAAAATTAATTAAAAAAATTAGCCAGGCATGGTGGCACGCGCCTCCCAGCTACACGGGACACTGAGGCAGGAGAATCGCTTCAACCTCGGCGGAGGTTGCAGTGAGCCGAGATTGTGCCACTGCACTCCACCCTGGGCAATAGAGTGAGATTCTATCTCAAAAAAAAAAAAAAAAAATCACCAAGTGAATGAATGAATGAATAAAACTTGGCTGAGGTCACACTGTAGCAGGACGAGCCGCAGAAAAAACCTCTCAGACACCGAGTTGTAGAAGGAGGGGCTTTATTCAGCTGGGAGCATCGGCAAACTACTGCCTTAAAATCCGAGCTCCCCAAATGCACAATTTCTGTCCCTTTTAAGGGCTCACAACACTGAAGATTTCACATGAAAGGGTCATGATTGATTTGAGCAAGCAAGGGGTACGTGACAAGGGCTGCATGCACCGGTCGTCAGAGAGAAACAGAACAGGGTAGGCAGTTTCACAATGTTCTTCTATACAATGTCTGGAATCTATGAATAACATCGGTTTCTAAGTCATAAGTTGATTTTTAACTACTAGGTTTAGGCCAGGCAGGCCCAGGTCCGGTTTTGGGCCTGGCGCTGGGCTGCCTGTCTTTGTTTCATTTCCTTTTTTTTTTTTTTAAAAAACAGGTACTGAGTATAAAACAATATAAAACAATATGAGAGGGTCTCTCTCTTCCCTCATTTTCCCCCTTTGAGACTCTCACTTTTTATTAGTGGGAGTACTCACTCTTATTTTTGCTACTTATGTCTTTTTGTGCAACAGATAGATAGTGATTCATATAGTACACTTGTGCTGAAGCATTTTGGTGAACTAAGGTAGCAATGAAGCTTTTTATCATTTAAAGAAGTACAGGTAGCAAACAAGGGAGCAGTAAGCAGGTTTTTATTGCTATTATAACTCCTATTATAAGAGTTTTAAATCTTCCTAGTGCTGGGAACCACCTTCTAAACATGGCTTCAGGGTTGAATCCGTGCTACACTTGCACGGGTACATGTGCCAGTTTTGTTATGTCTTTAACTATGTCCTCAACTACTTGCCCCTGATCATCTATGTGTAGACAACAATTAGTAAAGTTAAATTTTCTTTTTTTTTTTTTTTTTTTAAGAGACGGGGTTTCACTGTGTTAGCCAGGATGGTCTTGATCTCCTGACCTCGTGATCTGCCCACCTCGGCCTCCCAAAGTGCTGGGATTACAGGCGTGAGCCACCGCGCCCAGCCAATAAGGTTAAATTTTCTACAAATTCCTCCTTCAGCTGCTAGCAAGTAGTCAAGAGCTAGTCTATTTTGATAGATCGCATTTCTCATCAGAGTCTCTTGCCAGGCAAGAACAGTCAAGGCTTGACTGGTTTTATTAGTAATAATTTCTAAAACAGCTTGCAACCGTGTGATTCGGTTGAGCATGCAGATGGGGGTTCGATATCCTCATGAGCCATCTTGTGCCTAAGTGGCGGGTCTATAGTATTGTACGATTCTTTCAGGGGGCCATTCATTATTTTTCTAATCACCTATGGCTATGCTTCGTTTTTCGTGGGAAGCATAGACTGGGAAGCCTAGAAGTTCACCTGTTTTTATGGGCAGTAAGAAGAAAGATGGCTTAATGGTGCTAATTACACAGCTACCTGTCCACTGATCAGGCAGCTTAGCATAAGCTCTGTGTCCACATATCCAGTATAACCTGGTGGGGGCCATCCAGTCCCAGTGGAATTCTGGGTGGGCCCAAACAGTCTGCAACTTTGGAAATTTACTGAATGGATTTCTTTCTGTGTAATTGGAATTCCACCATGTAACTGTTTTTGTGGTACCATTATACAGCTTTTGCCTAAGACAACTAAGCCGTCTTACAGGATGAGTGAATCCTTTTCCTTCTCTAGCTATGCAATACTGTCCAATAATTGAGACTTTCAGAACCCAAAAATTGTCAGGGTGGTTCTTTTGGGCTGGGAATTCATCAGGAACTGGGCCTGTGGGAACTAATTCTCGGGCTTCCCATGGCCATTGATCTCCTGTTACGGTTCTTCTACAAACATAACATGAAGTGACATTTAGAGACTGGGCTACATGCTCGGCTAATTTCAAAAACAAATTTTTAGTTTTTCCTGGAATCTCAGATACTGGCACATTTAATTTATCATAGAAAGTCTGAAATACTGGTTCTGGAGAGCGTCTTTGAACCTCTCCTTTTATTAGGATGCTTACACTAGGATCTAGTCCTTTTCCATCAATGCCTAATGTTACATATTTTCCTTTATTCTACTTTGGGTCTGAGGGGTTTGTGATTATCAATTCTAAAGGGTTGCAGCTCCCACTCATGCAGGAGGGGCTGATTTTTCCTTTTTGGAGCCAAACAGGATCTTTTTAAATCTTCTTTCCAAGTAGCCCAAATGACACAAGACCAGTATTGACACATCTCACATAAATATGATTTTTGACAAATGTACTTATTTTCTGCTGTGTAACTTTTTTCCCAATCTAGAGAACCGCATCCTATCCCATGCTGTTTACTATTAATAGCGGCACAGGCGTCAAATTTTAAGGTTACATTTTTGGGGACCCCTCTTTCTTCTGTCCTAGCTATTACTTCACTTGTGTCACCTAGAAAAGGACCAGTCCTTAGTCTTACTTCAAAGACTGTGATCATGGGAGGTTCAGAGGGGTCATAGCACACATCGGACTGGTCACTTCCTGGATTACATACTTTGTACTGAATGTTATTGTACGAACAGGTTCCTTTTGGAGTTCCTAGGCATTCATAAAAACTATAAAATAATAGGGCTGTAGCACTCTTTTGTCCTACCTCAGTGACCTGATGTATATACTGGGAACAGCCCTCAGTCTGAAGAAGGTCAGTTGAAGTCCTTACTGTACAAGTCCAGATTTTAAGGAAAATGAGTCCCGCGATGAGTTTCCTCATGCTTTGGCCGCGCGTGGACCAGTCAGCTTCCGGGTGTGACTGGAACAGGGCTTGCCATCTTCTTCAGAGTCACTTTGCAGGGGTTGGCGAAGCTGCTTCCATCCACGTACAGCTCCCAGTCTACTGATGTTTAAGGGTGGTCTCGGAGGTTGGGCCTACTAGAATAAACTGAGTCCAACACCTCTACACAGGGTCTCTCTCTTCCCAGTAAGTGGCCGTTGGAACTACAACCCAGGTCTGTTTTTTGTGTGTGTGTGATGGAGTATCCGAAGTGTAATGGTGCAATCTAGGCTCACTGCAACCTCTGCCTCCCGGATTCAAGTGATTCTCCTGCCTCAGCCTCCCAAGTAGCTGGGACTACAGGCGCGTGCCATCACGCCCAGTTAATTTTTATATTTTTAGTAGAGACGGGGTTTCACCATGTTGGCCAGGATAGTCGTGACCTCCTGATCTGCCTACCTCAGCCTCCCAAAGTGCTGGGATTACAGGCGTGAGCCACCGCGCCCAACCCAACCCAGATATGTTCTAATGCAAGTGCAGATAACCTTAACTGCTGTGTCACGCGGCTCCTCCAGAACTACCCTGTGAGATTAGGTACCGTGATTTGCCTGACTTAGCAGAAGAGGAAGCAGGGATCAGGGAAGGGAAATAACTTACCCCAGGTTACACAGTGAATCTGTGGCAGAAGTCATGGCAGAAGTCAGCTGACATCTGGATTTAACTGCAGTCAGAGGCAGACACATGATCCCAGCCCACAGCAGGAGCATCTGGGAAAGGGAGGAAGTTCAAGAAGCCAGATGCTGACAGTGCATTGCCCACGTGGGCTGACTGGAAAGGCCTCAGGGAGGGCTGGGGTCAGACTGCATTTCCAGCTGCTTCATGCCTCTCTGGATTCTCCTTTCTCCTTGACCTTCCCAGATCCCACTTATCCTTGGAGACTCAGCTTCAACATCAGCTGGGATGGGCTTCTCTGACCCTTTGGCTTCCCAAGTCCAGCTCTATCATGGTGTTTGACGGAATGAATGGATGGGTGAATGAACAGCACTTACCCACTTTCATTAATTCATCTAGCTATAAATATTTACTGAGCTTCTACTTTGTTTATTATTATTTTTTTTTGAGACGGAGTCTCGTTCTGTCACCCAGGCTGGAGTGCGGTGGCGCAATCTTGGCTCACTGCATCCTCCACCTCCCGGGTTCAAGCGATTCTCCTGCCTCAGCCTCCCAAGTAGCTGGGATTATAAGCACGTGCCACCATGCCCGACTAATTTTTGTATTTTTAGTAAAAACGGGGTTTCACCATGTTGGCCAGCTGGTCTCGAACTCCTGACCTGAAGTGATCCACCCTCAGCCTCCAAATGTGCTGGGATCACAGGTGTGAGCCACTGCGCCTTGAGTTTCTACTTTATGCCAAGCGCTGAGTTAGGCCCTGAGGATACAATCATCAGCCCCTGCCCTCAAGGAGCCTGCAGCCTGGGAGAGAGACTGACATCAGAGATGGTCAGAAGTGCATGTGGGCCAGACGTGGTACAGGTTCACACCTGTAATCCCAGCATCCCAGCACTTTGGGAGATGGAGGCGGGCGGATCACTTGAGGTCAGGAGTTTGAGACCACCTTGGCTAACATGGTGAAACCCCGTCTCTACTAAAAATACAAAAATTAGCTGGGCGTGGTGGTAGGTGCCTATAATCCCAGCTACTTGGGAGGCTGAGTTGGGAGGATGGCTTGGACCCAGGAGGTGGAGGTTGCAGTGAGCCGAGATTGTGCCACTGCACTCTAGCCTGGGCGACAGAGTGAGACTCCATCTCAAAAATAAGTAAATAAATAAAAACGAGACTAGAGAGACTAGAGTTGGCTGGAGCAACTGGAACTCCAGCCTCAGTGCCCTGGGTTTCCAGAAGGCCAGCCTGGAAAGGGTGGAGTAAACCTTGGAGGCTCATGTGCTGCCTCACCCTAGCCCCTCACCCAAGCAAAACTCAACCAGTGTCTTAGTGCTTGTGGGACCTGCTTTGTCCCCTTTTGTGGCATCGAAGGGGTGATGAAGGATGAGACAAACCTGGATGTGAGTCCCAACTCTGCTGTGTGACCTGAGACAAGCCGTGCCTCTGAGCCTCAGTCTCCTCAGCTCTAAGAGGGGCACTCCCATGGCCCTGTCAAAGGGTTGCTGTCCACAAAACATGAACTGACCGTTGGCCTCATACATGTTAGTTGTCGAATCCACAGGCCAACTGCACTCCCTTTAGAACTGCAGTTGTCTGTGTCTGTCCTGCCTCCTCAACCAGACTGTGCCCAAGTTCCTTCTGGGGCCCTGGTGTCCAACTCAGACAGGCATTAGAGGAAGCCGTGGGGGCTGTTGAACGTTGAACCTGAACACTGAACTAGAGGCCCCAGGCCGGGGCTAATGAGGGCTCCAGGAAAGGGCTTCTGGGTGGAGAGGGAGCATCTACTAACCACTCACTTCCAGAGTGGCCTTCCCGGGTCCAGCAGAGGGTTGGGCGCCAACTAGGGAACCCACAGAGGAGGCGGGGGGTGGGGCGGGGGAGCGGTGTGGAGCGGGTAAGGGGGTGGGGCTGGAGATTAAGAAATGAGTGAGGTGGATGCTTCAGCGCTGTTAGTCTCCTCCCCATGCCCCTCCTCACTTCATCTAGTTTAGTCCCTTTATCCTGTGAAGTAGGGGTCATCATTAGCCCCCTTTTACAGAGGAGAGAATTGAGGCTTCGAGAGAGAGAAACTTGGCCAGGAGTTTCCACTCGGTCCGACGCCCTCGGTGCCCCGCCGGGTACGGTGGCTGGGCGCGGGGAGCGGGGGGCGGCGCCGGCGGGGCCCCGGGCAGGGGCGGGGTCGGGGCGCGGACAAAACCGCCGCGGGGCGGCGGGGTGGCGGACGCGGCCATGGAGGCCGAGGGCTGCCGCTACCAATTTCGGGTCGCGCTGCTGGGGGACGCGGCGGTGGGCAAGACGTCGCTGCTGCGGAGCTACGTGGCAGGCGCGCCTGGCGCCCCGGAGCCGGAGCCCGAGCCCGAGCCCACGGTGGGCGCCGAGTGCTACCGCCGCGCGCTGCAGCTGCGGGCCGGGCCGCGGGTCAAGCTGCAACTCTGGGACACCGCGGGCCACGAGCGCTTCAGGTGCGGGTAGCCGGGGCGCGGGAGGGACTTCTGGTGGGGGGCTCGGTGAGCGTGCTTTAGGCCACGGCAACTCCCGAGAGGCCAACTCAGAGGTCAGGCGGAGGGCGAGGTCCCTGCCCTGGGTCCCGCCCGGTCCACTGGGGCCAGAACCTCCCCTGCTCGGAGTCATTTTTCCCACGAACACTGCGGGGTGGGTCGAGTCCCAGAGACCAGGAACATCCCTGGCTTTGAGCTCTGGACTCTGGAGAGATGCTGAGTGATACTGGCCCCGGGTGCTGAGAGCTCAGGGGAACAGAGCGGGAAGTGTCGAGGAGATGTGGAAGGGAGAGAGGATCAGCAGGAGTTTGCCAGGAAGAGAACAGAGGAACGAAGACCTAGGTCAGGGCAGCACCAGGCCTTCTCCAAGAATGAGGGATTCAAGTCACGCTTGCTCCCTAACTGGAGCACCCAGACTTTTTTCTTTTCTTTTTTTTTTTTGAGACGGAGTCTCTCTCTGTCGCCCAGGCTGGGGTGCAGTGGTGCGATCTTGGCTCACTGCAAGCTCCGCCTCCTGGGTTCACGCCATTCTCCTGCCTCAGCCTCCCAAGTAGCTGGGACTACAGGCGCCCGCCACCACGCCCGGCTAATTTTTTTGTATTTTCAGTAGAGACACGGGGTTTCACCGTGTTAGTCAGGATGGTCTGGATCTCCTGATCTCGTGATCCACATCCACCCGCCTCGGCCTCCCAAAGTGCTGGGATTACAGGCGTGAGCCACCGCACCCGGCCAGCACCCAGACTGTTAGGAGAGACACAGACACCGAGGCAGAGAACCACGGGGCCGTGTGAAGTGAGCCCTGTTGGGGTGTGAGGCATTCTGTGGATCCCAGGGGGAGGAGGTCCTGCCTCTGGGGGTGTCATGGAGGCATCAGCCTCTCCCAGCTTACCTTTCCACCTCCCTGCCTCCCCAGGTGCATCACCAGGTCCTTTTACCGGAATGTGGTGGGTGTCCTGCTGGTCTTTGATGTGACAAACAGGAAGTCCTTTGAACACATCCAAGACTGGCACCAGGAGGTCATGGCCACTCAGGGCCCGGACAAGGTCATCTTCCTGCTGGTTGGCCACAAGAGTGACCTGCAGAGCACCCGCTGTGTCTCAGCCCAGGAGGCCGAGGAGCTAGCTGCCTCCCTGGGCATGGCCTTCGTGGAGACCTCGGTTAAAAACAACTGCAATGTGGACCTGGCCTTTGACACCCTCGCTGATGCTATCCAGCAGGCCCTGCAGCAGGGGGACATCAAGCTAGAAGAGGGCTGGGGGGGTGTCCGGCTCATCCACAAGACCCAAATCCCCAGGTCCCCCAGCAGGAAGCAGCACTCAGGCCCATGCCAGTGTTGACTCTAGGAGAGAAAGGGTTAAAGCAGTCCCAGCCTTAGCCCACCTGGTGGGATGGGGAGTGTTAATATCTCTCTGGAGGACAAATGACAGAAGGGTTCATATAAACAGTATCCTGACACAGTCATGCTTCCTGGATTTTGGAGTCGAGGCTTTCTACAGAAAAGAAAGTTCTGATGGCCAGGCATGGTGGCTCACGCCTGTAATCCTAGCATTTTTGGAGGCCAAGGACAGTGGATCACCTGAGGTCAGGGGTTCGAGACCAGCCTGGCCAACATGGTGAAACCCTGTCTCTACTAAAAATACAAAAATTAGCCAGGCGTGGTGGTGCATGCCTGTAATCCCAGTTACTCCAGAGGCTAAGGCAGGAGAATTGCTTGAACCTGGGAGGCAGAGATTGCAGTGAGCCAAGACTGCGCCACTGCACTCCAGCCTGGGCAACAGAGTGAGACTCTGTTTCAAAAAAAAAAAAGAAAAGAAAAGAAAGGCCTGAGAGACCAGATGTGCAACTTCCTGTCCTTGAGCCTCAGTGTCCCTATCTATCGATGGGGCTCATAAAAGATCCCACCTTGAAGGGAGGTGGTGACCACAAATGAGACAGTGGACAGGATGTGCTCACCCAGAGCCTGCCGCGCTGTGAATTGAATGACAAAAGCTCTCATTCCCACTCCCTTTTTCTTGGCTGCGATGTGGCCACTCTGGCAGCATTCCTGGGCTCAGACACTGAGAAGCCAGCGTCAGGAAGCTGATGCATGGGCAAAGGCAGGTGCGGGGAATTCCAGGGGGAGCTTGGCTTGGAGGCTTCTTATGTCCTCAGGCTAAAATGATTCTGGGCATGGGATTAATATGTGACGTCAAACCCAGGGTTGCTGGCCAATGCCCCCCCGACCAGGCCCAGGGGCTGAAAAATGGATGTTGGAGGCTGGGATGAACATGAATGTGTAGCAACTATGTTGGGCACACAGTGGCCACTGTGATGAGCCACCAAGATCCCCCTTTCTGGCTGGGGAACCCATCAACCCTCTCCCCAGCTGCTGGAGTGCCACTGGATGATGGACTTCAGCTTGCCCCACTCTCTGGGAAAGGCCCTCCCTTCAGGGCAGCTTGTATCCAAAGTTCATCTCCTGGGGGGCCTTAAAGGACTCCCTCTTGCCCCAGCTCTGGACAACTCTGAAAGTCAAAACCAACTTTATCAGTCTCTGTGGGCTTCATTGAGGACACTGTTGTGACATCATAGCCAAGTTATCCCCTTGCCCAATCCTGCTTCCTTTTCTTCCCCAAACAGGTATCCATTTCAAGAATATCCCCTAATAAACATCTGCACACTCATCTCCATCTCAGAATCTGCCTCCTGGTAACCTAACCTATGATGGGAACTGCTAGGCAGGGAATGTCCTGGGAGCAATTAGGGAAGGCTTCATGGAAGAGACACTGTTTATGTTAGGCCGAATCTCAGCAGGTGTAGGGCTTAGTGGGTATCATTGTGCTGTAGCAAAAAGCACAGCCACTTTGCTGGGTGCAGTGGCTCACGCCTGTAATCCCAGCACTTTCGGAGGCCTAGGCAGGCAGTTCACTTGAGGTTGGGAGTTCGAGACCAGTATGGCCAACACGGCGAAACCCTGTCTATACTAAAAATACAAAAATTAGCTGGGTGTGGTGGCTCATGCCTGTAATCCCAGCACTTAGGAGGCTGAAGCATGAGAATTGCTTGAGCCCAGGAGGCAGAGGTTGCAGCGAGCCACGATCCCGCCACTGCACTCCAGCCCTCTAACTTGGGTGGCAGAGCAACACTCCGTCTCATAAAAAAAGAAAAAAGCATAGTCACTTAACTCTCTTTTGTGACCTTGAGCTAGTTACTTGGCCTCCTTGAGCCTTGGTTTCCTCCTCAGTCAGTAACATGAGACTGATAATCCCTCCCTCCTAGGGTTCTTAGAAGGTTTTCAGAATGAGTTTCTTAGCTTCCTCCCCATGGAGAGGGGGCTGAGGGGTCTTCCTGTGCACTTGGTCCTGCCTCTTTTTTTTTTTAAACCCATAAAAATTCACCTGTTTTATTTTGTGGGGGGTGGGGAATATCCATTACCTCAGACATTTATATTTTATTTGTATTACAAACAATCCAGTTATACGTTTTTATTTCTAAATGTACAATAAATTACTGTTGACTGTAGTCACCCTGTTGTGCTATCAAATGTTAAATCTTATTCATTCTATTTAACTGCATTTTTGGCTGGATGTGGTGGCTCACGCCTGTAATCCCAGCACTCTGAGTGCCGAGGTGGGCGGATCACCTGAAGTCAGGAGTTCGAGACCAGCCTGGCCAACATTGGTGAAACCCTGTCTCTACTAAAAACACAAAAATTAGCTGGACATGGTGGCATGTACCTGTAATCCCAGCTACCGCGGAGTCTGAGGCAGGAGAATCACTGGAACCTGGGAGGCAGAGGCTGCAGCGAGCTGACACCGTGCCACCGCACTCCAGCCTGGGCGATAGAGCGAGACTCCATCTCAAAAAACAAATAAATAAAAATAAAATAAAAATAAAAACTATGTTTTTGTACTCATTAGCCATACCCACTTCCCCCCACCACTACCCTTCCCAGCCTCTGGTCACCATCATTCTACTCTATCTCCATGAGTTCAATTGTTTTAATTGTTAGCTCCCATAAGTAAGTGAGAATGTAAAAAGTTTGTCTTTCTGTGCCTGGCTTTTTTCACTTATAATTCCAGTTCCATCCATGTTGTTGCACATGACCTGCCTCTTCTTTTTAAACATCCTTATTCATCCTTGTGACGTGGTGAGGTTGGCACAATCATCCCCATTTCACAGATAAGAAAGCTGGGGCCAGGAGAGGAAAATTACTTGCTTTAGGGTATCTTTTCATTCCTTCATCGTTTTTTTTTTTTTTTCCTTAGATACAGGGTCTCGCTCTGTTGCCCAGGCTGGAGTGCAGTGATGCAATCACACCTCACTGCAATGTCGACCTCCTGGGCTCAAGTGATCCTCCCACCTCAGCTTCCCAAGTAGCTGGGACTACAGGTGCACTTCACAAAGCTAACTTTTAAATTATTTGCAGAGACAGGGTCTCACTATGTTGCCCAGGCTGGTCTCACACTCCTGGCCTCAATCAATCCTCCTGCCTCAGCCTCCCAAAGTGCTGGGATTACAGGTGTGAGCCACTGTACCTGGTCTCCTTCATCAATTTTCTTTCTTTTTTTTTGAGACAGAGTCTTGCTCTGTCGCCCAGGCTGGAGTGCAGTGGGGCGATTTCGTCTCACTGCAATCTCTGCCTCCTGGGTTCAAACGATTCTCCTGCCTCAGCCTCCCAAGAAGCTGGGACTACAGGTGTGTGTCACCACACCAGGCTAACTTTTGTATTTTCAGTGTTTCACCATGTTGGCCAGGCTGGTCTCGAACTCCCGAACTGAGGTACTCTGCCTGCCTCGGCCTCCCAAAGTGCTGGGATTACAGGCATGAGCCACCGTGCCTGGTCCGTCAGAGGCTTATTATTATTACTTTGAGGTGGAGTCTTGCTCTGTCACCCAGGCTGGAGTGCAGTGGCGCAATCTCGGCTCACTGCAACCTCTGCCTCCTGGGTTCAAGCGATTCTCCTGCCTCAACCTCCTGAGTAGCTGGGACTACAGGCGCACGCCACCACGCCCAGATAATTTTTTGTATTTTTAGTAGAGATGGGGTTTCACCATGTTAGCCAGGATGGTCTCGATCTTCTGACCTCGTGATCCACCCGCCTCAGCCTCCCAAGAAGATGGGACTACAGGTGTGTGCCACCACACCAGGCTAACTTTTGTATTTTCAGTAGAGACAGGGTTTCACCATGTTGGCCAGGCTGGTCTCGAACTCCCAACCTCAGGTGATCCACCCGCCTTGGCCTCCCAAAGTGCTGGGATTACAGGCGTGAACCACTGCGCCCAGATGCTTCATCAATTTTTTTTTTTTTTGAGACAGAGTTTCACTCTTGTTGCCCAGGCTGGAGTGCAATGGCACGATCTCTGCTCACTGCAACCTCCGCCTCCCAGGTTCAAGCGATCCTCCTGCCTCAGCCTCCCTAGTTGCTGGGATTATAGGCATGCGCCACCACACCTGGCTAATTTTATATTTTTAGTAGAGATGGGGTTTCTGCATGTTGGTCAGCCCGGACTTGAACTCCTGACTTCATGTTATCCACCTGCCTTGGCCTCCCTAAGTGCTGGAATTACAGGCATGAGCCACTCCCAAAGTGCCTGGTCCGTCAGAGGCTTATTATTATTATTATTTTGAGGCGGAGTCTTGCTCTGTCACCCAGGCTGGAGTGCAGTGGCGCAATCTCGGCTCACTGCAACCTCTGCCTCCGGGGTTCAAGCGATTCTCCTGCTTCAACCTCCTGAGTAGCTGGGACTAAAGGTGCGTGCCACCACGCCCAGCTAATTTTTTGTATTTTTAGTAGAGATGGGGTTTCACCATGTTAGCCAGGATGGTCTCAATCTTCTGACCTCGTGATCCGCCCGCCTCGGCCTCCCAAAGTGCTGGGATTACAGGTGTGAGCCACCGTGCCCGGCCCTACCAGAGGCTTATTATTAAACCCACAGCAACCCCGTGAGGTTGGGCTGATCTTGTCCATTTCACAGACCTCAGCTCCAAGACAGAAAACTCATGTGGCTAAAGTGATGAACCCAGGCCAGCTCCAATAATCTTGTCCACTGCCTCAGGCCAGCCCCAGGGTGGGTCCTTTCTCAAACTTCAGCGCTCCAGTCCTACCCTCACTATCCCCCTCAGTGTGGCAAAATCTCGAGAGGCTGTAAGTGGCTTTGATGGGTGTGTGCCTGCACAAGCAGAGCGAGCCCAGGCTACAGGAAAGGCAGAGGCACCAGTGTACATTGTGCCACTCCTTTTGAGTCTCAGGCCTCTAGGTTCTCCTGTAATTCAGCATCCACACTGACCCAGAGGGATCTTTTTAAAGGACAGTTTTGGCTTGGCCGCCTCCCTGCTAGAATCCTCCTATGGCCCCACACCTACAGCATAAAATCCAAATCCTTTTGCTCTAATCCAAGCCTTTCATCACCTGGAGCCAGCTGCATCATCTCTAACCACTGGCCCAGGCGGCCAAATTCTGAACCAGGTGCAGCTCTGGACTTCGCATATGCTGTTTTCTGTGCCGGGAAAGTCCCAGCTCTCTCTCTCTCCCTGTGTTATCTGATCTGCCTGCAACACTCAGGTAGACATCACTTCCTTTTAACCACATTATCCCAGCTGCCAAAAATAGGACAGGCTTTGCTGTCAAACCTGGTTTGAATCTCAGTTCCACTAACAGTGGGACCCTGACTAACTCACTTTATCTTTCTAAGCCTCAGTGATTTAAAAATGGGGATAATAGGCCGGGCGCGGTGGCTCACGCGTGTAATCCCAGCACTTTGGGAGGCCGAGGCGGGTGGAACACGAGGTCAAGAGATCGAGACCATCCTGGCTAACACCATGAAGCCCCGTTTCTACCAAAAAATATAAAAAATTAGCCGGGCGTGATGGCACGCGCCTGTGGTGCCACCCCAACCCTGAGGGCCAAGGAGAGAACTCATCCACCAGGAAGGGAGGGGTCAAGAGAAGGGGCCTTGGAGGCCATTTAGAAGGATGGACACTGGACTAAGGGCACAGGTCTGAGTCCTGACCTGCCTAGTGACCTTGGACAGGTCACACGACCTCTCCAGATCTCAGCATTATCTGTAAAATAAGGGCCACATTGGATGACCTCTGAAGGCCCCTTCTTTTGTAACTCCAGGTAATTGTAAGACCCTAGCTTAACTCTGCTTTCCTCCTCCCAGCTTCACGCCATGCAGGCACAGGGGATTCTTTCCAGGATGGCTCCCTGGTCCCAGATGGCTCCTTCTGTGTCCTTGGAACTCATCCTGTTGTTACAGCCAGACCCTGCCCCTGTCTTTTGGTTAACTCCTTCTTGGGAAAACGTCTCAAGTCTTTTTTTTTAGATGGAGTCTCACTCTTGTCGCCCAGACTGGGGTGCAGTGGTATGATCTTGGCTCACTGCAGCCTCCACCTCCTGGGTTCCTGCTATTCTCCTGCCTCAGCCTCCCGAGTAGCTAAGATTACAGGCACATGCCACCACGCCCGGCTAATTTTTGTATTTTTAGTAGAAACAAGGTTTCGCTATGTTGGCCAGGCTGGTCTCGAACTCCTGACCTCAGGTGATCCACCTGCCCTGGCCTCCCAAAGTGCTGGGATTACAGGTGTGAGCCACCACACCCGGACTCAAATCTTATCACCTTTAGTCCAAAAAACTGTAGCAACTTCCGGCTAGTATCCCTCCTGCCTGCTTCCAATTCCACCTTCCACACTGGCAGCCAGAGAGGCTTTTAACATGCAAACATAGTTACACCACTCCTTCATCTGAAACTTCAGGGGTTCCCAAAGGCTCTGCAGTGGTGTGTGTGTGTGTTTTTTTTTAATGTGTGTGTGTGTGTGTGTGTGTGTGTGCAGTGGTTTTCAAAACTTTTTATCTGTTTTGAGCATTAGAATCCTCATCTGACGGAATGTTTCTCAGAGCCCTAAAAATGTCCAACAGTTAAGAAAGATGTTATGCAGACTGAAGAAAAGTGGAAAGCTTGGAACCAGCCTGCTGGGCCTCCCACACTACAGCCTGCAACACACACACAACACACAGCAGCCTCCAAGGCATGGGCACTGAACTGAGGGCTCCACGTACCTTCATAAGAAGCCAGGATAGGCTGGGCACAGTGGCTCACACCTATAATCCCAGCACTTTGCGAGGCAGCGGTAAGCAGATTGCTTGAGCCCAGGATTTTGAGACCAGCCGGGGCAACATGGCAAAACTCTCTGTTTTTAAAAAATTAATTAAAAAAAAAGGAGGCCAGGCATGGTGGCTCACACCTGTAATCCCAGCACTTTGGGAGGCAGAGGTAGGAGAATCACCTGAGGTCAGGAGTTAGAGGCCACCCTGGCCAACATTATAAAACCCCGTCTCTACTAAAAATACAAAAATTAGTCGGATGTAGTGGCGCACCTGTAATCCCAGCTACTTGGGAGGCTGAGACACAAGAATAGCTTGAACCCGGGAGGTGGAGGTTGCAAGAGCCGAGATCGCATCACTTCATTCATTCCAGCCTGGGTGATAGAGTGAGACTCTCTCTCTCTCTCTTTTTTTTTTTTTAGATGGAGTCTCCCTCTGTCGCCCAGTCTGGAGTGCAGTGGTGCAATCTCGGCTCACTACAACCTCCGCCTCCCAGGTTCAAGCAATTCTCCTGCCTCAGCTGCCTGGCTAATTTTTTATATTTTTAGTAGAGACGGTTTCGCCATGTTGGCCAGGCTGATCTTGAACTCCTGACCTCAAGTGATCCACCTGCCTTGGCCTCCCAGAGTGCTGAGATTACAGGCTTGAGCCACTGCGCCCGGTCACCTGGGTCTGTTTTTATTCATCATTGTATCCCTCTGCTTAGGACAGGCATGGGATTATAAATACTTGCTGAGTGAATGAACAAGTCCCTCAATATGCAGATAGGACAAGACTGAGATAGATGACGCCACTTACTTGTCACACTGCAAATCAAGAACTGGGGTCTTTTGATTCTACCTCAGCTCTTTCCATTAAACTTCCCCGATTCCTGTGTTCCCTTCTGTCTTAGTGGAGATCTCAAAACTAATTCTAGATTCCTTGGCTGCCAAGGTCAGTGACTCATCGTACTACTGAAACCCAGCTGGAGGCCCCTTGGTGTTTGGTATCACCAACAGAATATCCTTTATGAGTGTCACCACTGGCATCAGGAGGTTCTGGGGAAAGTGAAACCCTTCAGCATCCTCGTCCTGATGGTTGGCCACAAGAGTGACCTGTTGGTGAGCACTGGGTGACACCACAGGGAAAGAAGCTGGCTGCCTCTTTGGGGCATTGAAACTTCAGCCAAGAGCAACAGTAACATTAGCACAGCCTCTGAGGAGCTCACTCAGTGTATCTGTGAGACTGTGAAGTGGGGGGGACATGGGATCTAACTCAGGGTGGGAGGGAATTTTGAAATGCAGGGTCTCATCCTGGGCCAAGCTTCAGGACGCAGAGGACCAAAGCAAATCAAGGTGGCTGTGCCTGTGCTAGTGACCCTTGGGTAGGACAGCCATCCTCCCTAGAGCCCACAGAACTCTCACAATCCACAAGGGCCATGCTGGGCCCAGGACAGGATGATGCTAGGTGCCACTGAAGGACATGACCCAGAGGTCTGGAAGGCGCCTGGTTTCTTCTGCATGATGGTGAAAACACCAGGATCAAAGATAACAGCAACTAAGAAGAGATGGGCACCTGCACAGACATGCCTATCCTGAGGACAGGGGCCTACTCCCATCCTTTCTCAGGGACAGGGACAAACACAGCTTTCTCCAGGAGTTCCAGAAGAGCAGGTCAAAAAGGGTTTTTAGGCCGGGCGCGGTGGCTCACGCTTGTAATCTCAGCACTTTGGGAGTGCGAGACCTGTCTGACCAACACAGTGAAAACCCCATCTCCACTAAAAATACAAAAATTATCTCGGTGTGGCGGCAGGCGCCTGTAACCCCAGTTACTTGGGAATCTGAGGCAGGAGAATCGCTTAAACCTGGGAGGCTGAGGTGGCAGTGAGCCAAGATCACATCACTGCACTCTAGCCTGGGTGACAGAGCTAGACTCCGTCTCAAAAAAAAAAAAATTAAAAAAAAACAAAAAAAACCAAAAAGGGTTTTTAGGCATATAACATTGCCAAAACAAGGATGCCTCTTCAGTTGAGGGCCGTGAGAGAAGGTCACCCTACTCAATTCTTATGGCCGAGAAGCTGGACTCAAACTCCTGCTGATGTTATGGCCTCCCTTGGGGTAAAATGATGGAAAATCCCTGAGTTTTTCTCAAACACCAAAATGAATAACGATGCTGCCACCTGCTGACTAGAGAGCTACAATCCAGGCTTGCTTGTCCTGACTCCCTCTGGGATTTCAAAGGTACCCTGTCTTTCGATTAATAACTTCTTTATTCTGGAAAAGCAAATGAAAGTCATATTCATATAAACACTGACATTACAAAGTACAGGGAAAAGGGGAAGGGAGAAGGAAACAAAACCCTTTACAAATCCTGCTAATACTGTCTTACCCAAAAAGACCATAATGCTTTGTCCCATATTCAGTCACTTATATAATAAACCACAAATAAAATCTTCTCTGGAAGATACATTGCTCCTCTTTGAGATGGCAGGGAAAAGGGACCGGAAGTTGGGGTAGGAGGCTTTATTCTTTTGGCAGATCCTCTCAGTCATTATAGATATTGCTGCACTGTTAATAAAAAATATATGCTTCTCTGTAAAGCATTAAAAAAAAAAATCCAAGGATGAGATGGCTGAGTTCTCAGCTCAAGTATCTCCAAATACATTGCTGTCCATTCCCTGACCTTTCCGTGTGTTATTTCTTGGTTGTTTTCCGGATCAATGCCATTCTCTGAAAGGAGAGACAAATAAGCAGTTATACAGCAGCAGCTGGAGTCAGGAGCTTTCTGGAACATTCTGTGTGGCTAGCAGGCCTCATGGTCTACACTGTAGGCCGCAGCCCTCAGAGACCTGCAGTCACAAGGCATCTCAGTAGATTCCTTTTAACCAGAGAGCAGTCTGCAAGGCCCCAAGAGATGTTTAGATGGGCTAGTGGACCCATTTCATCCACCAAACTGCTCTAGGCTAGCAGAATGGCAAAAAAGTTAAAAGCAGGAGAAAGTGACAGCTCTTGAGTTTTGGTGACTTAGAGAATAAGCTGGCAAAGCATGTGTTTTCTTTCTTTCTTTTTTTTTTTTTTGAGATGGAATCTCGCTCTGTTGCCCAGGCTGGAGTGCAGTGGCATGATTTCGGCTCACTGCAACCTCTGCCTCCCAAGTTCAAGTGATTCTCCTGCCTCAGCCTCCCCAGTAGCTGGGATTACAGGCACGTGCCACCACGCCTGGCTAATTTTTGTATTTTTAGTAGAGACAGGGTTTCACTACATTGGCCGGGCTGGTGTCAAACTCCTAACCTCAAGTGATCCACCAGGCTCGGCCTCCCAAAGTGCTAGGATTACAGGCATGAGCCACTGCGCCTGGCCAAGCATGTGTTTTCTGGGGTCCCCTGACCCCAATCTTTTCTCCAATGATGGACACAATAGGGAAGGGGCCTCAATTTCAAAGTGTTGCCACACACAAAGGGAGCTGACATTTCACATCTCATGACCTGCATTGAAGGGAAACTGAAGACTAACAACTTCTACCACAGTCCATCATGGAAACACTCAGATCATAGGTTTCATGATCTGAATTCTTTTACTATTACTAGCTACTAGCCAAATTAACAACTTACTTTGTTCATTCTTTTTGACCAAATACCAATATTATGGCATTTGTCGACTAAATAAATAGGGCTGAAAATGGTTAACTTGGGAGCACAAAGTGACAGTCCATTGTTTGCAGGGACTCTCTTCTGAACAGTGCAATCTTTCCATTCAGGAAACTGGTGGCTTCCCTTTAGGGCTTGCTTCGTGAGCTTTACAAACACCGGCTCCAGAGATACCAGGCTATGGCGAAGCAGGGGCACTCAACCAGGACTGCCCAGTTGTGCCTGCTAAGCTTGGAAAAAGCTCACGTTTCAAATCAGAGTAGCCACTTAAGTTAAGACAGAAAGGATAACAGCCTTGTCAGAGGGAGGCCAACACTGCTGTTGGACTGACCAAAGATGGGGATGACTTGCTCCACAGCAGAAGTAGTATTCTCACACTGACTCCTAGGTTCCTTGTTCAGAGGGAACCTTGTTCAAAGGTAAAACCAGGACACAGGCCAGAATGTCCAGCACGGCAGCCTGGATACTACCTCTCAGAACAAGTACAGCACATTTTTGCTTTCTTTAACCTGCCCTCTCTTCATAGGACCATATATGGTGTTGCAATCAGCAACAATGAAGGAAGATTTCATTAAGGAGGTATGGTGGGGCGAGCTGCATCCATATTAGAAGAACCCAGAATCAACAGCTTTAAGTGACACTCAACAGAGTTACGAGAAAAAACAGACCACATGTGGGAACAGCACAGCACCATGTGAATATCTTATTGATCTCCCGGAGACCGCTGCTGCCTCTTGCCCTCTCTGACCCTTGCTCCAGAGAGTGAAGTTTGCTGTGTGGAGGAAGCGAGGCCCCCTAGAAGGTAGCTGTGTGTATCCACTCTGAGACGTAACTCAAGGAATCAGCCCTGGCTGTCCCCAGGGCTCTGGCATTTCCTCACCTGTTTGTGAGCTTCTGTGGTGCAAGCTTTTTTGTAGGGTCGGATTTCTTCAGAGCCAAATCCTGGGATCCACATGTTCCACTGGCGCTCTGCAAGGAAGAAGCCAGCACAGAGATAAACGTACCAAGAAGGCAGTACCAGGAGTGCAATGTGACCCCCTTGGATCAGGGAGGATGAATGTGGGCATCTGGCTACTAACTCCACAAAGGGATTCTATTACAAATAGGGAAAATGGACATGGCTTCTCCAAGGTTTTTTCTTTTTTTTTGGAGACAGGGTCTTCCCACTCTGTCACCCAGAGTGGGGTGCAGTGGCACAATCTTGGCTCACTACAGCCTTGACTACCCCAGCACAAGCGATATTCCCATCCTGGCCTCCCAAGTAGCTGGGACTACAGGCGCATGCCACCATGGCCAGCTAATATTTCTTATTTCTTATATTTCTTTAAGACGGAATTTTGCTCCTGTTGCCCAGGCTGGAGTGCAATGGCGCAATCTCGACTCACTGCAATCTCTCAGGCTTCAACATTGAATATGCCACAGGCTCATTTGCCAGGTTCAAGCAATTCTCCTGCCTCAGCCTCCTGAGTAGCTGGGATTACAGGTGTGTGCCACCATGCCTGGCTTTTTTATTTTTTATTTTTTGGAGATGGAGTCTCACTCTGTTGCCCAAGTTGGAGTGCAGTGGTGCGATCTCGGCTCACTGAAACCTCTGCCACCTGGGTTCAAGCGATTCTCCTGCCTCAGACTCCCGAGTAGCTGGGATTCCAGGCATCTGCCACTGCATCTGGCTAATTTTTGTATTTTTAGTAGAGATGGGGTTTCACCATCTCGGTCAGGCTGGTCTTGAACTCCTGACCTCGTGATCCACCCACCTCGAACTCCCAAAGTTCTAGGATTACAGGCGTGAGACATCGCACCTGGCCTCAGCTAATTTTTTGTATTTTTAGTAGAAACGGGGTTTCACCATGTTAGCCAGGCTGGTCTCAACCTCTTGACCTCAGGTGATCTGCCTGCCTCAGCCTCCCGAAGTGCTGGGATTACAGGCGTGAGCCACTGCGCCTGGCTGTATATTTCTATTTTTTGTAGAGAGGGGGTCTTGTTATGTTGAACTTTTGGGCTCAAGCACATCCTCCTGCCTCAGCCTCCCGAAGTGTTGGTATTACAGGCATCAGTCACCATGCCTGGCTTCCTCCAAGGTTTCTAAAGGACAAAATTCAAGCTTCTTGCAAAGAAAAAGAGGTAATTTAGTCAAAGCTGTGAATGCTGAGACCTAAGGTTTCCATGCAGCTTATCCAATTCACAGAAAATAAATATCATTTATTTCTTTAGTTGTCTTAATCCTAAGGCTCAAAGTAACCCCTCTCACACCTAAGGGACATGAAGGCACTTCAAGCATTCTGGAATTAAGAGCCAAAGCTGAGGTCTGCTGCTTCACTGAGCAGCTGTATGACGCTGGCTCCCAGTTTCTTCATTTTTTATGTAGCTGTAACAACAGTAATAACCACTGACAGGGTGGTTGGGGCATTCAATGACATAAGGCATGTGAAGTATTCAGCCCAGAGCCTAGGGTAAACATATAGGTATGGATATAGAGAGAAGTATGTCCACACCACAGTTCCATGACCTGGTGCCCCTGGATATTATCTTCCTTATAAGGTTATCACAAGAAGTTCCCAGAGGACAGGGACTTTGTTTATTCCTCTTTGACAGTAACTGGCATAGGGGCATGGCCCCCTAAACTCATGTATAAAGGTGTACGTCACTTTTAGCAAATCACAGGCATAAGCCACAACACCTGGCCCAATATTTCTTTGAAAACAGAATGTCTGAAACCTTCTGCTAACAATTTATGTTATTAGTATTTGAAAGTGACACTGGCCAGATGTGGTGGCTCATTCCTGTAATCTCAGCACTTTGGGAGGCCAAGACGGGAAGACTGCTTGAGCCCAGGAGTTCAAGACCAGTGTAGGCATAATAGTGAGACTGCATTGTTACTAGAAATAAAAATATTAGCTGGGCGGGAGTGGTGGGTCACGCCTGTAATCCCAGCACTTCGGGAGGCCAAAGTGGGCGGATCACCTGAAGTCAGGAGCTCAAGACCAGTCTGGCCAACATGGTGAAACCTGGTGTCTACTAAAAATATAAAAAATTAGTCAGGCATGGTGGCAGGTGCCTATAATCCCAGCTACTTGGGAGGCTGAGGCAGGAGAATCACTTGAACCTGGGAGGCAGAGGTTGCAGTGAGCTGAGACGGCACCACTGCACTCTAGCCTAGGTGACAGAGCGAGACTCCATCTCAAAAAGAAAACTTTTTTTTTTAGCTGTATGTGGTGGTGTGCACCTGTAGTCCCAACTACTTGGGAGTCTAAGGCAGGAGGATCACTTGAGCCCAGGAGGTAGAAGATGCAGTGAGCCATAATCACACCACTGCACTGCAGCCTGGGTGAAGAGGAAGATCCTGCCTCAAAAGAAAACAAAAAGGGCCAGGCACGATGATTCACACCTGTAATCCCACCACTTTGGGAGGCTGAGGCGGATGGATCACTTGAGGCCAAGAGTTCAAGATCAGCCTGGACAACATGGTGAAACCTCCTATCTACTAAAAATACAAAAATTAGCCAAGAGTGATGGTGAGTGCCTATAATCCCAGCTACAAGGCACAAGAATCCCTTGAACAGCCGGGCGTGATGGCTCATGCCTGTAATCCGAGCACTTTGGGAGACCAAGGCTGGTGGATCACAAAGTCAGGAGATCAAGACCATCCTGGCTAACACAGTGAAACCCGGTCTCTACTAAAAATACAAAAAAAAAAAAAAAAAAAAATAGCCGGGTGTGGTGGCGGGCGCCTGTAGTCCCAGCTACTCGGGAGGCTGAGGCAGGAGAATGGTGTGAACCTGGGAGGCAGAGCTTGCAGTGAGCCAAGATCGCGCCACTGCACTCCAGCGTGGGCGATAGAGCAAGGCTCCATCTCAAAAAAAAAAGGATCCCTTGAACTCAGGTGGTGGAGGTTGCAGACAAAGGTTATTCTCTACGAATTGAACTTTACAGTCAACAAAAAGTAGATAAAGTGTGCAAAGTCACTTTAAAGAAAGAGAGCAGGCCGGGTGTGGTGGCTCACGGCTGCAATCCCAGCACTTTGGGAGGCCAAGGTAGGCAGATTGCCTGAGCTCAGGAGTTGGAGACCAGCCTGGGCAACACAGTGAAAACCCGTCTCGACTAAAAATACAAAAAATTAGCCAGGCGTGGTGGCGTGTGCCTGTGGTCCCAGCTAATCGGGAGGCTGAAGCAGGAGAATCGCTTGAACCCGGGAGGCAGAGGTTGCAGTGAGCGGAGATTGTGCCACTGCACTCCAGTCTGGGCGACAGACTGAGACTCTGTCTCAAAGTAAATAAATAAATAAATAAAAGACAAAAAATTAGCCAGGCGTGGTGGGAGGGCGCCTACGTAATCCCAGTTACTCCGAAGGCTGAGGCAGGAGAATCACTTGAACCTGGAAGGCAGAGGTTGCAGTGAGCCGAGGTCACACCCTTGCATTCCAGCCTGGGCAAAAAGAGTGAAATTCCGTCTCAAAAATAAATAAAGAAAGAAATAATAAAGACAGTAGCTACCACACATGAATACATACATGTATGTGTGTCTATTTATGTAACTACGTATACCTATATGCGTTATGTGTGTATACATATATCTTATATAATCTTTTTTATTTATTTATTTTTTGAGACTGAGTTTTGCTCTTGTTGCCCAGGCTGGAGTGCAATGGTGTGATCTCGGCTCACTGCAACCTCCGCCTCCTAGGTTCAAGCGATTCTCCTGCCTCAGCCTCCCGAGTAGCTGGGATTACAGGCACATGCCACCACGCCCGGCTAATTTTGTATTTTTAGTAGAGGCAGGGTTTCTCCACGTTGGTCAGGCTGGTCTCGAACTCCTGACCTCAAGGGAAATGCCCGCCTCGGCCTCCCAAAGTGCTGGGATTACAGGCGTGAGCCACCATGCCCGGCCTATATAATCTTAATATAATAGCAACAACAATCATTTAGTGAATGAAATGTAGTAAATGCATGGTCAAAGCAACATTGTGCAAAGCATTCTATGTAAATTATCTCATTTAACTTTAACTTTTTTTTTTCTGAGATGGGCTACTGCTCTGTCGCCCAGGCTGGAGTGCAGTGGTGTGATCTTGGCTCACTGCAACCTCTGCCTCCTGGATTCAAGCGATTTTCGTGCCTCAGCCTCTGGAGTAGCTGGGACTACAGGCGTGCACCACCACGCTCAGCTAATTTTTGTATTTTTGGTAGAGATGGGGTTTCACCGTGTTGGCCAGGCTGGTCTCGAACACCTGACCTCAGGTGACCCGCCCACCTTGGCCTCCCAAAGTGCTGGGATTACAGGCGTGAGCCACCGTGTCTGGCCCCAATTCACATTTGTTATGCAACCATCAGCATCATCCATCTCCAGAACTCCCAAATTGAGGATATCCATCTTCCCAAACTGAAACTCTATATCCATTAAACAACTCCCTGTACCCCCTTCCCCTTAGCCCCTGGTAATCACCATTCTACTTATTCTACTTTCTGTCTCTATGAATTTGTGTTGTGGGGGATTATTTTTTTTTTCTTTTTTTTGGGACGGAGTCTCTGTCACCCAGGCTGGAATGCAGTGGCAAGATCTTGGCTCACTGCGACCTCCACCCCACCAGGTTCAAGTGATTCTCCTGCCTCAGACTCCCGAGTAGCTAGGATTACAGGTACCTGCCACCACACCCAGGTAATTTTTGTATTTCTAGTAGAGACAGGGTTTCACCATCTTGGCCAGGCTGGTCTTGAACTCATGATCCACCTGCCTCGGCCTCACAAAGTGCTCGGATTACAGGCGTGAGCCACTGCGCCTGGCCGATTTGTTTTTTAATTATGTATGTATTTACTTATTTATTTATTTAGAGACAGGGTCTTACTCTGTCACTCAGGCTAGAGTGCAGTGGCATGATAGCTCACTGCAGCCTTGACCTCCCAGGCTCAAGTGATCCTCCTGTCTTAGCTTCCTGAGTAGCTGGGACTACAGGTGCACTCCACCATGCCTGGCTAATTTTTTAAATCTTTTTTAAATCTTTTAAATCTTTTGTAACACAGTGAGGTCTCACTGTGTTAACCAGGCTAGTCTTGAACTCCTGGGCTGAAGCGATCCTCCTGCCTCAGCTTCCCAAAATGCTGGAGTTACAGGTGTGAGCCACCATGCCAGGCCACTAGTGGTGGTTGTAAAACATGTTTATAAATTCCTTTACCCTCCTGCTATCAAGAGGTGGAGTCAGCCGGGCATGGTGGCTCACACCTGTAATCTCAGCACTTAGGGAGGCTGAGCGGGGAGGATCAGGCGGTCAGGAGTTTGAGACCAGCCTGGCCAATATGGTGAAACCCCATCTCTACTAAAAATACAAAAATTAGCTGGGCATGGTGGCGTGTGCCTGTAGTCCCAGCTACTCAGGAGGCTGAGGCAGAAGAATCCCTTGAACCTGGGAGGCGGAGGTTGCAGTGAGCCAAGATTGCGCCACTGCACTCCAGCCTGGGCAACAGAGTGAGACTGTCTCAAAAAAAAAAAAAAAAAAAAAAAAAACACAGGTGGAGTCTGTGTTCCCTCCCCCTGAACCTGGACAGGTTTCTGACTGCCTCAAAGAATAGAATTCACCAGGAGTGATGCTGAAGACTGTGTTAGAAAAGGCCATGAAGTTTTCTGCCAGGTGCTCATGGGATGTTAGTTCTGGGAGCCTTTAGCTGCTTAGCTGCCACATAAGAAGTCTAGCTATCCTGGGACTGCTAAAGGATGAGACCATATAGAGAGACGGTGGGTGGGGAAGATGGGAAGGGTAGGATTGGGGAATGTGAAGCAGAATGGGAGGGTTGGGAGGGACGGAGGGAGACGCCTGCAGAATCCCACCTTTTTCAGTGTTCTTAGACCAGGCATCAGACACGGAAGATATGAAGCCTTCCGTTATGGGTTATTTAAAAGTGTCCCTAAAAAAGATATGTTGCGGTCTTAACCTTAAGTACCTCCAGAATATGATCCTATTTGGAAATAGGGATGTTGCAGATGAAATTGGTTAAAATGAGATCATATTGGAGTAGGGTTAGCCCTTAATCCAATATGACTGGTGTCCTATGAGAAGAAAAGAAGAGACACAGAGACAGAGACACAGAGGGAAAAGGCCACGTAAAGACCGTGGCAAAGCCTGGATTTCTGTAGCTACAAGCCACAGAACACCAAGGATTGCCAGCCACCACCAGAGGCTAGAAGGAGGCAAGAATAGATTCTTCCCTAGGGGCAGCAGAGGAAGCATGACCCTGCTGACACTTAGATTTCAGGTTTCTGGCCTGCAGAACTGTGAGAGAAAATTTTTTGTTGTTTTAAGCTGCCAAGTTTATGGTATTTTGTTAAGGTAGCCCTAGGAAACTAGTATGCCTTCCTTCAAGACAATCTCAGGCCCAGCCACTGCCTGACTTAGTAAAACTAGCTGAGCCCAGTCAACCCCCAGATTCATGAATCAAATCAACAACTGTTATTGTGCTAAACCACTGTTTTTGGGGTGGTCTGCTACACATTAATGGATAACCAAAATATCTGTTCTTTTCTCTAGATACCAGCAACATTACCTGAAGTGTGTTATTTACTTTACCTAGACTACCAATGCCTCCCCAAGGCAACAGCTTCTTGACACTGTGAAGAAAGTCTTTCAATAATTAGTCATGGGCTGATCTGCACCGAATCTCATTCATTTGGCCTGTCTCTATAGTTATAGACTGGGCTGGGCATGGTGGCTCATGACTGTAATCCCAGCACTTTGGGAGGCCAAGGCAGGTGGATCAACAGAGGCCAGGAGTACAAGACCAGGCTGACCAACATGATGAAACCCTATCTCTACTGAAAATACAAAAATTAGCCAGGTGTGGTGGTGCAGGCCTGTAGTCCCAGCTACTTAGGAGGCTGAGGCAGGAGAATCGCTTGAACCCAGGAGGTAGAGGTTGCTGAGATGGCATCACTGCACTCTAACCTGGGTGACAGTGAGACTCGATCAAAAAAATATATATATATATATTTATATATATAAAGTATTATACATAAAGTATATACAAATATATATAAAAATTATATATAAATATATATAAATTATATATAAATATATATACACACATAAATATATACATATATATACATATATATAACACATAGTTATAGACTGATCTCTTTCTTTTAATCACATCGTATCCAATGCAGAGGGCTGCTTATTCATTTCCAAGTGATTATGGTCATCACTGTTAGCTGAGTATCTCCCAGAAAAACTCAAACTCAAATTTAGTGTCTGTTAAGTAGAAAAGGAGACTATAAAATTGTATGTATATTACGATTATAAACTTTGGAAAAAATGCATAAATAGGCTAAAACTCTAAGGGAACACTGAGGAACAGTTTTATTTGCATGGTGAAGACATAACAGTACCTACATTGACTAGATCCTACTTTGTGCAGGCCCTGTGCCAGTCACTTTACAGACATGGTCTATAATTCTCACGATTATTCTGTAAGGAGGATATTATGATCCTCACTTTACAAATGAGGAAACAGACTCTAAGAGATACTAGGTAGGAAAAATAGGCTGATACAACTAGAAAGTGGCAGAATCTGGTTTCAAACCCATGCCTGGGCTCATTCTCCCTACCACAGATGGATTTCTCTTTTCTATTTGGTGCTGTTATTGAATTAATACATAAATCCCAGTGCCCAAAAGTCTGGTTCTGGCATGAAGGTTCCTCTGACTACACTTTCCCTGGCAGTCCTGAAGAAGCAGTTGAATCCATACTTCAGGGAGAAACAAGACCACATACCTAAATGCAGCTGGACATCTTTCACCTCCAGGGTGCTAGACTTGCGATGCCGCGCAAGCTGACAGGCTGCTGTCACCACACTCTCGATAAAATCATCAGCAATCTGCAGCAGCATCTGGGGAAGGTAAAGTGGGAAGAGTCAGCACGACATTGGCAGGGTAGGCTCCTGTTGCTGGGACAACTGCTTTCAGCTTGGATTGCATATTTAGTCAGGCATTCTAGTAGAAGGCTGGAATCAGCATTTGGGCTAAGGTGGGGAAGAGGAATGAGAAGGACAAAAGAAATGTTACCCAGGTTGAGTGCAACTCACACCTTTCTGAGCATATACTTTCTACCCAGCAGTGATCAACTATCCCAATCCCTACCCTCCATATCTTTATTTATTAGTGGGAAAATAAAAGTGAATCATTTCAATTCCTCACTCACAGTATCTTAAAAGCACTTTTGTTTCCATTATCTCACTTAGTCCTTACAATAATCCTGTGAAGAAAATGGGACATGGATTTTATTCATTCCATAGAGGATTTCACAGACTCAGAGAGACTAATTTGTTCATGGCCATGTAAGTAGAAAGCAGAAGGCCAGGTACAATGGCTCATGCCTGTAATCTCAGCACTTTGGGAAGCCGAGTTGGGAGGATCACTTGAGGTCAGAAGTTCGAGACCAGCCCAACAATATTGCAAGAGCCCCATCTGTATTTAAAAATAAATAGGCCGGGCGTGGTGGCTCACGCCTGTAACCCCAGCACTTTGGGAGGCTGAGGCAGGTGAATCACGAGGTCAAGAGATTGAGACCATCCTGGCCAACATGGTGAAACCCTGTCTCTACTAAAAATACAAAAATTAGCTGGGCGTGGTGGCACGTGCCTGTAGTCCCAGCTACTTGGGAGGCTGGGGCAGGAGAATTACCTGAACCTGGGAGGCGGAGGTTGCAGTGAGCTAAGATCGTGACACTGTACTCCAGCCTGGCGACAGAGCGAGACTCTGTCTCAAAACAAAAAACCAATAATTAAAAAAATAATAACAAATAAATAGAGGCCAGGCATGGTGGCTCACACCTATAATCCCAGAACTTTGGGAGGCTGAGGTGGGCAGATCATTTGAGGTCAGGAGTTTGAGACCAGCCTGACCAACATGGTGAAACCCAGTCTCTAAGGGCCAGGCACAGTGGCTCATGCCTATAATCCCAGCACTTTGGAAGGCCAAGGCAGGTGGATCAACTGAAGTCAGGAATTTGAGACCAGCCTGACCAACATGGTAAAACCCTGCCTCTACTAAAAATACAAAATTAGCTGGGCATGGTGGCAGGCATCTGTAATCCCAGCTACTCTGGAGGTTGAGGCAGGAGAATCGCTGAAGCCGGGGCAGCAGAGGTTGCAGTGAGCCGAGACTGAACCACTGCACTCCAGCCTGGGTGACAGGGCGAGACAAAAAAAAAAAAAAGCAAGCAAGCAGAGGAACCAGGATGCCACCTCAAGCGTTCTGAGTCTAAATCTTGAGTTCTTTCCACATCACTATCAATTATTATTGGACTGTGTGAAGAGAAGGATGAGAATTCTGAAGATAAAAATCTACGAGGCCAGGAGCAGTGGCTCACTCCTATAATCCCACCACTTCGGGAGGCCGAGGCAGATGGTTTGATTGAGCTCTGGAGTTCGAGACTAGCCTGGGCAACATGGATGGCAAAACCCTGTCTCTACAAAACATACAGAAATTAGCTGGGCTTGGTGGCATGCACTTGTAGTCCCAGTTACTTGGGAGGCTGAAGTGGGACGCCTGCTTGAGTCCAGTTAGTCGAGACTACAGTGAGCTGTGATCATGGCACGGCACTCCAGCCTAGGTGACAGACACCTTGTCTCAAAAATAAATAAATAAATAAATATATATATATGCACGCACATGAAAAAACTGAGATTTTTATCAGTCAATATAGTCCCCATGGCAGCTTCTGCTGACAAACAAAAACAAACTAAAATTACAACCATAGATACAAAATTCCTTGTTCTGGTGGACCATTAACTCATTGTCATCTTTACTGTGGGAACCAAATGGACACCATCTTAGAGAAAGATTTCAGATTAAACAGCAGATCAACTCTAAAAATAACCTCCTGTCCCTCCCTAATCCCATTAAAATAAGTTAAAAAAATATTGCCAGGTGCAGTGGCTCATGCCTGTAATCCCAGCACTTTGGGAGGCCGAAGTGGGTGGATGACCTGAGGTCAGGAGTTCGAGACTAGCTTGACCAATATGGTGAAACCCCGTCTCTACTAAAATTACAAAAATTAGCCAGGTGTGGTGGCGTGTGCCTGTAGTCCCAGCTTCTCAGGAGGCTGATGCAGGAGAATCACTTGAACCCGGGAGGTGGAGGTTGCAGTGAGCCAAGATCATGCCGCTGCACTCCAGCCTGGTCAACAGAGCGAGACTCCGTCTCAAAAAAAAAAAAAAAAAAAAAAAAAAAAAAAAAAGAAGCTAAGGGATAAATCCTCAAGATAGGAGACTGGAATTTTCTCCGGAGATATTGAATGATTCCAGAGAAAAGACTTACAGATACTGACATTTAGGGAATCTTCCATTAGGAAGGTTGACTTGTGGACAAATTACTCTGAAGTAAAGTCTTGTGGTCTGCTAGAGTGAACCGAGACCAGCTCATAAAAGCCAACTGTGTACCTCTTTTCCCAAGTTTGTATTTAGTGATGTCATGTTGGTAGAAATAGTTACACCACAGAAATAATAAAGCACTGCAAATCGGGCATTTTTCTCCAAAGAGCTAGTTGTTAAACATTTACCCATATATTACTGGGCCAAATCCATCAATTATACTTCAAATCAGCTTTTCAGTGAGTGATTCTTTAAGAATGAATAGCCAGGGTCGGGCATAGTGGCTCAGACCTATAATCCCAGCACTGTGGGAGGCTGAGGTGGACAGATCACTTGAGGTCAGAAGTTTGAGACCAGCCTGGCCAACATGGTAAAACTTTGTTACTACTAAAAATACGAAATTAGTCAGGTATGGTGGTGTGCACCTGTAATCCCAGCTACTCGGGAGGCTGAGGTGGAAGAATCACTTGAACCTGGGAGATGGAGTTTGCAGTGAGCCGATATCGCACCACTGCACTCCAGCCTGGGCAGCTGAGCAAGATTCTGTCTCAAAAAAAAAAAAAAAAGAAAAGAAAAAGAAAAACAGTAAGGAAAGTTATATGGACCAGCAGGCGTGATAGCTCATGCCTGTAATCCCAGCACTTTGGGAGGCCGAGGTGGGTGAATCACCTGAGGTCAGGAGTCCGAGACCAGCCTGGCCAACATGGCAAAACCCCATCTCTACTAAAAAATACAAAAATTAGCCAGGTGTGGTGGCACATGCCTATAATCCCAGCTACTTGGGAGGCTGAGGCAGGAGAATCACTTGAACCCCCGGGATGCAGAGGTTGCGGTAAGCTGAGATCCTGCCACTATACTCCAGCCTGGGCAACAGAGCAAGACTGTCTCAAAAAAATAAATAAATAAATAAATAAAAGTTATATGGCACACATTGAGTAGTGTAAAAAATTCTCATCTACCATAATAGGGAATCAACAGAATCTTATAAAATTGGCCAGGCACGGTGACTCACACCTGTAATCCCAGAACTTTGGGAGGCCAAGGCAGGTGGATCACCTAAGGTCAGGAGTTTGAGACCAGCCTGACTGACATGGAGAAACCCCATCTCTACTAAAAATACAAAAATTAGCCAGGTGTGGTGGTGCATGCCTATAATCCCAGCTACTCAGGAGGCTGAGGCAGGAGAATCGCTTGAACCCAGGAGGCGGAGGTTGCGGTGAGCCAAGATCGCGCCATTGCACTCCAGCGTGGGCATCAACAGCGAAACTCCGTCTCAAAAAAAAAAGAATATTATAAAATTAATGGGTCAAAGAGTATCTTTTTAAGTATATTACTTAGAAATATAGAAGAATGTTACAGAAACAGCTAAAATTGTTGAAAGTGATTGCCTGTGAGCAACAGACTATGCCGTTTTTAACAGGCAAAAGTAGCAGCAGTTATTGGGTATAAAGCAAATTCAGATTTGTCTGTGCTCTTATTTTATTTATTTATTGCAGTGGTACAATCTTGGCTTACTGCAACCTCGGCCTTCTGGGTTTAAGAACACTTCAACCTCCCTAGTAGCTGGAACTACAGGTACACACCACCACGCTCAGCTAATTTTTTTTCTTTTTTTTTTTTTGAGATGGAGTCTTGCTCTGTCGCCTAGGCTGGAGTGCAGTGGCATGGTCTCGGCTCACTGCACTCCGCCTCCCAGGTTCACTTCATTCTCCTGCCTCAGCCTCCCGAGTAGCTGGGACTACAGGCGCCCGCCACCATGCCCGGCTAATTTTGTTTTTTGTATTTTTAGTAGAGACGGGGTTTCACTGTGTTAGCCAGGATGGTCTTGATCTCCTGACCTTGTGATCCGCCCACCTCGACCTCCCAAAGTGCTGGGATTACAGGAGTGAGCCACCACACCTGGCACTCAGCTAATTGTTTAATTTTTTGCAGAGACAAGGTCTCATTATATGGCCTAGGCTGGTCTTGAACCTCTGGGTTCCAGCAATCCTCCTGCTTTGGTCTCTCAAAAGGCATGAGCCACTGCATCTGGCCTGTTTGTGCTCTTAACCACTATGCTATACCGGTTCTCAGGGACCAGTTTCTGGGGTACCCAACCCCACCTTACCTCCTCCACATCTTCATCCAACTGCTCATTAGGATCCACTTCTCTTACTAAGTCCTGTAATTTCTTCTTGGTCAATACCTAAAGTTAATTGGAAGAAGACTTTTCAACCAGATATTAAGGAAATGAAACAAATCATTACCCTGTAATGAAGAAAGGCTGTCAAATTGTTGGTTTTAGTTTCCACTTTCCAATGAGTTCACAGTCTGGCCTACCTGACTATGCTGCTGTAAGACTACACTCTCAAGACAGAAGTAACTTAGGGAAAGGTGGAAAGAGCAGTTTGAAGACAGGCCAGCATCCAGCTGTCAGGCAGTATATTTCAGCCTCATGTCTTTTTCTCACTGTGTCTCTTCACATGTAGAAATTTGCAATTCTCTGACCACCACAAATTGTACCATGCCCCTTGCCTTTAGACAAGTTTGTTTTTTTGTTTTGTTTTGTTTTTGAGACAGGGTCTTGCTCTATTGCCCACTGGAGTGCAGTGGCATGATCATGGCTTACTGTAGCCTTGACTGCCAAGCTCTCCCACCTAAGCTTCCCAGCTAGCTGGGACCATAGGCACGTGCCATCATACCTGGCTAATTTTTTTTTTTTTTTTTTTTTTTGAGAGACAGGATCTCGCTATGTTGTGCAGCCTGCTCTTGAACTCCTGGCCTCAAGTGATTCTTCCACCTCAGCCTCCCAAAGTGCTGTACACACTCTTCCTCTCTTCTTCCTTCTTGCTTAGCTCATGGTGCCTCTTTCTGATGCTTTTCCTAGCCCATCCCAGTAAAGGTAACCACTTACTTCCTCCTTTGGCCTCTACTGTATCCTGTGTACCCTTTATCATTGTGCATATTTATATACTTCCCTGTTTCTGACTTAATAGGCTAAAAGCTCCCTGAGGGCAGCCTTCATAAAGGAAATGTCATGTTACATACGTATGCCATTAAAAAGTAATCAAAAGAAAGCCAGGCACAGTGATCTGTGCCTGTAGTCCCAGCTACTCAGCAGGCTGAGGCAGGAGGATCACTTGAGGCCAGGAGTTAGAGACTGCAGTGAGCTATGATTGTGCCACTACACTCCAGCCTGGGGAACACAGGAAGACCTCATGTCTTAAGAAACAAACAAAAAAAAGGGCCTGGCACAGTGGCTCACGCCTGTAATCCCACCACTTTGGAAGGCCGAGGTGGGAGGACTACCTGAGCCCAGGAGTTCAAAGACCAGCCTGGGCAACATGGCGAGACTGCATCTCTATTTAAAAAAAACATCTACAAAATGGCTGGGTGCAGTGGCTCATGCCTGTAATCCCAGTACTTTGGGAGACCGAGGTGAGCGGATCACGAGGTGAGAAGACTGAGACCATCCTGGCTAACACGGTGAAACCCTGTCTCTACTAAAAATGCAAAAAAAAAAATTAGCCAGGCGTGGTGGCGGGCGCCTGTAGTCCCAGCTACTTGGGAGGCTGAGGCAGGAGAATGGCGTGAACCCGGGAGGCAGAGCTTGCAGTGAGACGAGATTGCGCCACTGCACTCCAGCCTGGGCAACAGAGTGAGACTCCATCTCAAAAAAAAAAAAAAATCTAAAAAATATATAAAAAATAAATTAAGAAAAAAGAAAAAGTTAGGCACTTGACCTCCTCAGTGCCCATTTGAGTCTCTTCCAAGTGTACTTTCCTTTCTTTCCTGCTCTAAACCTTCTAGTAAAATTCCACTGAAAAAAAAAAAAAAAAAAAAAAGCCGGGTACGGTGGCTCATGCCTGTAATCCTAGCACTTTGGGAGGCTGAGGCGGGTGGATAACCTGAAGTCAGGAGTTTGAGACCAGCCTGACCAACATGGCGAAACCCTGTCTCTACTGAAAATACAAAAATTAGCTGGGCATGGTGTGGGTGCCTATAATTCCAACTATTAGGGAGGCTGAGGCAGGAGAATAGCTTGAATTGGGAGGAGGAGGTTGCAGTGAGCCAAGATTATGCCATTGCACTCCATCCTGGGTGATAGAGCGAGACTCTGTCTCAAAAAAAAAAAAGAGAGAGAGACAGACAGAGGAAAAAAAGAAAAACACCAAAAGACATACACTAAAATGCTAACCATGGCTATTTTAGGGTGGTGGCATTAGAATTATAGGCTATTTATTCTTTGTGTATTTCTGAAGTTTCTGTGATGAACACATATAACTTTTGAAATAAGGAAAAAAGAAAAAAAATTTTTTTTTTTTTTGAGACGGAATCTCGTTCTATCACCCAGGCTGGAGTGCAGTGGTGTAATCTCGGCTCACTGCAACCTCTGCCTCCCGGGTTCAGGTGATTCTTTTGCCTCAGCCTCCTGAGTAGCTGGGACTACAGGTGTGCACCACCATGCCAGGTTGATTTTTGTAATTTTAGTAGAGATGGGGTTTCAGCATATTGGCCAGGCTGGTCTCGAACTCTTGACCTTGGGTTATCGCCTGCCTTGGCCTCCCAAAGTGCTGGGATTACAGGCGTGAGCTACCGCGCACACCCAAGAAAATAATTTTTTTTTTTGCAACAGAGTCTCGCTCTGTCGCCCAGGCTGGAGTGCAGTGGCGCAATCTCTGCTCACTGCAAGCTCCACCTCCTGGGTTCACGCCATTCTCCTGCCTCAGCCTCCCGAGTAGCTGGGACTACAGGCGCCTGCCACCACGCCTGGCTAATGTTTTTGTATTTTTAGTAGAGACGGGGTTTCACCGTGTTAGCCAGGATGGTCTTGATCTGACCTCGTGATCCGCCCACCTCGGCCTCCCAAAGTGCTGGGATTACAGGCTTGAGCCACCATGCCCGGCCGAACCCAGAAATTTGAGGCTACAGTGAGCTATGATTATACCATTGCACTCTAGCCCAGGCAACAGAGCAAAACCCTTTCTCTAAAAAAAATGAATAAATATTTGTTAATGATGTCTCATATCTATCCATTCTTCTTCATTCTATCATTATCACCTAATTCGAGCCTTCACTACATGTCTTGATTTATTGCAAAAATCTTAGAATTGGTCATCCACCCAGTCTAACCCCCTTTTCTACCCATCCTGTCCCCTTACTGCCAAGTTAATCCTCTATAGGACACACTATTTTTATTATGTTACTTTTACTCCTTTATTAAATATCTGCAAAGATTGTATATTGCCTAAAAGTTCCAATGGAAATTGACTAGTACAGGTCCACTATGTTCTGCCCTACCTATACAATTTTAAATTCTGTCTTCTACAACAGACTCCATATTCAACATAGGTTGATATCCTGACTGCCCAACCCGCTCTCATTAATCTTTGCAAGTCCCTCCACTCATTCCCTTGAAATACTGGGCGAACTCATCCATTCTACACAGCCTACAAAAAACAAGTCAAAGGGATTATACTTATTTCTTGTGGCTCTGGAGGGCAGAATCAGAATTATGGGTAGAAAGAATGGAGCAGATTTTAGAATCACTGCAGAAAATTAATAATGGCAGCAATTGGATGAACTAGAAGATGGAATGACTAGAAGCAAGAGTACTTTTATCATAGGAATAATGAATCAATTTATTATTTTATTTAACAACTACATGGTTAACATGTATATAAAGCACTTATCAAAATGAAAGGAAAAAAACACCTTTCATAGGCAAGGTATTGTGTTAGTGTGTACAGATGGATGGATGGATGTATATATGCATACACACAACCACATACAATACAGTAATTAATAAACATTGTACATGATAATTTGCTAAAGAATGTTCCCAGAGGAGTATACATTCAGGACAACTTGAATCTGTGTCTCCTGAATTGGGAGTCCTCAAATTTGGCCCAAATAAACTCTCTACTTATATTAAAACAAACAAAAAAAGTTAGAAATCCAAAAGAGGGAAAAGACCTTTTCGGCTAAGAGAAAAAAGCAGCATCTGAGATGGACATCTCTTAAAGTATTACAGATTGAAATAATAGGTAAGAAGTGGCTACAGAGAAGAAAGAGTAAGAGGATGATACCTGATTGTTTTCAGGGCTAAGACGACCTCCTGCCCCAGGAGTGCCTGGTATCTTTACCACTGCAGTACTATTGGCCATGGAGCCTTGTGGAGGGGTGCTGGCTGGTTCCGGTTTTATGGATGAGAAATTGGAGAGGTTGATTAGGGCTGAGGGGCCAAACTGGTTCATAATCTGCCGAGCTTTGGACTTCAGCTCATAGAGCTTATCGAGATCCTGTTTCTTTTTGGAGCTGTGAGGACCAAGGCCAATTAACTGGAGAAGAAAAGCACAAGAATTAGCTCTAGAAGAACCTGTAATAAAGGATGAATCTTGAGAGTAAAAAGAGGCCTGGTGCAATGGCTCACAACTGTAATCCCAGCACTTTGGGAGGCCCAGGTGGTAGCATCACTTGAGCCCAGTAGTTCAAGACCAGCTTGGGCAACATAGCGAGACCTAGTCTCTACCAAGAAAAAAAAAAAAAAAAAAAAGTAAGTAAAATGAGGTCTGTTAGACTTTGAGGGTTCTTCAGTATATATGGAATGGTGACCATTTAATATCCACAGGTTAAAAATTGAGGGAATGAAGAATGTTTATTACTCTCAGCTGATATTTAGAAACCATCTCATTTCCAAATATTAAGTGAAATAGTCCACAAAATTTAAACAAGGAAGCAAGTAAATGAAATGAAGAATCTTATGTACAAAAATAAACTAGGGCCGCGTGCAGTAGCTCATGTCTGTAATCCCAGCATGTTGGGTGCCTGAAGTGGAAGGACCACTTGAGACAGGAGTTCAAGACCAGCCTGGGGAACATGGGGAAGCCCTATCTCTGTAAAAATTTAGCTGGGGCTGGGTGTGGTGGCTCAGGTCTGTAATCCCAGCACTTTGGGAGGCCAAGGCGGGTAGATCACCTGAGGTCAGGAGTTCGAGAGGAGCCTGACCAACATGGTGAAACCCCATCTCTACTAAAAATACAAAAAAATTGGCTAGGCGTAGTGGCACATGCCTATAATCCCTCCCAGCTACTGGGGAGACTGAGGCAGGACAATCACTTGAACACAGGAGACAGAGCTTGCAGTGAGCCGAGATCACGCCACTGTACTCCAGCCTGGGCAACAGAGTGAGACTCGCCCCCACCGCCCCACAAAAAAAAAAACAAAACACAAAAAACACTTAGCTGGACATGGTAGCATGTGGTCCTAGCTACTCAGGAGGCTAAGGCAGGAGGATTGCCTGAGCCCAAGAAGTTGAGGCTGCAATAAGCCATGATCACACCACTACTGCATTCCAGCCTAGGTGACAGAGTGAGACACTATCTAAAAATAAAATGAAATAAAAATAAACTAGAGGCTGGGCACAGTGGCTCATGCCTGTAATCCCAGCACTTTGGGAGGCCGAGGTGGGTGGATCACCTGAGGTCAGGAGTTTGAGACTAGCCTGACCAACATGGAGAAACCCCAACTCTACTAAAAACACAAAATTAGCCGGGCGTGGTGACACACGCCTGTAATCCCAGCTACTTGGGAGGCTAAGGCAGAAGAATTGCTTGAACTCGGGATGCAGAGGTTGACGAAACTCCATCTCAAATAATAATAAAAATAAATAAATAAATAAATAAATAAACTAGAATAAGCAAGACATTTTTGAGAACTTTGTAAAAATAGTTAAGTACTACATGCATTATTTTTAAAGTATCAAATAATGTTAAATTCAAATAAGTCATAGCACAATCACATCCTTTAAAAAAATCAGTCACAAAGCTTAAGAATACAGACTAGTTCATTCTGGCATTTCAAACATGCTTAAGTCTATGTCAGGGCTATGCCCAATAAACATAACTTTTAGCAGCTGTTAAAAGTAAACTCCTCTTTATCAAGAGCAATTTTTCTCTGAGTGTTAGCAATCTAAGTACATGCAGAGACCCTAGTCTGGAGCAGCTGAGACTCCTGAATCTTAGAGTCATGAGGCTGACTCTGTGGACGTCAGCTTGGGTGTCATCACGATCAGAAGCACATTCACCAAGTTCTGCTCACAGTAGCCTCAAACTTACTTACAGCTATCTGAGTGTCTAGATCTTTAATTACATCAGCAACAGCTGTGAGCCCGGTGAAATGAGAGGCAGCCATTTTCAAAAGCTACCTGTAAATGAACAACTGGCATCAAGCACCATCCTTGCCATGGAACCATTTTAGTTGAATGGCCTGGTACATCTTCACCAACCAGGATCCAAGCAAACTGGATGTGGAGAAATATATCTCCTTTTCCTTAGTGGGAGCCAAGACAAACATCTCCATCTCTTTCATAAGCAACTTTGAAAATTAATTAATGATGATTATGGCACATATAGACCACCTTCTTATAAAATGAATGTCTGCTGTTAGGGATAAACTAACAGCATATGGAATATTTTATTGGGCAAAATTGTGGGATATGAGCCTGCAGGAATTATATCAATGGCCTTCAGAACTTGGTAAAAGTTGGCAATATAAATGTCTACTGTATCTATCCTACTCTTGTCCCTAGTCCTGAGTTCCTCCTCACCACACTGTCTGACTTTCTAATATGAGAAATCTGGCCCGGCCCAGTGGCTCATGCCTGTAATCCCAGCACTTTGGGAGGCCAAGGCAGGCAGATCACTTGAGGTCAGGAGTTTGAGACCAGCATGGCCGACATAATGAAACCCAGTCGTTACTAAAAATACAAAAACTAGCCAGGCATGGTGGCACGTGCCTGTAATCCCAGCTACTTGGGAGGCTGAGGCAGGAGAATCACTTGAACTCAGGAGGCAGAGGTTGCAGTGAGCCGAGATCAGGCCACTGCACTCCAGCCTGGGCAACAGAGCGAGACTCTGTCTCAAAAAAAAATAAAAATAAAAAAATAAATAATAATAATAAGAAGAAATCATGTTCTCCTGGTTTACGCTTAATAAAGGCAACTAAGTATGTACTGGTTAAAAAACCAAGATTAACTAGGCTGACTTGCTGGCCAAGAACCAGCTGATGGGGACAGCAGAGTATTAGGATCACTTGTTTGTTTTAACCATATGTGGCCTCCTTCTCCCCTACCCACAAACATTACCAATAGAAGAGTCAGGATAGAAACCTTTCTTAACATGGTAATAGCTGTTCTAATATTATAAAAGCAAACTATTTTCCCAAAGCAAGTTCTATGCAAAAGCCTCATTAAGGATCATCAAACTGTATCCTCATCACTCTAGCCTCACACTGAACATACTTTATCTCTCAAAAACATTCCCACAACCTTCAAGGGACTTCCCAAATAATACTGAGTATTGCACAAAATAAGTGGAGACTTTTTATAACAGAGATTTTTGAGTAAGAATTTGTTATAACATCTAGAGACATATCTGGGTGTGGTGGTGTGCACCTATAATCCCAGCTACTCAGGAGGCTGAAGTAGGAGTACTGTTTGAGCCCAGGACTTTCAGGTCAGTCTGGGCAACATAGTGAGACACTGTCCCTTTCTCTCTTTTTTTTGAGACAAGGTCTCATTTTGTAGGACAGGCTAGAGTGTAGTGGTGTAATCATGGTTCACTGCAGACTCAAACTCGTGGACTCAAGCAATCCTCCTGTCTCAACCTCTTAAGTAGCTAGGACTACATGTGCACACCACTGCACCCAGCTAATTTTTTTTTTTTTTTTTTTTTTGAGACGGAGTCTCGCTCTTTCGCCCAGGTCGGACTGCAGTGGCACTAACTCGGCTCACTGCAAGCTCCGCCTCCTGGGTTCACGCCATTCTCCTGTCTCAGCCTCCCAAGTAGCTGGGACTACAGGCACCCACCACCACGCCCAGCTATTTTTTTGTATTTTTAGTAGAGACGGGGTTTCACCGTGTTAGCCAGGATGGTCTCGATCTCCTGACCTCATGATCCGCCTGCCTCGGCCTCCCAAAGTGCTGAGATTACAGGCGTGAGCCACCGCGCCTGGCCCCAGCTAATTTTTTTTTTTGGTAGAGATGGGATCTTGCTATGCTGCCTAGGCTGGTCTCTAACTCCTGGCCTCAAGTAATTCTCCTGCCTCAGCCTACCAGAGTGCTGGAATTATAGGCTTGGGCCACCACACTCAGCCCCGTCTCTTTTTTTTTTTTGAGACGGAGTCTCACTGTGTCCCCCAGGCTGGAGTGCAGCGGTGTGATCTCAGCTCACTGCAACCTCTGCCTTGCGGGTTCAAGCAATTCCTGCCTCAGCCTCCTGGGTAGCTGGGATTACAGGCGCACACCACCATGCCTGGCAGATTTTTGTATTTTTAGTAGAGGAGGGGTTTCACCATGTTAGTCAGGCTAGTCTCAAACTCCTGACCTCGTGATCCACCCGCCTCGGGCCTCCCATAGTGCTGGGATTACAGGTATGAACCACCGCGCCCGGCCTCAGCCTAAATTTTTTTTAGGGCTGGGCACAGTGGCTCACGCCTGTAATCCCAGCACTTTAGGAGGCCACGGCAGGTGGATCACCTGAGGTCAGGAGTTCGAGACCAGCCTGGCCAACATGATGAAACCCCATCTCTACTAAAAATACAAAAAATTAGCCAGACTTGGTGGCAGGCACCTGTAGTCCCAGCTACTTGGGAGGCTGAGGCAGGAGAATTGCTTGAACCCAGGAGGTGGAGGTTGCAGTGGGCCGAGATCATGCCACTGCGCTCCAGCCCGCGCAACAAGAGTGAAACTCTGTCTCAAAAAAAAAAAAAAAAAAGCAAATAAATAATGAAAAACTTTTTTAGGACGGTTGATGTGGCTCACGCTTGTAATCTCAGTACTTTGGGAGACCGAGGCAGGCAGAACACCTGAGATCAGGAGTTCGAGACCGGCCTGGCCACCATGGTGAAACCCCAACTCTACTAAAAATACAAAAAATTAGCCAGGTGGGGTGGCAGGTGCCTGTAATCCCAGCTACTTGGGAGGCTGAGGCAGGAGAATCACTTGAACCTGGGAGGCGGAGGTTGCAGTGAGCCAAGATCGCACCATTGCAACTCTAGCTTGGGCGACAAGGGCGAAACTCCATCTCAAAAAAAAAATTTTTTTTTTAAAGATCTGGAGACAAAAAGTATGGCCTATCTACATAGTACCAAATATGAATATTCACATATCAAATTAGGATTTTTTTTTCTTTTTTTGTTGTTTCCAGTGAAGTTGGATGAAATTAGCAAATAACCTTAAGGAATAGCTCCAACAGCAGTCACTTTAATGAAATAAGTGGAGGCTGGGTGCAGTGGCTCACGCCGGTAATCCCAGCACTGTGGGAGGCCAATGTGTGTGGATCACTTGAGGTCAGGGGTTCGAGACCAGCCTGGCCAACATGGTGAAACCCCCATCTCTACTAAAAATATAAAAATTAGCCGGGCGTGGTGGCACACGCCTGTAATCCGAGCTACTCAGGAGGCTGACACACAAGAATCACTTGAACCTGGGAGACAGAGGTTGCAGTGAGCTGAGATAAGGCCACTGCACTCCAGCCTGGGTAACAGAGTGAGACTCCGTCTCAAAGAAAAAAAAAAAAAAAAAAGAGGCCGGGCGCGGTGGCTCACGCTTGTAATCCCAGCACTTTGGGAGGCTGAGGCGGGCGGATCACAAGGTCAGGAGATCGAGACCATCCTGGCTAACACGGTGAAACCCTGTCTCTACTAAAAATACAAAAAATTAGCTGGGCGTGGTGGCGGGCACCTGCAGTCCCAGCTACTCGGGAGGCTGAGACAGGAGAATGGCGTGAACCCAGGAGGCGGAGCTTGCAGTGAGCCGAGATCGCGCCACTGCACTCCCTCAAAAAAAAAAAAAAAAAAAAAACTAAAAAAGAAGTAAGTGGAACCTCTGGAGAAGGGGAAAAATCAGTTTCTCCCTAAGAAACTCGACAAAAATTTACTGCTGTCACTGACCTTGCTGAAAAGCAAACAATACTTCTGAATTTTAAATAATTCTGACTAAGCAAACGATTTCTTCCTATAAAAACTAAACGAAACAAAAGCAGATGATAACCAGACACCCCCTGGTGCCAGACTAACACTACCCTTAGGTTCTAAACTATTTCTTGATATGGCAAGATTTTAAAACTGTAACACATTTGATGGGTGGTAATACATAGGCTTATACAACTGTCGAACTCCTCCCATTGAGCATTCAAGATCTGTGAATTTTACTGTATGTAAATTATACTACAACTAAGAACAATAACTCAAACACCCCTCCAGCTTCCCAGGAAAAACACTGTACTACTAGATATTTATCCGACAGAAAGGAAAACCTGAGCTCGAGACCAGCCTGGTCAATATGGTGAAACCCCATCTCTACTAAAAAAATGCAAAAATTAGCCAGACACGGTGCAGGGGGTGGGGGGGGGGGGGGCGCCTGTAATCCCTTGGGAGGCCAAGGCATGAGAATGGCTTGAACCCAGGAGGTGGAGGTTGCAGTGAGCCGAGATTGCGCCACTGCACTCCAGCCTGGGTGACAGAGCAAGACTCTGTCTCAAAAAAAACCCTAAAAAGCTGGTCACAAAAAAAACACATATTGTACGATTACATTTATATGAAATGTCCAGAATAGGCAAACCCATAGACAGAAAGTAGATTAGTTGTTGCCTATGGCCAGGGCATGTAGGAGAGGAATAGAGACTGGCTGCTAATGGGTATACGGTTTCTTTTACGGGATACAAAAATGATCTAAAATTACATTGTGGTGATGGTTGCCAACCCTGATTATATTAAAAAAAAAACCCACAGAATTATACACTTTAAATCAGTGATTTGTGTGAAATGTGAATGATTTAAATAAAGACTTTAAAAAAAAAAAATGAGGAGGCTCACGAAATGGTCTCCAAGAGAAATTGTTCAATGAATGAAAGCAAAACATAGAATGGGAGAATATTTTGTTATTGTTTATTGAAACACATGTATTGCCGGATGCGGTGGTTCATGCCTACAATCCCGGCACTTTGGGAGGCCAAGGCAGGCGGATCACCTGAGGTTGGGAGTTCGAGACCAGCCTGACCAACATGGAGAAACCCCCTCTCTACTAGTAATACAAAATTAACCAGGCGCGTTGGCGGGCGCCTGTAATCCCAGCTATTTGGGAGGCTGAGGCAGGAGAATCGCTTGCATGGAGAGGCAGAGGTTGCAATGAGCCAAGATTGCACCACTGCACTCTAGCTGGGGTGACAGAGCAAGACTCCGTCTCAAATAAATAAATGAATAAAACACACATACACAGACATACAGTTGTAAATTCATAAATTATTCCTGGCAAGATACATAAGAAACTGATAACAGAGGGAGGTGGGGGAATGGTGGTATCTGGGTGGCCTATGGGACCAAGAACGTCTTATTTTTCACTGTACACCCTAAATCCTGTATTATGTGCATATGTTACCTATGGAAAAAATTAAGATAAACTACTATTTGAATTTTTTTCTCTGCAGAAATAGATCATACTCACCCTTTTCTTCCTGTTTTTTGTTTCTGAGACACAGTCTCACTCTGTCACCCAGGCTGGAATACAGTGGCCATGATTTTGGCTCACTGCAACCTTGGCCTCCCGGGTTCAAGCAATTTTCCTGCCTCAGCCTGAGCATCTGGGATTACAGGCACGTACTACCACGCCTGGCTAATTTTTTTGTATTATTAGTAGAGATGGAGTTTTCCCATGTTGGCCAGGCTGGTCTCGAACTTCCAACCTCAAGTGATCCACCCACCTCGGCCTCCCATAGTGCTGGGATTACAGGCGTGAGCCACTGCAACAGGCCTTGGGTTTTTTGTTTGTTTGTTTGCAGAGATAGGTCTTGCTGTTGCCCAGGCTGGAGTGCAGTGGTGAAATCACAGCTCACTGCACCCCCAAAATCCTAGGCTCAAGCAATAATCTTGCATCAGCCTCTTGAGTAGCTGGGGCTACAAGTGCAAACCACACCTGGCTAATTTTTCTATTTTTTTTTAAAACACGGTGTCTTGCTATGTTGCCCAGGATGGCCCTGAACTCTTTGCCTCTATCAGTCTTCTCCCCTCAGCTTCCCAAATAGCTGGGGTTATATGTGCAAGGCACCGCACCCAACTCTAACCTGTTTATTTTTTAGAGATGGGTCTTACTTTGTGGCCCAGGCTGGAGTGCAGTGGTGCAATCAGAGCTCACTACAGCCTCAACCAGCTGGACTCAAGCTATCCTCCCACCTCAGCTTCCTCAGAAGCTGGAACTACAGGCATGCACCACCATGCCCAGCTCATTTTATATTTTTTATTTTTTGTAGAGAGAAAGTCTCACCATGTTGCCCAGGCTGCTCTCAAACTCTTGGGCTCAAGCGATCCTCCTGCCTCAGCCTCCCAAAGTGCTGGGATTATAGGCACAAGCCTCCATGCCCAGCCTATCTCACATTTATACAAAAATAAGTTCAGGGCCAGGTACAGTGGCTCACGCCTGTAATTTCAGCACTTTGGAGGCCGAGGCGGGCAGATCATGAGGTCAGGAGTTCGAGACCAGCCTGACCAACATGGTGAAACCCGTCTCTACTAAAAATATAAAAATTAGCTGGGCGTGGTGGCGTGCGCCTGTAATCTAAGCTACTCGAGGCTGAGGCAGGAGAATCGCTTGAACCCGGGAGGCGGAGGTTGCAGTGAGCTGAGATCACGCCACTGCACTCCAGCCTAGGTGACAGAGTGAGACGCTGTCTCAAAAAAAAAAAAATTCAAAACTGATCATATACCTAATGTAAAAATATACAACTTCTTGAAGAAAACAGGAGAAAACCTTCATGACTTCGGGTTAGTCAGAGTTCTTAGATACAATATCAAAAGCACAATCCACAAAAGAAAAGAATTGATAAAGTGGACTTAATCAAAATGTAAAACTTCTGCTCTGCAAAAGACAATAAGAAGATAAGTTGGGCCAGGCGTGGTGGCTCACACCTGTAATCCCAGAACTTTGGGAGGCCGACGTGGGCAGATCACAAGGTCAGGAGTTCCAGACCAACCTGGCCAAGATGGTGAAACCCTGTCTCTACTAAAAACACAAAAAAATTAGCAGGGCATAGTGGTGGGTGCCTATAATCCCAGCTACTCGGGAGGCTGAGGCAGAGAAGTACTTGAACCCGGGAGGCGGAGGTTGCAGTGAGCTGAGACCGTGCCACTGCACTCCATCCTGGGTGATAGAGTGAGACTCCGTCTCCAAAAAAAAAAAAAAAAAAAAAGATATGTCATAGATTAGGAGAAAATATGTATAAATCACATATCCAACAAATGACTTGTATCCAGCACATATAAAGAAATTTCAGTGCAAAGGCTTGTGGGGGAGGAAAAAATTTTTTTTTTCAAAATTCAACAATAAGAAAATAACAACCCAATTTAGAAAATGGGCAGACTCGGCCAGGCATGGTGGCTCACGCCTGTAATCCCAGCCCTTTGGGAGGCCGAGGCAGGCAGATCACCTGAGGTCAGGAGTTTGAGACCAGCCTGGCCAACATATAGTGAAGCCCCGTCTCTACTAAAAAATACAAAAACTAGCTGGGTGTGTTGGCACACACCTATAGTCCTAGCTACTTGGGAAGCTGAGGCAGGAGAATCACCGAAACCTGGGAGGCGGAGGTTACAGTGAGCTGAGATTGCACCACTGTACTCCAGCCTGGGCAACAGAACAAGACTCCTTCTCTCCAAAAAAAAAGAAAATGGGCAGACTGGGCATGATGGCTCATGCATGTAATCCCAGTACTTTGGGAGGCCAAGGCAGGAGGACTGCTTAAGCTAAGGAGTTTGAGACAAGGCTAGGTAACATAATGAGACCCTGGCTCTTTATTTATTTATTTTAAAGGGCAAAAGATCTGAGCAGACCCTTCATCAAAGATAAACAAATGGCAAATAGGCACATGAAAAGATGCTCAATATCATTTGTCACCAGGAAAATGCAAATTTTAAAAAACATGATATACCTATATAAAATAGCTAAAATTTAAAAACAAAAACAAGTGCTGGAGAGGATACAAAGGAACTGAAACCCTCATACATTGCTGGTGTGAATGTAAAATGGTATAGTTTTTCTTGAAGACAGTTTGGTAGTTTCTTCTAAAGTTAAATGTATGCTTATATGACTCAGCAATCCCACTCCTAGGTACTTACTGTAGAGAAATGAAAACTTACATTCACACAAAAATCTGTTCATAAATATTTATAGCAACATCATTCACAACTACCAAAAACCGAAAACAATCCACATGTCCTTCAAATGGTGAATAAACAAATTATGGTATATCCATTCAATGGAATACTCAGAAATAGAAAGGAAAGGCCAGGTACAGTGGCTCACATCTGCAATCCCAGCAATTTGGGAGGCCAAGGCAGGTGGATCACCTGAGGTCAGGAGTTTGAGACCAGCCTGGCCAACATGGTGAAACGCTCTCTACTAAAAATACAAAAATTAGCCTGGCATGGTGGCATGTGCCTGTAATCCCAGCTACTCGGGAGGCTGAGGCAGGAGAATCGCTTGAACCTGGGAGGCGGAGGTTGCAGTGAGCCAAGATTACGCCATTGCATCTACTCGGGAGGCTGAGGTAAGAGAATTGCTTCAACCCGGGAGGCGGAGGTTGCAGTGTGCAGAGATCGCACCATTGCACTCCAGCCTGGGCAGCAGAGTAAGACTCTGTCTCAACAATAACAACAACAAAAAAAAGACTACTGACGCATGCAACAACACAGATGAATCTCAAATGTATCATACTAAGTGAAAAAGGCAAGGCTCAAATGGCTGTATAATTCCATTTATAGGCCACTCTGGAAAAAAAAAGTTATAGGGATGGAAAACAGATCAGTGGTTGTTAAGGAGTCTGGGGCAGAGGAGCGTTTGACTACAAAGGAGCAGCATGATTAAATCTGTGGAGGTGGGGGGTGAAATTGTTCTGTATCTTGAGTGTTGTAGTGCTTACATGACAGTATATATTTGTCATATTCTATGAGTTATGACTGTACCCCATAATAATTTTATTGTATATAAATTTTAAAAAATATGTATTTTTTTGGTGGAGTTCCGCTTTGTTGCCCAAGCTGGAGTGCAATAGAACGATTTCAGCTCACTGCAACCTCCGCCTGCCAGGTACAAGCAATTCTCCTGTCTCAGCCTCCCAAGTAGCTCGGATTACAGGTATACACCACCATGCCCAGCTATTTTTTTTTTTATTTAGTACAGACGGGGTTTCACCATGTTAGACTGGTCGCGAACTCCTGACCTCAGGTGATCCACCTGCCTCGGCCTCCCAAAGTGCTGGGATTACAGGGCATGCACCTCCAAGCCCGGCCTACTTTTTTTTTTTTTTTTTTTTGAGACAGAATCTCACTCTGTTGCCCAGGCCAGAGTACAGGAGCCCAATCTTGGCTCACTGTAACCTCTGCCTCCCGGGTTCAAGCGATTCTACTGCCTCAGCCTCCAGAGTAGCTGGGATTACAGGCACGTGCCACCATGCTGGGCTAATTTTTGCATTTTTTAGTAGAGATGGCATTTCGTCATGTTGGCCAGGCTGGTCTTGAATTCCCGACCTCAGGTGATCCACCCGCCTCAGCCTCCCAAAGTGCTGGGATTACAGGCATGAGACACTGTATCCAACCGAAAATAAATTTTAAAAAGTAAAACAGGGCCAGGTGCAGTGGCTCATGCCTGTAATCCCAGCACTTTGGGAGGCTGAGGCGGGCAGATCACTTGAGGTCAGGAGTTCAAGACCAGTTTGGCTAACACGGTGAAACCCCGTCTCTACTAAAAATACAAAAATTAGCCGGGTATGTTGGCTCACACCTGTAATCCCAGCACTTTGGGAGGCCGAGGTGGGCAGATCATCTAAGGCTGGGAGTTCTAAACCAGCCTGACCAACATGGTGAAACCCCGTCTCTACTAAAAATACAAAAATTAGCTGGGCATGGTGGTGCATGCCTGTAATCCCAGCTATTCGGGAGGCTGAGGCAGGAGAATCGCTAGAATCCGGGAGGCGGAGGTTCCGGTGAGCCGAGATTGTGCCATCGCACTCCAGCCTGGGCAATGAAAGCGAAACTCCATCTCAAAAAAAAAAAAAAAAAAAAATTAGCCAGGTGTGGTGGCGCGTGCCTGTAATCCCAGCTATTCGGGAGGCTGAGGCAGGAGAATCACTTGAACCCAGGAGGTGGAGGTTGCAGTTAGCCGAGATTGCGCCACTGCAACCCAGCCTGGATGACAGAGTGAGACTGTCTCAAACAAATAAATAAAAAATAAATAAAAATCAAAAACAAAAACAGGCATTAACTGGCCGGGCACAGTGGCTCACGCCTGTAATCTCCACACTTTGGGAGGCTGAAGCAGGTGGATCACAAGGTCAGGAGTTCGAGACCATCCTGACCAACATGGTGAAACTCCGTCTCTACTAAAAATACAAAAAAATTAGCCAGGCGTGGTGGCGCTTGCCTGTAATCTCAGCTATTTAGGAGGCTGAGGCAGGACAATAGCTTGAACTCGGGAGGCAGGGGTTGCAGTAGGCCGAGATCACACCACTGCACTCCAGCTTGGGCGACAGAGCGAGACTCCATCTCAAAAAAAAAAAAAAAAAAAAACCCCACAAAAAACAGGCATTAACTGTGGGACAGTTTGAGAGAACAATAATAATTAACCCTTACTATTACCTACTATGTAGAAATTGTGTGCTATGAGTCACAAAGTAAATATGGAAAGTCCACCCCCCAGTGATTGGTTGTTGAAAATATTTAGTAATTCTATCAAAACACGATTGTATGGGTTAGAGTTCAATTTAAATAAACCCATCTAGGCAAGGTGCAGTGGCTCACGCCTGTAATCCCAACACTTTGGGAGGCCGAGGTGGGCAGATCACCTGAGGTCGGAAGTTTGAGACCAGCCCGACCAACATGCAGAAAACCCATTTCTACTAAAAATACAAAATTAGCCGGGCATGGTGGGGTATTCCTGTAATCCCAGCTACTCGGGAAGCTGAGGCAGGAGAATTGTTTGAACCCGGGAGGTGGAGGTTGCAGTGAGCCGAGATCACGCCATTGCACTCCAGCCTGGGCAACAAGAGCAAAACTCCATCTAAAAAATAAATAAGTAGGCCAGGCATGGTGGCTCATGCCTGTAATCCCAGCACTTTGGGAGGCCGAGGCAGGCGGATCACGAGGTCAGGATCGAGACCATCCTGGCTAACAGGGTGAAACCTCACCTCTACTAAAAAAAAAAATACAAAAAATTAGACAGGCATGGTGGCGGGTGCCTGTAGTCCCAGCTACTCCGGAGGCTGAAGCAGGAGAATAGCGCGAACCCGGGAGGTGGAGCTTGCAGTGAGCCGAGATCGCGCCACTGCACTCCAGCCTGGGCGACAGAGCAAGACTCCGTCTCAAATAAATAAATAAATAAATAAAAAAAACCACATCTATCCTCCCTCCTTTTTTTTTTTTTTTTTTTTTTTTTGAGATGGAGTCTCACTGTGTCGCCCAGGCTACAGTGCAGTGTCGCCCAGGCTACAGTGCAGTGGCGCAATCTTGGCTCACTGCCAGCTCCACCTCCTGGGCTCACACCATTCTCCTGTCTCAGCCTCCTGAGTAGCTGGGTCTACAGGCGCCTGCCACCACACCCGGCTAATTTTTTGTATTTTTAGTAGACATGGGGTTTCACCGTGTTAGCCAGGATGGTCTCAATCTCCTGAACTCATGATCTGCCCACCTCGGCCTCCCAAAGTGCTGGGATTACAGGCATGAGCCACTGCACCCGGCCTATCCTCCCTCCTTTTAAACTGTGGTTGACTGGCTGAGGATGACAAGCCCTAATTGCTTCCCTTTAACAACCTTGTACTTCAAACAGAAGTCTAGCTGCAACCCTATTATTGTATTGAGAGGGTCTAATTTTTCATAGGGTAGGAATTAAGGAGACCTTGGCAATAGTTGTAAGACCCTGGTATTCTCTGTGCATCTATTCCATTAACTGTTTTTTTTTTTTTAAAAAAACAAAACAAAGGTGAAGAGAAAGGGGAACAGAAGAAAAGGTAGCCTTCAAAACCTTTTTTTACCTCTGAAATGTTTAGTAATTTATTATTTAAGCAAAATACTGGAATCAAGAGGACTGGCCTGATGGCATAAAAGCCCTATACTGTGGTGCATGACTTCACTTAATGACTGGTTTTTCTACCTGGCTGTTTCTTTCCTCTCTGGCTTCTAAATGTATCTAAATGAGCTCATATTTCCCAGCCTAAATAAGCTAAAAAGGATCAATTATTTGCAGTCTGTGAGACTCGAGAGCAATAGAAATGCAAGATTTTTTTCCAGTGTGCAATTAGGATTGGTTAGTTGAGGCTCCAGCTGCTTTTGACTTATCAAAAAGGCAGTATAGGCCACATGTGGGACCCCACGTCTGTAATCCCAGAACTTTGGGAGGACAACATGGGAGGACTGTTTGAGGTTAGGAGTTGGAGACCAGCCTGGGCAACACAAAAAGATCCTGTCTCTAACAACAACAAAAGGTAGTATAGTGTATAGTACAGTGGTCAAGGATATGAACCATGGTAGCAGTATCTGGGTTTAAGTACCAACTGTGCCACTTTTCAGCTGTATTGAGCAAGCTACATAATCTCTTTATGCCTCAATTTTCTCATCTGAAAAAATTAAGTTAATAATGAAGTACAGGGTGGGCTTGGTGGCTCACACCTATAATTCTAGCAGTTTGGCAGGCTGAGCGGGAGGATCACTTGAACCTAGGAGTTTGAGACCAGCCTGGGCAACATAGTGAGATCTGGTCACTACAAATAAAAAAAAAAAAATCAAAAAATTTGCCAGGCGTGGTGGCATGCAGCTGTGGTCCCAGCTACTTGGGAGGTTAAGGCGGGAGGATCACTTGAGCCCAGGAGGTTGATACAGTAGTGAGATGTGATGGCACCACTGCACTCCAACGTGGGTGACAAAGCAAGACCCTGTCTCAGGGAAAAAAAAAAAATCAACATACTGCTCAATGCAGTGGAGCACATGTATAATCCCAGCTACTATGGGGTCTGAGGTGACGGAATGGCTTGAGCCTAGGAGTGCGAGGCTGTAGTACATTGTGATAGGCCTGTGGCTAGCCACCATGCTCCAGCCTGGAAAATAAAGCAAGACCCCATCTCTCAAAAAATACCAGTGTTTCATTTCACTCATCCTGCTGCTAACCCAACACACATATCCATGTGTGCTGGCACCATATAAGTGTTCTGTATGACTTCAGAGATTAACAGAAGAATGGTGGATTGGAAAAAAATGGTAACAAGTGGTCAGCAGGAGGCTGATGAGAGTTACTGTGGAAAACCCAAATCAAGAGGGCTGGATGCCATCTTTGGTCAGTTTCCACATCTGTAATTAGGAGTTGGCCCAGGCAAATTCTTTTTTTCTTTTTCTCTTTTTTGAGACAGAGTTTTGCTCTGTCACCCAGGCTCGAGCGCAGTGGCACGATCTTGGTTCACTGCAACCTCCGCCTCTGGCCAGACCAGGCAAATTCTAAAGTCCCTTTCAGCATTAAAAATCAGTGTAAAGGCCAGGTACAGTGGCTCACGCCTGTAATCCTAGAACTTTGGGAGGCCGAGGCAGGCGGATCACGAGGTCAGGAGTTCAAGACCAGCCTGACCAATATGGTGAAACCCTGTCTCTACTAAAAATACAAAAAATAGCCGGGCATTGTGGCGCGCGCTTATAGTCCCAGCTACTCGGGAGGCTGAGGTAGGAGAAGTGCTTGAACCCGTGAGGCGGAGGTTGCAGTGAGCCGAGATCACACCACTGCACTCCAGCCTGGGCGACAGAGCAAGACTCCGTCTCCAGAAAAAAGATTTTCTTTTTTTTATTTTTGCTCTCTTTACCCTCCCTGTCTGACTTAAATTAAGTCCATACACAGAAATTTCAAAGTCTGTCTGCCTCCAACACACCTGTTTCACAGTGCAGCCTGTAAACATTGCTGATATAGTGCCTACAAAATATTTTAGGGCTTTCCATAAAGAATCCCAACCAAAAGTAGTATGTCTTCGCCAGGTGTCATGGTTCATGCCTACAATCCCAGCACTTCGGGAGGCAGATGTAGGAGGATCACTTGCTGATAGGAGTTTAAGACCAGCCTGGGTAATGCAGTGAGACCCCATTCCTATTTTTTGTTTAATTATTATTATTATTTTTTTGGAGATGGAGTCTCGCTCTGTCGCTCAGGCTGGAGTGCAGTGGCACAATCTCGGCTCACTGCAACCTCTGCCTCCTGGGTTCAAGTGATTCTCCTGCCTCAGCCTCCTGAGTAGCTGGGATTACAGGCGTCTGCCACCACATCCAGCTAATTTTTGTATTTTATTTTATTTTATTTTATTTTATTTTTTGAGACAGAGTCTCACTCTTGTCACCCAGGCTGGAGTGCAAAGGGGCAATCTCAGTTCACCACAACCTCCGCCTCTCAGGTTCAAAGGATTCTCCTGCCTCAGCCTCCCGAGTAGCTGTGATTACAGGCATGCATCACCACGCCCAGCTAATTTTGTATTTTTAGTAGAGATGGGGTTTCTCCATGTTGGTCAGGCTGGTCTCGAACTCCCAACCTCAGGTGATCCGCCCACCTCGGCCTCCCAAAGTGCTGGGATTACAGGCATAAGCCACCGCGCCCGGCCTAATTTTTTTTTTTTTTTTTGAGACAGAGTCTCACTCTGTCACCCAGGCTGGAGTGGCGCAATATCGGCTCACTGCAGCCTCTGCCTCCCGGGTTCCAGCGATTGTCCTGCCTTAGCCTCCCAGGTAGCCGGGATTATAAGCACACGCCACTATGTCCAGCTGATTTTTATATTTTTAGTAGAGACGGGGTTTTACCATGTTGGCCAGGCTGGTCTCGAACTCCTGACCTCAGGTGATCTGCCCACATCAGCCTCCCAAAGTGCTAGGATTACAGGCATGAGCCACCTCACCTGGCCTATTTTTTTTTTTTTTTTTTTTTTGAGACAGAGCCTTGCTCTGTCACCCGGGCTGCAGTGCAGTGGCACAATCTCTGCTCACTGCAAGCTCCACCTCCCGGGTTCACGCCATTCTCCTGCCTCAGCCTCCCAAGTAGCTGCGACTATAGGCGCCCGTGCCCAGCTAATTTTTTTTGTATTGTTAGTAGAGACGGGGTTTCACCGTGGTCTCGATCTCCTGACCTCGTGATCCGCCCACCTCGGCCTCCCAAAGTGCTGGGATTACCGGCGTGAGCCACCACGCCCGGCTGGCCTATTTTAATTTTTTAAGACAGAATCTTGCTCTATTGCCCAGGCTGGAGTGCAGTGGTGTGATCTCGGCTCACTGCAACTTCCACCTCCCACCTTCTGGGAGGCCGAGGCAGGCAGATCATCTGAGGTCAGGAGTTCGAGACAAGCCTGGCCAACATGGTGAAACCCGTCTCTACTAAAAATACAAAAATTAGCCAGGCATGGTGGCGCATGCCTGTAATCCCAGCTACATGGGAGGCTGAGGCAGGAGAATCGCTTGAACCCGGGAGGTGAAAGTTGGAGTGAGCCAAGATTGCACCACTGCTCTCCAGCCTGGGTAACAAGAGTGAAAGAGCGAAACTCCGTCTCACAAAAAAAAAAAAAAAGGTAATATGTCCTTTTGTCCTTTGTTCCTATCGGCTCTAATTATAATGCAATGATTTTCTGATCGGGTATTTTGAAGTCCTATTATAATAAGTCAACGCTAGAGCCACAAATGAAATGAAGTACATTTTGCAAGTATAGGTAAGGATGTTAACTCAGGAATAAATTATCATTAATTAAACCATCAAGTACTTTGAAGTGGTGACATGGGCATCGGTATGCTTTCCCTTATAAGTTGGTATAAGTTAGTTTTGATCATTTATATATAATAGGCGCTTGCAAATAGTACAGGCTAACCCTGGGGAAAAAATAGTAGTTTTAACTAAGCCCAATTCCCCCAAACATCTAGTTCATGATATAATTAACTGGAAAATCAATCAAATTTAAGCCCTTGTTTTTCAAATTACTTTTTTTTTTTTTCAGACAGAGTCTCATTCTGTTGTCCAGGCTGGAGTACAGTGACACAATCTCGGCTCATTGAACCTCCACCTCCAGGATTCAAGTGATTCTCTCCCACCTCAGCCTCCAGAGTAGCTGGGACTACAGGCATGTGCCACCATGCCCAGCTAATTTTTGTATGTTTAGTAGAGACGGGGTTTTGCCATGTTGGCCAGGCGGGTCTCGAACTCCTGATCTCAGGTGACCCGCCCGCCTTGGCCTCCCAAAGTGCTGGGATTACAGGTGTGAGCCATCATGCCCAGTCCAAATTAGTCTTTCTTGGCCTCCTAAATCTAAAATTAAATGTCTTTCTACATTGCAAGGAAAAGCTCTACAAAGTTCCCGTTTTTCTATCTTGAATAATCTATGCTTCTGTGAAAACAGAATTTAGTTCTCAAATGCCACAATACATAAGTACCCTAATATGTTATAGTCCTTGACATTTAGAGGAGCCTTAAGAAGGAGGAGATGCTTTCATTCAATTATATGTTTTGTATAACGATTACTTCTATTTTGCTGATGGACAAACTGAGAGGAATCCACTTAGAAGAGTAGAAAAAAGTTTTAGAGGCACATGTAACTGGGGTTGGGTCACTGTGTGATTTCAGGCAAAGTAACCTCTCTAAACCTATTTCATTATCTGTACAACGGGACTGACAATATCTAACTTGTGGGGCTGTGATAATTAAATCATAGAATACTCGATAGTGCATAAGCTGTGCCTCGTTAGTCTGAGTAGGTTTCAGAAAAAGATATTAATATTGAAGGAAGTGACTGGTGCAAGTCTCCCCACCATCCTTATCCAAAAGCAGCCATCCCTAGTAAATGTTTGCACTAAAAATACAGGACACACTTATTTATGACTTTCCAAACAGCTTATTAAATAAATAAATAACACTGAGCTTTATTTAAAGGTTCCAGCCAGGTGCAGTGGCTCATGCCTATAAGAACATTTTGGGAGGCCAAGGCGGGAGAATCATTTGAGGCCAAGAATTCAACAGCAGCCTAGGCAACACAGCCAAACACTGTCTCTACAAAAAAACTTAAAAATTAGCTGGGTGTAGTGGCTCATACCTGCAGTCCCAGGAGGCTGAGGCAGGAGGAGTGCTTGAGCCCAAGAATATAGGTTGCAGTGAACTATGATTATGCCACTGCACTCCAATATGGGCAACAGAACAGGACCCTGTCTCAAAAACACAAAAATAAAAATAAAGGTTTCCTTACTATTAAGTGACATTTACTGTATTAATGTCAATACAGTAACAACACTCAAATTATCAGAAACTGTAAAAATTTCCAGTTTTTACTGGAAATAAAAACTGGGCCGGGCGCAGTGGCTCATTTCTATAATCCCAGCACTTCGGGAGGCTGAGGCGGGCGGATCACTTGAGATCAGGAGTTCGAAACACAGCCTGGCCAACATGGCAAAAACCTGTCTCTACTAAAAATACAAAAAGTAGCCGGGCATTGTGGCACACACCTGTAATTCCAGCTACTTGAGAGGCTGAGGCAGGAGAATCGTTTGAACTGGGGAAGCAGAGATTGCAGTGAGCCGAGATCGTGCCACTGCACTCCAGCCTGGGTGACTCTGTCTCAAAAAAACAAAACAAAACAAAACAAAAACAAAAACTGCAAGGGGGGTGAGGTGACTCATGCCTGTAATCCCAGCACTTTGGGAGGCCAAGGTGGGAGGATCACTTGAGCTTAGGAGTTTGAGACCAGCCTGGGCAATATAGTGAGACCCTGTTTCTACAAAAAATTTAAAAATTAGCAGGGCGTGGTGGCACACGCCCGTAGTTCCAGCTACTCAGGAGGTATAGGTGGGAAGACTGCTTGAGCCTAGGAGGTTGGAGGTGCACGGGGCCAAGACTGAGCCGCTGCACTTCAGACTGGGCGACAGAGAGAGAACCTGTCTCAAAAAAAAAAAAAAAAAAAAAATTCCCTCCTGAGTTTGAAGATAAAGCAAAGATTCTAGAAGCATTTAAGGAACATTAACCAAGCATCTCATTTGCTACGCACAGAAGGGTACTGTATTAAAATTATGATCTAACTAACCATTGCCTCACTGTAATCCTAAGCCTCTTTGAACCTTAGCCTTCTTAAATGTAAAATAGGAGTTTTTAAAAGATGATCTTTTGGGACTCTTCCATCACTGACATTCTTTTATTTGAGATGCAGAGATCTGTGCTCATTCAGGGTTGAGTGGAATGGGATTTAAAGCACTTATCAAGTACATAACTGAGTTCCAACTGTTTTCAACTTCACATCTGATTCCCAAGAATGAAGCAGAAAATGAAGATGTTTGCATATGGGCTTCCTAGATTGAGTATCTGACACAAGAAAAGCTTGCCAAGAGCCAAGTAGGCAGTGCGAAGGAGAAGTTGTCTTCCCCTGAATACGTCCTTTATCTCTCTGGGTTCAGGGAATACTGTGAAAAAATGGATCACTAAATCTTTTCCAAACCCTTTCCCTTTACTTTGTAGGCTGATCTCATATCCATGGTCCCTTAGATCCAAGGCTTTTAGGAGCTTGGGTACTCACAGCCCTGTTCCGAGACTCAGGAACTCGGAGTCTCAAAGCCCGGATCCCGTCCCCAAAGAAGCCCCAGTCTTCACTGCCCGCTTCTGTTCCCTTCCAAACTCAAGTTTTCTCTGTCTGCTTCTGCCCCTCAGGAACCTAAGTCTTCGCTGCCCCGTTTCTGAATCCTTAGGAGCCCGGGTCTTCACTGTCCCGCTTCTGCCTCTTAGGAGCCCAAGTCCTCACCGCTCCACTTTTACCTCTCCGGAGCCTGTGTCTTCACGCCCCGTTCCTTTCTGACCCTTTCCTCGTAGGAGTGCGGGTCCTCATAATCCTGCTCCTCTCAGACCACTTTCCCTCAGATGCCGGAGAACTCGCATCCGTCCCCGTTCCCTAAGTCCCGTCTTAGAGCCCGGGTCCCCACAGCCGCGTCTTCTCCGAGCCTGATCCTCTCAGTCAGTCCCTTCCCAAGAGCCTGAATCCTCACAGCCCCGTCTCGTCCACAACCTGGTCCTTCGAACACTGACCCACTGTAGGTCTGGGTCCTGACTCCCTCCTCCCGCTCTTGTTCCTCAACTGCCAGGGCCCAAGACTCACAGGCAGCAGCGTCTATCTCCCCATGATATGCAGAGACTGCCCCAGTGAAGCGTTCGTCTCAGCAGCCGGTCCGACTGCGCGGCCCTCCCCGACTACTTCCGGCACCGCTCCCCGCCTCCAACCCGGAAACGCGCGGCTCTTCCGGCCGGCGGGCGCGCGCCTCGCTTGCGCAGGCGCAGACTGCCCTCCGACACGTGGTGGCGATATTGAGCTGTGTGTAGGTACACCCTGCAGCTTGCGCTTTTAACTGCTTGTGGTTGAGTGGCAGCATGAGCGAGCTCTGCGTATTCCAACCCGGCGTTAAGAATCCTTCACTAGCTTTTCTTCCCGACGCTGCTTATTTATCTATCGGTAGCATGACGGGTAATTGACGCCCTCGGATGGCTTTGAGGTCGCCATTTTTGGTTGGTGCCTTTGTCTTGGTGTCAGGACTGGGATATCATCTGGGACACATTACCCCACAGGTATCCTGTTGGACCTCAACGAGGAAGTTGGCAACAGAGGAACCAGGAGATGAGAGAGATCGGTTGGTTGTGCCTGTGAACTGGCAATTCAGTAGTAACAATTGAGTGCTTACTGTTTGCCGGGAATTGTGCTAATCCGCTTACCTCCGTTACGCCATTTAATCATTTAGAGGAGACCTGTGAGAGATTAAGCAAAGTTCTAGCTAATAAGTGCAGAGCCTCAGCTTGAACTCAGAACTCACTACTAAGCCAAAGCCTGTCCTGTAGCATTCTCTAATGCTTTCAGTTTTTCGGCTGTCAGATGCTTGGTGAGAACTGCTGTTATGTGGCTCACGCCTGTAATCCCAGCACTTTGGGAGGCCGAGGAGGGTGGATCACGAGGTCAAGAGTTCAAGACCAGTCTGGCCAAGATGGTGAAACCCCGTCTCTACTAAAAATACAAAAAATTAGCCGGGCGTGGTGGCATGCGCCTGTAATCGCAGCTACTCCGGAGGCTGACGCAGAGAACTGCTTAAACCTGGAGGGGCGGAGGTTGCAGTGAGCCGAGATCGCGCCACTGCACTCCAGCCTGGGCGACAGAGCGAGACTCTGTCTCAAAAAAAAAAAAAAGAGAACAGCTGTTATTTTTTACTGTATGCTGGAATGTTAGGCATGCAAGTAAGACCCAATTCCAGCATCTGTAAGGTTCACAGTAAGATGGAGAAGAACCCACAAACACACCAAAAATTGTATAAAGAGCTGTGACAGGCCAGAGTGAGCCACATAGAAATTAGGAAGAGGTGCCCAGATTGGTGCGGCATCCTGCCCTGTCTTTATATCTTCCTAATCCTCATCCTACCACGTTCCCAGTCCACCCTCTACACTGCCACCCAATCCAAATTCTCAGATTCAAGTCCTCATGAACATTGGGCTCTAAGCTGTATTCCTAGCCTTATTTCCTTGCCACTGCTCTCCATTCTTTTTAGGGTCCGGCATACCACTTTTTGTTGTTGAATGCCTATACATCTTTTTTAAGACCCAGGTTGAATGTATATACGTTCATTTGACAAGTGTTTGAGTCTCATTGTGTGACAAGCCTTTTGCTATGTGCTGAGTACATAACTGGTGGCTAAGACGGATGATCTCTGTCCTTAGAAAGTTTGCAACCTAGAGTGGGAAACAGACCATTAGCAACTGCACAAAAGGGTGATAGAAGAGAATACTGGAATAAGCCAGACTTATCTAGCTGGCTGATGGCCTGAGCCATGGTCTTCAGTAAGGAAAACACTTACTCAAGGACCAAGATGGCCAAGGTGGCTGGAGCTTTGGTAACCGGGAAAGACAATGAGTTTGGAGAGGTAGGCAGGGGTTTGTTATAGTCTGGACCTTTTAGCCTAGACTATGATGGGGACTTGAGATTATATTCAGTATGCAATGGGAAGGTGTTGGAAGAACGGTGAAATTATGGCGATTGTTAAATGATACAGGGTCTCACTCTGTCACCAGGGCTAGAGTGCAGTGGCACAATCATAGTTCACTACAGCCTCAAACTCCTGTGTTCAAGCGATCCTCCTCCACCTCAGCTTCCCAAGTAGATGAATTTTCTTTTTTTTTTTTTTGAGACGGAGTCTCGCTGTTTCACCCAGGCCGGACTGCAGTGGAGCTATCTCGGCTCACTGCAAGTTCCGCCTCCCAGGTTCATGCCATTCTCCTGCCTCAGCCTCCCAAGTAGCTGGGACTACAGGCGCCCGCCACCGCGCCCGGCTAATTTTTTGTATTTTTAGTAGAGATGGGGTTTCACCATGTTAGCCAGGATGGTCTCGATCTCCTGACCTCGTGATCCGCCTGCCTTGGCCTCCCAAAATGCTGGGATTACAGGCAGGAGCCACTGCGCCCGGCCTCTTCTTTTTTTTTTTTTTCTTTAAGAGATAAGGACTGGACACCCTGGCTCACGCCTGTAATCCCAGCACTTTGGGAGGCTGAGGCAGGAGGATCACGAGGTCAGGAGATAGAGATCATCCTGGCCAAAATAGTGAAACCCTATCTCTACTAAAAATACAAAAATTAGCTGGGCGTGGTGGTGCACGCCTGTGACCCCAGCTACTCAGGAGGCTGCGGAAGGAGAATCGCTGGAACCCGGGAGGTGGAGGTTGCAGTGAGCGGAGATTGAGCCAGTGCACTCCAGCCTGCGTGACGGGAGCAAGACTCCATCTCAAACAAAACTACAACAACAACAAAAAAACAGATAAGGCCAGGCCAGGCACTGTGGCTCACGCCTGTAATCCCAGCATTTTGGGAGGCCGAGGCAGGTGGATCACTTGAGGTTAGGAGTTTGAGACCAGCCTGGCCAACAGGGTGAAACCTACTAAAAATATTTTAAAAATTAGCCGGGTGTAGTGGCGCGTGCCTGTAGTCCCAAGCTACTCAGGAGGCTGAGGCATGAGAATCGCTTAAACCTGGGTGGTAGAGGTTGAAGCGAGCCGAGATCGTGCCACTGCACTCCAACCTGGGCAACAGAGTGAGACTGTCTGGGAAAAAAAAAAAAAAGAGAGATAAGGTCAGATGTGGTGGCTTTACACCTGTAATCCCAACACTTTGGGAGGCGCAGCAGGAGGACTGCTTGAGCCCAGGAGTTTGACCGGCCTGGGCAAGATAGGGAGACACTGTCTCTAAAAAAAAAAAAAAAAAATTAGCCTCAGCATGGTGGTGTGTACCTGTAGTCCCAGCCACTCAGGAGACTGACAGGCAGGAGGATCTGCTTGAGCCTAGGAGTTCCAGGCTGCAGTGAGCTATGATTGCACCACTGCATTCCAGCCTGGACAACAGAGCAACACACTGTCTCAGGAAAAAAGACAGAGAGAGAGATAACACTGGTGGATGATAGGAAGAGCAATTGACAGCACCATCTCTGGGCTTCTCACAAGTTTATACAACACATCTGCTTCCTATTACAATGTAAGAGCTGTTTATTTATCTCCTTTCTCTTGTGACTTCTACTTTGTAAAGAGCAGGGAACTCCATGTATTATTAAAATATATTAAAGAAAGTAAAATACCTAACAGTCTATATTTTGTGTTGAAAACATTTTACTTTATTATTTATTTATTTTTTTTTGAGACGGAGTTCGCTCTTGTTGCCCAAGCTGGAGTGCAATGGCACAGTCTCGGCTCGCTGCAACCTCTGCCTCCCAGGTTCAAGTGATTCTCCTGCCTCAGCTCCCTAGTAGCTAGGATTACAGGCACCTGCCACCACACTCGGCCAATTTTTTTTTTTTTTTTTTTTGAGACAGAGTCTCACTCTGTCGCCCAGGCTGGAGTGCAGTGGTGCAATCTCGGCTCACCGCAAGCTCCACCTCCTGGGTTCACGCCATTCTCCTGCCTCAGCCTCCCGAGTAGCTGGGACTACAGGCACCCGCCACCACACCCGGCTAATTTTTTGTATTTTTAGTAGAGACGGGGTTTCACCGTGTTAGCCAGGATGGTCTCGATCTTCTGACCTAGTGATCTGCCCACCTCGGCCTCTCAAAGTGCTGGGATTACAGGCGTGAGCCACCGCACCCGGCCAATTTTTTGTATTTTTAATAGAGACAGGGTTTCACCATGTTGGCCAGGCTGGTCTCAAACTCCTGATCTTAGGTGATCCACCCACCTCAGCTTCCCAAAGTGCTGGGATTACAGGCATGAGCCACCATGCCTGGCCTGAAAACATTTATTTTTATATATATACGATGTGTACATACATAGAAAGCAGTCTGGCAAGATAAACACTAAACTGTTCACAGTTTGGAGGAAGCATTTTCACATTTTATAACATCTCTGTGCTGTTTCAATTTCTTTACAATTGTCACATATTGTTTTTTTTTTATTTTCTTGAGACAAGATCTTCATCTGTCACCTAGGCTGGAGTGCAGTGGCATGATTATGGCTCACTGTAGCCTTGACTTCCCTGGCTCAAGCAATCCTTCTGCCTCAGCCTTTGGGGTAGCTGGGACCACAGGCCCATGCCACGATGCCCAGTTAATATTTTATTTTGGGGTAGGGACGAGGTCTCTATATGTTGCCCATTGTGGTCTCAAACTCCTGGGCTCTCAAAGTGTTGGGATTACAGGCATGACCCACAGCACCCGTCCATCATTATCCATAAAAAAAATGGGAACAGGCCGGGCACGGTGGCTCACGCCTATAATCCCAGCACTCTGGGAGGCTGAGGCGGGCGGATCACAAAGTCAGGAGATCGAGACCATCCTGGCTAACATGGTGAAACCCCCGTCTCTACTAAAAATACAAAAAATTAGCCGGGCATGGTGGCAGGGGCCTGTAGTCCTAGCTACTTGGGAGGCTGAGGCAGGAGAATGGCGTGAACCCAGGAGGTGGAGCTTGCGGTGAGCCGATATCGCGCCACTGCACTGCAGCCTGGGCGACAGAGCGAGACTCCGTCTCAAAAAAAAAAAAATTGTGTTGATAAAGATCTACTTCAGTCATCTGAGGTACAGTATTTCATTTTTCACATTAATGCTATGCTGTACCTTATTCTACAACTCTTTTCACTCGATTTAAAAAAAAAAAATTCTAATACTCCTTCGAAGTGCAGCATATAGCATGCCACAATATGAACACACCATGACAATCAGCTTATGCGTGACCTTGTGACCTTGTGCTTCCACTGCACGCCTGCCTGGGCTGCTCCAAGGTGGTGGCTAGGGGTGGCACAAGTTACACATTTTCAATTTGGATAGGTTGTGATTCTTGTCTTCCCCAGTCAGATACCTACAGCCGCTGAGAGCCGGTATTCCAACGCCATGAGACGCCTTCTGTCGTGAGCAGTTGACAAGAAAGACCCAGCACTTACTGCAACCGGAAGGAGCGGTTCCTCCCTCGCTCGCGCAGCCGCTCTTCCCCGCCACTCCCTCGGTGCCCGCCAGCACATTCCCAGCAAGCCCTGAGTATATTTGCATATCAACTCACTACATTTTTTTCTTCTAACTAAAAAATCGAAAGGACAAATTCCAGATTCTCCTTGTGAAGTCTTCCTTTCAGTTCAGAAGAAATGGAATTCGCTCTTCAACTTCAGGAAGTTGAAATAAAGAGTTGCTTGGATTTTGTGTTCACCTTTACCAAAAAATGGATTTGGTAACACTGCCACCCTGCTTTGGTGACAGAGAAAGCAAAAAGGGCTTCTGTCGTGAGTGGCACACGTAGGGCAACTCGATTGCTCTGCGTGCGGAATCGACATCAAGAGATTTCGGAAGCATAATTTTTTGGTATTTGGGCAGCTGGTGATCGTTGGTCCCGGCGCCCTTTCTTTACTGTTATATGTTAGGCGAAATATTACGCGTTTGGAGTAAGTGGTGCTTTTTGTAACTGAAAAGAGATTCTGTGTGTGTTTTTTTTTTTTTTTAGAGGCTGCATAGTTATTTGTATGAACCGCAGGTGACCTAATTAGCAAGGTAATTCAGACCTGTATCCTAGCACTTAAGAAGTGGAAGTGGGATAACCCTGCGTGTTCTCGTGTGGGAGGCTAGCTTAAGCAACAAAGCAGGAAGGCCCCACCAACAAAAGAATTTAAAAATTATACGTGCGTGGTGGCGCGCGTATGAGGAAATTATTTGGCAACTGTGTTACAGTATAGCAGCAAATGGAATAGACCTAGTCCCTGACTTTAGGAGACCTGCCTCAGCCCCCCGAATGGCTGGGACTACAGGCGTGCGCCTCCGCGCCCAGCTAATTTTTGCATTTTTGGTAGAGACGGGTTCACCATGTTGGCCAGGATGGTCTCCATCTCTTCATCTGGTGATCCGCCCACCTCGGCCTCTAGGAGTGCTAGGATTACAGGCGTGGCCATCGCGCCCGGCCTGCAATGTTATTTTATGAAGCAGAGGAAATTGAAATTACCTTCACCAGGCCTTAGCAAACTTTTTCTATACCTTATACCATACACAAAAGATTAATTCAAGGCCGGGCGCAGTGGCTCACGCCTGTAATCCCAGCACTCCTAGAGGCCGAGGTGGGCGGATCACCTGAAGTCGGGATTTCAAGACCAGCCTGACCAACATGGAGAAACCCCTTCTCTAACTAAAAATACAAAATTAGCCAGGCGTGGTGGAGTATGCCTGTAATCCCAGTTACTCAGGAGGCTGAGGCAGGAGAATTGCTTGAACCCAGGAGGCGGAGGTTGCAGTGAGCCGAGACCGCACCATTGCACTCCAGCCTGGGCAACAAGAGCAAAACTCCGTCTCAAAAAAAAAAAAAAAAAAAAGATTAAAGACCTAAATGTAAGACCTTAAACTATAAAACTCTTAGAGAAAACACAGGGGAAAATGACATCGAATTTGTCAGTGATTTCTTGGATATAAACAATGGTTTACAAGCAACAAAAAATAAATTGGTCCTCATCAAATTTTAAAATGTTAACATTAATTTTAAAATTAAAATGAAAAACCCGGCCGCGTGCGGTGGCTCACGCCTGTAATCCCAGCACTTTGGGAGGCCGAGGTGGGCGGATCACCTGAGGTCAGGGGTTGGAGACCAGCCTAGCCAACATGGTGAAACCCCGTCGCTCCTAAAAATACAAAAATTAGCCAGGCCTGGTGTCAGGCGCTTGTAATCCCAGCTACTTGGGAGGCTGAGGCAGGAGAATTGCTTGCACCGGGAGGCGGTGTTGCTGTGAGCCGAGATCGTGCTACTGCACTCCAGCCTGGGCAACAGAGTGAGACTCTGTCTCAAAAAAAAAAAAAAAAAAATAGCCGGGCATGGTGGCTCCCAGCACTTTGGGAGGCTGAGGTGGGCAGATCATGAGGTCAGAAGGTCAGGACCAACCTGGACAATATGGTGAAACCCTGTCTCTACTAAAAATACAAAAAATTTAGCCGGGCATGGTGGTGCATGCCTGTAATCCCAGCTACTCGGGAGGCTGAGGCAGGAGAATCGCTTGCATCCAGGAGGCAGAGGTTGCAGTGAGCCGAGATAGCGTCATTGCACTCCAGCCTGGACAAGAGCGAAACTCCGTCTCAGAAAAAAAAAAAAAAGAAAGAAAGAAAACCCTTGTACATCAAAGGACACTATCAACAGAGTGGAAAGACAATCCACAGAATCAGAGAACATATTTGTAAATAATATATCTGATAAGGGATTAATATCCATAATACATAAGGAACTCATAACTCAACAACAACAACACAAACCCAGCCCAGTTCAATAATGGGCAAAAGGACCTGTATAGACATTTCTCCAAAGATGGCCAATAAGCACATGAAAAGATGCTCAGCATCACTAATCATTAGGAAAATGCAAGTCAAAACCATAATGAGATGGCACTTCACACCCATTAGGATAGCTATTATTAAAAAATATATATCGGGAGTCTCTCTGAGTCTACTCTGGCCCAAGAGGCTGCCAGACAATAATTCAAAATAACAATAATAATAATAATAATAAAGACCATTGCTATGGCTCACACCTGTAATCCCAGCACTATGGGAAGCCAAGGTGAGAGGATCCCTTGATGCCAGGAGTTCAAGACCTAAAGATATCTCTACAAATAATTTATAAAATTAGCTAGGTGTGGGCCAGTCATGGTGGCTCATGCCTATAATCCCAGCAGTTTGGGAGGCTGAGGTGAGTGGATCACTTGAGGTCAGGAGTTCAAGACCAGCTGGCTAACATGGTGAAACCCCATCTCTGCTAAAAATACAAAAATTAGCCAGGCATGGTGGCGGGCGCCTGTAATCCCAGCTACTCAGGAGGCTGAGGCAGGAGAATTGCTTGATCCCAGAAGGCAGAGGTTGCAGTGAGCTGAGATCGTGCCACTGCACTCCAGGGATACTCCGTCACATAAAAATAAAATAAAATAAAATAAAATAAAATAAAATAAAATAAAATAAAATAAAATAAATCAACACAGCCCGGGCACAGTGGCTCATGCCTGTAATCCCAGCACTTTGGGAGGCCAAGGCAGGCGAATCACTTGAGATCAGGAGTTTAAGACCAGCCTGGCCGACATGGTACCAAAATCTGTATTAGTCAGGGTTCTCTAGAGGGACAGAACTAATAGGACATATGTATATATGAAAGGGAGTTTATTTTTATTTTATTTAATTTTTTAAAACTTTTTTTGAGATGGAATCTTGCTCTGTTGCCCAGGCTGGAGTGCAGTGGAGCAATATCGGCTCACTGCAACCTCTACCTCCCATGTTCAAGCAATTCTCCTGCCTCAGCCTCCTGAGTAACTGGGATTACAGGCGCACCCCACCATACCTGGCTAAGTTTTGTATTTTTTTTTTAGTAGAGACAAGGTTTCACCATGGTGGTGAGGCTGGTCTGTAACTCCTGACCTTGTGATCTGCCTGCCTCGGCCTCCCAAAGTGCTGGGATTACAAGTGTGAGCCACCTCACCTGGCCAAAGAGAGTTTATTAAGGAGAATTGACTCACATGATCACAAAGTGAGGTCCCATGATAGACCATCTACAAATCGAGGAGCAAGGAAGCCAATAGTGGGCTGGGCATGGTGGCTCATGCCTACAATCCCAACACTTTTGGAGGCCAAGGCGGGCGGATCACCTGAGGTCAGGATTTCAAGACCAACCTGACCAATATGATGAAACACTGTCTCTACTAAAATAAACAAAAATTAGCGGGGCATGGTGGCATGCGCCTGTAATCCCAGCTACTCGGGAGGCTGAGGCAGGACAATTGCTTGAACCTGGGAGGCAGAGGTTGCAGTGAGCCGAGATAGTGCCACTACACTCCAGCCTGTGCAACAGGAGCGAAACTCAGTCTCAAAAAAAAGGCCCGGCGAGGTGGCCCACGCCTGTAATCCCAGCACTTTGGGAGGCCGAGGCAGGCGGATCACGAGATCAGGAGATTGAGACCATCCTGGCTAACACGGTGAAACCCCGTCTCTACTAAAAATACAAAAAATTAGCCCAGCGTGGTGGCAGGTGCCTGTAGTCCCAGCTACTCGGGAGGCTGAGGCAGGAGAATGGCGTGAACCTGGGAGGTGGAGTTTGCAGTGAGCTGAGATTGCGCCACTGCACTCCAGCCTGGGCAACAGAGCAAGATTCCGTCTCAAAAAAATAAAAAAAAAAAAAGGAAGCCAATAGTAGCTCAGTCTGAGTCCCAAAACCTCAAAACTAAGGAAGCCGACCGTGCAGCCTTCAGTCTGTGGCCAAAGGCCCAAGAGCCCCTGGCAAACCACTGGTCTAAGTCCAAGAGTCCAAAAGCCAAAGAACTTGGAGTCTGATATTTGAGGGCAGGAAGCATCCCACATGGGAGAAAGATGAAGCCTGGAAGATTTAGCAAGTCAGCTTCTCCCACCTTCTGTCTGCTTTATTCTAGCTGCGCTGGCAGCTGATTGGATGGTGCCCACCCAAATTGAGGGTAGGTCTGCCTCTCCAAGTCCACTGACTGAAATGTTAATCTCCTTTGCCAACACCCTCACAGACACACCCAGGAACAATATTTTGTATCCTTCAATCCAATCAAATTGATAATTTTTTTTTTTTTTTTGAGATGGAGTCTTGCTCTGTCACCCAGGCTGGAGTGCAGCGGTGCAGTGGTGTGATCCCAGCTCACAGCAACCTCTGCCTCCTGGGTTCAAGCGAGGCTCCCACCTCAGCCTCCTGAGTAGCTGATATTACAGGCGTGTGCCACTGCACCCGGCTAATTTTTGTATTTTGAGTATAGAGGCAGGGTTTTACCATGTTGGTCAGGCTGTTCTTGAACTCCTGATCTCCAGTGATCGGCCTGCCTCAGTCTCCCAAAGTGCTGGGATTACAGGCGTGAGCCACGAGGTCCGGTCTGATATGAAGGTAATAAATCTTACATCACATGTTTGTTTTTTGAGACAGAGTCTTGCTCTATAGCCCAGGCTGGAGAGCAGTGGCGCAATCTCGGCTCACTGCAACCTCCGCTTCCTGGGTTCAAGCGATTCTCCTGCCTCAGCCTCTCAACTAGTTGGGACTACAGGCACCCGTCACCACGCCTGGCTAAGTTTTTTTTTTTTTTTTGTATGTTTAGTAGAGACGGGGTTTCACTGGGTTAGCCAGGATGGTCTCGATCTCCTGACCTTGTGATCTGTCCGCCTCAGCCTCCCAAAATGCTGGGATTATAGGCGTCAGCCACTGCACCCAGCCTTTTTTTTTTTTTTTTTTTTTGAGACGGAGTTTTGCTCTTGTCGCCCAGGCTGGAGTGCAGTGGTGTGATCTCAGCTCACTGCAACTTCCACCTCCCAGGTTCAAGTGATTCTCCTGCCTCAGCCTCCTGAGTAGCTGGGATTACAAGCGCCCACCACCACGTCTGGCTAATTTTTTTGTATTTTTAGTAGACACGGAGTTTCACCATGTTGGCCAGGCTGGTCTCGAACTCCTGACCTCAGTTGATCCACCTGCCTCAGCCTCCAAAAGTGCTGAGATTACAGGCATGAACCATCATGCCTGGCCAATTTTTTTGTATTTTTAGTGGAGACGGGGTTTCACCATGCTGGCCAGGCTGGTGTTGAACTCCTGACCTCAGGTGATCTGCCCGCCTCGGCCTCCCAAAGTGCTGAGATTATAGGGGTGAGCCAGTGCACCTGGCCTAGGAGGCAATCTTAACTTCCAGTTTAATGGAATCCTTGTGCCTCCTGGTGGCAGCATTCCTCCCTCTAGAACTAAGACCTCTAGGTCAGCAGAACATAATGCCATGGGAACAGGAAGCAAGAAGTTTGCCAGTGGATCACTAAGGGTGATGGTGAGTGGAGCCACTTCCATTTCCACCTCTTGATTCCTGGACCCTTGAATCCTGGTTATGGGAGAAACAGTACCATATATTGGATGCTGATTCAGAGCATACACAGCCTTCTGGAGAACTTTTCCCCAGCCCTGCAAAGAATTGTCACCTAGTTGGCGTTGTAATTGTGACTTCAAAAGGCCATTCCGCTGTTCTATCAATCCAGCTGCTTCAGGATAATGGGGAACATGGTAAGACAAGTGAATTCCATGAGCAAGAGCCCACTGTTGCACTTGTTTAGCTGTAAAGTCAGTGCCGTGGTCAGAGGCAGTGCTGTGTGGAATACCGTGATGGTGGATAAGGCATTCTGTAAGTCCACGGATGATAGTCTTGGCAGAAGCATTGCATGCAAGATAGGCAAACCCATATTTAGAGTAAGTGTCTATTCCAGCGAGGATAAACCTCTGCCCTTTCTGTGATGGAAGAGGTCCAATATAGTCAAACTGCCACCAAGTGGCTGGATGATCACCTCGAGGAATGGTGCCATATCAAGGGCTCAGTGTTGGTCTCTGCTGCTGGAAAATTGGGCACTCAGTCGTGGCCGTAGCCAGGTCAGCCTTGGTGAGTGGAAGTCCATGTTGCTGAGCCCATTAGTAACCTTCATCCCTGCCACCATGGCCACTTTGTTCATGGGCCCATTGGGCGATGACAGGGGTTGCTGGGGAAAGAGGTTGAGTGGTGTCCACAGAACAAGTCATCCTATCCACTTGATTATTAAAATTCTCCTCTGCTGGCTGGACGCGGTGGCTTAAGCCTGTAATTCCAGCACTTTGGGACCCCGAGGCGGGCAGATCACGAGGTCAGGAGATCGAGACCATTCTGGTTAACACGGTGAAACCCTGTCTCTACTGAAAGTACAAAAAAATTAGCTGGGTGTGGTGGCACACAGCTGTAGTCCCAGATACTCGGGAGGCTGAGGCAGGAGAATCGCTTGAACCTGGGAGGCGGAGGTTGCAGTGAGCCGAGATCGTGCCACTGCACTCCAGCCTGGCAACAGAGCAAGACTCCATCTCAAAAAAAAAAAAAAAAAAAAACCTCCTTTGCTGAGGTCACCCTTTGGTAAGCATTCACATGGGATACAAATATCTTCACAGTTTTTGACCACTCAAAGAGGTCCATCCACATACCTCTTTCCCAAATGTCTTTCTCACCAATTTTCCAATCATGCTTCTTCCAAGTCCCTGAACATCCAGCTAAAACATTGGCTACAGCCTATGAATCAGTATATAATTGCAAATCTGGTCATTTCTCCCTCTAAGCAAAGAGCACAACCAGGTTCACTCCTCAAAGTTCTGCCCACTGGGAAGATTTCCCTTCACCGCTGTCCTTCAGGGATATCTTAGAAAGGGGCTGTAGTGATGCAGCTGTCCACTTTCAGGCGATGCCTGCATATCATGCAGAGCTATCTGTAAACCAGGCCCTATTCTTCCGTTCCTCTGTCAGCTCATCGGGGGAACTCCCCATGAGGCCATTGGTGCAGGCTGGGGGAGAGAAGGCAGGGTGGCAGGAGTGGGGGCCATGGGCATTTGAGTCGCTTCCTCATGCAACTTACTTGTGCCTTCAGGACCTGCTCTAACCCGATCACATATACACAACTTCCATTTGATAATGGAATGCTGCTGTGCACACCCAACTTTATGGCTAGATGGGTCAGAAAGCACCCAGTTCATGATAGGCAGTTCAGGTCACATGGTGACTTGATGACCCATAGTCAAACGTTCAGTTTCTACCAAAGCCCAGTAATAGGCCAAGAGCTGTCTCTCAAAAGAAGAGTAGTTATCTGCAGAAGATGGCAGGGCCTTGCTCCACAGTCCTAGAAGCCTCTGTGTGATTCACCTACGGGGGCCTGCCAAAGGCACCAAACAGCAACCCTATCTGCCACTGACACCTCAAGCACCATTGGATCTGCTGGGTCATATGGTCCAAATGGCAGAGCAGCTTGCACAACAGCCTGGACCTGTTGCAGAGCCTTGTCCTGTTTTGGACTCCACTCAAAACTGGCAGTCTTTCGGGTCACTTGATAGATGGGCCAGAGCAACACACCCAAATGAGGAATGCGTTGCCCCCAAAATCCAAATAGGCCCAGTAGGCACTGTGTCTGTTTCTTGGTTGTAGGAGGTGCCAAATGCAGCAATTTATCCTTCACTTTAGAAAGAATATCTCGACAGGCAAGGCCCTACACCACTGAACCCCTAGAAATTTCACTGAGGTAGAGGTTCCCTGAATTTTAGTCAGATTTACTTCCCATTCCCCGGCATGCAAATCTCTCACCAGTAAGTCCAGTGTGTTTGTTACATCTCTCTCACTGGGTCTAATCAGCATAATGATGTCATTAATGTAATGGACCAGTGTGATATCTTATGGAAGGGAAAAGTGATCAAGATCTCTGCGAACAAGATTATGACACAAAGCTGGATATACCAGCTTTGTGAGAGTTGATATACCCCTGAGGTAAGATAGTGAAAGTATATTGCCGGCCTTGCAAGCTGAAGGCGAATTGCCTCTCGTGGGCCTTGTGGACAGGAATGGAGAAAAAGGCATTTGCCAAATCAGTAGCTGCATAACAGGTACCAGGAGATGTGTTAATTTGCTCAAGCAATAAAGCCACATCTGGTTCAGCAGCTGCAACTGGAGTCACCACTTGGTTAAGCTTACAATAATCCACTGTCATTCTCCAAGATCCGCCTGCCTTCTTCTCCAAATAGGAGAGTTGAACGAGGATGTGGTGGGAACCACCACCTCTTTGTCTTTCAAGTCCTTTATGGTGACACTAATCTCTGCAAAATCTCCAGGGATGCAATATTGTTTTGTTTTGTTTTGAGACGGACTTTTGCTCTTGTTGCCCAGGCTGGAGTGCAGTGATGGAGTCTCACCTCACTGCAACCTCTGCCTCCCGGAATCAAGTGGTTCTCCTGCCTCAGCCTCCCGAATAGCTGGGATTACAGGCAACTGCCACCACGCCTGGCTAATTTTTTGTATTTTTAGTAGAGACAAGGTTTCATCATGTTGGCCAGGCTGGTCTTGAACTCCTGACCTCAGATGATCTGCCCGCCTCAGCCTCCCAAAATGCTGGACTTACAGGTGTGAACCACTGTGCCTGGCCCAATATTGTTTTTTATTTACTGTTTTTCTAGGCAGAGGCAGCTCTAATGGCTTCCATTTGGCCTTTCCCACCACAATAGCCCTCACCCTACTGCTCAGGGAGCCATTGTGAGGATTCTGCCAGCTACTAAGTATGTCTATGCCAATTATGCATTCTGGCACTGGGGAAATGACCACAGGATGAGTACAGGGACCCACTGGACCCACTGTAAGTTGGACCTGAGCTAAAACTCCAGTAATTACCTGACCTCCATAAGTCCCTACTCTAACTGGAGGACCACAGTGATGTTTTGGGTCCCCTGGAATAAATGTCAGCTAAGAGCCAGCATCCAGTACTCCCTCAAAGGTCTAATTATTCCCCTTTCCCTAATGCACAATTAACTTAGCCCAGAGGTCTCCGTGGGGAAATATGGGAGAAAGATTAGCAGTATAAATTGTCCATAGTGTAGTGGGGTCGTTCTTCAAGGGGACCTGGCCTCCCCTTCATTCAAGGAGTTCTGGGTCTGTAAACTGGCTCAAGTCTGGAAATTGCTTGAGAGACCATGATTCTCTATTTCTTTTTGATACAGAGTTTCGCTCTTGTTGCCCAGGCTGGAGTGCAAAAGCACGATCTCAGCTCACCACAACCTCCGCCTCCCAGGTTCAAGCGATTCTCCTGCCTCAGCCTCCCAAGTAGCTGGGATTACAGGCATGTGCCACCACGCCTGGCTAATTTTGTATTTTTAGCAGGGATGGGGTTTCTGCATGTTGGTCAGGCTGGTTTCGAACTCCCAACCTCAGGTGATCTGCCTGCCTTGGCCTCCCAAAGTGCTGAGATTACAGGCGTGAGCCACCACGCCTGGCCGAGTCTCTGTTTTATAATTCAAATTAGTCTTTTGTCCACTCAACCTGGAAATTTTCTGTTTATACAAATTAAGAATGCAGTAGGTGCTGGGCATGGTGGCTCACACCTGTAATCTCAGCACTTTGGGAGGCCAAGGCAGCAGATCATATGAGGTAAGGAGTTTGAAACCAGTCTCTACTACTGGCAACATGGCAAAATGCTGTCTCTACAAAAATAAAAAAAAAATTGGGCCAGGGACAGTGGCTCAGGCCTGTAATCCCAGCACCTTGGGAGGTCAAGGCAGGTGGATCACCTGAGGTCAGGAGTTTGAGACCAGCCTGGCCAACATGCGAAACCTGGTCTCTACTAAAAATTTACAAAAATTAGCCAGGTGGGCTGGGTGCAATGGCTCATGCCTATAACCCCAGCATCTTGGGAGGCCGAGGCAGGTGGATCACCTGAGGTCAGGAGTTCAAGACCAGCCTGGCCGATATGGCGAAACCCCGCCTCTACTAAAACTACAAAAAATTAGCCGGGCATGGTGGCTGGCACCTATAATCCCAACTATTCGGGAGGCTGAGACAGGAGAATCGCTTGAACCCGGGAGGTGTAGGTTGCAGTGAGCCAAGATTGTGCCATTGTACTCCAGCCTGGGTGACAACAACAAAACTCCATCTCAAAAAAAAAAAAAAAAAAATTGGGCTGGGCATAGTGGCTCATGCCTGTAATCACAGCACTTTGAGAGGCTGAGGCGGGTGAATCACTTGAGGCCAGGAGTTCAAGACCAGCCTGGCTGACAAGAACAAAACTCCATCTCAAAAAAAAAAAAAAAAAATTGGGCTGGGCCTAGTGGCTCATGCCTGTAATCACAGCACTTTGGGAGGCTGAGGCGGGTGAATCACTTGAGGCCAGGAGTTCAAGACCAGCCTGGACAACATGGTAAAACCCCGTCTCTACAAAAAATGCAAAAGCTAGCTGGACATGGTGGCATGGGCCTGTAGTCCCAGCCTGTAAAAACCTTTGTTGAACCTGGGAGGCAGAGGTTGCAGTGAGCCGAGATTGCGCCACTGCACTCCAGCCTGGGCGATAGAGCAAGACTCCCTCTCAAAAAAAAAAAAAAGAAAAAAAATTAACTGGACTTGGTGGCACATGCCTGTAATCCCAGCTACTCGGGAGGCTGAGGCGGGAGAATTACTTGAACCCAGAAGGGGGAGGATGCAGTAACCTGAGATCATACCACTGCACTCCAACTTGGGCAACAGAGCAAGACTCTGTCTCAAAAGAAAAAAAAAAGAATTCAGTAGGCTTTCTATCAACGAGTCAGACTATTCCGATTGCTGCTTTGCCTCTGCTGTCCATTACGGTAACTACATCTGCTTTGCCTTTGATGGTTGAGTGTTGCCACTTGGCTCCTGCCACCTTGGGATTTAATTATTCCCACTGCGTTTAAGTTTTCCAATTGAGTGAGTACAGTTCCCACTGTACGATCTGGCATACAGAGAGGAGCAATCACAGAGCTCTTCAAGGACACGGGTGCTCCCTTCAGAAATCTGTTTCACAAGGTTATACCCTATGGTGAAGGATAGGTCTTCTGGACCCTCCCAGTGGGGATGAGTAGGTCTAAAGTGACTAATCCACTCTAGCGTTCCAATTTCCCTAAGCCTTTGGATCCCTTCCTCTACATTAAACCAAGGGAGATTGGAATGCTACTAAAAATACAAAAAGGTGGGCTTGGTGATGTGCGCCTGTAATTCCAGCTACTAGGGAAGCTGAGGCACGAGAATCTCTTGAACCTGGGAGGCAGAGGCTACAGTGAGCGGAGGTCACATCACTGCACTCCAGCCTGGGCGACAGAATGAAGACCCTCTCAAAAAAACCAAAAAAGGCCGGGCATGGTGGCTCACGCCCGTAATCCCAGCACTTTGGGAGGCCGAGGCAGGCGGATCACGAGGTCAGGAGTTCAAGACCAGACTAACCAACATGGTGAAACCCCGTCTCTACTAGAAATACAAAAATTAGCTGGGTGTGGTGGCGCGTGCCTGTAATCCCAGCTACTCAGGAGGCTGAGGCAGAACTGCTTGAACCCAGAAGGCGGAGGTTGCAACTGAGCAACACAGTGAAACTCTGTCACAAAAAAAAAAAAAAAAAAAAAAAATTAGCTGGGCGTGGTGGTGTGCACCTATAGTCCCCACTACTTGGGAGGCTGAGGCAGGAGAAATGCGGGAACCTGGGAGGCAGAGATTGTAGTGAGCTGACAGTGCGTCACTGCACTCCAGCCTGGGCAACAGAGTGAGACTTTTTTTTGTCTCAAAAAAAAGACAAAAAGGAAAAAAATCGACACAGGGCAGGGTGCGGTGGCTCACACCTGTAATCCCTGCACTTTGGGAGGCCGAGGTGGGTATATCACCTGAGGTCAGGAGTTCGAGACGAGCCTGGCCAACATGAGGATACCCTGAATCTACTAAAAATACAAAAAATTAGCTGGGCGTGGTGGTGCACGCCTGTAATCTCAGCTACTCAGGAGGCTGAGGCAGAAGAATCATTTGAACCCAGGAGGTGGAGGTTGTAGTGAGCTGAGATCGTGCCACTGCACTCTGGCCTGGGCAACAAGAGGAAAACTCCATCTCAAAAATAAATAAATAAATAAACAAAGAAACACAGAATAAACATGTGATCCAGCAATTCCTCTTCGGGGTATAGACGCAAAATAATTGAAACCAGGAACTTGAACAGATATTCGTACACCCTCGTTCATAGCATCATAGCAGCATTACTCACAATAGCCAAAAAGTATAAACAATTCAAATGTCCATCAAAGGATAAATGGATACACCAAATCAATGGATGTCTATACAATGGAAATATTATTTGGTCATAAAAAGGAATGAAGTACTGAAACATGCCATAGCATGAATTAACTTTGAACACATTATGCCAGGTTAAATAAACCAGACTCAAAAGGACAAATATTGTACAATACTACTTATAGGAAGCACTTAGCACAGTCAAATTCTGGCTAGGCACAGTGGCTCATGCCTGTAATCCCAGCACTCTGGGAGGCCGACGCGGGTAGATCACTTGAGGTCATGAGCTTGAGACCAGCCTGGACAACATGGCGAAACAACGCCTCTACTAAAAATACAAAAATTTGCTGGGTGTGGTGGTGCACGCCAGCAGTCCTACTACTCTGGAGTAGCTATTCTGGAGGCTGAAATGGGAGAATTGCTTGAACCTGGGAGGCGGAGGTTGCAGTGAGCCAAGATTGCACCACTGCACTGTGGCCTGGGTGACAGAGCGAGACTCTGTCTCAAAAAAAATGTTAAAATGGTAAACTTTATGTAATGTCTATTTTATCACAATAAAAAATTAAAAGTTAATTTAAAAATGAAATAATTTAAAAGGAAAGATATTGAAGAGTAAGATTTTGGGTGTGCCTGTGATATCCCTGACACTGAGCTGGGAGGTGGTCACTGGCTCAGGGAGCTTACACGCTAATGAGCCAACAGTGCTTATGCCAAGTGTCCACATCATGCCTGGTAGAGCAGAAGTGCTCATAAATGTAGTTATTATTTGATAACCCTCAGCTCACTTTTGAAAGTAAGCAGGATTCCAAATTAAACCACCTTGGAGAAGTCTTATGACACAATGGTGACATTCTGTCTCCCAGTAAAGAATCTGTTTTCGCCTGGGCTCGGTGGCTTACGCCTATAATCCCAGGACTTTGGGAGGCCGAGGTAGGTGTATCACCTCAGGTCAGGAGTTCAAGACCAGCTTGGACAACATGGTGAAACCCCGTCTCTACTAAAAATACAAAAATTAGCCGGGTGCGGTGGCGAGGGCCTGTAGTCCCAGCTATTCAAGAGGCTGAGGCAGGAGAATCGATTGAACCCAGGAGATGGAGGTTGCAGTGAGCCAAAATGGTGCCACTGCACTCCAGCCTGGGTGACAGAATGAGACTCTGTCTCAGAAAAAACAAAAAGAATCTGTTTTTTCAGGCCAGGTGTGGTGGCTCACGCCTGTAATCCCAGCACTTTGGGAGGCTGAGGAGAGCGGATCGTTTGATGCTAGGAGTTCAAGACCAGCCTGGCCAACATAGTGAAACCCTGTCTTTACTAAAAATAAAAAAATTAGCTGGACATGGTGGCGCGTGCCTGTAGTCCTAGCTACTCAGGAGGCTGAGGCAGAAGAATCGCTTGAAAACGGGAGGTGGAGGTTGCACTGTGCTCCAGCTTGGGCAACAGAGTGAGACTTTGTCTCAAAAAAAAAAAAAGATTCCGTTTTTTTCTTTTTTGTACAGAACAATAGGAACATACTAGCAAAAAATCTCATTGTAAATTTCTCAAATTGTTGTACTGATCAATGTGTAACCTGTGGGACACTAAATGGGACGCTGATTTATTTTTTTTTTAAGATTAACTGAAGCGCACCTCTGGAGGCTGAGGTTGGAGGATCCCTTGAGCCCAGGAGTTCCAGGCTATAGTGAATTATGATTGCACCATTGTACTCTACCCTGAGCAGCGAAGTGAGACCCTGTCTCTTTTTTTTTTTTTTTGAGACGGAGTCTAGCTGTCACCCAGGCTGGAGTGCAGTGGCGCGATCTGGGCTCACTGCAAGCTCCGCCTCCCGGGTTCACGCCATTCTCCTGCCTCAGCTTCCCCAGTAGCTGGGACTACAGGCGCCCGCCACCACGCCCAGCTAACTTTTTGTATTTTTAGTAGAGGTGGGGTTTCACCGTGTTAGCCAGGATGGTCTTGATCTCCTGACCTCATGATCTGCCCGCCTTGGCCTCCCAAAGTGCTGGGATTACAGGTGTGAGACACCGCGCCCGACCGACCCTGTCTCTAAAAAAAAGAAAAAAAGCCAGGCGCGGTGGCTCACACCTGTAATCCCAGCATTTTGGGAGGCCAAGGCGGGTGGATCAGGAGATCGAGACCATCCTGGCTAACACGGTGCAACTCTGTCTGTACTAAAAATACAAAAAATTAGCCCGGCATGGTGGCATGCACCTGTAGTCCCAGCTACTTGGGAGGCTGAGGCAGGAGAATCGCTTGAACCTGGGAGGCAGAGGTTGTAGTGAGCTGAGATCGCGCCACTGCACTCCAGCCTGGGCAACAGAATGAGACTCCGTCTCAAAAAAAAAAAAAAAGGCCGAGCACGGTGGCTCACGCCTGTAATCCCAGCATTTTGGGAGGCCAAGGCAGGTGGATCACCTGAGGTCGGGAGTTCGAGACCAGCCTGACCAACATGGAGAAACCCCATCTCTACTAAATATACAAAATTAGCCGGGCATGGTGGTGCATGCATGTAATTCCAGCTACTCAGGAGGCTAAGGCAGGAGAATCACTTGAACCTGGGAGGTGGAGGTTTTGGTGAGCCGATATCACGCCATTGCACTCCAGCCTGGGCAAGAGCGAAACTCCGTCTCAAAAAAAAAAAAAAAAAAAAGAAAAGGAAGAAAAAAAGAGGACAATTCTGGTATGAGGACCCCACGCCCTTGTTTTAAACTTTCCTGTAAAAACCTTTGTCCTTGGGACAGACTCGGGAACATGCCCAACTCTGCTGGTGTGTCTTCCTGGGTCAATTCTCACATTTGCCTTCCAATAAGCCTTTATCAAATTATTTCTGTCTCATCAGGCTTAAGTTTAGTTGCATAATGGTCACCATCACAGATAAGTAGACTGAGGCCCAGAGAGAGCCTTAACAAAGGAATGAAGGTCCTACGACAAGGGAGGCAGCACCGACTGGGCTCTGAGTTCTGTAAGGTGAGTGGGTGGTAAGTGTCAGTGGAAGGTTTGTTATTGTTGTTGTTGTTGTTTCGAGACAGAGTCATGTAGGCTGGAGTGCAGTGGCCTGATCATGGCTCACTGCAGCCTTAAACTCCTGGACTCAAGCCATTCACCCGCCTTGGCCTCCCAAAGTGCTGGGATTACAGCTGTGAGTCTCCGCAACCGGCCTTGCCTTTTGTTTTGGTTGCGGTGGTGGACCCTGGGTGAGGGTAGGGGTGCGGTGGGGTGGAGCAGGAGGTGATACACCTGACTGCTGCATCTAGATTCATCCTAGTCTTTTTTTTTTTTTTTTTTTGCACCAACTGGCAGAATTTCCTCCCTTTCTCTCTCTGCCTCCTTTTCTGATTCACTCTCCATCTGTTAGTGGCTTCTGGCTTCTGAGAATGTGGATGCAGAAGGGTGGGGTAAGCTGTGGGGGGTGGGGAAGTAGATACAAAAACACAGGCAGTCCTTAATAGGCTTTCAAATATTTTTTGAGTGCTCTCTAGGTATCAAGCAATATTCTAGGAGCTGGGGGAGTCCTACCATGAATAAAATCGAGTTTGTCCCTGCTTTCACAGAGGTTCCATTGCAGGGTATATATGTATGGAGGGGAGGGGAGGGAACTGTAGATACAGACGGGGACAAGATATGTCAGGAATGGGTAAGGGCTATAAAGGAGGTAAGAGTGTCTGGGGAGAAGGCACAGCTTGAGACAATGAGAACAGCGAAGACCACGCTGAGGAGCTGGGACCTGGGAGATGCAAAGGAGGCAGCTGAAGATCCAGAGGAAGAGGGTGCCTGGCCTGGCGAAACAGGGAAAGGCTGTGAAATCCATGTGTTGGAGGAACTTTAGGAAGGCCAGTGTGGCTGGACTAGAGAGACAGAAAGAAGGCAAGTCAAGGCCAGGCGCAGTGGCTCACATCCGTAATCCCAGCACTTTGGGAAGCTGAGGTGGAGTTCGAGACCAGCCTGGCCAACGTGGTGAAACCCCATCTCTACTAAAAATATAAAAATTAGCCAGGTGTGGTGGCATGTGCCTGTAGTCCCAGCTACTTGGGAGAATGAGGTGGGAGAATCACTTGAACTTGGGAGGCAGAAGTTGCAGTGAGCCGAGATTGCGCCACTGCACTCCAGCCTGGGTGACAGAGTAAGGCTCCGTCTCGAAAAAAAAAAAAGAAAGAAAGAAAGTAAAGAAAGGATCCCAGTGCCAGGTCCTATAGACCATGATGGGGAGTTCACAAGCAATTTTTTTTAAAGGGGATAGGAGGCCACTAAAAGAATTAAGAATGAAGACTCAAAGGCAGCAAGACAGGAAGTAGGGAGACCAATTAGGAGGCACTGGCTGTGACAGAGGCAGATGATGATGATCTGGACCAGTGGGGGTTAGAGAAGAGATGATATTCTAGGGGTCTTTGGGAGGTGACTGAGAGATGAGGGCAACATTCCCTGAGGTGGGGGACACTAGGACAGAAGCAGGTTTGTTGAAGACATCTAAGGTGGGTGGGGAAAGAAACAAATTCAGTTGTGGGCATGTGGAGTATGGAGAGTCGGTGGACAGCCAGAGACACTGTTCCAGGCTGGAGGAGAGACCAGATGATGCTTGAAGTTTTTGTCTTTTAAAAAATCAGTTGCCAGAAGTGGTGGCTCCAGGCAGATCACCGGAGGTTAGGAGTTTGAGACCAACCTGCCCAACACGGTGAAACGACGTCTCTGCTAAAAATACAAAAATTAGCCAGGTGTGGTGGTGGGGACCTGTAATCCCAGCTACTTCCGGGGCTGAGGCAGGAGAATCACTTGAACTCAGGAGTCAGAGGTTGCAGTGAGCCGAGATGGCACCACTGCACTCGAGCCTGAGTGACAAGAGTGAGACTCTGTCTCAAAAAAAAAAAAATATCAGTTATAGGCCAGGAACAGTGGCCTGTAATCCCAGCACTTTGGGAGACCGAGGCGGGTGGGTCACCTAAGGTCATGAGTTTGGGGCCAGCCTGGCCAACATAGTGAAACCCCGTCTCTACCAAAAATACAAAAATTAGTCAGGTGTGGCAGCACATGCCTGTAATCCCTGCTACTCAGGAGGCTGAGGCAGGAGAATCCCTTGAACTCAGAAGGTAGAGGCTGCAGTGAGCTGAGATTGTAGGGCCACTGCACTCCAGCCTGGCGACAGAGCGAGACCCCATCTCAAAAAAAAAAAAAAAAAAATCAGTTATCATCCAGGCACGGTGGCCCACGACTATAATTCCAGCACTTTGGGAGGCCGAGGTGGGTGGATCACTTGAGCTCAGGAATTTGAGACCAGCCTTGGTAACATGGTGAAACCCCAGCTCTATGAAAAATACAAAAAGGAGCTGGGCGTGGTTGTGCAAGCCTATAGTCTCAGCTACTCGGGAAGTCAAGATTGGAGGATCACTTGTGCCCAGGAGGAGACTCTATCCTCCAAAATAACTAAATAAAAATAAATGGCCAGGCACGGTGGCTCACGCCTGTAATGCCAGCACTTTGGGAGACTGAGGCAGGAGGATCACGAGGTCAAGAGATTGAGACCATCCTGGCCAACATGGTGAAACCCTGTCTCTACCAGAAATACAAAAATTGGCTGGGCGCGATGGCTCATGCCTGTAATCCCAGCACTTTGGGAGGCCAAGGCAGCAGATCATGAGGTCAAGAGATCGAGATCATCCTGGCCAACACGGTGAAACCCCGTCTCTACTAAAAATACAAAAAATTAACCAGGCGTGGTGGCTCGTGCTTGTAGTCCCAGCTACTCGGGAGGCTGAGGCAGGAGAATCGCTTTAACCTGGGAGGCAGCCAAGATCGCACCACTGCACAGACCGAGACTCCGTCTCCAAATCAATCAATCAATAAACAAACAATTATGGTGGCTCACACCTGTAATCCCAGCACTTTGGGAGGCCAAGGCAGGAGGATTGCTTGAGCCCAGGAGTTAGAGACCAGAGTGGGCAACATGGTAAAACCCCATTTCTACTAAAAATGTAAAAATTAGCCAGGCATGGTGGTTCCTGCTTGTGGTCCCAGCTACTCCGGGGGCTGAGGCAGGAGGACTGCTTGAGCACTGGAGGCTGGGGCTGCAGTGAGCCGAGATCCCGCCACTGCACTCAGCCTGGGAGATCAACCCAGACCGGTCCCCCCCACCAAAAAAAAGAAAAAAAGAAAGAAAAGAAAAGAAGGGCCGGGCGCGGTGGCTCACGCCTGTAATTCAACACTTTGGGAGGCTGAGGCGGACGGATCACAAGGTCAGGAGATCGAGACCATCCTAGCTAAGACGGTGAAACCCTGTCTCTACTAAAAAATACAAAAAAATTAGCCAGGCGTAGTGGCGGACGCCTGTAGTCCTAGCTACTGAGGAGACTGAGGCAGGAGAATGGTGTGAACCCAGGAGGCGGAGCTTGCAGTGAGCCGAGATTGCGCCACTGCACTCCGGCCTGGGCGACAGAGCAAGACTCCGTCTCAAAAAAAAAAAAAAAGAGAAACTTACTTAGTAGGGTTGCTGTGAGGATTATACAAGACAGAAGCATCTTCACCAAGCCATAGGCCATAGAAAGGTCTTTTTGTTTGTTTGTTTTTTGAGATAGAGTCTCACTCTGTTGCCCAGGCTGGAGTGCAATGGCCTGATCTCGGCTCACTGCAACCTCCGCCTCCCGGGTTCAAGTGATTCTCCTGGCTCAGCCTTCTGAGTAGCTGGGACTAGAGGCGCGTGCCACGACGCCCGGCTAATTTCTGTATTTTTAGTAGAGACGGGGTTTCACCATGTTGCCCAGGCTGGTCTCGAACTCCTGGTCTCAAGTGATCTGTCCGCCTCGGCTTCCCAAAGTGTGGGATTACAGGCGTAAGCCACCACACCTGGCCATAGAAAGGTCTTAATACGGCCGGGCGCGGTGGCTCACGCCTGTAATCCCAGCTCTTTGGGAGGCCCAGGCGGGTGGATCATGAGGTCAGATATTGAGACCATCCTGGCCAACATGGTGAAATCCTGTCTTTACTAAAATACAAAAAAAAAAAAAAATTGCCGGGCGTGGTGTCGCGCGCCTCTAGTGCCAGCTCTTCGGGAGGCTGAGGCCGGAGAATCACTTGAACCCAGGAGGCTGAAGCTGCAGTGAGCCGAGATCGCGCCACTGCACTCCAGCCTGGCCAAAGAGCAAGACTCTGTCTAAAAAAATAAATAAATAAATAAAAAATAAAGGTCTTAATACTTGTTAATTACTATTACTGACCCCAGGAACTCTCTGAAGCACTTTTCATGCAGGTATCACCTTCTTTAGCACTCACATTATGTCTTATCGGAAACAGGTTTAGAGCTGTCAAGAAATTCCTCCAGAGTCGTTTACACTTCCAGCAGGGGAGTCAAGACTTCAACCCAGAAACTCACAAGCAGGAAAAACTTGGCAAACAGGCACGGGTCAGACAATGCTTAGGGCTTGCTCAAGGACTCGTGACCAGTTACTGATCTATGCAGATCTTCTGATTGCAAACTGATAGCTGGATTGTAACTTGAAGGGTCCGATAAGATGTAAACTTCATAAAACAGGATTTGGGGAGGTAAATGGAGTAGAGTCCTCCAGAGGAGTCGAGAAAGCTAGCTTGGCCCTCAATTGTGGTTGAGGTGATTCTTTCATTTAGGGCCTATTTTCCTCATCTATGAGTGCGGGAAGGAGAGTTACTGGGGTCTCTAGCGACCTTTCCAACACTGATTTTCAAGGGCGAAAGAATTCTGCTTAGGTAAGGCCCAAATCCCTTGGCTAAGGTTAATCCTCGGTGGGACCGGCAATAGGGACGCGTCCCCTTTAAGGCGCCAGCTCTCCGGCGGCGGCGGCCGGAAGTGTTGAAGCCCGGCCTGGCGGCGGCGGTGGCGGTAGCTGCCGTGGCGGCCTCTGCGCATGCTCCGTCGCCTGCCCGCCCTGGCCGCTCGCCGCCCGCCCGCCCGACGGAGACGGTGAGGAGGGGGAGGGGTGGGCGCGCGGGCGCGGGGTGGGGTGGGGGCGGGGGGGCGGGCGCGGGGGCCGCGCGGCGGCCGGCGAGGGCGGGCGGGCGCGCAGGGGGCGGGGGGCTGCTGCCTCCGCGGGCGCCTCCCCACGCCCTGTGCGTGCCGCCGCCGCCGCCGGGGAGCGAGCGGACGTCGCGGCGCCGCGGGGGGGTGGGGGGACGCTGCCGCTGGGTCCGCCCGAGCCGCCGGGCCGCCCCCAGCGCAGCCGGCCGCGCCGCCGGGGCTCGGGCCCCAGACCAGGGCGGCGGGAACCGGCGAGTCCACCACTGGGGGGGCCCCGGCGCCCCCGGACCGAGGGGCCCGGAAGTACTCGGCTCAGGGGCCAGGAGGGGCCGGAGTGACTCCGGACTGAGAGGGCCAGGCGCCCAGGACCCCATCGAGGGGTCCGGGGAGCCTGGGGTATCCCCAAAGGCGGGGTCCGGGGAGCACCGGGCCCTTGGATGAGGAGCTGGTTGGAGGCCTGGGTCCTGCCCAGTGGGAGGGGGACGATAGGTGCTGGAAGCCCGGATGCCCGCCTGGGAGGAGACCCTCTCGGAGCCTTGGCGGGAGAGCAAGAGTACAGAGTGGGTTCTTCTGAGGAGAGCAGAGTCCAGCTTATCCCGAGGGGCGCGGTAGAGGCCTCGGCCACTCAGAACAAGGGAAAAAAGGGCAGGTTTTTTCCAAAGGCAGGGAAGGAAGAGGAGCTCTAAGGGGAAGTGAGCAGGCCCAGGTCTCCCCACAGATGAGCGCGTGGTAGGAAGACTCCTAGAGCCTCCTGAAGTACGAAAGAGCAGCGTCCAAACCTGAGGGGATGGAAGGTGTCTAGGTGCCTCTTGATGTCTAGGTGGAGAACAAAGTAACCCGCTCGGTCAGGGGATGGAGAAACCTATCTTTTTGAGAGAAGCAGAGATCGTTGAGGAAAGATGCTTAAGGTGTTCCCGCTTTCTGAAATGACAGGAATTGGCCAGGTGTTATCTAATTGAGGGGCAGGAGAGATGAAGGCAAAATCTCAACCCGAGGGTCTTTGGAGGATGATCCACAAGACAAGAGGGTGAAGTCTTGACCTAGACAGCAGAGCAGGCGCAGCCCTGGATTCTCTCAAGATGAGAGAAATCTCAAAACCACTTCCTAGTAGACACAGATGGGGCCTTGATTGGTGTCTGTTTAGGCCAATCAAGACGGGTTTTAGGAAAAGAGACTGTCAGACATAATTCTAGTCTTGAGGGATTATCTTCTTCCTCCTTGCCTCTTCTAATAGTTACCAAAGTGCATTTGGGGACCCTTTTTATTTATTTATTTATTTATTTGTTTTTTGAGACGGAGTCTCACTCTATCGCCCAGGCTGGAGTGGTGGCTCACTGCAACTTCCGCCTCCTGGGTTCAAACGATTCTCCTGCCTCAGCCTCCCGAGTAGCTGGGACTACAGGCGCGTGCCACCACACCAGCCAATTTTGTTGTTGTTGTTGTTGTTGTTTGAGACGGAGTTTCACTCCTGTTGCCCAGACTGGAGTGCAATGGCGCGATCTCAGCTCACTGCAACCTCCGCCTCTTGGGTTCAAGCGATTCTCCTGCCTCACCCTCCCGAGTAGCTGGGGCTACAGGCGCCCGCCACCACACCCAGCTAATTTTTGTATTTTTAATAGAGACGGGGTTTCACCATGTTGGCCAGGCTGGTCTCGAACTCCCAACCTCAGGTGATCCCACATCCTCAGCCTCCCAGAGTACTGGGATTACAGGCGTGAATCACTGCGCCTGGCCCAACCAGGCTAATTTTTTTGTGTTTTTAGTAGAGACGGGGTTTCACCATGTTAGCCAGGATGGTTTCGATCTCCTGACCTTGTGATTCGCCCGCGTTGGCCTCCTAAAGTGCTGGTATTACAGGCGTGAGCCACTGCGCCCGGCGGGGGAAACTTATTCAATGGTTGCACCGTCTCCTAATTTGAGAGCCTTATATCAAGGATGTATATTTAATATCTTACTTAAATGATTTTTTTTGGGTTCCTATTTACTTCAGCAAATACATTGTATAGGTAGCTTCTACTCAGCTTCATTGGGTTTATTGTGGGGGCAGTATTTTGGTCTTGCCCTAAGCCAAAGTCCACCGGACTGTAGCGGGATGACTCCAAATAACTCTTATCCCATCGCTCCCTCAAACATCTACATAATAGTCTCCAGTCTGTGACTTAGAATTTCACCTCCTCTGGATACTTCCCTCAGTGTTTCTGCATAATTTACTTGTTGACCTCATTACATCTTGTAGCACTATGGATCACCCACTGAATGCATGAGAAGAAATAAAGGGGATATCAAGGAGTTTTGGCCTCAAGTAATAATAAAGTTTTAACTTGGATTTTTCCCCCCGTTTTAAACAAAACTGTAGTTTAGAGTGGAAATTTCTTTTTTATTTTATTTTTTTGGGGGAACAGAGTTTCCCTCTGTTGCCCAGGTGAGAGTGCATTGCGGGATCTCAGCTCACTGCAAACTCGATCCTCTCAGCTCAGCCTCCTGAGTAGCTGGGACTACAGGTGCGTGGCACTGCGCCCGCCTAATTTTGTTAGTTTTCTGGCGGGCGCTGTGATTTATGCCTGTAATGCCAGCACTGTGGGAGGCCGAGACAGGCGGCCTCCCAAAGTGAGCGGCCTCCTCGGCCTCTCTTTAGCTCGAGTTCCAGACCAGCTTGGGCAACATGGTGAAACCCCGTCTCTACAAAAAATGACAAAAATTAGATGGGCGTGGTGGAGCTAGTTGCCTGTGGTCCCAGCTACTCTGGAGGCTTAAGTGGGAGGATCGCTTGAGCTCCGGAAGTCGAGGTTGCAGTGAGCCGAGAGCGCACCACTGCTCTCCGGCCTGGGTGACAGAGTGAGACTATGTCTCACTAAAAAATAAATAAATAAATATATAAAAAATAAAACGACTACACAGTCTTCAAAAGTTATAATAGAGTGTGGAATAAATAAATATTTTGGGCTGGGCGCGGTAGCTCACGCCTGTAATCCCAGCACTTTGGGAGGTGGAGGCGGGCGGATCACCTGAGGTCAGGAGTTTGAGACCCACCTGGCCAACATGGTGAAACCCTGTCTCTACTAAAAAATACAAAAATTAGCTGGGCGTGGTGGCAGATGCTTGTAATCCCAGCTCCTTGGGAGGCAGGAGAATTGCTTGAACTTGGGAGGCGGAAGTTGCAGTGAGCCGAGACCGTGCCATTGCACTCCAGCCTGGGCAACAAGAGAGAAACTCCGTCTCAAAAAAAAAATTAAATAAATATTTTGGGGTTAGAAAATTTCAGAAAATCTCGTACTCATTTTTACTTTTTTTTTTAACTTTTATTTTTATTTATTTATTTATTTATTTATTTATTTATTTATTTTTGAGACGGAGTCTCACTCTGTCGCCCAGGCTGGAGTGCAATGGCGCGATCTTGGCTCACTGCAAGCTCCGCCTCCCGGGTTCACGCCATTCTCCTCCTCAGCCTCCCGAGTAGCTGGGACTACTCTCCCGCCACCACTCCCAGCTAATTTTTTTTTTTTGTATTTTTTGTAGAGATGGGGTTTCACCGTGTTAGCCAGGATGATCTCCATCTCCTGACCTCGTGATCCGCCCGCCTCAGCCTCCCAAAGTGCTGGGATTACAGGCTTGAGCCACCACGCCCGGCCTACTTTTTTAAGTCCCCAGAAAGTGCCAATATTATTATTATTATTTTTTGTTATTATACTTTAAGTTCTAGGGTACATGTGCACAACGTGCAGGTTTGTTACATATGTATACATGTGCCATGTTGGTGTGCTGCACCCATTAACTCGTCATTTATATTAGGTATATCTACTAATGCTATCCCTCCCCACTCTGGCCTGGGTGACATATTGTTCCTTTTTTTTTTTTTTTTTTTGTTTTGACGGAGTCTCGCTCTGTTGCCAGGCTGGAGTGCAGTGGCACAATCTCAGCTCACTGCAACCTCCTCCTCCTGGGTTCAAGTGATTCTCCTGCCTCAGCCTCCCGAGTACTGGGACTACAGGCACATGCCACCATGCCCAGATAATTTTTTTTTTTTTGAGTTTTGCTCTTGTTGCCCAGGCTGGAGTGCAGTGGCGCGATCTCGGCTCAGCGCAACCTCTGCCTCCCGGGTTCAAGTGGTTCTCCTGCCTCAGCTTCCCGAGTAGATAGGATTACAGGCATGTGCCACTACGCCCGGCTAATTTTGTATTTTTAGTAGAGACGTGGTTTCTCCATGTTGGCCAGCTGGTCTTGAACTCCCCACCTCAGGTGATCCGCCTGCCTCGGCCTCCCGAAGTGCTGGGATTACAGGTGTGAGCCACTGCGCCCAGCCAGTATTACTCCTTTTTCATTACTAGTTCCAATGTCCTTCCCTGCAATCATGTGACACTTGTCCATTTTTCGTTTGTTTGTTTTTTTGAGATGGAGTTTCCAGGCTGGAGTGCAGTGGCTGTGGCGCGTTCTTGTCTCACTGTAACCTCCGCCTCCTGGGTTCAAGCGATTCTCCTGCCTCAGCCTCCTGAGTAGCTGGGATTACAGGCACCCACAACCACGCCTGGCTAATTTTTGTATTTTTAGTAGAGACGGGGTTTCACCATGTTGGCCAGGCTGGTCTCGAACCCCTGACCTTGTGATCCACCCTCCTTGGCCTCCCAAAGTGCTGGGATTACAGGCGTGAGCCACTGCGTGCAGCCTGACACTTGTCCTTATTCAAACATAGCATCTTGCCACATTATAGACATTGGATTTTCAGGACACACAAAAATGAATTTAGAGTGGGTCAGAAATCATTTGTTTAGTTTTCTGGTGGCTATATAAGCAGCGATGTGCTTAGTTTCAAAGTGTTGTTTTTGTCTTTGGAAATAACTACAGGCTGGGCACAGTCGCTCAGGTCTTTAATCTCAGCACTTTGGGAGGCCGAGGTGAGAGGATTGCTTGAGCCCAGGAGTTTGACACCAGGCTAGGCAACATAGCAAGACCTCATGTCTACAAAGAAGTAAAGAAATTAGGCCAGGCGTGGTGTCTCATGCCTGTCCCAGCACTTTGGGAGGCCGTGGTGGGTGGATCACGAGGTCAGGAGTTCAAGACCAGCCTGGCCAACATGATGAAACCCTGTCTCTACTAAAAATACAAAAAATTAGCCAGGCATGGTGGCGGGCACCTGTAATCCCAGCTACTCGGGAGGCTGAGGCTGAGACAGAATTGCTTGAACTAGGGAGGTGGAGGTTGCAGTGAGCCAAGACCCTGCCATTGCACTCCAGCCTGGGTGACAGAGCGAGACTCCGTCTGAAAAAAAAAAAAAAAGTTAATGAAAAAAAGGAAAACAGAAATGAGCAGGGTTGGTGGTTGGTACCCATAGTGCCAGCTACTCCAGAGGCTGAGGTGGGAGGATCACTTGAGGCCCCAAGGTCGGGGCTGCAGTGAGCCAAAAACACTGTACTCCACACTGGTCTGGGTGACAGAGGGTGACCCTGTCTCAAAAAACAAAACGAAAGAAAACAAAAACCCAAAAAACTACGGAACAGTTAATTTTATTTATTTATTTATTTATTTTTTTGAGACGGAGTCTCCCTCTGTTCCCCATGTACAAAGGCACAATCTTGGCTCACCTGCAACCTCCGCCTCCTGGGCTCAAGTGATTCTCCTACCTCAGCCTCCCGAGTAGCTGAGATTACAGACATGGGCCACCACGCTTGGCTAATTTTGTATTTTTAGTAGAGATGGGGTTTCTCCATGTTTGTCAGGCTGGTCTCTTAACTCCCGACCTCAGGTGATCTGACTGCCTGGTCCTCCCAAAGTGCTGGGATTACAGGTGTGGGCCACCGTGCCCGGCCAGAATAGTTAATTCTTTTTTTTTTTTTTTTTTTTTTTTTTTTGAGACGGAGTCTCGCTCTGTCGCCCAGGCTGGAGTGCAGTGGCGGGATCTTGGCTCACTGCAAGCTCCGCCTCCCGGGTTCACGCCATTCTCCTGCCTCAGCCTCCCAAGTAGCTGGGACTACAGGCGCCCGCCACTACGCCCGGCTAATTTTTTGTATTTTTAGTAGAGACGGGGTTTCACCGTTTTTAGCCGGGATGGTCTCGATCTCCTGACCTCGTGATCCGCCCGCCTCGGCCTCCCAAAGTGCTGGGATTACAGGCGTGAGCCACCGCGCCCGGCCTTTTTTTTTTTTTTTTTGAGACGGAGTCTTGCTCTGTCGTCCAGGCTGGAGTGCAGTGGCTCCATCTTGGCTCACTGCAAGCTCTGCCTCCTGGGTTCACGCCATTCTCCTGCCTCAGCCTCCCAAGTAGCTGGGACTACAGGCGTGCGCTACCACGCTGAGCTAATTTTTTGTATTTTTAGTAGAGACGAGGTTTCACCATGTTAGCCAGGATGGTCTTGATCTCCTGACCTTGTGATCCACCTGCCTTGGCCTCCCAAAGTGCTGGGATTACAGGCGTGAGCCACCGCGCCCGGCCCCACAATAGTTAATTCTTAAGCATTTCACATAAATTTGGCATATTTCTTTTACATGTGTTCACATAGAATTCCAGAGAGAGATCGGCCGGGGTGGCTCACTCCTGTAATCCCAGCACTGTGGGAGACAGGCGCGGGCAGATCACTTGAGACCAGGAGTTCTGACACCAGCCTGGCCAACGTGGTGAAACCCCGTCACTACTAAAAATAAAAAAAGCCGAGCATGGTGGTGTGCACATGTCATCCCAGCTGCTACTCGGAAGGCTGAGGCACAACAATCGCTTGAACCCAGGAGGCAGAAGTTGCAGTGAGCGGAGATCCCGCCACTGCACTCCAGCCTGGGCAACAGAGTGAGACTCTGTCTCAAAAAAAAAAAAAAAAGAAAAGAAAAGCAAGTTTAAATTAAAAAAAGAAAAAAGAATTCCAGAGAGAGTTGTATGATTTCACAATGCATACTCCAAAGCCCCGAACGATCAACTCACTCATCTTGCCTCAGGAGTTTTTGTTGCTGTAAACAAGAGCTACTTTTCCATTTACACTCAGCTTAGAGATGACCTTGCATTTAGAGTTGGTTTCAGGTTACCTGCAAGGAATATGGTATTTAGGGTAATGAGTGATACTTAACCCAAACTTGCTTCTCTAAAGAAGGTCAGAATTGCCATGTTGAATCAGACCCATGACTTAGAGTGACATTGAGAGATGTATTGTGGATGATTATAATTATCCTCTCTGATAAACTCTCAGAAGGCTAGAGAAGAAGCCAGAACATTCCTCTTGGGTACTAATGTATGGTGTGGGTAAAGAGTAAAATGTGAGTTCCTATTGAGGAAGGTATTAAGAAGTTAGTCAACCATCTATTCAGAATGTTGTAGAGGGGACTTAGCTTAGGGTAGAAAGTTGAAATTAGAAGCATCCTTCTAAATCTGCTTCTTTAACAATTAACTAACCCATTTTTTTTGCCTAAGGTATTATAGGTTGAGTATCCCTAATCTGAAAATCTGAAACCCCAAATCTCCAAAATCTGAAAATTTTTGAGCCAACATGATGGCATAAGTGAAAAAATCCCACAGATTAGTAGTTAACGCAGGCTCTGTTTCATTCACAAAATTATTAAAAATATTGTATAAAATTGGCCAGGCGTGGTGGCTCACGCCTGTAATCCCAACACTTTGGGAGGCCAAGGTGGGTGGATCACGAGGCCAGGAGATCGAGACCATCCTGACTAACACGGTGAAACCCTGTCTCTACTAAAAATACAAAAAATTAGGCGGCATGGTGGCAGGCGCCTGTAGTCTCAGCTACTTGGGAGGCTGAGGCAGGAGAATGGCATGAACCCGGAGGCGGAGCCTTCAGTGAGCCGAGATCAGGGCGCTGCACTCCAGCCTGGGTGACAGAGCAAGACTCCGTCTCAAAAAAAAATAAATAAATAAATAAATACAAATAAAGATATTGTATGAAATTGCCATCAAGTGGCCGGGCGCCATGGCTCATGCCTGTAATCTCAGCACTTTGGGAGGCTGAGGTGAGTGGAGTTCAAGACCAGCCTGGCCAAGATGGTGAAACCCTGACTCTACTAAAAATACAAAAAGATTAGCTAGACATGGTGGCGGGCACCTGTAATCTCAGCTACTCTGGAGGCTGAGGCAGGAGAATCACTTGAACCCAGGAGGCAGAGGTTGCAGTGAGCTGAAATTGCATCACTGAACAGCAGCCTGGGTGAAAAATCGAGACTTTGTCTCAAAAATAAAAAAGAATTGCCATCAGGCTATGTGTGTAAGATGTATGTGAAACATAATCGAATTTTGAATTTTGTGTTTAGACTTGTGTCCTATCCCCCAGATATCACATTATGTAAATATGCCAAAATTAAAAAAAAAAATCTGAAATTTGAGGCACTTCTGATCTCAAGCATTTCAAATAAGGGATGCATAATCTGTAATTTTTTTTTTCTTTTTTTTTTGGAGATGGAGTATTGCTCTGTCGCCCAGGTTGGAGTGCAGTGGCACGATCTCAGCTGGGACTACAGGCGCCCATCACCACGTCTGGCTAATTTTTTGCATTTGTAGCAGAGACAGGGTTTCCCCGTGTTAGCCAGGATGGTCTTGATCTCCTGACTTTGCGATCCGCCTGCCTTGGCCTCCCAAAGTGCTGGGATTACAGGCGTGAGCCACCGTGCCTGGCCCATAATCTGTAATTTTTGAAAATTTAAAGCACATTTTTGGAATAATGATTCCATAAGTTTGCTACTTGCCAAAGTATTACATCTTTTAAATTAAATGTGTTATAGCACGGTGCTTGACAATGAGTGCTAGCTCAATAAAGGTTAGCTGATTCTTTTAATTCCGCCTACATTTTTATGGTTCAAATTTTGAAGATATTTATGGGTTCAGTTATTCTAGGATTAGATGGTATTTGTATGCTTTATCACATTCCTTTTTGGCCTTTTCTAGACTCGAGGGTCTTAATTGTTTTGGTTCTACTGTTGGTAGCCAGCTGAACCAGTTCATTGATTTTTATTTTATCTTATTTTATTTTATTTTGGTTTTAAGGAGTGGAGAGTTTAATAGGCAAGAAAGAAGGGAGAAGAGGCCGGGCATGGTGGCTCACGCTTGTAATCCCAGCACTTTGGGAGGCCAAGGCAGGCGGATCACCTGAGGTCAGGAGTTTGAGACCAGCCTGGCCAACATGGTGAACTCCCGTCTCTACTAAAAATACAAAAATTAGCCGGGTGTGGTGGCAGGTCCCTGTAATCCCAGCTACTCGGGAGGCTGAGGCAGGAGAATTGCTTGAACCCGAGAGGTGGAGGTTGCAGTGAGCCTAGATCACACCACACCACTGCACTCCAGCCTGGGGTATAAGAGTGAGACTTCGTCTCAAAAAAAAAAAAAAGAAAGGAGAAGAAAGGAAGAAGCTCCCCTTACAGAGACAGAGGGAAGGGGGCTCCAAAGCCAAGAGAGGAGACCCTTGATTTTCTTTTCTAGTGTTTTTGTTTGTTTGTTTGTTTGTTTGTTTTTTGAGACGGAGTCTCGCTCTGTCGCCCAGGCTGGAGTGCAGTGGCGCAATCTTGGCTCACTGCAAGCTCCGCCTCTGGGGTTCGCCATTCTCCTGCCTCAGCCTCCCGAGTAGCTTGGACTACAGGGGCCCGCCATCGCGCCTGGCTAATTTTTTGTATTTTTAGTAGAGATGGGGTTTTACCATGTTAGCCAGGATGGTCTTGATCTCCTGAGCTCATGATCCGCCTGCCTCGGCCTCCCAAAGTGCTGGGATTACAGGTGCGAGCCACCGCGTCCGTCTCTTTTCTAGTTTTATATAATTTTATTTTGAGGCAGACTCTTGCTTTGTCACCTAAGCTGAAGTGCAGTGGCACGATCTTGGCTCACTGCAACCTCTGCCTCCTGAGTGGCTGGGACTACAGGTTCACGTTACCACACCCGGTTAATTTTTGTACTTTTAGTAGAGACAGAGTCTCACCATGTTGCCCAGGCTGGTCTTGAACTCCTGAGCTTAAGCAATCCGCCCACCTCAGCCTCCCAAAGTGCTAGGTATCAGCCACGGTGCCTGGCCCTTTTCTAGTTGTTTTTTTTGTTTGTTTGTTTTGTTTTGTTTTGTTTTTTTGAGACGGAGTCTCGCTCTGTCGCCAGGCTGGAGTGCAGTGCCGTGATCTTGGCCCACTGTAACCTCTGCCTCCCGGGTTCAAGCAATTCTCCTGCCTCAACCTCCGGCTAATTATGCCTGGCTAATTTTTGTATTTTTAGCAGAGACGGTTTCACCATGTTGGTCAGGATGGTCTCAATCTCTTGATCTCGTGATCCGCCCGTCTCGACCTCCCAAAATGCTGGGATCACAGGCATGAGCCACCACACCTGACCTTTTTTTTTTTTGAGATGGAGTTTCGCTTTCTTGCCCAGGCTGGAGTGCAGTGGCACCATCTTGGCTCACTGCAACCTCCACCTCCTGGGTTCAATGAATTCTCCTCCCTCAGCCTCCTGAGTAGATGGGATTACAGGCGCCCACCAACACACTTTGCTAATACTTATATTTTTAGTAGAGATGGGGTTTCACCCTGCTGGCCAAGGTGGTCTCGAACTCCTGACCTCAAGTGATCCACCGGTCTTGGCCTCCCAAAGTATTGGGATTACAGGTGTGAGCCACTGTGCCTGGCCCCTTTCTAGTTTTAAGGCTTCAAGTTGCAGGAGTTCATATTCTGTACTGTAATATCTTGCAGTTAATTTTTTCCCTGCATATCCAATAGTGTCATGTATCTCTTTTCCTTCTGTAGTTTCTCAAGAGCAGGTATTGTTGCTCCTCATATCTAAGGAATCTAACTCTAGCTGATGTGAGGTAGAGACTCAATATAATATTTGTTGAACTGGCCATAATGATGAGCCATAAGCTGTATAGCTTAGCCTAGCTGCCTAAGCAAATTTATATCCCTCCCAGATAGGAAGGCAGAAAGTTCTAGAAGGGGCCAGGCATGATGGCTCACACTTTTTTTTTTTTTTTTGAGTGGCAGTTTCACTCTTGTTGTCCGGGCTGGAGTCCAATGGCACGATCTCGGTTCACCCACCACAACCTCTGCCTCCCGGGTTCAAGCAATTCTCCTGCCTGAGCCTCCCAAGTAGCTGGGATTATAGGCAAGCGCCACCACGCCTGGCTAATTGTTTTGTATTTTTAGTAGAGATGGGGTTTCTCCATGTTGGTCAGGCTAGTCACCAACTCCCGACCTCAGGTGATCCGCCTGCCTCGGCCTCCCAAAGTGCAGGGATTACTGGCGTGAGCCACCCCTCCTGGCCAGATGGCTCACACTTGTAATCACAACACTTTGGGAGGCCAAGGCCGGATGATCACTTGAAGCCAGGAGTTCAAGACCAGCCTGGGCAACATAGTGAGATCCTGTCTCTATCTTTAAATAAATACATATAAAAATAAAAAAGAAAATTCTAGAAGTCTTTTAGGTTGAGTCACTAATTGGACAAAAATGTATTGCATATCTGCTGTGTGCTCAGATTTGTTTACAAAGGTTTAGATAAGCAGTTTTGTAGATAAAATGTAAGTCTGATATTTGAAAACCATTTATTACACTCCTGTCCTGGGCACTGTGGTAGCCTTGGGGGAATTGCTGAATAAGAAAAGCAATCCTGGCCAGGCGCAGTGGCTCATACCTATAATCCTAGCACTTTGGGAGGCTGAGGTAGGCGGATCACGAGGTCAAGAGATCAAGACCATCCTGGCCAATATGGTGAAACCCAGTCTGTACTAAAAATACAAAAATTAGCTGGGCGTGGTGGTGCGTGCCTAAAGTCCCAGCTACTCAGGAGGCTGAGGCAGGAGAATCGCTTGAACCTAGGAAAGGGAGGTGGTAGTGAGCTGAGATCATGCCACTGCACTCCAGTCTGGGGAACACAGCAAGACTCCATCTTTAAAAAAAAAAAAGAAAAGCAATCCTTGGAATCCTTGGCCAGGCATGGTGGCTCATCCCAGCACTTTGGGAGGCCGAGGTGGGCAGATCACCTGAGGTTGGGAGTTCAAGACCAACCTGACCAACATGGAGAAACCCCATCTCTACTAAAAATATAAAAATTAGCTGGACATGGTGGGGCATGCCTGTAATCCCAGCTACTGTGGAGGCTGAGGTGGGAGAATCACTTGAACCCAGAAGGCGGAGGTTATAGTGAGCTGAGATTGTGCCATTGTACTCCAGCCTGGGCAACAAGAACGAAACTCTGTCTAAAAAAACAAAACAAAACAAAACACAATCCTTGCTTTTCCAGGACGTACAGACTGAGGAGGAAAAGCCAACAAAGTGAGATGATGGTTGTGACGGGGGTACTGCAGGTGCTGAGAGATCAAGAACACAAACTCAAACCTAGTGAAGGAATTCACAGAAGGCCTCCCCAAGGAAGTGATGTTTCAAGTAAATCACAAAATGGTTAGCAGGGACTAGCCAAAAAGGAAGGGAAAGAGAATTGCTTGAACCTGGGAGGCAGAGGTTGCAGTGAGCCAAGATCGTGCCACAGAACTCCAGTCTGGGCAACGGAGCGAGACCGCGTCTCAAAAAAAAGAAAATAGTTTAGCAGTGGCTTTGTGGAGAAGTGAGCTTTGAACTGGACTTTGAAGGGAGAAGATGAGGGAGAAAGGCATTAAAGACATTTCAGGCTTAAGGAATAAAGGGCAAAGAAATATAAAGGTACATTATGCTATGCTCAGAGTACATTAGGTGGCTGGTATGGTATTAGGACTTAAGATTCTTGGGGTATGATAGTTGCAGGTAAGACCAGATGAGTATTTTGGGACCATTGAGGGAATTCAGAGTGCCGTGCTTAAGTATGTGTGTTTTAGGCAAACAAGTGCTGTGGGAGAGGTGAGATGTGGATTAGATCTTCTGACTACACTTTTTTTTTCTTTGAGACGGAGTTTCGCTCTTGTTGCCCAGGCTGGAGTGCAATGGCATGATCTCGGCTCACCGCAATCTCCACCTCCTGGGTTCAAGCGATTCTCCTGCCTCAGCCTCTCAAGTAGCTCAGATTACAGGCATGTACCACCGCGCCAGGCCAATTTTTTGTATTTTTAGTAGAGACAGGGTTTCTCCAGGTTGGTCAGGCTGGTCTCGAACTCCCAACCTCAGGTGATCCACCCGCCTAGGCCTCCAAAAGTGCTGGGATTACAGGTGTGAGCCACCACGCACGGCCCTGACTACACGTTTTGTACTCAAACTTGCATCCATTGTGTGCCTACTCTGTTTGGGCACAGTCGTAGTCATCTTTACATACTCATATATTAAAATAAATACAGTGCTCTTACCTATACTCTCTTAAGTGACTCTCTCTTTTCAACTGTGAAGACTAATAACTGCAGAATATCTTGGGGTCCTCTGAGTTTTCATTAAGATTGGGACAATGCTTGGAGTAACTTTAGAGTCAAGGAGCACATGGTGCTGGACGTTGGTTTCCTCACTAACTCTGCAAGGGAGATACTGGGCAAGATTATCTCTCCATTCAGTCTGAGGCAAAGAGTTATTAAGAAGTCCCAGGCGTGGTGGCTCACACCTGGAATCCAGCACTTTGGGAGGCTGAGACGGGTGGATCATTTGAGGTTAGGAGTTCAAGACCAGCCTGGCCAACACGGTGAAATCCCGTCTGTACTAAAAATCCAAAAATTAGCTGAGTGGTAGTGGCGCACACCTGTAATCCAAGCTACTTGGGGAGGGTGAGGCAGGAGAATCGCTTGAGCTTGGGAGGCAGATGTTGCAGTGAGCCAAGATCATGCCACAGCACTCGTCTGGGCGACAGAGTGAGACCCTGTCTCAAAAAAAAAAAAAAAAAAAAAGTCTTAGAGGTCATACAGGTGAATTCAGCATTTATTAAGCAACTACATGATAAAAGTCATCTTCCCCTTCCCATGCAGCTCAGTTCAGTCTCCCTCCACAGATACTGAGTATTTTAAAGGATGGAGAACTTGAGGCAAAATGGCTGTTTGCACAGAAAGTAGATGTGATTCCTAATTTCCAAGAGCTTCCTGTTTGGTGTGGAACTGGTAATGTGCTACAAACCAACTCTCTGGAAAAACAAAATACTCTGATTTGTAGTGCTTGTCAATTTCGGGTCTGTTTACGCCCAGCATCGCTGATTTCAAGCTGTCAACTTAGTGTCACTAAACTCGAAGTTGGAAGAGATATGTGTGCACAATGGGTTCTCAGGAGCTGTTAGAGCTTGCTGCAGAACACCATGGGATGAGTCACACGTACTAAGAAAACCTATACTAGCAAGTGACTGTTGAGGCGTTTCTGGAAGGATCAGAGCCTGTGATAGCCCATCTCACAGTTCCCATCCTTTTTAGAGGCCCATGGTCTCTAGGGTGCTCTAGGCATTATCTTGGCAGTCCTTTCATATGGTTGACTTCTTTTCTTTTCTTCTTTTCTTTTTTTTTTTGAGACGGAATTTCACTCTTGTTGCCCAGGCTGGGGTGCAATGGCATGATCTCGGCTCACCGCAACCTCCACCTCCTGGCTTCAAGCGATTCTCCTTCCTCAGCCTCCTGAGTAGAGGGGATTACAGATACGCTCCACCACGTACCCGGTTAATTTTGTATTTTAGTAGAGACAGATTTCTCCATGTTGGTCAGGCTGGTCTTGAACTCCCAACCTCAGGCGATCCGCCTGCCTAGCTAGGCCTCCCAAAGTGCTGGGATTCCAGGCGTGAGCCACCATGCCCGGCCTGTTGACATCTTTTTAAACCAGATTAAGTTATTGGTGCTTCTTGTTCCCGACAGCAGTCCCAGCTATCTGACTTCATGTGAAAGATGGCTAATGCAGAAGTGAGTGTCCCAGTGGGGGATGTGGTTGTGGTACCTACTGAAGGAAATGAAGGGGAGAATCCTGAAGACACTAAAACCCAAGTGATTTTGCAGTTACAGCCTGTGCAACAAGGGTAAGTGGCTAGAGATTTGGGTATTCTGAAGTATTTTGGGAAGCTTCAAGGGTGGGGAAATTATAACTTTATGGTTGCTTAGCACAATGGAACATTTAACATCAATCAGAGCTGGCTCAGTTTTCATCTGTATAATATACTGTATTGCGTGCTGTATTTGTCATTTTAATACTTATTACCAACAGTTACTTGTTTCCTTGTATCTGCTTCTCTTCTCCACCTTGAGCTCCTTGAGGGTAAGTTGCATGGCTCCCTCATCTTATTTTATTATTATTTTTCTTGAGACAGAGTCTTACTCTGTCACCTAGGCTGGAATGCAGTGGTGCGATCATAGCTCACTGCAACCTCGAATTCCTGGGCTCAAAAGATCCTCCCACTTTAGCCTCCTGAATAGCTGGGAATATAGGCACATACCACTGCACCTGGCTGATTTTTCTTTTGTTCTTTTTTCTTTTTTTATTTTCATAACATATTTTATTTAACCCAATATACCCAGCACATTATCATTTCATCATATACTCAATTTAAAAATTCCAGGCCTGGCCGGGTGCAGTGGCTCACGCCTGTAATCCCAGCACTTTGGGAGGCCGAGGCGCGTGGATCATGAGGTCAGGAGATCAAGACCATCCTGGCTAACATGGTGAAACCCTGTCTCTACTAAAAATACAAAAAATTAGCTGGGCGTGGTAGCAGGCGCCTGTAGTCCCAGCTACTTGGGAGGGTGAGGCAGGAGAACGGCGTGAACCCGGGAGGCGGAGCTTGTAGTGAGCCGAGATCGCGCCACTGCACTCCAGTCTGGGCGACAGAGCGAGACTCCATCTCAAAAAAAAAAAAAAAAAAATTCCAGGCCTACATGGATGGAGCTGGAAGCCATCATCCTCACCAAACCAACACAGGAACAGAAAACCAAACACTGAATGTTCTCACTCATAAATGGGAGTTAAACAATGAGAACACATGGACACAGGGAGGGGAACAACACACACTGGGGCCTGTTGGGGGGTGAGGGGGTGATGAGAGGGAACCTAGAGGACGAGTCAATAGGTGCAGCAAACCACCATGGCACACATATACCCATGTAACAAATCTGCACGTTCTGCACATGTATCCTAGAACTTTAAATAAATAAATAAATAAAAATTCCAGTTCTAATCCCACTCTTACACAGTTATGAATCTTCAGCATAACCATGAAGGCATGATTTACTTCAGAGTTCAAATGTTGACTTTTTTAGTTTTTGTAGAGATAGGGGTCTTGCTTTGTTGCTCAGTTTATCTGCACTATTTACAGAGGCTCCTTATGTGTTTACCAAAAGACTGTGTAGCTAGAGTCAGAGGATATCAGGCAAGGCAACGACCATAAATTCTCTGAACCCCCATGGAGGGGAAATTATCAAGCTGAGTCTAGCACCTACTACAATACAATGTATTATGAAGGTGTTGGAAAAAGATAAGATTTAAAAAGGGGTTCTTTTTTTTTTTTTCGTTGAGATGGAGTCTCACTGTATCGCCCAGACTAGAGTGTAGTGGTGGGATCTCAGCTCACTGCAACCTCCGCCTCCCAGGTTTAAGTGATTCTCCTGCCTCAGACTCCCAAGCAGCTGGCACTACAGGCTCTTGCCACCGTGCCTGGCCAATTTTTGTATTTTTAGAAGAGATGGGGTTTAGCTGAGATCATGCCACTGCACTGCAGCAGTAGGTGACAGAGCAAGACTCTGTCTCAAAAAAGAAAGAATACAATAATGTAGACTTACCTTTTAAGCTCTAGTAAACATAATGATGATTCGTAGGGAATGTCAATATCTTATGATGCCTTAACGTTTTGAACATATTTCGTGACTTTTGACTATGGCCATAGTAGATATAGAGAATTAAGCTCAATCCATCACTATCCTGAGTTACTTTAGATAATTTTTCCCTGATAAAAAATCTTGTTTACGGCCAGTCATAGTGGCTCACACCTGTAATCTCAGTACTTTGGGAGGCCGAGGTGGGCGGATCACGAGGTCAGGAGTTCGAGACCAGCATGACCAACATGGTGAAACCCTGTCTCTACTAAAAATACAAAAATTAGCTGGGCATGGTGGCGCATGTCTGTAATCCCAGCTACTCAGGAGGCTGAGGCAGGATAATCACTTGAACCCGGGAGGCGGAAGTTGCAGTGAGCCGAGATTGTGCCATTGCACTCCAGCTTAGGCGACAGAGAGAGACTCCGTCTCAAAACAAACAAACAAAAAGAAATCTTGTTTACTTGTAAAAATATAGACTACCTCCTACTTGCCACCGTTAAGTGCAATTTACTGGTTGTTGAAATTACTTGGCTGGGTGCAGTGGCTCATGCCTGTAATCCTAGCACTTTAGGAGGCCAAGATGGGAGGATCACATGAGCCCAGGAGTTCAAAACCAGCCAGGGCAACATGGCGAGACCCTGTCTCTACAAAAAATTTAAAAATTAGCTAGGCTTGGTGGCTCACACCTGTAGTTCCAGCTACTCAGGAGGCTGAGCTGGGATGATCACCTGAGCCTAGGAGATTGAGGCTGCAGTGAGCTGTGATCATGCCACTGCACTGTAACCTGAGCAACAGAGTAAGACCGTGTGTCAAAAAAACAAAAAAAAGGCCGGGTATGGTAGCTCACACCTGTAATCCCTACACTTTGGGAGGCTAAGGTGGGCAGATCAGGAGTTCGAGACCAGCCTGGCCAACATGGTGAAACCCCGTCTCTACTAAAAGTACAAAAATTAGCCGGGTGTGGTGGCACGCGCCTGTAATCCCAGCTGCTTGGGAGGCTAAGGGAGGAGAATTGCTTGAGTCTGGGAGATGGAGGTTGCAGTGAGCCGAGATTGCACTACTGCACTTCAGCCTGGGTGACAGAGTGAGATTCTGTCTCAAAAAAAAAAAAAAAAAAAGGACATTATTCATACATGAGAATGTATTCTTTTAAGAGATTTTTCACATAGTGGTCAACTTAGGATGAGTTTACCAGTCTTATTTGAAGCAGTGGTTTCTCATGTTTATCACAATCCTCATTCCCTGAATAACCATTTATTGGGTGCTTTGCCATGTTCCAGTCAGTCAACTACATGCTGGGCATACAAAATTGAATAAATGAATAAGCCATAATCTGTGCACTTGGGGACCTCTTAGCCTGTGCTCAAGGGGAGACAGACAGATAAACAAGCATACATTGTGATAGGTGTTATGACAAAACCCAACGTACAGCTGGGTCACAAAGGAGGAAGTAAGTGATTATATTGAAGGGATTAGGAAGGAAAGAAAAGCATCCTAGAGGCTACTTATTAAAAGACAGATAGGAGATTGGTGCAGTGGATCATGCTTGTAATCCCAGCATTTTGGGAGGCAGAGGCAGGAGGATCACTTGAGTCCAGGAGTTCAAGGCCAGCCTGAGCCACATAGGAAGACCCTGTCTCTATAAAAAAATAGAAAAATTAGCCAGATGTGGTGGCATATGCCTGTAGTCCCAGCTACTCAAGAGGCTGAGGTGAAGGATTGCTTGAGTCAGGGAGGTTAAGGCTGTAGTGAACTATGATCTCACCACTGCATTCTAGCCTGGGCAACAGAATGAGACCCTATCTCACACACACACACACACACACACACACACACACACACACACACACACACACACAAAAAAAGACAGTGGAGAATAATGTTCTGGGAAGTGGCAGAAATAAGAGAAAGAAGGTATAAGAAAGATGGCACTTTTGGGAACCACAAATAGTTTGGCAGTGCCGGGGCCTGGATTTTAAGGTGAGGTTTGGGAAGAATTGAAACCAGGGGCCAGATCTTAAAGAAGCTTAAATATCATACAAAGGATTTGGAGCTTTATTTTAACAATGAGGAGAGAGGGTGTTTGAGGGATTTTAAGGAGGAAATCACATGATTAATCTGGTGGGAATGTAGAAGATTAGTTAGATGCAAGGATACTAGTCTAGAGATGATGAGGCCTGAATTAAGGCAGTAGCAGTGGAGATAGAGACAGGGAGGGAGGATGGATAGTGTTAAAGTGATGCATCTAGCAGGATTTGGTGACTGACTATGTGGAGTTGTGAAGGAGGAAATGAAACAAATCTAGTATGATTCCTAGATTTCTGTCTACAGTGTGCTGAGTGGTGCTATTAACAAGGATGGAGAGTATAGGAAGAAGAATAGTTTGAGGGTGGGTGGGAAAAGGGAACTTGATGGTTATTTTAGACATAACGAATTCGACAAAGTCCTGTGGGACTTCCAAATGTATTTATTTGGCTGGGCACGGTGGCTCACGCCTGTAATCCCAGCACTTTGGGAGGCGGAGGTGGGCAGATCACCTGAGGTCGGGAGTTTGAGACCAGCCTGACCAACATGGAGAAACCCCATCTCTACTAAAAATACAAAATTAGCCAGCGTGGTGGCGCATGCCTGTAATCCCAGCTACTCGGGAGGCTGAGGCAGGAGAATCGCTTGAACCCGGGAGGCAGAGGTTGCAGTGAGCCAAGATCGCGCCATTGCACTCCAGCCTGGGCAATAAGAGCGAAACTCCGTCTCAAGAAACAAACACACATACAAATGTATTTATTCATTTAGCAGTTGGCTGTGTTTGAATGTGAAATTCAGAAGGGAGGTCTGTGCTAGAGGTATCACTGTGGAGGTAGTCATTGATACAAAGGAGAATATTCAGGCAGTGCTTTCAAGTAACAAGATGCAATAATTAGCACATCAGCTTTATTACAGAAATTAAATAAAGGATGTTGATTGTTGATATATCAAGTTACATTATCTGAGCCCATAAATGTAGAGATATCTTGGAGAGATCTGCATTATATAACCTTCTCTAAGTGGTGCCTCTAGTCACTCCTAGTTACTTTGGATGTAGTTTCTCTCTTACTTTTCTTCCACTAGGCTTTGCTCGTGTCAATAGTTTGGTTATGGTACCTTAAAAGATGCTAAAATGCTAAAAACAAACAAACACCCCCCCACCACCCACCACCCCCAGCAAAATACACCGTTTCCAGCAAGGGACATCAGCTTTTTAGTCAGCGTGGTTCTTCCTATCTCAAACTATCTGCTGGTACTACTTTTTAGTCTTTTCAGGGTAATTCCATAATATGAATTAGTTGTGTACTTGTAGCAATACTATGCCATGGGCATTTAAAGTTTTTTTTTTCTTTTTTGAGACAGAGTCTTGCTCCATCGCCCAGGCTGGAGTACAGTGGTGCGATTTCAGCTCACTGCAACCTCCGCCTCCCGGGTTCAAGTGATTCTCCTGCCTCAGCCTCCTGAGTAGCTGGGATTACAGGCGCGCCACCATGCCTGACTAATTTTTGTATTTTTAGTAGAGACGGGGTTTCACCATGTTGGTTAGGCTGGTGTCGAACTCCACACCTCGTGATCCGCCCGCTTTGTCCTTCCAAAGTGCTGGGATTACAGGCGTGAGCCACCGCACACAGCCTAATTTTTTTGTATTTTTAGTAGAGGTGGGGTTTCACCACGTTGGCCAGGCTGGTCTCGAACTCCTGACCTCAGGTGATCTGTCCACCTCAACCTCCCAAAGTACTGGAATTACAGGTGTGAGCCACCATGCCCGGCCCATTTAAAGTTATGAAAGGAGCTGGGTGCGGTGGCTCATGCCTGTAATACCAGCACTTTGGGAGGCCGAGGCAGGCGGATCACGAGGTCAGGAGATTGAGACCATCCTAGCTAACACAGTGAAACCCCATCTCTACTGAAAATACAAAAAAAATTTAGTGGGGCGTGGTGGCGGGCTCCTGTAGTCCCAGCTACTCGGGAGGCTGAGGCAGGAGAATGGCGTGAGCCTGGGAGGCGGAGCTTGCAGTGAGCCGAGATCGCACCACTGCACTTCAGCCTGGGTGACAGAGCGAGACTCTATGTCTCAAAAAAATAAATAAATAAAAAGTTATGAAAGGAGTGGACATTTATTTTTATTCAGTTTTTTCTCAAGGTGAAGGTAACTGTTTGTAGATGTCCTAGAGAAATATTGTAGCTTTCTGTTCACCCTTTGCAACTAAAAAGCATGGACTGTTCCACTACTGAGATTTAAAAAATAAAGTTATGAAGGGAAAAGTCTGGTGTAATACAGTAGCAAGTGGTGGTATAAATAAATAAGTAGCAAAAATTACTTTCCTTTGAGGTGAGGAGAGTTGTGGATTCATTTTCATGGTAGAAGCTGCTAAGCAATCCTGGGAGGTTTGGAGTTTAAATACAATGGGAAACTAGTCAGAGTTATAAAGTATATTTATTTTATTTCTTTTGAGATAGTTTGAAACAAATTTCTTAACCCCATGCTGTGAATATTAATTTTTTCATGATTTATGTAGTTTGTTTATCGATGGACACTTTTACAACAGGATTTATGAAGCTGGGTCGGAGAACAACACGGCAGTTGTAGCAGTAGAAACTCACACGATACACAAAATTGAAGAAGGGATTGGTAAGGGTTTTTTTGTGTTTTTTTTTTTTTTTTTTTTTGTCATTCTAATACCTTTGACTTTAGCTTCCTTGGTTGAGTTTTCTTGCCATCTGTGCCTTATGTTTTTCTCCCATCCCTGTGTGCCCTACCAGTACTACAGCCCTCGATTTTGATGGTGGTACATCTTGAGACACCACTGACTAAGATGCTAGGGTCGTCAGTTGGTTGGTTAATGTCAATTTGGAAGGGTAACTGAAAAGACTTTTTGTCGATAAAAATCCCATATAGAAATTGGAGCCTCAAAGTTGATCCCTGTCATTAAATAAGTTGTTGATGATGACTGATGAGGTATTGTCTAGAAGGCAGTCAGTGGAAAGAAACTGGAAAGAAACCGAAATTTAACAAACCTTAGTTTAAATCCCAATTTCTCATCTCTAAATGTGTCCTTGGGAAAGTCAGTTAGCCTTTCTGAAGCCCATATACTTACATTTAACACCTAGGAAACAATTAATTAATTAATTTAAAAAACATCTGGTCGAGCGCAGTGGCTCACGCCTGTAATCCCAACACTTTGGGAGGCTGAGGCAGGCGGATCACCTGAGGTCAGGAGTTTGAGACCAGCCTGGCCAACATGGCGAAACCCCGCCTCTACTAAAAGTATAAAAATTAGCTGGGTGTAGTGGTGCGCGCCTGTAATCCCAGTTACTCAGGAGACTGAGGCAGGAGATCCCTTGAACCCGGGAGGTGGAGGTTGCAGTGAGCCGAGGTCACACCACTGCATTCCAGCCTGGGCAACAAGAGCGAGACATCATCCTAAAAAAAATAAATAAATAAAACCACCTACACCAGGCGAGGTGACTCATGCCTGTAATCCCAGCACTTTGGGAGGCCAAGACAGGTGGATCAGTTGAGGTCAGGGGTTCAAGACCAGCCTGGCCAAGATGGTGAAACCCTATCTCTACTAAAAATACAAAAATTAGCCGGGCGTGGTGGTGTGTGGTATATGGTTATAATCCCAGCTACTTGGAAGGCTGAGGCAGGAGAATTGCTTGAACCCAGGAGGCAGAGGTTGCAATGAGCTGAGATCACGCCACTGCACTCCAGCCTGGGTGACAGAGTGAGACTCCATCTCAAAAAAGAAAAAAAGAAAAAAACACCTAGGAAACAATCATTGCCTCACAGGTTTGTTGTAAGAACTAAACAAGATTATGTGTGTAAAATACATAGTATGGTGTCTGGCACACTGTGAGAGCTTGGGAAGAGATAGCTCTTAGGCCAAACTTCTTCCAGAGGATTCCTAAATGATACCAGCAAGAGTGAAGTATTAGTCCCTTAGAGGAACCAGGAGACTAGAGATTTTGAATTTCAGCTTTGGGGAAGAGTTGTTTGATAAATAACTGATATTTTTTCTGTTTTCAGATACAGGCACTATAGAAGCAAATGAGGATATGGAAATTGCTTACCCCATAACTTGTGGGGAGAGCAAAGCCATCCTCCTCTGGAAGAAGTTTGTATGTCCAGGAATAAACGTGAAGTGTGTCAAGGTAATTGTCTTTTCCATGCTGAAGCCAAATTTGGGACTCCTTGTTCTCAAAGGGTGTGAGTTCCATGCATCCTTTTTATCTTCCACTATATCAGTTTTATTTATTTATTTATTTATTTATTTATTTATTTATTTATTTATTTTGTGGCTATTGTCCTAATGTGTCACAATAGAAAAAATAAGAACTTTGGGTTGGGTGTGGTGGCTCATGCCTGTAATCCTAGCACTTTGGGAGACTGAGGTGGGAAGATCACTTGAGCCCAGGAGTTCAAGACCAGCCTGGGCAAAATGGTGAGACCTTGGCTTTCTTTTTTTTTTTTTTCAGACAGTGACTTTCTGTTGCCCAGGCTAGAGTGCAGTGACATGATCTTGGCTCACTGTAGCCTCCACTTCCTGGGTTCAGGTGATTCTCCTACCTCAGCCTCCTCTGTAGCTGGGACCACAGGTGTGCACCACTGTGCCTGGCTAATTTTTTGTAGAGATGGGGGGTTTTGCTATGTTGCCTAGGCTGGAAAACCTTGCATCTTCAAAAAAAACTATTGGCTGGGTGAGGTGGCTCATGCCTGTAATCCCAGCACTTTGGGAGGCTGAGGTGAGTGGATCACCTGAGGTCAGGAGGTAGAGACCAGCCTGGACAACATAGTGAAACCCCATCTCTACTAAAAATACAAAAATTAGCTGGACGTGGTATTGGGCGCCTATAATTCCAGCTACTCCGGAGGCTAAGGCAGGAGAATCACTTGAACCCGGGGGCAGAGGTTGCAGTGAGTTGAGATTGCGCTGTTGCACTCCAGTCTAGGTGACAGAGTGAGACTCTGTCTCAAAAAAAAAAAAAATTATTAGATTGACTAGCCAAAAAAATACATGATTGATAAAAATAGAATTGCTTATTCTGTCTTCATTAGGGCTGGATAGATTATTTCAGTTTATTTGAACAGCCTTTGTTTGCCACACTAGACCTGATTCCAGGCATAAATGGATTTTAGATATTTATTAATATATTTATCTCTGATCTCTGCATGTATTCTGTGGCTTTGTACCAGGAATTGAGACTATGCTCAGAGAAGGATCGTCTTCTCTAACACAATAGTACAGGAGGTTGGATAATACAAGGCTTAGGATGTCATCTGGGTATTTTTTATACAAATGATGTAGAGTTATCATTTCATTATTTCCCCTCTTGGCCTGCCTAAGTTGACATTAGACTCTTTGGACTTTTCTTTTTACTTTTAGTTCAATGATCAGTTGATCAGCCCCAAGCACTTTGTTCATCTGGCTGGCAAGTCCACTCTGAAGGACTGGAAGAGAGCTATTCGTCTGGGTGGGATCATGCTCAGGTAAGCTCTAATGTCAAGCACATACCTTTCAACAAACTTTGGGGCACATAATCATGCTAGAATCTGGGCTTTTCTCTTTAGGTTGACATTTTTATTCTTTCTGAAGAATTGGCTTGAGCAATCCGTGCATTATTTGACTTTAATCAACTTAAAAATCCTGGGAGACGAGATTGATTTTTTTTTTTTTTTCTGAGATGGAGTCTCACTCTGTCGCTCAGGCTGGAGTGCAGTGGCATGATCTTGGCTCACTGCAACCTCCGCCTCCCGGGTTCAAGCAGTTCTCTGCCTCAGCCTCCCGAGTAGCTGGGATTACAGGTGCCCACCACCACGCCCAGCTAATTTTTTGTATTTTCAGTAGAGACGGGGTTTCACCATGTTGGTCAGGCTGATCTTAAACTCGTGACCTCATGATCCACCCATCTCGGCCTCTCAAAATGCTGGGTTTACAGGCATGAACCACCACGCCCAGCCTCTTGTTTGTTTGTTTTTGAGACAGAGTCTTGCCCTGTCACCCAGGCTGGAGTGCAGTGGCGCGACCTCGGCTCACTGCAACCTCGGCCTCCCGGGTTCAAGCAATTGTAGTTTTTAGTAGAGACGGGGTTTCACCATCTCGGCCAGGCTGGTCTTGAACTCCTGACCTCGTGATCCACCCACCTCCGCTTCCCAAAGTGCTAGGATTACAGGCGTGAGCCACTGTGCCCGGCCATTTAATTCTTTTTAACAGGGAAAACAAAAAAAGGATAACATTTTTAAAAAGAAATAAAAAATTAAAAAATAAAAATAATTATTTTTAAGGAATCTCTTTCAAGAAAAATCCATAATGCTTGTAGAGATTCAAGCATAAAGATGTTTATTACATTATTTATTAATGTAAAAATTATAGTCTGCTTTAATATATAGTCAAAAGACTTCTAAAGTCAATTATGGCTTGTGTAAATTTATATGAGTATATACTATGGAATATTTTGCAGTCATTAAAATATTTCTGAAGAGATTTTACATGGAAAAATGCTTATGACAATTTGAAGGAAGAAAAATATAAAATTCATTAAACTGATTTTGGCTGTGTTAAGACATACATATGTAAGTAAAATTTAGTAGAAGAAAATATGCTAAAATGTTGACATGGTCTGTGTGTTGTAGGATTTTTTTTTTTTTTTTTTTGAGACGGAGTCTTGCTCTGTTGCCAGGCTGGAGTGCAGTGGCGCAGTCTCGGCTCACTGCAACCTCTGCCTCCCGGGTTCAAGTGATTCTCCTGTCTCAGCCTCCCCAGTAGCTGGGACTACAGGCGCGTGCCACCATACCCAGCTAATTTTTGTATTTTTTTTTTAATAGAGACGGGGTTTCATCATGTTAGCCAGGCTGGTCTCGATCTTCTGACCTCCTGATCCACCCGCCTTGGCCTCCCAAAGTGCTGAGATTATAGGCATGAGCCACCATGCCTGGCCTAAGATTTTTTAAAAAGAGCAATTGAAAAAAAAAAAAGCCCATGTTCTGTCACTAAGGCTGGAGTGCATTGGCATGATCAGCCTCAATCTCCTCAGCTCAAGCAGCCCTCCAAAGTAGGTTGGACTACAGGTGTGAGCCAGTGTGGCCAGCTGAAAATGCTAAATATTTTCTTAACATAGGTTTTTTTTTTTTGAGTTGGGATCTTGCTGTGTCGCCCAGGCTGCAGTGGCACGATCTCAGCTCACTGCAACTTCCGCCTCCCAGGTTCAAGTGATTCTCCTGCCTCAGCTTCCTGTGTAGCTGGGATTACAGGAGCACGCCACCTCGACTGGCTAATTTTTGTATTTTTAGTAGAGACAGGGTTTCACCATATTGGTCAGGCTGGTCTCGAACTCCTGACCTCTTGATCTGCCCACCTCAGCCTCCCAAAGTGTGGGGATTACAGGCGTGAGCCACCGTGGCCAGCCTTTTTTTTTTTTTTTTTTTTTGAGACAGAGTTTTGCTCTGTTGCCCAGGCTGAAGTGCAGTGGCATGATCTTGGCTCACTGCAATCTCCACCTCCTGGGTTCAAGTGATTCTCATGCCTCAGCCTCCTGATTAGCTGAGATTACAGGTGCGCGCCACCACACCCACTTAATTTTCTTGTATTTTTAGTAGAGACAGGGTTTCACCATGTTGGCCAGGCTGGTATTGAACTCCTGACCTCAAATGCTCTGCCCACCTCACCTCCCAAAGTGCTGGGATTACAGGCGTGAGCCACCACACCCCACTTTTGTTGCCAAGGCTAGAGTGTAATGGCGTGATCTCGGCTCACTGCAAACTGTACCTCCTAGATTCAAGCAATTCTCCTGCCTCAGCCTCCCAAATAGCTGGGATTATAGGCATGCGTCACCATGCCTGGCTTATTTTGTATTTTTAGGAAAGATGGGGTTTCTCCATGTTGGTCAGGCTGGTCTCAAACTCCCAAGCTTAGGTGATCCACCCGCCTTGGCCTCCCAAAGTGCTGAGATTACAAGTGTGAGCCACCATTCCCGGCCCACATCATTTTTTTAGTCAGAGACACAGAAACATTATTTGTGTTCTTTTTGTTTTTATTTAAAAAATTTTTAAATTATTTTACTCCTGTACTTCCAACAAAACATTATTTTAAAAAAATTTTTTCGGCCGGGCGCGGTGGCTCACGCCTGTAATCCCAGCACTTTGGGAGGCCGAGGCGGGCGGATCACGAGGTCAGGAGATCGAGACCATCCCGGCTAAAACGGTGAAACCCCGTCTCTACTAAAAAATACAAAAAATTAGCCGGGCGTAGTGGCGGGCGCCTGTAGTCCCAGCTACTTGGGAGGCTGAGGCAGGAGAATGGCGTGAACCCGGGAGGCGGAGCTTGCAGTGAGCCGAGATCCCGCCACTGCACTCCAGCCTGGGCGACAGAGCGAGACTCCGTCTCAAAAAAAAAAAAAAAAAAAAAAAAAAAAAAAAAAAATTTTCAGATGATTTGTATGCAGAAATTAGTAATCCAATGAAATTGGGAAGGAATATCTTTATTTTTATTGTTTGTTTATTTATTTATTTATTTATTTATTTATTTATTTTTGAGACAGGGTCTAACTCTGTCACCCAGGCTGGAGTGCAGTGGCGTGATCTCAGCTTACTGCAACCTCAGCTTCCTGGCTCAAGTGATTCTTCAGCCTCATCCTCCCAATTAGCTGGGACTACAGGCCTCAGCTACCATGCCTGGCTGATTTTTGTATTTTTTATAGAAATGTGGTTTCACCATGTTGGACACGCTGGTCTCAAACTCCTGAGTTCAAGTGATCCTCCTGCCTTGGCCTGCCAAAGTGCTGGGATTACAGGCGTGAATCACTGCACCTGGCTGAGGAATACCTTTAACTTTGAGTTTTGTTGTTCTTGGCGGGTTTTATTTACCCAGAAGGACAAGCATATGCCAATTTTCCCCAAATGTAAAAGAGTCAGGATACTAAAAAATCTTTAGTGAAAGCCAAATGACATTATAACATAGAATTTACTATAATTAAAATACCCCATGGTTTTGCTCATGTCCTATAACGTTTTGTGGATCCAATTATAAGGACATTTTCCAGAGTGGGTTTAGTATAGTGAACTTTTTTCTGTATTCCTAGGAGAGTTTTTTAAAAGACTGAAACTTTATGTCTGTGAAAGTGGCACCAGATCTTGCTGCAATACTCATAATGAATAAACTACAGAGGGAGGAGGAATACTGGTAAATGTGGGCAGGACCAGTGAAAATTTAAAGCCCCAATTAGAATTTTTGCAACCTAATGACTTCTAACACTATTAGGTTTCACTAATCTACACAGTAGGCTCAGCAGTGTTGTCCCTATTTTTCCCTGAGGCCTAGTTCCCACTAGATGAAGTATAGGCTGAACTGGTACTTCTTGTCTCCCTTTGCACAGGAAAATGATGGACTCCGGACAGATTGATTTTTACCAACATGACAAAGTTTGCTCCAATACCTGCAGAAGCACCAAATTTGATCTTCTGATCAGCAGTGCAAGAGCTCCAGTGCCAGGACAGCAGACAAGTGTGGTGCAGACACCCACTTCGGCTGATGGTAGGGGGTAGGAAACCACCTGAAAACCCATTGTGTTTTTCAGCAGAACTTTCCCCCTTATTTCTCCCTTGTGTGTACATATATATATATATATATATATATATATATATATATATGTATTTTTTTATTTTAATTTTTTTTGAGACAGAGTTTTGCTCTTGTTGCCCAGGTTGGAGTGCAGTAGCGTGATCTCAGCTCACTGCAACCTCTGCCTCCTGGGTTCAAGCGATTCTCCTGCCTCAGCCTCCTGAGTAGCTGGGATTACAGGCATGCGCCACCACACCTGGCTAATTTTGTATTTTTAGTACAAACAGGGTTTCTCCATGTTGATCATGCTGGTCTTGAACTCCCAACCTCAGGTGATCCGCCCACCTCGGCCTCCCGAAGTGCTGGGATTACAGGCATGAGCCACCATGCCTGTCCCCTTGCATATTCTTAATTTCAATTCTCATGAACATTGATGTGCCTTGTTGTAAAGTATGGTAATCTTGGATGGGATTCCATGCTTTGGAAACATGCTTTGTTTTCTTCCCAATGATTCCTATTGGTCAGACCTCCTCCTTTGTTTTTTCCTTACAATGCATTGTAGGCATTAGAAAGGTAGTTCAGTAGTTACAATACTTACATAACAGTTTCACTTTGGTGCCACTTGGCATATTAAGGTTGAATTAGGCTGTTTTGAAAAATGCTCTGCAGGCTAGGCGTGGTGGCTGACGCCTGTAATCCCAGCACTTTGGGAGGCTGAGGGAGGCAGATCATGAAGTCAAGAGATCGGCCAGGTGCGGTGGCTCACGCCTGTAATCCCAGCACTTTGGGAGGCTGAGGCAGGCGGATCACGAGGTCAGGAGATTGAGACCATCCTGGCTAACACAGTGAAACCCCGTCTCTACTAAAAATACAAAAAAATTAGCCAGGTGTGGTGGCGTGCACCTGCAGTCCCAGCTGCTGGGGAGGCTGAGACAGGAGAATGGCGTGAACTCGGGAGGCGGAGCTTGCAGTAAGCCGAGATGGCACCACTGCACTCCATCCTGGGCAACAGAGTGAGACTCCGTCTCAAAAAAGAAAAATGAGGTCAAGAGATCGAGACCATCCTGGCCAACATGGTGAAACCCTGTCTCTACTAAAAATACAAAAATTAGCCAGACATGGTGGCGTGCACCTGTAGTCCCAGCTACTTGGGAGGCTGAGGCGGGAGAATTGCTTGAACCTGGGAGGCATGGGAGGCAGAGGCTGCAGTGAGCCAAGATCATTCCACTGCACTCTAACCTGGCAATAGAGCAAGACTCCGTCTTAAAAAAAAAAAAAAGAAGCCTGGGCATGGTGGCTCACGCCTGTAATCCCAGCACTTTGGGAGGCCAAAGCGGGCAGATCTCAAGGTCAGGAGATCGAGACTATCCTGGTTAACACGGTGGAACCCTGTCTCTACTAAAAATACAAAAAATTAGCCAGGTATGGTGGCGGGTGCCTGTAGTCCCAGCTACTCGGGAGGCTGAAGCAGGAGAATGGTGTGAACCCAGGAGGCGGAGCTTGCAGTGAGGCAAGATGGCGCCACTGCACTCCAGCCTGGGCGACAAAGCGAGACTCCATCTCAAAAAAAAAAAAAAAGAAAAATGCTTTGCAGCTGTGCTTTGGCTCACGCCTGTAATCCTAGCACTTTGGGAGGCTGAGGCGGGAGGATCACCTGAGGTCAGGAGTTCAAGACCAGGCTGGCCAACATGGTGAAACCCTGTCTCTACTAAAAATACAAAAATTAGCCGGGTGTGGTGGCGCATGCCTGTAATCCCATCTACTTGGGAGGCTGAGGCAGGAGAATTGCTTGAACCCAGGAGGTGGAGTTTGCAGTGAGCCGAGATCGTCCCATATTCCAGCCTGGGTAACAGAGCAAGACTCTGTCTCAAAAAAAAAGGAAAAAAGAAAAATGCTTGCTTTACTAGTGGTCAACACAAGAGGTAGATTAGAATGATGAGTGGTTTTCACCCATTATACTGAGGTGTATCAAAGACAATGTGATTGGCTGGACAGGACTCTGGATACCCCACTGTAATGATTGGAGTTGTCTGCTTGGAGGGGCTCCTGATTACCAAGTTGAGGCTTCCCACAGATGAAACAGATGAGCACACTTAACTTCAGTATTGTTGAGTTTGGTACTAGGGCTCCTTACCATCCAGGAAAGATGTAACTGTAAGATTATTATTAAGGATTTAGTTAGTCCAGCTGGAGACTTACTATATAGTTGGATAAAATGTATCTCAACTACTGTTACAAGACTTACAAATATGCCTGAGAAAAGTCACAAGAATGCTAAAGGATCTAAAAGGTTAGGGACATACACTGTGCTTGTAAATTGACCTCTTTTTTTTTTTAAGACAGAATCTTGCTTTGTCACCCGGGCTGGAGTGCAATGGTGCAATCTTGGCTCACTGCAACCTCCCCCTCCCGGGTTCAAGCAATTCTCCTGCCTCAGCCTCCCGTGTAGTGAGATTACAGGTGCCCGCCACCAAGCCTAGCTAATTTTTTGTATTTTTAGTAGAGACGGAGTTTCACCATGTTGGCTAGGCTGGTCTCAAACTCCTGACTTGAGGTGATCCACCCACCTCAGCCTCCCAAAGTGCTAGAGTTACAAATGTGAGCCACCATGCCTGGCCCTTTTTTGTTTTTTTTTTTCTTTTTTGCCTTGTCTTACGGTGCTGAAAAAATGACCTCTTAATGGCTGGGCATGGTGGGTCACACCTCTAATCCCAGCACTCTGGGAAGCTGAGGCAGGAGGATTTCTTGAGCCCAGGAGTTTGAGACCAGCCTTGGCATCTTGTCGAAAACCCATCTCTACAAAAAATAAAAAAATTAGCTGAGCATGGCGGTGTGGGCCTGTGGTCCCAGCTACTAAGGAGACTGAGGTGGGAAGATCACGTATCAGTGAGCTGTGATTGTGCCTCTGCACTCCAACCTAGGTGACAGGAGCGAGAGACCCTGTCTCAAAAAAAAAAAAAAAAAAAAAAAGATCTTGGCCGGGTGCAGCGGCCCACGCCTATAATCGCAGCACTTTGGGAGGCTGAGGCAGGCGGATCATGAGGTCAGGAGTTTGAGACCAGCCTGACCAACGTGGTGAAACCCCATCTCTACTAAAAATATAAAAATTAGCTGGGCATGGCTGGGCGCGGTGGCTCACACCTGTAATCCCAGCACTTTGGGAGGCCGAGGCTGGCAGATCACAAGGTCAGGAGATGGAGACCATCCTGGCTAGCATAGTGAAACCCTGTCTCTACTAAAAATACAAAAAAAATTAGCTGGGCGTGGTGGTGAGCGCCTGTAGTCCCAGCTACTCCGGAGGCTGAGGCAGGAGAATGGCGTGAACTCGGGAGGTGGAGCTTGCAGTTAGCCGAGATCGCGCCACTGCATTCCAGCCTGGGCGACAGAGCAAGACTCCATCTCAAAAAAAAAAAAAAAAAAAAAATTAGCTGTGCATGGTGGTGCATGCCTGTAATCCCAGCTACTCAGAAGGATGAGGCAGGAGAATTGCTTGAACCTGGGACGCGGAGACTGCCGTGAGCCGAGATCATGCCACTGTACTTCAGCCTGGGCAACAAAGTGAGACTCTGTCTCAAAAAAAAAAAAAAAAGATCTTTTGGTCAGTTCTAATATTCTGTGTGTATCCAGTGGGTGAATAGAGGCCAGAATCCTTGAAACCTAAATCCCTTTCAGGAAAGTATAAAATATCTGGCGGTTTGAATATTTGGACACTTGACTCTTTCACTTGAAAAGTGAAAAATACTGTGAAATGCTATTTACAGTTGGCCCTTGAACAATATGGGTTTGATTGGTGGGGGTCCACTTTTATGCAGCTTTTTTTTTCCCAACCAAACATGGATGGAAAATATGGTATTTGCAGGATGCAAAACCCGGGTCTATGAAGTGTTGAGTTTTACTTTTTGTATATATGGGTTCCACGGGGCTGACTTTAGGACTTGAGCATGTACAGATTTGGTTATATATGCAGGTGGTCCAGGAATCAATCCCTCATGTATACTGAGGGACAACTGTACTTCCTTTTTATTTGGCTAAAAGTCTTTTACTTGATTATCTTTTGCCCGATGATTGATATCCTCCAGTGTGTAGAGTCCGTACTTTCCTATATTGCTGTTTGGATCAGTTTGGTTTTTCTTGATTCTCTTTGTTTAAAAGCTGTCTTTTTTTTTTTTTTTTTGAGATGATTTCGCTCTGTCTCCCAGGCTGGATGGAGTCCAGTGGCGCGATCTCGGCTCACTGCAAGCTCCGCCTCCCGGGTTCACGCCACTCTCCTGCCTCAGCCTCCTGAGTAGCTGGGACTACAGGCACCCGCCAGCACACCCGGCTAATTTTTTGTATTTTTATAGAGACGGGGTTTCACCGTGTTAACCAGGATGGTCTCGATCTCCTGATCTCGTGATCCGCCCACCTCGGCCTCCCAAAGTGCTGGGATTACAGGCGTGAGCCACTGCGCCTGGCCAAAAGCTTTCTTGTTTTTTGAGACAGGGTCTTAGTCTGTCACCCAGGCTGGAGTACAGTGGCACAACCATGGTTTACTGCAGTCTTAAGCCCCTGGGCTCAGGTGATTCTCCCACCTCAGCCTCCTGAGTAGCTGTAACTACAGATGTGCACCACCACACCCAGCTAGTTTTTATAGAAACTGGGTTTTGCTATGTTGCCCAGGCTGGCCTCAGACTCCTGGACTCAAGCAATCTGCCCACCTTAGCCTCCCAAAGTGCTAGGATTACAGGCATGAGCTACCACGCCCAGTCAAAATCTTACTATACAAGTAATAGCAAAGGGTATTTTTCCCCTCTGTGAATCTGCTATACATGAATCTCTTATCTGATTTTTATGGTCTCCATTTCTTTTACTTTCTCTTTATAGGCTAATAAATAAGTTAGATGCTTAGCATCAGACTTGCTTGTAGTAGAGCTCTTGGGAAAGCACTATACCTTTCTCTTAAATTATTTCAAGCTTTCTTCACCCTCAGTAAGTCTGGGGCTGGCAGGCTAGTAGGGGCTGGCAGGCTAGTAGTAATGTCTATCTTCAATCTCTTTCAAAAACATACCTACCTAGGAAACACATTGCTCTTTTGTGATTTTGTAAGTTATCTTTCACTTTCTATTCAAAGTAAGAAAGCATTTTCCTTTGCAAGGCAGGTTTTCTTTAGAAAATCCAATATTCATCCTAGCTTACCTAAGAGTCTAGTTTTTAAAATAGGGACCTGCAGCCAAGAGGCTAGAATGTTAAAATAACAAGGTCTTTGTAGCTATTGAGTATGAGATATAGGATAGCTATAACTTTTTCGTTAAATTCACTGTTCTCACCTCTACTGGACTGTTTTTAGGTAGCATCACGCAGATTGCCATCTCAGAAGAGAGCATGGAAGAGGCAGGGCTGGAATGGAACTCAGCTCTCACCGCTGCTGTCACCATGGCCACGGAGGAGGGTGTAAAGAAAGACTCAGAGGAAATTTCAGGTATTCTTCTATAGGGCTCAGATGTCTTGCAGGGTCTTGTGAGCCTTATCACCATTATCATTATGGACACGGAAGACCTCTTAATTACTTTCGCTGGATTTTCTCATGCACGTAAATACTAACTATAGCTACAAACATCCTACTTTAATCCATGCAATAGCCCTGCATAGTCACATTTTACATACAAAGAAATCAGAATTGGCCGGGCGCAGTGGCTGACGTCTGTAATTCCAGCACTTTGGGAGGCCAAGGCAGGTGGATCACAAGGTCAGGAGATCGAGACCATCCTGGCTAACACAGTGAAACCCCGTCTCTACTAAAAATACAAAAAAAAAATTAGCCGGGCGTGGTAGCAGGCGCCTGTAGTCCCAGCTACTCGGGAGCTTGCAGTGAGCCGAGATCGCGCCACTGCACTCCAGCCTGGGCGACTAAGCAAGACTCCATCTCAAAAAACAAAAAACAAAAAACAAGAAATCAGAATTTAGAAAGGTTCAGCAACTTGCCTAAGACCAGTCACAAACAAGTGTCAGAGCTGAATTTAGCTGTTTGACTATGTAGTCTATGCTTTTCTTCTGATCAGACTGCCTCCAACTTTGGCACATTTCTTAGATAGACTAAGTTTTGAGATATTAGAAGGAAAAAATAGGTGGCAAGTGTTGTAGAGCATGGTGATTAATGATGATTCACTTAGAGGGGACCAGGAGAGGCTTCACATCACCCTCCAATTATTTATTCATTTAATAGGTATTTATTATTGCCTATTTTTAGTTGGCACTGTTGTTAGATGCTGGGTGCGTAGATGAAAAGACAGACCAGGTGCGGTGGCTCATGCCTGTAATCCTAGCACTTTGGGAGGCCAAGGTGGATGGATCACCTGAGGTCGGGAGTTCGAGGCCAGCCTGACCAACATGGAGAAACCCCGTCTCTACTAAAAATACAAAATTAGCCTGGTGTGCTAGTGCATGCCTGTAATCCCAGCTACTCGGAGGCTGAGACAGGAGAAGCACTTGAACCTGGGAGGTGGAGGTTGCAGTGAGCTGATATCACGCCATTGCACTCCAGCCTGGGCAACAAGAACGAAACTCTGTTCTCAGAAAAAAAATAAAAATAAAAAAATAAAAAAAGAAAAGACATAGCCACCACCCTCAGAGAGCTTATAGCCCCATCTATCCAACTGTTTTGTTTTGTTTTCTTAAGTATAGGACTAGAGAGAGTATATCTTAATTAATATTTCATTTCTTTACTATTTAACTTTTATGATATTAAATATCTCGTTTTTAAATTAAATTAAAATTAAATAATATGTAATGTTAAATATGTTTAATGTTTAATATTTTTATTGGAGGAAAATGACTATTCTTTGTAGTGAGAACTATGACAAATTGAGAGAATGACAAATTGAGGCAATCATCCCAAGCACCTATGCTGCTGAAGGGGCGACATAATTGGGTGCCCACTCAGGGAAGCATCTAGTATTCCAAAGCTTATTCCCTTTTTTCAGGAATGGCCCAATAAGAAATCATTTTGAGTTAAAATAATTTTGAATTTAACGTTGTAGAGATTTGCCTAAGTATCTAGGTAGTGTCTCTTTTTTACCCTCTGTCTTATCCTTCTTGTGCCAGAGGACACTTTGATGTTCTGGAAAGGAATAGCTGATGTAGGGCTGATGGAAGAGGTTGTCTGCAATATACAGAAGGAAATAGAGGAGCTACTCAGGGGAGTTCAGCAGCGGCTCATCCAGGCTCCCTTCCAAGTCACAGGTAAGTGCACTAATCCTAACAGTAGCAGTGATTTATTGAATACTCACCTCCGTAGGCAGGTCCTGTAAGCCTTGCAAAAACCCTGATGTATAGGTATTATTATCTTAATTTTACAGATAAGGAAACTAAGGCTCATATAAGTTAAGTCACTTGTCTAAGGTTCATAACTAGGTTTTGAACTCAGATCTGGCCATGCTTTTCCACAGGTAATTTTTGTCTTTATAAATGGTGCCAGTAGTCTGGGCAACATAGTGAGATGCTTTGTCTCCACAAAAAAAATTTTTTTTTTTTTTTGAGACGGAGTCTCGCTCTATCGCCTAGACTGGAGTGTAGTAGCGCAATCTCAGCTCACTGCAACCTCCGCCTCCTGGGTTTTAAGCAATTCTCTCTGCCTCAGCCTCCTGAGTAGCTGGGATTACAGGCGCCCACCACCACATCCGGCTAATTTTTGTATTTTTAGTAGAGACAGGGTTTTGCCATGTTGGCCAGGCTGGTCATGAACTCCTGACCTCAGGTGATCCCCCCGCCTCGGCCTCCCAAAGTGCTGGGATTACAGGCATGAGCCACCGCTCCCAGCCTACAAAAAACTTTCTAAACATTAGTCAGGTATGGTTGGTAGTGGGTGCCTGTAGTCCCAGCTACTTGGGAAGCTGAGGCATAGGAGAATCACTTGAGCCCAGCAGTTTGATGCTGCAGTGAGCTATGATCATAGGACTCTACTCCAGCCTGGGTGACAGAGCAAGACCTTGTCTCAAAAAAAAAAAAAAAAAAAACACAGGCCAGGTGCGGTAGCTCACGCCTGTAATCCCAGTACATTAGGAGGCCGAGACCGGCGGATTACTTGAGGTCAGGAGTTCGAGACCAGCCTGGCCAACATGGTGAAAACCTGTCTCCACTAAAAATATGAAAAAAAAAAAATTAGCTGGGTATGGTGCACATCTGTAATCCCAGCTACTTGAGAGGTTGTGGCACGAGAATTGCTGAACCCAAGAGGTGGAGGTTTGCAGTGAGCCAAGGTTATGCCACTGCCCACCAGTCTGGGTGATAGAGAACAAGACTCCATCTAAAAAAAAAACTGACAGAAAGCATCCTCTCTCGCGCGATATATGTATTTTCTTTTTTTTTTTTTTTTTTTCCTGAGACGGAGTTTCACTCAGTCACCCAGGCTGGAGTGCAGTGGCGTGATCTCAGCTAACTGCAACCTCCACCTCCTGAGTTCAAGCGATTCTCCTGCCTTAGACTCCTGAGTAGCTGGGATTACAGGCGCATGCCACCACACCCAGCTAATTTTTTGTATTTTTAGTAGAGATGAGGTTTCACCATGTTGGCCAGGCTGGTCTCAAACTCCTGACCTTGGGTGATCCGCCCGCCTCGGCCTCCCAAAGTGCTGGGATTATAGGCATGAGCCACCGCGCCCAGCCGATACATCTATTTTCAGACTCTCTGTATACATTCATTATGTGGTATGTCCACTATGTGTATGTATAGAGAAAGAGTCTGAAAATTGGAGAAATCCACTTGTTTTTAGATTATTCTCATATTCGGCCGGGCGCGGTGGCTCACGCCTGTAATCCCAGCACTTTGGGAGGCCAAGGCAGGCGGATCACGAGGTCAGGAGATCGAGACCATCCTGGTTAACACGGTGAAACCCCGTCTCTACTAAAAATACAGAAAATTAGCCGGGCGCGGTGGCGGACGCCTGTAGTCTCAGCTACTTGAGAGGCTGAGGCAGGAGAATGGCATGAACCCGGGAGGCAGAACATGCAGTGAGCCGAGATAGCGCCACTGCAGTCTGGCCCAAGCGGAAGAGCGAGAGACTCCATCTCAAAAATAAATAAATAAATAAATAAATAAATAAAGATTATTCTCATATCCTATTAATTTAAGGCTTTCTGAACTTGTTGTGTTCACTTATAGCTGTTTCTGAATACTTTCAGGGTGCTGCTGTGCAGAATGTAAAATGACGTTCTAATCTAATAGAAATGGGGTTATGGGCCAGGCGTTGTGGCTCACGCCTGTAATCCCAGCACTTTGGGAGGCTAAGGCAGGTGGATCACCTGAGATCAGGAAGTCAAGACCAGCCTGGCCAGCATGGTGAAACCCTGTCTCTACAAAAATACAAAAATCCGCGAGGCATGATGGCGGGTGCCTGTAATCCCAGCTACTCAGGAGGCTGAGGTGGGAGAATCGCTTGAACCCGGCAGGTGGAGGTGGCAGTGAGTGGAGATCACACCATTGCGCTCCAGCCTGGGTGACAGAGCGAGAGTCCGTCTCAAAAAAAAAAAAAATGGGATTATGATGAGATGAGACCTTGTGTATTCAGTGAATTCTTATTTATTTATTTATTTATTTAGAGACGGAGTCTCACTCTGTTGCCCAGGCTGGAGTGCAGTGGCGTGATCTTGGCTCACTGCAACCTCCACCTCCCAAGTTCAAGTGATTCTCCTGTCTCAGCCTCCTGACTAGCTGGAATTACAGGCAAATACCACCATGCCTGGCTAGGTTTTTTGTATTTTTAGTAGAGATGGGGTTTCACCATGTTGGCCAGGCTCGTCCTGAATTCCTGACCTCCGGTAATCCACCTGTTTTGGCCTCCAAAAGTGCTGGGATTACAGGCGTGAGCCACCATGCCTGTCCTCCAGATTTGGTTTTTTTTTTTTTTTTTTTTTTTTTGAGATGGAGTCTTGCTGTCTCCCAGGCTGGAGTGCAGTGATGCGATCTTGGCTCACTGCAAGCTCCACCTGCCAGGTTCACGGCATTCTCCTGTCACAGCCTCCCGAGTAGCTGGGACTACAGGTGCCCACCACCACGGCCAGCTAATTTTTTATATTTTTTGTAGAGACGGGGTTTCACCGTGTTAGCCAGCGTGGTCTAGATCTCCTGACTTCATGATCTGCCCGCCTCGGCCTCCCAAAGTGCTGGGATTACAGGCGCGAGCCACTGTGCCTGTAAAATTTTAAGAGATTTAAAATTTTAAATCTCTTAAAAATTTGTATTTTTAAGAGATTGTTCTGGTTGCTGTGTGGAGAGTAGACTCTTATGGGGAAAGAGTAGAAACAAGACCAGTTGGGAAGCTCTTAAAGGAATTAGTCCAAGCAAGAGATAATGTATCATGGATTAGAGTGGGTAGCGGTAAAGTTAGGAAGAAGTGATTAGATTGAGAATGTATTTTGAATGTCGAACTACTAAGTCTTGCTGATGGATTGGAGGCAGGATGAAAGAGAAAGAAAGATACCGGGATGATTCACACATTTTTGGCCTGAGCTGTGAGTGGTGATGCCATTTACTGAGATGAAGGCCACTGGGAGAGGAACAGTTTTAGAGAGGAAATAAAAATTAGTTTTACCTCTTAAATTGAGATGACTATTAGACCATCAAATAGAGATGTCACTCATCTAGATAGAAGTATGAATGTGGAATACAGGAAAGAGGTCAGGGCTGGAGATGTACATGTGGGAGTGCTCAGCATGTGTGTGTTATTTCAAACCATGGGACCAAGTGAGGTGACTGTGGAAGGGAATGTAGGTGAGGTTGTCCAGGTTAAGGAAGCAATTAACACAAATACTGACAATTTTTTTTTTTTTTTGGAGACAGGGTCTTGCTCTGTCATCCAGGCTAGAGTGCAGTGATGCAGTCACAGCTCACTGCAGCCTCAACCACCTGGGCTCAATTGATCCTCCTGCCTCAGTCTCCCAAGTAGCTGGGACTACAGGCACATACCACCACACCTGGCTAATATTTGTAGTTTTTGTAGAGACAGGGTTTTGCCATATTGCGCAGGCTGGTCTCAAACTCCTGTGCTCAAGCAATCCACCTGGCTTAGCCTCCCAAAGTGCTGGGATTATAGGCGTGAGCCACCACACCTCGCTCTATCACCCAGGCTGGAGTGCAGTGGTGCAATCTCAGTTTACTGCAAGCTCCACCTCCCAGGTTCACACCATTCTCCTGCCTCAGCCTCCCGAGTAGCTGGTACTACAGGTGCCTGCCACCACTCCTGGCTAATTTTTCATATTTTTAGTAGAGGCGGGGTTTCACTGTGTTAGCCAGGATGGTCTCGATCTCCTGACCTCGTGATCCACCCACCTCGGCCTCCCAAAGTGCTGGGATTACAGGCATGAGCCACCGTGCCTGGCCCAATTTTGTTTTTTTGAGACAGAGTTTCGCTGTTGTTTCCCAGGCTGGAGTGCAGTGGTGCAATCTCGGCTCACTGCAACCTCTGCTTCACGGGTTCAAGCAATCCTCCTGCTTCAGCCTCCCAAGTTGCTGGGACTATAGGCATGCACCACCACGCCTGGCCAATTTTTTGTATTTTTTTGTATTTAGTAGCAACGGGGTTTCACCATATTGGTCAGGCTGGTAATCCACCCACCTCGGCCTCCCAAAGGGCTGGGATTACAGATGGGAGCCACCACGCCCAGCACTCTGGGAGGCTGAAGCAGGTGAATCACTTGAGGTCAGGAGTTCGAGATCAGCCTGGGCAACATGGTGAAATCCCGTCTCTAATAAAAATACAAAAATTAGGCCGGTCGAGGTGGCTCTCGCCTGTAATCCCAGCACTTTGGGAGGCCGAGGCGGGCAGATCACAAGGTCAGGAGATCAAGACCATCCTGGCTAACACGGTGAAACCCCATCTCTTCTAAAAAATGCAAAAAAAATTAGCCTGGCATTGTGGCGGGCGCCTGTAATCCCAGCTACTGAGGAGGCTGAGGCAGGAGAATGGTGTGAACCCGGGAGGTGGAGCTTGCAGTAAACTGAGATTGCACCACTGCACTCCAGCCTGGGCGACAGAGCAAGACTCCATCTCAAAAAAAAAAAAAAAATACAAAAATTAGCCAGGCATGGTGGCGTGCACGTGTAATCCCAGCTACTCAGGAGGCTGAGGCAGTCAAATCGCTTGAACCTGGGAGGCAGGGCTTGCAGGGAGCCAAGATTGCGCCATTGCACTCCAGCCTGGGTGACAGAGTGAGACTCCATCTCAAAAAGAAAAAAATAATAAAAATAATAATCTTGCATGCCAGTCCCCATGTTTGACACTTAAAATATATTTCTAATCTTCATGTCTATTTTGCAGAGTAAGTGTTATTAATCCCATTCATTTTAGATGAGAAAAGTGAAGAGTGAAATGACTTACCAAAGGTTGCACATATGGGAAATAGCAAAACTGAGATGAACGTTAACTCTATCTAGTACAGGGACCATGTTTTCAAAACCTAAAGTCAGAACTATAAACAGATGCAAGATATTAAAAAAAAAAAATTTTTTTGAGATGGAGTCTGGCCCTGTCTTCCAGGCTGGAGTGCAGTGGCACGATCTTGGTTCACTGTAACGTCTGCCTCCTGGGTTCAAGTAATTCTCCTGCCTCAGCTGCCTCCCATGTAGCTGGGATTACAGGCACATGCCACCACACCGAGCTAATTTTATTTATTTATTTATTTATGATTATTATTATTTTTTACCCAGCTAATTTTTGTATTTTTGTTAGAGACTGGGATTACAAATGTGAGCCACCGCTCCTGGCCTTAAAATTTTTTCAAATTGGCCGGGCGCGGTGGCTTGTGCCTGTAATCTCAGCACTTTGGGAGGCTGAGGTGGGTGGATCAAAAGGTCAGGAGTTCGAGACCAGCCTGGCCAATGTGGTGAAACCCCATCTCTACTAAAACTACAAAAATTAGGCAGGCGTGGTGGCAGGCACCTGTAGTCCCAGCTACTCGGGAGGCTGAGGCAGGAGAATGGCGTGAACCCGGGAGGTGGAGGTTGCAATGAGCTGAGATCATGTTACTGCACTCCAGCCTGGGGGACAGAGCAAGACTCTGTCTCCAAAAAAAGGAAAAAAAAATTGTTTCAAATTTATGTAAGTAGAGACAGGGGTCTCACTATGTTGCCCAGGCTGGTCTTGAACTCCTGGCCTCAAGCAATGCTCCCGCCTTGGCCTCCCAAAGTGTTGGGATTACAGGCATGTGCCACCATGCCCAGCCTGATCTTTGTATTTATTTATATGGAAAGATTTACAAAAATATAACAATTAAACCAGTAGTCATTATACATGTAATAAATCTTTGTTAAAAATGTGTTAAAATGCAGTTAGGAGAGTCCCATAATTTCTGGTTGTTTCATATTTATAAACAGCACAATGGAGAGTGGTGGAACATATCTGTTTTAACTGGACAGGCATGTCTTTTGTTTTAAATAGATGCTGCTGTTCTCAACAATGTAGCACACACATTTGGCCTAATGGACACAGTCAAGAAGGTTTTAGACAACAGAAGGAACCAAGTAGAGCAGGGAGAAGAACAGTTTCTCTATACTCTGACAGGTATGTATAAGTTATCGCTCTTCTTCGGTGATATCATGCTAATATTCTTGTCTTCCCATTTTCTTGTTGACTTTTGTTGGGGTAACTTTTTTTTTTTTAAATAGTATCAGATTTTGCTTTTAAAAATAAAAAAAAAAGCCGCAGATGAGGTGGATTGATGAGAAACAAAAGAGGCACAAAGGAAAAAAAAAGGAAGCTGCCATCATAGTCCCCCTTCTGTGTCTTGTGGAGGATTAAGATGTCTCTTAGATTGCTCCATTAATTCAATAACATTGGTGGCAGAAGACACAAATTGGTCTTTGTCTTTTTTACATTATTGATACTGCATCTTTTGATAGATATAAATTTAGCACTTTCTCCATTATTTGTGGTAATCAGAAATTTTGTGTAATCCCAGCACTTTGGGAGACTGAGGCAGACAGATCACGAGGTCAAGAGATTGAGACAATCCTGGCCAACATGGTGAAACCCTGTCTCTACTAAAAATACAAAAATTACCTGGATGTGGTGGCGCGTGCCTGTAGCCCCAGCTACTCGGGAGGCTGAGGCAGGAGAAGGGCGTGAACCCGGGAGGCGGAGGTTTCAGTGAACCAAAATAGTGCCATTGTACTCCATCCTGAGGGACAAGAACGAGACTCTGTCTCAAAAAAAAAAAAAGAAAAAAAAACCTTTAAACCGTCAGAAAACTGGTTTTTGTTAGAAATACAGGCTTTTGGTCCCTTGTGTGTATTATTTCTTCAGATATTTTTAATCATTGTATACATAAAGTTTTGTTTTCTGCTTTTTTTCACCATGACATATTTTTCTTTTTGTTTGTTTATTTGTTTTTGAGACAGGGTCTCACTCTGTCACTGAGGCTGGAGTGCAGTGGCACAATCACGGCTCACTGCAACTTTGACCTTCCCCGAGCTCAGGGTGACCCTCCCACCTCAGCCTCCTGAATAGCTGGGACTACAGGCATGTACCACCGTGCCCAGCTGTTTTGTATTTTTGGTAGAGATGGGGTTTTACCACATTGCCCAGGCTGGTCTCAAACTCCTGGACTCAAGTTATCCACCCACCTCAGCCTCCCAAAGTGCTGGGATTATTAGTGTGAGCCATTGTGCTCAGCCCTATTAGTATTTTTCAAGTTGCTACTCAGTACTCAGTATAGCACAGAACACTTCTGTAATCAGATGTGTAGGGGTTTTTCTGCATATACCGAGCAATCAACTCTCCAGTGGACACTGACTGGGTATTATATAATTCAGTTCAATTCTGATACTATCCCCCTGGAGATAGCATCAGATCACACAGGTGAGGCTCAGTCCCAAAAGACTGCCTCCCATTCAGCCCCAGGTTGTGACCTGTGCTTTTTTTTTCTTTTTTTTGATTAATTGTTGAAGGCAAACTGCAAATGACCTGTGCTTCTGACCAACTGGCTATAAATTGGGGTTCCCACAATCACCTTCTTGCGTTTGATTAATTTGCTAAGGTGGCTCACAGAACTCAGAGAAGCAGTTACTCAATGTTTATTGGGTTTATTATAAAGGTTATTACAGAGGATACAGATGAATAACCAGATGGAAGAGATGCATGGGACAAGGTGGGAAGGAGAGTGGGACTTCCATGCACTCTGTAGTCACGCCACTCTCAGGAACCTCCAACAATCTGAAGCTCTCTGAACCCTGTACTTTTGAGGTTTTATGGAGGCTTCATTACATAGGTATGGTTGATTACTTCATTGGCCATTGGTAATCAACCTACAGCCTCTCTCCACTCCTTGGAGGTTCGGGGGGAGGGCTGAAAGTCCTAGTCTTTAATCATGCCTGGATCTTTCTGGTGACCAGCCCCCATCTTGAATCTATCTAAGGATTCCAAGATACCAGTCATCTCATTAAGATATAAAGACATTTATGCCGGGCGCAGTGGCTCATGCCTGTAATCCCAGCACTTTGGGAGGCCGAGGTGGGCGGATCATGAGGTCAAGAGATTGAAATCATCCTGGCCAATATGGTGAAACCTCATCTCTACTAAAAATACAAATATTAGCTGGGTGTGGTGTTGCATGCCTGTAGTCCCATCTACTCGGGAGGCTGAGGCAGGAGAATCACTTGAACCAGGAGAATTGCTTGAACCTGGGAGGCGGAGGTTGCAGTGAGCCAAGATCGCGCCATCACACTCCAGCCTGGCGATAGAGCGAGACTCTGTCTCAAAAAAAAAGAGATATAAAGACATTTACCACGCTGGGCCGGGCATGGTGGCTCACGCCTGTAATCCCAGCAATTTGGGAGGCCTAGGCGGGCAGATCACGAGGTCAGGAGATCGAGACCATCCTGGCTAACATGGTGAAACCCTGTCTCTACTAAAATACAAAAAAAAAAACATTAGCCAGGCGCGGTGGCGGGCGCCTGTAGTCCCAGCTACTCAGGAGGCTGAGGCAGGAGAATGGTGTGAACCCAGGAGGCAGAGCTTGCAGTGAGCCGAGATCGCACCACTGCACTCCAGCCTGGGCGACAGAGCGAGACTCCATCTCAAAAAAAAAAAAAAAAAAGACATTTACCGCTCTGGAGATCCATGTGTTTTAGGAGCTGTGTGCCAGGATCCAGGGGCAGAGACTAAATATGTATTTCTTATTATATCACAATATCACACATAGGGAGCAAAGTGCTCTACAAGTGTAATTGATTCTTTCTTGGGTGCTTATCAGGTACTAAGTAATAGGTTCCATTGTAGAAGCCAACTTACCAGTGGTCACCTAGGGTTGGACTGGTCACTTGGGAGAGGGATAGTGATAGGCGTACTATAATGCAAAAGCAACCAAGTTGACCATTGTCCTGGCCCAATCTTCATAACCTTAAATTAGTCATTTTCCCTCTCTGGATCCCTGTCAAAATGAATTTGTTTGAGCTCTTAAGACCTCTTTTAGTTCTGTAATTTTTAGGGACTTCTTCTATAACTTTCTGTAGACCTTCCTAGGCAACAATTGTAAACTGTGGCTGTTTGAGTCACCAGCAAAGGAGTTTTCCAGCCAATGCAGCAAGGCATTCTTGCCTTGAAGGATAGTTTGAAAATCACTGTTTTTTGGAGTGGCCATTGTAGCTCCTTTGTAGGTGCATGAGAGTTCCAAGGGACTGTGCCAGCTGGGTGCACTGGCTTATGCCTGTAATCCCAACACTTTGGGAAGGTGAGGTGGGTGGATCGCTTGAGGCCAGAAGTTCGAGGCTATAGTGCGCAATGATAGCACCTGTGAATAGCCACTACCCTCCAGCCTAGGCAACATAACAAGACTCTGCCCCCCAAATAAGCACAAGAAAGAAAACAATGTCACAACTTGCCTGAAGCTACTTAGTAACAAAACCAGACAGAGACACCAGGTCTCCTGACTCTCAGTTTAATGCTCCCAAGATTTTACTTCCCTCTACACAAAGTCTTTTCTTTTTTTCCATAGACTTGGAACGCCAGTTGGAGGAGCAGAAGAAGCAAGGCCAGGATCACAGGCTGAAATCTCAGACAGTTCAAAATGTGGTACTGATGCCTGTGAGCACTCCTAAGCCTCCAAAAAGGCCCCGGCTCCAGCGGCCAGCCTCCACCACTGTCTTGAGCCCTTCTCCTCCTGTCCAGCAGCCTCAGTTCACAGTCATCTCACCCATCACCATCACCCCAGTGGGTCAGTCATTTTCCATGGGCAATATTCCAGTGGCCACCCTCAGCCAGGGCTCCAGTCCTGTGACTGTCCACACACTGCCTTCTGGCCCTCAGCTCTTCCGCTATGCCACAGTGGTCTCCTCTGCCAAGAGCAGCTCACCAGACACAGTGACCATCCACCCTTCATCTAGCTTGGCGCTGCTGAGCTCTACTGCCATGCAGGATGGGAGTACACTGGGCAACATGACCACCATGGTTAGCCCTGTGGAATTGGTGGCCATGGAGTCCGGCCTAACCTCGGCAATTCAGGCTGTTGAAAGCACCTCAGAGGATGGGCAGACCATCATTGAGATTGATCCAGCCCCGGACCCAGAAGCTGAAGATACTGAGGGCAAAGCAGTCATCTTGGAGACAGAGCTGAGGACTGAGGAGAAAGTTGTGGCTGAGATGGAAGAACACCAGCATCAAGTTCACAATGTGGAGATTGTGGTCTTAGAGGATTAACTGGGGATCTCAGGGCCAGGAGTTATGTTTTGATTTGGAATTTTAATTATTTGTTTATTTTTATCATTGTCCCACTCATTTCCACATAGGACCCTTTTTTAAAAAAAAAAAAACAAAATCTTATTGTTGTAACTGAAAATGTTGGGTTCTTCCCACTCCCTCATTGAAAAATGGACAAAACAAGCTGCCCTTCCAGAAGTTGAGAGTAGGTCATTCAATGTCCTAATCATCTTACACCAAGAAAGTAATTTCTTTTAGGGGAAGTGTCAAGATAACAAGTAACCCTGTCCAGAAAGCCATTTCCAGGCTCGTCTGTGTGTGTAGGCATGTGGTTTTATTCTTGTAAAGATGCATTGACCAAACTCTGGAACACAGATCTGACACTGGAAGGCAACCCACTCGCATGTGGATGCTGAAGGGCACTTTATTTTGTATCCTGAAAAGGGCCTACAGAGGCCAGTACAAAACTCTCAAACAAAAGGAAGTTGACTCTGCTTTGAGGGGAAGGTGGCATGCCAGCACTAGCTTAAAAAGGGAAGTGCTAGCCGGGCGTGGTGGCTCACGCCTGCAATCCCAGCACTTTGGGAGGCCGAGGCGGGTGGATCACGAGGTCAGGAGTTTGAGACCAGCCTGGCCAACATGGTGAAACCCCGTATCTACTAAAAATACGAAAAAAAAATTAGCCGGGTGTGGTGGCGGGAGCCTGTAATCCCAGCTATTCAGGAGGCCAAGGCAGGAGAATCGCTTGAACCTGGGAAGGCAGAGGTTGCAGTGAGCCAAGATCGCACCACTGCACTCCAGCCTGGGCAACAAGAGCGAGACTCCATCTCAAAAAAAAAAAAAAAAAAAAGTGCTTTGGCAAGTATGGGGCAGGGAAATCATCTTACTTCCAGAGGTGCAACTGACGCCTCTGGAGATCTCCAAAAGTTAGTACCGTGAGTGCCATTTTGAGAAGAAGGTGGTAATAAGTGGAAGGTACATCTCCACAGAGCAAGTGGCAGCAGTGGCCTGTGGTTTTGCAGAAATGGAAAGCCAAGGCCGGGTGCGGTGGCTCATGCCTGTAATCCCAGCACTTTGGGAGGCCGAGGTGGGTGAATCACCTGAGGTCAGGAGTTTGAGGCCAGCCTGGCCAACATGGTGAAACCCCGTCTCTACTGAAAATACAAAAAAAAAAAATTAGCTGGGCATGGTGGCACGCGCCTGTAATCCCAGCTACTTGGGAGGCTGAGGCAGGAGAATTGCTTGAACCTGGGAGGCGGAGGTTGCAGTGAGCTGAGATCATGCCATTGCACTCTAGCCTGGGCGAGGAGTGAAACTCCGTCTCAAAAAAAAAGAAAGAAATGGAAAGCCAAGGATGCTGCAGCTGTGCTTTGGGGTTCAAGGTAATAGCTTACCTTGTTCCACACTTTGTCAAAGCACTCACCCTCCTAAGCTAGGACCAGTCCATTCATTTGAAACTGTGCAATGTGATGTAAATGGCTCTGGTTCTTAGACTGTGGCTGTCACAGGGATGGGGCTCCAAGGCCATCATTTTCATTGCATGGCTCCAAGAGCAGGGAGTTCCTCAATGAAACCAGCTGCCTTTTTTGGTGGGGCCATTTTTTTGGCTTTGGAACCCAAAGCAGCCACTCATTTGGTGCTTCCTCTTGTTCTGCCCTCCATCCCTCAACTCTTAATGGCATCTGTCTCCTAGAACCCACGCTCTTCAGCTTTTTGGCTGATTTGGAGAACAGTGACAGGTGCCTGCCTGCCTTCGTCCCCTTTTAGATTCATTTATACCACAGATGTTTCTGTGAGATACTGAGATCATAAAAAGCTTTAGGCTTGGCAGAGAGGACTCAACACCCCCAGGCTTTCCTGAGGCACCAACTAGATGTCTCTTGAGTGAGCTGGACTCCCTGGGAAAGAAGCATTGTCTGCAACATTATATTATAGGAAATGTACCAGGAATGTCAATAATAATGCTTTGGGGGGGGGGGTTATTTTGTTTTGTTTTGTTTTTAATGTTGTTTGTATATTTAGAGCTGGGCCATTTTCCGTGCTGCGATTTCTTCTCTTTGACCCTCTTCAGTGTTTGGGGCAAGAGTGGACCCTGGTTTTTATTTCTTTGATTGCATTGTTTACTGCACTAGGAAAAATATAGAGATACAGGGAAACTACAGACAAATTTAAGGAAAAATAGGTCAAAAAAGAAAGCACACACCTTAAGAGTGGGAGGAATATTTTTATTAAAAACAAAACTTGGACCTGTAGTTTTTTTTTTTCTTTTTTATTTTTAAGAAGGCACCTTTCAGAAGCCATGTTTCTTCCAACAGATGTTGGAAACCCCATCGAGCAAGTAAAAGTTGCATTCTCCATCCCTCAGATGGCTGTATGTAGTCAAAGAAACCCTGTAACATGGTAAGGTTGCTGTTTTTTTTTTTTTTTTCTTTTTGAGATGGAGTCTTGCTCTGTAGCCCAGGCTGGAGTGCAATGGTGTGATCTCAGCTCACTGCAACCTCCGCCTCCTTGGTTCAAGTGATTCTCCTGCCTCAGCCTCCTGAGTAGCTGGGATTACAGGCTCCCACCACCACGCCCGGGTAATTTTTGTATTTTTAGTAGAGACGGGGTTTTGCCATGTTGGCCAGGCTGGTCTTGAACTCCTGACCTCAAGCGATCCGCCCGCCTTGGCCTCCCAAAGTGTTGGGATTACAGGCATGAGCCACCGCACCCAGCCTGAAGGTGACTCTTAAGAATGAGATTTATGAACTCCATACAGTTGTAGATTTCAGTTTTTAAATAGTCTGGGGTTTTATTTTTCTTTTCAAAATATCTAATAGACTTAGCAATCAATTTAGAACAAATATTTGGCCCTTAATATATCTTTAGTGAGGGAAGTAGCTTTTATTTCCTGCTTGTTTAGGTTTTCTGTTGGTACATAAAAACAAAATTGCTGTCTCAGACTGAATCTACTTGAATCTAGGAAGGCACATCTCATCCCTATTGTGGTTTTTAGGGACACTTTTCTCTTTCCCAGAGATGAGAGGACCAATTCAGGACAGAAGAGCCCTCGTGAATACCAACGTGCTAGCTCAGGTTCCCTTCTTTCCTCCATCAGAGCTATTGGTAGGGTTTTAAGGTCGTGTGTGCATCATGCTTCCAATGTCAAGAGATTTCCTCAAACAGCCTGTTTACTAGATGAATTTTCCAGCTGGTGAAATACATGAGCTTTGTTGTTTTCCTGGTCTTCCAATAGCCTGTCATTATTGTTAGATATTATGGCACCTGTTGTTGAATGTAGGTTCCCTTACAGCCCTGGTCTAGATGATCCTAGATGGGGTGAGACATATGCAAGCCATTGGTATGTGCATAAGCAGTTGCAATGAACCTTAGGCTGACTTGGTAGTAGGCATTTGTCTTTCTGTTCATGCATTGAATAAACATTTTTAAGAACCATCTATGTGCCAGGCTTTGTGCTAGGCACTGACAGTAGAGAGATGAAGACATAGTCCTTGCACTTAAGGAATTCATACTCCAGATGTCTGGAGTTAAGAAATACATATTTCAGCCAGGCATGGTGGCTCACACCTAGAATCCCAGCACTTTCAGAAGCTGAGGCAGAATTGCTTGAGGCCAAGAGTTTAAGACTAGCCTGGTCAACATAGCCAGACCCCATCTCTATAAAAAAATGTAAAAATTAGTCAAGTCTTGTGGCTCGCACTTGTAGACACAATTACTCAGGATGCTGAGGCAAGAGGATTTTGCTTGGGCCTAGGAGTTCAAGGCTGTAGTGAGCTATGACTTTGCCACTGTACTCTAGCCCAGGTAACAGGGCAACATCCCCAGCTCAGAAAACCAAAACTACACATTTCATTATAATTGTTTTTTTTTGTAATTTTATGTATTTTATGCATTGAAAAACATTATTTAAGAATTGGTTCATAGGTTTCAGCAGACTGCCAAAGGCACAAACAAGCAGCTCTCCTTTACTGAGGTACTGAAACAGATCCTACTGCGTAAGTGCTGTGTGTGATAGGGCTATTGGCTAGGAGCTGAGAGAACAAAGCATGAAGTGCCTAACCCAGCTTAGCGGTGTAGAGGTGGGGTCAGCAAATAAGGGAGATCTTCCTGGAGAAGGCATATACCTAAGCTGATTTAGGAGAGACCACTTTTGGCTAGGTTTATTGTACTACTTGATTTTCAAGTAATTGGGCTTATTTATTCTAGAGAAAAAGTCTTCAGTCTCTTGCTTCTGCCTGCAAAGCAAGGCAGAGTCAGCAACATGGGCAGTCTCCCCACTGGAGAACGCTGAGTCATGCATGGGCTTCTCCAAGTTTCCATCAGATGGGATCCAGTGTTGAATCCAGTGCAGGACTGGAGTCTAGCTGGCAAAGGGTAAATGCCCCCAAAGCCTTCCTGCCATATGGTTTCCACGAAGGCCTGAGAGTCAGCTGTACAACTGTCTTGTCTTGGCCATGTCCCTGTTTGGTCCCTGCCTTGTTCTCTTCCCTTTCTCAATTTCCAAGCTCCACCCACTCCTAAAAACACCAGTCATTCTGAAGTAAAAAATGGACAATAAACATGAATATTCAAGATTCAAAGCCACTTCATATGAAGGTTCTTTTGCACCTCTGTCCTTATTAGGGAAGGAGGACCAATGTTAATCCAAACATCTGGAAAATTAATATTCAGTTCAGGTGGTTCTGACACCCACTAGTGGTAGCATTTTATCCCATTTCATGAAAGGCATTAAAGGTAAGACTATGGTGGAGAGTGTTGATTATAAAGATAGTAAAAGTCAAGCATGAAATGTGGAATTAGTAGTTGAGTTATAGCATCCAGGTTTTAGTACTATCAGAGAGGTGGAAAGGACAAAGGAAAGGTTGAATTCTGAAAATCGGCATGAGGTTGTGATTCACCTTGGGCAGTTTGAGGAACTCGTCCTCTCTGAGACATAATGTCATACACTAGCCTAGCTCCTGCATTTTGAGACAACTTTCCTAGTACAATTGATCACTTCCCTGGAGGTGCAGCACATCCCTTACTCCAGGTTAGTTCCTCCCTGGGAAATCCTCCCTGGGAAATTTTTGTGTAGTCTGAAATGTGCTGCCATAACAACCAAGGTTGTCAAGGACCTCAAGGGTGTGGTGTAGTTAGATTTGGACTGTTGGCCGGGCACGGTGGCTCACGCCTGTAATCTCAGCACTTTGGGAGGCTGAGGTGGGCGGATCACCTGAGGTCAGGAGTTCGAGACCAACCTGACCAACATGGAGAAACCCTGTCTCTACTAAAAATACAAAATCAGCCAGGCATGGTGGCGCATGCCTGTAATCCCAGCTACTTGGGAGGCTGAGGCAGGAGAATCGCTTGAACCCAGGAGGCGGAGGTTGTGATGAGCCGAGATCGTGCCATTGCAGTCCAGCCTGGGCAATAAGAGTGAAACTGTCTCAAAAAAAAAAAAAAGATTTGGACTCTTTGTCCCTAGAATTTCCATTCTTAGGCAGCCCTATTTGAGCCCTTTCCAGGTTTCGTTCCCAAGTCCTGGAACACCTTTCTTAGCCCTGAGTTAGGCAATTTGACTTCCTCTAGAGGGTTCTACTTGCCTCAGACTCCCCTATCCACACTACATCATCCTTCCTCTCTAGCTCTTTTGGGAACCATGATTTAGTCCCCAAATTCTGCCATGTTAGTATTTTTGCCTTCCTGCCATGGCAGTAACTCTTTCAACTCTTGAGATGATCATCTTTCCCAACTAAAGGAATGCCACCCCCAGGGCCCAAACCTGAGCATACATTCCTAGACCGCAGTCTTCACTAACTACAACAGCCTTGCTGACACCGTTAGTCACCTGAATTGAAGCCCTTTTGCAATGTGCTTGCATAGTGGCGTTAGGCAAGTTCCCCCAAGACACACGGACTCTAAAAACCCATCTTCTACACCTGATTGATTACCCCTGGCCCACGGCCCTAGGCTTAGACATATCTTGTTTTCCTGGGTAACTTACTTCAGCCCAGTATGAGTAACAATACATATACAAAATATCAGCCGGACGTGGTGGCGGGTGCCTGTAGTCCCAGCTACTCGGGAGACTGAGGCAGAAGAATGGCGTGAACCCGGGAGGCGGAGCTTGCAGTGAGCCGAGATCACACTACTGCACTCCAGCCTGGGTGACAGAGTGAGACGCTGCCTCAAAAAAAAAAAAAAATTACATAAACACATGGATTTATTTTTCTAGTTTGAGAACAAGAATGAACAATAGGTTTGGATTGCATATAAGGGTAAACATGAGGCTGAGTTAGGACCCAGAGAGAAAGAGCTTCCTCACTGGGCTTTGTAGGAGGTACTCTTAAGAAAAGCACACATAGAATTTACCTGATTTCAAAATTTACTTTTTTTTTTTTTTTGTGAGGCGGAGTCTGACTCCGTCGCCCAGGCTGGAGTGCAGTGGTGTGATCTCGGCTCACTGCAAGCTCCACCTCCCGGGTTCGCTCATGCCATTCTCCTGCCTCAGCCTCCCAAGTAGGCGGGACTACAGGCGCCCACCACTACGCCCGGCTAATTTTGTTTTTGTATTTTTAGTAGAGACGGAGTTTCACTGTGTTAGCCAGGATGGTCTCAATTTCCTGACCTCGTGATCCGTCCGCCTCGGCCTCCCAAAGTGCTGGGATTACAGGTGTGAGCCACCGCGCCCATCCTCAAAGTTTACTTTAAAAAAAAAAAAAAAAGGGGCCGGGCGCAGTGGCTCACGCCTGTAATCCCAGCACTTTGGGAGGCCGAGGCGGGCGGATCACGAGGTCACGAGATCGAGACCATCCTGGTTAATACGGTGAAACCCCGTCTCTACTAAAAATACAAAAAATTAGTCGGGCATGGTAGCGGGCGCCTGTAGTCCCAGCTACTTGGGAGGCTGAGGCAGGAGAAGGGCGTGAACCTGGGAGGCGGAGCTTGCAGTGAGCCGAGATCGCGCCACTGCCCTCTAGCCTGGGCGAGAGCGAGACTCCGTCTCAAAATAAATAAATAAAATAAAATAAAATAAAATATTTAAAAAGTCTCTGATGTTTTCTTTTTCTTTTTTTTTTCCTTTGTGAGACGGAGTCTTGCTCTGTTGCCGAGGCTGGAGTGCAATGGCGTGATCTCTGCTCACTGCAACCTCCACCTCCCGAGTTCAAGTAATTCTTCTGCCTCAGCCTCCCGAGTAGCTGGGAGTACAGACATGCGCCACCACGCCCGGCTAATTTTTTGTATTTTTAGCAGAGACGGGCTTTCGCCATGTTGGCCGGGATGGCCTTGAATTCCTGGCCTCAAGTGATCAGCCCGCCTCGGCCTCCTAAAGTGCTGGGATTACAGGCATGAGTCACCACGCCCGGCCCTCTGGTGTTTTCTTAAATATGTCTATACATTATAAAGCAAACTGGATGCCCACAGCCATGATTCAGCCTGAAGACTGACTTACATTTTTTTTCTTTTTTTTTTGAGACGGTGTTTCGCTCTTGTTGCCCAGGCTGGAGTGCAATGGCGCGATGGCGGCTCACCGCAACCTCCGCCTCCTGGGTTCAAGCCATTCTCCTGCCTCAGCCTCCCAAGTAGCTGGGATTACAGGCATGCGCCACTATGCTCGGCTAATTTTGTATTTTTTACTAGAGACGGGGTTTCTCCATGTTGGTCAGGCTGGAATTGAACTCCCGATCTCAAGTGATCCTCCCACCTTGGCCTCCCAAAGGGCTGGGATTACAGGCGTTGAGCCACCGCTCCCAGCCTGACCTACATTTTTGTTGTGTTTTTATTTTTTATTGAACATGTATACACGAATGAATACAAATCATAATTCTACAACTTGATAAGGCTAGTCAACACCCATGAAACCAGCTTCTAGATCAGAAGAAATAAATTACCAGCACCGCACCTACCACGATAACCACTACCTACCTCTTTAAAACTATAGCTTGCTTTTGCCTCTTTTTGAGCTCTTTGTGACTGGCTTTCTTCTTCACTCAACATTATTGAGATTAATCCATAAAGTTGTTTGAAGTTGTAGTTGGTTCTTTCTCATTGCTACATAGAACATGTGACTTTGGCCGGGCGCGGTGGCTCACGCCTGTAATCCCAGCACTTTGGGAGGCCGAGACGGGCGGATCACGAGGTCAGGAGATCGAGACCATACTGGCTAACACGGCGAAACCCCGTCTCTACTAAAAATACCAAAAATTAGCTGGGCGTGGTGGCGGGCGCCTGTAGTCCTAGCTACTTAGGAGGCTGAGGCAGGAGAATGGAGTGAACCCGGGAGGCGGAGCTTGCAGTGAGCCAAGATCGCGCCACTGCACTCCAGCCTGGGCGACAGAGCGAGACTCCGTCTCAAAAAAAAAAAAAAAAAAAAAAAAAGAACATGTGACTTTGCCACAAATGATCCTTCCTACTAATGGTGGGTAGTTTCCAGTTCGGACTACTATAATAATGCCTCTATGAACGTTCCTGGGGCCGGGTGTGGTGGCTCATGCTTGTAATCCCAGCACTTTGAGAGGCCCAGTTGGTACCATTGCTTGAGGCCAGAAGTTCGAGACCAGCCTGGGCAACACTGTGAACCCCATCTCTACAAAAAAATACAAAAATTAGCTGGATGCGGTGATGGCATGCCTGTATTCCCAGCTACTCAGAAGGCTGAGATGGGAGGATCACTTGAGCCTGGGAGGTCTAGGCTGCAGTAAGCCATGATTGCACCACCACACTCCAGTCTGGGTGACAGAGTGAGACCCTATCTCAAAAACAAAACAAAACAGCTGGGCGCGGTGGCTCACGCCTGTACTTCTAGCACTTTGGGAGGCCGAGGTGGGCAGATCATGAGGTCAGGAGTTCAAGACCAGCTTGACCAACATGGTGAAACCCTCTCTACTAAAAATACCAAAATTAGCCAGGCGTGGTGGTGTGCACCTGTAATCCCAGCTACTCAGGAGGCTGAGGCAAGAGAATCACTTGAAACTGGGAGGTGGAGGTTGTAGTAAGCCGAGATCGTGCCATTGCACTGCACTCCAGCCTGGGCAACAGAGCAAGACTCCATTTCAAAAAAAAAAAAAAGAATAAAAAAACAAAAAATAAACTACCATCAGAAGGCTTGACAACAGTGGGTTCACATTTCCTTATAGTAACACTTGACTGGAATGACACATGTCTTAGGACATGACATCTTCACAGACCCTGCCACTTCTATTACAAATGCAGACATGCAGACATATTTATTTTGGTAGCCCTTTTTTTTTCTTAAATTCAATAATCTCTTAGAACACGCTTCCCCCAGAAAACTGCAAAGCTTATTTATTTATTTATTTTGAGACAGAGTCTCACTCTATCACCCAGGCTGGAGTACAGTGGCGTGATCTCAGCTCACTGCAACCTCTGAGTAGCTGGGATTACAGGCATGTGCCACCATGCCCAAGTAATTTTTTTTTTGTATTTTTAGTAGAGACAGGGTTTCACCATGTTGGTGAGGCTGGTCTCGAACTCTTGACCTCAGGTAATACACCTGCCTCGGCCTCCCAAAGTGCTGGGATTACAGGCATGAGCCACTGCACCTGGCCTTTGTTTTTTTTTCTTAAATTCAATAATCTCTTAGGACACGCTTCCCCTAGAAAACTGCAAAGCTTATTTCTTTTTTTTTTTTTTTCCTTGAGACAGAGTCTTGCTCTATCGCCGGCTGGAGTGCAGTGGCGCGATCTCAGCTCACTGCAACCTCTGCCTCCTGGGTTCAAATGATTCTCCTGCCTCAGCCTCCTGAGTAGCTGGGATTACAAGCGTGCCACCCTGCCTGGCTAATTTTTTGTATTTTCAGTAGAGATGGGGGTTTCACCATGCTGATCAGGCTGGTCTTGAACTCCTGACCTCGTGATCAAGGCCTCCCAAAGTGCTGGGATAACAGGCGTGAGCCACCACGCCCAACCTCTTTTTTTTTGAGACTGAGTTTTGCTCTTGTTGCCCAGGCTGGAGTGTAATGGCTCGATCTCCACTGCAATGTCCACCTCCCGAGGTTGGAGCAATTCTCCTGCCTTAGCCTTCCGAGTAGCTGGGATTATAGGCGCCCACCACCACGCCTGGCAAATTTTCCATACTTTTTTTTTTAGTAGAGATGGGGTTTCACCATGATGGCCAGGCTAGTCTCAGACCCCGGACCTCAGGTGATCCACCCGCCTTGGCCTCTCAAAGTGCTGGGATTACAGGCGTGAGCCCCTGCACCTGGCCTGCAAAGCTTATTTCTTCATTTTCTTCAAGTATCTGTTCATATGTTACTTTATCAGAGAGGACTTCCTTAATACCCGCCCTATAAAAAATGGTAACCTCCCCCTGCACTATGGTTCTTGTTTTCCTTTATTCTCTTTACTTTGCTTTATTTTTCTCTGTTTTACTTATGTGATGTATGTTTATTTTCTCCCTCCAACTACAATGGAAGCTCTGTGAGATCAAGGACTTTTCTTTTTCTTTTTCTTTTTTTTTTTTGGAGACAATCTTACTCTGTCGCCCAGGCGGGAATGCAGTGGCACAATGGTGGCTCATTCAGCCTTCACCTCCCTATGCTCAGGTGATCCTCCCATCTCAGCAGGCTGAGCCTCCTAAGTAGCTGGGACTATAGGCACTAATTTTTTTTTTTTTTTTTTTTTTTTTTGTATTTTTAGTAGAGACAGAATTTCACCATGTTGGCCAAGCTAGTCTCGAACTCCTGATCTCAGGTGATCCACCTGCCTTGGCCTCCTAAAGTGCTGTAATTATAGGCGTGAGCTACTGCACCTGGCCAAGACTCTTTAATAAATGTGATTGGTATACAACACTTCAAATGTATGTATTGTTTACAGTAGTAAACTATGTTAGTTTCCTCATTGTAAAATGGGTTAAGTAATGCTATCACAAAGGATTATTGTGACTCTTTTTTTTTTTTTTTTTTTTGAGGCAGAGTCTCACTCTGTTGCCCTGGCTGGAGTGCAGTAGCGCAGTCTCGGCTCATTGAAACCTCTGCCTCCTGGGTTCAAGCGATTCTCCTGCCTCTGCCTTCTGAGTAGCTGGGATTACAGGCGCATGCCTATCGTTGGCCAATTTTTTGTATTTTTAGTGGAGATGGGGTTTTGTCATGTTGATCAGGCTGGTCTCAAACTCCTGGTCTCTAGGGATCCACCCACCTTGGCCTCCCAAAGTGCTAGGATTACAGGTGTGAGACACTGAGCCTGGCTAAACAGTCTTCAAAAGTACTAGAGAAGCTTAAGCAGGGCGCGGTGGCTCACACCTGTAATCCCAGCACTTTGGGAGGCCAAGGCGGGTGGATCACGAGGTCAGGAGTTCAAGACCAGCCTGACCAACATAGTGAAACCCCTTCTCTACTAAAAATACAAAAATTAGCTGGGCGTGGTGGTGGGCGCCTGTAATCCCTGCTACTCAGGAGGCTGAGGCAGGAGAATTGCTCGAACCCAAGAGGTGGAGGTTGCAGTGAGCCGAGATCGTGCCACTGCACTCCAGCCTGGGCGACAGAGTGAGACTCCGCCTCAAAAAAAAAAAAAAAGTACTAGAGAAGCTTAATACCTAAAAGGAACCCTTCAATGAATCATTGTACAATCATGATATTTTATTTGGAACATATTTAGTCTTATTATTATTATTTTTTATTGTAGGGATGGGGTCTCAATATGTTGCCCAGGCTGGTCTCAAATTCCTGGGCTTAAGCCATCCTCTCATCTTGGCCTCCCAAAGTGGTGGGATTACAGGTGTGAGCCACCACACCTGGCCCGTGTAATTATTTTTTCTTTGCACAGATTTAAATTTCTTTTTTTTTTTTTTTTGAGGCAGAGTCTCACTCTGTCACCAGGTTGGAGTGCATGATCTCAGCTCACTGCAAACTCCGCCTTCTGGGTTCAAGTGATTCTCCTGCCTCAGTCTCCTGAGTAGCTGGGACTACAGGTGTGCACCACCATGCCCAGCTAATTTTTGTATTTTTAGTAGAGACGGGTTTCACCATGTTGGCTAGGATAGTCTCGATCTCTTGATCTCATGATCCGCCCAGCTTGGCCTCCCAAAGTGATGGGATTACAGGCATTAGCCACTGCACCCAGCTAAATTTCTTTTTTTTAGAGCCAGGGTCTCTTTGTTGCCCAGGCTAGAGTGCATAGCTCTCTGCAGTCTTGAACTCTTGGGCTCAAGTCATCCTCCCACCTCAGCCTCCTACGTGTTGAGACTACAGATATATGCCACCACACCCAGCTAAAATTGGACCAGCCTTCCAGAGGCTCCTTGACTTCATTTCCCCTTGGCACTATCTCCAGAAATCTTGTTTGTGTTCCATTTTTCTCTCAAGTCTATTGTCTTAGATTGAGATGGTACGCTGTTCCCTAGCACAGTGATACTCAGACCTATAGATCTCATGTATCAATAAAACAAAACACGTCTTGGAGACCAACACGAGCTTCCCAACATTATATTTTGTGAAAAAAGGATTTTCTTTTAATTGCCAAATCTCATTGCCATTTTCTTTTTCCCTTTTTTTTTTTTTTCTTTTTTTTTTTGAGACAGGGTCTCACTCTGATTTGCCCAGGCTGGAGTACAGTGGCACAATTTTGGCTCACTGCAGCCTCGACCTCCTGGGCTCAGGTGATTCTCCAACCTCAGCCTCCCAAGTAGCTGGGACCACAGGCGTGTGCCACCATACCTGGCTAATTTTGTTTGTATTTATTGTAGAGACGGGCTTTCGCCCTGTTGCCCAGGCTGATCTTGAATTCCTGAGCTCAAGGAATCCACTTGCCTCGGCCTCCCAAAGTGTTAGGATTACAGGTGTGAGCCACCGTGCCCGGCCCATCATGTGATTCTCTTTTTCTTCTTTTTTATTTTGTATCTCATTTCATCTTGCAACATTGCCATCATTTGAAAAGAAAGGATATGTTGACATCAAGGAGGTAAGAAATAAATAATCTCAGGATAAAGAAAAGTTCTCTCAATTGAATAAAATTTAGCTTTATGAAAAACTCATTACATGCCGGGTCTGGTGGCTCTGGCCTGTAATCTCAGCCCTTTGAGAGGCCGAGGCGGATGGATCACTTGAGGTAAGGAGTTCGAGACCAGCCCGGCCATAATAGTGAAACCCTGTGTCTACTAAAAATACAAAAATTAGCTGGGCATGATGGCATGTACCTGTAATCCCAGCTACTTGGGTGACTGAGGCAGAGAATCGCTTGAAGCTGGGAGGCGGATGTTGCAGCGAGCCAAGATTGTGCCACAGCACTCTAGCCTGGTGACAGAGTGAGACTCTGTCTCAAAAAAAACAAAAAACAAAACTCATTACATTGTCATTACCTTTCTCACTTCTTGGAGGACAGGTGAAAATTTCTGCTTTCTCTTCTAGAGTTCCAGTCGAATTTTTTTTTTCCAGTTGAATCTTCAAGGGTCTTTTAATGGTGGTTCTTTCTTGGTTCACGTTCTTTTCTGCCCTATATGTCTCTAAAAGTATCCCTTGAATATTCACAGCCTTGAATTCCTAGCAGCTTAAGGCCACCTGGCCCAGCTGCAGGTTCTTTCTTCCTTTAGTCTGGTTTTTACATTGCTCTTTTCATACCTCTATTCAGAGATTTATAAAACATCTGCACATTAAAAAGCCAATCATCAATTTACCTAGTGATTTTGGTTTCCACAGTACTTTTCTTTTAACATCCCACTAAGCTAGTTAACCAATCATCAATTTACCTGGTGATTTTGGTTTCCACAGTACTTTTCTTTTAACATCCCACTAAGCTAGTTAAGCTGCACATTTAACTGCTTATCACAATTGTTGGCCCCACCAGGTTTTCATCTATAAAATGGAGGTTGATGCCGGGCGTGGTGGCTCACGCCTGTAATCCCCGCACTTTGGGAGGCCAAAGCGGGTGGATCACAAAGTCAGGAGTTCGAGACCAGCGTGGCCAACATGGTGAAACCCTGTCTCTACTAAAAATACAAAAAAAAATTAGCCGGGTGTGGTGGCGCATGCCTGTAATCTCAGCTACCCAGAAGGCTGAGGCAGGAGAATTGCTTGAACCCGGGAGGCAGAGGTTGCAGTGAGCCAAGATTGTGCCACTGCACTCCAGCCTGGGCAACAGAGCAAGACTCTGTCTCAAAAAAAAAAAATGGAGGTTGACATTACTAGAGAGAATTTTGAAAATGAATGAGATAACAGATTAATTCAAACATTTACTTAGCATTGGGTTATACAGATTTATAATAAAAAATGTTCTTTGTCCTTTTTTTTTTTTTTTTTTTGAGATGGAGTCTCACTCTGCTGCCCAGGCTGGAGTACAGTGGCGTGATCTCGGCTCACTGCAACCTCTGCCTCCTAGGTTCAAGCAATTCTCCTGCCTCAGCCTCCCAAACAGCTGGGATTACAGGCGCCCACCACCATGCCCAGCTAATTTTTGTATTTTTAGTAGAGATGAGGTTTCACCATGTTGGCCAGGCTGGTCTCAAACTCCTGACCTCAGGTGATCTGCCCACCTCAGCCTCCCAAAGTGCTGGGATTACAGGCGTGAGCCACCGCACCTGGCCTCTTTGTCCTTTAAGCAGTTGTAGATTTATTAGAGGGGCAATATGTAAACTAGGTTGTTGTTTGTTTGAGATGGAGTCTTGCTCTGTTGCCCAGGCTGGAGTGCAGTGGCATGGACTCAGCTCACTGCAACCTCTGCCTCCTGGGTTCAAGCGATTCTCCTGCCTCAGTCTCCCGAGTAGCTGGGACTACAGGCACGCACCACCACACCCAGCTAATTACTGTATTTTTAGTAGAGACGGGGTTTCACCGTGTTGGCCAGGCTGGTCTCAAATTCCTGACCTCAAATGATTCGCCTGCCTCAGCCTCCAAAGTGCTGGGATTACAGGCTTGAGCCACCAGGCTGGGCCTAGCAGTATGTAAACTAGTTTTTTTTTCACCTAGTGTCCATGTGGTGGGTGGGCTTGGGGAGAGAGTAGTTAATGAGATTGCTCATGGGCAAAAATTTGGGTGTATGTGTATGTTTCCAGTGAGAAGATTCATTACTTTCATTAGATTCTCAACTGAGTCCAAAATGTCCCCCCACCAATAAAAGGGAAATATTGAAGTAAACAGATGGTTCTAATACACTAAAATAAGTTACCATAAGGAAATATGACCAATATTATGGATGAACAAAGAATAGCACCTTCTTTCTGCCTGGAGGCAGAAATAATGCTTCACCGATCAGGATCTTGAAGGACAGATAGCAATTGGATAGGGAAGATGGCAAGGCCATTTCAGGCAGAAACAACTGCATGTGCAAAATTACGGGCTCTGGGAAAAAAATTTTTTTAAAGTTCAGAGTATGGTGGCTCATGCTTGTAATCCCAACACTTTGGTAGGCCAAGGCAGGAGGATTGCTTAAGGCCAGGAGTTTGACACCAGCCTGGGCAACATAGAGACCCTGTCTCTACAAAAAATAAAAAATTGGCCAGGCATAGTGGTTTGTGCTTGTGGTCCCAGCTGCTCAGGAGGCCAAGGCCTCAGGAAGACGAGGTTGAGGCTACAGTGAGCTGAGATCGTGTCACTGCACTCCAGCTTGAGCGACAGAGCAAGATCTTGTCTCAAAAAACACAAAAAATAAAATAACTAAATAATTATATGTATCTATTTTTTAAGATGGAGTCTTACTCTGTAGCCCAGACTGGAGTGCAGTGGTGCAATCTTGGCTCACTGCAACCTCTGCCTCCCGGGTCCCAGTTCGAGCAATTCTCCTGCCTCAGCCTCCCGAGTAGCTGGGGTTACGGGCACGTGGTACCATGCCCAGCTAATTTTTGTATTTTTAGTAGAGACAGGGTTTCACCATGTTGGCCAGGCTGGTCTTGCACTCCTGACCTCATGATCCACCCACCTCGGCCTCCCAAAATGCTGGGATTACAAGTGTGAGCCACTGCACCCGGTCAATAATAAATTTTTTAAAAAGTTCAATGTGACTTCAGTGTGACTGGAGTGACTGGAATTGCCTGGCAATCAATGCTTGAGAAATACACAGGGCTAGAGAGGGACAAGTGTCCTACACTGTGTACACCACAGAAAACTAGCAGAAATTTTTAAGTGTTTTTACACTGTCAGTTGTGTGAGATATATAAACATTTCTCACCAGTGGTCTCTTTTATTCCTGATACATTAATGGAACGACTTGGGCAATGAAGTCTATTGTTCCTGAGAAGAGCTTTGGAAGTCTGGAAAGTTTGTGATTGGAACTCTAGGACCCAGTCCAGCCCATGGCAAAATTCTGAAGCGTATGTAAAATTTTCCCTTTCCCCTTCCTATGTGTTTTCTCTCTCATTCTACCCCCTGCCACAGCCCTCATATATCCAGAAGGATCTCTTCGGTTTCCACCAGAGGCCTAAAATGGTAGAAATAGAAGGGGTTATTTTTGGAACTCATCTTCCTTATTTCACAGTCTTGGAAATAGACTCTGAGTGAGGAAATGATTTACTCTCCTGGTTTCCCTTCGATCTCTCTGGTTTGGTGCCGGGCCTTACTCTTCTCCCTTTCTTCTGAGGAAATCTCAAGGACTCCTTTGACTTTAGCATCTGTATACCAAAGCCTCTAAGGTTTGGATTCCCAGCCTTGTTTTTCTCTCTGAGCTCTAAACTGTTTAACTGTCTACTGTACATTTCTTTGTTGTTTTTTGAAACAGGGTCTCTCTCTGTTGCCCAGACTGGAGTGCAGTAGGATGACCATAGCTCACTGCAGCCTTGACTTCCCAGGCTCAAGCTATCCTCCCACCTCGGCCTCCCGAGTAGCTGAGACCACAGGTGTGTGCCACCACACCTGGCTAATTTTTTATCATATATATATATATATATATATTTTTTTTTTTTTTTTGTAGAGACAGGGTCTTGCTATGTTACCTAGGCTGGTGTTGAACTTCTAGGCTCAAGCGACCCTCCCATCTTGGCCTCCCAAAGTGCTGGGTTTACACGCATGAGCCACCATGCCCGGCCTCTACAGAACATTTTGATCTGATGTGTTTTTTTTTTTTTTTTTTTTTGGAGAGGAGTCTCTCTCTGTCGCCCAGGCTGGAGTGCAGTGGCACTATCTCGGCTTACTGCAAGCTCTGACTCCCAGGTTCACGCCATTCTCCTGCCTCAGCCTCCCGAGTAGCTGGGACTACAGGCGCCTGCCATCGCGCCCGGCTAATTTTTTGTATTTTTAGTAGAGACGGGGTTTCACCGTGTTAGCCAGGATGGTCTTGATCTCCTGACCTCGTGATCCACCTGCCTCGGCCTCCAAAAGTGCTGGGATTACAGGCGTGAGTCACCATGCCTGGCTGTGATCTGATGTTTTATGTTTTCCTGAAACCCAGCATGTCCAAAGATAAATTTATGACCTCCCTGCTCCCCAGCAAATCTCCTCCAGCATTTCCCACATCAGAAAACCCATACCTCCCCTGCCCAAATGCTCATCTCAAACCAGTTATCATCTTTGATACCAACTTCTCCTTTAGGGTCCTCCCTCCCAATCCAATCAACCACCAAGAGTCCCCATTTTACCTTCTAAAACTTCTCAATTTTGTCGTACTTCTTTTATTTATTTATGTACTTTGTTTTGAGACGGAGTCTCGCTCTGTTGTCAGGCTGGAGTGCAGTGGTGCGATCTCAGCTCACTGGAACCTCCACCTCCTGGGTTCAAGTGATTATCCTGCCTCAGCCTCCCGAGTAGCTGGGACTACAGGCGCATGCCACCACGCCCAGCTAATTTTTGTATTTTTAGTAGAGATGGGGTTTCACCATGTTAGCCAGGATGGTCTCAATCTCTTGACCTTGTGATCTCCCGGCCTCGGCCTCCCAAAGTGCTGAGATTACAGGCATGAGCCACTGCGCCCGGCCTATTTACTTATTTTTTCTACAGACGGAAGGCTCCCTATATTGCCCAGGCTGGTCTCAAACTACTGGCTTCAAATGATCCTCCCACCTTGGCCTCCCAGTGTTGGGATTAGGGGTGTGGGCCACTGTACCTGGACACAATTTTGTCCACTTCTCGCTGTCTTCACTGCCACTACATTAGAGCCTGCCACTATTATTATTATTATTTTTTGGCCTGAACTTACTGCAACACTCTTCTAACTCCTAAATTACTCTCTTCTCCTTAAATCTACTTCCCACACTGCAACCAGAGTAAACTTCTTAAAATGTAAACCAGAGCCTGCTCTGCTCCTATTAACCCTTTATTATTATTATTATTTGTTAATTTATTATTATTTTTTTGAGACGGAGTCTTGCTCTGTTGCCCAGGCTGGAGTGCAGTGGCACGATCTTGGCTCCGCCTCCCGGGCTCAAGTGATTCTCCTGCCTCAGCCTCCCAAGTAGCTGGGATTACAGGTGCCTGCCACCACACCTGGCTAATTTTTTGTATTTTTAGTAGAGACGGGGTTTCACTGTGTTAGTCAGGATGGTCTCGATCTCCTGACCTCGTGATCCACCCGCCTTGGCCTCCCAAAGTGCTGGGATTACCAGCGTGAGCCACCGCGCCTGGCCTATTTTTATTTTTTTCTGAGACAGAGTCTCACTGTGTTCCCCAGGCTGGAGTGTGGTGGTGGGATCTTGGCTCACTGCAACCTCAGCCTCCCAAATTCAAGCAATCCTCCTGCCTCAGCCTCCCGAGTAGCTGAGACTACAGGCGCATGCCACCATACCTGACTTATTTTTCTCCTTTATGCCCAGTTCCTCGGTATTATCTAGTGCCACCCTCTCTCTCATGGTGCACCATCATGTTGGCCTCCTTCAGTTCCTCACCAGTGCCAAGTTCCTTCCTTGTTCAGGGCCCTTGCACATGTTGTTTTCTTTTCTTTTTTTTTTTTTTGAGAGAGGAAGTATCGCTGTTGTCCCCCAGGCTGGAGTGCAATGGCGCGATCTCTGCTCACTGCAACCTCTGCCTCCTGGGTTCAAGTGATTCTCCTGCCTCAGCGTCCCGAGTAGCTGGGATTACAGGTGCCTGCCACCACGCCCAGCTAATTTTTTTGTATTTTTAGTAGAGACGGGGTTTCACCGTGTTGTCCAGGCTGGCCTCGAACTCCTGACCTCAGGTGATCCGCCCGCTTCGGCCTCCCGCAGTGCTGGGATTACAGGCGTGATCCACCGTGCCTGGCCAGCACATGTTGTTCTTTTGTTTCCCTTCTCTCCTTGCCTGGCCTGTTTCTCCTCATCCTTTATGTTTTAGCTGAAGCTCATCTCCTCAGGGAAACCTTCCCTAGCTCCTCTGAGGAGGTTATACCTGTCTGTACTTCCTCATTGCACTTTCCACAACTGTAATTGAACAACTATTTGAATAGCTATTTTCATAGTCTCAGTTTCCCTGGCTAGTCTGCTTCAAGGAGAAATGAACTTTCTCCCCAGCACACTGCCTGGCCCTCAATAAATATTTGTTGAAAGAGAGACTGAATGCTTCATTTACCCAGCGGCAGAGCTGAACCTAGAATCTAAACATTTCCAGTACAGTATTATTTTCTTCAAACCATGAAATGACACCACATATTCCAACTTCCCCTCTCTCTTTCCAGTGATTAAATATTATCAGTCTTCTGGGTTCTGTTTCTTCAGGGGCCTGTTAAAAGCCATCATGGTAAACGAATCCAGGTTTAGAGATTACCCTTTTCCTAAGGATAATTTGCATTTTAACTGGGAACTTCTGGCAAACAGAAAGTCATCCCAAAGGAACTAATAAAAACTCCTGGCACCATTCTTTCTTGGAGGGAAAGAATTTTTACTTAAATCGCTTAATGGGATTATAGGAAATGAACTTACACTGTGCCACACATGCTTTAATGTCAGCTTTTAAAAAAATTTTAATTTTACTTATTTTATTTACTTTTTTGAGACAGAGTCTCGCTTTATCACCCAGGCTGGAGTACAATTGCGCGATCTCGGCTCACTGCAAGCTCCGCCTCCTGTGGTCAAGTGATTCTCCTGCCTCAGCCTCCCGAGTAGCTGGGATTCCAGGGGCCCACCACCACGCTCAAGCTAATTTTTGTATTTTTAGTACCGACGTGGTTTCACCGTGTTGGGCAGGCTAGTCTTGAATTCCTGACCTCGGGTGATCTGCCCTCCTCGGCCTCCCAAAATACTGGGATTACAGGCGTGAGCCACCGCACCCGGCTTTTTTTTTTTTTTTTAAAGTTTATCTTCACGACAAACCTGTTGGGTAGGTATCATTATCCATCATCCCCTTTATCAAATGAGGGAATCTAAGAAAGGTTTTAGTTGTTTACCCAGTATTGCACATCTGGGTGGGGAAACCATTATTTAGACCCTTTGTCTCCCAGCATATGACTTCTCGTCTAATGCTGTTTTTACAATGCCATGTTGCCTCCAAGGGTAAGTATAGGCAACCGCTTACAGTTTATACATAAATCTGGGCCATGGAGCTAAGTGGCTGATTATTATTATTTGTTATTTATTTATTTATTTATTTTGAGACGAGTCTCGCTCTGTTGCCCAGGCTGGAGTGTAATGGCGTGATCTCGGCTCACTGCAACCTCTGCCTCCCGGGTTCAAGCGATTCTCCTGCCTCAGCCTCCGATTAGCTGGGACTACAGGTGCATGGCACCATGCCCAGCTAATTTTTGTATTTTTAGTAGAGTCGAGATTTCACCATGTTGGCCAGGATGGTCTCGATCTTCTGACCTCATGATCCGGCCCGCCTTGGCCTCCCAAAGTGCTGGGATTACAAACATGAGCCACCGCGCCCGCCGTAGCCGAGTATCTTTAAAAAGAAGTATTACTAGGTTTATTCTATTCCCTTGATGGAATCTATGCTCCCAGACTTGACATTTTACTGTCTCCATTAAAAGTCCTTCACCTTTGGTGCCTGACCTTACTCATTCCTACCATAAATGTGATTATGGGCAGAGAAAAAAAGTGCTTTGAGCACTTTGACCAAATTATGATGTTAAATCCAAGATGCCATGTTATTTATTTTACCGAGTCCACCCAAGCCTCCTATATCCAGCGTGTGGATAGTACGAGGTTGACAATTAGTGCATTAGTTACCTGTTTACCACGACGTACTTGCAATAACAAAAGCTATTAGATGGGCTTTCCTAGTATCAAATATTCCTGCATGAGTTGGCTTTGCTTCTGATTGAAAATACTTTTGCCCATCCTTTGCATCTCCCCTATATTCTGGTTCCCTAATACAGAGTCTCGTAGGGGTAGAGAGATACCATTATGTTAGTGTCAGATACACCTGGCTATTTAATAGTTTTGTAAACTTGGGCACATTACTTAAGCTTTCTGTTTTTCCAGTCGTAAAAAACCGAAAGACTGATAGCGATTTTGAAGTTGTCGAAAGACTTTAATGTGTTTGAAAATACCTAACAACAAAGCCTGGCCCACAGCTGGTATTTCAATAATGTTAATTTCCTTGCTTCCCTCTTGAGGTCCTTAAGATTCATAGGTTCTCCGGACTCCTTGAAAGTTTTGTGTAGATGCATGAGGTGTATTTTTCTTGGAAATAAAGTCCACAATTTAACAGATTATCTTGGGGCCAGCGATTTCCCCGAAAATAAATTGTAGATTCTCCTTCCTGCAATGCTAAGGGGTGAATCTCTTTTGCGGGAGACTGGATTCTTTCGGTGTGTGTTTTGCTCTCTGGGTACTCTTTCTGTAGTCGGCTAACAGAGGATGACCAAGCCCCTCGCGGGGGCGGGGGCGGGTCACTCCCGGACAGGGCCCCCATGAAGTTTCCCTGGGGACTGTGTGACTCCCTAGGGGTCGGGTTACCTCCCAGATGGGGGTGGGGTATCACTTGCAGCTGGAAGGCAGGTTCATTTTAAGGTCTCGCGGGCTTCGGAGGCCCCTCCCTCACTGAGAAACCGGCTTTTGTCGTTCTTCTGAAGCCAGAGCTAGTCTTTCCAGGTGTTAGTCGAAACCTCGTGGTGCGACCCTGGTCGTCCCAAACCCCCTAGGCCTTAATCCTGGGGCGGTGGGGGCGGGGAGGCCGTGAGCACGGCTTCCGCTCCTCCAATCCGCCAGAGGGCGCAGCGGCCGGCCTCTCCCTTCCCGGGGTTCTTCGCGCCGGGCCCCTTCCGCGTGGGTGAGTGAATGTGAGAGTCAGCGCTCGCGCCGCGCGCGCCGCCCGCCTCCGCTGTTCGGCGCTCTGCTTTAGGCGGTGGGGGGCGGGCGCGCGCGTAAAAGCATAGAGACGGGCATTGAGCTCTTGGGCTAGAGCGTCGCCGAGTCGGAGCCGGAGCCTGAGCCGCGCGCTGTGTCTCCGCTGCGTCCGCCGAGGCCCCCGAGTGTCAGGGACAAAAGCCTCCGCCTGCTCCCGCAGACGGGGCTCATCTGCCGCCGCCGCCGCGCTGAGGAGAGTTCGCCGCCGTCGCCGCCCGTGAGGATCTGAGAGCCATGTCGGCCAGCAGCCTCTTGGAGCAGGTACAGGCCCGGCCCGCATGCCTCGGCCATTGTGTGAGGCGAGAAGGAGCCCGACTAGGCCCGGGCCCGCCGCTCCTGGGCAGGCCGAGCCGAGCCGAGGCGTCGTCTCTTGCGGGCCAGGTTTCGGGCCTCTCAGGCCGGCCGCGCCCGGCGCCTCTCCCTCAGCCTGTTCTTCCCGCTTCTCCTCGGGCCTCGGAGCCCACGGGCCGGGCCGCGCCGCGTTCCCTTCTCTCGGCGGGCCTCGTTTTCCTTCCTTGTTTCCTTCCCCTTCCTTAAAGCCCTGGGTTCCTCGCGTCGCCGGTGGCGCGTCTGCCGCGTTTTCTCCCCTGCCCCACGGGCCTGGCGCTTTCCCCCGCCTCCCATTTTCAGCCTCTTCCTCACTACCATTCCTGACGCCTCCCCTCGGGCCTGCTCCTTTATTCTCCCTTCGGGCCCTGCCTTAATTTGTTCTTCCTTTTCCATTTCTCCTTTGGACAACTTGCTGCTCGGCGACGTTTCCTTCCCCTGCAGAGACCAAAAGGTCAAGGAAACAAAGGTAAGTCCCGCTCCGCCGGTGGCCCTGAGCCGGGAGGGGGACGCGGGGCGGTGGGGGCGGGGTCTCCGGGAAGCGCCCCGGGCGGAGGACCTTTCGGAAGCCGCTTAGTTCGCAGGTGCCGCACACTTAAGTATTTTGACCCTTTCGGTGTGTTCTTGCAGCTGGCGAACAGCTTTTTCGCTAACAAGGAGTAATTCATTAAGGGTGGGGGTGGATTGGGTTTTGAAACGCTCCAGGTCCTTAGTTTCCTGTAGGTCTTAGAAGGCCTTTGTTTTTCATCCTCGTGGATCACTCTCTGGAAGTACTCTCATGTGATGGGGGAGGGGAAGCGGGAGGGAATGGAAATCCAGAGGAGCCAATAAAATGACCTTTTTAGATCAACTTGCTCTGGGTGGAGGGGGACATTTTCACTGGCGACTGTCGCTTCAGCATTCACTGTCATCTCTTACCCTTTTGAAGTTCAATCTTACGTGCTTTGTTAACTAGTAAGGTTTTTCTCTGGTTAGCATATATGAACTAATTTGAAAGGAAGATTGTAGGATTGGGACACTCCTAATTGAATTTTTTTTTCTTTAGTACAAAATGGATCTGTACATCAAAAGGATGGATTAAACGATGATGATTTTGAACCTTACTTGAGTCCACAGGCAAGGCCCGTGAGTAGTTAACTATTTACATATCTAATCGAAGGGTGTGGTATATTCTTTCTCCGCCTTCTACCAATAAATCCCATTTTCTGAGGATTCATTTTTTTTTCTTTTTTCTGTTTTCTGTTTTTTTGAGACTGAGTCTCGCTCTGACGCCCAGGCTGGGGTGTAGTGGCGCAATTTCGGCTCGCTCCAACTTCCGCCTCTCGGGTTCAAGCGAATCTCCTGTCTCAGCCTCCCGAGTAGGTGGGATTACACGTGTGCACCACCGCACACAGCTAGTTTTTCTATTTTTTTAGTAGAGACGGGGTTTCATGTTGGCCGGGCTGGTCTTGAACTCCTCAGGTGATTCACCCGCCTTGGCCTCCCAAAGTGCTGGGATTACAGGCGTGAGCCACCACGCCTAGCCGAGGATTCACTTTCTTAATACCTGTATTTTTTCTCTGCCCTCTATCAGGAAATCCCATGTTCTGAGGGTTCACCTCCTTAATACCTATTAATGTATTATAAAACAGTTAACTGCAAATGTCCTAGGCCGTTGAGATTCCCATCTCTGTAATATCAGCAACCATACTGTATTGAGAACGTAATACTGATAACACTCTACTGGCAGTAACATGTGCATGAATAATTGTCTTCTTCCTTACCAAGAATGTAGCAGTGCAGAATTTAGGGATTCTTACAGTGTTAAATATTCTGAATTTTCACCCCAGAGAACTTTGGATTCATATGATAGGGAAAGTTCTAATGTAAAATCACCTGAAGGCGGGAAGATCTCTTGAGCCCAGAAGTTTGAAGCTGCAGTGAGCTATCTACGATCATACCTGTGAAAAGCCACTGCGCTCCAGCCTTGGTGACAGAACAAGATCTGGTCTCTAAAAAATAGTCACCTGAACTTCATTCAGTGCTGCAGGACTGGCTGTCTTTCTTTTCTCTAGTTTATGGGTTCTTAGATTATCAGAACTATTTCGGAGTTAGGAAATTTTTTTTTTTTTTTTTTTGAGACGTAGTGTCAACTCTTGTCACCCAGGCTGGAGTGCAGTGGTGCAATCTCGGCTCACTGCAACCTCTGCCTACCAGGTGATTTTGCCCGCCTCAGCCTCCCAAGTAGCTGGGACCACCATGCCCGGCTAATTTTTTTAATTTTTTTGTAGAGATGGGGGTTTCACTATGTTGCCCAATCTGGTCTTGAATTCCTGAGCTCAAGAGGTCCGCCCTCCTCGACCTCTCAGAAGTGTTGGGATTACAGGTGTGAGCCACCATGCCCGGCTGAGTCAGGAAATTTTTGAGTTGAGCTGCACCTACATCTGTGGAGAATACTTTATTTCTCACCGAAGGGAGGTGTAGGATTTATAAAATGGAGTGAAAGTTAAAATACTGTTTAGCACAAATGAAGATCAATAACGTTGGAGGTTTTTGTGGCATAGTCTTTTAAAGTTGCATGTAGATTCAAATACTAATATGACCTGTGCATGTAGAAACTTGTTTGATTCAGCAGTTCTTTTGTATTATTATCTCTGATTCCAAAGACAGTTACACTGTTGTAACTAATTTAACTCCCCAGATTAATAGGCCAAAAGGAAAACTGGCAATATATCTTCCAAAATGCCCTGAAAGGTCAAGAAATTTATAAGTTCTGAACGTATGCTGTATGAAACATAGTTGGTAGTCCTGAATAACTGCATGCCCATATATGGATCTGATTATCACATAAAACTTGTAGAATCCCTGTGTAAAATTTTCAACACTGAAAGTATAGAAACCACTTGAGCAAGTGATTGGAAAAAAGTTTTCACAAAACACAACCAGTTAATCAGGAAAAGTAGGGAAGGAAGTAGAGGAATGAACTATTAATAGGTTCCTGCTATTGAAGTAGTTTGCTTACATAATCATTATAACAGGGAGAGTTGGAGCATTTAGAAGCATAATTCTAGGTAGTTCTTGTAAAACATTGTGTAATTCAAATTTTTTAGCTTGAGCATGTGGGAGCCTGCCAGTTCAGGTACAGACATTCAACTGTGTCTTGGCATAACCTGTGATATTAAGTGCATTTGATTTTTCTTTCTCAGGTAAGCCAAAGCTTAAATGTCTTTGTTTAAAAAAAATTTGGCTAATAATATAAATCTTAGATGAGTAGATGAGGAAGGGTAACCTGAGAATCTAGTTCATTGTCTAGAGTAAGTCATCTACTTTTTAGCCAATTTTTCATTACCCTATTTTGGAATAATACTTCAAGTTTAATCTGTTGATTATAGGCTGAATTTCTTATATATGTGGATTTGGGTCTGCTAAAATTTTTAACCTTACCTTTGTGAGAAATTTTAAATGTGAAAAGGGTATGTGTGAAAAGACCTCACTTTTGTTTTTATGTATTATTTATTTATTTATTTTTGAGATAGAGTCTCACTCTGTCACCCAGGCTGTAGTGCAGTGGTGCGATCTCGGCTCACTGCAACCTTCACCTCCTGGGTTCACACCATTCTCCTGCCTCAGCCTCCCGAGTAGCTGGGACTACAGGCGCCCGCCACCATACCTGGCTAATTTTTTGTATTTTTGCTAGAGACGGGGTTTTAACTGTGTTAGCCAGGATGGTCTCGATCTCCTGACCTCGTGATCCTCCCACCTTGGCCTCCCAAATTGCTGGGATTACAGGTGTGAGCCACCGCGCCCGGCTATTTATTTTTTTTGAGACGGAGTCTTGCTCTGTTGCCCAGGCTGCAGTGCAGTGGTGCAGTCCGGCTTACTGCAACCTCTGTCTCCTGAGTTCAAGCAATTCTCCCACCTTAGCCTCCTGAGTAGCTGGGATTACAGGCAGGTGCCACCACGCCTGGCTAATTTTTGTATTTTTAGTAGAGACGGGCTTTCACCATGTTGGCCGGGCTGGTCTCCAACTCCTGGCCTCAAGTGATTTGCCCGCCTCAGCCTCCCAAAATGCTGGAATTACAGGCGTGAGCCACTGTGCCCGGCCTGTTTTTATTTTATTTTTTTGAGACAGTCTGGCTCTGTTGCCTGGGCTAGAGTGCAGTGGTGCCATCTGGGCTCACTGCAACCTCGGCCTCTTGGATTCAAGTAATTCTACCGCCTCAGCCTCCTGAGTAGCTGGGCCTACAAGTGTGTGCCACCATGCCTAGCTAATTTTTTGTCTTTTTAGTAGAGACTGGGTTTTATCATGTTGGCCAGGCTGGTCTCGAACTGACCTCAAGTCATCCACCCCTCTGTCTCCCAAAGTTCTGGGATTACAGGCGGGAGCCACTGCGCCTGGCCATATTTCTCATTTTACATCCTCCAGAAACCACTGTGCATTTCCTTTTCAGGTTATAACTGAGTAGTGGGATCTATTGATATTCCCAGATAGTTTGCCAAGAGGCTAGCACTATAAACTGGTAGTGAACCTTGCTTTTTGGTTTATGATTGAGGAACGGCTGTACAGACATTTGGGCTAGAACTTGAAATTTCCATTTCTTTTTGTTATTCTTGTTTTATTATCACCTGGTTTGTATAGGAAGTTGATAAAAGGATTATCTCAACACTCAGGACTTAAACAGTTTGTGAAATGCTAAGTTTTCTCTTTACTTAGTTGTAGTGCTAAAGCTAAGGCCCATATTCACTGTATCAGCTTAACTTTAAATGTTTAAACATTTCAGTTATTACACCAAAATTTCTTATGATATAAAAAATGCCCTTGTGTTTATAGGAAATCATCTGATGTGCTGCACACTTTTTTTTTTTTTCCTGGAGATGGAGTTTCACTCTTGTTGCCCACAGGCTGGAGTGCAGTGGTGCGATCTAAGCTCACTGCAACCTCCGCCTCCTGGGTTCAAGTGATTCTCCTGCCTCAGGCCTCCCAAGTAGACAGGGTTTCATCGTGTTGGCCAGGTTGGTCTCGAGCTCCTGACCTCAGGTGATCCACCCGCCTCCACCTCCCAAAGTGTAGGGATTACAGGTGTGAGCCACCGCGTCCGGCCTGCACACTCCTTTTTATAGTATATTTGAATTGCGTGACTAGGTGGGGGGAGGAAATAGCCTGATGTTAATTTTTTGTGTTTTGATTTGCCTTTTTTTTTCTTCCACAGAATAATGCATATACTGCCATGTCAGATTCCTACTTACCCAGTTACTACAGTCCCTCCATTGGCTTCTCCTATTCTTTGGGTGAAGCTGCTTGGTCTACGGGGGGTGACACAGCCATGCCCTACTTAACTTCTTATGGACAGCTGAGCAACGGAGAGCCCCACTTCCTACCAGATGCAATGTTTGGGCAACCAGGAGCCCTAGGTAGCACTCCATTTCTTGGTCAGCATGGTTTTAATTTCTTTCCCAGTGGGATTGACTTCTCAGCATGGGGAAATAACAGTTCTCAGGGACAGTCTACTCAGAGCTCTGGATATAGTAGCAATTATGCTTATGCACCTAGCTCCTTAGGTGGAGCCATGATTGATGGACAGTCAGCTTTTGCCAATGAGACCCTCAATAAGGCTCCTGGCATGAATACTATAGACCAAGGGATGGCAGCACTGAAGTTGGGTAGCACAGAAGTTGCAAGCAATGTTCCAAAAGTTGTAGGTTCTGCTGTTGGTAGCGGGTCCATTACTAGTAACATCGTGGCTTCCAATAGTTTGCCTCCAGCCACCATTGCTCCTCCAAAACCAGCATCTTGGGCTGATATTGCTAGCAAGCCTGCAAAACAGCAACCTAAACTGAAGACCAAGAATGGCATTGCAGGGTCAAGTCTTCCGCCACCCCCGATAAAGCATAACATGGATATTGGAACTTGGGATAACAAGGGTCCCGTTGCAAAAGCCCCCTCACAGGCTTTGGTTCAGAATATAGGTCAGCCAACCCAGGGGTCTCCTCAGCCTGTAGGTCAGCAGGCTAACAATAGCCCACCAGTGGCTCAGGCATCAGTAGGGCAACAGACACAGCCATTGCCTCCACCTCCACCACAGCCTGCCCAGCTTTCAGTCCAGCAACAGGCAGCTCAGCCAACCCGCTGGGTAGCACCTCGGAACCGTGGCAGTGGGTTCGGTCATAATGGGGTGGATGGTAATGGAGTAGGACAGTCTCAGGCTGGTTCTGGATCTACTCCTTCAGAACCCCACCCAGTGTTGGAGAAGCTTCGGTCCATTAATAACTATAACCCCAAAGATTTTGACTGGAATCTGAAACATGGCCGGGTTTTCATCATTAAGAGCTACTCTGAGGACGATATTCACCGTTCCATTAAGTATAATATTTGGTGCAGCACAGAGCATGGTAACAAGAGACTGGATGCTGCTTATCGTTCCATGAACGGGAAAGGCCCCGTTTACTTACTTTTCAGTGTCAACGGCAGTGGACACTTCTGTGGCGTGGCAGAAATGAAATCTGCTGTGGACTACAACACATGTGCAGGTGTGTGGTCCCAGGACAAATGGAAGGGTCGTTTTGATGTCAGGTGGATTTTTGTGAAGGACGTTCCCAATAGCCAACTGCGACACATTCGCCTAGAGAACAACGAGAATAAACCAGTGACCAACTCTAGGGACACTCAGGAAGTGCCTCTGGAAAAGGCTAAGCAGGTGTTGAAAATTATAGCCAGCTACAAGCACACCACTTCCATTTTTGATGACTTCTCACACTATGAGAAACGCCAAGAGGAAGAAGAAAGTGTTAAAAAGGTAACCCACTTCTTCTTATTAAGATTTTTAGGGAAGGAGGAACCAGAGAGAACAGAAGAGGTATTATATAGTGAACCGTTAATAAAAACTCTGTAAATGAATACAGTATCACCTAACAGTTCAAGGCTTTATAGAAGTATAATTGGTTTTAATACTTGAACCCTAATGTGAAGGAATGTGAGAACATTAGTAGAGGACAGAAATACGGACTTTGAAAGGAAAGCAAAAACAGTACAAGGAAATCAGACAGAAACAGTACATGATGCAGAAAGAGGTGAAGAATGAGTCAAAGAGATGCAGAGGGGTAATGGAAGTGATAAAACCATAGAAATTAAAGCAGAAGATTGAGTCTATAATATGGCAGAGAAAAATCGAAATGTTCTCTGTTGGATTAACTTGGCCTAGCTGGGGTTTTGTGGTTATTTTCAAGAGTCAATATGTCATCACCAACTCTTGAAATCACTTCTGTCTTCCCTGTGACAATTGGCGGTGTAAAAGAGTCACTTCTGATTTCCTCTGTAACAAGTGGGAATCTTGGGCAGAATGATGAGGAATGGATTCAAACTAGAGTTGAATTTGAAAGAGTTGGTAGCGTTTGCTCTGTGAGTATTGAGTGAATGTAAACTTTAGGATTATAAGAGGATGATAAAACTGGTTGGAGCAGATAATGATATATTATCTGGGATTTATACTTACTTTTTTTTGGACAGGGTTCTCTGTTGCCCAGGCTGGAGTGCAGTGGCATGATGTCCGCCCACTCCAGCCTCCACCTTCTGGGCTCAAGTGATCCCCCCATCTCAGCTTCGTGACTAGCTGGGATCACAGTCATGCACCACCATGCCCGGCTAGTTTTTCATGTTTTTTGTAGAGCTGGGTTTTGCCATGTTGCCCAGGCTGGTCTTGAACTCCTGAGCTCAAGTGATCTGCCCCTGCCTCCCAAAGTGCTGGGATTACAGGTGTGAGCCACTGCAGCTGGCCTAGACATTGTTAAATGTAGGAAGTAGGTGAAAAGTTTATGAGCAAGGAGAAATTTTTCTTTGAAGATCTGTGTATTAGTGGTTGAGAGAATCCTGAGTTGATTAATCTCAAATATAAAATAAAGTCTAACAAGCAATGTTTTCCTTAAATTTGTTATGAATTCATAGGGATCTTATACGTGATCTAGGATCTGAGGCATTGTTAGGCTGCTCTATGAGAATTTACTCCTTTTAGCAGTGGAGGAAGGGCTCGTTGGTACAATCTTCTTGGAGGTACATAGTTGTTAAAGTAGGGATGGTTGCTATTTTATCTTTCAGTGGGTACAGATTAATAAGAAATGGGAGTTACACTTGTCAGTGACACTAAAAGCATTGGGAATGGAGAACCAGATTATTGAAAAGTTGGCTAATAAACTTCCTTTTTGATAGTCCTTTAAACTCCTCTCTTCCCCACAGTTTAATAGTTTAACTTAAAGTCTTCCATATTAAGCCTGGCGTCATGGCTCACGCCTATAATCCCAGCACTTTGGGAGGCTGAGGTGGGCAGATCACCTGAGGTCAGGACCAGCTTGACCAACATGGAGAAACCCCGTTTCTATTAAAAGTACAAAATTAGCCGGGTGTGGTGGCACATGCCTGTAATCTCAGCTACTTGGGAGGCTGAGGTAGGAGAATCACTTGAACCCCGAAGGCAGAGGTTGCGGTGAGCCGAGATCGTGCTCTAGCCTGGGCAACAAGAGCTAAACTCCCATCTCCCCCCGCCCCCCCCCCCCAAAAAAAAACTAACATATTTTGGCCTGGCGTGGTGGCTCACACCTGTAATCCCAACACTTTGGGAGGACGAGGCAGGAGGATTGCCTGGGCCTAGGAGTTTAAGACCAGCCTGGGCAATGTAGTGAGACCCCATCTCTCTAAAAAAGAAAAAATTAGCTGGGCATGGTGGCACACACCTGTTGTCCTAGCTACTTTGGAGGCTGAGGAAGGAGGATCCCTTGAGTCCAGGAGTTAGAGGTTGTAGTGAGCCATGATTGCATCACTGCACTCCAGCAGGGGCAACAGAGTGAGACTCTGTATCAAAAATAAATAAAATTTACAGTATTTTGTAGAAAAAGATAGTTTATTGGTGCTTTTTGCTAGACATCTGAAGGGCTCTAAATGGTCATCAGGCTTCTGTTTCTAGAGGGACAAGTAAGGAGGCCATGATCTTTTAGGCATCTTTTAGTAGCATAGCAGATTTATAGACGTCTGAGGGGCATCTAGGTGCTTGGTTTGTCCACTTGAAATGTGTACTATCTTATTAATCTTTATAATAAAATTCTGTCCTACATCTTGTGATTAAAAGCAGGAAGGAAATGATGAATTTAATGCACAGCATAGTTGTTAAGATAGACTTGTATGTGTTAGGGCCAGTGGGGAAATACAGGGTGATTTTCTTTTCAATTTTGCATTGCTGGGGCCAGATGAAGAAATATGGGTTTAGAAATGGAGTAGCAGGCTGGGCGCAGGTGGCTCATGCTTGTAATCCCAGCACATTGGTAGGCAGAGGCGGGCCGATCACTTGAGGTCAGCAGTTTGAAGCCAGCAGTTTGAGGCCAGCATGGTGAAATCCCGTCTCTACTAAAAATACTACAAAAAAAAAAAAAAAAATTAGCTGGGTGTGGTTGTGGGTACCTGTGATCCCAACTACTTGGGAGGCTGAGGCAGGATAATTTCTTGGACCCGGGAGGCAGGGGTTGCAGTGAGCTGAGATCCTGCCACTGCACTCCAGCCTGGGCGATAGAGAGAGACTCTGTCTAAACAAACAAGTAGCAAATTTAGGTTTTGTTAATTTAGCTTTTGGCCAGGCTCTGGCTCACGCCTGTAATCCCAGCACTTTGGGAGGCCGAGGTGGGCGGATCACCTGAGGTCAGGAGTTTGAGACCAGCCTGATCAACATGGAGAAACCCTGTCTCTACTAAAAAATACAAAATTAGCTGGGCGTGATGGTGCATGCCTGTAATCCCAGCTACTTGGGAGGCTGAGGCAGGAGAATCGCTTACACCTGGGAGGCGGAGGTTGCAGTGAGCTGAGATGGTGCCATTGCACTCCAGCCTAGGCAACAAGAGTGAAACTCTGTCTCAAAAAAAAAATTCAGCTTTTAATCAAGTATGTATTTTGATTATGTTTGCTAGAGTGGTTCAGTTAATGATAATTGAACTTGATATGTAGGTGTAAGATTCGTTTGTTGGAATTGACCAGCCTTTTAATGTTTTCATAGAATGAGTGCAATAGTAAACAGAATTTAGCGTCTTTGGTAAGCTAACTAATGGCTCTTTTTAAAAACCATTGCCCAGCGCGGTGGCTCATGCCTGTAATCCCAGCACTTTGGGAGGCCGAGGCGAGCAGATCACGATGTCAGGAGTTCGAGACCAGCCTGGTCAACATGGTGAAACCCTGTGTCTACTAAAAATACAAAAATTAGCTGGGCATGGTGGCAGGTGCCTGTAATCCCAGCTACTACTTGCAGTGGGCTGAGATTGAGCCATTGCAATCCAGCCTGGTGAAAGAGCAAAACTTGTCTAAAAAAAAAAAAAAACCATTCCATAAAGACTTTTTTTTTTTTTTTTGAGAGACGAATCTCACTCTGTCGCCCAGGCTGGAGTGCAGGGGTTTCACTGTGTTAGCCAGGATGGTCTTGATCTCCTGACTTTGTGATCCTCCCGCCTCTCCCTCCGAAAGTGCTGGGATTACAGGCGTGAGCCACCACGCCCAGCCCATAAAGACTCTTGATAAGTGAGTATCCTAGTTCTCAGCCGGTGAGCAAACCACCAAATAAAGGCTTCAATTATACTTCTGTCAGGTTACTTTTTAGTTTACTCTCTTGTAAGAACTGCTGGCACTGGCCGGGCGCGGTGGCTCACGCCTGTAAGCACAGCACTTTGGGAGGCTGAGGCGGGCAGATCACAAGGTCAGGAGATCAAGACCATCCTGGCTAACATGGTGAAACCCCGTCTCTATTAAATAAACTACAAAAAATTAGCTGGGTGTGATGGTGGGCTCCTGTAGTCCCAGCTACTCGGGAGGCTGAGGCAGGAGAATGGCGTGAACCCAGGGGGCGGAGCTTGCAGTGAGCCAAGATGGCGCCACTGGACTCCAGCCTGGGCGACAGAGCGAGACTCCATCTCAAAAAAAAAAAACCAAAAAAAAGAACTGCTGGGATTTCAGGAAGATGCCTATGATTGCTTCTAAGCCCAGTTACCATTTTAGTTAGTACTGCCTTACTCTCCTGTTGGTTACTATTTTCCTTAACATCTTTACATAACTGATTGTAAACTGTTCTTACAATCTTTATTAGGCTTTAAAGAACAAGCAGGTTTTATGAGAATGGGGCTCATAGCTCATTGAGATGGTAGACTCCCTTAGGTGAAGTGTTTGTGTGTGTACCTTTGTAGTATTTACGAGATTGCAGAAGCTTTCATGCCAGATGGGTGGTAACCCCATAAAGAAGTAGGGAAGTACTTAAACTTCATCCTGAAGGTGTCACAGCTGTTTTAAAGTTCCATGATTGGGCAGTATCTTGGCAGAACACACTGAAGCAGAGCCACAGCCATTTTTGCCTAGCATTATTACTGACTTGTTCTGCATGATCTAATTAACATAGAACCTTCAAGCATTAGATCTGTCAGGCTTGAAACTTAGAGCAAATTTTAGTGACATGTTTGATAGATGTGACTTACTTTTATTTTTTTAAAAAGCAATATACTGTGCTTTAGGTGTGGTTTACCTTGTTGAATACTGCAGATACTATTGTGTGACCTTTCTGCGTTTATTTAGAACTTTTCCCCAGTTAAGTATTCCCTATGACATCACTTTTGTTGGCTTCATAGTATTGTCAGACTTACTATAATTTACCAATCCCTAATTGTTGAATATGTCAACAATTTGTATTTTATTTTTTCTAATTAAAATAACACTACACTGAACATCCTTTTGTATAAATATTTACATCTGTCCTTTAGTAGTTAAATGTGTCAAAGGTATATGGTTTTTTAAAATTAGTATTTAACCACAAACTCAGAAATTCTTACTAAAGGGGTATGTGCTTTGTGGTCTTGGCTAATTTCTGTATATATTGCTACATAAACCTTTTTCCTTTTTCCTGAAAAGTTTTGTTGAGGGAATCATTGTGCAACTGTTATCTAGAAGAAGGCAACAGTTAAGAGCCTTTCTTTCTTCCTTTTTTTTTTTTTTTTTTTTTTTGATACGGGAGTCTCAGTCTCGCTCTGTCGTCCAGGCGGGAGTGCAGTGGCGCATTCTCGGCCCACTGCAAGCTCCGCCTCCCGGGTTCACGCCATTCTCCTGCCTCAGCCTCTCGCGTAGCTGGGACTACAGGCGTCCGGCTAATTTTTTTGTATTTTTAGTAGAGACGGGTTTTCACCGTGTTAGCCAGGATGGTCTCGATCTCCTGACCTCATGATCTGCCCGCCCCGGCCTCCCAAAGTGCTGGGATTACAGGCGTGAGCCACCACCACACCCAGCCGTGTTTCTCTTTTGACTCAACTTTGGAATAGTCTGGGAGAAAGGAGAGTTAACTTTCCTGAATGAGTGAATTTTTTAAAAGAAATTTCATAAAATAATTGGTTTAATTTTTGTCTTGTTTCTAGCCCTTTAACTACAAGTAAAAATGAGGGAAGTAGTCAAGAATAAGGGAAGCAGTCAAGTAGAGAGGACAAAGGACTAATTCTTTTAAGTCCAGCATCTTGTTAGATTCAATGAATGATGGAGCCGTGGGAGACAAAAATTAATGAAATAGAAAAAAAAGGTAGACTTAATTGGGTACTTGGGTAAATGATTTTTCTGAATAACTGCAGAGCAAATGGAGAGTGAGGAGAGAGTTGAGTTACAGAGGAAGTGTGATTGTGGTGGCAACAGTTTGAGTTTTAGTCTAAAAAAAAGTCATTGGTATTAAATGGGACCAGTAGGATTTTTTGACTTTTCACTGTATACCCTTTTGTGCTATTGAAATTTTTGAAAAAAAAGGTTGTTTTTTTTTTTTTTTTTTTTTGAGATGGAGTTTCACTTTTGTCACCCAGGCTGGAGTGCAATGGCGTGATCTCGGCTCACTGCAACCTCTGCCTCCCAGGTTCAAGCGATTCTCCTGCCTCAGCCTCCCAAGTAGCTGGGAGTACAGGCAGCTACCACCATGCCCGGCTAATTTTTGTATTTTTAGTAGAGACAGGGTTTCACCATGTTGGGCAGGCTGGTCTTGAACCCTTGACTTTGTGATCCGCCTGGCTTGGCCTCCCAAAGTGCTGGGTTTACAGGCATGAGCCACCATGCCCAGCCCAAATTTTTTTAAGACTAGATTCTTCATGTCAAAAGACAAAGCTAGAACGAATGGATAGAGGTTATATGGAGAAATATTTTTGTAGATGGAAAACTTGCTAAAAACGAAGTTCTTAGTCACAGAATTTCAAGAAACTAAAAGAGATGTTATAGAAACTAAACTAGGGATGTTGTAGAGGGGGTTCATACATAGGGTAGTCTGGACTAGAGAAACCAAGGGATAAAAGAGGATTAGCTGACTCAGGATAACATTTCAGGTTTGTGAAGATGAATTTGTCCTTTGAAACAGATCTTTTTAGAAAGGTTGTTTCATAATTTCTGACCGAAGTATTTGTTACACGTAAAATAAGTAAGAACGGACTGAGGCCAGAAAGCTGTGGATGACAGAAGGGATTGGTGCATTCTCAGTGAATTTTGATACAAATTAAGTATGTGGGTAGTTTTTAAATACATTTACTATATATATATATTAATGAAAAATTGTTTCCTAAACTGTGAAAAGGCTTATTAAAGAAATTTAGAGGCTGGATGCGGTGACTCATGCCTGTAATTCCAGCATTTTGGGAGGCTGAGATGAGCACATCACTTGAGCCTAGGAGTTCAAGACCATCCTGGGCAACATGGTGAAACCCTGTCTCTACAACAAATAAAAAAATTAGCCAGGCGTGGTGGCTCGTGCCTGTAATACCAGCTAGTTAGGAGGCTGAGGTATAAGAATCGCTTGAACTTGGGAGATGGAGGTTGCTGTGAGCTGAGATTGTGCCACTGCATTCCAGCCTTTGTGACAGAGCGAGACTGTCTCAAAAAAAAAAAAAAAAAAAAGGCTGGGCGTGGTGGTGCACGCTAGTAATCCCAGCTACTCAGGAGGCTGAGGCAGGAGAATCTCTTGAACCCAGGAGGTGGAGGTTGCAGTGAGCAGAGATTTTACCACTGCACTCCAGCCTGGGTGACAGAGCGAGACTGTCTCAAAAAAAATTCAAGTTTCTGTGATATAAAAGAGGAAAACATCCTCACTTGAGCTAAATATATTAAATCCTTAGGAAGTAAATAACCATGTGATACTGTTGGCTCCCATTTAGTATCTTACCACCCCACCACTGTTTTATTGACTCTTCAGATCTAGTGAGTGGGCATCCTGTTTTAAACCAGGATGACAAACATGAGCATTTTTTGTAAAATCCTAAGGCCATCTATGTCTATTTTTGTCTTGCAGATAAATATACTTGTTTATCTGCCAAAAGGGTTAAGGAAATTTTATTTGTATTACTCATCACCTTCCTTGCTTTGTGAATAGATAAAACGCCTCTTTCTGCAGCCTCCTTAAAGGAGGACTAGAAGAGAATAGATAACATTGAATTTGTATCTCTGAACCATGCCCCTTGTATCTATCTTTCAACAAACGTTTGTGTTAATTGCTGGGATGGAACAGAGAAACAAGGCACCATCTTTGCCTTAGAAGCAGAGGGTTTTAGGAGGACAGCAAAATGGATAAAATATGGGATAAGAGCTGTAATAGAGGAATGAATACATTTTTGGCATTCTGGAGAAGTGATTAATTACTTGGGGGAAATTAAGAATTCATGGAGGCAATAACATTGGAACCCTGCCAAATAAGTAATAATAGAATGATAAGCACTCAAATGGCAGCACAGTGCTTGGCACATAGTACACACAGAAGCTTAGCTATCTTATCTAACACTGTAATTCTCATATTTCAGATAAAGGAAGAGGCTCAGAGGTTATTTATCCAAAGTCTCATAGCTAGTAAGTGTTGGAGTTGGTCTTTAACAGAAGTCTCTCCAGCGATGTGTTGGAGCTGGCTAGTTGGAGCCAGCTGTTTAGCTTTCAAGAATACCTTTCTGTACATTAAATTACATTATAATTACCATCGTATTAGGTAATATTCAAATTCCTTACTCTTGAGGTTATTTACAGCTGTTGTATCAATATATAATATGCTGTTGCACACTGATAACACATTGGTAATCTGAAATCAGCTGTGGTGTTTTTGTTGTTGTTGTTGTTTTTGAGACGGAGTCTCACTTGTTGCCCAGGCTGGAGTGCAGTGCAGTGGCATGATCTCAACTCACTGTGTCCTCCACCTCCCGGGTTCAGGGCTGCCTCAGCCTCCCAAGTAGCTGGGACTACAGGTGCTTGCCACCACTCCCGGCTAATTTTTGTATTTTTAGTAGAAGCGAGGTTTCACCATATTGGTCAGGCTGGTCTCGAACCCCTGACCTTGTGATCTGCCTGCCTCGGCCTCCCAAAGTGCTGGGATTACAGGTGTGAGCCACCATGCCTGGCCCAGCTGTTAGTTACATCGTGGAAATTGACAAATGCTGTATATAAATCAATGTTTAATTTTTGCTGATTGTCTAGACTTCATAGTGATGGAGAAAATATTGATTGCAGATTAAATTTGTGTGTCACGACTGTAGCTCTTAAACATTTTTTTTCAATAACACAAAAATTTGTCCTGCACAGTGGCTCACACCTGTAATCCCAACACTTTGGGAGGCTGAGGTGGGAGGATTGCCTGAGCTCAGGAGTTTGAGACCAGCCTGGGCAGCATAGCGAGACCTTGTCTCTACAAAAAATTTAAAAAAAATTAACCAGACTTGGTGGCGCATAACTAAAGTATAGCTACTCAGGAGGCTGAGGCAGGAGGATTGCTTGAGTCCAGGAAATGAAAGCTGCAATGAGCTGTGATCATGCCACTGCACCCCAGCCTGGGTGACAGCAGGAGACTGTCCCTAGAAAAAAAAATTTTTTTGAGGAAATATTCTAATATTTGAAAAACTATTACCCAGTTTAGCAAAGAAGTTGCTCAAAACATGTTTCATGTTTGTATATTGGAACTTACACCTGGAGAGCCACTGAGTCTCTAACCCCGAAGCTCATGGACTACTCCATGATCTATGAAGTTTGCCAGATAGAAAAGTAGAGAAATGGCTAGGTGCAGTGGCTCATGCCCGTAATCCTCGCACTTTGGGGAGGCTGCAGCAAGAGAATCACTTGAACCCAGGAGTTTGAGACCAGCCTAGGCAACATAATGAAATCCTGCCTCTCCAAAAAAAAAAAAAAAAAAAAAAAAAAAAAAAAAAAAAAAATCAGCCAGGTGTGATGAGGCACACCTGTAGTCCTAGTTGCTCAGGAGGCTGAGACAGGAGGATTGCTTGAGCCCGGGACGTCAAGTCTGCAGTGAGTCATGATGGTACCACTGTACTCCAGTCTGGGCACAGTGAGACCCTGTCTTCCAAAAAATGGCATTCTAGTAAGAGCATGTTAAAAACATAGTCTTGAGAATGCTTATGGTATGTTTTCAGAATGAGAAGTTTAATGTGGTCTAGAATGGTAAGTGATAACGCTGGAGAGATTGGTTGGGCAAGTATATGAAGAGTTTCAGGATTTTATTCTTTTTTTTTTTTTTTTTCTGAGACAAAAATCTCGCTTTGTCCCCCAGGCTGGAGTGCAATGGCGCGATCTTGGCTCGCTGCAGCCTCCCCCTCCCAGGTTCAAGCGATTCTCCTGCCTCAGCCTCCCGAGTAGCTGGGATTACAGGTGCCTGTCACCACGCCCAGCTAATTTTTGTATTTTTAGTGGTGACAGGGTTTCATCATGTTGGCTAGGCTGGTCTCAAACTCCTGACCTCAGGTGATCTGCCTGCCTTGGCCTCCCAAAGTGCTGGGATCACAGGTGTGAGCCACTGCGCTCGGCCTAGGATTTTATTCTTTACCTGTGTTTTAGTTTGGTTGTAAGGGAGGGTAGTTAATTAGGGAATAACAGTTTGGAGGATGGGAAGGATGAAACACTTACTGAGCATTGACCTTGTTAAGCACCATGCTAGGTACTTTCATAGCCTTACTTTAATCCCCATACCAACCTGGGAGGCAGTATCCTGTATTTATAGATCAACAAATGGAAGCTTAGGAAAGCAACTTATCAAAACATCTATGAGGCTGGGTGAGTTGGCTCACGCCTCTAATTCCAGCACTTTGGGAGGCCAAGGTTGGCAGGTCATTTGAGGCCATGAGTTTGATACCAGCCTGGCCAACATGGCGAAACACTGTCTCTACTAAAAATACAAAAAAATTAGCCGGGCGTGGTGACGGGCGCCTGTAGTCCCAGCTACTCAGGAGGCTGAGGCAGGAGAATGGTGTGAACACTGGAGGCGGAGTTTGCAGTGAGCTGAGATAGCGCTACTGCACTCCAGCCTGGGCGAAAGAGCGAGACTGTGTCTCAAAAAAAAAATTGGCCGGGCGCGGTGGCTCATGCCTGTAATCCCAGCACTTTGGGAGGCTGAGGTGGGTAGTTCGCAAGGTCAGGAGTTCAAGACCAGCCTGGCAACATGGTGAAACCCCATCTCTACTAAAAAATTAGCTGGGCGTGGTGGTGGGTGCCTGTATTCAGGGGGCTGGGGCAGGAGAATCACTTGAAACCAGAAGGCGGCAGTTGCAGTGAGCCGAGATTGCTCCACTGCACTCCAGCCTGGGCAATGAGAGCAAAACTTCGTCTCAAACAAACAAAAAAATTAGCCAAGAGTGGTGGTGTGTGCCTATAGTCCTATAGTCCCAGCTACTCAGGGAGCTGAGGGATGAGAATCACTTGAACCTGGGAGGCAGAGGTTACAGTGAGCCGAGATCGCAACACTGCATTCCAGCCTGGGTGACAGCTCAAAAAAAAAAAAAAAAAAAAAGGGGTGGGAGATGGCTCAGAGACTAAACGAGATGCTTTTACAGTATTCTGGGGAAAAAAAGATGATGAGGGCCTGAACCAGGACAGTGGGAACGGGAAACTGGATATGAAGAATGTGGTAGACATATTTGTTGACTAGTTTTTCAAAAATTAAAGATGATGAGAGGAGCAGCAGTTTAGGGTTAGGATTTGGGGTTGTATTGGCTTTTGGAAATAGTTTCAGGTGCCTGTGATAGTAGCAGCAGCCAGGTGATAGTAGGCAGCTGGGAATCTGGAGCTCAGATTGTTGACAGGAATTTGAATTTTCAACCCTCAGGATAGGTAAAGGCATGGAAGAGTTTGACTTTTCAAAGATTCTTGTAATAAGAATGGCTAACAGTTATTGAATGCTCTGTACAGTGTCTAGCATACAGTTGTCTTGAATATATATTTAAATGTATGTTCATTTAATTCTTGTATCCTTGTGAGGTAGGTATAAGTAGCTCAGTTTTACTGATGAAAACATTAAAACACAGAAAAGAGTAAATAACTTTGCAAAGGCACATGAGATACGAAAGTAAAGCTGGTGTTCTAATTCTGCAGCGTGGTTCTAGAGCCAACACGAGTGAGAGAAAAGGACTATGGAAAAAGTTCCCCAGAAATAACAAAATTTGAAGAATAAAGAGGGAGCAAGTGAAAGAGATTGAGAGAGAATAGTTTGAGTTTCAGAAAGAGAACAAGGAAGGGGCTATTCAGGTTGAGTATTCCTAATTTGAAAATCTGAAATGCCCCAAAGTCTGAAACTGAGTGCACACATGACACTGAAGAAAATGTTCATTGGAGCATTTCCTATTTTGGATTTTCAGATTAGGGTTGCTCAACCAGTATGTATCTACAAATATTCAAAAAATCTGAAATCCAAAACATTTCTTACCCCAAGAATTTCAGATAGGGGATACACAGCCTGTATGGAACTTCAAGCAGTATGGTAGAGTACACTTAACTCAGAGGCTGCAGAGAGGTAACAGATGACTGCAGATGCCAGTGATGTCTGTTGAATAAAAAGTTGCTTTGCTATTAGAGACTTGAAAGTTTTGATCTCCGTACTTCATTCAAAAGACTCTGCATGTTTCTTTATCTTTGTGTTTGCAGAGTCGGTATCTTTCAACCTCTGTTCCAAGCCTTAAAGAGCTATTATAAAGCTCTTTTGTTTGCCTAGTATGGGCTGTTTTGGTGAAATAGACTATGTAAAAATGTCTGAAATACAGAGTTGAATATGAAGAATGGCAGCATTTTGATTTTGATGTGGCTAAAGATTGATCCAGGGAGGACTGCTATTTTTCCATGCTTAAACATTTGTGGGACAAGGGCTAGTTGGCAATGCTAGAATCGTTTAGTATATCTTGAATAGTTTAAACCAAGAATCACTCAAGTATGAGCCATTCTGCTTACCTACCAGAAGTAAAGATTACTCCTCTAACAGTTTTTAGCATTGGAATTCTTTTTTTCCCTGCAAACAAAACTTTTCTTGGAACCTCATGAATGATTTTTACATGTTCAGCTTCCCTTCTCCCAGAAGATACCTGAAGCATCTCTCCTATGAAGCATAATTTGAAACACACTAGATGACAGTGAATTTTTAAAAATGGGAATGATGCATGGAAGATGAGGTAGAGGGATCTGTTTTGATATGGGAGAAGTATGAGGATTCAGCAAGTTCAGCATCTCTTCTAAAGGTGTTGGGTGATTTAGTCTGGGCGCAGGTTTGGAGGGATGAGGAAGAGTTACCCAGGAGGGAGATAGGGAAGGCTTACAGCATTGGCTTTGCCTGCCTGCCTGCCTGCCTGCCTTTAAGGGACAGCATGATGAAGGACTGTTCTTATAGTTCCTTAGGAGTTTATGCAGAGGAGAAAAAAAAGCTCTGTTCTTTGAATTAGGGCAAACGTTCTCTTCCTGCTTTTTTACATTCATCATTGAAATCCTGTAAGTCTGCACAATGAGCAAGGAAAAAGTGGCAGCTCAGATCGTTGCTTCTTTCTCCTACACAAAGCAGGTAACAGTTTAAATATGCATGCTGCTGCCACCTCCTGGACCAAATTCTAGTTCCAGTGGGCCCAATTAGTAGTACCCTAATGCTTTTCATTCCTTGCGGAATAAACAAATAGTCCCTCGTTGAACTGATTTAACTCCAGTTAGCCATTGGGAAAAGATATCAAGGAATTACGATGTATCAAATGAAACATTCTAGGGCAGCATATATTAAAGTACTAATTGACAGTGTGAGACCAAGTATAGAAAAATAGCAAAATCAGTTAGAGCTAGAGTTACCAAGAAACTTTTATGGAAGACTTAATTTGAATTGGGTCTAAAAGGATGGGTAGGAAAAGACAGAAAGATGAAGAAAATGGCCAATCCCCTGTGTGAACTGTTGGATATAGAGTGGGAAGGGACAGGGGCTGGCAGTTGTTCTACTTTCCAACTCATTTGCACTTGGTATTGCAATTTCTGTTGGTTCTCAAGAGATGTTCAGTGTGCCTACTGCTTATGTCAGAATTCCGATTTTGCCTATATCACTTGGTGTACTACATGAAGCCATTTTAAGAAGATAGACTTAAAAGCTCTTCATGTGAGTTTTTTTTGAGTAATGTGGATAGCATATAGAACTTAAGCGTTTGCATGTAAAAATCTTGCAATGTGCAAACTATAAATATTTGCAAGTTTTGCATTTGTTTTTATTATAAAATGTAACCAAATTATAAAAAGCGTAGAAAACAAAAGAAATCACCTGTAATTCCTGTACTACAACAAAACTACTCATCTTGGCATTTTTTCTTTTCTTTACCTATGTAATTTATACAGTTATAATCATCTTGTATATAGTGTTCATTTCATCCTCTTTTTCTTAGTGCTTTAGGTATAATATTTACCCATATTTAGGCATTTGCTGGATATCTATAAGGCGCTTGTCATATATCCTCAATCTCTTGTAATAATCCTGTAAAAGAGTGAAGATTATCTTCATCTTCCAAGTAGAGACCTGAGATTGAATAAGGAAAAACTAGATCACTACCTAGGAAGTAGAACTGGGATTTGTTTTGCCCCAAGGCTCTTTTTGTTTTTAGGCCATGCTATATCTTCATACTTATTTAAAATTGCTAACTGGCCGGGTGTGGTGGTTTACACCTGTAAACCACCTAGGATCACTTGAACCTAGAAGTTGGAGACCAGCATGGGCAAGCAATAATAAAAAGAAATTAGCCAGGTGTGGTGGCGTGCACCTGTGGTCCTAGCTACCTGGGAGGCTGAGGTGGAAGGATCCCCTGAGCCCAGGAAGTTGAGGCTGCAGTGAACTAGGATCATATTACTGCACCCTAGTGTGGGCAACAGAGTGAGACCCTGTCTCCAAAAAACTAATAATAATAAAATTGCTAACTGTGTTTTAGTATCTGCTGATGCCTGTAGTCAGTCCCCTTTGTGGACATATAAAGAGAACATAATTAGTTGGAACGTAAGTATGTAAGCACTCAGTTTTAATTTTCCCATCACAAGTCTCAAAATGGAATGAATTAGATCTACTCTACATGACCTCCATGACCATTTGCTGAAGGTTGTAAAAGTTGCTGCTAATTACAGGCAGCAGGAATAAGGAAGAGTGTAAACAGTTCTGGATAATGCACAGCGACAGGTTATCATAAGTAGGACCGTTTTAGTCTACCCCACTGTCATGTTATACATGAACTGCAGGGTTACCTCACTTTGGTGGCAGAGCTAGAATTAGAACCTAGACAAGTTCTTGGCTAATTCAAAGTTTTAGTTATGGCAAAAGTTACTTTAGTTGAGGTCGGTGGGCCTGCACAGTGGTGAGGAGAGGGGAAGTACGGTGGACCTGGACGTGAGAGCTTCAGTATATAAATGCCAAAAAATGGTAACTGATTTAAAACAACTTTTGAGTCACCTTGAAAGTTTAAAAAATACATTGATAACCTAGGTTCTACTTACAGACTTAACTGAATTAGAAATTTTATTTAATAAGCTCCCTAGGTATTTCTTGTAGGATTAGAAATGATTGAAGAGAAGTTTTTCAGTTAGTACAAAAAGTACCCTCTGAGAGTTCTTACTTTGAGATTCTTGTTCTCCCTTACCTACTGAATGAGCATCTTTGGAGGTGAGGCCTTGGAATCTGCATTTTATCAGCTCTACAAGTGATTCTCCTGTATTTTAAATTTGGGTGTATAAAGTTGATATTGGTAGAGCATGAATTATGGATTTTGTGGTCTTGATAATAAATATATAGGTACTGGAAAGACCTGGAGCTCTGGAGGAAGAGTTGGTTTCATATCTGCCGCTGTCACCAATATTGAAGATGGAAAATCCTCTGAGCCTAAATATCTTTAAAACTTAGGGAACATACCTAATTGGGTTAATAGGAAGATTTAGATATACAATCATGCATCCCTTAGCGATGGGGATATGTTCTGAGAAATGCATTGTCAGGTGATTTTGTCCTGCAAACATAGTGTACTTACACAAACCTAGATGGTAGAGCCTACTACACAACTTAGGCTATATGGTATAATCTGTTGTTCCTAGGATACCAACCTGTACAGCATGTTACCGTACTGAATAGTATAGGCACTTGTAATGCAATGATAAGTATTTGTGTATCTAAACACAGAAAATGTACATTAAAACACAGTATAAAAGATAAGGGGACTGGGTACGGTGGTGCACGCCTGTAATCCCAGCACTTTGGGAGGCTGAGGCGGGTGGATTACGTGAGGCCAGGAGTTGGAGACTGGCCTGACCAACATGGTGAAACCCCATCTCTACTAAAAATACAAAACCTAGCCGGGCGTGGTGGTGCACACCTGTAATCCCAGCTACTGGGGAGGCTGAGACACGAGAATTGCTTGAACCCGGGAGGCGGAGGTTGCAGTGAGCTGAGATTGAGCCACTGTGCTCCAGCGTGGGCAACAGAGCGAGACTCTTGTCTTTAAAAAAAGAAAAACAAAAACTTACATTTTTAACATCTTTTTAAAAACTATGGCAAACACATTAGCCTAGACCTACACAGGCTCAGGATCATCAGTATCAGTGTCTTAACCACCACATCTTGTTCGATTGGAAAGTCTTCAGAAGCAGTAACACACAGCTGTCATCTCCTAAAATAGTACCTTCTTCTGGAATACCTCCTGAAGGACCTATCAGAGGCAGTTTTACAATTAGCCTTTCTTTTAATAAGTAGTACATTCTAAAATAATGATTAAAAGTATAGTATAGTAAATATATAAGCCAATAACATAGTAGGTTGTGTGTGTGTGTGTGTGTGTGTGTGTGTGTGTGTGTGTGTGTGACGGAGTCTTGCTGTGTCGCCCAGGCTGGAGTGCAGTGGCGCTATCTTGGCTCACTGCAAGCTCCACGTCCCAGGTTCACACCATTCTCCTGCCTTAGCCTCCAGAGTAGCTGGGACTACAGGCGCCCGCCACCAAACCTGGCTAATTTCTTGTATTTTTAGTAGAGACGGGGTTTCACCGTGTTAGCCAGGATGGTCTGAAATCTCCTGACTTTGTGATCCACCTGCCTCGGCCTCCCATGGATTACAGTCGTGAGCCACCACACCTGGCTTTTTTTTTGAGACAGAATCTCACTCTGTTGCCCGGGCTGGAGTACAGTGGTGTGATTTTGGCTGCTTACTGCAGCCTCCACCTCCCAGGTTCAAACGATTCTCCTCCCTCAGCCTCCCAAGTAGCTGGGACTACAGCCGCGTGCCACTACACCCAGCTGATTTTGTATTTATGGTAGAGACAGGGTTTCACCATGTTGGCCATGCTGGTCTCAAACTCCTGATCTCAGGTGATCCGCCTGCCTCTGCCTCCCAAAGTGCTGGAATTACAGGTGTGAACCACTGCGCCTGGCCGAATTTGTTATTAAGTATTATTTATTATACATAATTTTACGTGCTATAGTTTTATACGACTTGCAGTGCGGTAGGTTTGTTTACACCGCATTACCACAAACAAGTGAGTAATGTTTTGTGCTACATCCTTACAGTGGCTTCGACATCGCTAGGTGATAGGAATTTGTCAGCTCCATTATAATCTTACTGATCTGTCATTGACTGAAATGTCATTATATCGTGCATGAGTGTGTGTGTGTGTGTGTGTGTGTATTTTTTTTTTTTTTTTTTTTTGAGAGAAGGCCTCACTTTGTCACCCAGGCTGGAGTGTAGTGGCCTGATCACAACTCATTGCAGCTTTGACCTCCTGGGCTTAAGCATACTTTTTCTTGCAGCCTTCTAAGTAGCTGGGACCACACAGGTGTTCGCCACTATGCCTGGCTAATTAAAAAAACTTTTTGGAGAGATAAGGTTTCACTGTGTTGCCCAGGCTGTTCTTGAATTCCTGGGCTTAAGTGATCCTCCTCCTTTGGCCTCTCAAATTGTTAGGATTCCAGGTGTGAGCCACCATGCCTGGCCTAATGTTTAAAAATTTCTGGCTGGTGCGGTGGCCCATGCCTGTAATCCCAGCACATAACGGAGGCCAAGGCAGGTGGATCACCTGAGGTTGGGAGTTCGAGACCATCCTGACCAACATGGAGAAACCCCGTCTCTACTAAAAATACAAAATTAGCTGGGCATGGTGGCGCACGCATGTAATCCCAGCTACTCAGGAGGCTGAGGCAGAAGAATCGCTTGAACCCGGGAAGTGGAGGTTGCGGTGAGCCGAGATTGCGCCATTGCATTCCAGGCAACAAGAGCGAAACTCTGTCTCAAATTCTAGTAGAGTCAGGTTCTCAGTATGTTGCCCAGGCTGGTCTCAAACTGCTGGTCCCAGCCTCCCAAAGTGCTGGGCTTGTAGGCAGGAGGTACCATGGCCAAAATAGATATTTTTAATAAAATATTATAGCCTTGCTTTAAATTGGAGAACTGATGAAAAATACTTTGTCTCTTTATCTGGGGGAAGTTAGCATCTTAATTATATATGACTTGATGTTTCATATATATATGACTTGAAGTCTAAAGTCAAGTCATTAGACTTATTTAACTTATTCACGGCATTGGAGACTATAAAGGTTGATTCTATTAAACCATATCAAGCAATGGAAGTAATTTTTGTGTCATCACATCACTTTTAAAAACACATTTTCCTAGCCGGGCGTGGTGGCTCACGCTTGTAATCCCAGCACTTTGGGAGGCTGAGGCGGGCGGATCACGAGGTCAGGAGATCGAGACCATCCTGGCTAACACGGTGAAACCCCGTCTCTACTAAAAATACAAAAAATTAGCCGGGCATGGTGGCGGGCACCTGTAGTCCCAGCTACTCGGGAGGCTGAGGCAGGAGAATGGCATGAACCCGGGAGGTGGAGCTTGCAGTGAGTGGAGATTGTGCCACGGCACTCCAGTCTGGGCAACAGAGCGAGACTCTGTCTCAAAGAATTTTAGAATGAGACTCCGTCTCAAAGAATGACTCCCGTCTAAGCATTTTATATTGTCAGCTGGGGTGCTGAACTTTGGGTTTCTTTCAAGGTTCATGGGGGCATAGGAAAAACTAGTTGAGAGCTATATAGATTTAATTTTGTGGGAGAGATAAACATTTACCAGATTTTAATGTTAATAAAATTATATCCAGGTGAATATGAATATGCCTCAGTTGTGTTTTATGGCCCACTTGAAAGTGAAGGGAGAGGGAGGGATAGAACAGTGCAGTAGTAAGTAGAAAGGTTATTAAGCTTAAATAGAGGGAAGCTAAATAGGCAGATTTACTGTTTTTGAATATTATATGAAGAGATTGCATATGTGCAGACTTTAACATTGCCACCTTATGGCTTTTTGTATATTTCCTCCAGAGACTGAATTTTCTATTTTATTTTATTTTATTTTTAATTTTTATTTTTGAGACAGAATCTAGCTCTGTTGGCTAGGCTGGAGTGCAGTGGCGCGATCTTGGCTCACCCGGGTTCAAGTGATTGATTCTCCTGCCTCAGCCTCCTGAATAGCTGGGACTACAGGCATGTGCCACCACGCTTGGCTAATTTTTGTATTTTTAGTAGAGATGGGGTTTCACAATGTTGGCCAGCCCTGTCTTGAGCTACTGACCTCAAGTGATCCACCTGCCTCGGCCTCCCAAAGTGCTGGCATTACAGGCATGAGCCACTGCACCCAGCCGAGTTTTCTATTTTGTAATCATAGATTTAAAGTGAGGAGGGCCTAAGGTGGATGGGTGGATAGAGATGTCGACATTATTTCTAGTTATTTAAGCCACAGACCAGATCTGTCTGGACTTGTAGTTTCCTAATTTATTCATAGTTAATATCTTTAATGTTTTTATTTGAGACAGAGTTTTGCTCTTTTGCCCAGGCTGGAGTGAAGTGGCGTGACCTTGGCTCGCTGCAACCTCTGCCCCCTGGGTTCAAACAATTCTCCTGCCTCAGCCTCCTGAGTAGCTGGGATTATAGGTGCCTGACACCAGGGCTGGCTAGTTTTTTATTTATTTTTAATTTTTATTTTTTATTGAGATGGAATCTCCCTCTGTTGCTCAGGCTGGAGTGCAGTGGTGCGATCTCAGCTCAGTGCAACCTCCACCACCCAGGTTCAAGCGATTCTCCTGCCTTAGCCTCCTGAATAGCTGGGACTACAGGTGTGTGCCACCATGCCCAACTAATTTTTTGTATTTTTAGCAGAGATGGGGTTTCACCATGTTAGCCAGGATGGTCTCGATCTCCTGACCTGGTGATCCGCCCACCTCAGCCTCCCAAAGTGCTGGGATCACAGGCGTAAGCCACTGTGCCCAGCCAATTTTTTTTTTTTTTGGGATTATGGGCGTGAGCCACTGAGCCTGGCCGACAATTTATAATTGTATATATTTATGGGGTACAAAGTAATCTTAATTTTTTCAAAGAACCAACTTTTGTTTTTTTTTTTCCTATTATATATACTTTAACTCATGCCAGCTCATATCTTTATTATTATTATTATTTTTTAAATTTATTTATTTTATTTTTTTTTGAGACGGGGTTTCTCTCTTGTTGCCAAGGCTGGAGTGCAGTGGTGTGATCTCGGCTCACTGCAACCTCCATCTCCCAGGTTCAAGCGATTTTCCTGCCTCAGCCTTCCTAGTAGCTGGGATTACAGGCATGTGCCACCACGCCCAGCTAATTTTGTATTTTTAGTAAGAGACGGGGGTTTCTCCATGTTGGTCAGGCTGGTCTCGAACTCCCGACCTCAGGTGATCCGCCCACCTCGGCCTCCCAAAGTGCTGGGATTACAGGCATGAGCCACTGTGCCCGGCCCAATTTTTTATTTTTATTTATTTTTATTTTTATTTTTTTGAGACGGAGTTTTGCTCTGTCACCCAGGCTGGAGTACAGTGGCGCGATCTCAGCTCACTGCATCCCCTGCCTCCTGGATTTAAGCAGTTCTCTGCCTCAGCCTCCCAAATGGCTGGGATTACAGGCGCCCACCACCACGCCCGGCTAATTTTTTTTTTGTTTTTTTTAGTAGTGGGGGTTTCACCATCTTGCCCAGGCTGATCTTGAACTCCTGACCTCGTGATCCACCCACCTCGGCCTCTCAAAGTGCTGGGATTACAGGCGTGAGCCATCGTGCCCGGCCCCAATTTTTTATTTTTAGTAGAGATGGGGTTTTGCCATGTTGGCCATGCTGGTCTTGAACTCCTGACCTCGTGATCCACCCACCTCGGCCTCCCAAAGTGCTGGGATTACAGGCGTGGGCCATCGTGCCTGGCCTCAATTTTTTATTTTTAGTAGAGATGGGGTTTTGCCATGTTGGCCATGCTGGTCTCGAACTCCTGACCTCAGGTGATCCCACCTTCCTCGGCCTCCTAGAGTGCTAGGATTACTCGGGTGATCCACCGTGCCAGGCCTTAATGTTTTTTTGTTTTTTGTTTTTTGTTTTTTTTTTAAGATGAGGTCTCGCTATGTTCTCTAGGCTGAAGTGCAGTGACTATTCACAGCTGTGATCATAGTTCATTACAGACTCAAATTCCTGGGCTCAGATGATCCTCTTGCTTCAGCCTCCCAAGTAGCTAGGACTGAACAAGGTGTAAGGCCCTCTGTTCCTGGTTTAAATTTATCTTCACCTGTTACCCAGGCTGGAGTGCAGTGGTGCAATCTCGGCTCACTGCATCCTCCTGCCTTCAGCCTCCCCAGCAGCTGGGACTATAGGTGTGTGCCAGCATGCTGGCTAATATTTGTATTTTTTTTGTAGAGACGGGGTTTTGCCACCTTGCCCAGGCTGGTCTCGAACTCTGGCCTTAAGTGATCCACCTGCCTCGGCCTCAAAGTACTGAGATTACAGACATGAGCCACCACACCCAGCCTGTAATTATATAAACATTAAAGTGTTATTAAGTGTTAAATATAACTTAGTGCACCTAACTTTTTTGCAGAAGAAATAAATTCATTTCTTCCCTTCCCCCCAGTTTTATGTTTTGAAATACATTTTTAAAAAAAGTTTTGAGAGACAGGGCCTCTGTCACCCAGGCTGCCAGGCTAGAATGTAGCGGTGGCATCATAGCTCACTGTAACCTCTAACTCCTGGGTTCAAGCTGTCCTCCCACCTCAGCCTTCCAAGTAGCTAATCCAAGTAGCTAGGATTACAGGCACGCACCACCACACCCAGCTAAGTTAAATTTGTTGTTGTTGTTGTTGTTGTAGAGACAGGGTCTCACTATGTTGCCCAAGGCTGGTCTTGAACTCCTGGCCTCAAGCACGTCCCCTGCCTCAGCCTTCTAAAGTGTGAGTGGCAGATGTGAGCTACCATGCTGGGCCTTGGAATAATTTCAGATTTACTCTTCCACATTTTGCCACATTTGCTTTATCATTTGAATGTTTTTAAAATGTGTATATATAATGTTTTCCTGAGCCAGAGAGTTACAGTCTAGACATCATGTCTTTTCTCCTAGGTATTTTAGTGTGTAGTTCCCAAGAACAAAGACATGCAGTTACATAACCACAGTGCATTTATCAAAATCAGGAAATTTAATTGACACAATGTTGTTACCCACAGATCTTATTCAGACTTTATCAGTTGTCTTAATGTCCTTGATAGCAATTTTTTTGTGGTCCAAGTTCTAGTCCACGAACATTTGGAGACCGTGGTTTCATGTCTCCTAAGTTGTTATTTGTTGTTTTCATTGTTTTGAGATAGGGTCTCATTCTGTTGCCTAGGCCAGAGTGCAGTGGCACGATCATGGCTCACTGCTGCCTTCATCTCCCCGGGCTTAAGTGATTTCCCAGGTTGCTGGGACTACAGGTGCATGCCACCACACCCAGATAATTTTGTGTGTGTGTATGTGTGTATGTATGTATTTGTAATGTAAGACAAGGGCTTTGCCAGGTTGCCCAGGCTGGTCTTGAACTCCTGTGCTCAAGCTATCTGCCAGCTTCCGCCTCCCAGAGTGCTGGGATTACAGGAGTGAGCTATTGCGCCCAGCCCTCCTAAGTCTGTCTTCACTGGTTTCAAGTCTGTCTTCACTGGTTTCAAGTGAGGTTGTATCCTTCTCAGTGCATCATACTGGGAGGTACAAGATGTCTGTTTATGCCATTACTGATAATGTTAACTTTGGTCACTTTGGGTAAAGTGTTGTCCACCAGGTTCTCCACTTAATTTTTTTTTTAATACGTGGGAAAATAGTTGACACTATGTAAATAACTTGTTTCTCATCAAACTGTCTCCTTTTAATTCTAGCATTGATAATTCTTGCTTGATTCAGGTATTACTATGATAGGTGTTTACTTACCATTAATATTACGTAATGCTCAAGTCACAGATTTGGCCAGTGGGAGGTCCTTCAAGAAGGAGCCTACTGATGCCCTGGCTTCCCACTCTGTTTCCAATCTATACTTTTCCTTCTCTTTTTTTTTTTTTAATGATGGGGTCTCATTTTGTCACCCAGGCTGGAGTACAGTGGTGTGATCAGGGCTCACTACAGCCTTGACCTCCTGTGCTTAAGCCATCCTCCCAGCTCACCCCCCAAGTAGCTGGGACCACAGGCACATGCCACCACCATGCCTAATTAAAAGATTTTTTTTTTTTTTTTTGTAGAGACAGTGTCTCCATATGTTGGCCAGGCTGGTCTTGAACTCCTGGCCTCAAGCAGTCTTATCTGCCTTGGCCTCCCAAAGTGTTGGGATTACAGGTGTGAGCCACCACTTCTGGCTGTTTTGGTATTGTTGTGTTAAAATTGAGAAAGTTTGACTTTTGAAGCAATATTGAACATAGGTATTTGTGAGACTTAAAATTGCACATTATAAAGAGGAACAAATTTGGTGTTTAAAGAATGAGACAGTGCTGTAGTAAATATAATTGCATGATGCTGTTTTGAATTTTTTCTTGACTATTTTAAATGCTATTAAGTATGCCAACTAACTTAAATATAAACATGTTTCTTAGGAAAAAGGACATCTATAGTCTAAGTTTCTAATTCAGTGTTACAATTTGGGACAAATAATTTATTGTCTGTATTTCTGGAGTTACATTAAGAGATAATAGGTGGAATTTCATTTTATTTATTTTTATTTTATTTATTTATTTATTTATTTTTTGAGATAGAGTCTCGCTTTGTCGCCCAGGCTGGAGTGCAGTGGCACGATCTCGGCTCACTGCAAGCTCCGCCTTCCGGGTTCACGCCATTCTCCTGCCTGAGCCTCCTGAGTAGCTGAGATTACAGGTGCCTACCACCACGCCTGGCTAATTTTTTGTATTTTTAGTAGAGATGGGGTTTCACCGTGTTAGCCGGGATGGTCTCGATCTCCTGACCTCGTGATCCGCCCGCCTCGGCCTCCCAAAGTGCTGGGACTACAGGCGCGTGCCACCACGCCAGCTAATTTTTGTATTTTTAGTAGAGACGGGGTTTCACCATGTTGGCCAGGATGTCTCACTCTCTTGACCTCATGATCCACCTGCCTTGGTAAAAATGTAAAATTTAAAAAATTCTGAGGCCGGGCGCGGTGGCTCACGCCTCTAATCCCAGCACTTTGGGAGGCTGAGTCGAGCAGATCACAAGGTCAGGAGTTCGAGACCAGCCTGGCCAACATGGTGAAACCCCGTCTCTACTAAAAATAGAAAAAATTAGCCAGGCATGGTGGCGGCGCCTGTAATCCCAGCTACTCAGGAGGCTGAGGCAGAATGGCTTGAACCCGGGAGGCCGAGGTTGCAGTGAGCGAAGATCGCGCCATTGTACTCTAGCCTGGGCTACAGAGCGAGACTCTGTCTCAAAAAGAAAAAAAAATTTTTTTTAAAATTCTGTGCATGAAGTAATGTGTGAAATGGAAGAATTTAGGATAAGTTTCTGAAAGACTCATAAACAGTGATTCTTAAGAAAATGAGCATTGGGATTTATTTCAGGGAAAACATAAGTATTGTAGTCAGATTACCACCTCCCTAGGGAAGGAGGCCAGATGTGTGGGTTTGTTTTTTTTTTTCTGTCTGTGGACTAAGGGCTTTCTATATGTCAGCTTATTAATTCTCCATAACCCTGTGAGATACTTACCTTCACTTTTCAGAAAAGGAAATTGAGGACTTATGAGTATGTCCAAGGCCTTGGGACTAGTTTGGGATTTGAATTTAGGTCAGTCTGACTCTAACACTCTAGTGTACTATGTATGTATGTATTCTGCTTTATCTGACCAGTCATGTATGTTTGGGTTACTTCCATTAGGCCCATATTTTTGGGGGGCCTGACAACTAAGTATTAATCTAAACAGTATAATAGGAAAGCATGTAATGAATTTTCAAGTCAAAAGTAATTTTGCATTAAGGTGTTTAAGTGTTTAAAACAAAGTAAAAGCCAGTTTTTCTTTGTGGGGAATGTTCTACTTAGAATAATTAATTTTCTAATAATTCTAAATAATTAAATTTCTGTTGAGTTATTCTGTGAAGTTTTTAAATTCATAAAGCATGTTCAGATAATTTTTAACCATTTCAATTTTTTTCTTACCTCTGTAGGAACGTCAAGGTCGTGGGAAATAAAAGGCAGTTCTACACAGACTGCAGCAACGGTTGCATCTGCATATCCTAAGAGGAAAAAATGACCTTCAAGAGAATTAGGACTTTTTTCTTAATTTCACTGACTTCAGAGACGATTGCAGACTTGCAGTTTAAGTATTGGAATTTCACAAAAGACATAGGACTTAACTGGAAAATGAAAAAAAAAAGAAAAAGAAAAAACTAAACAAAAAATCCCTCTAGGTAGTTTAGGTGAAAAATGTCCCTTTTATTTTGGCTTTGGTTGTGATTTCAGAGCATAATGCTATGTTTTTTTGTCTTTTTACTATGTTTTTCGGATTTTTAAGTCCGTAAGTGCATACAGTTTTCTCTAATTTTTAAACCCTTTCCTCCTCCCATTTTGACATTTGCACTTGGAGAACACTTGAGTTGTGAAGGTTTTGGGCATCCACCCCAGAAAGTGGGAATTTGATTTTATCCTTCCGAACTGGAAGAACATTTTTATGAAGAATTTTTGTCTAGGAGAATATAACAGTGTTACCCAAGGTTGTGTCTTTAAGGGTGGTTCATTTTCTCTGACCTTTTGTTACTCAAAGTAAAGTACTAGGAGTCCTAAGAAATGTTCTGTTCTTGTACATTATACTGATTAAGTCAGGATTAATTTGATTTCAAAGCTGAGAACAGTGGTAAAAACTCGTTTACAGAAATGCATTTTGGAAGAGAAAAATACTGTAAAACGTGTCGTGAATGTTTCTTCAGTTTCTTGTTCAGCCAATGAGGAAAGGGCATTGCCTTTCTTTTTACCATTAATCACTTCTCAATAAACGTGAGATCCTGTTGAGCATCACTTCTAGTACCATTTAGTATTATTTGAGTCTGCTGTGTTTTAAATATTTGGAGTATAAGGGGGTATAACAGGTGAGACGGCAACTAATTTTACAGAGTTTGTGCTAAGAGTAAACACTTCAGGCTTGCTTTGTACCCAGGGCTGGTTAACCATGACCTCTGCAAAAGCAAGGTGGGCTGATATTCATAATGCTTTATATCTGGATACTTTGCAGAGAATGTAGAGTCATTGCTAAATCATTTGTTCAACAGATATTAAGACTATTGGGTGCCTGGCACTATGCTTAACTCCATGGAATCTGGCCAGCTATCTTAGATGCAGAGGAAGTAGAGCCCAGGAAATAAGTGTTTAATTTGAAATATTGGTTTTAGACAATATTCCATATGGATGCAGATCCCTGACAATAAAATTTCTGTGGTCTTGGGTCTTTGGGAACCTTATAACAATTGTAATAGCATTTCATTTCTTCTTGTTTATTTTCAACAGTTTTAGAGGCTTCTCTATCTTAAAAGATTTTCAGCTCTTAAGATGTTCCCATTTTAGGCTGGTCACAGTGGCGCATGCCTGTAATCCCAGGACTTTGGGAGGCTGAGGCGGGTGGATTACTTGAGGTCAGGAGTTTGAGACCAGCCTGGCCGACATAGTGAAATCCTGTCTCTACAAAAATTAGCTGGAGGATGGTGGAGCATGCTTGTAATCCCAGCTACTTGGGAGGCTGAGGCAGGAGAATTGCTTGAACCCAGGAGGTGGAGGTTACAGTGAGCCAAGATTGTGCCACAGCACTCCAGCCTGGTGACAGAGCAAGACTCTGTCTCAAAAAAAAAAAAAGTTTCCATTTTTAGAGTTGCATGTGTGAAAACATCTAACATTTATACTAAGAAAGGGTTATGGAAATGGATTTTAATACTGTTGGACAGAGTCGTGCCCTCAAAATTACTGAGTTCTACACAGCCCAGGACAGTAAAGTCAGGAGTACCAATAAAATTATTAAATGCTGGTTTCTAAATAGCTAGCTAGCTTGCTTTTCTTTCTTCTCTTTCTCCTTCCTTCCTTTCTTCCTCTCTCTTTCCTTCCTTCCTTCCCTTTCCATTCCTTCCTTCCCTTCCCTTTCCTTTCCTCCCTTCCCTTTCCTTTCCTCCCTTCCCTTCCCTTCTTGCCTTCCCCCCTTCCCTTCCCTTCCCTTCTTCCCTTCCCCCCTTCCCTTGCCTGTCCTTCTTTCCCTTCCCTTTTCCTTTTCTCTTTCCTTTTCCTCTCTTTTCTTTTCTCCTTTCTTTTCCCCTCTTTTGTTTTTTCAAGGTCTCACTCTGTCTCCCTGGCTGGGGTGCAGTGGTGCACTCTCAGCTCACTGCAACCTCCACCTCCCGGGTTCAAGTGATTCTCCTGTCGCAGACTCCTGAGTAGCTGGGATTACAGGCGTGCGCCACTATGCCCGGATAATTTTTGTACTTTTAGTAGAGATGGGATTTCACCGTGTTGGCCAGGCTGGTTTCGAACTCACAACCTCAGGTGATCTGCCCACCTCGGCCTCCCCAAGTGCTGGGAATACAGGTGTGAGCCACTGTGCCCAGCCAATAGCACCATTATTGACATTTGCAGTCAAAAGCTTTTTTTGGCCTGTCAGAGGCACAGTACAATATTGCTAAATATTTCTGGCTGCCATCCTTTTTGAAGCACATTTACCTCAAATTTTGGGGGAGTTCCTTGTGTTTTTATCAGTAGGAAGGTGCTAGATTTCCTACTAATATGTATGGCACTCATCGTTTTCACTTTTAGCCCAAACTTCTGTGACTTGTAGAGGACTCCCTTGGGCTTCTTTAGTATTTGACCTTGAGAAGGGAAAATCCAGAGAAAAGCAAATTCAAAAGCAATTTTAACTAGATTTTCCTACATAGTATTTCAAGTTGGATATGAGATTATTCGAGATGATTATTTGCAATTTGAAATGTTAGCAACATAGTAGTTCCCAGTATTTTATAGCACACATAGAAAGTACTGTTTCAGCTTTTAAGAGTAGACTGAAAAGAATTTGGAGCCCCTAATAAGGTTGCATACTTAGCCTTCCCTTTTGGATTTGTGAATTTTAGAAAAACCACATTGGCTTTTCTTGTAGTATAAAAAATCAGACTGTTCTTTACTAAAGACTCCAAAATGCAGCTAAACCAGTTTTCTTATTGTTAAAGACAACTTTGCCGGTATTTTTAATAGAGACAGGGTTTCACCATGTTGGCCAAGCTGGTCTGGAACTCCTGACCTCAAGCGATCTGCCTGCCTCGGCCTCCCAAAGTGCTGGGGTTACAGGCGTGAGCCACCGTGCCCAGCCTGAGGCTGGTGCCTTGGGAGGCCGAGGCAGGCGGATCGCTTGAGGTCAGGAGTTTGAGACTAGTTTGGCCGACATGGTGAAACCCCGTCTCTACTAAATATACATAAATTAGCTGGGTGTGATGGTGTGCACCTGTAATCCTAACTAGTCAGGAGGCTGAGGCAGGAGAGTTGCTGGAACCTGTGAGGCAGAGGTTGCAGTGAGCTGAGACACCACTGCACTCCATCCTCAAAATAAATTTCACTTTCCCTCAATTTTATTTTAGCTGTATTTGATTGGTTATCTTCTCTTAGTGTGTTCCATTATATAAAACGTTCTGAAATAATTTTAGACTTAGGCAAATGTAGTATGGAGAGTTACCATACTCTTCACTCAGCTTTTCCCAAATGTTAACATCTTGTATAACCATAGTAAAATTATCAAGACTAGCAAATATTGATGCAGTACTATTAACTAATTTGAGTTGTGTGAGTTACACTGTGTCATCTTTTGGGGTTCAGCATCCAATCCAGGATCCCACATTGCATTTAATTGTCTTTAGTCTCTTCTAGCCTGTGACAGTTTTTCAGTTTCCATTTTTTGACACTTTTAGGGAGTACTGGCCAGTTACTTTATACAATGCCCTTCCAGTTGGATTTATCTGATCATTTCTCACTATTAGGTTGAGGTTATTCTTTGACAAGAATGCCACAAAAGCACCGTGCCTTTTTCAGTGCATTGTATCAGGATACATGATTGTCACATGATTTCATACTGGTGATGTTAACTCTGATCACTTGGTTACAGTGTTGCCAGACTTCTCCATTGGAAAGTTATTAATTTCCTCCTTTGTACTTAATATGTAACTTAGGGGATCGGATATACTTGGAAACTTTTTTCTTTTTGGAGACGGTCTTGCACTCTTCCCCAGTCTGGAGTGCAGTGGCACAATCATTCCTCACTGCAGCCTCAACCTTCCGGCCTCAAGCAATCCTCCCGGGTATCTGGGACTGCAGGCATGTGCCTCCGTGCTTGGCTTATTTTATTTTTAAATAGGGATGAAGTCTTGCTGTGTTTGCCAGGCTAGTCTCAAACTATCCTCCTGCCTCAGCCTCCCAAAGCGCTAGGATTACAGGTGTGAGCCAAGGCGCCCAGCTGAAACTATCATTCTTTGACCCACTAACTTTGGGCAGCTATGGATTGTTATTGCATGCAACAAGTGTTCCTGTGCCATTTGCCAAATGTTGCTTCACGATTTCTAGTCCTTCTACATTTATTAATTAGCACTCTATTGTAAGGAGGTGTCCCTTCTCTGTATTTATTCAGTATATCAGTATGGATTCACTTTTGCTCAAATTGTCTCAGCTTTGGCCATTAGGAGCTCCTTAAAATTGGCTCCTTTGTTTTCTTGACATGCTGTCATTATTTTTGGTGGTCTGGCTTTGTGGCTTATGCCTGTAACCCCAGCACTTTGGGAAGTTGAGGTGGGAGGATTCCTTGAACCTGGGAATTTGATACCAGCCTGTGCAACATATTGAGACCTGGTCTCTACAGAAAATAAGCCAGGTGTGGTATGCTCCTGTAGTCCCATCTGCTGGGGAGGCTGAGGTGGGAGGATGACTTGATCAGGGGAGGTTGAGGTTGCAGTGAGCTGCCTAACAGCAAGGCCCTGTCTCAGAAAAATTTTCTGGTGTCTGCCCTTCTGGTACTGTAAGATGTTCCCTGGGAATCTTGTATTTTCCCTGCCCCAATTCCACTTTTTTCCAAGAAATTCTGCTTCCTTTTATTGGAGAATGTTTCAGAATTATCGAGGTGTTTTTTCGTTTTGTTTTGTTTTTTGCTTTTAAGATACAGCGTCTCTTGCCCAGGCTGGAGTGCAGTGGCGCAGTCTCGGCTCACTGCAATCTCTGCCGCCTGGATTCAAGTGATTCTCCTGCCTCAGCCTGCTGAGCAGCTGGGATTACAGGTGCCTGCCACCGTGCCCGGCTAATTTTTGTAGTTTTAGTAGAGACAGGGTTTCACCTTGTTGGCCACGCTGTTCTCAAACTCCTGACCTCGTGGTCCAGCTGCCTTGGCATCCCAAAGTGCTGGGATTACAGGCGTGAGCCACCGTGCCCGGCCCTATTGAACTTTTTTTAAAGGCAATTCTTCAAATTGCAATGGATTATTAAACTGGGACTTATTACCAGGGTAAGTGGAGAATTATTGAGACTAATCAAAACACTTAACCACTTTATTTTGTCCTCACCTTTTAAAAAGCTACATGTGAATGAATCCTCTGGAATTAGAGGGCTTCCACTTGACAGTACTTCAGCTAGGGTATGGCTCAGTGCTCATGGGTTTACATCCTTTCACGATGTCTCTGTTAAGCCTTGTAAATAGAGACCCCAAAACGTTAGAAGTCCTACCTAGAATGTTTGAAGTCCTGGTTCCCACACCTTGGAGCTTTCTCTACCAGTGAGAAAGTAAATGCTCTTGTAATAAAAGTTTTCGGCCGGGGGCAATGGCTCACGCCTGTAATCCCAACACTTTGGGAGGCCAAGGCAGGTGGATCACCTGAGGCCAAGAGTTCGAGACCAGCCTGGCCGATATGGTGAAACCCCGTCTCTACTAATGTCTACTAATAATACAAAAATTAGCCGGGTGTGGTGGTGCACGCCTGTAATCCCAGCTACTCGGGAGGCTGAAGCAGGAGAATTGCTTGAACCCAGGAGGAGGTGGAGGTTGCAGTGAGCCGAGATCATGCCATTGCAGTCCAGCCTGGGCGACAAGAGTGAAACTCCGTCTCAAAACATACTAAAAAAATTAAGTTTTCGTTTTTCATTATGGAGCTAACATTGCACTTGATGTTACCACTTATTTGACTTTTATTTGAAAGTTGACTTGTGGCCTGCGTGTCATGAATGTTTTGAAAATGAGAGTGGAAGTAAAGGTGTCCCTAGGATTCAGATCTGTAAGTCCACTTGCAATCAATTTTTTCTGCTTTAGGAAGCAATGCCACTTTGTCATGAGCATCGCTCATCGCTAGTGGTTTCTGGGCAGCTGGTGCACCTCCTTACTACTGAGAAGCCTTTGGAACTGTGATGTTTAATTACAGCTGCCGGGTTTGCACGTGGGAAGCTGACATGGTGTGGTGAAAGCCAGCGGTCTTCAGCTAGTGGAGGGAATTACAGAAGGTCCCACGCCCTTTAGGGCCCTTGGCTCCGGGTTTCCGGGACAGGCTCTGGAGCTCCGCCTGCGGGGGCCGGGCTTGGCGGCTGGACGGCGCGTGCGCCGTGCCTGCGGATGGAGGAGGGCCACCTTCTGCCCGGCTGTAGCCAGGTTCCCTCCATGCTTCCCCACCCCGTCGCAGCCTGGTTTTTGTACGCCTTCTCTCTGACGGCGGTTGTGCCACCTTGAGCTGCGGCTCAAGATGGTGTCCGCCCTTGCTTCTGCGCCTGTGCGGAAGCGCCCGGCCCTCACCTGCGCAGGTGAGCTGGGTCGTCTGAGAGGGAAATGGGGTTTCACACCACCCTGCTAACCAGGCAAAGATGACATTCGTGTCATGTGTAGCTTATTGCTTTCTTCGGCCTCTTCAATAATGCTCAGACATGAGGCTTGGTAAAGGTTGGAAAGCTGTTAGCCGACCTGCGGGCCGTGGGTTCATGTACTCGAAAAAGTTGAGGTGCCTCTGAAGGGCAGCTCCCCGAGGAAACTCCCAATTTTGCTGCCCTCTCCAGGTGTGCGTGTGAGTGTACTCATCTGTTGTTTCCATGTGTTAGTTAACCTGTATTTTGTGAGCTCCTGTCGCTACTATTGTTGGGCATTGGGGAAAAGAGAAATAAATGAAGATTCTTGTTTTCTCAGCATCCTGTTTAAGGAATATACCATCTTATATTTGGCGAGCTCCATAAGAGCAGAGCTACCCAGAAAACTGCCCCTATCTATATTGGCGTTTTTTCCCTAGCTTTTCTTTATCTCTGGAAACCACAGGAGCCCTTCGCCTCTTCATCGTCCTCCACAGCTCAGCTCTCTCTCATAGGCTGTCTGTGCCATCCTTCAAGAGGTCTGTGATACTGGGCAGGTCAGAGAATTGCTCTGTGCACGCATTTTCTCGTCCGAAAAAGGAAATTGCCTCTGAAGCCACTTGATGGTATGAGTTTTACAGGGATTTAAATTGACGTTACTGGTGCTTTTTTTTTTTTTTTAAATGGAATCTTACTCCATCTCCCAGGCTGGAGTGCTATCTCCCAGGCTGGAGTGCAGTGGCACGATCTTGGCTCACTGCAACCTCTGCCTCCAGGGTTGAAGCGATTCTCCTGCTTCAGCCTCCCAAGTAGCTGGGATTACGGGAGCCCGTCACCATGCCTGGCCAATTGTATTTTCAGTAGAGACGGGGTTTCACCTTGTTGGTAAGGCTGGTCTCTAACTCTTGACCTCAGGTGATCCGGCCACCTCCGCCTCCCAAAATGCTGGGATTACAGGCGTGAGCCACCGCGCCGGGCCCCAGTAGTGCTGTTCTAATTTAAAACAAACAAACAGCTAACACAGTTCAGACAGTTACACATGCAGAATAAAAAGTGTGTACAGGCCGGGCGCAGTCCATCCTGGCTAACACGGTGAAACCCTGTCTCTACTAAAAATACAAAAAATGAGCCGGGCGTGGTGACGCGTGCTTGTAATCCCAGCTACTCGGGAGGCTGAGGGAGGAGAATCACTTGAACCTGGGAGGCGGAGGTTGCAGTGAGCGGAGATCGCACCACTGCACTCCAGCCTGTGCGACAGAGTGAAATTCCGTCTCAAAAAAAAAAAAAAAAAAAAGGACCACTAACGTCAATTTAAATCCCTGTAAAACTCATACCATCAAGTGGCTTCAGAGGCAATTTCCTTTTTTGGATGAGAAAATGCGTGCACAGAGCAATTCTCTGACCTGCCCAATATCACGCAGCTCGTGAAGGATGCCGCAGACAGCCTATGAGAGCAAGATTCCGTCTCAAACAACAACAAAAATCTTGGTATAATATTTGGCTAGGCCGGGCGCAGTGGCTCATGCCTGTAATCCTAGCACTTTGGGAGGCCGAGGCGGGCGGATTATGAGGTCAGGAGATCGAGACCATCCTGGCTAACATGGTGAAACCCCGTCTCTACCAAAAATACAAAAAATTAGCCGGCGTTGTGGCGGGCGCCTGTAGTACCCGCTACTCGGGAGGCTGAGGCAGGAGAATGGAGTGAACCCGGGAGGCGGAGGTTGCAGTGAGTGGAGATCGCACCACTGCACTCCAGCCTGGGCGACAGATCAAGACTCCGTCTCAAAAATAAATAAATAAATAAAAATAAATAAAAAACATTTCGCTAATCTATCCTTATAAACCTTTTTAAAAAAACACTTGCTTTATAACATATAAAATCAGTATATGGGCCAGGCCCGGTGGCTCATGCTTGTAATCCCAGCACTTTGGGAGGCTAAGGCTGGAGGATTACTTGAGGTCAGGAGTTTGAAACCAGCCTGGCCAACGTGGCGAAACCCTGTCTATACTAAAAATACAAAAATCATCCCGGTGTGGTGGTGCACACTTGTAGTCCCAGCTACTGGGGAGGCTGAGGTAGGAGAATCACCTGAGTCTGGGAAGGTCAAGGCTGCAGTGAGCCATGATTGTGCCACTGCACTCCAGCCTGGGTGACAGAGTAAGACCTTGTCTCAAAAAGTAAAATCAGTATATGTAGCATGTTTGTGTTCCTAAATATACACGTCTACACAATTTTAAAAAAAATGAAATAATACCAAACCATCTTCATGGTTCCCCAACCCCTCTCAAGTTGTGATTCCGTAAGTTTACTGGTTTGCTAAAGGACCCAGCACTTCTGTGACAACCTCAAATGGCCATTCTGGGATCCTCTTCTGGGATCCTGAGGTGAGGGGTGCCCCAAGGACCTGGGTCTCAGACATCAATCGCAACTTGGCAGAAGCCCATCCTTCTCATCTTACTCTTTAGCATTGGAACTCAAACCTTTCTAGGTTTCTGCTTTCTTGAAGCCACTCAGTCGACAAGTTAGGCACTCAGTTTTTAGATGGGTGTTATTCCAGATCAAGGCATTTTGATGCGGACCTACAGGATGTGTCCTGGATATGTGGTTGAAGAGTAAGCTGACCAGGATTGCATAAGGAGGACAGTGTGGAGGAGAGCACAGGAGCCACAGCAGGTATCAAAAAGCTCCTGCCTTAGAGGGAAACATTTGTCAGATGGTGATGAGTGCTATAAAGAAACATGGGTATGAGGCTGGAGGGAAGAGCCAGCTAACAGAAGTCCAGAGAGGTGAGAGATGAAGGCAAGTTGGGTAAGGCTTTGAGAAGAAAGCACCCACTTTTAAGAAAAGTTAATTTCTTTCTCCCTCACCATGCCTCGTCTATCTCTCTTTACTTAGCTTCAATTCCATGGTTCACCATAATCCCCCTTCCTAATTAGTATTCACCATCAACTCCCTGGCCCCTTTCTCTTGCTTCATCAAATTTAATTGACAACCACAACCCTATTTACATCCAACTCTCCACCTACCTGCACCTGTACAGTTTAGAGTGGCTGGAGAAAAATCATTCAACCGGTGTCTCATTTTTAATTCACAAGCATCAGCCTCAGGAGGAAAATCAGCTTTTCTCTCATTGATTCCTTCTACTCTCTCTCTTTTTTTTTTTTGAGACGGAGTCTCGCTCTGTCGCCAAGTCTGGAGTGCAGTGGCACAATCTCGGCTCACTGCAAGCTCCGCCTCCCAGGTTCACGCCATTCTTCTGCCTCAGCCTCCCGAGTAGCTGGGACTACAGGTGCCCGCCACTACGCCCGGCTAATTTTTTGTATTTTTAGTAGAGACGGGGTTTCACTGTGTTAGCCAGGATGGTCTCGATCTCCTGATCTCGTGATCCGCCTGCCTTGGTCTCCCAAAGTGCTGGGATTACAGGCGTGAGCCACTGTGCCTGGCCAGATTCCTTCTACTCTCAAGAGAACCATTTCATACCTTCTCCCTTTCCTCAGGTCTCCAACACCTCCTCTCCCATCTTTACTTCCAGTTCAACTAGACAGGAAAATTGAAGCAATCAGAACAAAACGTCACAGACTCCATTACATCTACCCCCGTCACAGATGCTGCCTTCCCACCTGTTACAGATCAGTATCTCATGAAGCCTGGTCTTGGCCAGCAGCGTCAGCACCATTGGAGAACTTGTCAGAAATGCAAGTTATTGGGCCCCAACTCCTGAATCAGAAATCTTGCATCTGTGTTTTAACAAGTTCTCTCTAGAGTTTGAGAACCAATGTCTTTGGACTACACATGGTTCTGTCTAGAACAAATCCCTCCATTTGTGCATCAAATCTCAGTCTCTCAGCAACTCAAGAAGATGGCTTGGTCGGGTTTGGTGGCTCACAGCTGTAATCCCAGCATTTTGGGAGGCCAGGTGGGAAGATCACTTGAGCCTAGGAGCTCGAGACCAGACTGGACAACATAGTGAGATCTCATCTCTACATAAAATAAAAAACCAGGTGTGGTGGTACTGTAGTCCCAGCTACTCCAGAAGCTGAGGCAGAAGGATTGCTTTAGCCCAGGAGGTCAAGGCTACAGTGAGCCATGTTCATGCCACTGCACTCCAGCCTGGGAGACAGAGTAAGACACTGTCTCAAATAAACAAACAAACAAACAAAAAAAGCAGAAAAGATGGCTTCATCAAATCTCTTTTTCTCCCACATTATAATTTTACCTCTAATGGATCATTTCCATTAACATACAAACATGCTGTTGTTTCTCCTATTTCTTTTTTTTCTTTCTATGCTTTTTTTTTCTTTTTTTCTTTCTTCTTTTTGTTTTTGAGACAGAGTCTTGCTCTGTCACTCAGGTTGGAGTACAGTGGCGCAATCATGACTTACAGCAGCTTCCACTTCCCAGACTCAGGCGATCTTCACACCTCAGCCTCCTGAGTAGCTGGGACCACAGGCATGCACCACCACACTGGGCTTATTTTTATTTTTTGTAGAGACAGGATCTCTGTATGTTTCCCAGGCTGGTTTCGAACACCTGGGCTCAAGTAATCCTCCCACCTCGGCTTCCCCAAGTGTTGAGATTACAGACATGAGCCACCGTGCTCGGCCTGTTTCTCCTATTTCTTCCACCAGTTATTACTGCCCATTTCTCTCTTCCTTTTTGCAGCAAAACCCCAGAGAGGAAGCTGTTGCTCACTGGCTCCATTTCTGTCCTTCCATTTTCTCTTACCCACTCCAGTTCAGGCTCTCTTCTTCATTCCAGCAGAACTGCTCCTGGCAAGGCCACTATTCCACATTGCTAATTCTCAGTCCTCATCTTCTCTGATCTATAAGCAACCTGTGACATTGTTGATGCTTTTCTCCTTCCTTCCCTTGGATTCTGGCACAGCATGCCTCTTGATTTTCCTCCTGTTTCACTGGTTGTTCCTTTTTAGTCTCCTTGGCCCGGTTCCTCCTCAGTTCTTTGTCTTTGATCTCAGGGCTTAGTCCTTGACCTTCTGTCCACACTCACCAGATTTCGTCCAGGCCTGTGGCTTTAGTCACTACCCATGTGCCAACAACCCCCAAATACAGAGAGCCCAGAGATGTCTCCTGAACTCGTATATTCAACTGTCAACCCAGGCTTTCCCCTGGATGTTGGCAACATCTCAAACCCAACACTTTTTTTTTTTTTTTGAGACAGAGTCTCCCTCTGTCACCCAGGCTGGAGTGCAGTGGCACGATCTTGGCTCACTGCAACCCACCTCCTGGGTTCAAGCAATTCTCCTGCCTCATCCTCCTGAGTAGCTGGGATTACAGGTGCCCACCACTGTGCCCAGCTAATTTTTGTATTTTTAGTAGAGACAAGGTTTCACCATGTTGGCCAGGCTGGTCTTGAACTCCTGACCTCAGGTGGTCTGCCCGCCTCGACCTCCCAAAGTACTGGGATTACAGGCGTGAGCCACTGTGCCTGGCCTCAAACCCAACACTTTTAAACACAAACCTTGTCCTTCCTCATCTGCTCCATCTCATTAATAATGAACACATCCTTCCAGTTTCTCAGACCAAATCCTGGGAGTAATGTTTGGCTCCCTTTGTCACATCCTACATCAGATTAGTCAGTTATATTTTCTTGGTGACCATGTCTCACTGTAGCAGGACAAGCCGCAGACAAAACCCCTCAGACACCGAGTTAAAGAAGGAAGGGCTTTATTCAGCCGGGAGCTTCGACAAGACTCACATCTCCAACAACTGAGCTCCCCGAGTGAGCAATTCCTGACCCTTTTAAGGGCTCACAACTCTAAGGGGGTCCACGTGAGAGGGTCGTGATCCAATGAGCAAGCAAGGGGTATGTGACTGGGGGCTGTATGCACCGGTAATCAGATCTGAACGGAACAGGACAGGGATTTTCACAGTGCTTTTCCATACAATGTCTGGAATCTATAGATAACATAACCGATTAGGTCAGGGGTCAGATTAGGTCAGGGGTCGATCTTAACTGCCAGGCCCAGGGCACGGCGCCGGGCTGTCTGCTTGTGGATTTCATTTCTGCCTTGTAGTTTTTACTTCTTCTTTCTTTGGAGGCAGAAATTGGGTATAAGACGATATGAGGGGTGGTCTCCTCCCTTATCACCATATCCATCCTGGGCCAAGTCACCATCCTCTCATCTGGACGATTGCAGTAATCTCCTGGCTAGTTTCTATTTCCACCTTTGCTTCCTCCAGTCTGTTCTCCACACAGCAGCAGAGGGATCCCATAAAATGTGCACCAAATCACGTCGCTTCTCAGCTCACCCTCTCATGGCCCCCATCTCACTTAGAGTAAACGCTAAACCCTTCAACGGCCGACAAAGCCTTGACCATCTGAGGCCCATCTCCAGTCTCTCCTTACCTCCCGCTGTTCCTGTCTGCTCCACTCACTGTGGCCTCCAGACATGCAGGCTCCTGCTAGAGGATCTTCTTCCCAGCTGCCCCTTCCCCCAGAATACTCTTCCCTCATATATCTGCAAGGCCCACTTACTTCTTCACCTCCTTCAGGTTTTACAGCAGGGACGACCTAATCAGTGAGGTCTCCCGAATATCCTCTCTACACTCACCATCCCCATCCCCCACATTGCCTGTCCCCTTTGCTCCAGGCTGGCCACAGGGTGTGGTATATCTGAGATTCCACCCACCCCAGATCTGTGTCTTTCTACCCTGAGGCAGGGAGTCAAGAAAGCCAACAGAAAGCTGCCCAACAACAACAAAAAGGAATATGTCAGTAATTATTGGCGCATAGAATTTCAAGATTACAGTTTCTACTCAAATTCCAACTCCTTCTGCTTCACTAAAGTGAAAGAACACTGATGTGGGAGTCAGAAACGTTGGATTCTAGGCCAGGATCCACCACTACAGAGCTCTGACCTGTGACAAGCAAGTCGTTAGGCTTGGCCTGTTTGGGAAGTGAGGGACCTGGGCTGCATGATCTGTGAGATTAACCCACTCCCATCAGCATGTCTTGTGAGCTCCACTTCCAAAATAAATCCCCACATCGCCAGTGTTTCTCCACCCCCATTGCTGTCACCCTACCCATGCCATGGCATCAGCCTCCTTCCCAGGTTCAAGCGATTCTCCTGCCTCAGCCTCCTGAGTAGCTGGGATTTTTTTTTTTTTTTTGAGATGGAGTTTCGCTCTTGTAGCCCAGGCTGGAGTGCAGTGGCGCAATCTTGGCTCACTGCAACCTCCGCCTCCTGAGTTCGTCATTCTCCTGCCTCAGCCTCCCAAGTAGCTGGGACCACAAGCACCCACCACCACACCCGGCTAATTTTTTGTATTTTTTTAGTAGAGACGGGGTTTCACCATGTTAGCCAGGATGGTCTCGATCTCCTGACCTTGTGATCCGCCTGCCTCGGCCTCCCAAAGTGCTGGGATTACAGGCATGAGCCACCACATCCGGCCCTGTAACATTATTTTAAATCATGTAATACTCATACAATGGATACTATACAACTGAACAAAAGGTAAGAATCCATGTATTGATATAAAATGCTTTCTGGCCGGGTGCAGTGGCTCACGCCTGTAATCTCAGCACTTTGGGAGGCCGAGGCAGGCGGATCACAAGGTCAGGAGATCGAGATCATCCTGGCTAACACGGTGAAACCCCGTCTCTACTAAAAAAATACAAAAAATTAGCCGGGTGTGGTGGTGGGCGCTTGTGGTCCCAGCTACTTGGGAGGCTGAGGCAGGAGAATGGCGTGAACCCAGGAGGTGGAGCTTGCAGTGAGTCGAGGTTGCGCCACTGCACTCCAGCTTGGGCGTCAGAGTGAGACTCCATTTCAAAAAAAAAAAAAAAATGCTTTCTAAGATATATTGGTAAGTGGAAAAAACCCAAAGTACAGCACAGAGTGTATAAAATACCACCATTTGTATAACAAGAATGAGGGAGAGAATACATTTGCTTGTACATGTATATGTTATATCTGGATGGCTACAGGGGAAACTGATAACATTGCTTGCCCTATGGGGGCGCACTAGGCGGCTGGGGTAAGAGTGGGGAGCTTTTCATTGTGCATCCTTTTGCATTCTGGATCACATTATGTACCACCTATTAACAAGAAATACTTAAAAGTTGTGTACTTACTTTGTTTTCTCTCTCCCTACAGAGAACATAAACTTCATGAGAGTATACACCATTTGCTTTCTTGTTCACTGTTACCCCCTCAGCATTTAACACAATGCCTAGTACCTAATACATGCTCAATGCTTATCTACAGAATGAATAAATGAAAGTGAAGGTCTCTTCCAGCTCACTTCAAGAAGGTATGAAATGGATTCCAGGACCCAGCCATTCAGAGGAACTGAGAGAGATGCTGAGTTGTTTTTAGTATGGTGTACTGTTTTTCTTAATTGTTATCTTTTTTTTTTTTTTTTTTTTTTTTGAGACGGAATCTCGCTCTGTAGCCCAGGCTGGAGTGCAGTGGCGCGATCTCAGCTCACTGCAACCTCTGTCTCCCCAGTTCACACGATTCTCCCGCGTCAGCCTCCTGAGTAGCTGGGATTACAGGCGCACACCACCACACCCGGCTAATTTTTTTTGTTTTTGTTTTTGTTTTGAGATGGAGTCTTGCTCTGTTGCCCAGGGTGGAGTGCAGTGGCATGATCTCAGCTCACTGCAACCTCTGCCTCCTGGGTTCAAGCGATTCTCCTGCCTCAGCCTCCTGAGTAGCTGGGATTACAGGTGCGCGCCACCATGCCTGGCCAATTTTTGTAGTTTTTTTAGTAGAGACAGGGCACCATATTGGTCAAGCTGGACTCGAACTCCTGACCTCGTGATCTGTCAACCTCAGCTTCCCAGAGTGCTGGGATTATAAGCATGAGCCACTGTGCCCCACCTTTTTTGTAGTTTTTTAGTAGAGTTTTCACTCTGTTGGCCAGACTGGTCTTGAACTCCTGACCTTGTGGTCCGCCCGCCTCGGCCTCCCAAAGTGCTGGGATTACAGGCGTGAGCCACCAAGCCCGGCCGTTGTTATCATGTTAAAAAAAAAACATGACAAAGGGCCGGGTGTGGTGGCTCATGCCTGTAATCCCAGCACTTTGGGAGGCTGAGGCAGGCAGATCACTTGAGGTTGGGAGTTCAAGATCAGGCTGGTCAAAATGGTGAAACCGTCTTTACTAAAAATACAAAAATTAGCCGGGTATGGTGGCAAGTGCCTGTAATTCCAGCTACTCAGGAGGCTGAGGCAGGAGAATCGCTTGAATCCAGGAGGTGGAGGTTTCAGTGAGCCAAGATCGCCTTACTGAACTCCAGCCTGGCGACAGAGTCCCCCAAAAAACATCACAGGAGAATGTGTAGAGGGTGGATATGGAGGACAGGCCTGGTCACAGATGCACTTCCCAAGTGAGAGTCTTAGTAGCCAAAATAGCAGGGCAATGTCGTGCTCAGACTATACCCCAGTCATGGCCTCTGGGGTGGCAGCTTTAGATATAGGCAAAGCCACCCCATTTCCTGTGGCCTCAAAACATTCAGGATCATAGCTCCCATAACATTCCAGTTCCTAATGTGTCTTCTGCTCTAAATTCTAAATTCCCTGAGGTCAGGAACTAGGTCTGTCTGGCTCACCAGATAACCTGAGTTTGGCACAGAAGGAACAAAAGAACGAATGAATGAAAGAATACAAGGAGTTGAGAGAACTCCAGAAAAGCCAGAATCAGTAGCTGTCATACCCCATCTTGCCAGGAGGTGGCAGTACAGAAGTATTTTCTGAGATGGCTGCTCAGCCTGAGCCTTGCAGTCTGGGCACAGAGTCCCGTTTTGACCCGGGGAGGGAGTGGAGTTGGGTGATTTTTGAAAAATTTATTACGGGCTTATAAGAAGAGGCACAGCGGCCGGGCGAGGTGGCTCACGCCTGTAATCCCAGCACTTTGGGAGGCCGAGGCGGGCGGATCATGAGGTCAGGAGATGGAGACCATTCTGCTTAACACGGTGAAACCCCGTCTCTACTAAAAACACAAAAAAGTAGCCGGGCGACGTGGTGGGCGCCTGTAGTCCCAGCCACTCGGGAGGCTGAGGCAGGAGAATGGCGTGAACTCGGGGGGCGGAGCCTGCAGTGAGCCGAGATTGCGCCACTGCACTCCAGCCTGGGCAACAGAGCGAGACTCCGTCTCAAAAAAAAAAAAAAAGAAGAAGAAGAAGAGGCACAGCTGGGTCAGGGAGACTGCAGCCCCACAGAGACACCAACGCTATATGGGAAGACAAGTGCTATTCTGGCCCTTAGGAGCCCTGAGGAAGGAGGATTAAGTTTGAGGCATTTGGGGAAAGTTCACAGAGATGACATTTGAACTGGGCCTAAACATAAGGAGAATTTATCCAGTTGGAGGACATTCTGGGTAGAGGTAACAGACTCATGGGAAACTGGGGGAATGATGAATTGTCAAGGATGGCTGGGTTATCCTGAGTTTGGTGGGAGATTAAATAAAAAGTTCTGGTGAGACCTCACTTCTTGTTTTTTTTGTTTGTTTGTTTGTTTTTTTTTTTGGAGACAGAGTCTCCCTCCGTCACCCAGGCTGTGCAGTGGCTTGATCTCGGCTCACTGCAGCCTCTGCCTCCCAGGTTCAAGCGATTCTTGTGCCTCAGCCTCCCGAGTAGCTGGGATTACAGGCACATGCCACCATGCCTGGCTAATATTTGTATTTTTAGTAGAGATGGGGTTTCACCATGTCGGCTAGGCTGATCTCAAACTTTTGACCTCAAGTGATCTGCCTGCCTCGGCCTCCCAAAGTACTAGGATTTCAGGCATGAGCCACTGAGCCCAGCCTCACATTTTTAATGAAAGGACAACATTCATTCTTCTTTTCTTTTTTTTTGAGATGAGGTCTGGCTCTGTCACCCAGGTTAAAGTGTAATTGCGTGATCTCGGCTCACTGCAACCTCTGCCTCCCAGGCTCAAGCAATCCTCCCACCTCAGTCTCCCAAGTAGCTGGACTACAGGCACCCACCACAACATCCAGCTATTTTTTGTATTTTTTTGTAGATATAGGGTTTCATCATGTGGCCCAGGCTGTTCTGGGAATTGGGATTACAGGTGTGAACCACCATGCCTAGGCAATGAAAGGACAACGGTCTTATGAAATTAATGCAATGCATACAGAAGGGTCTGAAGAAAGTTATTCAATTGAGATTTATGTGTCAGGCATATAGTAGAGGCTCAATAAACTTGAGTGAATGAATCATGAATTCTAGGTGGTTTCTTTGCTAAATCATAGGTCTTTGCTGATACTTTAAGAGTGTTTTCAGGCTGTGTGTGGTGGCTCATGCTGTAATCCCAGCACTTTGGGAGGCCAAAGAGGGGGGATTGCTTGAGGCCAGGAGTTTAAGACCAGTGTGGGCATCAAAGTGAGACCCCCTGACTGTATAAAAATTTCAAAAATTAGTCTGGGCTGGGCGCAGTGGTTCATGCCTGTAATCCCGGCATTTCGAGAGGTCAAGGCAGGCGGATCACTTGAGGTCAGGAATTCGAGACCAGCCTGGTCAACATGGTGAAACCCCATCTCTACTAAAAATACAAACGTTAGCCAGGCATGGTGGTGAGCACCTGTAATCTCAGCTATTCAGGAGTCTGAGGCAGGAGAATCACGTGAACCTGGGAGGCAGAGGTTGCAATGAGCCGAGATCATGCCACTGCACTCCAGCCTGGTGACAGAGCAAGACTCCATCTCAAAAAAAGAAAAAAATTAGTCTGGAGTGGTAGTGCATGCCTGTAGTCCCAGCTACTCAGGAGGCTGAGGTGAGAGGATCACTTGAACCAAGGAGGTAGAGGCTGTAGTGAGCTGTGATCACACCACTGCACTCGTGCTTGTGTGATAGAGCAAGACCCTGTCTCAAAACAAACAAAAACAGCATGTTTTCAGCTGGGCAAGGTGGCTTATGCCTGTAATCCCAGCACTTGGAAAGTGGAGACAGGAGGCAAGAGGATTGCTTGAGGCCAAGAGTTTAAGCCTACAGTGAGCTGTGATTGTGCCACTGCACTCATCTGGAGCAAGACCCTGTATCTCACACACACACACACACACACACACACACAAATGTGTATTCCAGGATTCTTCCCCCTGTGTAAGAAGTTCTTCACAGACAGCTTTTCTTTACCCCAAAGACAAGAAATCCTGACCCCGAAAAGGGAAGGATTGCAATAACCAATAAGATCTCTGGCATCCAGAGCCTTATTATAGGATTCTCAAGTCCTGTCCCCAGAACACAGTCTTCTTTCCCAGAGCTGAGACAATAATAATTATTGCTTTGGCCGGGCGTGGTGGCTTACGCCTGTAATCCCAGCACTTTGGGAGGCCTAGGTGGGCAGATCACTTGAGGCCAGGAGTTTAAGACCAGCCCGGCCAACATGGTGAAACCCTGTCTCTACTAAAGATACAAAAAAATTAGCTGGACATGGTGGCTCGTGCCTGTAATCCCAGCTACTCTAGAGGTTGAGGCAGGAGCATTGCTTGAACACAGGAGGCGGAGGTTGCAGTGAGCCAAGATCATACCACTGCACTGCAGCCTGGGTGACAGAGCAAGACTCCGTCTCAAAAAAAAATTGCACATATTTTTATATTTATTTATTTTTTTGAGATGGAGTCTCGCTTTGTCGGCCAGGTTGGAGTACAGTGGCGCGATCTCTGCTCACTGCAAACTTCACCTCCCAGGTTCAAGTGATTCTCCTACCTCAGCCTCTTGAGTAGCTGGGATTACAGACGTGTGCCACCACGCCTTGCTAATTTCTGTATTTTTAGTAGAGATGGGGTTTCACCATGTTGGTCAGGCTGGTCTTGAGCTCCTGACCTCAGGTGATCTGCCCGCCTCGACCTCCCAAAGTGCTGGGATTACAGGTGTGAGCCACTGTGCCCGGCCCTGCTTATATTTTTATAGCAACCAATGTCATCCGTCACTTCCATGTGAAGTCCACTGGAAACATTTCAATCCTCATTTTTACTTAATTCAGAGGGTGATTTTTTCTTGAAACATTCTCCTTCCTCATTGTCTGACCCAGTACTCTTCAATTTGCCACCTGCCTCTCTCCTCTTCTTAGTTTCATTTGCCACGTCCTATTCCTCTCCTCTGTAGCCATTAAAGGTCCAGTTCCAGGCCCTGCCCTCCTCTGGCTCTAACCTCTCTTCCTGAGTGGTCTCATTCTTTCCCATGGTTGCAATTACCATCTGGGTGTTATCAGTACTCAGAACTCTCTCCATAGCCTTCTCTCTGGGCTCCAGTCCACATATCCAATAACATTTGTGACTTTTTTTTAACTTGGATGTTTCTTAAGATATCTTCTCCTCAAGTATACAAAAACTCTCATCTTCCCTAGAGAACCTGTTCCTCTCCAGGGTCCCTGTCATGGTGGATGTCTGCATCATCCAACTCGTTGCTTAAGCCAGAGGCCTGTGCGAGTCACTCTCGACTCGAGTCCTGAGCATCCCATCCCCTCAGTGTCTCCTGAATCTAAGACTCTCCGTTCCCACCACTTCCCTCATCTTGAGCCACCTCTTCTGTAGGCCATTCTCTCCTCAGTAGCCAAAGTGCCTCTTTAAAAATGCAAATAGGATCATACTATGTCTCAAAATTCTTCAGATATCTTCTTATTTCTCTTAAATAAAATCCAAGCCCGCCGGGTGCAGTGGCTCATGCCTGTAATCCCAGCACTTTGGGAGGCTGAGGCGGGCGGATCACCTGAGGTCGGGAGTTCAAGACCAGCCTGACTAACATGGAGAAACCCCCGTCTCTACTAAAAATACAAAATTAACTGGGTGTGGTGGCGAATGCCTGTAATTCCAGCTACTCGGGAGGTTGAGGCAGGAGAATCGCTTGAACCTGGGAGGCGGAGGTTGTGGTGAGCCGAGACTGCACCATTGCACTCCAGCCTGGGCAACAGGAGCGAAACTCCGTGTCAAGAAAAAAAAAAAATCCAAGCCCTTTAAGCATGACCATCAAGACCGTGTGGTCTGGCCGACGCCTGACACCTCTCAGGCTCTATCTCATGGTGTTTTATCCCCACTCTCCTTCAGTTAGTTTGAATTTCATTTAAACATTCATTCATTCATTCATTCATTCATTCAGGCATCCAGGTATTTATTGAGTGCCTTATTCGTGCCAGGTGTGGTGCGAGGGGCTTGAGTGTGAACAAGGCGAACCTGCTGCCTCATGAAGCCTCCAGGGCTTTCTCTTCCTGTGTCAGGGCCTTCTCCACTACTCCCCCTGCTCCAACACACACACTCCACTCCCCTCAACTACTAACCCCTGCTCATGACTTGGATCAAAATTCAATATCATTCCTCCCTGAAACGTTCCCTGGAGCTCTTGGGCTCATCCAGGAACCCCTGTTATGCATTCCTATGGTCCCGACCTTGCCCTTCACTGCCCACTTCTGATTCTCCTGATGGATCACAGGCTCCACGAGGCTAAAACCCAGATCTACCGTGTTCCCCAGTGCCTGGCACTGTGCCTGTCATGAACCCGATACATACTGGTTGAATGAAAGGATGTGTCCTTTTCATTTGGATCTGGTTTTTTTAGAACATTTGAGGCTATCTTAAATGCTGCCACAGCCGCAGCCACCCTTGTCAAAGCCTTGTACAATCAAGTCTACAATACTTCAACACTGTGCTTTTTTGTTTTGTTTTGTTTTTGAGACAGGGTCTCACTGTGTTGCCCAGGCTGGAGTGCAGTGGTGTGATCTTGGCTCACTGCAACCTCCGCCTCCCGGGTTCAAGAGATTCTCCTGCCTCAGCCTCCCGAGTAGCAGGGATTACAGGTATCCACCATCACACCTGGCTAATTTTTGTAGTTTTAGTAGAGACGGAGTTTCACCATGTTGGCCAGGGTGGTCTCAAACTCCTGACCTCAAGTGATCTGCCCTCCTCTGCTTCCCAAAAGTGCTGGGATTACAGGCATGAGCCACCACACCCGGCTCTACACTGTGGTTTGAAGGAGGCCACTGAGCCCTGACATCTTCCCGACTGGGGAAGGTAAACACCCAGCCTGCACAGAGGTCTGCTGCCAAAGCCCTTCCCTGCAGTCAAATCATCCTATGGGAAGGCAGCCTGAGGGTGTCACACAAACAACACGGGCTTTCAGTGGAGACGGATTCTAGTTTCCAGTCTTGCACTTACTAGTTGTGGGCACAGGGCACTCAGTGTTTCTGACCCTCAGCTTTCCTGCCTGTGGAGGCGTGCGTGATAACATGTGGGCCCCAGGGAGGAGTTCATGAGCTGTCGCAAAGCACATTGGGACCATGAGTGGTTTGCTTCTTTCCTCAACGTGAGGCGGTGCTGGTTAGTGGCTAGCTGTCTGGGTTCTGCGTCAGACAGACCAGTGTCTGAATCTGTCACTTCTTAGCCAGCCAACCTGAGAGAAGTCTCAGCTTCCTCACGTGGGAAATGAGGACAAAGTTGTACCTGCACCCCAGGGCTGTTGTGAGCTGTGAAACTCATGTGTATGCAGGGTTCATGTGTATGCCTCGTTGTGAGACTGGCACATGATAAGGGCCCAAAAAATGTGCTCGACATCGTGCCAGGGACCAAAAGGGAGAGAGAAAACTGATCAGCGGGTCGGGTGCGGTGGCTCACGCCTGTAATCCCAGCATTTTGGGAGGATGAGGCGAGCAGATCACCTGATGTTGGGAGTTCAAGACCAGCCTGACCAACACGGAGAGACCCTGTCTCTACTAAAAATACAAAATTAGGCGGACGTGGAGGTGCACACCTGTAATCCCAGCTACTCGGGAGGCTGAGATAGGAGAATCGCTTGAACCTGGGAGGAGGAGGTTGCAGTGAGCCGAGATCACACCATTGCACTCCAGCCTGGGCAACAAGAGCAAAACTCCACCTCAAAAACAAATAAAACAAAAACAAACAAACAAAAACAAACGATCAGCAGCTCTGATCTGCATTGGTGAATTCATAAGGGAACTATTTATCAAGCATCTAATTTGTGGAGGATCCTGCAGGGGCTGCCATCCAATGGGCTCTTGGCTCCCAAGTCTAGTAGAGAAGACACGTACATAAGCCAGGAAGCTTTCACATGTTCACATGGAAAGCATAAAGGGCCTAAGAAAGATTTCGTTTTTTAAAAAAGCCATAGCTGGGTGCGGTGGCTCATGCCTGTAATCCCAGTACTTTGGAAGGCTGAGGCAGGTGGATCATCTGAGGTCAGGAGTTTGAGACCAGACTGGCCAACATGGTGAAACCCCATCTCTACAAAAATACAAAAATTAACTGGGCGTGGTTGGTGGGCCCTGCAATCCCAGTTACTCGGGAGGCTGAGGTGGGAGAATCGCTTGAACTCAGGATGCAGAGATTGCAGTGAGTTGAGATCGCGCCACTGCACTCCAGCCTAGGCTACAGAGTGAGACTCTGTCTCAAAAAAAAAAAAAAAAAAAAGCCAGGGACTCAAAAATCTGTGTTTTTTTGTTTGCTTGAGACAGGGTCTTGCTCTGTTGCCCAGGCTGGAGTACAGTGGCATGATCATCGCTCACTGCAGCCTCAACCTCCCAGGCTCAAGTAATCCTCCCACCTTAGCCTCCCAAGTAGCTGGGACTACAGGTGCACACCACCATGCCTGGGTAAGTTTTAATTTTTTGCAGAGATGGGATCTTACTGTGTTGCCCAGGCTGGTCTCCAACTCCTGGACTCAAGTGATCCTCCCTCTTTGGCCTCCCAAATAATTTACATACAGTAAAGTACACAAATCTTAAGTGTACCATTGGATGAATTTTTGCATATTTTGCACACGCCCAGATGCCACTACCCAAATCAAGATAAAGAACATTTCCAACACCCCAGAAAATTCCCTCATGCCTCCTCCTAGTCAATAGCCTAGAAGAAACCGCTCTTTTGACCTCTGTCACCAAAGATTGTTTTGCTGGTGCTAGAACTTCATAAACATGGAGTCATATAGTATGTACTCTTTTGCTTCTACCCTTTTTGATTCAACACGTTTTTGAGGTTGGGCATGGTGGCTTACGCCTGTAATCTCAACACTTTGGGAGGCTGGGGCGGGAGGATTGCTTGAGCCCAGGAGTTCACCAGCCTGGGCAACATGGTGACACTCCATCTCCACAAAAAATAAAAAATTAGCTGGGAGTGGTGATGCATGCCTGTGGTCCCAGCTACTTGGGAGGGACCCAGGAGTTGTTGGAGGCTGCAGTGAGCTATGAGGGAACCACTGCACTCTAGCCTGGGTGAAAAAGTGAGACCTTGTCTTAAAAAAAAAAAAAAAAAAAAAAAGGACATGTGGCCAGAGAAGAAACTGCAGGGGGTGGAAATGGCCACTTTCTCTCCCTTGGTGGCTCAGTAACAGAAGATCTAAACAAAGCACTTAAATTTCCGTTAATGGAGTCAGGAATCATCAGTAAGTGGTTTTAGAGATTATTTGCTATCTGTTTACAATGCAAAAAAAAAAAAGTTTGGGCTTATGTAATTGCAAAAGTCATAGTCAGGGAGGTAATTATCAAGTGTAACATGAGTGTTCTATTTTTGGGCCTCAGTGCTAGCTCTTCTGGCCCTTCATTCCCTTTGGCTAATGTGATTCTGAGTTGTTTTTGCTGGTTCTCTTCTGTTGGAGGTGGCTGGATGATGGGAGGCGATGGTTGGGGGAAATACAGAGTGGAATATGATAAATCACATTTCTGCTGGGTTTTACTGTTCACAAAGCACCTGTATAGACAGCATCTCACTCGATAGCAATCCAGGAGGGAGGCAGGGGTACCAGTCACAGTTATTGATTGGAAACAACAGAAACCAATTCTGGGTAGTTTAAGGAGAGAAGGAATGGATTGGGAGGTTATCAAACAGCTCACTGAGTCAAAGGGAAAACTGGAGAACTAGGGTTAGAAAACAGGCAGGAATCAAAGAAGGCTTGTGTAAACCCATGTTTTTTATAGTGTCTTTGTTCTGCAGCTTAACTATTTTATGGTTAAGTTTGGAAATGATCAAGACAGATTTTTTTTTTTTTTGAGACACAGTTTCACTCTGCCATCTAGGCCGGAGTGCAGTGGCACGATCTCAGCCCACTGCAACCTCTGCCTCCCAGGTTCAAGTGATTCTCGTGCCTCAACCTCTCGAGTAGCTGGGACTACAGGCATGCACTACCACACATGGCTAATGTTTGTATTTTTAGTAGAGACAGGGTTTCACCATGTTGGCCAGGCTGGTTTTGAACTCCTGACCTCAAGTGATCCGTCTGCCTCAGCCTTCCAAAGTGCTGGGATTATAGGCGTGAGCCACTGCGCCAGGCCTCAAGACAGATTTTTAAAATCTTCCTTAAAGGAAGAGATAGTATGGACCTTGATGATGGAAAGTAATTTGACCAGCAGAGAAAGGAGATTTCAGGAGAGAATCACTGGGTGAGCGAAGGCAGAAAGGTCAGAAAGAATGTTGAGAGTACAGCTGGGGTTCACAATTTGTGCAAGGGAGAAGGGGGAGAGACAGCTGGGGAGGTAGGTTGAGGCTACATTGTGCAGAGCGTGCTTCCGGGATGAGTTAGTACTTAAACCCATGGCAGTAAGGACCCACTGGAGGTTTGTGAGTAAGAGAATGAGATTTGCTAGTTGCACTTTAGGAATAATAACCTGGTACCTATGAGAGGCAGGAGAAGCCTGGACTGAGGCCAGCTGACGTAGGGAACAACAGTGTCAGCCGTACCAGAGAGACTGAGGGGAATGGAAACCAAGAAAGCGCTTTGGGGCCTGGGTCCTTGGCAGCCACAGAGGAGGCAGCATCAAGAGTGTGCTGGGGCTGAGGCCAGTTTGCGAAGTGTTAGGGACTGACTGGGTGATGAGGAAGTGGAGTTTCGGACAGGTGAGGACAAAGATGTCAAGTGCCAGCTCCCCACCCCCTGCCCTAGCCTGCCACTGCCCTCAGCTATTTCTGGGCTTCCCATTCCCCACCATGGCTGCCCCCTGCCCAGAGCTGAGCTGCCCCTCTGGAGCCCTCTCCTTTAGCCTGGCTCCCCAGCTGCACATGGACTCTTAGCATCTGAAGAGACTTTAGATGAGAACGTGGAGTCTTGGGGAAAGGAAGGGAAGGAACTTGCTGAGGACACACAACCAGGGAGACACGGTGCCAGCAACGAAGCTCCGTCTCCTCTGTTCTATTAGGGCTCTTCTCTCCAACCCTGGTGTACACATGTCATATATATGAGATACATAAATAAATATTATTAATGTAAATGAATAATTAATAATTTAATTATGTGCATGTAAATAGTTTATTTATATAATTTATTGATATAAATAAATACAATAAACAAATATTTATTTATTTATCTTAAGACAGGGTCTCCCTCTGTCACCCAGGCTGGAGTGCAGTGGTGCAGTCTTGGCTCACTGCAACCTCCACCTCCCGGGCTCAAGTGATTCTCCCACCTCAGCCTCCCAAGCAGCTGGGACTACAGGCGGTGCTACCACACCTCGCTAATTTTTGTATTTTTTGTAGAGATGGGGTTTTGCCATGTTACCCCGGGCTGGTCTGGAACTCCTGAGCTCAAGCGATCCACCCATCTCCACCTCCCAAAGTGCTGGGATTACAAGTGTAAGCCACCGCACCGGCCTAGGGTGTAGTATTTATATGAGAGTCTCCGTTCTATCTCCCTACCCTGTATGGCCAGAACCTGGACCCTGGCTAGTTCCCTGCCATTCTCCTAATGCATTTCCCCACCCTGGGACTCTTCCCTTGCTCTTCTCACCCTCACGTCAGATGATCACTTCAGTGGCTCCTCATGGATTAGAAAGATGCACATAGTTGCCAGGTGTGGTGGTTCACACCTGTAATCCCAGCACTTTGGGAGGCTGAAGTGAACGGATCACTGGAGGTCAGGAGTTCAAGACCAGCCTGGCCAACATGGCGAAACCCTGTCTCTACTAAGAATACAAAAATCAGCCGGGCTTGGTGGTGGGCACCTGTAATCCCAGCTACTTGGGAGGCTGAAGCAGGAGGATGGCTTGAACCCAGGAGGTGGAGCTTGCAATGAGCCGAGATTGCGCCACCGTACTCCAGCCTCGGAAGCAGAGCGAGACTCTGTCTAAAAAAAAAAAAAAGAAAGAAAAAGAAAGATGCATATAGTCAACCAAGTAGCATTTCAGGCCTCTGCAGTAGGGCCTCAACACAATTTTGCAATCTCACCGCTAGTCACTCCCAGCTGGGCAGTCATCAGGCAAGCAGAAGCTGTAACTTGGGGGTGCCCAGGAGAAGTGCATGCCACCTCCTGGGCACTTGAAGCCACCTGCCTGGCAAACAATTTCCCACCCCCGCTGCCATTCATATTCTCCTTAGACTTAATTTGCCCTTTTTATTCATAATGTAGCAGGGATGGGGAAAATCCTATTTATTTAATTAATTTATTTATTTTCAGATGGAGTCCCTGTCGCCCAGGCTGGAGACAGTGGCACGATCTTGGCTCACTGCAACCTCCACCTCCCAGGTTCAAGTAATTCTCCTGTCTCAGCCTCCTGAGTAGCTGGGATTACAGGCACCCGCCACCACGCCCGGCTAATTTTTTGTATTTTTAGTAGAGACGAGGTTTCACCATGTTAGCCAGGCTGGTCTTGAACTCCTGACCTCAAGTGATCTGCCTGCCTCAGCCTCCCAAAGTGTTGGGATTACAGGCATGAGCCATCGCGTCTGGCAAAAGTCCTATTTTAAAAACCTGCCTGCAATGGTAGAATTTGTTATGTATGTTCAACTAAGGAAAAAAAAAGCTGCCTGGCAGCATTGCATTTTCTATATGCAGCCAGATTCCATCCTGGTGGAAAACTGCCTATTTTTGGACAACATACCTACTTGGCCTTCTCGTTATGCAATGCAAGTCCCAGAGTGAATGTGGTGGGAGAAATTGAGGCCAAAAGAGCTAAACTGCTTTGCACAATGAGGTAAAGGGCATCTTTCTGGGTGGAAAGGTTGTTTGGTTATTAGTAGTTTTTGTCGTTTGTTTGTCTTTGGTTGCAGATGTTGTTGTGGTTTTCTTTCTCTGGAAGATCCGGGAAATGGGGTGGGGCAGTTTGGGCTCAGCGAAGAAAGGGCAGGAACGGAAGAGCTTGATGTGAGCAGGGAGTCCTCCGCTGACATGAGGGTGGGAGGCTGGGGGGACAGCAGGGTCTCTGAGGAGGGGCTTTTGGATATCAACATTTGAGTTTTCCTGTAAGACGTCAAGCTGTCAGCAAGGCTTGTTAGCTGGCACCCCTGGAACTGGCCTGTGGCACACATTGCCTTGGGGAATGAAGGGAAGAATAGCAACTCCCTCTCTGGGCAAAGGTGACTGTGACTGTGACCGAGAGCCTTGTAGCAACTTGATTAAGGCCTGGCATGGAGTTGGGAGGGAGAAAGGTGGGAGCGGACACTGCCTTGTTAACTTTCCTGGACTTGAGAGCAACCGGGACGCAGCTCTGGGTCTGGTAGGCAAATGGCCAGGCGTGAGCTCTCTGGAGAGAAGGACAGGACACTTGGGGCCGCTCTCACACTTGCTATGGAAAGAGACAAGGGTGAGGGGAGAGAGAGAGTAGGAGGGAGACAGAGAGATGGGCAACTCTTGCAAGTCTCCCTTGGCGCTGTCTTCATTTTCATGGCAGCTTAAAGTGCGAAATGAATCACGTTTCCAAATGCAGTGGACGAACAAGTCCCGCTTCTCTCCTGTCTCTCTCCCATCCCCTCTTAGTGAGATGGGACCTGCCACTTGGCCACTTCCGCCAGATTGACGGCAAGGATTTATTTATGTATGTTGCAAAATGAAAATAACTTTGCTGGATTTGTTTTTCTGCTTATTGTAAAAGATTTAGACAGATGCACAAAGATATTTTAAAAAGTAAACAAAATCACATGCTGTTCCCTCATTCAGAAATAGCCCCTGATGGCGTCTGGGTGTCAAGCTTTCTCCACTTTGTTTTCTTGTGCATTCGTATGCCGGTCACCCAGAAGTCAGCCGGAGGTTTTAAGATTGAAAGAAGATGGGTTTGAACCCTTCCTTCTGTGCCCAGTGGAAATTCCAATTCCCTCCTCAAAACTTGCTTGTATTTCCAGGGGGCTTACATGGGCCTGGTTATCTCTGAGCCCTACTTCCCAACTCTGCTGAAATTTTAGTCTCTGCTCTGCATCCTTTTGATGGCTGGGGTGTGTAACTCCCAGGGCAGCACAGCCTGGTGTTAACTGAGACCTAGAATTTAGGAACTTTCCTCCATTTCCAGAAAAATATGCATTCATAAGAAGCTGTGTGCGGCTGGGCGTGGTGGCTCATGCCTGTAATCCCAGCACTTTGGGAGGCCGAGGCGGTCAGATCACCTGAGGTCAGGAGTTCGAGACCAGCCTGACCAACATGGAGAAACCCTGTCTCTACTAAAAATACAAAATTAGCCTGGTGTGGTGGTGCATGCCTGTAATCCCAGCTACTCAGGAGGCTGAGGCAGGAGAATGGTTTGAACCTGGGAGGCGGAGGTTGCGGTGAGCCGATATCACACCACTGCACTCCAGCCTGGGCAACAAGAGTGAAACTCCGTCTAAGAAAACAACAACAACAAAAAAAGAAGCTGTGTGCATCTTACACACATTCCTAAGGTATAGAGGGTTGATAGGTGGGGTTATGTCACAGGAGTACTAATGATCTAAAATTGAACTTTTTTTTGAGACGGAGTCTCACTGTGTCGCCTAGGCTGGAGTGCAGTGGTGAGATCTCGGCTAACTGCAGGCTCTGCCTTCTGAGTTCAAATGATTCTGCTGCCTCAGTCTCCTGAGTAGCTGGGATTATAGGTGCACACCACCATGCCTGGCTAATTTTATGTATTTTTAGTAGAGATGGGGTTTCATCATGTTGGCTAGGCTGGTCTTGAACTCCTGACCTCAGGTGATCCACCTGCCTCAGCCTCCCAAAGTGCTCGGACTACAGGCATGAACCACTGCGCCCAGCCTAAAATTGAACATTGATATAGTTGTCCAGGAAGGTCCTTGGGTCCCCTGTCTGGGTGCCTGGCGCCCTGCCCTCCTTACTTTTCTCCCTTCCTTGCCTTGGTGAGGCGAGACCTGCCATCTTGGCCACTTCCACCAGATTGACAGCAAGGATTTATTTATGTATGTTGCAAAATGAAAATAATTTTGCTGGATTTTTTTCCTACTTATTGTAAAAGATTTAGACAGATGCACAAAGGTATTTTAAAAAGTAAACAAAATCACATGTTCCCTCATCCAGAAATAGCCCCTGATGGTGTTTTGGTGTCAAGCTTTCTCCACTTTGCTTTCTTATGCATTTGTATGCCGGTCATACGTCCTTGCATCTCCCACCCTAGATCCTGTTGTTTTTAATGTGATCTCTCTTACTCACTTGTCTCTGAGAGCTAATGCCTTTGGGTTCAGGTTTGTACTTCCTACCTCCAGTGGTTTATCAAAGTGTTATCTTAAAGAGAGACAGTTTCCTCCGTAAGGAACCTGCTGCCATCTGTTAAGACAGCAGTTCTTCCCGACCTGTCAGACACATCCATCTATTTTTTTTTAAACATAAGCGGGCTAATTCTGCATATTCTCTATGACAAACAAAGTGATATTCTTTGCACTATTTTACAAAAGAGGAAACTGACCCTGAAGTCTTGGCCTTTGCCTAAAAGCTGCCCTGTCTAACCCTCCACCTGAATCAGCCTTGAGGTCAGTCCAAGTTGTGCCCTTCAGCACACTTGCAAACATCTCTAATTAGTCTGTTTCATGATGTGTTTCTTATTTATTGCTCCCTCCCTGAACTGGAATGTGAACTTAGCAAGGCCACCGACCTGTCTGCTGTGTGCACTGCTCTGTCTTCAGAACTAAGCACACAGTAGGTCCTATGAGTCAGGGTTCTCCAGAGAAACAGAACCCAAAAGATGTGTGCATATATAAAGATTTTTTTTTTTTAATTGAGAAAGAGTCTTGCTCTTTCACCCAGGCTGGAGTGCAGTGGTGCCATCTTGGCTTGCGGCAAGCTCCGCCTCCTGGGTTCATGCCATCCTCCTGCCTCAGCCTCCCGAGTAGCTGGTACTACAGGTGCCCACCACCACGCCCGGCTAATTTTTTGTATTTTTAGTAGAAACGGGGTTTCACCGTGTTAGCCAGGATGGTCTCGATCTCCCAACCTTGTGATCCACCTGCCTTGGCCTCCCAAAGTGCTGGGATTACAGTCATGAGCCACCACTCCTGGCCTATAAAGATTTATTTTAAGCAATTGGCTTACATGATTATGAAGGCTGGCAAGTCCAAAATCTGTAGGGTGGACCAACAGGCTGGAGGCCCAGGGAAAAGTCAGTGTCCAGTGTGTTAGTTCAGGTCTGAAGGCGGAATTCCTTCTTGCTCAGGGGAAATCAATCTTTTGCACTATTCAGGCCTTCAACGGATTGGATGAGGTCCACCCATATTATGGGAGGCAATCTGCATTACTTAAAGTCCACTGATTTAAACGTTAATCTCAGCTGGGTACAGTGGCTCATGCCTGTAGTACCAGCTGCTTGGGAGGCTGAGGTGGGAGGATTGCTTGAGGCCAGTAGTTCAAGACAAGCCTGGGCAACATAGTGCGCCTCTGTCTTTACAAAAAAATTAAAAATCAGACAGGTGTGGTTGTACACACCTGTAATCCCAGCTACTCAGGAGGCTAAGGTGATAGGATCGCTTGAGCTCAGGAGTTTGAGGCTACAGTGAGCCATGATCACGCCACTGCACTCCAGCCTGGGTGACGAAGCGAGACCCTCTCTCTAAAATAATAATGATAAACTGCTATTTATTTTGTGCATATTTTATGTGCTAGGTGAGGAAAAAAAAATCCTGGAGGATCACCGAGGGTAAAGGATTTGCCAGAGATTCCCACCTTTATATATCACAGAGCTGACCACAGAGCCTGATTTTCAGGCTGCAAACCTGCACTCTCTCCAATCACCAGGGAAGAATGCAGGCTCCTCCTCCCCTCTCCAGATGCCTTGGGGTCTCATTCCTCTGGGCTGTCCGTGGCTCTGTCCTGACCCCTTGGGAAGGGCAGACATTGGGTCAACTGGTTTGCCAGTCTGGCCAAGTCAGGCAAATTTGGTTCCCTGCAGCAGCTGCGGTTGCCATGGCACCTTCCCTGGGCTCCTTTCAGTGTAAACCTGGGGGCAAACTGTTTTGAAGCAAAACAGGGAAAACAGAAAAATTCTCCCACTGATACAGGCAACTAGCAAACAGCCAGCGTCTCCTTGAAATTCCTTTCAGTGCCTCACAGGTGTACCTTAGGGCCATGGAGTCCAATGCTTCCATTTCACAGGTGGGGAAACTGAGTCCCGGGTGCTTAGCATTCACAAAGAGGTTTTGTGCCTTGGCCAGGAGGGTATCTGGAGTCACAGCCTGAACTGCTCTGAGCTTTGAATTCCCCCTCTGTAATCTGAGGATCCGAATACCCGTGCCCTGAAAGTGGTATTTGAAGGATTAAGTGAAATTGTATACGTACAGTGCTTCACAAAGGCCTGGCACTTTGTAAGGACATGCAGTTGTTCAAGGTCATGTCCAGTATGGAGGAAACTATCATAGGATTCAGGAGATGTGGGTTCTGGTGTTGACTCTGCTACTCAATTGCTGTGTGGCTTGCTCAAGTCCCTTCATCACTCTGAATTTCAGCATCTTTTTCTGTAAACTGAAGGAGGGTGGGACTAGATGATGCCTAAATTTTATGTATTAATTTTTTTTTTTGAGACGGAGTCTCGCTCTGTCACTCAGGCTGGAGTGCAGTGGCACAATCTTGGCTCACTGCAACCTCTGCCTTCAGGGTTCAAGTGATTCTCCTGCCTCAGCCTCCCAAGTAGCTGGGACTACAGGTGTGTGCCACCACGCCTGGCTAGTGTTTTTTTTTTTTTTTTTTTTTTTTTGTATTTTTAGTAGAGAGAGGGTTTCACCATGTTGGCCAGGCTGGTCTCGAACCCCTGACCTCAAGCGATCCACTCGCCTTGGCCTCCCAAAGTGCTGGGATTACAGGCGTGAGTCACCGAATCTGGCCAATGTCTAAGTTTTCTTTCTGGTTCTACAAATCTACGTTTCTGGTGATAAAAGACTAATCCCAGGGCTCCTAAATCTGTGTTTGTTCCACCACACCACCCTGATTCATTGCCAGATGGGTTCAGGGATCCAACCAGGAGGCCGGTGCCCTGAGCCTGAGGGCTCTTTGCAGGGGGCAGCAGAGATGACTCTGAGGGCTGGAGTACTGGCACTCAGTCTGGCTCCCTGGTGACTGCCTCTGGTTCAGGGCCCTGGCCATGCTCTGTGGAGAGAAGCTGGGGGAGACTAGATGGGAGGGGGGAGTGAGGAAGAATACTTTGGATCTGACAAGGTTAACTGAAAGCAATTTTCAATACCTTCAGCATCAGAGTATGCAAATGAGGCCTGGGCTGATTTGATGCTCTAGACAGTAATTGCTGAGGCAAGAGGAGGAGGAGCGAGGAGAGCAGGTGGGTCTTAGGATTCCAGTGGAGGGAATGGGAAGTCCAACCTGGTGGGGAAGGGTTAGGATAGGGCAGGAAGCTGAAGGGGGCAAGCAGAGAAGAAAAACCAGAGAAAGGGAAGGGAAGAACTGATTTTTGCCTGAGGAAGATGACAGCTTGATAGAAAAACCAGGAGCCAGGCCGAGTTTTTCAAAGAATGTTTACTTCCACCATCATGGTGTTTGCTCACTGCCCTCAGGAGGTGAGCAGGGGAGGAACTATGGGCCATTCTCAGAGGAAAAGTCTGAAGGCCCTTCGCCCCGCTGGGTCACACTTGATGGCCAGGGGATCAAGGGATGCTGGGGCCCCATGCCTTCTGCCTGTAACACTGCGGCCTCTATTCATGAGGCTCTAGTTGGCACTGGGCTGGGGACTGTGAGCCTGTCCTATGGTCCTCCCAGCCACTGTGCCATCCCTGCTGCTGCTCATCCTTCAAGTCCCTTCTAATCCCTCCCCTCATCAACCTCCACTTGCAAACAAACAAGCAAACAAATCCTGCAATTGGACACATGGGAATGAACTGCAGGCAGGATCCAGCGCACTGTGCCGTCCATGGACCCAACACTGGCTAAATCCCAGGGATGGATTGGTCTAAAACTGAGACCACTTTGCCCCACAAGATCAAGAGAGGAGGGCTGATCTAAACATAGTTGTGGTTATTGTTAGTACAGCTAAGACAAGAACTGATTGAATGTTTCCTGTGTGCCAGGCTCTATACTTGCATTACCTTATTTATCTCTTTCATAATCCTATAAAATATATATGATGATGACAGTGCCCAGGCTGGTGTGCAATGGTGCTATCATAGCTCACTGCAGTCTCAAACTCATGGCCTCAAGCTATCCTCCCACCTCAGCCTCTGGTGTAAGTGGGACTACAGGTGCACACCACCATGCCTGGCTATTTTTTTTTTTTTTTTTTGTAGAGATGGGGTCTTGATATGTTAGCAAGGCTGGTCTCAAACTCTTAGCTTCAAGCAATTCTCCTGCCTCAGTTTCCCAAAGTGCTGGGATTACAGATGTGAGTGATATTATTATTGCCTCTTAACAGATGATGAATCGGAGGCTTGGAAAAATGGAAATAATTATCCAAAGTCACTTCACTTGCATGTGGCCCACCCAATGTTTAAACCCAGAGTCTGTATGTTTAATCACAGAATTCCAGCTCCCAGTGTCCAAACGAAGATGTATTCATGCCAATCCACCAGGCCCACTTATTCCTGTGACATTCTTCTTGGAATGCTCGTGCAAGAAGAATGCACACTAGTGCATCCTTTAGGAATGCTTTTAGCTGCAAGGAACCAAAAACATGACTAGGAGTGGCTTAAACAAAAGGTCTTTTTTTTTTTGAGACAGAGTCTCACCCTGTCACCCAGGCTAGAGTGCAGTGGCGTGGTCTTGGCTCACTGCAACCTCTGCCTCCCGGGTTCAAGTGATTATCCTGCCTCAGCCTCCCAAGTAGCTGGGACTACAGGTGCGCACCACCGCACCCAGCTAATTTTTGTATTGTTAGTAGATATGGGGTTTCACCATGTTGGCCAGGCTGGTCTTGAACTCCTGAGCTCAGGTGATCCACCTGCCTCAGCCTCCCAAAATGGTGGGATTTCAGGTGTGAGCCACTGCACCTGGCCTAAACAAAAGGTCTTGAAGCAGGCAGTCCAGAGGTGGTGTACCTGGAGTTCAACAACGTCACCAAAGAGCCAGGCTTATTCTGTCTTTCCATTCTCACAACGTCACTGTATTGGCTTTTCATCCTCACGTGTACTGCTTCATGATTGCAGGGTGGCTGCTGCAGCTCCAGGCATCATATCAACCTCCCAAGGGGCAGGGGCAAACAGTTTTCTCCTGATGGAGCTTTGATTTTTATCCTGGAAAAAAGTTTGTTAGCAGATTTCTCTTAATGCCTTATTGGCCACATATCTACTCCTAGACCAGTCAGTGCTGTAGAAAGTATATATTATGATGGCTCCTGCTTAACTCATCACTCCAAAATCTAGTGGCTGGAAACAACCCCCATTTATTGTTGCCATAAGTCTATGGGTAACCAGGTGGTCCTGGCTGATCTTGGCTGGGCTTACGTGTGTGTCTGTGGCCAGCTGTTGAGTCGGCTGGGGATTGGCTAGTCTAGGATGGCCTTACTTACTCAAGTGTCTGGTGTTGGCTGGCTCTAACTGGGGTCCTGGGTTGACTGGGTTCATCCTCCAGCAGGCTAGCCCAGGCTTGTTCCCATGGCAGCAGTAGGGTTCTAAGACTGGGTGGAAGAATGCAAGGCCCCCTGGGGCACAGGCTCTGAACTGGCACTCTCATTTCCATCCCATTCTTTTGGACAAAGCAAGTCACAGGCTGGCTCGGGTCCAAGGGGTGGGAAAATAGACTCAACCACTTGTATGGGAGGGGCTGCAAAGTCACATTGCAAAGGGCATAGAGAGGAATGAAGAATTGTGACCACTTTGCAATTTACCACAGGTTACCATAATGTATTTAGACCAATTCATTCCTTGAGGCAGAGAAGGGGCTCCCTTTCCCCAAATCAAGGGAAAACCCTTATCCCCTGATGGGGTGGGGGGATACAGTTGCAGGGAATGAAGAGGGAACACTGCTGTTGGGCAGACAGCTAAAAGTGTCTGGACAGGGCGCCAATACCAGATACAAGGAAATGGAGGGAGATTTTGCATGTTCAGTTCCTACAAGTCATCATCCTTCTTCTGAAAAGCATAATTTCCATCTGTCTTGTTGATGCCTGTTCTAGGCCTCATGATGATTCCTCTAACAGGTGTAGGCATTTCCTCCGTGACACTCAGATGCAAAAACAAACTTTTAAAAAGTCAAACGAGCTCTGTCTCTGCCCCATCCACTAGGGTGGTGGGAAAATCCATCCTCAGTCACTGGGAAGGAGGGGTCCCTTGAGGTTTTCACCATCCAGGAAACATGGGGTAGAGGCCTCTGTCATTTGTTTCATCAAAATAATCTCTGAAGAGCTTTTGTTCAAGCCTCAGGGTCCATTCAAAAGAGGGGAGACAGTCTGTGTGCCCTTGACCTTGAACTTGCTGCAGAACTTCTCTCAGGCTCTTACCACCCACCAAAGTCTTCACTCAAAGAACCCACTACTTCTCTATCCTCCCCTTCTCACAGAATCCAGCTCTCTGTCCTGCCCGGGACCACCCTCCCTGTATTAGTCGGTTTTCATGCTGCTGATAAAGACATACCTAAGGCCGCGCACGGTGACTCACGCCTATAATCCCAGCACTTTGGGAGGCTGAGGCCGGCGGATCACGAGGTCAGGAGATGGAGACCATCCTGGCTAACACGGTGAAACCTCGTCTCTACTAAAAATACAAACAGGATTCAATTATCTCCCACTGGGTCCCTCCCACAACATGTAAGAATTATGGGAGCTACAATTCAAGATGAGGTTTGGGTGGGGACACAGCCAAACTATCACTTCCTCTTCAACTTCTTTCCCTCCTCCTCCTGGCAGACCTAGGCCTCCCCAGCAATGCCTGGATAGGATGGTCTTCAAGGGACTCAGGACTTGACTGTACTTCCAGGAGAGAGACGTGCCCCAAGGGAACAGACAGTATGTGATGGAAACTCATCTGGGGAAGCAGGGAAGGAAGTGGCATCTCAGCTGCAAAGTGATGGAGGTGTTGTAGTGGGTTAGATGACAGAGGGCCGGGGGGGGGGGGGGTGCAGCAGAGCATTCCAAACAGAGCAACCATCATCACAGCAATAGCTAACACTTACTGAACAATGCCTATACACCAGGTGCCATAAAGTAGGTACTTTTGTTGTCTCCAGTTTATGAAACTTACGGAACTTACATAACTCACCCAGTCATGCAACTAGTTAAGTAGATGAGCTGGGATTTCAAATCCAACCAGTCTGATGCTCAAACCTTTTTCTTAACCATTCAGATAAAACTGGAGGTGAGAGAAGCAAGTTGTTTGGAGAACCTCAAGGAGTTTATTTTTGTTGGAACCCTGCATGTAAAGATAAAGATGTAAGGTGGTACAAGGGGCTGGTGAGGTAGAGAGAGGTGGAGGTGTGAAGCACCCTGGAGCCATGTTACTGCTTGAAGGCAGCAAGCCTGGGTGCAGGGAGGTCATTTCAGAGGCTATTTCAGTAGTTGAGCAAGAAATGGTGCCTATAACTCCAGCACTTTGGGAGGCCAAGGTGGGCGGATCACCCGGGGTCAGGAGTTCGAGACCAGCCTGGCCAACATAGTGAAACCCTGTGTCTACCAAAAATACAAAAATTAGCAGGGCATGGTAGCACGTCCCTGTAGTCCCAGCTACTCGGGGTGCTGAGGTAGGAGAATTGCTTGAAATCGGGAGGCAGAGGTTGCAGTGAGCTGAGATCACACCACGGCACTCCAGCCTGGGCAACAGAACGAGACTCCATCTCAAGAAAAAAAAAAAAAAGAAGAAATGGTGGTTTGTCAGACTAGGAGGACATTGGTAATAAGAATAAGGAACAATGGCGGGATTCAGGGATTATAAAGGAAGGATGGACAGGACCTGGTGATTGCTTAGAAGTGGTGGAAAGAGACAGAGAGGAGTCAAGAATGATTCTCAGGTTTCTAGCTTGAGCAACTACATGGATAGTGCCAATCCTATTTCTTTCGCCAATTTGCCGTGTATCAGGCTCTCTAGATGTCTGTCTTCCTAGCTAGCAAATGAAGATAATGAAGCCTAACTTCCCCGTGTATCAGGCTGGTGTCAAGATGAAGTCATCAATCTGGAAGTGCTTTGTTTGTTTGTTTGTTTATTTTTATTTTGAGGTGGAGTCTTGCTCTGTCGCCCAGGCTGGAGTGCAATGGCGCGATCTCGGCTTGCTGCAACCTCCGCCTCCCAGGTTCTAGTGATTCTCCTGCCTCAGCCTCCTGAGTAGCTGGGATTACAGGCGCCCACCACCAAACCTGGCTAAGTTTTGTATTTTTAGTAGAGATGGGGTTTCACCATGTTGACCAGGCTGGTCTTGAACTCTTGACCTCAAGTGATCCATGCGCCTCGGCCTCCCAAAGTGCTGGGATGACAGGCGTGAGCCACTGCTCCCGGCCTGGAAGTACTTTGGAAAGTCAAAAGTCCTTTGCATTATTTTATAGTTATTTTTACTATCCTCCCCCTCCTGGAGCTTGCTGATGGAGCCAGACTGAGAGGCAACCCAGGGGAGCTGCCTGCTCACTGGGAGGCAGCCGCTGTATCTTCCATCAGGCAGCTCTGTCTCTTTGGCAGGTGGGAGCCACATTCCCACATACTAAATTGTTAATAGCTTCCCCAGGGAGTTCCTTTCTGCTCTGACTCCTTCAGTGATTTCTGTTTCTCTCCTGCTGACGCCTTCTGATGCCCTGGGTTAGCCCAGGATTTCCCATCCATTTTTCTCTTCATTTCTCCCACCTTGAGGTCAGGATATGAACAAGCTCCAAATACAGCTCAAACTCCTCTGTGACCCAGGTGTGAAGGACTGTGTCTACCCTGGTTCCCCCCAACAGTGGGGATGAACTCAAGAATCTCCCAAGTGGCCGGGCACAGTGGCTCACACCTGTAATCCCAGCACTTTGGGAGGCCAAGGCGGGCGGATCACCTGAGGTCAGGAGTTCGAGACCAGCCTGACCACATGAAGAAACCCCATCCCTACTAAAAATACAAAATTAGCCAGGTGTGGTGGCACATGCCTGTGATCCCAGCTACTCGGGAGGCTGAGGCAGGAGAATCGCTTGAACCCGGGAGGCGGAGGTTGCAGTGAGCCGAGATTGTGCCATTGCACTCCAGCATGGGCAACAAGAGCAAGACTCCATCTCAATAATAATAATAATAATAATAATAATAATAATAATAATAATAATAAAGAATCTCCCAAGCTCCAAGTGAGTCATTGCCCTACACCGGGGTGGTGGGGAAACTCTGCTGAACAGAGGCAGACGGAGTATGTTTTTCTGGGTGACTTTCTAGTCTTTGTTCTGGGAGGCATCATAGTCTAGTAGTCAGGAGACTGGGGTTTGGAGTCACACAGATCTGGCTTGGCATCTCAGTTCTGGCTTGGGTAGGTAACCTAACCTCTGCAAAATGGAATAATAATAACTCTATATGCTTATAGGACTGCTTGGGGATTAAATGAGATAATCCACATAGCATTTGGCCCAGTGCCTGCCATAGAACATGCTCTCCATAAATGGAAGCCAACAGCGTTGTTATATGAATTTGTGACCACAGAAATGAGACTGCCTTTTAAAGATAAGTAGACTAGAAGTCCAGGTGCAGTGGCTCATGCCTATAATTCCAGCACTTTGGGAGGCTTGAGCCCAGGAATTCGAGCCCAGGAGTTCGAGACCAGCCTGGGCGACATAGTGAGACACCATCTCTACAAAAAAAAAAAAAAAAAAAAAAAAAGCCAGGTGCGGTGGCTCACATCTGAAATCCCAGCACTTTGGGAGGCCGAGGCGGGCAGATCAGGAGGTCAAGAGATGGAGACCATCTTGGCCAATGTGGTGAAACCCCGTCTCTACTAAAAATACAAAAATTAGCCAGGTGTGGTGTTGCGCACCTGTAGTCCCAGCTACTCTGGAGGCTGAGGCAGGAGAATTGCTTGAACCCTGGAGGCAGAGGTTGCAGTGAGCTGAGATCGTGCCACTGCACTCCAGCCTGGCAACAGAACAAGACTCCGTCCCCCACCTCAAAAAAATAAAAATAAAATAAATTGATCATTTCCAAGTTTTCATTTTAGAAGGTCATTGTGGAAAACCCTCTAGAAGCCTTTGAATTTTCATTTGTTCCTCCAATGTCCAGAATGGGGAAATTCACTTGCACTAGGCATGTATGTTTTCTTTTCTTTTCTTTTCTTTTTTTTTTTTTTTTTTTTGAGACAGTCTCGCTCTGTTGCCCAGGATAGAGTGCAAAGGCACAATCTCGGCTCACTGCAACCTCTGCCTCCCAGATTCAAGCATTTCTTCTGCCTCAGCTTCCTGAGTAGCTAGGATTACAGGTGTGTGCCACCAAGCCTGGCTAATTTTTTGTATTTTTAGTAGAAACGGGGTTTTGCTGTGTTAGCCAGGCTGGCCTTGAACTCCTGACCTCAGGTGATTTGCCCTCCTCGGCCTCCCAAAGTGCTGGGATTACAGATGTGAGCCACGGAGCCCAGCCAACATGTATGTTTTCTTAGCAATTATTTCACTCATGTACTTGGTCATTTACATATCTTTTGCAACTTCTTTTTTTTTTTTGAGATGGACTTCTGCTCTTTTCACCCAGGCTGGAGTGCAATGGTGCCATCTCAGCTCACTGCAACCTCTGCCTCCCAGATTCAAACGATTCTCCTGCCTCAGCCTCCCAAGTAGCTGGGATTACAGGCGCCCAACATCATGCCCAGCTATTTTTTTTTTTTTTTTTTTTTTGGTATTTTTAGTAGAGACGGTGTTTCACCATGTTGTTCAGGCTGGTCTCGAACTCCTGACCTCAGGTGATCCGCCCTCCTTGGCCTCCCAAAGTGCTGGGATTACAGGCATGAGCCACCACACCCAGCCCTCTTTCACAACTTCTTGATTGTGAGCTTCTTTAAAAAAAAAAAAAATTACGAAGTAACCAAAGTTGGAACTGAGCTTCTTTATTCAGTCACTCATCAAGTAAGCACCTGTGTGTCAGGGCTTGCACTAAGCTGGAGGGCACAGAAACACACAAGATCTTTTTATGTTTTTTTCAACTTATTATTATTATTATTATTTTGAGACAGGGTCTTGCTGTCATCCAGGCTGGAGTGCAGGGGCAAGATCTCGACTCACTGCAGCCTCTATTTTCCCAGCTCAAATGATCCTCCCACCTCAGCCTCCCAAGTAGCTGCAACTAGAGACACACATTACCATTCCTGGCTAATTTTTTTTTTTTTTTTTTTTTTTTTTTTGTAGAGACAGGGTTTTGCCATGTTGCCCACGCTGGTTTCGAACTCCTAGGCTCAAGTGATCTGTCTGCCTCAGCCTCTCAAAATGTTCGGATTACAAGTGTGTGCCACCGTGCCCAGCCTTTTTCAATTTTTCTTGTAGATCCAAGGGATCCATGTGCAGATTTGCCACCTGGGTATATTTTGTGATGCTGAGGTTTGGGGTATGAATTATCCTGTCAACTAAGTTACTGAGCATAGTATTCAATGGTTAGTTTTACACAATACTTTTTTGTGTGAAGGTGATGCACAAAAAATCCAATGATTACACAATAAATACATGGGAAACTATTAATATGTAAAGAAGAAGTACGTGATGCTACTGCATAATAAGGAGAGCTGGGCTAGTTGGAGGTGGGGTGGGGATCAGGGAAGGTTTCACAAAGGAAGTGATATTTAAGCTGAAATTTGAGGGGTAAATAACGCTTAGGCTGGGGTATTGGCCCAGCCTTCCGAGTGGAAGGAATAGCATGTACAAATGTCCTGAGGTAGGAAAAAACTTGGCTTGGAGGGTTAGGGAGGGGACCAGAATTCCAATAAAGTAGCCCTCCTTCTTCCTATCCCAATTTCTCTCTGCTGGCACTAGAAAAGTTTCTGAGTACCAGGCCCTTTGGGAAAGGGAGAGAGTTTTGGCAGCAGGTGACCACAGCAAAAATCTTTCTGATAAGTCCTTAGGTGGTTGAGTGGGAAAGCCCTGGGGTGGGGGGCTTGCTGTAGTTGGTAGAAGTGGCTGGACAGCAGCTAAGTGGGGTGGAGAAAATGGAGAAGAGGGTGAGCTTGGGAATTCTGGCTTTGCTTTTTTCTGGGAAAGGGTAGGAGCCTTGCACATATATGGATGATTCAAGCTAGAGGGTGAGATGAGGGAGAGCTCCTTGTCCAGCCACACACAGATCCAAGAGCATTGCCCCAGAGCCTAGAGCTCAGAACCCCTAATATTGTTCCACTCCAGTTCCCTTTGGGATCTTTATTATCCAAAAAGTATTTCTTGAGCACCTGCTGTGACCCCAGCCCTCTCCTGGATGCAGGGGTCAATCAGACCTGGTCCCTTTAAGGAGGGAGACCAGTTCGGATAGAAATAATTACTATATGGGATAATTTAGTGCTGAGCACTAAATCTGTAACATGGGGACAATAATAATAGAAGCTACACCAAAGTGTTGGTGCATGGATAAAGTGCTTATCACAGTGCCTGGAGCAAAGTAATGCTTGGTAGAATGTTCTGGAAAGGCTAGGCACCCCAAGAAGAAGGATGGCTCTAATCTGGAATGGTTAGGTCTTGGAAGGGGTGTGGCAAGGATGACTTAGCCAAGTGCCCCCCTTCTATCTGCTCGCACTGCAGCCAGAGTGCTCCTTAAGGTGGTCTTCAAGAGCCTGCCCACCACCTCATCGCCCCCTCACTTCCTGCCTTCTCCTCTTCCTGGCTTCCTTTCAGTCCCTCTGCTTCCTTTATCCGGAATCCTCTTCCCTTGTTACTTCCTTAAGTTAGTTCTTCCCCAAACTTCACACCTCACCTCAAGTGTCGTTTCCCCAGGGAAGCTGTCCTGACCCCTGGGTTTTGTAGACCCTGCCACTTTCTCAATTCGTACCTATATCTTAATGTCATTTTAGGGTTGCTCGCTCTCTCTCCTGCACTGGGCTGTAAGCCCCAGGAAGCAGAGGCTGCATCTGGTTTTGTGTACTAGAGGGTCCCCCCAAATACCCGGCTCTTCTATTAGGCACCCTCAGAATTTTTGTTGAGCGAATGAATGGGGTGCAAGAAAGGCACGGATAATATAGGTTATTTACGGAGCATGTAACTGTCCGCAGGGCACTGCTCTAAGCTCTTTGTTCGAATCATTTTATTCAATCTCCCCAACCACCCTCTGAGGGAGGTGGTACGATTTTCCTCATCTCACAGACAAAGAGAATGAAGCTGAGGGAGGTTAAGTGACTTACACAAGGTCACTCCGCCTGTTAGTGCAGGGGCGGGAGGCGGGATCCACACCCAGGTCCCTCTGACACCAAAGTGGCAAGGGGGTGGGAGGGGAGTCCAGGTTGGGACGGGGTCGCACTCGAGCCGGCGGAGCATCCCTAGGGAGGGGGCGGGAGGCCTCCCCTGCCCAGCTCCGAGCCGGTGGTGCAGCGTCCGCCCCCGGTCGCGGGCGCAGACTGGCGGCCGCCTCCGGGCCACGTGGTGCGCGCGGCGGGCGCGTCCGAGGAGCCTGCGGCTGCTCCTGGCTCACAGCGCTCCGGGCGAGGAGAGCGGGCGGACGCCGGGGGCTGGGCCGGTGCGGGCGGCGAGGCAGGCGGACGAGGCGCAGAGACAGCGGGGCGGCCGGGGCGCGGCAGCCGGCGGCGTCGGGGCCGCGGCCTCTGCCTTGCCGCTCCCCTCGCGTCGGATCCCCGCGCCCAGGGCGCACGGTGGAGAGGGACGCGGCGGAGCCGGCCGGCAGCCATGGAACCGGCCCCCTCCGCCGGCGCCGAGCTGCAGCCCCCGCTCTTCGCCAACGCCTCGGACGCCTACCCTAGCGCCTGCCCCAGCGCTGGCGCCAATGCGTCGGGGCCGCCAGGCGCGCGGAGCGCCTCGTCCCTCGCCCTGGCAATCGCCATCACCGCGCTCTACTCGGCCGTGTGCGCCGTGGGGCTGCTGGGCAACGTGCTTGTCATGTTCGGCATCGTCCGGTGAGTCCGCTGCGGGCCGGCGCCGCAGGGCTGGAGCCCGGGGTGAGGGTGGGGATCACGAACTTGAGACCCCAAGCCCGTTCCCTGGACTCCCCGCGCCTCCGCATTTCCTGCAGGGGCACCTGGGGCCCAGCGAGAGGCGAGGCCACTTACATCGAGGGGAACACAGGAATGTGTGTCATCGTGTGTATGTGTGTGTGTGGTGCGGGGGGGGGAGTGCGCCGCGGTTGACTAAATTACATTTGATCATCTGTTGGCATCCCCTTGCTTCTTTGTGGGACAGTTTGGCGTCAGTTTGTGTGTCTGTCACAGTTTGTGAGTGGATGGTTGTGACAGTACAACTGTATGTTTGGACGTCGGAAACATGCCCATGGGGTGGGCAGAGCTGCTCTGAGGTGCCGCGGGCCTTTGGGGAGACCGGTGTGAGGGCACCGTGCAGGCAGGGCGGACAGGAGGGTGCTGGGTGTCAGCACCTCGCCGTGGGGCCCTTACCAAGTCATATTTGGTGCTCATCTGTTGGTGTGAGCTTGTCCCTAACGGTCAGTTTGTGATTCTGTCTGAATGTAACAATGTGACTGTTGTTTCTTGTCAAGCTCTTGAAACCCCGAGGGCGGCAGAGCATCCGGAGTGGCCGTCGTCCCTGTGTTTGTGCAGCTGTGTGTGCCTTTGCCAGTGATTCCTGGATAACATGGGCGACAGCTGTGGGCCGCCAACCGGTTCTCTGTTCCCTTCGCCAGTGCCCATCTGGTCAGGAATTCTGAATAGGATTCAGAGAAGACTCACGCCCTCCTCACAAATGCCCTCTCCCATTTTCTCTTTGCCTCCTCTAACAGTCTTTTCTTCTGCCAGAGGCAGCAGAGGTTGGTCTGGGCGGGAGTGGATTTTGAGTTTTCATCCCAGGAAGTGAGGTGCTCTTCTTGGAGTTTATGGAGAGTGCTGGGACCTTCTCAGAGAGCCTAAGACGTCAGCTTGCCCCAGAAGTAGCCCTCCTGATACAGCCCCACAAGCTCAGACATGGCCAGTAAGGGTTGAGAGGAAAATTTCCATCTTTAAAACAACAAAGATGCCCTCGTATTTGCTGTTAGTTGAAAATGGGTCCTTCATGCTGGTGGACCAAGGACATGGCCCTAAACCTCTCTGGGCTGTGGGTGCCACCATGCAGGGCATAGGTCAGGTCGTGGACTCAGAGGTTAGAGAGATGAACTGTAGTCTCAGCCTAGTCATGGATGCCCAGGCATCATTCTTCCTGCCCTGCCTCCCATCCGCCTCAGTTTCCCTGTTCGAAGAATACAGACCTAATCTCCTCAATTGGAAAGTATGAATTCCAGGGTATGGGGTCTCTGCAGCGCAGAACGTGGTGTGTTGGAGCATGGGATGAGGTGTGTGGGTGTCAGTGGGCTTCGGCATTGATGATCTCTGGGAGATCTTTGCTCCTCCAGAAAGAGTGGCGGGTACAAGAATTTCCTGTGCTTTCCATGACTCATCACAAGCAACAGTGGGAGAATTCCCCCCAAGCACAGGCGGGACTGATCTTTACTTTGTGTCTTTGTCAGTGATTCTCCCCACTTCGCAGGCTTCGAGGCAGGCCGGCCTGGTATGAATCCCTGCTCTGCCACGAACTGGCTCTGTGACTTGGATGAATCACTTAGCCTCTTTGAGCCTCAGTTTCTTCATCTGTAGAATGACGTAATGATAAATCTTCTTCCACAGGGTTGTTGTGAGGTGTCAGTGAGAGAGCACATAACGCACTGGCCTGGCGCCTGGACCCAGTAAATGGACGCTGTCTGTATAGCGAGGCGGAGGGATTTTCTAGATCCTGTAGAATCTGACTAAAGAAGGGAGCTTGAGGGAGGTGCTTGTCCTAAGGTGGGCCTGAGAGTAGCTGTGATTCTGAGAGCTCCGGATTCCTGGCACCTGCCCTGTCTAGGGGAGCTCCAGGTGCCCAAGTCTGGAAAAAGCCGAGCGTCGGTGTGTTCAGTCTCATTTCCAACCTTTTCCCCGGGGCCTCTGGCTGGTTGGCTGACTGAGCACAGCTTCCCCACTACCACTGAGCAAGGGGAGGGGACTCCCACTGCTGAGGGTCCACTGTGGGGAGGCTCTGGGCTCAGCCTGCTAGGGGCATTCCCACACAGCCTTCCCGGAATCGCATTGCCAAGTGTACGCAAGCAGCTTAGTGGGCCCCTAGGGGTCCCCATGTTGCCAAGACATTTCGCTGGTCAACCATTTATGTGAAAATTGTATCTCTGGGTCTGAATGATTGAATCCTCACCTTCAATCCTATGGGACAGGCATTAGAATCATCATCAGTACCCGCATCCTGCAGATAAAATGAGGAATCTGCAGCTCAGAGACAGGCAAGGTGACTTGTTCTCGGAGGGTACCACAGTTGGCACCAGGCCCAGAGCTAGAACCTTAGTCTGTGACTTAAGTCCAAAACTTTTCTCCAGAGTTGCCTGGGGTAGAGGACAGTCAAAGCATTGTCTGGAAGGAGGGTGGCAGAATTCTGTCCCTCCTCTTTTATTTTTGAGACAAGATTTCTCTCTGTTGCCCAGGCTGGAGCGTCGCAATCACAGCTCACTGCAACCTCGACCTCCTGGGCTTAATGCGATCCTCCCACCTCAGGCTCCTGGGTAGCTGGGACTACAGGCACACGCCATGCTAACTTTAGTTTTTTTTGCAGAGACAGGGTTTTGCCATGTTGCCTAGGCTGGTGTCAAACTTCTGAGCTCAAGCAGTCCACCCGCCTCGGCCTCCCAAAGTGCTGGGATTACGGGCGGAGCCATGGTGCCCGGCTGTGTCCCTCCTCTTGTCTTAGAGTCCTCAGAGAGCAGAGACCTGGGGACTATGCTCCTCTGCGTTTTTCAGCCTGTGCATTTTAGGCTGCTGTCCTTTGGGGAGGCTGAATGATAAGGGCTGGCGCTCAGTCCTTCCCCAGTGAACAGTGAACGAGAGTCTGAGGGCAGGGCAGCTGCCTGGGTCTTGGCTTCTGCTGGAAACACCCCAAGGGCAGTGGGGAGAGCGCAGCCCGGGCTGGAGAAGGGACCCTGCTCCCCTGAAGGGCTCCTCGAGCTGCGCTCCATCTGCGGTTTCCTGGCAGCCCAAGCAGGGCCTGCCACAACCAGTACATGAGCCGGCTGCTGGGTTGAGTGAATGAGTGGTTGAATGAGTGAATTCTGCCTGTCAGTCCTGAGCTTAGGCAGCATGTGGGGGGTGGGGAGCAGGTGTGCAAGGGAAGATTCAGAGACCCTTGGGGAAGGAAAGCCGGGTGGTGTAGTGGGCAGAGCTGTGGCTCTGGACCAGACATATCTGAGTTCAAAGCCACTTACTTGCTGTGTACTCGGGCTAGTGACGAGCTGTCTGAAGCTCTTCTCATTAAAGTGGGAACACCAACAGCGCCTCCAGGGTGGGGGTGAGGATTAAGTGGCATAATGTGTGATATCTGAGCCTTTTAGACCCTAAGCTCTTTGAGAACATGAGGGGCTCTGTGTGAAGGACTGAAAAGAATTAACTCATTCTACAACATTCTACATGCTCTGTGCTAAATGCCAAGAAAAAAACCACACCGTGCTCCAGACCTTCCGGAGCTTAGGGTCTGGTGGGAGACAGACATTCGTCAGCCAGTCATCCAATAAACTGAAGTTTGTAGCTGTGGTAGGGGCTATCTGTGAAAGTATGTGGGGGATTTGGGAGCCCATGATGGGGGCAGGGGAGGGTCTCAGCTGGGCGGAGAGATCAGAGAAGCCTCTGCAGAGCTAAAGGACGAGGAGGGGAAACTGAGTCAAAAGCTGAGGGAGGAGCTGTGGCTGGGAAGCAGGATGCTGATGAGGGCCTGAACGTAAGAACCAGGAATCTCAGAATTCCAGGTCAGAAGCATCCTCCATCCTGCAGGCCCCACACTCTGTCCTCTCTCCCCTCCAAGAAGCTACCTGAGAAGCTGTCTCATCCTGGGGGCCTGAGAGGGGCCTCTGGGAATTGTGCTTTTAGCAAACAGCCTGTGGCTGGAGGGAATGAGGCTTCCATGAAGCGTGAGCAGGACTTCTGTGGACAGGTGGTCCCAAGGCAGAGCATCACCCCCTCCTCCTGCATGTGGGATTGGCCAGCACGATGACTCGTGCTGGCCATGGGGATGCCCTGGTCCTCAGAGCAGACACCGGACAACCCCTTCCTCCGGGCAGAGTCAGTGTCCTCTGCAGGGCTGGCATCTCAGAGACTTCCCATGGGCAGCCCACTGGGTAGGTGTGGTGTGATGGGCTTAGCAGGCCCCTCACCTGTGGCAGGTGACCCCCTCTTCCTCCCGCCTGGCCCAGATCCTGGGTGGCCCGACCCAGAACCTGGGCAAGAGGAGTCAGTGCTTTCCTACCTGGCCTCCTGTCTGTTCCACAGCCTTCTCTGTTTCCCTGCCTCCTCTGCGCCCCGAGCTAGGTTTCAGCAGGTTTGTACCCTCGCAGCATGCCCTGCCTCCTGCCAGCCCCGGCCAGCCTCCATGAGACGCCTTCAGCCTGTGTGCTTCTCTGCCCCTTGATCTCACCTCAGCCCATGTCTCTTCTGATTTGTCTCCTTGTATCAAATGCTGGCTCTGCTACTTACTAAGAGCTTTAGCAAGCCGGATCGCCTCACTGCACCTGTCTTCATCGGGAAGATGTGGGTAATAGTACTATCTCATAGGTACCTTTGTCCTCAGGATTAGATGAGATGATGTTGGCAAAGCACCGCGTTTTCCCTCCTATCTGAGGTGACTGCAGCACCCAGCAGGGAGGGGAGTTGGGCCAGGCAGGTGGGCTGTGGCAGGGTCGGGATAGGTGAATGAAGGGTTCTGGTTATTTCTTCAGTCTCCTGCCGAGGTTCCAGAAGCTGCTGGGGAAAATGCTGAAGTGTCTTCTTAGCAGAATTTGTAGCACTGAATCTGTGTCCTGTTTTTGGAAGCCCCTTGGCTTCTTGTCTCCCTCCCCTCTCTTGGGGTCTGGACCCAGGGCCTCTGGGCCAGGAGAGATTCCAGTGAGATGACACAGTGCAGTGGTAAAGGTTGTGACTAGAGGTCAGGGAGCGCCTGGTCTCTATCCATGTCCCAGAGGTGTGGCTTTGGGCAAAAACAGCTTAACTTCCCTTTTTTTTTGGATGGAGTCTCACTGTGTTGCCCAGGCTGGAGTGCAGTGGTGTGATCTCGGCTCACTGCAACCTCTGCCTCCCTGGTTCAAGGGATTCTCGTGCCTCAGCCTCCCCAGTAGCTAGGATTACAGGCGCTCGCCACCACGCCCAACTAGTTTTTGTGTTTTTAGTAGAGATGGGCGGGGCGGGGGGGGGGTTTCACCATGTTGGCCAGGCTGGTCTCGAACTCCTGACCTCAAGTGATCCGCCAGCCTTGGCCTCCCAAAGTGCTGGGATTATAGGCGTGAGCCGCTGCGCCTGGCTCATTTTATCATTTAAAAAATTGGGGCGATATGACAGGTTATTGGGAGGACTCAAAGAGATCGAGCATGGAAAGGCTGTAGCATAGCACCTGGCATGCCCTGCGCTGTGGTTTCCTGCAGTGGCTGCAGGTGGGCAGAGTGCAGGTGGGCTGTTGAGGCCTGGTCGTCTATGTTTTCCACCTTTGGCCCTTTCCCATGTCCTGCATTGCCTGCACGTGTACTCAGTCAGTAAAGCATTTGCTGATGCTGACCCATGCCAGGCCTGTCCAGCCTCAGCTCTCACTGCCCAGACCCACAGCTTAAACCTCCATACGCCCCCTGGCTCCTAACACAGCTATGTCCCATGCCACCCCCTGGTTAGTTGCAACTCCACAGACAAGTGCAGCTCCCTGGAACTATGGGAGTCCAGGGAGTCTCCAGACCCAGCCAGAGGAGGGGATGCCTGTGCATCATGGAGGGGAGCAGCAGTTGGCTCCCTGGAGAGGTGTGAGTGGAGCATTCCAGATAGAGGGAACCACAGGAGCAATGATTCACCAATTCACCGAGGCTGAGACGAGAGTGTTGGGGACCAGGGTGGCTGTGAGGATGGAGAGGCTGCAGGGACAAAAGCAGGAAAGGCGTCGTAAGCAGGTGTCCTTCTTACCATAGTGTCAAAAGCACCTGCTAGGTGCTGAGCTTGGCTGGGCTCGGGAGCCACCCATGATTCCTGAGGAGATACACCTGGTAGAGTAGCCCCAGGTAATTGGAGGCAGGTGTTCTCATGGGGATGGTGAGAGGGAGGGCTGAGGAGAGGCCTGGAGGCAGGCCCAGCATGACTGTGTGAGGAGCCAGAGGCCGTGCTGAGGTTCTAGTCTGGATGTGGGAGCTGAGGCTGGACAGGTCCTCAGGGGTCCCATGGTAAGGTTGGCGTGCTGGGAAATGAGGAAGCTTTGGGTCACAGGCCATGGGGAGGGGGATTTTGGAGCAATCTGTGCAGAATGGTCTTCAAGAGAATGAATTTGGTGTGGGGGTGAGGGGTGGATTGGATGGGGAGGGGCTCAATGTGGGGAGACTAGAGAGGGTGGCTCAGGGCAATGAAAAGAGAGCCATGTGACCTTGGATGGGGCCATTAAAACCCTGTGCTCAGCTGTCCCCTTTCTGAAATGGAGTGCTGTTGGACCTAACAAGAAGGCAGGAAGCTGTGCATGGTGGTGCATGCCTGTAATCTCAGCTATTCAAGAGGCTAAGATGTTGATCAGACTGGACAACATAGCAAGACCCCATTTCAAAAAAAAAAGGAAGGAGGCAGCAGGAGGAGGCTGGGCTAGATGACTTCTGGTGAGGCTGAGCAGAGAGAACAAGCAGCAGCCCTGGCTGCTGTTCCTGCTGCATCTCTTGGTCTTGCCTGGAGCCTGCTTCTTCCTGGGTCTTGGGTTCATTCCCTGGGGAGTGTGTGTGACTTACAGACGCACTGCGGTGGGTCCATAGGAGTCACTGAGAACACTGAAAAGCCTCTTCCTAAGCTTCTGCCACATGCCAGAGGCTTCTGGATCCAGAGGCCATATTGAGGTTGAAGTATGCAAGCTGCACCACAGCCCTGTGATGGGGGCTTTCTGTTCTCATTTGCAAATGGGGACAAGAAGGCTCAGAGGGAGCGAGTGCCTCTCACAGCAAGAGAGGGGTGGAGTCGAGATTCCAACCCAGGCCTCTCTGACTCCAAAATCACTCCATGTTTCCATCTGCTGCTGCTGTCCATGACATGGCGGAATGGAGGCGAGTGCTGGGGACGTCTAGGTAGAGAAGCGAGGAATGGGGATGGGGTAGAGGGTAGATTGCTGTCTGCAAATCTCTGAGGCCTCTGCATGGGGTGGCAGCAGTTGAGAGCCTGGGCATTGGAGCCAGACTGACCTGGAATTACATCCCAGCGGTGCCATTTACTAAGAGAGTGAGCTTGAACAATACATACACACCCTCTCTGAGCCTCAGCTTTATCATCTGTGAAACGGGAGTAGTGATAGACCCTCACAGAGTGGTTATGAGGAGTTCACGAGGCCTGATATGAGGGACTTCAGCACAGAGCTAGGCATTTGGTATGTGGTCAATAAACATCTTCTGTAATTATGACTATTTAGAAGAGGAGTCACACTTGCTTTGCATTCATTTGATTGACATTTATCGAGCCTCAGAGGAACTAGATTTTTTTTTTTTTTTTTTTTTGAGATAGTCTCGCTCTGTTGCCCAGGCTGGAGTGCAGTGACGCAATCTTGGCTCACTGCAACCTCTGCCTTCTGGGTTCAAGCAATTCTCTTGCCTCAACCTCCTGAGTAGCTGGGATTACAGGTGTGTGCCAACATACTAGGCTAATTTTTGTATTTTTAGTAGAGATGGGGTTTCACCATGATGGCCAGGCTGGTCTCCAACTCCTGGCCTCAAGTGATCCACCTGCCTCAGCCTCCCAAAGTGCTGGGATTACAGGTGTGAACTGGAACTAGAATTATTGAGTGGGTGGTATAGGGAAACTTTATCAACTCAATATTATAAATTTTCAGCTGGGTGCAGTGACTCACGCCTGTAATCCTAACACTTCGGGAGGCAAAGCAGGAGGATCACTGGAGTCCAGGAGTTCGAGACCAGCCCGAACAATATGGCAAGACCCTGTCTCTACAAAAAAATTAAAAAGTTAGCTGAGCATGGTGGCATGCACCTGTAGTCCCAGCTGCTTGGGTGGAAGGATGGCTTGAACCCAGAAACTCAAGGTGACAGTGAGCTATGATTGTACCACTGCAGTCCAGCCTGGGCAACAAAGCGAGATCCCATATCTCAAACTCCTGACCCCAGGTGATCTGCCCGCCTCTGGCCTCCCAAAGTGCTGGGATTACAGGTGTGAGCCACCGCATCTGGCCTGAGACCCCATATTTAAAAAAAAATTTTTTTTTCTTCTACAATAAAAGGTAACAAACTTATTTCAGAAAATGTGGAGAAATTTAAGCAGAGACAGACATTATCCATAATCCTACCACAGAGAAAAGAGCTTTTTCATTTTGGTGTGTTTCCTTCCCATCTCTTTTCTGTCTCTCTTTCTGTTTCTCAATTTTATTTATTTTTATTTATTCATTTTTTTTGAGACAGAGTCTTGCTCTTGTCATCCAGGCTGGAGCACAATGGCACAATCTCGGCTCACTGCAACCTCTGCCTCCCGGGTTCAAGCAGTTCTCCTCCCTCAGCCTCCCAAGTAGCTGGGATTACAGGTACCTGCCACCATGCCCGGCTAATTTTTGTATTTTTAGTAGAGATGGGGTGTCACCATCTTGGCCAGGCTGGTCTTGAACTCTTCTCTTGACCTCAGGTGATCCACCTGCCTTGGCCTCCCAAAGTTCTGGGATTACAGGCATGAGCCACCGTGCCCAGCTTATTTTTATTTTTGAGATGGGGATCTCCTTATGTTGCCCAAGCTGGTCTTGAACTCCTGGACTCAAGTGATCCTCCCACCTTGGCCTCCGAAAGTGCTGGGATTACAGTCATGAGCCGACACACCCAGCTTTGTTTTTCCATTTTAGTGAAATCAGGGTCACATGTCGAAGTCATGATCGCATTGCATGTAATATTTTGTGAGATGCCTATTCACTTAACATTATATGTTAAGCATGTGCTCTTCTAGTTTGAAAACATGATTTTTGATGGCTACATTGCATGAATGTGTTCTTTTTCCAGTGACTTTTATAATTTCCAATATTATGCCAATCTAAATAATGCTGCTGCTGCCCGGGCATGGTGGCTCACCCCCATAATTCCAGCACTTTGGGAGGCCATGGTGGGAGGATCACTTGAGCCCAGGAATTCAAGATCAGCACAGGCAACATAGCAAGACCCTGTCTCTAAAAACAAAAAAATAGTAATCATACATAATGCTGTGAACATTCTTAGACATGTGTGTTTGCGCACATCTCATTATTTCTTTCTTTTTTTTTTTTGAGATGGAGTTTTGCTCTTGTTGCCCAGGCTGGAGTGCAATGGCGCAATCTCGGCTCACCACAACCTCCGCCTCCTGGGTTCAAGCGATTCTCCTGCCTCAGCCTCCCGAGTAGCTGGGATTACGGGCATGCGCCACCATGCCCGGCTAACTTTGTATTTTTAGTAGAGATGGGGTTTCTCCATGTTGGTCATGCTGGTCTCTACCTCCTGACCTCGTGATCCGCCCGACTCGTCCTCCCAAAGTGTTGGGATTACAGGTGTGAGCCACCGCGCCCTGCTATTTCATTATTTCTATAAGGAATTTTCCCACAGTCAAAGCTCTCCAAGAAGGTACGGGCTGCTGTGTAATGTAGGGAGCTTCCTGTCACTGAAGTGCGCAAGTAGACACTGGGAAACCACTGGGTGGAGGTTTGGCCCTGGAGATTCGGGTGGAGAAAAGACAAGCAGAATTGCAGGCCCCTCTCACCATGGCTGAGATTTTATTTTATTGTTTGTTTATCGATTGATTGATTGATTGACTGATTGATTTTAGACGGAGTCTCATTCTGTTGCACAGGTTGGAGTGCAGTGGCGCAATCTCGGCTCACTGCAACCTCTGCTCCCCTGGGTTCAAGCAATTCTCCTGCCTCAGCCTCCCAAGTAGCTGGGATTACTGGCATGTGCCACCATGCCCGGTTAATTTTTTTTTTTTTGTATTTTTAATAGAAACGGGGTTTCACCATGTTGGCCAGGTTGGTCTCGCACTCCTGACCTCAAATGATCCACCTGCCTCAGCCTCCCAAAGTACTGGGATTACAGGCACCCAACCCTGAGATTTTAAAAAGAATGATTTTTAAATGCTGTGATCTCAGGTTCTCCTTCCCCCTTGCCTGGCAGATGTCTGGACTTTGAGAGGCAGGGGGCTGTGCAAGGAAAAGGCATGATTTCATTAACCTCAGAGTCCTGGGACCTCAAAATCAAATTGGCCACACGGAATGTCATAACATGCACAGGAAGAGGGATAATCGTGGGGGTAGAGCAGAAAGTCTGGCTTAAATGAACAATTTACCATCCTCTGCAGGCTATAGTGGCCCCATTACCGGCTGGGAGCTGTGGGGTGGAATGAGGGGGTGTCTGGGTTGTGTTCTACTGATTTATAGTTCCCAGTGCAGCTGCAGAAATCAGCAGCTTTGTCTCTGGCCAGGAAGGGTGTGTGCAGAAAGAATCTTTTCTTCTGTAGTCTTTTTTTTTTTTTTTTTTTTTTTTGACATGGAGCCTCACTTTATCACCCAGGCTGGAGTGCAATGGTGCGATCTCGGCTCACTGCACCTTCCACCTCCTGGGTTCAAGTGATTCTCATGCCTCAGCCTCCCAAGTAGCTGGGATTACAGATGTGCACCACTACACCCGGCTATTCTTTTTTAAATTTTATTTGTTTGTTTATTTATTTATTTATTTATTTATTTGAGACGGAGTCTTGCTCTGTCACCCAGGCTGGAGTGCAATGGCATGATCTCGGCTCACTGCAACCTCCGCCTCCTGGGTTCAAGCAATTCCCCTGCCTCAGCCTCCTGAGTAGCTGGGATTACAGGTACGCACACCATGCCTGGCTAATTTTTGTATTTTTTGTAGAGACGGGGTTTCACCATGTTGGCCGGGCTGGTCTCGAGCTCCAGACCTTGTGATCCGCCTGCCTTGGTCTCCCAAAGTGCTGGGATTACAGGCGTGAGCCACTGTGCCTGGCCAATTTTTGTATTTTTTAGTAGAGATGAGGTTTCACTATGTTGGCCAGGCTGGACTCGAACTCCTGACTTCAGGTGATCCACCCACCCGGCCTCCCAAAGTGTTGGCATTACAGGTGTGAGCCACCGTGCCCAGCCCGTCTTTCTTGATAAGTAGAAAGAACTCAAACTTCAAGGTCCTGTGAGGTCAAAAAAACCCCATTCAGGCCGGGTGCGGTGGCTAACACCTGTAATCGCAGCACTTTGGGAGGCTGAGGTGGGTGGATCATTTGAGGTCAGGAGTTTGAGACCAGCCTGGCCAACATGGTGAAACTTTTTCTCTACTAAAAATAAAAAAGTTAGCCGGGCGGTAGTGGTGCATGCCTGTAATCCTAGCCACTCGGGAGGCTGAGGCAGGAGAATCGCTTGAGCCTGGGAGGCGGAGGTTGCAGTGAGCCGAGATCGCATCACTGCACTCCAGTCTGGGTGACAGAGTGAGAACCTATCTCCAAAAAAAAAAAAAAAAAAGCCCCATTCAAAGAACACCACACAGAGAGAGGCAGAATTTTCCTCCCCTGCAGAAATGAGCTTGTTACCAAGGCATAGAACTGTGACTCATGGATGATGGTTCTTTTTCTTTTTTCTTTTTTTTTTTTTTTTTTTGAGATGGCGTCTGGCTCTGTTGCCCAGGTTGGAGTGCAGTGGCGCCATCTCAGCTCACTGCAGCTCCACCTCCTGGGTTCACGGCATTCTCCTGCCTCGGCTTCCCGAGTAGCTGGGACTACAGGCGCCCGCCACCACACCCGGCTAATTTTTTTTTTTGTATTTTTAGTACAGACAGGGTTTCACCGTGTTAGCCAGGATGGTCTTGATCTCCTGACCTTGTGATCCGCCCGCCTCGGCCTCCCAAAGTGCTGGGATTACAGGCGTGAGCCACTGTGCCTGGCTGATGGTTCTTTTTCTTGAGTACCTATTTTGTGCCAGGCACCCTGCCTAGAGATGTATATATATTATCCCATTTAATTTTTGCAGACCTCGTAGGAGGTGAGTGTGTTGCCCCCATTGTATACATAAGGAAACTTGAGGCTCAGAGAAACGACATAACATGCCCAAAGTCCCAAGATAATTTTGAAATCAGAAGAGTGTTGTTCTGAACCCAGAGCCCACACTCTTTTTTTTTGAGACGGAGTCTCGCTCTGTTGCCCATGCTGGAGTGCAGTGGCGCGATCTCGGCTCACTGCAAGCTCTGCCTCCCAGGTTCACGCCATTCTCCTGCCTCAGCCTCCCGAGTAGCTGGGACTACAGGTGCCCACCACCGCGCCCGGCTAATTTTTTTTTGTATTTTTTGTGGAGATGGGGTTTCACCGTGTTAGCCAGGATGATCTCGATCTCCTGACCTTGTGATCCACCTGCCTCAGCCTCCCAAAGTGCTGGGAGTACAGGTGTGAACCACTGCACCTGGCCAGAGCCCACACTCTTAACCATTGCCTTGTTCTCTGCCACCTTGTATGTCAAGTTCAGCCCCTCTGATTTACAAATGAGGAAACCGAGACCTAGAAAGGTTCTGTGTCTTTTGAGTCCATGGCCAAGGCTGGACTAGAACTGCTTTTCCTATCCCCTTGCTCCCTCTCCTTGTGTCTCTTTGCACAATTGGGATTTTCCAAAGTGAGAGAGAGGCAGGGAGTGGCTGGAAATAGCAGTACTTGGGAACACAAGAAGTAGGTTCTTTTTTTTGAGACAGAGTCTCACTCTGTTGCCCAGGCTGGAATACAGTGGCACGATCTCGGCTCACTGCAACCTCCACCTCCCGGGTTCAAGCGATTCTCCTGCCTCAGCCTCCTGAGTAGCTTGGATTACAGGCGCACGCCACCACATCCGGCTAATTTTTGTGTTTTCAGTAGAGACAGGGTTTCATCATGTTGGTCAGGCTGGTCTTGAACTCCTGACCTTGTGATCCGCCTGCCTCAGCCTCCCAAGGTGCCAGGATTACAGGCGTGAGCCACAGCGCCCAGCCCAAGAAGTGGGTTCTTACACAGGGCAGCCTGGCCTAGGGGCTACTGATAACACATGATAGGCCTAAAGAACTCCAGGTTCCCTGGGACAAGGCCAACAGCAGGGAGGCAGCCCTGTCCTTCATCAGCAGGTGGACTAGGGTTCAAATCCAGCTTCTTGCTGGCTGTCCACTGTTGAACTCAGCGTGCTGTCTGTTTTCTCATCTGTGAAATGGGGATGATAGAAAAACTCTACATCATTGGGTTGTCCCCCCTGAAGTACCAGGCACAGTTCTAGGTACTTGGGATGCAACAGTGATGAAGACACAGTCCTTGCCCTCATGGAGCTGACAGTCTAGTGGGGAAAAGATGGACAGTAAACAAATAGATATAAGGCTAAGGCTATAGGCAGTGAAGTCAACCGAAACAGGCATTGGGTGAGAGGGTGGCGGGGCTGCAGTTGTACAGGCATACCTCAGAGATACTGTGGTTTGGGTTCCAGACCACTGCAATAAAGCAAATATCTCAAAGCAAGTCACACACATTTTTTGGTTTCCCAGTGCATATAAAAGTTGTTTACAGCTGGGTGTGCTGACTCATGCTTGTAATCCCAGCACTTTGGGAGGCTGAGGTGGGCAGATTGCTTGAGCTCAGGAGTTAGAGCCCAGCCTGGGCAACATGGCAGAACCCTGTCTCTACAAAAAAATACAAAAATTAGCCGGGTGTGGTGACATGCACCTGTAGTCCCAGCTACTCGGGAGGTTGAGATGGGTGGAGCCCAGGAGGTCAAGCCTGCAGTGAACCGAGATCACGCCACTGCAGTGCAGCCTGGGTGAGAGAGCCAGACCCTGTCTCAAAAAAAAATAAAAAAAAAAGTTGTTTATACTGTAGTCTATTAAGTGTGTCATAGTATTATGTCTAAAGAAAAATATACATACTTCAATTTTAAAATACTTTTATTGCTAACAAAATACTAATGATCATCTGAGCCTTCAGCAAATCATAATCTTTTTGCTGGTGAAAGGTCTTACCTCAATATTGATGGCTGCTGGTTGGGGGTAGTGGTTGCCGAAGGTTGGGGTGGCTGTGGCAATTTCTTAAAACAAGGCAACAGTGAAGTTTGCTGCATCAATTGAGTCTTTCTTTCATGAAAGATTTCTCTGTAGCATGCGATGCTGTTTGATAGCATCTTACCAACAGTAGAACTTTCAAAATTGGAGTCAGTCCTCTCAAATCCTATTGCTGCTTTATCAACTAAATTAATGTTATATTCTAAATCCTTTGTTGTCATTTCAACAAAGTTCACAGATCTTCTTCACCAGGAGTAAATTCCATCTCAAGAAACCACTTTCGGCCAGAAGCGGTGGCTTACGCCTGTAATTCCAGCACTTTGGGAGGCCAAGGTGGGCAGATCCCTTGAGGTCAGGAGTTCAAGACCAACCTGGGCAACATGGCAAAACCTTGTGTCTACAAAAAAATACAAAAATTAGCTGGGCGTGGTGGTGTGCGCCTGTAGTCCCAGCTACTAGGGAGGCTGAGGTGGGGGGATTGCTGAAGTCCGGGAGGCAGAGGTTGTGGTGAGCTGAGATTGCACCACTGCACTCCAGCCTGGGTGACAGAGCAAGACCCTGTCTCAAAAACAAAACAAAACCAAAAGAAACCACTTTCTTTCTTTTTGATTTTTGTCTCACTGTGTTGCCCAGGCTGGAGTGCAGTGGCTACTCACAGGCACGATCATAGCTCACTACAGCCCCAAACTCCTGGGCCCAAGTGATCCTCTTGCCTCAGTCTCCTGAGTAGCTGGTAGTACAGGCGCATGCCATTGCGCCTAGCTTCAAGAAACCACTTTCTTGCTCATCTATAAGAAGCAACTTCTCATCCATTAAAGTTTTTTCATGAGATTGCAGCAGCAGCAATTCAGTCACATCTTCAGGCCCCACTTCTAATTCTAGTTCTCTTGCTATTTCTACTACATCTGCAGTTACTTCCTCCACTGAAGCCTCGAACCCCTCAAAGTCATCCATGAGGGCTGGAATCAACTTCTTTAAAACTCCTGTCAATATTGTTTTTTTCTTTTCCCCCTGCTCAGAGACACAGTCTTAGTCTGTTGCCCAGGCTGAGTGCAGTGATCATAGCTCACTGCAGCCTCAAACTCCTGGGCTCAAACTATCCTCTTGCCTCAGTCTACCAAGTTGCTGGGACTACATGTGTGTGCCACCATGTCTGGCTAATTTATTTATTTTTTATTTTTATTTTTTGTAGAGCCGGAGTTTCTGTGTTGCCCAGGCTGGTCTCGAGCTCCTGGCCTGAAGGGATCCTCTCACCTCAGCCTCCCAAAGTACTGGGATTACAGGTGTGAGCCACCACACCTGGCCACAAATGTACCTAATGGCAACTAGAATGGTGAATTTTTTCCAGCTTTCAGTTTCCTCTGCCCAGATCCATGAGAGGAACCACTATCTATGACAGCTGTAACCTTACAAAATGTATTTCTTAAATAATAAAACTTAAAGGTTAAAATTATTCCTTGATCCGTGGGCTACAGAATGGATGTTGTGTTAGTAAGCATGAAAACAACTTAATCTCCTTGTACATCTCCATCAGAGCTCTTGGGTGACTAGGTGCATTGTCAATAAGCGATAATATTTTGAAAGGAATCTTTTTTTCTGAGCAGTTTGTCTCAACAGTGGGCTTAAAATACTCCATCAACCATGCTGTAAACAGATGTGCTGTCATCCAGGCTTTGTTGTACCATTTATAGAGCACAGGCAGAGTAGATTTAGCATAATTCTTAAGGGCCCTAGGATTTTTGGAATGGTAAATGAGCATCGGCTTCAATTTAAAGTCACCAGCTGCATTAGCCCCTAATGAGTCAGCCTGGCTGGGTGCGGTGGCTCATACCTGTAATCCCAGCACTTTGGAAGCCGAAGAGGGAGAGTCGCTTGAGCTCAGAAGTTCGAAGCTGCACTGAGCTATGATCGTGCCACTGCATTCCAGCCTGAGTGACAGAGTGAAACTCGATCTCTTAAAAAAAAAAAAAAAAAAAAAGCCAGGCGCAGTGGTTCACGCCTGTAATCCCAGCACTTTGGGAGGCCAAGGCAGGTGGATCACCTGAGGTCAGGAGTTTGAGACCAGCCTGACCAACATAGTGAAACACTGTCTCTACTAAAAATACAAAAATTAGCCGGGTGTGATGATGTGCACCTGTAATCCCAGCTCCTCGGGAGGCTGAGGCAGGAGAATCGCTTGAACCCAGGAGGTGGAGGTTGCAGTGAGCCGAGATTGCGCCACTGCACTCCACCCTGGGTAACAGAGTGAGACTCTGTCTCAAAAAAAAAAAAAAAGGAGAGAGAGGGAGCATCAGTCTCTCCTTGAAGCTTTGTAACCAGGCACTGACTTCTCTCTAGGAATGAGAGTCCTAGATGATATCTTACTCCAATAGAAGGCTGTTTTGTCCCCTTGAGAATCTGTTGTTTAGTGTAGCTGCCTTCATCAGTGATCTTTAAAGCCCCATGGACCAGCCTCTGCCACCTTCAAACTTGTCTTCTACAGTTTCCTCACCTCTTTCAGCCTTCTTAGAATTAAAGAGAATTAGGTCCTTACCCTGGATTAGGCTTTGGCTTAAGGGAATGTTGTGGCTGGCTTGATCTTCTATCCAGACCACTCAAACCTTCTCCATATCAGCAGTTAAGTGTATTTTGTTTCCTTTCTTTCTTTCCTTCTTTTAAGACAGAGTCTTGCTCTGTTGCCCAGGCTGGAGTGCAATGGCGCGATCTCGGCTCACTACAACCTCCTCCTCCCAGATTCAAGTGATTCTCCTGCCTCAGCCTCCTGAGTAGCTGGGATTACAGGTGCCCGCCACCACACCAGCTAATTTTTTGTATTTTTAGTAGAGATGGGGTTTCACCAGGTTGGCCAGGCTGGTCTCGAACTCCTGACCTCAGGTGATCCACCCACCTCGGCCTCCCAAAGTGCTGGGATTACAGGCGTGAGCCACCGTGCCTGGCCTTCTAGATTTTGATCTACAGTGCAAGACATGCGACCCTTTCATTTTCTTTTTATCTTCTGAGACAGGGTCTTGCTCTGTCGCCCAGGCTGGAGTGCAGTGATGCAATCATGCCTCACTGCAGCTTCAACTGGCTGGGTTCAAGTGATCCTCTTTCCTCAGCCTCCGAAGTAGCTGGAACTACAGGTGCGCACCACCATACTCAGCTAATTTTTTAATTTTTTGTAGAGATGGGGACTCACTTTTTTCCCAGGCTGGTCTTGAACTCCTGAGCTCAAGCAATCCTTCCAGCTCAGCCTCCCAAAGTGCTGTGATTATAGGTGTGAGCCACTGCACCTGGCCCTTTCTTTCACTTGAACACTTAGAGGCCATTGTAGAGTTATTAATTGGCCTAATTTCAATATTGTTGTGTCTCAGGGAATAGAGAGGCCTGAGGAGAGGGAGAGAGATGGGGCAATGGCCAGTCAGTGGAGCGGTCAGAACATACACATTTATCAATTAAGTTCATCCTCTTACAGGCGTGTGGTTTGTGGCACTCCAAAACAATTACAGTGGTAGCATCCAAGATCACTGATGGCCAGGCACGGTGGTCATGCCTGTAATCCCAGCACTTTGGGAGGCTGAGGTGAGAGAATCGCTTGAGCCCAGGAGTTCGAGACCAGCCCTGGCAACATAATGAGACTCCATCTCTACAAAATGAAAAAAACAATAGCAAGGTGTGGTGGGACATGCCTGTAGTCCTAGCTACTTGGGAGGCTGAGGTGGAAGGATTGCTTGAGCCTGGGAGGTCGAGGCTGCAGTGGGCTGTGATAGTGCCACTGTACTCCAGCCTGGGCAACAGAGTGAGGACCCAGTCAAAAATAAAACAACAACAACAACAACAAAAACACTAATCACAGATAACCATAAGAGATATAATTATGAAAAATTTGAAATATTGCAAGAATTACCAAAATATGACATAGATACAAAGTGAGCACTTGCTGTTGGAATAATGGTGCTGATAACTTGCTCATAGCAGGGTTGCCACAAACCTTCAATTTGTAAAAAACACAATATCTACAAAGTGCTTTAAACGAGGCATACCTGTATATGGAGAGGTCAAAGAAGAGGAGACAAATGAGCAGAGGACTGTTGCTTGGAGGAAGAGTGTTTTAGGCAGAGGGAACAGCAAGGGCAAAGGTTAAGGGGGATGATGCTGTATGGCTTTAGCACAGGGCCTGGCCCACAGCAAGAAGCCATTGGTGATAATGAGGCCTTTTGGATCATTGCCCAGCACCTGGGAACCAGGGCAGGAATTAAGCCAGAGCGGAGATGCTGCTTCTCCTGGCCCCACCAGATGCTGTCCCCACCAGATGCCCCTGCAGGACAGATGGAGATAATCTGTTTCCCTTGGTTACAAAAACTCATCCTCCCACAGTGCTGGGAAATACCCCACATCTAGTGATTTTCCATTCCTCCCTGAGGGGAGCGAATGGAGCTGTCCTGCTGGGAGGGGCAGGTTAGCCACAAGACACTCCTTCCACCTGCCTAGGCCTTGTTGTCCCATATAAGAGAGGGCTCGGCCTGGTGTGGTGGCTCACACCTGTAAGCCCAGCAATTTGGTAGGCCGAGGTGGGTGGATCACGAGGTCAGGAGATGGAGACCATCCTGGCCAACATGGTGAAACACTGTCTCTATTAAAATACAAAAATTAGCCGGGCGTGGTGGCGTGCGCCTGTAGTTTCAGCTACTCAGAAGGCTGAGGCAGGAGAATCGCTTGAACTTGGGAGGTGGAGGTTGCAGTGAGCTGAGATCGTGCCACTGCACTCCAGCCTGGGCGACAGAGTGAGACTCCGTCTCAAAAAAAAAAAAAAAGAGCTCAACAGCAAAGCATAGCATACTGACTCGGTCGGAGTTAACACCAAAAATAGAACTGCTGACTTTTTTCTTTCTTTCAGTGATCATGGCTCACTGCAGGCTCAACTGCCCAGGCTCAAGTGATCCTCCCACCTTAGCCTCCTGAGTAGCTGGGACCACAGGCACCACCATGCCTGGCTAATTTTTTTATTTGTAGAGATGAGGTCTCACTATGTTGCCCAGGCTGGTCTTGAACTCCTGGGCTCCAGTGATCCTCCTGCCTTGGCCTCCCAAAGTACTGGGATTACAGGCATGAGCCACCATGCCTGGCTGACCTTTTTTGGATGCTGACAAGGTGGCCAGCTTTGTGCCAAGCTCTATGTGAAGCATTGCACATAGGTTATTTCATTTAATTCAGCCAGCTCTATGAGTTTAGTACCATGTTTCTCTCCATTTGACAGATGAGAAAACTGGGGCTCAGAGATGATAATTCACTTGCCCAGGGCCACAGTTAGGAAGTGGCAGAGCCAGCCTTTGAACTGAGGCCCCTTGACTCTCAGAGCTCAGATGTACAAAGTGTCCATGAAGCAGTGTCCATGAAGCAATGTCCATGAAGAAGGCTGAACCTATGATACCCTCTGATTTCCACTGTGGAAAAATGACTTTTTGATACAGCCAGGGATTGGGAGAGGCTGTGGAACAGAGCAGACTTATTTGTAATGTCATTAAAATAATTTAAAAAATAATCCATTGTTAATAAACAAAAGGAAAGAGAAGCTCTTTTGGGTCCCAGGCAGAGAGATGGCATAAGAAGTAAAGGCCAAGCTCAGTGGCTCCTGCCTGTAATCAAGTCGGTAGGAGGCCTGCTTTGGGAGGCCGAGGTGGGAGAATCGCTCGAGCCCAGGAGTTCAAGACCAACCTGGGCAGCACAGGGAGACCCCATTTCTACAAGAAATACAAAATTAGCCAGGAATGGTGGCACACACCTGTAGTCCCAACTTCTTGGGAGGCTGAGGTGGGAGAATTGTTTGAGCCCGGGAGCTGGCGGCTGCAGTGAGCTGTGATTGCGCCACTGCACTCTAGCCTGGGTGGTAGAGTGAGACTCTGTCTCAAAAAAAAAAAAAGTAACATACAGCATGGCCAAAGGCCTGGAGTCTGCCTGGGCTTTTTGGAATGCCTGGCTTTGCATCTCAGTTCTGTTCATTCTACACTCCTGGATGAGCGCCTTTCATCTTTGGGTCAGTTTCTTCTATAAACAAAATGGGAATATACTGAGACCCACTTCCTGGGGTGTGTGTGATTCAAATGAGAGAACATGTGTGATGCTCTGAACAGGGGCTCCCTAGCCCATTGTCTTCAAAGGGTATTTCTTTGCTGGGGAGCTGGGTGGGTACAGGTTAGGGAAACTGTAACATCTACATCACTGTCACTAAGAATAATAAACTTGTGGACATTATTTACGTGGAATTGTGGGACTGAAACATTAAGCTGGCAGATGGTGAGGACTCAAAATCATGAAGAACCGAGAAATTACAACTGTGGAAAAAATGAGCCTGTGTTTGACAAGATTAGAAGGCTCTCTACAGGAGACCTTGCATGCAAAATCTCACTGAGTCTTCACAACACTTCTATGAGGTAGGAACAATGTAATGTGCCCATTTTACAGGTGAAGAAGCTGAGACTCAGAGATGAAAGACTTTTGCCTAAGGGCACCTGGTTAGTAAGTGTCTGACAGCAAAGCCCCCCATGTGATGGTGGGTGTCACTGCCCTTTTCCAGCTCAGGAGACTGCGTGGCTCTGTGGCACCAGCCTTGGCCTAGAGCGTGGGCTTTGGGTCTGTATCAGGCATGATCCTATCAGAGAAAAAGCACCAGTAGGATATATTTCAGGGAGTTGGCTTATACCGTTGTGGGGTCTGGCTGGGCAAGTCTGAAAGTGGTAGGTGGAAAACTCAGGCAGGAGCTGATGCTAGAGGTGGAGTTTCTTCTGAGAAATCTGTTTTGTTCATAAGGCCTTTGAACTGATTGGAAAAGGCCAACCCAGATGATCAAGGATAATCTCCTTAAAGTCAGCTGATGGCAGATACTAACCACAGCTACAAAATCCTTTCACAGCAACGCCTCGATTAGTGTCTGATAAAATAGCCGGGTACTATAGTCTAGCCAAGTCGACACATCAGACTAACCATCACGGGGCCAGACAGACCTGGGCTTGAGTCCTGGTACTACAACCTGTCAGCTGTGTTTCGTTGGGCAAGTTTCCCTGACTCTCTGATCCACAGTCCCCTCATCTACCAAATGCCGTGGTAGTGCTTACTACATTTGGCTATCAGGATTAAATGCAATGATATAAATCACAGTGCCTTCATCCAGTGCCTGTCACCTAGAGAGAGGGAAGACACACACAAAAGTAGGTGGTCACAAACCAGTGTTCTGTTTTTTTGTTGCCCAGGCTGGAGCGCAGTGGTGTGATCTCGGCTCACTGCAACCTCTGCCTCCTGGGTTCAAGTGATTCTTCTGCCTCAGCCTCCAGAGTAGCTGGGATTACAGGTGCACTCCACCATGCCTGACTAATTTTTGTATTTTTAGTAGAGACAGGGTTTCACCATGTTGGCCAGTTTGGTATCGAACTCCTGACCTCAGGTGATCCGCCCACCTCGGCCTCCCAAAGTGCTGGGATTACAGGCGTGAGCCACCGCGCCCAGCCTTGAACCAGTGTGTCCCCATGACAGTGCTGCTGCTTGTTTCTGTGCTTGCATTCCCTTTTACCAGTTCCTCCTGGAGGGCAGGAACTGTGTCACATTCATCCTCAATCCTGTTTCGTAGCTTAGTCCCTCACCCTAAGGAGGCATCACTAAGTATTTCTTTCTTTTTTTCTTTTTTTTTTTTTTTTTGAGATAGAGTCTTGCTCTGTCATCCAGGCTGGAATGTAGTAACTCGATCTCGGTTCACTGCAACCTCCACCTCCTGGGCTCAAATGATCCTTCCACCTCAGCCTCCTGAGTAGCTGGGACTACAGGTGTGTGCCACCATGCTGGGTAATTTTTAAATTTTTGATAAAGATAAGGTCTCCCTATGTTGCCCAGGCTGGTCTCGAACTCTTGAGCTCAAGTGATCCTCCCACCTCGGACTCCCAAGGTGCTGGGATTACAGGTGTGAGCCACTGTGCCCATTCAGGTACTTCTTAAATATCCAGATGGCACTTTGTTAACGAGATTTGGTCTGTAGAGTTGTTGGGATCTATAATAAAAATCACCCAACTACGAGACAAGAGGGCAGTAAGATGTGCAGGAACCTCAGGCTGCTGTCTCCTTCAGAGAAACCCCTGACTTTTCAGCTTAGAAAGTCTTTCCTCCAGGGAGCCTTCTCTGATTGCTCCTCACCGCCCTTCCAGCCAACAGGTAACCCTCCTCTATGTTCCCACAGTGTCCTGTGTGTCCCCCGCCATTGGAATAGGGTCTATGCACTATTTCAGACACCTGTTTGCTCCCCTGTTCTGCTCTCCCCACCATGAGTGGGTGTGGGGTAGAGGGAGTATATCCTTTGTTCATAGCTGGAGCCCCAGCAGAGGGTCCAACACTCAGACAGCATGTCACTAGGTGTTTGTACAAAGGACCTGTCCTATTTCCAGAGGTCCAGGGTCTGATATGCCACATCCTTGTGGGAGTCTGCGTTCTTGGGCCCCCATTGTGCCTGCTGCCCCATCCCTGGTCCAGCCACCCCTAAGCCAGAAGCAGAGCCAGGGTGGTGGGGAGGAGCTGCTCTTCCCTGGCTGCCATGAGTGTGTTGTTCTTGAACTGAGGTGAACGAGGCATCTGTCCTGCTTCTTGTTGAGTGTGACCTGGCTGGCCTCCCTGCTCATGTTCAACTCTGGGGCCTGGATTTCTCTGTTCCAGCCTTTAATCTTCTCCTATGACATGCTCTCTGGGCTTCATTATAATTAACCACTTTCCTTCCTCAGGCTGTGCCAAAACTGAGACAGCTAATTAATTTCTGGCCACTTGCCACTCTCGTTAAGTGGTGGGCAGGGATGCAGCCTGCAGCTCTTGCTGCCCAGCTGGGCTTGTTTTGCCAGTCGTGGAGGGCAACCACCCTTTGTCTGCAAATAGAGGGAGCCCCAGCTGGACCCCGGCTGACTGGCAGTAGCTTCATTGAAGCTATTTGTTCCCCCACAGTGGGCAGAGCCTTTGTGATCACTGTGGTAGATGTGCCTTGGTTTCCTCATTTGTAAAATCAAGGGAATGAACTTGACCTGCAGCAGGGAGAAGATTGGGTGGTGGTTAGGAGTGTGGGTTCTGGAGTCCAAGGAACCTGAGACCCAAGCTAGGCCCTGCCATCCCTAGCTGTGGGCCTCTGGGTGAGTTACTTCATCCCTCTGAGCCTCAACATTCCCCACCTGTAAGATGGGGAGAGCAGTGCTCACCTCCTGTGGCGGTTGTGCGGATTCAGTGGGTTATGGAGCACATGGCTGCCACTTAGGAGGGAGACTGGCACATAGTGAGCGCTCGTAAACGCTCTACCCAGACATCTCTCCTTCTAGGCTAACATTCTATATTCTTGATGGAAAAAAGGCCTTCTGTTGTGAGAGCTGGGGTGTGGAGCAATTTTAACAGACATTGCTTCTGTGTTTAGGCCATGCCTGGTGAGATGGTTAGCCCCTTCGTATAGTTCCCTAGGGCTGCCATAGCAAATTGCCATAAACTGGGTGACTTAAAACATAAGACATTTCAGCCAGGCGCGGTGGCTCACGTCTGTAATCCCAGCACTTTGGGAGGCCAAGGCGGGTGGATCACAAGGTCAGGAGTTCAAGACCAACCTGGCCAATATGGTGATACCCCGTCTCCACTAAAAATACAAAAATTAGCCGGGCTTGGTGATGTGCGCCTGTAGTCCCAGCTACTCAGGAGGCTGAGGCAGAAGAGTAGCTTGAACCTGGGAGAGGTTGCAGTGAGCCGAGATCGCGCCACTACACTCCAGCCTGGGCGACAGAGCGAGATTCCATCTCAAAAAAAAAAAAAAAATTAGACATTTCACAGTTCAGGAGGCTAGAAGTCTGAAATCAAGGTGTTGGCTGGGCTGTGCTCCCTCCGAAGGCTCCGTGGAAGAACGCCTGCTGGCCCGGCTTCGGTGGTTGCTGGCAATCCTTGGCATTCCAGCTACCTCACTTTAATTTTTTCCTGTTTTCACATGGCCATGTATGTCTCTGTGTCTTGTGTCCTTTGTTTGATACAGGGCCTCTCTCTGTTGTCCAGGCTGGAATGCAGTGGCATGAACACAGCTCATGACTTCCTGGGCTCAAGCAATCCCAAGTAGCTGGGACCAGTGTGTGCCACCATGCCCAGCTATTTTTTATAGCAGCGGTCCCGAACCTTTTTGGCATCAGGGACCAATTTCGTGGAAGACAAGTTTTCCATCGATGGGGGCAGGGTGGGGGAACGGGGATAGTTTCAGGATGATTCAAGCTCATTACATTTATTGTGCACTTTATTTCTATTATTATTACATCATAATATATAATGAAATAATTATACAACTCACCGTAAGGTAGAATCAGTGGGGCTCCTGAGCTTGTTTTCCTGCAACTAGGTGGTCCCATCTAGGGGTGATGAGAGACAGTGACAGATCATCAGGCACTAGATTCTCATAAGGAGCTTGCAACCTAGATCCCTTGCATATGTAGTTCACAGTAGGGTTCACGCTCCTATGAGAATCTAATGCCATTGCTGATCTGACTGATCTGACAGGAGGCGGAGCTCAGGTGGTAATGCGAGCAATGGGGAGTGGCTATACATACAGATGAAGCTTCACTCGCCCACTGCTCACCTCCTGCTCTGTGGGCTGGTTCCTGTAAAACAGGGTTGGGGACCAGGTGCAGTGGCTCACACCAGGAATCCCAGCACTTTGGGAGGCCAAGGCAGGCAGATCACGAGGTCAGGAGATCGAGACCAGCCTGGTTAACATCATGAAACCCTGTCTCTACTAAAAATACAAAAATTAGCTGGGCATGGTGGCGTGCACCTGTAGTCCTAGCTACTCGGGAGGCTGAAGCAAGAGAATCACTTGAACCCAGGAGGCGGAGCTTGCAGTGAGCCAAGATCGTGCCACTGCACTCCAGCCTGGTGACAGAGTGAGATTCCGTCTCAAAAAAACAAAAAACAAAAAAAACAAAAAAAAACCCAAAAAATGGTTCGGGACCCCTCTTTTATGGAGAGTCTCACCGTATTGCCCAGGCTGGTCTTGAACTCCTGGACTCAAGTGATCCTCCTACCTCAGCCTTCCAAAGTGGGATTACAGGTGTGAGCCATGACACCCAACTCTCTCTTCATGTAAGGACACCAGTCATATAAGGACCCACCCTAATCTAGTATGACCTCATCTTAACTAATTACATCTGCAAAGTCCCTATTTCCAAATAGTGTCACATTCCGATGTTCCTGGTGGACATGGATTTTGGGGCACACTATTGAATTCAGTATACCCTCCCAAGGCTTACTTTCCTCCTCTGTACACTGAGGATGGCAGCAATTTCATAGGGTTTTTGGAGTGATTAAATGAGGTGATCTCTGTAAATGTCATAGTAGCATTCGATAGAATGTGTCAGTTGTGTAAGCACTGAGTCCACATAGCTGCTGAGATGGAGATGGTGGTGAAATGATGATAGTGATTGAGATGGTTCCATTCATGGACCTACCCTATGCTGGTTAATCACTAGACACAGGGACCTAGAATGTAGACATCTGCCAAGAGCCGGGACCTTGTCAGAAATTCTGAAGTCTTGGACAGGATTCTCCTTCCCCTTTAGCCTCAGCCACCTTGAACCTCACCTGAGACTTAGTTCCTAGGTCAGCTTGAAGAAGCAGAAGGAACTTGGTTTCCCAGAAGTCAGCAGAACAGATTTTCTGTGTGACCTTGCACAACTGTTTTCCCCTTTCCAGGCCTCAGTTTCCCCATCTGTAAAGTGAGAGAGGAGGTTTGAACCCATTGTTACCCATCAGAGCCTCTTCCAGCACTGAAGTTCCAACACAGGGCTCTGTGTCTCACCCCCATGGTGGCAGGTTACCAAGAGCCAGCAGAGAAGTCAGGGGCCCTGGGACTCCAGGGGCAGCCTCAAAGGTACATTTTGGATCCATCTTGTTCACTTGAGCAAGAAGAGAAGCCACTATGATATGGGTGCACCAGGCAGAGTGCTAGGAACATGGCAGGCATTACCTCATTTGATATTCCCCACACCATCACGAGGCAGGAAAGATCATGATAACCAGTTCACAGAGGAGTAAACCGAGGCTCAGAGAAGTTAGAGCTCACCCAAGATCAATGCAATTAGTTAGGGACAGAGCTGGGGCTTCAGTAGGTGTGTCCAGTGTCAAAGTCCATGCTTCTCCTTGGGCTGCCCTTTTTTTTGGTTGTTGTAAGAGATGGGATCTAAAGCTGTGTCGCCCAGGCTGAAGTGCAATGGCTATTCACAGGCACCATCGTGGCACACTACTGCCTTGAACTTCCGGGCTCAAGTGATCCTCCTGCCTCAGCCTCCCAGGAGCTGAGACTATGCATACTTTTTCAGATTAGTTCCCTGGGGCTGCCAAAATAAATTACTGCAGACTTGATGGCTTAAAACAGAAATGTATTCTCTCACAGTTCTGGAGGCCAGAAATCCAAAATCAAGGTGACAGCAGGGCTGTGCTTTCTCTGAAGCCTCTTGGGGAGAATCTTTCCTTGCTTCTTCCCGTTTCTGGTGGCTCCAGGCTCTTCTTAGTTTGCAGCTGCATCGTCTAATTTCTGCTTCCCTCTTCACACGGCCCTCTCCTCTCCTCCCTGTGTGTCTCTTACAAGGACACTTGTTGCTGGAGTTAGAGTCCCCCTCAATGATCCAAGATGGGCTTGAGATCCTTAACTTAATTATGACTGCAAATGATTTTGCATTTATAGTGAGCAGCTGTTATTTCTGAGAGCTCGAACAGCATTTGGGAATAAAATTAATTCTAAATACTCCAGCAATCCACACTGGATTTGGTTGGAGACCAAATGAGCTTTGGTCTAGGCTGGAGCCGTTTGTTCAGTTTGGTTCCTGAGGTACCACAGGGTCAGTGCGACTGGGTGTAGACGTTCTCACCTTGTTGCTGTTGTTGTTACTGTTTTTGATTTTAGGTCTCTTGCCCCCACCTTGAACTCATGGGCTGTTGTGCATCAGTGGGAAAAAAAAACCCTCAGTTTAGTTAACGACAAATTAGCTACCTTGGATAAATGATCAGAGTAAACATTTCCCCCACGACCAGCAGAGCTGAGTCACTTCAGACTTCAGGGCAAACCGGGTCAGGCCCAGGCATCCTTCAGGGCACCTGGGCTGGCCCAGGGTGAGCATGGGAGAAGGTAGGAAGGGAGGGAGGGAAGAAGGACGAAAGGAGACAGTGCAAGGGGAAGGGAGGATGAGGAAGAGAGATGCTCTGATTCGATCTCTTTGGTCTGTTGCTCATTACTGAGGATCAGGGCACCCTGGCACCTGCACTCAGGGTTCCTCCAGTAAGCGCTGTGTCTCCTCTGAGCCTGGCCCTGTGCTGGGTGCTAGGTCCTGGGAGACAGCATGAAGGGGACACAGTTCCTGCCTGAGGGATGTCTCAGTCTAGTGTGGAAGACAGACACATGAACATTTATTCATTTCACAAATGTGTTTTGAGTACCTGCTTTGTGCTGGGTGCTGCTGTAGGTTCTAGGCTCTTCGTGATAGCCAAGACAGACGTGATCCCTGCCCTCTGGGAGCTTATATATATATGAGATAGAGTCTCGCTCTGTCCCTCAGGCTGGAGTGCAGTGGCGTAATCATAGCTCACTGCAGCCTCTACTTCCTGCACTCAGGTGATCCTCCCACCTCAGCCTCCCGAGTAGCTGGGATTACAGGCATGAGCCACTACCTGGCAAAAAGAGTATGTGAAGGACACATAGAGTACTTTGGGTCCACAGGAGAGAAGCTAAAACTGAAGCCAAGAAGAAGGCACTGGGATTTCGGGGAAAAGCACTGGGTTTGACTCTCTGCTCAGCCTATTTGCCACTCTGCAGCCTGGGGCAAGTCCCACTGTCTGTAAATTGGGAATAATAAACACTGTCTGCCCCATAGTGAGGATTAAATAATGTAAAATACGGGGCCAGGCGTGGTGGCTCATGCTTGTAATCCCAGCACTTTAGGAGGCCAAAGTGGGTGGATCACTTGAGGTCAGGAGTTCAAGACCAGCCTGGCCAACATGGTGAAATCCCGGCTCCACTAAAAATATGAAAATTAGCCGGGCATAGTGGTGGGCAGCGGTAATCCCAGCTACTCGGGAGGCTGAGGCAGGAGAATCGCTTGAACTGGGAGACGGAGGTTGCAGTGAGCTGAGATCACACCACTGCACTCTAGCCTGGGAGACAGAATGAGACTCCGTCTCAAAAAAATAAAAAATAAAAATGAATAAATAAAGTAAAATGCTTATCCCAGTGACTGGAATATAGTAAGTGTCCAACAAATGTTTATTATCTGTTAAAAAACAAAACCAATTACAGGCTTAAGGAGCACATAAACCACACCTGAGAAAGACCTAGCACATAGTTATCCATGAATACTGGCTGCTGCCCCCTTGGGACCAGAGGTGTACATTTTGTTCTGAATTGACCTGTCCTCTTTGCTCCACTGGGCCCCACATTCGTGCCTGTGACGTTGTTCTGATGTTTATAAGTCTGTCTCTCCCTGACCCCACCTGGGCTGTGAGCACATTGTCTCCAAATCCTTAAACCAGAGCCGGGTTGGGGAATGTGTGAGAAGCAGATGAATGCTACGGTGTGGGCCCATCCCCAGCCCAGCCCGGCCCCTTGCCATGGCCAAGGTTTCACAGGTGCAGGTGGCAAGGAGGCTGGGGGAAAGCGGACACAGACCCAAGTGGTTATGAGCTTAGGCTCTGGAAACCAGATAGATATGCGCTTGTGTCCTGTCACCGCCACTTCTTAGCTGTGTGTTTTGGGTGAGCATCTAACTTAGCTCATTTGTAGGATGAGGCTGAGATGAAATCCTGCATTCACTGCTTTTGGCATAGTGCTTGGCGCATAAGAGAATATTGTTTAAAGGAAACAACTCACCCAAAGCTGCTGGTCCTGTCCCATTGACACCTTGCACAAAGGAAGGAATGTATTGATCTTCTGGGCACTGGGCATTTATTTATTTATTTTTATTTTATTTATTTATTTATTATTATTATTATTTTTGAAACAGAGTCTCGCTCTGTCACCCAGACTGGAGTGCAGTGGTGTGATCTCAGCTCACTGCAGCCTCCGCCTCCCGGGTTCAAGCGATTCTCTTGCCTCATCCTCCTGAGTAGCTGGGACTACAGGCATGCACCACCACACCTGGCTAATTTTTTTTTTTTTTTGTATTTTTAGTGGAGATGGGCTTTCATTATGTTGGCCAGGCTGGTCTTGAACTCCTGGCCTCAAGTGATTCACCCACCTCAGCCTCCCAAAGTGCTGGGATTACAGGCATGAGTCATTGTGCCGGCCTTATTTTTATTTTTATTTTTATTTTGAGACAGGGTTTCACTCTGTTGCCCAGGCTGGAGTGCAGTGGCATGATCATGGCTCACTGCAGCCTCAACCTCCCAGACTCAAGCGATCCTCCCACCTCAGCCTCCGGGGTAGCTGGGACTATAGGCATGCGCCACCACGCCCAGCTAACTTTTGTATTTTTAGTAGAGACGGGGGTTCGCCATATTGCCCCAGCTGGTCTCCAACGCCTGAGCTCAAGCAATTCACCTGCCTTGGCACCCAAAATGCTGAGACCACAGGCATGAGCCACTGCACCCGGCCTGAGCACCGGGCATTTAGACGTCGGCCGCTCTGACCAACTGCTCTGGCTTTGCCTGGGGAGAACATTCTTACCAGGAGCTTACTTGTCAGTCAGCACTTGGGTATTCAGTTGAGAAGCCCAGCTCTCCAGAGGCCCAGGAACAAGTGTGGATTGAATGTGGCCTGGCTGTGCCAGGGTACAACCAGTCTCCATCAAACTGAAAGAAAATTAATAGAGGTGGTGATGATCCTTCTGCAGTGGGGGCTTGTTTAACAGAGGAGTGTAGGGCTCCGAAAGGAACACGCATAGCCACTCAGTGCTTGGTGCTAAGGAAGCTTTGTGGATTTGGAATCAGAAAGAAAGCAAAGGGTTTCACAAAGGTATCTCACGGTCAACAGAGGTTCAGCCAGAGCTTTCCAGTCCCTACCCCCTGATTGGATCCAAAGGGTGATGATTAAACCCTAAAATAAAAAAGCAGGCCAGGTGTAGTGGCTCATACTTGTAATCCCAACATTTTGGGAGGCTGAAGTGGAGATCACTTGAGTCCAGGAGTTTGAGACCAGCCTGGACAACATAGCAAGATCCCATCTCTAAAAAAATAATAATTAAAAAAATTAGTTTGGTGTGATGGCACGCACCTGTAGTCCTAGCTACTTGGGAAAAAAAAAAGAAGAAGAAAAAGAAAAATACCAGGTCAGGGAGTACCAAAAGGGCTGCAATTTTCAACTACACACTGGCTTGTATGCTGCACGCTTTCACACGTGCGGCTCCTAGAAAGCATCATTACACTGAAATTACCAACAAGGAAGCAGGTTCAGAAAGGTGAAGTGACTTGCTCAAGATCACTGAGCTATGTATGTTGGGGAGCCAAGATCTGAATGGCTCGAAAGGACCCCCTCACCCCACTCCCAAGCTTAGAAAATAAACACAGCGACAGCTCTTGATTACCGCCTTTTTTATTGTGATAAAATATACACAACATAAAAAATACCATTGTAACCATTTTTAAGGGTGTAGTTCAGTGGCATTAAGTACATTCACACTGTTATGCAGCCATCACAACCGTTCGTCTCCAGAAGTTTTTCATCTTCCCAAACTGAATCTCCATACCATTTAAGCAGTAACTGCCCATCCTCCCCTTGCCCTAGCCCCTCGTAACCCCAGGGCTTCTGCCTCTATGACTGTGACTACTCTAGGTGCCTCATGTAAGTGGAATCATTCAGTGTTTGTCTTTTTTGACTGGCAAATTTTATTTAGCACGATATCCTCAAGGTTCATCCTTGTTGTAGCAGGTGTCAGAATTTCCTTCTTCTTCTTTTTTTTGTCTTTTGAGACAGGCTCTTGCTCTGTCGCCCATGCTGGAGTGCAGTGGTGTGATCTCGGCTTACTGCAACCTCAACTTCGGGGTCAAGCAGTCATTCCACCTCAGCCTCCCGAGTAGCTGGGACTACAAACGTGCATCACCACGCCCGGCTAATTTTTGTATTTTTTGTAAAACTGGCTTTGCCACCAGGCTAGAAATTTCCTTCTTTTTTAAGGGTGAATAATATTCCATTGTATGTCTATACCACATTTTGTTTCTCCATCTATCAATGGATATATGGGTTGCTTTCACCTTTTAGCTATTATGAAGAATACTGCTATGAACATGGGTATACACACAGCTCTTCAAAACCCTGCTTTTAATTCTTCTACCAGAAGAGGAACTGTTGGATTGATCATAAGAGGCAATTCTATTTTCAGATTTGTGAGGAATTACAGTTTTGTTTTCCACAGTGGCTGCACCATTTTACATTTCCAAAAACGGTACACGAGAGTTCCAGTTTCTTCAAATCCTTGCCAATACTTGATTTCTGTTTTTTTTTTTTTTTTCATTATCTTAATAGGTGTGAAGTGGTATCTCATTGTGGTTTTGATTTGCATTTCCCTAATGATAGTGATGTTGAGCATCTTTTCATGGGCTTATTGGCCATTTGTATATCTTTTTTAGGGAAATATTCAAGACAGGGTCTCACTTTGTCGTTCAGGCTGGAGTGTAGTGGTGTAATCATGGCTCACTGCAGCCTCGACCTCCAGGACTCAAGCGATTCTCCCACCTCGGCCCTCCAAGTAGCTGGGACTACAAGCGCATGTCACCATGCCCAGCTAATTTTTGTATTTTTTGTAGAGATGGGGTTTTGCCATGTTGGCCAGGCTGGTCTCAAACTCTTGGACTCAAGCGATCCACCCACCTCAGCCTCCCAAAGTGCTAGGATTACAGATGTGAGCTACTGTGCTCAGCCCTTGTTCATTTTTTAATTAACTTATTTGCTTTTGGTTGAGTTGTAGGAATTCTTTATATAGTCTGGATATTAACCCCTTATCAGATATGTGATTTGCAAATCTTTTCTCCCATTCCATGAGTGACCTTTTCATTCTGTTGACAGTGTCATTTGTTTTTGTTTTTTTGAGGGGGTGACAGAGTCTCACTGTGTTACCCAGACTGGAGTGCAGTGGCACAATCTCGGCTCACTGCAACCTCCACCTCCCAGGTTCAAGCGATTCTTGTGCCTCAGTCTCCCGAGTAGCTGGGATTACAGGTGTGCACTACCACTCTCGGCTAATTTTTGTATTTTTTTGTAGAGATGGGGTTTCAGCATGTTGGAGAGACTGGTCTCAAACTCCTGACCTCAGGTGACCCACCTGCCTTGGCCTCCCAAAGTCCTGGGATGATAGTGTCATTTGAGGCACAAAAGTTTTAAATGTGATATAGTCAGCCGGGCATGGTGGCTCATGCCTGTAATCCCAGCACTTTCGGAGGCCAAGGCGGGCAGATCACAAGGTCAGGAGTTCGAGACCAGCCTTACCAATATGGTGAAACCCCGTCTCTACTAAAAATACAAAAATTAGCTGGGGCCAGGCACGGTGGCTCATGCCTGTAATCCCAGCTCTTTGGGAGGCCGAGGTAGGTGGATAACTTGAGGTCAGGAGTTCAAGACTAGCCTGGTAAACATAGTGAAACCCTGTCTCTACTAAAAATACAAAAAAAAAATTAGCCGGGCATGCTGGTGGGAGCCTATAATCCCAGGTGCTTGGGAGGCTGAGGCGGGAGAATTATGAGGCAGAGGTTGCAGTGAGCCGAGATTGCACCACTGCACTCCAGCCTGGGCGACAGAGTGAGACTCCATCTCAAAAAAAAAAAAAAAAATTGATATAGTCCAACTTAATGTAGTTGTTGTTGTTGTTGTGGCCTAGGCTTTTGGTGTCATATCCAAGAAATCATTGCCAAATCTAAGAAGAAATTTAAAAAAGAGGAAAAAAAGAAAGAAAAACAAACAAATAAACACAAGAAATCATTGCCAAATCTGGTGTCATGAAGCTTTCCCACTATATTTTCTTCTAGGAGTTTTATGGTTTTAGCTCTTACATCTTTGATCCATTTTGAGTTAATTTTTGTATATGGTGTAAGGGAAAGGCCCAACTTCATATCCACAACCTTTTGTAACAGAAAAAAAAATTAGAGAACAACAGTAGAGTTTTGGGAAATGGAGCCATAAACAATTTCTCTTTCTAGAAAGTTGGGTCTCTGGCTCCCTACTGCCTTGTGCTCCATCTGGCTTCCACACAGTAGTCAGCGTGATCTTTTAAGAAACTCACATAAATGAACCACATCACTTCCCTGTTTAAAGTCTTCAATGGCTTCCTGTTACACTCAGAGTAAACCCAAACTTCTTGCCATAGCCCAAAGGCCCTGTGTGATTTGACTCCTGCAGATTTCCGCTGCCGCCTCTCCTGTTGCCTCCTTTCTGGCTCACTACACTGTCGTCACATGTGATTTCTGACCATTCCTGCAGCCCATCAGGCTCTTTCCTGCTACAGGGACTTTGTACATGCTGTTCCTTCTCTTTGGACCAACCTTCCTCCTTCACTTCACATGGCTAACTCTCATCCTTCCAACCTGGCAGAAATGTTGCTGTGTCTTAGATCAAAATATAGACTGGATGGCTTCAACAACAGAGATTTAGTTTCTCAGTTCGTAAGGACAGAAGCCCAAGATCAAGCTGCCACCACGGTCAGGTTCTGGTGAGGGCTGTCTTCCTGGCCTCTAGATGGCTGCCTCATCACTGCCCTCACATGGCAGAGAGAAAGAGAGAGAGAGCAAACTCGGGCAGATCACCTGAGGTCAGGAGCTGGAGACCAGCCTGGCCAACATAGTGAAACCGCATCTCTACTAAAAATACAAAAATTAGCTGGGCGTGGTGGTGGGCGCCTGTAATCCCAGCTACTAGGGAGGCTGAGGCACGAGAATCGCTTGAACCCAGGAGGTGGAGGTTGCAGTGAGCCGAGATTACAGCACTGCACTCCAGCCTGGGCGACAGAGCAAGACTCTGTCTCAAAAAAAGAAAAAAAAAAAAAAAGAGAGAGAGAGAGCGAGCAAGCTCTCTGGGGCCTCTCTTGTAAGTGCAGTAATCCCACCATCCCAAAGGCCCCATTGTATTTATTCAGAGTTGTATCACATGGAGGCTGTTTGCATTTTCTTTCTTTCTTTCTTTCTTTCTTTTCTTTCTTTCTTTCTTTCTTTCTTTCTTTCTTTCTTTCTTTCTTTTCTCTTTCTTTCTTTTTCTTTCTTTCTTTCTTTTTCTTCCTTCCTTCCTTCCTTTTCTTTCTCTTTCTCTCTTTCTTCCTTCCTTCCTTTCTTTACTTTCTTCCTTTCCCTTCCTTTCCTTTCCTGTCCCCTTTCCTGTCCCCTTTCCTTTCCCCTTTCCTGTCCCCTTTCCTTTCCGACGGAGTTTGGCTCTTGTGGCCCAGGCTGGAGTTCAGTGGCGCGATCTCAGCTCACTGCAACCTCTGCCTCCCGGGTTCAACCAATTCTCCTACTTCAGCCTCCTGAGTAGCTGGGATTACAGGTGCCCGCCACCATGCCCAGCTAATTTTTATGTTTTTAATAGAGATGGGGTTTCGCCATGTTGGCCAGGCTGGTCTTAAACTCCTGACTTCAGGTGATCTGCCTGCCTTGGCCTCCCAAAGTGCTGGGATTACAGCCGTGAGCTACCGCGCCCAGCCGAGCCTGTTTGCATTTCTGACCTGAGGACACCTCAGAGGTGACAGGACCAGGGCAGAGGTCCAGCCCAAATTGACATGAGTGCACTTAAATGGAAGGGCCCAGGTTCTTTGACGTTGTACATGTACCAGCTGAGGATCAAATGGCATGTGTTATTGGGAGAAGCAGTCTCTGTGGACATGGATACTGAAAGAATAATAAAGGCTGGGCACAATGGCTCAGGCCTGTAATCCCAGCACTTTGGGAGACTGAGGTGGGTGGATTGCTTGAGCCCAGGAGTTTGAGACCAGCCTGGACAACATGGTGAAACCCTGTCTCTACAAATAATTTAAAAATTAGCCAGGTGTGGTGGTGTGCACCTGTAAACACAGCTACTTGGGAGACTGAGGTAGGATCGCTTGAGCCCAGAAGGCCAAAGCTACAGTGAGCTATGATTGCACCACTGCACTCCAGCATGGGCAACAGGGTGAGAACCTGCCTCAAAAATAAATAAATAAAAATAAATAAATAAAACCAGAAAATCAAGTGTTGTGTTGGGCTTAGGGCTCTCATATGTAAACTGCAGAATAAAGCCAAAAACAAAAAACAAAAAAAACCCAGTTATTGGAAAAAAAATTTGCCAGGCACGGTGGCTCATGCCTGTAATCCCAGCACTTTTGGGGGCCAAGGCAGGTGAATCATGAGGTCAGGAGTTCCAGACGAATCTGGCCAAGATGGTGAAACCCTGTTCCCTACTAAAAATACAAAAATTAGCCGGGCGGGATGGCGGGTACCTGTAATCCCAAGCTACTCAGGAGGCTGAGAAAGGAGAATCGCTTGAACCTGGGAGGCGGAGGTTGCAGTGAGCCGAGATCGTGCCACTGCACTCTAGCCTGGACAGAGCAAGACTCCGTCTAAAAAAAAAAAATGACAGCAAGAGAAACCCCAATACCATCACGTTGGGAGTTAGGGCTTCAGTATATGAATTTGAGGGAACTGAATTCAGTTCATAGCACACCTCCTCAGAGAAGCCATTGTTGACCTTCTAATCTAAGCCAGGGTCCCTCCACACTCCCCAGCCTGTCACCCCCACTAGGCAGTGTCCATCAATATACTCCGTTCTTATCCTTCATGGCATCTTGGTAATAGCAGGTAACTGTTCATTAATTAATGCAGCAGTTTGTTCAATGTCTGCCCCCTCCCTAAGGTCACAGATTTCAAGAGGCCAGACTGTCGCCATTACTCCTAGATCACTTATTCAGTGCCTGGCACAGTTCAAGTGTCCACTTAATACCTGTTAGATGAGTGAGCAAACCCCAGTTTATAGTAAGTTCACATTCTTTTTCACTGTGAGAGGTGGGGAAGGAAGGAAGATAACAAGTACTGAGTGGTTACCAGATGTTGGCACTTAGACTGAGTTCAATACCAGCTCTGCCACTTACTGGTCATATGACCTTGGATAAATCACCTCGCCTCTTGTGTCTCAGTTTACCTTCTCTAAGAGATGTCAATACATATTTGGACCACGAGAAACAACTGGAAGAGGAATGACAGCAGGGGTGAGGTGTGGGACAGAAAACAGGGGCAAGAGGATGATTGTCTAGAGGGAGTACTGGGACTGTTAGGCACCCCCATCTTTGTATCCTGCACAACCAGATGGCTACCCTCCACTCTGCAAGAAGGCAAGGTTTTTTCTTTTCCTGGAGAAGTTAACATGGAGGAAGTCTGGACTCAGGGCCAGCAGACACAGAAAGGGTCAGGACAAGATACCAAAGGTAAATGGGGAGCAGGAGGCCAGGCACGGTGGCTCATGCCTGTAATCCCAGCACTTTGGGAGGCTGAGGTGGGAGGATCACTTGAGCCCAGGAGTTGGAGACCAGTCTGAGCAACATAGTGAGACCCTCATCTCTATTTTAATTTTTTTTTTAATGGGGAGATGGGGGGACTCCCGGGCCCTTTCTCCAGCTCTGCCAACAGAATTCTGGCAGCCAGAGGTATGCAACCCGGGTGAGAGATGGGGAGATTATTTTCTGAAGGCCTGAAGGCCAGAGAAGAGACCTACGGAAATTGATATTTACATGTGCCTCAGTGTAAAAGCCAGATCATCACTCAGTTCCCCTACAGTGAAGCCCACCAGTTGACAGAGCCCTCACACTGATACACATACACACACACACATGCACACACACACACGCACACACAGGGGCACACACACGTGCCCACGCACACGTGCACACGCACGGAGCTGCCAGTTATTTAGTGCTTCATTTAAAAATCAGCGTTTAATTATATTATATATCACCAGATACTTGAAGGAATTCTCCAGGATAAGAGAGGAAGGCTAAAGCAGATGAAGGAACAAAAATGTTTGAAGCAAGTAAAAGATGCAGAGAGCAGAAGAAAATACTAAACAAGGCTTCTTAGCATCCTCGGAGAGTTAAGAGAAGGTATCATGTCCCTGAAATAAGATACTATAAGTGCTATATGAAAAAGGAATAACAAGAGAAGAAGAAAGGGCACTGGAAAAATAAAACATGAGAGTCAAACTTTTTTTTTTTTTTTTTTTTTTGAGACGGAGTCTCGCTCTGTCGCCCAGGCTGGAGTGCAGTGGCGCGATCTCGGCTCACTGCAAGCTCCGCCTCCCAGGTTCACGCCATTCTCCTGCCTCAGCCTCCAGAGTATCTGGGACTACAGGTGCCCGCCACTACGTCTGGCTAATTTTTTTGTATTTGTAGTGGAGACAGGGTTTCACTGTGTTAGTCAGGATGGTCTCAATCTTCTGACCTCGTGATCTGCCCACCTCGGCCTCCCAAAGTGCTGGGATTACAGGCTTGAGCCACGGCGCCCAGCTGAGAGTCAAACTTTTTAAAAAGACAGGGGCCAGGCATGATCTCTTGTGCCTGTAATCCTAGAACTTTGGGAGGCCAATGTGTAAGGAACACTTGAACCCAGGAGTTCGAGACCAGCCTAGGCAACATAGGGAGACTGCATCTCTACAAATTTTATTTTTTTGAGACGGAGTTTCACTCTTGTTGCCCAGGCTGGAGTGTAGTGGCACAATCTCAGCCCACCGCAACCTCCACCTCCTGGGTTCAAGCGATTCTCCTGCCTCAGCCTCCAGAGTAGCTGGGATTACAGGCACGCTCCACCACGCCTGGCTAATTTTGTATTTTTAGTAGAGATGAGGTTTCTCCATGTTGGTCAGGCTGGTCTCCAACTCCTAACCTCAGGAGATCCACCCACCTCAGCCTCCCCAAGTGCTGGGATTACATGCGTGAGCCACTGTGCCCAACCTAAAAAATTTTAATTAGCTAGGCATGATGGTGCACCTGCGACCCCAGCTACTCAGGAGTCTGAGGTGGGAGGATTGATTGAGCCTAGGAGGTTGAGGCTGCAGTGAGCTGTGATCACACGAGTGCACTCCAGCCTTGGTGACAGAGCAAGATCTGTCTCAAAATAATAATAATAATAATAATAATAATAATAATAATAATAATAATAATAAAAGGTCAATGGAAGAATCGAGAGATAACAAAAAGGAAATTTCCCAGAGGATATAACAAAAGAGGATGTGAGGAAATTAGAGGATCTATCCAGGAGGCCCAATATCTGACTAAGGGATTTTCCAGGGATCCCAGAGAAGGCAAAGGGGAGGAAATGGTATGAGAACGTTTTATACTGAAGGACATGAATCTTCACACACACACGGAGCTGCCAGTTCACCTAGGAGAGATGGGGAAGGAAGGAAGGTAACAAGTACTGAGTGGTTACCCTTAGAGGGCCCAAAAGAAATGAAAAAGAGCCACTTGAAAGCACACCGTCACAAAGTGTCAGACTACCAGGGATAAAGAGAGGAACCGACAAGTTATGCAGGTAGAGAGGACAGATCACATACAAAACATCAGGAATCAGAATGGTTTTAGATGCTTCAGTGGCAACACTGGAGTCTGGACAATGAGGGAGCCATGCCTTCAAAATTCTGATGGAAAATTACTTCCAACCTACCATTTCATCTCCAGTCAAAGAAATCAGAAATTAGGATAGAATAACGACATTTTCAGACAAGCAAGGGTGTAAAAATTCTACCTCCTATGTGCCCTGTCTCAGGAAGTGATTAGAGGATGTCTTCCACCAAAATGAAGGCATAGATCAAGACAGAGGAAGACTTGCAAGCCAAGAAACGGGTGCTCTAGCCGAGGAGGACAGGTGCGCAGCTGGTGTAGAATAGAAAGCAAACAGTGCAGATGGAAAGTGGGGAGGAGGCCGGGCACCGTGGCTCACGCCTGTAATCCCAGCACTTTGGGAGGCCGAGGCGGGCGGATCACCTGAGGTTGGGAGTTCGAGACCAGCCTGACCAACATGAAGCAACCCCGTCTCTACTAAAAATACAAAATTAGCCGGGCGTGGTGGCTCATGCCTGTAATCCCAGCTACTCGGGAGGCTGAGGCGGGAAAATTGCTTGAACCGGGGAGGCGGAGGTTGCGCCATTGCACTCCAGCCTGGGCAATGAGAGAGAAACTCCGTCTCAAAAAAAAGAAAAAAAAAAAAAAAAGAAGAAGCCGGGCGTGGTGGCTCACGCCTGTAATCCCAGCACTTTGGGAGGCTGAGGTGGGCGGATCATGAGGTCAGGAGATGGAGACCATCCTGGCTAACACAGTGAAACCCCATCTCTACTAAAAATACAAAAAATTAGCCAGGCGTGGTGGCGGGTGCCTGTAGTCCCAGCTACTTGGGAGGCTGAGGCAGGAGAATGGCATGAACCTGGGAGGCGGAGCTTGGAGTGAGCCGAGATCACGCAACTGCCCTCCAGCCTGGGCGACAGAGCAAACTCCATGTAAAAAAAAAAAAAAAAAAAAAAGAAAAGAAAGAAAGAAAAGAAAGTGGGGAGGAAAGGTCCAGGACATAGCTCATAGCTCACTAGGAAAACAAAAAGAACTGGTAGATTATGCAATTGGATGGAAGAGACATCTTATAGGTCTTTTGGAATGTTTGAGGAGATTTAGCAATATGTACACAGAACTAAGCAAGTGGAGAAAATTGGCGCAATTATTACCTCTGGGAAACTTAAATGTCTGCACTAAAAAATGTAATTATAGTATGTTCTTTGGCTTAGCAGTGGACAATATCTACAAAGTCGTAAGAATGTAAACCCTAAATATTGAGTTAGCTAAAAATGGTGATAAAACTATATTGGAGCCAGACATGGTGGTGAGCACCTGTAGTCCCAGCCACTCAGGAGTCTGAGGCCAGAGAATCGTTTGAGCCCAGGAGATGGAGGCTGTAGTGCACTATGGTTGCACCTGTGAATAGCCATTGCACTCCAGCCTGGACGACATAGCACGACCCCATCTCTTAGGATTTTCTTTCTTTCTTTTTCTTTTTATTTATTTTTTATTTTTTATTTTTGAGATGGAGTTTTGCTTTTATTGCCCAGGCTGGAGTGCAGTGGGATGGTCTTGGCTCACTACAACCTCTGCCTTCCTGGGTGCAAGCAATTCTCCTGCCTTGGCCTCCCGAGTTGCTGAGACTACAGGTGCCCGCCACCACACCCAGCTAATTTTTTGTATTTTTAATAGAGAAGAGGTTTCACTATGTTGGCCAGGCTAATCTCAAACTCCTGGCCTCAGGTGATCTACCCACCTTGGCCTCCCAAAGTGCTGGGATTACAGACGTGAGCCACCGCGCCCAGCCAAGACCCCGTCTCTTAGAAACAAACAAATAAACAACTATGTTGGGAGGATGGAGAGAGGAACAATTGAGTGATGTGATGAGTTAGCCCTCATCTACTGTAATAGGGCATTGTGAGGAACATTACTAGTGTTCACTAATATCTGCTTCTCCCTGCTTTGGGTCACATAGAAGACTATTTCTCAACCCCTTGCAGTTGGGCATGGCCACATGACTACTTTTGGCCAGTCAGCTTCAGGTGGAAGTGATGTGTCGCCACTGGACTAAAGTTTAGATGATCCTGCAGCTGCCTCTTCTCCCTCTCTGGTGATCAAGGGGGCCTTGGGTTAAGACAGCAGGGCCACAGGGGTAAAGCAGCCTGGAATGGCCTCTTGGAATTTAGATTGTCCTGGAAACACTGAATGGACTCTGTGAGAGAGAAACCTTTCATTTGTTAAACCACTGGGATTTGGGTATTTAGGCATAGCCTTGCTTAACCAAATCCACGCTTCAACAAGTACTATCTAAAATGGATGAATCAAGAAATAGCCACGTAAGCATATTCTTTAGAATTGTGGAGATAATCACTATAAGAATAGCTAAAAACATTCAAAGTGATTGCCCCTGGGGAACAGGACAGAGGAATAAGAGAGCAAGGATGGGTAGAGGGGCAGCTGTTCTCATTATTGTCCTGTATGACTTTTTACACTATGTAATTGTGTTACATTGGCAGAAATAAAATTTTCTTTTTTTTTTCTTTTTTTTTTTTGAGATAGGGTTTCACCTAGTCGCCCAGGCTGGAGTGCAGTGGCGCAATCTCACTGCAGCCTCTGCCTCCCGGGTTCAGGTGATTCTCCTGCCTTAGCCTCCTGAGTAGCTGGGATTACGGTGCTCACCATCACGCCTGGCTAATTTTTGTATTTTTTGTAGAGATAGGGTTTTTCCATGTTGTCCAGGCTGGTCTTCAACTCCTGAGCTCAAACGATCTGCCTGCCTCGGCCTCTCAAAGTGCTGGGATTACAGGCATGAGCCACCACATCTGGCCAGAAATAAAATTTTCTAAAAAGCTATATACATATATGTAATTTGGAAGGATCCTCACCAAGTCATGATAGTGGCTGTCTCTCGGGAGAGAGGGCGTGCTACACAGAACATGTGAGGAACTACAGATGTGGCCAGACCCGGGATGGCACTGTGGGAAAGGAGGCTACCCAAATGGAAAGCCAGTTTAGGGAGCTGTTTGTTTTTAGACATGGGGTGTTGCTCTGTTCCCCAGACTGGAGTGCAGTAGCATTATCAGAGCTCACTGCAGCCTCCAACTCCCAGGATCAAGTGTTCCTCCTTCCTCTGCCTCCTGAGTAGCTGGGTCTATAGGCACACTCCACCATGCCCAACTAATTTTTTTTTTTTGAGACAGTGTCTTGCTGTGTTGCCCAGGCTGGTCTCAAACTCCTGGGCTCAAGCAGTCCTCGACCTCAGCCTCCCAAAGTTTTAGGATTACAGGCGTGAGCCACCATACCTGGCCAAATCTGCCTTTTAGAGTGAGCCGCCAACTTACGTGGGTGATGAATTGTGGGAGAGGGAGGCTGCCGCAGTGTCCCTGTGCGAGCTGGTGAGGTTGGACTAAGACATCCACATCACAGATGTCTCTTGTGAGCCTGCTTTTTTTTTTTTTGAGACAGAGTCTCACCCTGTCACCCAGGCTGGGGTGCAGTGGCATGATCTAGGCTCACTGCAACCTCCGCCTCCTGGGTGCAAGCAATTCTTCTGTCTCAGCCTCCTAAGTAGCTGGGATTACAGGAGCATGCCACTACGCCCGGCTAATTTTTGTATTTTAGTAGAGACGGGGTTTCACCGTGTTAGTCAGGCTGGTCTCGAACTCCTGACCTCGTGATCCACCCACCTCAGCCTCCCAAAGTGCTGGAATTACAGGCATGAGCCACTGCGCCTGGCTGAGAGCCTGCTTTTTTGCCGGGCACTGCTGGTAGGCCCAAGGGTACAGCAGGGAACAAAATGGACGAAGTCTTCTGGCTTCAGGGAACTTACATGGGCGAGAGACCCAAGTGGGCAGAAAAGAAGATGAATGTAAGTCAGGAAGTGGTTTGTGCTGTAATGAAAAATGAAGCCGCTGAAGGAGCTAGAGAGAGTTGGTGGGGAGGATGGTACTTTAGATAGAGTGGTCAGGGAGGGCCTCCCTGAGGAGGTGACATTTGAATAGAGTCCTGAATTAAGTGATGGAGCAAGCCATGCAAAATATGGGGGGACCGGGGTTCCAGGCAGAGGCAAGAGCAAGTCCAGAGGCCCCGAAGTGGGGAGGTGGGAGCGGGCTTGACGTGTCCAGGGAACATCAAAGAGGCCAGTGTGTGGCAGGGGCACATCGGTGGAGGGGAACATGCTGGGAACTGAGATCCCAAAGGTAGTCGGGGCAGCTTGCAGAACAGAGAGAATTTTGGGAAGTCGCTGGGGGACTGAGAGCAGGGGAGTGGCATGATTTGTCTTGGGGCTGGAGAAGGGAGTCTACGGTGGCCAGAAGGACGGGGCGTGGCTGTGGGTGGAGGGGAGAGAGGGGGGCCGTGAGGAGAGGAGCCCGGGGCCCTACCTGGCGGGCAATCAGCGCTGGGCCGCTCAGCCCGCTTGGACCAACTACAGCAGCTTCATCACCCACTTCCCAGCATCCCAGCCCCCTCTGGGAATGGAAGGATCCTTCACAAATCAAAATAGCAGGCAAAGAACAGCCTCTAATTGTTCTGCGTAAGAGCAGAGAAATTAGACGAGTCAGCTGTGGGGTTGAGACCGCCTCCCACACAGCTGTGATCCCACACCCCACTGAAGACACTTCCTGAGACTTGCAATTCTGCTGTATCTGAGCAAAACTTTTTCCTTCTCCAGCCCCAGAGCAAATGACAGCTATTTGGGAGGGAGTAGGATAGATGCTGCCCTGGAGGACAATGAGTGAGTCAATTTCTTTTCAACCAAAAATACCAGTCACTTCATGCAGGAACAGCCTTAGCTGATGCGAGTTTATTCCGTCATTCAAAAACACTGAGTGCCTCGTCCTAGGTGTCCAGGGCTGGGCATGGGATCAGAGCGATTCTAAAGGAATGGAGGCATACAGTATGGGGCCACCCTTGGGGTGGTGGAAAGAGGGAGCGTGGGAGTCAGGAGGTCTCAGTTCTCGCCTTGGCTCCGCCACTGTTGCTGTGTGACCTTGGGTGAGTCCTGCTGCCTCTCTGGGCTTCAATCTCCCTGTCTCTCCCAAATGGAGGCTTTAGGCTACATAGTAATTCTCAAACTTTTGAGTTCATAAGAATCACTTGGGGTGAGGAGGTGCTTCTTAAAGATGAAGATTCCCAGGCCCCAGTTCCAGAGATAAAGATCGCTCAGATCTGAGGTGCAGTTCAGGACCCTGCATTTCTTCCAGGCTCTTCCGGTAATTCTGAAGCGATACCTCAGGCCACGCTTTAATAAAATCACTTCCCCTCAATGTGTCTCTCTTCCTGCTCTGGAATTCAAGGAGTCACTCATGTAACCCTCCTCTGGGTATCTCAGATCACTCCAGAGGCATGAGAGCAGCGTCATATAGCCCTGTCTCGGGGTGCCCGTGTGTTGCTGTGGTGGTGACACTGCATTTGGGAAGGTCTGGCTCAGTGTATGCAGTCTCCCCCAGGCTACCTGTTGCCCTGCCCAGGCCCTGGTGCAGAAGGGGCCATGGCTGTAAACTGGCCAAACAAGGGGCCAACTGTAATGTAGATAGCTGTGCAGGGCAGAGAGCATGGAGGGATGCTGGGAGTGCTGGGTGCAGAGTTTGGCTATAGACATCTGGCCTGGACCCCTGGGCTCATGCCTTGGGTTGGATGTGTGACCCTGTCACCTGCTCCGCTTCCCCACACCACTGTGGATGGGAAGAGGGATGCACTGTGGCTTCTGCAGAGAGGTGAGTCCAGTTGCATGGGGATGAAGAGGCCTGGATGGAGCCGCAGGAAGGACTGGGGGCTCTGGTCTACCACCGAGGACACCCAGGGGGTCTCAGACCCCAGCCAATCTACTAGGCAGTGTCCCTTCCTCAGAGTTGACCAATCATACTCCCCAAAGGCTAGGTCAGTGCCAGGAGCTAGAGAATCAAGTCACTCTGGTCTAGCCCCCAGCTCCATTCTTCACCTGTGAAGAAAAAGAACAGCGATTGTGTCCAGAGTGCTCTCCATGCATCAGGCTTGGAGCTAAGTGCTGTGTTAGCTTATTAAATTTTCACAGCCATCCTAAGAGGTTGCTACAAACATTACCCCTCTTTTTACAGTTATGGATGCAGAGCCTTAGAGAGTTCAAGTTTCTAACTCAGAGTCACTCAGCTAATATAATAAGTAGTAGAGGCAGGATTAGAACCCAGATTTGCTTTCTGCTGGAGCCCAGTTTTATTTTTAAACATATTGCTTAGTACCTTTCAGAAGATAAGTATTTTTCTTTTTCTTTTCTTTTATTTACTTATTTATTTTTGAGACAGTGTCTTGCTCTGTCAACCACTCCGGAGTACAGTGGTACGATCTTGGCTTGCTGCAACCTCTGCCTCCTGGGCTCAAGCGACCCTCCCACCTCAGTCTCCTGAGTGATGGGACTATAGGCACTCACCACCATGCCTGGCTAATTTTTGTATTATTATTATTATTATTGTTATTTGTAGATATGGGGTTTCACTGTGTCGCCCAGGGTGGTTTTGAACTAGGCTCAAGCAATCCACCTGCCCTGCCTTGGCCCCCCAAAGTGCTGGGATTACAGGCATGAGCCACTGCACCTGGCTTAGGATTTTTCTTTTTTGTTTTTGAGACGGAGTCTCGGTCTGTCGCCCAGGCTGGAGTGCAATGGCACTATCTCGGCTCACTGCAACCTCTGCCTCCCGGGTTCAAGCAGTTCTCTTGCCTCAGCCTCTCGAGTAGCTGGGACAACAGGCGTGCACCACTACGCCCAGCTAATTTTTGTATTTTTTGTAGAGACAGGGTTTCACCATGTTGGTTGGTCAGGATGGTCTCAATCTCTGGACCTCGTGATCCGCCCACCTCGGCCTCCCAAAGTGCCGGGATTACAGGTGTGAGCCACCACACCCGGCCTAGGATTTTTCTTTTTTTTTCTTTTTTTTTTTTTTTGAGACGGAGTCTCGCTTCTGTGGCCCAGGCGGGAGTGCAGTGGCGCAATCTCGGCTCACTGCAAGCTCCGCCTCCCGGGTTCACGCCATTCTCCTGCCTCAGCCTCCCGAGTAGCTGGGACTACAGGCGCCCACCATCACGCCCGGCTATTTTTTTTGTATTTTTAGTAGAGAGGGGGTTTCACCGTGTTAGCCAGGATGGTCTCGATCTCCTGACCTCGTGATCCGCCCGCCTCGGCCTCCCAAAGTGCTGGGATTACAAGCGTGAGCCACCGCGCCCGGCCAGGATTTTTCTTAAAACACCTTCTGCCAAAGTTATTCACAACCAGAGAAATCCTTTTGCTTCTGTTGTCGGGGAAAGGAGCGATGCCAAATCAGATAGTGCAGGGTTCTAGTCCCACCTTTGCCCCAACCCTTTTTTTTTTTTTTTTTTGAGACAGAGCTTCGCTTTTATCGCTCAGGCTGAAGTGCAATGGCGCAATCTCGGCTCACTGCAACCTCTGCCTCCCAGGTTCAAGCAATTTTCCTGCCTCAGCCTCCCAAGTAGCTGGAATTACAGGCACCCACCACCACACCCAGCTAATTTTTGTATTTTTAGTAGAGATGGGGTTTCGTCTTGTTAGCCAGGATGGTCTTGAACTCTTGACCTCAGGTGATCCACCCGCCTTGGCCTCCAAAAGTGCTGGGATTACAGTTGTGAGGCACCATGCCTAGCCTCCCCTGACCTTTTGCATGTCCTTAGGAAAGCTACTTCCCTTCCTTGAGTTTCATGTGAAACTGAAATCTGTGAAATGGGATTAATTACACATGCATTTCTTTCTAAGGTACACTAAGATGAAGACGGCCACCAACATCTACATCTTCAACCTGGCCTTAGCCGATGCGCTGGCCACCAGCACGCTGCCTTTCCAGAGTGCCAAGTACCTGATGGAGACGTGGCCCTTCGGCGAGCTGCTCTGCAAGGCTGTGCTCTCCATCGACTACTACAATATGTTCACCAGCATCTTCACGCTCACCATGATGAGTGTTGACCGCTACATCGCTGTCTGCCACCCTGTCAAGGCCCTGGACTTCCGCACGCCTGCCAAGGCCAAGCTGATCAACATCTGTATCTGGGTCCTGGCCTCAGGCGTTGGCGTGCCCATCATGGTCATGGCTGTGACCCGTCCCCGGGGTGAGTGAGTGAGTGCACCATGGCACAGGCCACTGACCACAGGAGGCAGTACATGGGCCTTTGTGGGCTTGCAGGGCACTTACCAGGGTGAGTGTAGGTGGCTCATCAGCAGAGGTTGGATTCTGATCAAGATCAATGATGGTGTGGTGGCTGGCCAGTGGGAGTGTAGAAGAAGGTCAACCAATGGGAATGGGAATAGCTGGCCAGGGGGGCATGCGGATGGTTGACTATTGTGAAGATGAATGACTGATCAGTGGTCATATGGGTTGCTGGCCAAAGGGAATGTATGAATTTATGAAGGAGATTATGGATGGCTGGTTATGTACATGTAGGTGGCTGGCCAGGGATGTGTGGATGTATAGAGAGATGGTTGGATGTCCAGTGAGGTGAGGGTGTCACTGACCAGTGAGCAGTGGAGGCTGCAAGATCTGTGGTCCCATTTTAAACTCCCTTTCATCCTAATTTGAAAACCACTGGCCTGGATGACCAAAGCAAAGCCTAGAGAATAGCCTGCAGGGAATGACAAATAGGAGCTAAAATGGTAATTATAGTAACTGCCTGTATCAGGGGAGCTGCAATAACATTCTCCAAAGCTCAGGGGCTTAACACTGTAGAGGTTTCTCTCTCACTCCCATCACAATCCAGTGTGAGTAGGAGGAGCACAGACATTCAGGGACCCAGCCTCCTGTTGATGGTTTCTGAATCTTCTACTGCTGGCATCTGGCCGGCAGATGAATATGGAGAGGGAGCGAGGAGAAAGCACAGCCACTTTAAATGTTGGTTGGGTGCAGTGGCTCATGCCTGTAATCCCAGCATTTTGGGAGGCCAAGGCGGGTGAATCACTTGAGGTCAGGAGTTCCAGACCAGCCTGGCCAACACGGTGAAACCCTATCTTTACTAAAAGTACAAAAATTAGCCAGGCGTGGTGGTGGGCGTCTGTAGTCCCAGCTACTTGGGAGGCTGAGGCAGGAGAATCACTTGAACCTGGGAGGCGGAAGTTGCAGTGAGCTGAGATCATGCCACTGCACTCCAGCTTGGGCGACAGAATGGGACTTGTCTAAAAAAAAAAAAAAAAATTTATGGCCCATTTCTTCTAGTGACAGCTGGTCACATGGCCCCACCTTAATGCAAGGAAGTGAGAAATATTGTTTAGAAGGGCTCCACAGACATAGTAACTAATTAACCTCTCTGAGTCACACTATATCATGAGATGTTGAGAAGGTTAAAAGAGATAATATGTGTAGAATACTTAGGACAAGTCCTGGCTCATCGCCAAGGCCCAATGAATAATAGCTATTAAATGATTAAGCCTGTGAGATAGACAAGGCAGGGACTCCTACCTCCATTTGACTGTAGGGAAACAGAATCAGAGAGGTCAGGTGGTTTACTTAGGGTCACACAGCCAGGCATTTTGTGGAATTTGGCCTGCAACCTAGGGTTCCTGCCCCCAGGTCTGTTACTCCTTCTAGTCCCTTTTGTGGAAGTTTGCAGAGGGTTGATGCTGTGGGTGGGAGAGAACAAGCTTCTTGGTTACCTTTGACCCTCACAAGGGCAGAGTCCCTGGTGCCCTTTTATAGCCTGTGAGCCATTGGCCTTGACTCACAGCAGAGCCCCATTCCTCACTGTCAGCCTTCAGCTTACGGGCCATTAACTGCATCCCTCCTGGGGCTGGACCAGATGGGCCTCCTCACTCCACAATCCCTCACACACACACTTTCCCAGTGTGTGCCATCAGCACTTATTGAACCTGTGGGCCACTTGCTGTGTGACCTTAAACAAGTGCTGTTCTGGTTCCTATACAATGAAGGTCTTGGATTCAGTTACTTCTAGGGGTCCTGCCAGCCTGATGTCCTGTGGACCCACTCTGTCTGTGGATCCCCAGCCCCTTCTCACTTCTTAGCCTCAAGTCCATCGTGTGGCTTCTTAAATCCTAGCATTCCAAGAGATCCTGGGAGTCCCCTGGGCCAGCCTCAAGGCTGTATCAGAATCCCACAACACCCCCTAAGGTGTTCATCCAGCCCAAGCCCACACTCCAGGAATGGGGAGCTCATTTCATCCTAGGCACCCTTCCTATCTCAAGAAGGAAGTCCTTGAGTTAAGCTGAAGTCTGCTTTCCTCCCAGAAGGAAGGAAGTTTTGTTTTGTTTTTGTTGTTGTTTTGAGACAGGGTCTCGCTCTGTCACCCAGGCTGGAGTGCAGCGGCACTATCCCAGCTTACTGCAGCCTCAACCTCCAGGGCTTAAGCGATCCTCCCACCTCAGCCCCCCAAGTAGCTGGGACTGCAGATATGCACCACCATACCCAGCTAATGTTTGTTTTTTTTGTAGAGATGGGGTTTTGCCATGTTGCCCAGGCTGGTCTCCAGCTCCTGGACTCAAGCAGTCCACCTGCCTCAGCCTCCCAAAGTGCTGGGATTACAGGCATGAGCCCCATGCCTGGCCAGGAGGTTCTTGTGATTAAGCTGAGACCTGCTTCCCTCTAGGGAGCCTGACCCTATCCTTGAGTCCTGGACTCCCCCACATATATGCCCCTCTTTCCCTGTGGGTACGCCAAGAGCTTGAACCCCACTATGCTAAATGCTTTAGGTACCTTAGCCTTTTCTTTTCTTTTCTTTTTTTTTTTTTTTTGAGACGGAGTCTCGCTCTGTCGCCCAGGCTGGAGTCCAGTGGCACGATCTCGGCTCACTGCAAACTCCACCTCCTGGGTTCACACCATTCTCCTGCCTCAGCCTCCCGAGGAGCTGGGACTATGGGCACCTACCACCATGCCCGGCTAATTTTTTTGTATTTTTTTTTTAGTAGAGATGGGGTTTTACCGTGTTAGCCAGGAGGGTCTCGATTTCCTGACCTCATGATCTGCCCTCCTCGGCCTCCCAAAGTGCTGGGATTACAGGCGTGAACTACCGCACCTGTCCGCCTTAGCCTATTTAATCCTTACGACAATCCTGGAGATGTGGGTACTGTCATTAGCCCCACTCCACTGAAGCTCCAAGAGGTTTAGTAATTTCCTTACACTATGTAGTAGGGCCTGAGTCCTGCTCCTAGCTCATGTTGTCTGTCTTAGCAGTCCTGTCCCCAATGGAGCTAGTTTGGAAATGGGTCAAGGTGCTTTGAGTTACTGCAATGACTGGCATTCAGTGGGCTGAGCTAAACGATTTCATTACGGCCACCCATGGACACAAAGGCTGAAAAGGGGCCAGGAGAGAACATAGGGGACCTCCCTGATGAGGGCCAATCCTGCTAGGTCTTTACGGATAACTAAGAGTTCACCAAGTACCGAAGCCGAGGAGGACACTCCAGACAGAAGAATCCCCTTGAACAAAGGCTGGGAGGAGGTGGTGGGACTTGCCCAAGCCTTGAAAGGGTGGGCAAGCAGGTGGGGGCCCCTTAGGCACACAGGCCCCTCACCCCGTCTGTCTTTCCTTGTTTCCGCGGCCCAGACGGGGCAGTGGTGTGCATGCTCCAGTTCCCCAGCCCCAGCTGGTACTGGGACACGGTGACCAAGATCTGCGTGTTCCTCTTCGCCTTCGTGGTGCCCATCCTCATCATCACCGTGTGCTATGGCCTCATGCTGCTGCGCCTGCGCAGTGTGCGCCTGCTGTCGGGCTCCAAGGAGAAGGACCGCAGCCTGCGGCGCATCACGCGCATGGTGCTGGTGGTTGTGGGCGCCTTCGTGGTGTGTTGGGCGCCCATCCACATCTTCGTCATCGTCTGGACGCTGGTGGACATCGACCGGCGCGACCCGCTGGTGGTGGCTGCGCTGCACCTGTGCATCGCGCTGGGCTACGCCAATAGCAGCCTCAACCCCGTGCTCTACGCTTTCCTCGACGAGAACTTCAAGCGCTGCTTCCGCCAGCTCTGCCGCAAGCCCTGCGGCCGCCCAGACCCCAGCAGCTTCAGCCGCGCCCGCGAAGCCACGGCCCGCGAGCGTGTCACCGCCTGCACCCCGTCCGATGGTCCCGGCGGTGGCGCTGCCGCCTGACCAGGCCATCCGGCCCCCAGAGCGCCCCTCCCTAGTGACCCGGAGGCCACATGAGTCCCAGTGGGAGGCGCGAGCCATGATGTGGAGTGGGGCAGTAGAAGGTCGGAGGCTTGGGACCGCCAGATGGGGCCTCTGTTTCGGAGACGGGACCGGGCCGCTAGATGGGCATGGGGTGGGCCTCTGGTTTGGGGCGAGGCAGAGGACAGATCAATGGCGCAGTGCCTCTGGTCTGGGTGCCCCGTCCACGGCTCTAGGTGGGGCGGGAAAGCCAGTGACTCCAGGAGAGGAGCGGGACCTGTGGCTCTACAACTGAGTCCTTAAACAGGGCATCTCCAGGAAGGCGGGGCTTCAACCTTGAGACAGCTTCGGTTTCTAACTTGGAGCCGGACTTTCGGAGTTGGGGGTCCGGGCCCAGGACCCAGAAAGGGCAGTGGTGGGGACAGTTGCTTGAAAACTGAGCTGCAAGACTGGGCCTCTGTGTAGTAGGGAGGAGCCTCCTGTGAGGGGAGACCCAGAGACAGGACAGCTGGGTGTGGCTACAGCTGAAGATTTGGTCACCAGATAGGGCGCCTGTGCAAAGGGCCTGTGGCCTCATCTTTGGATACGGGATACAGTCCCAGCCCTGAGTTCTAGCAAGGGGCAAGGCTCGCTGAGGTCCAGGTCCGACTTGACACCTTTATAAATAGAATATAAAAGACTGAGGGGCCAGGCGTGGTGGCTCAAGCCTGTAATCCCAGCACTTTGGGAGGCCGAGGCAGGTGGATGGACATGAGCCCAGGAGTTCGAGACTAGTCTGGGCAACATGGGAGACCCTGTCGCTACAAAAAATACAAAATTAGCCAGGCATGGTGGTGTGTACCTGCAGGCCTAGCTCCTTGGAAGGTGAGAGGATCACTTGATCCCAGGAGTTTGAAGCTGCAGTGAGCTATGGTGGTGCCACTGCACTCCAGCCTGGGGGACAGAGTAAGACTCTGTCTCTCAAAAAGGAGAGAGAGGGAGAATGAGGGAAGAAGAGATAGGAAGAGAGAGAAACAGTATACCTTTTATCTCTTTGACAGGCATGTATTTCCTTGGAATGGGCAGGAATCCCTCAGAATCGGTGGCCACAGTGGGGCTTGGGACAGGACAGCAGAGCGGGGGGCAGCCACTCCAGGATAGGGTAATAAGACAGGACCTTGGTTGGAGTAGGGTCCCCAGAACTGAGTACTAATGGGGGCCCAGAGGCTTGGGAAGGAGAAGGCTTCCAAAACCAGTTCGAAAACCCAGACCCGGAGTGGACCTCCGTGCCAAGGGGTGGTGGTGGGTGGGTGGAGGAAGAGGTGGGCTCCTGCTTCAAGGTTAGGTCTTCCAGTGGAAGGTGGATGCTTTCTGTGAGTCCCCAGGGCCCTAGTTTCTCTGGCCCAGATACTGGAGGACAGAGGACCACCTACTTAGATCCCGTAGATGGTAAGTGGTGCCTGGGACTCTTGAGGGCGGGGGGCGGGGTATGAGAAGCATCAGTTCGCACTTGGTGCTGGGTCCTGGGCCCTGATAAGAACCTGGATGAAATCCTCTTCCATTCTCCCAACATCTGGCTGCATCCATGTGTCTGGTGTCAATGACTCCAGTGAACTGGAACTGCCCATATGGGGACCTGACCTTGAAGGAACTGGGGGGAGAAGCTTTTGTAACTGCAATGCCGGCATCAGTGTGTGTCCCCCTCTGCCTTTCCCCCCAGGCTCCCCAGGTCCCCCACCTGCTCCAGCCCAGCTGTCCCCTTCACGCTGCTGAGAGTGATATCCACCTGGAGTTGGGTGTAGAAGTTTTTCTTTTCATTGGTTCGGCATTTTATTCAGGCACTCCTGGATCTTTGCTTCCCAGAATATCAGTGTCTGTCCTTGTTCTCTGTACCTCCCCCGTGCCTCATCTCCTCTCCCTCCGCTGCTGTCCCCTCCCTCACCAACACTGCCTCAGTAATGCACCCCTGACTCCCTATTGAAGCAGTGTGCTGACATCCTTGTAAAAACAAATTTAATTTTCTTCCTTTTTTGGGACAGATGGAAAGAAATTGACGTCTTTGTCTCAAACAAAAGAAAAAAGAAAAAGAAACAATATACTTCTTTTCCCTTTGACAGCCATGTCTTTGGAACAAAAGCTGGGAGGCTGTCACTCCAGCAGGGACTGAATAGCATGCAGGGGGCTGGGGACTTAGGCACCAAGAGGGGCTTTGGGCACATTAGGGGGAAGGGATGCTCTCAGAGGGCAAAGCACAGCCCCCTTCTCAGGGTGAGGCTCCCAGCAGCCCCAGACCCGGGGATGTGCCTCCTTTGGGAAATGGCTACCCCGGGTCCTGGAAAGATGTGGGGCCATGCCCAGCACTCACATCCAGCCTGCCAAGCCATTGTGACCTGGGGTCCCAAGCCACCTAGATCACTCTCACTACCTTGTGACCACAGAGACCCCTGTGTCTGAGGGTGGGAGGTCGTCAGCATGGCAGGAGACACTTCTCCTCATCAGGGGTCCTCCTGTGAATGCTTTGGGGGTATGGCAGAAAAAGGGACAATCTAGGAACTGGGGAAGACTCCTGAAGGAGGTGACATTGGAGCCAGGCTGTTTACTCTCCCTGCAGGACCTGTGTCCCCTCCCAGGATAGGCCTGTTTCAAGGCTGCTTGAAGCCCACTCACTGCCATCTCCTGTGTCTGTAACAGATCTGGCTGTTTTTTGCCCCTTCTGATATGTAAATCTGTCCTGAGGTCAGCAGGGCCCGGGTCCGGACCACGTGTGTTTAAGGTAGTGCAAACTTGTATTGAAATCTACTTCATGCCAAGCATGCACTCTGGGCATCAGGACTCGGAATGAGTCAGCCTTGGCCCTGCCCTCAGAAAGCCTGAGCCAGTGTTGGGAGATAAAGCATCAACAGATGATTGCACCTCAGTGTGATGAGTGCGGTGACAGGGAGCCCCAGGGAGGGTGTCACAGGGAAGTGCCTTTTCTAGCTTTTCACTAAAACACATGTTTGTCGCAGTTCTGTAAGAGGTGGAAAAGGGTCGGGGACCCTGAAGGATGAATAGGAGTTGGCCACCAAAAAGAGGAAATAGCGTGTGCGGAGGCATGGGGATGTTTAAATGCTTGGCAAACCCAACAAGTTGGGTGCAGCTGGAGCATGGGGCTTAACTAAGCTCTTCTGTGTGCCAGGCTCTCTGCCAGGTGTCTTGTGTGCATCAGCCCACCTGATCCTCAGGACAGCCTGGTGAGGAAGTAGTGTTATCCCCATTGAGGACAAAGAGAGCTGAGGCTGAGAGAGGTCAGGCTACTTGCTCCTAAGTCACAGGGCCTGTTCGTAGTGGCAGAACTTGGGTCCCTGGAATTCCAGGGTCCATGTTTCCAGTTAATTCCAGGCATCAGTGAAGTAGAAAGGCCTTAGAAGCTGGAACCCCAGAATGAGGTTTTGAAGACCTAAAACCAAATGGAAAAATCTAAAGGAAACGAGCAATTTTCCATGAACTTTTGTTCCTCCTGAAGCTCTCCAAATCTTCACGTTTCAGAATGTACTGTGCATGGTGCATTTTAAAGCTCTAAATTGACAGTGTAATTCTAGATCGTCACAGGGTTCTCAAAACTGCAGAGTAGGTCTGTTTCCCCCAAAATTTCCATTTATCTCCCTCCAGGAGGAGGGAGGGAAGTTTTTGCCCCTGATTTCAAAATGTCCTACTGTTTCAGATCTCTTCTTCTTCATCATCTTTTTTTTTTTTTTTTCAGCCAGTGTCTTGCTCTGTTGCCCAGTCTGGAGTGCAAGTGCAGTGGTGCAGTCATAGCTCACTGCAGTCTCAAACTCCTGGGCTCAAGTGATCTTCCCACCTCAGCCTCCTGAGAATCTGGGACGACGGGTGTGTGACACCATGCCCAGCAATTTTATTTTTATTTTTATTCATTTATTTTGTTTGGGTTTTTTTTTTTCTGAGACAGGGTCTCCCTCTGTCGCATAGGCTGGAGTGCAGTGGCACCATCTCGGCTCATTGCAACCTCCGCCTCCTGGGTTCAAGTCATCCTCCCGCCTCAGCCTCCTGAGTAGCTGGGATTACAGGTGTGCACCACCATAACCCAGCTAATATTTTTATTTTTAGTAGAGACGGGGTTTCACCATTTGGCCAAACTGGTCTCGAACTCCTGACCTCAGGGGATCTGCCCGCCTCAGCTTCCCAAAGTGCTGGGATTACAGGCGTGAGCCACCAAGCCCGGCCAATTTTTTTTTTTTTCAATAGAGACCAGAGTGTCTCTGTGTTGCCCAGACTGGTCTTGAACTTCTGTCCTCAAGCAATTCTCCTGCCTTGGCCTCCCAAAGTACTGGGTTTACAGGTGTGAGCCACTGTGCCCAGCTCTCATACCTCGTCTTGATGCAGTAGAAGTAGTGGTTAAGCCTGGAATCAGATCTTGGTTTTCCCTCTCTGAGCCTCAGTTTCCTCATCTGTAGAGTAGACTTCCTTCACGGGTGGTTGTGAGGATTTAATGTATGTATAGGGATAAGGCCCAGAACGTAAGTAAACTCTAAGTACATGGTAAGTGGCAGTCACTGCTTACAAGTGGAGCCAGGGTTCAGGGTCAGAGCTAGAGACCTACAGGGAAGAGTAGGTGAGCTGTCGGGGCTAGTGATGGAGAGAGAGAAGAGACTGGAGATCCAGCTTGGGGATCCCCTTGCTTCCTGGCCCAGGAGCCACCATGGAGAGTGAGAAGCTGCCAGAGAAGCAGGAGGAGGATGGAGAGAATGTGCTACCATGGAAACTGGAGGAGGAGGGCGTTCCCAGGAGGAGGGAGTGATGGATAATGTCAAGTGTCATAAGAGAGGATGCGAGTAGGGAGGGCAGGAGGGTGATGGGAGCTCTCCAATTTAGTTTTTTACATGGCCCAGGCAGCCCCCAAGCCTGGATCAAATCCCAGCTCTCAAGCTAACTGGCTGTGTGACCTAGACAAGGGATTTGCCTTCTCTGAGCTTCAGTTTCCTTCTAGAGTTGAGATGTGGGAATTGGTCCATCTCTAATACGATCATCAGCCTCACTTAATAAGAGTCCTAGCTTTGCCGAATTCTTGGCCACGTGCTAGCAGTGTGATCTTAGGCAAGTCACTTCACCTCCACGAGAGCACTCTCTGAAAGCTAGAGATATGGTAAGCAAAGTGCCACCAAAGTGCCTGGCACATAGTGGGGCCTCGATACAGGCTTATTCTCTGATAATTACACGTGTGCCAGAGGCAGCTGCTCTAAGGAGGCTTGCTGGGCTTGGAATTAGAAATGCTCCTCAAGGGCTGGGTGCAGTGGCTCACGCCTGTAATCCTAGCACTTTGGGAGGCCAAGGCGGGTGGATCATGAGGTCAGGAGTTCAACACCAGCCTGACCAACATGGTGAAACCCTGTCTGTACTAAAAACACAAAAATTAGCCAGGCGTGGTGGCGTGCACCTGTAATCCCAGCTACTCAGGAGGCTGAGGCGGGAGAATCGCCTGAACCCAGGAAGCAGAGGTTACAGTGAGCCAAGATCTTGCCACTGTACTCCAGCCTGGGCGACAGAGCGAGACTCTGTCTGAAAAAAAAAAAAAATTAAAAAGAAATGCTCCTCAAGTTGGAGAGGGCCCACTAGCATCCTGAGAGGACTTGGAAGAACAACAGTCCAGGCTGGGCACCTGCTGGGTCTCTGTCCAAAGGCCAGCCCTCTCTTTGTGTCAGCCGCAGATCCCTCACCTAGGGCATGACTACTGGCTGCCAGCTCCCACTAACACCTGCTGCAGATCCAGACTGAAGCCGGCCCCAGCGGCCCCAAAGCCCCTAGGAAGTGACCACCCCCCATCCCTGGCACCCAGATCCTGGCCCCTGCACTCACACACAAAACACATACAGATGCCTCTCTTTCATCATGTATTTATTCCTTTATTTCTGGGAGCCGGGAGGAGTGACGGGAGCAAATCAGGACCTGGCCGCCCCACGCTGAGCTTGCAGATATTGAGAGTTGGGTGACAGATGGCTGTGTGGTTCAGGCTGCAGGCAGCTTGGGAATTCAAAATGGGGCTTAGAGAGGAGCTGGAGGGGGCCCTCGAGGTGGACGTAGTGATGCAGTAGGGCATGGCACTGCGAGGTTGCCCGGGTTCTAGTCCCAGCACCATCACCGGGGATGAGCCGTTTCAGAGTGTGGCACTCTGTCACACTCCATTTCATTGAGAGGCCACTGAGACATTATCAATGGGTAATGTACAGCACTTCCATGGCATAACTCATTTAATCTTCACAGCATGATGATGAGGTAGGCATAGTATCATTACCTCCATTTTACAGATGGGGAAACTGAGGCTCAGAGAAGGGAATGACTTGCCCAAGACCACATGGCTTCTCAGTGATTGGCTCAGCTAGGATCCCACCTTTGGTCCTTCAAGTCCACTTCCTCTGCTTTCCTCTTCCTGCACCCTGAGAGGAAATGCTCTGAGTATACCGAGGGTCCTCAGGAGACTCTCACATCCAGCTCACAGTCACAGGCTGAGCATTCCCTGTGCTGGGTTCTGTACCTCATCATGTTGGCAGCAGAGGCACGTGCCAGCTGCTCAAAAAACTGCTGTAACCTTGGTAGATCCCTCTCCCCATCCATTTCTTCCTTGCCTTGGAAGTCCTGCTTGTTTGATAATTTTCTGACTGACTGCCATGTTGTTGCCTTGTGACCTTGGGCATGTCATTTCACTCTGAGCCATTTCTCAGTCATGGATGACAGCACTTAGCTGATGAGAAGTTGAGAAGATTCAGAAAGAGGCTATGAGTGAAGGACCTTGTCTGTTTTGGTCATGAAAGTGTTCCCAGGAAATGCAAATGGACACACAGTAGTTATCTACTGAGCTAATGAACAATGTCCCTGGTGCATAGTAAGTGCCCAATAAAATGCAGCTTTTTTCATATTATCTAATGTTTTAGGCCATGCCTGCACCAACCCATGCTTCTTTTTTTTTTTCTTTCTTTCTTTCTTTTTTTTTTTTTAAGACAGAGTCTCACTCTGTCACCCAGGCTGAAGTGCAATGGCGAGATCTCGGCTCACTGCAACCTCCGCCGCCCGGGTTCAAGCAATTCTCCTGCCTCAGCCTGCTGAGTAGCTGGGATTACAGGCACGTGCCCGGCTAATTTTGTATTTTTAGTAGAGACGGGGTTTCGCCGTGTTGGCCAGGCTGGTCTCGAACTCCTGACCTCAACTGATCCACCCACCTCGGCCTCCCAAAGTGCTAGGATTACAGGCATGAGCCACCGTGCCCAGCCCAACCCATGGTTCTTAATGCTGCAGGTGGGTCCGGAGAAAGGCTTTTCTCTTTTAACCATCTCCTTGAATTTCAGAAGGTGGGACAACATGTGCTGGAAAGCAGTTCTTAAGAGGACATCTTTTCCCAAGCTCCTTAGCCTTAGCTGTCCTCTCCTGCCCTCACCAGGACTGCCCTCTCAGGGACCCAAGAGGAAGGGACAGCCTGGAAAGGAAGAAGGTCCCGGGCCATCTGCGTCATGGGGATGGAGTCCCTTGGCGTGTGCCGGTGCAAATACACTCCTGTAACGGGGCTCATCTAGAATCTCCTCTCGGAATGAGGAGACCGCAAATGTGGTTTTGAATCTTCATTGTCCACTTCATTGCTGTGGTGTTGGGCAGGTCTCTGTCCCTCTCTGGGCCTCTGCACGATGGAGGGGTAGGAGTTGATGGTTCTGAAGGCTCTGCCATCCTGGAAAAGAACTGAGACACTTCCCTCATGTTCCTGGGTCCCAGAAACAGACATCTGTTGGTAAAATCTACTGGGCATTTGCCCAGAGACAGGGAAAAGAATGCCTGGGGGTCTGTAATAGGAGCTGCCCCAATTAGGGGCAGGGAGGCGGGCATGTAAAAAAGGAAGCTTAAAGCTTTGTTTTCAGGCTTTTTGCCTACCCCAGGCTCCATCTTGGTACCAAGTACTCAACCTTCTGTTTTCTCAATAAAGTGAGCCCTCTTCTCGGTGTCTGCATCTCTGGCTGTTTTGTTTGCTTACCTCTGCCAGGTTCCCTTGTAAGGGGCCCCCAGTCTGGGGGATCACATAAGCCTATGGGGAAGTCTGGCTCTGCCCTGAGGATGTGTCTCAGAGGGAGAGGCAATGTTGTCCTTAAGAACCCTAGTTTGGACCAGGTGTGGTGGCTCACGCCTGTAATCCCAGCACTTTGGGAGGCTGAGGCGGGTGGATCACGAGGTCAGGAGTTCAAGACCAGCCTGGCCAAGATGGTGAAACCCCGTCTCTACTAAAAATACAAAAATTAGCCGGGCATGGTGGTGGGTGCTTGTAATCCCGCCTACTCAGGAGGCTAAGGCAGAGAATAGCTTGAACCCGGGAGGCGGAGGTTGCAGTGAACCGAGATTGCGCCATTGCACTCCAGCCTGGGCGACAAAATGAGACTGTCTAAAAAAAAAAAAAAAAAGGCTCTAGTTTAATGGGAGAGACAGACACACAGGCAGGCATTTCCTAGAGCGAGCTCTGAACCAAACCAGGCCTCGGTGCTCCATTCCCCTTCCACCCTCTGAACTGGCGCCTCCCCTTCCCTGCAGCCCTCCCCCCCGCCACTCCCCTAATCTAAGTCCCTTGTTCTCCAGAGCCCTCCCCACCCCACATGCCTCTTGGGGCTCCACTAAATCTCTCTCCCATCTCTCTGCCCCTCAGTGACCCTTCCTTCAGGCCATAGAAGCACCAGACCTCCTTGTGTGCATTCAAGTTGGCCCTGGGGTGGGAGTTAGAACCCCGTTCCCCAGGAGACTTCTGCCTCCTCAGTGTTCTCAAATAGTCGCTGGCCCCTGTGGTTAATAAGTAACTCCCTGGAAGGCAATTCTTTCCTGACCCAGATCTGTTTCCCATCACATGTGACCCATCCTTAGGAGGCCACCAGAGCCTGGAGCCTCCCCCAGCCCTGGGGCAACTTCCCTTCAAAGTCCTCAACCCAGGGCCACTCACCTTCGGGCCTGTTCATGTCAAGGTGATGAGCACCAAGGCAGATGGGCAGCCCTGATGCAGACTGGGATCTCAGCATGCCTCAGGGCAGGCTGTGTGGGCAGGGCCAGGGCGACCAGGCTGCCCGGGGGTAGGAGTTGGGGTGGCTTCTTGGCCCCACTCTGCTCATAGAGAGAGACTCAGTCAGGAAGACTTCACAGAGGCCTGACAGATCTAGTCAGAGCCAACTCCCACCAAAGCTGGGAAGGACAGCTGTGAAGGTGAGAGAGAGAGAGAGTGTGTGTGTATGTGTGTGTGTATGTGTGTGTGAGCACACAGCATGAGTGAGAGCATCTCGGTGTTGATGTGAATGTATACAGAGATTTTTTTTTTTTTGAGAGGGAGTCTTGCTCTGTCGTCCAGGCTGGAGTGCAGTGGCGCCATCTCATCTCACCACAACCTCCAACTGTTGGGTTCAAGAGATTCTCCTGCTCCACCTCCCTAGTAGCTGGGATTACAGGCACTCGCCACCATGCCCGGCTAGTTTTTGTATTTTTAGTAGAGACTGGGGTCTCACCATGTTGGCCAGGCTGGTCTCGAACTCCTGACCTCAAGTGATCCACCTGCCTTGGCCTCCCAAAGTGCTGGGTTACAGGTGAGAGCCACTGCGCCCCGCCTATCCAGAGATTTTTTTATTCACCTTTGTGTATACCCTGAGGAAAACCTTATCCATATGACCACTTTGGGCCTCACTTTCCTCTTTTGAAAAAGATAGGGGCCGGGCGTGGTGGCTCACGCCTGTAATCCCAGCACTTTGGGAGGCCAAGGCGGGAGGATCACCTGAGGTGAGGAGTTCGATACCAGCCTCAACATGGAGAAACCCTGTCTCTACTAAAAAATACAAAATTAGCCAGGCATGGTGGTGCATGCCTGTAATCCCAGCTACTCAGGAGGCTGAGGCAGGAGAATTGCTTGAACCTGGGAGGCGGAGGTTGCAGTGAGCCAAGATCGCGCCATTGCACTCCAGTCTGGGCAACCAGAGCAAAACTCCAACTCAAAAAAAAAAAAAGAAAAAGATAACAATAATAATTAAAACAGTGTATTTACCAGGACTCTCTTGAGGGTTCAATGAGACACACCTGTGCATGGAAACTAGGGTACATTCTTATTGATGGGGGAAAACACACTCTGCCTTAAACCTTCCATAGTTCCTATTTGTGTGGAAAATCAGATGATCTCTCAGGCCCCTTTCTAATGGAGGACCCTGGGAACCTAAGTTCCAACTTCCCAGCCTGCAACCTCAAAGTCTCTTGAGGGGGAAGGGGACCCACTACAGGAAGAGGACTGCTGAAGTCCAGCTCAGGGCAGGCAGTTCTTAGTGAGGGGGCAGGCAGAGCAGATTCCTGTCTTGTGCCAGCTTCATCACCCTTCCAGGTCAGCTCCACTGCCTCTGCCCCCAGGAAGCATTCTCTGCTGGCTCTAGCTACACTCTTGGATCCCTGCCTGGATCTTCTACAATTGCTGTCAGGGTGCCCCACCTGAGCAAGACCCGCCTGCTCTCTCTCTCTCTCTCTCTCTCTCTCTCTCTCTCTCTCTCTCTGTAGACTGCTGGGGACCCCGCAGCACCACCAAACACATGGGAATCCCATCCTCCCTAAGGGAAAAGGAAAGACTGGTGGAAAAGAACATTAAGGTTTCTTCTTCAATGATATTTATGAGGTTTCTTAGTCCTGTATCAAAGGAATATGTGCTCATTATAGAAACTGAGAAACCTGGCCGGGCGCGGTGACTCACACCTGTAATCCCAGCACTTTAGGAGGCCAAGGCGGGCTGATCACCTGAGGTCAGGAGTTCAAGATCATCCTGACCAACATGGAGAAACCCCATCTCTACTAAAAATACAAAATTAGCCGGGCATGGTGGCGCATGCCTATAATCCCAGCTACTCCGGAGGCTGAAGCAGGAGAATCACTTGAAACTGGGAGGCGGAGGTTGCGGTGAGCTGAGATCACACTATTGCACTCCAGCCTGGGTAGCAAGAGCTAAACTCCGTCTCAAAAATAAATAAATAAATAAATAAATAAATAAATAAATAAATAAATAAATAAATAAAATGAGTAAAGATTAGCTGGGCATGGTGGCTCACATGCTTGTAGACCCAACTACTTTGGAGGCTGAAGCAGGAGGATCCCTTGAGCCCAGGAGTTCAAGGCTGTAGTGAGTAAGATCATATCACTGCGCTTCAGCCTTGGTGACAGAGTGAGACCTCAACTATTTAAAAAAAAAAAAAAAAAAAGGCCGGGTGCCTTATAGGCTCACACCTATAATCCTAGTACTTTGGGAAGCTGAGGCGGGTGGATTAGCTGAGTTTAAGGAGTTTACCAGGAGTTTAAGACCAGCCTGACTAACATGGTGAAACCCTGTCTCTATTAAAAATACAAAAAATTAGCTGGGTGCAGTGGCGCGCACCTGTAATCCCAGCTACTCAGGAGACTGAGGCAGGAGAATCTCTTGAACCCAGGAGGTGGAGGTTGCAGTGAGCCAAGATTGCACCACTGCACTCCTAGCCTGGGCAACAGAGCCAGACTTCATCTCAAAAAAAAAAAAAAAAAAAATATGCTATGCACAGTGGCTCATGTCTGTAATCCCAGCACTTTGGGAGGCCTACACAGGTGGATCACTTGAGCTCAGGAGTTCAAGACCAGCCTGCCCAACATGGTGAAACCCCATCTCTACTAAAAAATACAAAAATTAGCCAGGGGTGGTGGTGGGTGCCTGTAATCCCAGCTACTGGGGAGGCTGAGGCAGGAGAATTGCTTGAACCTGGGAGGCAGTGGTTGCAGTGAGCCAAGATTGAGCCATTGCATTCCAGCCTGGGCGACAAGAGCGAGACTCTGTCTCAAAAAAAAAAAAAAAAAAAGAAAAGAAAAGAAAAGAAAAAAAAAGGGAGCAAAGGACATGAATAGACATTTTGCAGAAGAAGACATACAAATGGTCAACAAATATATGAAAAAAATGCTCAACATCACTGGTCATCAGAGAAAGGCAAGTCAAAACCACAATGACATATCATCTTACCCCAGTCAGAATGGCTATTATTAAAAAGGCAAAAAATAACAGTTGTTGGTGAGGATGTGGAAAAAAGGAACTCTTTTTTTTCCGAGACAGACTCTCGGTGTGTCACTCAGGCTGGAGTGCAATGGTGCAATCTCGGCTCACTGCAACCTCCGCCTCCTGGGTCCAAGCGATTCTCCTGCCTCAGCCTCCCTAGTAGCTGGGATTACAGGCATCTGCCACCACACCCAGACAATTTTTGTATTTTTTGTAGAGACGGGCTTTCACAATGTTGGTCAGGCTGGTCTCAAACTCCTGACCTCAGGTGATCCACCTGCCTCAGCCTCCCAAAGTGCTGGGATTACAGGCGTGAGCCACTACACCCAGCCGGAGAAAAGGAACTCTTATACACTGTTGGGAATATAAGCTAGTACAGTCACTACAGAAAACAGTATAGAGATTTGTCAAAAAACGAAAAATAGAACTACCATTTGATCCAGCAAGCTCACTACTGGGTATCTACCCAAAGAAAAAGAAAGCAATTTATCAAAGCGATATCTGCACTCTCATGTTTATTGCAGCACTATTCACAGGAGCAAAGACACAGAATCTACCTGTGTTCATCAATGGATGGCTGGATAAAGAAAATGTGGTATATATACACAATGGAATATTAGCCGTAAAAAGAATGAAATCACATTATTTGCAGCTACATGGATGGAAGTTGAGGTGATTATCTTCAGATAAATAAGCCAGGCACAAGGCCAGGCACAGTGGCTCACACCTGTAATCCCACCACTTTGGTAGGCCAAGTTCGGTGGATCACCTGAGGTCAGGAGTTCGAGACCAGCATGGCCAATATGGTGAAACCCCATCTCTTCTAAAAATACAAAAATTAGCTGGGTGTGGTGGCGCGCATCTGTAGTCCCAGCTACTTGGGAGGCTGAGGCAGGAGAATCGCTTGAACCTGGGGGGAGGCAGAAGTTGCAGTGAGCCGAGATGTCGCCACTGCACTAAAAAAAAAAAAAAAAAAAAAGGAGAAATAAGCTAGGCACAAAAAGACAAATATCACGTGTTCTCACTTATATGTGGGAGCTAAAGATAGGGAGTAGGAAGATAGATAGCGGAGGCTGGGAAGGGCGAGTGCGGGGAGAGGGGAGGATGAAGAGAACTGGGTTAAAGGGTACAAACATACAGTAAGAAGGAATAAATTCAGTGTTTGATAATAGAGTCGAGTGACTATACTTAACAAAAATGTATTATACACAGGGGACGGACACCCTAAACACCCGATTTGATCAGTAAGTATTACACACAGGTAACGAAAGTTCACATATCACCCATACATTTTTATAAAAAAAAATTTTTTTTTTTTGAGACAAGGTCTCTTCTGTCTTCCAGGCTGGATTGCAGTGGCGCGATCTCGGCTCACTGTGCCATCTGCTTCCCAGGCTCAGGTGATCCTCCCCACCTCAGCTTCCCGAGTAGCTGGAACTAAAAGTGAGTGCCACCATCCCCGGCTAATTTTTGTATTTTTGGGTAGAGACAGAGTTTTGCCATGTTGCCCAGGCTGGTCTCCAACTCCTGGGCTCAAGTGTTCCGCCTGCCTCCGCCTGCCAAAATGGTGGGAATTACAGGTGCGAGCCACCGCGCCCGACACAACATTTTAAAAAGTAATTATTTATATGTTTGAGTTGAAAAGAACCCGCACACACACACACACACACATACATTTGGGTGTATTTCCTTACCCAGAAGAATGTTCAACGGGTCCATAGCTGATTCCAGAGCCTTTTTAAATGGAATACGAACTTCGTACTTAACTGCAGGATCCTAAATCTTCATTGGATGCTCCAAGACCCAAAATTTAAGAGCTGCTGCTTTGGGGAGTGGGGGCGGCGGGGAGCTGTTCACACACACCTCACAGCCACATACAAATAGGCCTCCATCTGTACACCTGTGACCCATACACCTGACCCATACACATGCACATCCGTACACCTGTGTTCATACACGTGCACACAGTCAAACAGCTTGGCTTGGGAGAAATTTAGGCAAGGCTGCCCGAGACCGGGCTCATTTCACGGACGCTGCTGCCACCTACCGGCTATATCTTGCATTAGCATCCTTGCTTAGTTCCTGCTCTATTCCATTCTGTCCTCCATTGCTCATCCCTGGAAGCTGTGCATTGGAATTGGTTCCTGAAAGAGGGACACGAACAAGGGAGGTGAGTGGGGTGGGGAATTATCATTGACTAACTGTCCGTTATATGTCAGGTACTGCTGTCCCTTACAGCTGTTATATTTGTTTTCTCAATCCATGTGCCTTATGCAGTGCTTGGCCATGAAAAGTTCTAATAGCTATTTCAATTAAATGAATTAAAAACACTTTAGGCCGGGCGGGGTGGCTCACGCCTGTAATCACAGCACTTTGGGAGGCCGAAGCGGGGTGGATCACGAGGTCAAGAGATCGAGACCATCCTGGCCAACATGGTGAAACCTTGTCTCTACTAAAAATACAAAAATTAGCCGAGCGTGGTGGCGCGCGCCTGTAGTCCCAGCTACTCAAGAGGCTGAGGCAGGACAATCGCTTGAACCTAGGAGGCGGAGGCTGCAGTGAGCCGAGATCGCACCACTGCACTCCAGCATGGGCGACAGAGCAAAACTCTGTCTCAAAAAACACACACACACAAACAAACAAACAAAAAAACACTTTAAAGTGAGTGTGTTTAACAAATGAGGAGATGGGCCAGGTGCAGTGGCTCACGCCTGTAATCCCAGCACTTTGGGAGGCTGAGGCAGGAGGATCGCCTGAGTTCAGGAGTTCGAGACCAACCTGGCCAACATGGTGAAACCCCGTCTCTACTAAAAATACAAAAATTAGCTGGGCGTGGTGGTGGGTGCCTGTAATTCCAGCTACTCGGGAGGCTGAGGCAGGAGAATCACTTGAACCCGGGAGGCAGAGGTTGCAGTGAGCCGAGATGGCACCACTGCATTCCAGCCTGGGTGACAAAGCGAGACTCTATCTCAAAAAAAAAAAAAAAAAAAAAAAAAAAGAGGAAATGGGCTGGGCTGGGTGTTGTGGCTCACACCTGTAATCCCAACACTGGAAGGTTGAGGTCTGACAATCACTTGAGCCCAGGAGCTGAGACCAGTCTGGTCAACATAGTGAGACTCCGTCTCTACAGAAAATTTAAAAGTTGGCCAGGTATGGTGGCACAGGCCTGTAGTTCCAGCTACTTAGGGGACTGGGGTGGGAGGATCACTTGATCCTGGGAGACTGCGGCTGCAGTGAGCCATGATCTCACCACTGGACTCCAGCCAGAGTCAGACCCTGTCTCAAAAACAAACAAACAAAAAATTGGGAGATGGGAGCTCAGAGAGGGGAAGTGACTGGCCCAAAGTCTCACAATGCCTTCTTCTGATAGTCAGGAAAGTGCTCTGAAGAGAAGGAGAAGGAAGAAGCAGTGAAGCTGGGAATTTTTACTAAGACGTGCAGGAAGCCCAGCCCAGATTTGGTTCACACACACCTCACAGACACATACAAATAGGCCCACACCTATACACCTGTGACCCAGAGGCCATGCATGCGCACGCTTAGCTGTGTACCCAAACATCACCCACCCCTACACCCTCCACAGCCTGGATACATTCTGTCCTCTCTCACAGACTCATTCTTGGCATCTGTTAACATACACATCACACATACATTCATATTACAGGCACGCACATGCATGCACCTCTTTGTATCCACACCTCCCACTGGGGCACACGTTCAATACCTGTGTGAATCAGGGGATCAGGATGAGGTCAACCTGGAGGGATAATTTCCCCACCACTGGGAAGTTTCTCCTACCCTGAGCTGCTGCTTTAAATTAATTCATTCAACTAGTATTTTATTGTTCACAATGTGGTGGGCTCTGTACTCAGACTAAGGATAAGCAGTGAACAAAGACAAAAGTCCAGTCCCAGGCTGGGCACGGTGGCTCATGCCTGTAATCTCAGCACTTTGGGAGGCCGAAGTGGGCGGATCACGAGGTCAGGAGGTCGAGACCAGCCTGGCCAACATGGTGAAATCCCATCTCTACTAAAAATACAAAAATTAGCCAGGCGTGGTGGCGTGCGCCTGTAGTCCCAGCTACTCGGGAGGCTGAGGTAGAAGAATTGCTTGAATCCAGGAGGCGGAGGTTGCAGTGAGCTGAGATCACGCCACTGCACTCCAGCCTGGGCAGCGGAGTGAGACTCTGTCTCCAAAAAAAAAAAAAGGAAAAGAAAAAAAGTCCAATCCCTGTCCTCATTCCAATGTGGGGGCACGAAATGGGCTCCTTCTTTGCTGTCCCACTCCTACAGGCTTTTGGGACCTGTTTGAGTTTCTTGTCGCCATCCCAACTCTGCTGAGTGGATGAGCAGGGGGAGGTGGGTCGTGGTGGGGAGGGATGGTTCTGTCCCAACTCTTCAGTATTGAGGTTGAGCAAAGAGAACCTCAAACTTGGAGTCAGTTGGACCTGGGTCTGAATCCAGCCTTAGCCACTCCCTTGTTCTGTGACCTTGGTCCAGTTTCTTACCCTTGCCGGTCTGCTGTTTTCTCACTGGTTAAAGCAAAGAGCTTGAACTAGGGCAGTGTTTCCAACTCGTAGTTCCTTAGAGAAGCTGGAAGAAGCCACATGGAGGGTGTAGGGGGAGACAGAGGGGAGGCCAACCCCACCTTACCCACCCACATCCACTGCTTCACTCAGAACAGCCCTGCTTCCCTCTGTTTCATACATTGGGCTTCTATGATTAAGAGTCTGAGGCTGGGCACAGTGGCTCATGCCTGTGATCCCAACACTTTGGGAGACTGAGGCATGAGGAGCGCTTAAGCCCAGGAGTTCGAGACCAGTCTGAGCAACATGGCGAAACCCTGTCTCTACAAAATACAAAAAAAATTGGCCAGGCATGGTGGTGCATGCCTGTAGTCCAGCTACTCGGAAGGCTGAGATGGGAGGATTGCTGGAGACTGGAGAGGTTGAGGCTGCAGTGAACCATGATCGTGCCACTGCACTCCAGCCTGGGTGACAGAGTGAGACCCTGTTTCAAAAAAAGAAAAAAGAAAGAAAGAAAAAAAAGAGTTTGATAACCTCTTGGACTAGTTGATATCTAAGTTCTTCTTGGCCCTAAACATTTTAAGACTCCTTCCATGTCTTATTTGACCACCAGACTGTGAATTAGAAAAGGGCTGGTCGGCAGGGCGTGGTGGCTCAAGCCTGTAATCCCAGCACTTTGGGAGGCCGAGGAGGGCGGATCACGAGGTCAGGAGATCGAGACCATCCTGGCTAACATGGTGAAACCCCGTCTCTACTAAAAATACAAAAAAAAAAAAAGAGTTTCACTTTGTCGCCAGGCTGGAGTGCAGTGGCACAATCTCGGCTCACTGCAACCTCTGCCTCCCAGGTTCAAGCGATTCCCCTACCTCAGCCTCCTGAGTAGCTGGGATTACAGGCATCCGCCACCATACATGGCTAATTTTTGTATTTTTAGTACAGACGGGGTTTAACCATGTTGGTCAAGCTGCCCTCGAACTCCTGACCTCAAGTGATCCACCAGCCTCAGCCTCTTAAAGTGCTGGGATTACAGGCGTGAACCACCACACTCAGCCGCCTTCTGTATTCTTAACTTTTTTTTTTTTTTTGAGATGGAGTCTTGCTCAGTCGCCCAGACTAGAGTGCAGTGGTGTGATCTCGGCTCACTGCAACCTCCACCTCCTGGGTTCAAGCGATTCTCCTGCCTCAGCCTCCTGAGTAGCTGGGATTACAGGTGCGCGCCACCATGCCCAGCTAATTTTTGTATTTTTAGTTGAGATGGGGTTTCACCATGTTGGTCAGGCTGGTCTTGAACTCCTGACCTCAGGTGATCCACCTGCCTCGGCCTCCCAAAGTGCTGAGATTACAGGCATGAGCCACCGTGCCCGGCCTGTATTCTTAACTTCGCATTCTTTATCTAGGAAGACCCCCCACCTCAGACAAGCTTCAGGCCCCACAATCCTGGATCTGCCCGTTGGGTCTTCGGTTTTCCCAACTGCAAAGAGAGAATAAAGGCTGTGAAAGGACTTCATAGGATGTAAGATAATCTCTTTTATTTTTAAAATTTGTATTTATTTTTGAGACAGGGTCCTGCTCTGTTGCCCAGGCTGGAGTGCAGTGGCACAATCACAGCTTACTATAGCCTAGACCTCATGGGCTCAAGCGATCCTCCCATTTTAGCTTCCTGAGTAGTTGGGACTATAGGCGCATGCCACCACATCTGGCTAATTTTTCGTATTTTTTTTGTAGAGATGGGGTTTCGTCACGTTGCCCAGGGTGGTTGTGAACTCTTGGGCTGAAGCAATCACCCTGCCTTGGTCTCCTAAATTGTTGTGATTACAGGTATAAGTCAGTGCTCCTCGCCTATTTTTTAAATTAAATTTTATTTATTAATTTTTAAAAGACTAGTCAAGTGCAGTAGTGAGGAGGGAAAGAATAGAACAAAGAGTTTGATCTGTAACTGATGGTGAATAATCAATTGAGATAATTCACTACTTTCAGGCCAGCATATTTTCATCTTTTTTTAGAGACAGGGTCTCACCGTGTTGCCAGGCTGGTTTCAAGTGATCCTCCTGCCTCGCTTCCCAAAGTGCTGGGCTAACAGGTGTGAGCCACCTCGCCTGGCCACTGATGATCTCTCTTATTCCTTTCAAAGTCCCCAGAGAAGAAAAAATGAAGAGGAAACATAAGGGACTTAGGGTTTCACAGCAAGTTGTGGCAAGCTGTGAGGTTGCAATCCAGGATAGCCCACTTGAAAGCTCCCCTTTCATATCACCTCCTGCCTTGAGTGCACACCTGTGCACGCAAAGTCACCCGCCTTTCCCAGGAACTCAGCCTCTGGCAGCCTGGAAGGCTCAGCTTTGCACTTCCGCCCCAACTGCTCCATGACCTCGAGGGGGCAGCAGACACCGTCTTTCCCTCACCCTGGCAACTGCTCATTCCAGTTTTCAGAGTCCCACATAGCCAGAATCTCAGCTCTCCCCAAACACCTCCATCAGCTCTCTCCTGCCCCTCCCTGCAAACAGCGAGTATCGCCTTCAAGTCCTGGCCTTGTCATGTTCTGGCTGTGTGATAGTGAGCAGATCACCTCACCGCCCTCTGCCTCATTGAACTCATCCATAAAATAGGGCTATCTTGTGAAAACAGGTCAGTGAAGCACCCGGCACGTATATAATACACCAACAATCATTGACAGCCATTGCTGTTTCAACAAGGCCTTCCGGAGATGTCACCTCCCCTGGGAAGGGGTTCTCCTGATAGGATTGGCCCCTGCCCCACGCTGTGGCAAAGCCGAGGAACTCCTAGGCAGTGGGGCCTTTCAGGGCTCTTCAGTGTTCATTTGTTGGCATCCTCTGTGCCCATACATGGGCCCCTCCCTGGGCTGCAGTGTCTGACTTGGCTTTTTCTCCATCCCTACCAACCCCGATCTCTCCCTTGGAAGGGCTCTGCAACTTCATCCCCACCTCAATGTCTTCCTGAGGATTTTCCCCAATTTTCTTATCTTTTTTCTTTTCTTTTCTTTTCTTTTTTTTTTTTTTTTTGAGACAGAGTCTCACTCTGTTGCCCAGGCTGGAGTGCAGTGGTAGAATCTCGGCTCACTGCAACCTCTGCCTCCCAGGTTCAAGTGATTCTCCTGCCTCAGCCTCTTGAGTAGCTGGGATTACAGGCGCCCGCCACCATGTCTGGCTAATTTTTTTCTATTTTCAGTAGAGACAGGGTATCACCATGGTTGGCCAGGCTGATCTCGAACTCCTGACCTCATGTGATCCGCCTGCCTCAGCCTCCCAAAGTGCTGGGATTATAGGCGTAAGCCACTGTGCCTGGCCCCAAATTTCAAATGCATTCTCCTGGAGAAGGGTTGCTGACCCACTGCCTACCGATTTTCACTGTCCCCTTACCCACCCCTAAATGACTGCCACACCCTAGTCCCCTCTATCTCAAAGACTCACTGACCATCCCCAAATGTCTCTTCCCCTGTGTCTTAACCCAGCATTTGAAGCCTTCCACAATTTGGTCTCATGATTCACCCTGTCCTTCAACTATCCCAGACCATTTTCTGTTCCCAGAGTACACCTTCACTATCCTACCTCTAAGCCTTTGTGCAGGCTGTTCCTCCACCTGGAATGCCCTCTCTCATTTCCATGTAGTAAATTAGTCCTTAATGTCCAGCTGGGAGGTCACCTCCTCCAGGCAGTCTTCCTTACTCCCTCAGATGGAGTCATTTTCCCCTCTGGGCTCTGGGCATACAATTGCTTTAGGGTCTTCCTCATAGGAAGCCGTGAGTAACAGCAGGAACATCCATTATCCACACTTTGCAAATGCCTTTCCCTTCTAGTATCATGGTCCTGGGAAAAGCAGCAGGGTGAGAGCCATTAACTCCTTTGACTGATGAGGAGACAGGCTAGGAGGAAGTCATAAGCCCCGTAAATGGTGGAGACAGGATTCAAACCCGAAACGGCCACACCGGCTGCCTTGGGCCTGAAAGTCCTCTCCCTCTCTACCATTTCTTGTGGCCTGGTCTTGTGACTCTCTGCCCCTTTGTCAGTCTCAACTTTTAATAATTCGCTCAATGAAGCGCTGCTGAAGGAACAGAGGCTCCCACGTGTGCACTTCCCCGCCCCCAACCTGTCTGTTCCTTGCCTTCTTTATCACCCACCTCAAGCCCATCTGAAGCTGGTGGGAGTGCCCAGGCTCTGACAGGATAAGGAATTCCTGGAGGTCCAGGCCTTCTCAGAGGAGCGGGGGGAGACACAAACAGGTTCCTTCCTCCACCCCCCAAGCTTATCAGCGCCCCACAGGCTCCGGGGAACTGAATGCTCAGCCAAGGGAGGAAAGCTGCCCCCTGCCTGTCACCTTCACACCCTCTATTACTTACCCCGTCTCTACTAAAAATACAAAAAAAAATTAGCTGGGCATGGTGGTCTGTGCCTGTAATCCCAGCTACTAGGGAGGCTGAGGCAAGAGAATTGCTTGAACCTGGGAGGCAGAGGTTGCAGTGAGCTGAGATCACGCCACTGCACTCCAGCCTGGGCGACAGAGCAGGACTCCGTCTCAAAAAAAAAAAAAAAAAAGAGTGGTATGACCTTGGGTTGCCACTTTAGCTCTCTGAGCCTCAGAAGCTCTTTAGAACATTTTTGGCTGTTAGGATTCAATAAGATAAAATGAGCAAATGCCTGTAAAAGAACCAGGATCGCTAAATGTGAGTGGCTTCTTCAAGAGGTCACTGCTGACGGGGGCATCTCAGGTAGCAAAGTGCTCCCTGCAGTCTGGGGATGGAGGCGAAGATTATGATGTCACTGGCAGAGGCCATGGGGCAGGGGGCCTGCAGTCCAGGGAGTGACAGCTTTCCCGCTTCAGTGACTGACAAAGCCACACAAGGCCTTCACCCACACAAGTGCACAAGTCACCTCAACGAGAAACACACACACAGGTGCCTGGGTGGAGGGGCTGTGGGACAGGGCAGAGCTCTCTAGGTCCCAGGGCCTGAGGCCCAGGGGACAACCTGTTTATAGGACACAGACAGACACAGATTCACACCCTCTATATAAACTCACAAACAGGGGCACACCCTCACAGGCACCAAAACACACCCCCCTACACATACACATACACAAATGCACAGAAACAGGAGATACAGGATCACAAGCATATTCCCAAATGCACTCCCCACGCACAAATTCAGAAACGCAGAGCCCTCCCTGGCCAACACACACACACACACACACACACACACACACACACACACACACACACACTCTTATCAGGCTGGGGCAGGCACTGGCACTGCTGAGTCACCCACAGGCAGCTCAGCCCAACAGAGCTAGAGCCACGTGGCTGCCCCAGCAGGGAGGGGGCAGGGCCCACAGCAGCTCTTTAGAATCACCCCATCCACCTGACTGCTGGGGTTTTCCTCTCCCTAGCCCTTTGATTGAGTCAGGGGTGGGGATGGGGTTGGGGGAGGAGCCACTGTTTGCAGAGGCCAAATCAAAAATTTCACAGCCTGCACTCTCCTGGGTGCAAGAGTACACGTGAGAGGAATTAAAAAATACTACTAGATTAATTACTATTTGCAAATATATTTTCACATACTCCCATTTAACCATCACAACAGCTCTATATAAAGTTAGCACTATTATTAATCTCATTTTACCCCAGGGTGGGGGGCGGGTGCCTTGCCCCAAAGCCCAAAACCCAGACTCACCTGCCTCCAAATCCCTACCTCGTAACCCCTGGGCAATACTGTCTGGTGGGCAGGTGTGATATAGGCAAGTGAAAGGTACATCAATGTGCTTGGGAGCCTGGTTGTCTATGTGTGTGTGTGCGCACGTGTGTGTGCTCGCGCACCAGGCTTCCCCAGGGGATTCACAGGGATAGAGACTGAAAGGGTCTCAAGTGTCCTGATTTCTGGTCGAAGGATCCAACACTTCTCTAGTCCCTTGAAGCCCACCTCCCTCCATCAGAAAACATCTCCCCAGTCAAAGGGCTCAGTCTGACCCTCCTCTGCTAGATTATGGGCTCCTTGAAGGCAGGAACCAGGGCCCTGAAGCCTCAAACAGGACCTGATTCAGAGAAGTCCTCAGTGAATTTGGAGGGGGGGAGAGTCAGTCAATGTATGACTTTTAATTCAGTTATGTATCAATATAACAATAACATCAATAATTATAATAAATGCTAATGCTTATTGCATGCTTACCCTGGGACTGGCACTGTTCTTAGCACTTGACATGGATTCTTTCATTCAATTCTTGCCACAACCCTTGAGGAAAATACTTTCATTAACCCCACTTTGCAGAGGAGGAAACTGGCTTGGAGAGAGTTAGTAGCTCACCCAAAGTAACTCAATTAGGAAGTGGCAGCGTTGGGGATTGGAACACAGGAAGTCTAGTTACCCCATTTAGTAGGAAGATCACTACATTCAGAGGAAGGCTTTGTCCTCAGCGAGCCTCAGTTTGCCATATTTGTCCAAAGAAAGGGTTAGTTTTCCACGGTGCTCTGGCCTGGAATATTCTATGATCCTATGATTCTGTGACGAAGAGCTTTTGAAGTGTCAGGGTTAGTTTTAAAATGAAAGAGGCCATTCTGCCGGGTGGTGAGCTTCCTGACATGGGCATATGTAAGCCAGCTCAGGCCTGAAATGGGAGGGAGGGGATGAGACTTCGGCCAGTGACCATGGAAGCGTTGATGGAGTGGACCATCAGGAGGGGAAAAGTCACTGAGAAGAGTGGCAAGGCGGGCACGACAGGATCCAGAACTCGCTTTTACGGAACGCCTACTGTGTACCAGACCTATGCTTGACATTTAACTTACATCGCTAATTCTCAGGAAAACATTGTAAGATTTATGGTTGACGAAATTCAGATCCAGAGAAGTGACTTGTTCAGGGTCACGCCGGACGAAGTGGTAGGACAGGCGATCCAGGTGAGTCTCCTCAGGGTCACTTCCCTAGATCCCCTCTGACCAACCCCTCTACCTAGTAACCTTAGGAGCAGTACCACGTGTCAAATTGCTTCACACTTTTGTCATATGACGTCACACCAGTCAATCCAGGAACTCCCTGCCCTTCCCTCCCCTGACCTCTGGGGTCTATCAAAGCAGCCCCCGGCTCAGTGTCCCCGCCGGACGAGGCTACACCTGCAGCCCCCGCCCCTTCCCAACTGCGACTCTCGCACTCCTCTGCCCGGGCCTCCCCCTCCCCGCCCCGCTGATCGGCAGTTGCCTGCGCCAATCAGAGGGCCTAGCGGGCGGGGCGGGGCCTCACGATGGAGTTGCCCTGTCAGTGCAGGTGGAGGCCCCGGCGGGGCAAAGTGGCAGGAACCTCTTAAAGGGCGAGAGCGGCGCGGAGCCAGAACGCGGTCGGCCCGGTCCCCGCCGCACCCAGCCCAGGTGAGCCTGGACCACCTGGGGGGCGACCCTCGGTCCCCGGGAGGGACGGGGTTAGGGACAGAAGAACCTACCCCCAAGGGCTCGGACCGTCCCGGGAGAGGCGAGACCAGGGTCGAAGGGTCCAGGGCTGAGGGGTCCAGCGGTCCCGAATTCCAGAATCCGAACTTGGGGTCCAAAGGAGTCTGGGCATCTTAAAGTTCAGGGTGCAGGGAGGGGCGTGGGAGTCTGGAGAGGGGGTCCGGGAGCTCGGATCCGGAGCTAGACACGTCCGGGTCCGGCCGGTCCTGGCTGTCTGGGGCGGGGGTCCTGCATTCGGTGTCCGCGGGAGAGTCCCTGCAGGTCGGCGCAGCCCCCGGCCGCCCCCTAGCCCCGCCTTGCCCGGCCCCGCATGCTCCTGCCGGGCCCGCAGCAGCGCTGGAGCGGGCTGGCGGCTAGCAGCGGGAGGGGGCTCCGGGGCCTGGAGCCCCGCGCCCCGCTCCGGCCCTTACGTAACTGACTTTGAGTTTCCGGACCCAGGAACCGACCCGCCAGCTGGGGCGCCGGCTGTGCCCGCCAGGGTGGCCCCCCCGGCCGTCGCGCCAGCCCCACACCCTCCCTGCCAGGCTTGGTCTAGGGGACTTCCCTCTGTCTGGGTCTCCCGGGTCTCTCTGTCCGGTTCAGGCTCAGGTTCCCTCTCATCTCTGGGTTCCCTGTATCTCTCATCTGTCGTCTCTGTTTTGCTGTCTTTTCCTGTCTCTGTCCTCTGTCTTTCCTCAAGAATTGTCTCGCCCTCACCTACACTTCCCGGCAGGCCCCACCTCTTCAGGGTGGGACAGGACCCCTCCTCTCCAGCTAGTTGGAGGCAGGGACCTGTCCAGACCAACCCGAGCCCGAGCTCGCTCCAGGAGTGGGGAGGAGAGAGGAGGGTTGGGGAAGATGATTCTAGGACCCTTAGCTCCTGGGTCCGGGAACGGACGACCCCTTCTCCGCCTCTGGAGCCCTTTCCTCCAGAAGGAGGAGGCTTGGACAGAACCTGGCTGGGGCTGGGCTTAGGGCAACTGGGAGTCCCTGTGAGAGCTGCCTAGTGTCTCGTCAGGGTCAGGTCCTCAGCTATTGAAGGGGAGCGGGAGGGGCTGGGGAGGGGCCAGAGCCCTGGCACGCGCCCCGGAGCTTCAGCAAGCTCCCTACCTCCACCCAGTTTCAGGCCTGGAGGATGGTCTTGGCAGGAGGCTGGGTGGGGAAGGGATCTGCAGGAGGAGGCTCAAGGGACTTCTGCATGTTGGGGAGGAGGGTGGAGATAGAATGACAGACCCGCAAGTCTAAGGAGCACCTACTGGGAACACTCCCTGCCTTGAAGGCTCTCCGGGGTGTCAGACAGACACTTCGGAAATCACTGTAAATAAGGCGTTAAAGCAGGTGTGAGGTGGGAATTATTATTTCTTCTTTTTTTTCTTTTGAGACGGAGTCTCGCTCTGTCGCCCAGGCTAGAGTGCAGTGTCGCGATCTCGGCCCACTGCAAGCTCCGCCTCCCGGATTCACGCCATTCTCCTGCCTCAGCCTCCCGAGTAGCTGGGATTACAGGCGCCCGCCACCGCGCCCGGCTAATTTTTTGTATTTTTAGTAGAGACGGGGATTCACCGTGTTAGCCAGGATGGTCTCGATCTCCTGACCTCGTGATCCACCCACCTCGGCCTCCCAAAGTGCTGGGATTACAGGCGTGAGCCACCGCGCCAGGCCGGGAATTATTAATTCTAAGCCAGGAGAAACTTTGCGCAAGGAGGTAGGAGGCTTGAGAAGAAAGGGAGCCAGAAGCTGAAGGGAGCAGAGGGAGGGATGAAAGGGGACATCCAGTGCCCAGTAGGCTCTGCACACAGCAGAACTGGGTTGAATCCTGACCCTTCCACTTTCCTGCTGTGTGATCCTGCATGAGTCACTTCACCTCTCTGAGTCCCAGGCTTGTACTTTGTCAATAATCCGGACCTTGCAGGCATAAGCAGCATCAAATAGGCAATGTGTATGCAGACCAGAACGGTAGCTGGTCTGATAGCAGGCCAGTAGTGTGTTTTAAGAAGGGAATGGAGTGGGGAAGTCCTGAGGTTTCCGCTGTATGTATAGGAGAGCCAGGCAACACCTGCCAGGTCTCAGCAACATGGGGCATGGGTGGAGTGCCTGGGTGTATGGGTGATACTCATTGAGGCCACACTGGCTGTCTCCTGATTGGCCCATCCCTCCTAGACCAGGGCTGGCCTCCCTCCTGTAGGCTCCAGGTGCCAACAGAAGCTCCCACCCAGGCCGCCTTACTCCCCAGACGAGTGCGGGTAGAGCCCTGTCAGGGCAGGACCAGCACCCTCTCTGCAGAATGGACCATGGCCAGGAGACTGGCTGGCCGTGCTGGGCAGGAACATCCATCTGGCTAGGAAGATGCTGACGCTGTGCAGGCCCCATGGAGGTCCAGACCTCTGTTGGCTGGGGCTGGGCCCAGCTGATGGAACCTAGGCTGCAGGGTGAGACAGAGGCTGGGGTGGTGGGAGTGAGGAGGGGAGGTGCAAGGAGGGACTCCTGGAGAGGAATCCTGAGCCCAGGTGTGGAACCAAACCGAGCTTCATTCGGTTATTCTCTAAGCCTTTCTTGAGCACGTACTGTGCACCATATACAGGTCTGCCAGCCACAGACCTGAACAGGATACTCACAGAGGGCTCACCACAGAGTTATGGTGTCCTGAGATTTGTTAGGGGTTTGCAGAATGGGCCTGTATGACAGTTCCTGGGGATAGGGGAGTTCAGAATTTTCCCAGGGCCTTAGATTCTGATATTTTATTTTATTTTTATTTTTATTTTTATTTTATTTTATTTTATTTTGTTTTTTTGAGACAGAGTCTCACTCTGTTGCCCAGGCTGGAGTGCAGTGGCATGATCTCAGCTCACTGCAACCTTCACCTCCTGGATTCAAGCGATTCTCTTGCCTTAGCCTCCTGAGTAACTGGGATTACAGGCTCCTGCCACCATGCCTGGCTAATTTTTTTATTTTTAGTAGAGATAGGATTTTGCCATGTTGGCCAGGGTGGTCTCGAACTCCTGACCTCAGGTGATCTGCCCACCTCGGCCTCCCAAAGTGCTGGGATTACAGGCGTGAGCCACCGTGCCTGGCTGATTCTGATATTTATTAAAGGGGGTGGGATTCCACTCCTTTATAGTCTGCAGGCTAGTCACTTTGCTCCCTGGGTTTCAGTTTCCCTTTCTGTGAAATGAGTAGGGGAGATAAGTCTAAAGTCTCTACGGGTCTTCCAGCGCCTATTACTATAGCCTCGGGACCTAGTTTGGGACTTAGTCTACCCCCTACTCTCACTCCACGTGAGGGGATAGGATGGAGCAAGATGAAGGCTGAGTATGACGGGCCCACAAGTCCTGTTCTTGGCCCGTGTTCTCTAATCATAATTACAGCCACTGCCTGTTAAGCACTTACTATGCACAGCATTCTGTTCTAAGCCTTTAATACGCTGCATTAACTCATTCAATCCTTACAATCTCATGAGGGAAATATTATCTTTGTTTTGCAGGAGTTTAGGGAGCTGAACAGACTTGACCAAAGTCACAAAGCTGGGAAGTGGCCGAGCTGGGATTTGAACTTAGGTTCAACTCCAAAGCCCAGACCTAACTAAGAGTGGGAGCCTCCACCCCACGGGTACTGAGGTGCCCACATTGCTCAGCCCTTACCTGTGGAACTGTTTGACCCCTGCTGGAGCAAAGCTCTGAGCTCTGGGATCTTGAGGCTGGGGAACTGGGGAACAAGCTGTGCTGCCTCTGTTGGGTGGCCCCTGGGGCCAGCATAGAGAGAAAGGGGCAGAGGGAGCAACCTCCAGGTCAGCCAGGGCCCACTAGGGGTTTCCCCAGAGGGGCAGCCCCACGCAGCTACTGCCCAGGTGCAAGACTGGGCACTGAAAGGCAACCTTGGGTATGTGGCCAACTTTGGACCTCAGTTGCCTCATCTGTAAAGCATGGACTTAAATGAGTGTAGACACTCCTTGACCCCTGGGTTAGTGGCTGAGGTCAGCAATAGGATAAAGGGTTAGAGGAGAGCTTGGAGTGACAGTGACTGAGTCTGTGAAGGAAGAGTTTGGGTCAGGAACATCTTGGATCCTGGGCCAGCTGTTTGATAGCTATTTCAGAGGAAGAGACTGAGGTTGGAGAGGTTCAAAGGCTTGTCTGGGGCTGTTCAGCCAGTACCCCAGAGACTGAAGGGAAATAAACCAAGGGAAAACCCGGAGAACAAAATCCAGGCAGATATGAGCTAGAATCCTGGGTTGGCCACTTAACTAGGCTTGGAGGTGTGAAGTGGCACCCCTGAGGACACACGAGAGTCCCTTCACCTAACTGTCCTCATCTTTAAAGTGGGAATAGTAACAATTTCTCCTTTGTCCACTTCCTGGGTTGTTGTGAAGGTTAAAGGAGATGAGGCATTTGTAAAATCAGGTGAGAATGTGGTTGCTGGTCATTTTTCAGTCCAAAGCTGCAGTTCCGGGTTTGTGTTTGTGGTGGTGGGAGCATTTCTGACAGCTCCTCTGTTGAGATGCTTTATCCAGGAGTTGTGCTGGAGAGAAGCCCTAAGAATAACACCACCGGCCGGGCATGGTGGCTCACACCTGTAATCCCAGCATTTTGGGAGGCCAAGGTGGGCGGGTCACCTGAGATCAGGAGTTCGACACAGCCTGGCTAACACGGTGAAACCCCGTCTCTACTAAAAATACAAAAAATTAGCTGGGCATGGTTGGTGGCAGGCGTCTATAATCCCAGCTACTCGGGATGCTGAGGCAGGAGAATCACTTGAACCGAGGAGGCGGAGGTTGCAGTGAGCCAAGATCGTGCCACTGCACTCCAGCCTGGGCAATAAGAACAAGACTGCATCTCAAAAAAAAAAAAAAAAAAAAAAGAATAACACCACCATTTATTGCACAGTTGCCGGTACCAGGCATTGTACTCAACTTCACCTCTCATTGTATCATTAACCCCCTACAGCAACTTTGTCAGGTAGGTGGTACCCCTCACCCATGCTGGGTCCCTCCAAAACCCATGCCAACAGCCCCTGTAATGATAGTAGCAAACGCTTCTGAATGGTTTACTGTGTGCCAAGCATCCTTCCAGACGTGTTACATGTATTGACCCATGTTAATCCTCACATCAACCCTGTGAGGTGGATACTAATATTATCTCCAGTTTGCAGATGAATAAATGAGGCATAGACAAGTAAAAACGAGGCCAGGCGTGGTGGCTCAAGCCTATAATCCCAGCACTTTGGGAGGCTGAGGTGGGTAGATCACCTGAGGTCAGGAGTTTGAGACCAGCCTGACTAATACGATGAAACCCCATCTCTACTAAAAATACAAAAATACACGGTGGCATGCGCCTATAATCCCAGCTACTTGGGAGGCTGAGACAGGAGAATCGCTTGAACCAAGGAGGCGGAGGTTGCGCCATTGCACTCCAGCCTGGGCAACAAGAGGGAAACTCTGTCTCAAACAAACAAACAAATAAACAAAACAAAACAAAACAAATGGCCCCAATGTCACAAAAGGTAGAGCCATAAATAGTGAAGTCAGGATTTTCCCAGGTTCTTTTTTTTTTTTTTTTTTTTTTTTGAGACAGAATCTTACTCTGTTGTCCAGGCTGGAGTGTAGTGGTGCGATCTTGGCTCACTGCAACCTCTGCCTCCCAGGTTCAAGCAATTCTTGTGCCTTAGCCTCCTGAGTAGCTGGGATTATAGGCACCCACCACCATGCCAGGCTAATTTTGTATTTTTGGAGAGACGGAGTTTCACCATGTTGGCCAGGCTGGTCTCAAACTCCTGGCTTCAAGTGATTTGCCTGCCTCGGCCTCCCAAAGTGCTGGGATTACAAGTGTCAGGTTCTTTTATTCTGAGATAGGGTCTCACTCTGTCGCCCAGGTTAGAGTACAATGGGGTGATCACGGCTCACTTCAGCCTTGACCTCCTGGGCTCAAGGGAGCCTCCTACCTAAGCCTCCTGAGTAGGTGGGACTCCACCACACACACCTAATTTTCATATTTTTTGTAGAGATGGGGTTTCCCCATGTTGCCTAGGCTGGTCTTGAACTCCTGAGCTCAAGCAAAACTCCCACCTCAGCCTCCCAAAGTGCTGGGATTATAGGTGTGAGGCACCGTGCCCGGCTGGCCCAGGTTCTTAAAGTCTCCTCCTTGACACAATCATCACAGTTGTAATTCAGTAGTTATTTACATGATTGTCTCCTCACTGCATTGTAAGCTCCATAAGTACAGGGGCCATGTCTGTCTTCTTCAGGCTGTATCCCCAACACCTGGCACACAGCAGGTGCTCAGTTAATGTTTGTTCACAGGGACGCTGCTGCCTCTAGTGGGCTGGGCCCTGGAGGCCTGATGAGCTGAGGGTGGATTATCAGATTATTGCTGACTAGGGCGTCTGCCCCAGCAAGACCCCAGAGGCAGAGGGAGGGCAGGGTTCCCTCCTGGCTCAGGCCCTGGCTGAAGAAGGGGACCCAAAGGGCTTTTTCTTTGGCTGTGCTGTGTGTCTCACTGCTGTCATTTGCTTCCATGTGCCACTGCGGTGATGGCTCCATGGCCTCTCCTGGACTGGCTGCGTGACCCCGACGGCTGCTTCTGGGTGAGTAATGGTTTGACTTAATGACTGCCACATGAGCTGATTTTAATGCATGTCCTGTGGCTCTGAGGCCACTGGGAGGCGTAAAGAGAGGCCCGGGGGTAGGGGTGGAAATGCTGAGAGAGGGCACTCTGTGATTTTAGGATCCTACCATAAGCAGGGCCTACCAATTAAACACACTGGGTGCTGATTTTTTGGTCACATGATACAATGCAAAGGTCTTTGGGGCAGACTGGGCTGGAATAGAATCCTTTTTCTGTTGCATACAGGTGGGTGATTCTTTGCATCTCAGTTTCACGTCTGCAAAATAAGAATATGAATACTTATGGGACACAAGTATATTTGTTCTTTTATTCATGTAAGCCCCACAAGGGCAGGGATTTTTGTTCATCTGTTCACCAGGTGCTGTATCTTCAGCGCCTAGGGTATAGTAGCACGTAGTAGGTGCTCACTGAATGTTTCCAAAGGAATGAAGATATTTATTGACTGTTTATGGTATACCTATCAATGTGCTTTGTATTGGATTAAATGGCTAATGGATATAAAGGGCCCAGCATGATAGGGGCTCAGTGAATGTGAATTCCCTATTTGCTCAATAGACTGTGACTTTCTTGGGGATCAGGGCTCTGGTAAAGTGAGCTCTGGGTCTTCTGAACTTAGTAAGGGGCCAAGTACCAAGCATGTATCAATCAGCACAGAGAGGGGCCTGGCAACTGGACTTCCTGGAGAGGGAGTGACAGAGCCTCTAGTTTTCATCAGAAGAGAGAGGCAGCTGGGAAGATCTGGGGCAGAAATGGGAGGGATGGGGAGGGACTCTGCCTTCTAGTACTGCCACTTTTCCTTGTCCAGGTGTGACCCTGGACAAGGCATGCTCTTCCCTGAGTCTTGGAGACCTCATCTGTGATGTACATATCACAACACTTTCCCCGCATAGGTGTGGGAAGGAGTTGATGAGAAGAGCCCACACAGGGCCCCATTTGGTAACTTCCCAGCCCTGGGCTCATTCTGGGATTCTGGGAGGGGACTATGTGTTCCTCTTTCTGGCTTTTTTCTCCTACTTTTAACTGCTCACCCAGCTGGGACTGGAATCCAAGGAGCCCCTGAACTTCCCAGCAGACTGGCCAGGGCCCTGGGATAAGGGCTGGGCTCTGCCTGGTGTGGGAGGAGCTGAGTGGAGGTTCCAGCTCTGCCACTCTCGCTGTGTGACTTGGTTCTGTAACCCCTTCTCTGCCTCGGTTGCCTTACCTGTAAAGTAGGGTTATTAAAAGACACCTCCCTTGAAGAATTGTTTAATTAGAAAATAGGTGGATTAGGCATTATTATCCATAATGCTATTTGGCTCTGGCTGAGGTGACTCTAGGGAGGGCCCTGAAGAATTACATCCCACTGTGGCCCAGGGAGCCTGGGACTCACTAGTCATCATGTGTATTATTGCCATTTATTGGCTATTTCTTATGGGCTGGGCTGGTTATATGCTATTTTAGACACATTATCTCATGCATTCCTCCTAGTGACCTAGGAGACCCTCTGAAGCAGGCATTATTATCCCCGCTTCATGGCACTGGGTAAGTCAAGTGAGTCACCCAGAATCCCACAGTTCTTTAGGGGTACAGCTGGGGCTCAGACCCAAGCCTGCTCACTCCAGGGCCCAAATTATTATTATTATTTTTTTTTGGATGGAGTCTCACTCTGTCACCCAGGCTGGAGTGCAGTGGTGCCATCTCGGCTCACTGCAACCTCCACCTCCTGGGTTCAAGCAATTCTCCTGTCTCAACCTCCCAAGTAGCTGGGACTACAGGCGTGCACCACCATTCTTGGCTAATATTTGTATTTTTAGTAGATGGGGTTTCACTGTATTTGTCAGGCTGGTCTCGAACTCCTGACCTCAGGTGATCAACCTGCCTCAGCCTCTCAAAGTGCTGGGATTATAGGTGTGAGCCACCACGCCCGGCCCTAAGGCCCAAATTCTTAGTGTGAAACTCTCATATTTCTCCCAAGGAGGTAGAGTGTACATCTGAATTCTCTTTGTCCATCTCCCATGACCAGTACACGGCTGGTGGGAGCTACTGACGTGTTTGTCGGATAAATAAATTCATGCACACACACTGCACCCCCACCCAGGCCTGCTGCTGTAAGAGTTTTAAAGAGAAAAGATAATAGAAAACAGGAGAAGGCTGGACAGCTTGGCACTTGAGGGTCAGACAGGCCTGACTTTGCATCTTGCATCTATTGTTTACCAGTTGTGTGACCTTAGGCAAGATATCTAACCTCTTGGAGCCTCAGTTTTCTTACCTGTAAAATGGGGAAAATAAAAGAACCTACCTACCTCTTAGGCTTCTTGTGAGGATTAAATAGTGAGGCACATGGTGAGCATTCAACAAATAGTAGCAATGGTTATTGTTATTATTATAATTATGAATATTATTTGGGGATTATAAAGATGTTCCTCTTGGGACAAAAGAGACCAGGTCTGGGAGGGAACTTCTGGGGACAGGTGGTGGATAGCAGCCTAGTCTGACAGACTCCTGAAGGCATGTGAAGGGAGGGAGGTGGCCTCATGGAAGTAAGAATGTACCTCCCTTTTCTAGTCATCTGCTTTTCCTCTGTGTCAGGCCCTGTGCTGGGCATGGGGCCCAGAGATGAATCTGTGTAGTCCTTCCCCACCTTCCCCACCGGGAGCTCGGAGTCTAGTTGGGAAGAAGATGCAGAAATCACCAACTCCACCTTTATTGAATAGGTGTTCTTATGCAAAGGGCAGGAAAAAAGACATTCCTAGTGGAAGGAACAGCATGTGCCAAGGTACACAACTGCCTGCACTTGGGGGAATGCAGCTGAAGAGACAGGCTCAAGACAATGAGTGAGGACTTGACCTATGGCAATGGAGAGTCACTGGATAGTAAGCAGGGAGGGGCAGGGACAGGGGCAGGAGGAACTGTCCAGGTGAGAGATGCCGAGATCTTGGGCTGGGGACTGTGCCATGGGATAAGGAGCAGCGATGTGAAGTCTGTTTAGGAGGCAGAGCCAGCAGGGCGTGATAATGAACTGCAGTGGCCAGAGAGGAGAGGAGAGGGCCAGAGGGAGATCTTGGGGCCTGGGGCCAATGGGGCCCACTGGGGTCTCTGGCTGAGGGACATATCTGGGAGGAGGAGGCAGAGCTGGGTTGAGGGTAAAAGCCATTCAGCTGCTCTCACTACCTTTCCCCTCAGTTTCCCAGGCAGCAGCTATGTCTGAGCTGGACACTGGGGCAAGGCCTGTGGCCACCAGGGCCCAGGGTACCCACTCCTATCTCAGGGGTCCCTTGTGGTGACCCTGGTAGGTCTGGTAGGGATGAGACCTCTTTGGGGTGGGGGCCAGGCAGGAGCTGTGTGGTGCAGAAAAGCCCTGGGTTCTAGACCTACCAGTGTTACTGAGTGTCTGTGCCACCTCAGGAATCACCAGGCCTGGTGGCTCACACCCGTAATCCCAACATTTTAGGAGGCTGAGGCAGGAGGATCACTTGTGCCCAGGAGTTCAACACAAGCCTAGGGAACATGGAGCAACCCCATCTCTACAAAAAAATACAAAAATCAGCTGGGCGTTGTGCATGTGCCTGTCATTCCAGCTACTTGGGAGGCTGAGGTGGGAGGATCCCTTGAGCCCAGGAGGTTGAGGCTGCAGTGAGCTGTGATTGCACCATTATGCTCCAGCCTGGGTGACAAAGTGAAACCCCTGTAGGTAGGTAGGTAGGAAGGTAGGAAGGGAAGGGAAGCGGAGGGAAGGGAAGGGAAGGGGAGGGGAGGGGAGAGGAGGGGAGAGGAGGGGAGAGGAGGGGAGAGGAGGGGAGGGGACAGGAGGGAAGGGAAGAAAGGAAGGGAAGGAAAGGAAGGAAAGAAAGAAGGCACTCCCATCACTCCCTCTCTCTTGCCCTCCTTTTCCTTGCCTTGAAAGTGAGAATAAGAAAACCTGTTTTGCTTGCCTCGAAGATTCAGTGATAAAATACAACTACAGACAGTAAACATTTATTGAGAGCTGATGGGCTAGGTTCTGGGGGCACAAAGGTGACTCACTCAGTGTTCCTGCTCCTTAAGGACGAACTGCCATGTGCAGAGTGAGCCCAGGGGAGCAGGTGGTTAACTCAGGGGCATCAAGGGGAAAAGAGCTAGGTTGGGCTTTGAAGGATGAGTAAGAGCTCTCTAGGTAGGCAATGGCAGGAACAACTTTCTAGGTACAGGGAATGGCATGTACAAAGGCTCAAGACTGCATACTGTGCTCAGGATAGATGAGCACTGTCGTTGGTGTGGCTGGAGCACAAAGGGAAAGGCTGGCAGTGACAGGAGATGAGGCTGGTCAGGGAAGTAGGGCCCACGTCAGGCAGACCTTTGGGGATGTCACTGGCTCCCCTCTCCTTCCTGCACCCTCACAACTGCCTGTTCTGCTCAGAGAGACAACCAGGACCTTCCCATGCTGCTCCTCCCCTTGAGTTCCCACCTTCTCCCCTCATCTTCACCACCCCAGCCAGATCAAGTGGCTGCCTCTCTCAGGAGTCAATAACCTGGCTGCCCTGCCAGCCCTGCCACTGAAAAGCCATGTGGCCTCCAGTCACTCACATACCCTGTCTATCTCAGTTTCCACCTCAGTGAAGTGGGAACAGCAGGCTTTCCTCCCAGAGAAGGGCGGAGGCTTCAATGAGATAATCTCCACAAATGGCCTGGCCCAGTGTCTGTATATATTGGGCACCCATAAACAGGAGCTAATTAAGCCATCATTATTTAGACTCCTCAATCTCCTTGGCCCCACCCACTGCTTCCCCTTTACCTCTCCTGGCAGCCCGTTCTAGCCAAGAAAGGAAGGAAAAGATTAAGAAACAAGCCCAAGTCTTCAGAGGGGTGCTGGCCCACTGCCAAGCTGGCTCCCCTCCTGCCCCTTGCCCGCCTTGGCCTTGGGCCCCAGGATTCTCAGTCCTGAGGCCTGGGCACTCTCCCACCCCCTGCACTAGATGCCCTGCCCTGGCTGGAGGCCAAAGCCAGCAGCAGCCTTGAAACAGGACACATATTTAGAAAATAGCTTTATTTTTTTTTTCCTCTGGGAGTGGATAAGGAAGCCCTTTTTTTCTGGTGCTTTCGTGAAGAGTGTGATGTTCAGTATTTCTGGAGGTCCAGTGGTCGGGGTAGAGCTGGATCCCTCAGCCTTCTGGATCATGCAACAGACGCTAGCCACCAAGTCCCTTATGGAACAGACACGGACCTCAGATCAAAGCAAGTGTCTGTCAGTGCAAGATCACACAGTAGAAGCCCAGGTCTCCAGACCCTCTGTGCACTGTCTCATAGATGCATGTGGTGCAGTGGCCTTGGCTGTCACTTTACCTCTCTGAGCCTCAGTTTTCTGCACTGTAGAGTGGCACCGATTTTACCATAAAGATCGGCAATAATGTACAGAAAGCACCTAGTGAGTCCTCAGTGGCAGGAAGCTACTGTTAGAGCTGCTGCCTCTTAAAAACTTCTTCTGCCCTTCCCCTTCCTGATCTAGGGACTTGGAATATCTGCTATGATTTCTATTGAACAAATGACACCTGATAAGCCAGTTTTAAAGCAGGAGGCTCAGCATCTGTTATGCTTCCCTCCCCTCTTCCCCCTTTCCTGGGACATTCTAGCCCCACCCATGACAGTTTCCCTTTTGCAGCCTCCGATGATGCCACTGCAGGCACTCAAGAAAAGCAGAGAGTAGGAAGGGCCCCATGCCATCCAGGCTTAGGCTGGGGGGAAAGTGATGGACTGTGAACTTGGAACCATCCTCGGGAGCTAGGATGACTTGAAGACTTCCACAGATGCTGGGAAATAGGCCTAAAAGAGAAAACCTGGTTCACAGCCCCAAAAATGGTAGAGTGGAAGGAACACCAGCCCTCCTAGCTCTCCACACTGTGAGATCTTGGGCAAATTACCTACCCTTCCTGAGCCTTCATTTTCTGATTTAAAAAAGGAAGGGGATGGATTGAGGTCAGAGGTTTCTACTAATACTACAGGATTAAAAGTAGGGATTTGTGAGCAGAGAGACTTTGGTTTAAATCCCAGCTTCACCCCTTACCAGCTGTGAGACCTCTAGCAAGTTGTTTTACCTAAGTGAGCTTCAGTTTTTTCCCCTATAACGTGGGGAAAATATTAGCATCTTCTCATAGGATTATTTAAGGGCTAAATTAAATAATTTGTATGAAGTACTCAGTCCGTAGCTGACAGACATGGTGGAATTATTATTGTTGTTTTTGTCATCGTTATTCTATGATCGGTAGAGATAATAAGAAGTCATAAAAGAGCTCATTGAGAAGGAAGGACTTGAGAAATGTACAGGATTGATTGAATTATTCATTCATTCAATAAATATTTAGAGTTTCCACAGATAGGCCAGAGACTAGCAGCAGAAAGGTGGAGTCAGACAGAGCTGCCTATTCTAGCTGTGTGATGTGGGATCATTTACTTCTTCTTCTTTTTTTTTTTTTTTGAGATGGAGTCTCCTTCTATCACCCAGGCTGGAGTGCAGTGGCATGACCTCGGGTTACTGCAACCTCTGCCTCCCAGGTTCAAGCAAACCTCCAACCTCAGCCTCCCAAGTAGCTGGGGATATAAGCATGCACCACCATGCTAGGCTAATTTTTGTATTTTTAGTAGAGATGGGGTTTCACCATGTTGGCCAGGCTGGTCTTGAACTCCTGACCTCAAGTGATCTGCCCCTCTCAGCCTCCCAAAGTGCTGGGATTACAGGCATGAGCCACTGTGCCTGGCTGGATCATTTACTTCTCTTCTCTTGGTCTCATGCCTTTGTTTGTAAAATGGTGAGAATAGTGGGCAAAATGTTACCTCCCGGGCTGTCCTGAGGCTAAAGAGGGTTTAAGTGCACTAGTCTGTCTGTGTCTGATTCCTTTCCCACTAGGCCCCTCAGCTGTTAATGACGAGAGGCATGATCCCAGGCAAGTCCATCAAGCACACTTCCACCCCAGGGACTTTGCACTTGCCAGTCCTTTGGCCCAGAACACTCTACCCCCAAACACTTTTGTAGCTTGTTCTCTCATCTCTTTAAATTTTTTGTTTAAATGTCACCTTCTCAATAAGACCTTTCCTATCTTTTTATTTATTTATTTATTTTGAGACGGAATCTCACTCTGTTACCCAGGCTGGAGTGCAGTGGCGAGATCTCAGCTCACTGCAAACTCCGCCTCCCGGGTTCATGCCATTCTCCTGCCTCAGCCTCCTGAGTAGCTGGGATTATAGGTGCCTGCCACCAAGCCCGGCTAATTTTTTGTATTTTTAGTAGAGATGGGGTTTCACTGTGTTAGCCAGGATAGTCTCGATCTGCTGACCTTGTGATCCGCCCGCCTTGGCCTCCCAAAGTGCTGGGATTACAGGCGTGAGCCACTGCACCCGGCTATTTATTTACTTTTTGAGACAGAGTCTTGCTCTGTCGCCAGGCTGGAGTGCAGTGGCATGATCTCGGCTCACTACAACCTCCACCTCCTGGGTTCAAGTGATTCTCCTGCCTCAGCCTCCTGAGTAGCTGGGACTACAGGCGTGCGCCACCATGTCCAGCTAATTTTTGTATTTTTAGTAGAGACAGCGTTTCACCATGTTGGCCAGGGTGGTCTCGATCTCTTGACCTCATGATCCGCGAGCCTCAGCCTCCCAAAGTGTTGGGATTACAGGCGTGAGCCACTGCACTCGGCCTATTTTTATATTATTATTATTATTATTTTGAGATGGAGCCTTGCTCTGTTGCCCAGGCTGGAGTGCAGTGGTGCGATCTTGGCTCACTGCAATCTCCGCCTCCCAGGTTCAAGGGATTCTCCTGTCTCAGCCTCCTGAGTAGCTGGGATTACAGGCACCCGCCACCACGCCCATCTAATTTTTGTATTTTTAGTAGAGACAGGGTTTCGCCATGTTGACCAGGCTGGTCTCGAACTCCTGACCTCTGGTGATCCACCCACCTCAGCCTCCCAAAGTACTAGAATTACAGGTGTGAGCCACCGCACCCGGCCTCCTGACTTCTTACTTAAAATTGTAACACCTTTCTGTCCTCTAACCTTAGCACTGTCTGCTTATTTTTATCCATAGCACTTATGACTCTTTGACATACTGTATTTTATTATTTGTTTATTGTCTCTCCTCGCATTGGAATGTAAGCTCTGTGATGATGGTGATTTTTGTCTATATTATTCAGCGTTATATCCCTTGTACCTAGAACAGTGCGTGGTGCATAGGAAGTGCTCAGTAAATATTTGGGGTGTAAACTGATGACTATATGAAGCCTGTTCTCTCTGGATCTAGGAATATTTTGAGCACACAGTAGAATCTCAATAAATGTGTGAATGAGAGAAAAAGTGAGCGGTCATCATCCTTTCCATTTGTCAGATCATACTTTAGCTGGGTCAACCCTGAGGCTCTTTTGCTTCTGATTGCTTCTGATATTTTCTGCCAGGGCATCAGTTTCAATTGGAGTGCCCAAATCTTTTGTTCTGGAGCCCGAGCTTTGCAGAATTTCTAGTTGGGGCTGTTTGGCTGTTGGGTCCGCAATGGTTATTATGTCATTATTGGTAATTAGCACTTAGGCCTAGAGGATTGAGCTTTTTGTTTTTCAGCAGAAATCATAGCAGAGAGCTGTGCTAGACACTGGGAGCCAGGCTTGGAGCAGCTTCCTCTGGAACTTTCCCCTTCCCAGCTCGGGGTCCATGATTTAGGGAGACCAAGACAGAGGTGCCCAAAGCTAGGGGCACATAGGTCACCAGCTCAACTGCTATTTTCCCCAGACAGTATCCTGCAATGTTTTCCCACAACACCCCTGGGTCTCTATGCCTGGCCTGGTACAGGGGGGTTCGTCACACCTTCAGGGGAGCTAGGTGTAGGGTTTCCAAATATCCAGTGGACAGGGGCATTTTCTGATGCTCAAGATTATAAGTGGAGGAAATTATCCTGGGTTTGAGACTCAGGAGCCTGAGCTTAAGTGGCTGTGTAGCTACTGACTTGCTGTGTGTTCTTAGGCATGTCACTGCCTCTTGTTGGGCCTCAGCTTTCTCACCTGTCAAACAGAGATAAAGACGCCTACTTGACCTCACTAGGGAAGAGAGGCAAGATAGTGTCTTGAGCAAGGAGTTGGGTTCTGGACTCACACACAGCTGGCTTCCCAACCATACCCCTTCCTAGCTGTGTGACACTGGGCAAATCACTTCACCTCTCTGACGTCAGTTCCCAAAGCAATAAAATGGGGCTAAAATAGTACCCACTCTACAGGGTTGTTGTGAGAATTAAATAAGAGAATGCAGTTAAAGTACTTAGGCACTTAGCTGGTACTCTGCACATCTTTGCTGGTATTATGATAATGACCATCATGGAAATGTAGGCAATCTGTAAAAAGAATACTAGCAACAGGGCCAGGCAGATGTGGATTTGAATTCTAACTCTGATACTTACTAGCTGGGTGATCTTGGACAAGTTTTTCACTTATCTGAGACTCTATTTCTTTTTCTTTTCTTTCTTTTTTTTTTTTTTTTGAGCTAAGGTCTCACTCTGCTGCCCAGGCTGGAGTGCAGTGGTGTGATCTCAGCTCACTGCAACCTCCGCCTCCTGGGTGCAAGCGATTCTCCTGCCTCAGCCTCTTGAGTAGCTGGGACTACAGGGGCCCACTGCCACACCCGGCTAATTTTTATATTTTTAGTAGAGACAAGGTTTCACTGGCCAGGCTGGTCTTGAACTCCTGATCTTCAGGTGATCTGCCCACCTCAGCCTCCCAAAGTGCTGGGATTACAGGCATGAGCCACCATGCCTGGCCTGAGACTCTATTTCTTCATCTGTACAATGGAAATTATAGTCATATCTTCCTCAAGGGGGTGTTGTGAAGGTTCAGTGACATATTGTATATAAAACACTTGGTGTAATGGTTGGCACATATTAGCTCCACTTTATAGAAAAGGAAGGGAGGGGAAGTGAATTGCCTGGACTCGCATAGCATCTCAGTGGTGAAGTTCTGATTTGAACCAAGGTCGGCCTGCCTCAAAAGTGCAGTTTTTTTGTTGTTGTTGTTTGTTTGTTTTTTGAGACAGAGTCTCACTCTGTTGCCCAGGCTGGAGTGCAGTGGTGTGATCTTGGCTCACTGCAACCTCCACCTCCCGGGTTCAAGCGATTCTCCTGCCTCAGCCTCCCGAGTAGCTGGGATTACAGGCACCCACCACTGCACCCGGCTGATTTTTGTATTTTCAGTAGAGACAGGGTTTCACCATCTTGGCCAGGCTGGTCTCGAACTCCTGACCTTGTGATCCATCTGCCTCACCCTCCCAAAGTGTTGAGATTACAGGCATGAGTCACCTTGCCCGGCCCAGCTTTTTTTTTTTTTTTTTTTAAACTTTTTCTTGCCATCACTCAAGTATGGGATCATAATGATGGCTGTTATTATAGAGCCACTGGACTCATTCATGCTAGGATCCCCAGTGCCCAATAAATGTGTGATGGATGAAGAAAGGTGGGACCACTGTGTCCCCACTTCCAGGGAGGCTTTTACCTTGAGGTTGAGGATTCTTTCTGGTTGGTTGCTAGCAGATTTAAAATAAAAATCATACTTAGTGTAGTATGGGGCTTTGTAATCTGCAGAACCCTTTGCATTCTCCACATCATTTGACCCTTCTTCCTTTCTTATATTGAAGCTCTAACCTCTAAGGTAATGGTATTTGGAAATGGAGTAATTAATCAGGGAAGTAATTAGGATAAGATGAGATTATGAGGGTGGGGCCCTCATGACAGTATTAGTGCCCTTATAAGAAGAGACACCAAGGCCAGGCGCGGTGGCTCATGGCTGTAATCCCAGTACTTTGGGAGGCGGAGGCGGGTGGATTACCTGAGGTCAGGAGTTTGAGGCCAGCCTAGCCAACATGGTAAAACCTTGTCTCTACTAAAAATACAAAAAATTGGCCAGCCGTGGTGGCTCATGCCTGTGATCCCAGCATTTTGGGAGGCCAAGGCTGGTGGATCACAAGGTCAGGAGATCGAGACCATCCTGGCTAACACGGTGAAACCCCATCTCTAAAAATACAAAAAAATTAGCTGGGCATGGTGGGGGGCGCCTGTAGTCCCAGCTACTTGGGAGGCTGAGGCAGGAGAATGGCATGAACCTGGGAGGCGGAGCTTGTAGTGAGCCGAGATCATGCCACTGCACTCCAGCCTGGGCGACAGAACGAGACTCTGTCTCAAAAAAAAAAAAAAAAAAATTAGCCAGGCGTGGTGGTGGGAGCCTGTAATCCTAGCTACTTGGGAGGCTGAGGCATGAGACTAGCTAGAACCCGGGAGATGGAGGTTGCAGTGAGGCGAGATTGCGCCACTGCACTCCAGCCGGGGCGACAGAGCAAGACTATGTCTCAAAAAGAAGAGACATCAGCTGGGTGCAGTGGCTCATGTCTGGAATCCCAGCACTTTGGGAGGTCCAGGCAAGTGGATCACTTGAGGTTGGGAGTTTGAGACCAGCCTGGCCAACATGGCAAAAACCCCTCTCTACTAAAAATACAAAAATCAGCCGGGCCTGGTGGTACGTGCCTGTAATCCCAGCTACTCGGGAAGCTGAGGCAGGAGAATCGCTTGAACCCGGGAGGTGGAGGTTGCAGTGAGCTGAGATCACGCCACTGCACTCAGCCTGGGCGACAGAGGAAGACTATGTCTCAAAAAAAAAAAACAACAAAAAACCAGAAAGCTTGCTGTCTCTCCACCATGTAAGGACACAGCAAGAAGGTGACCATCTGCCAGCCAGGAAGAGCACCCTCACCAGAACCTGGCCATGCCTGATCTCTGACTCCAGCCTCCAGAACTGTGAGAAAATAAATTTCTGTGTTTAAGCCACCGAATCTATGGCATTTTGTTGTGGCAGCTGAGCTGATGAAGGGTGGGTGACTTGCCTAGAGTCATACAGCAAATTTATTGTGGAACTAAGGCTGCAACTTATTTGCAGTCTCTCTTATGACTTCTCTCTTTCTTTTTCTTTCTTTCTTTTTTTTTTTTTTTTTGAGACGGAGTCTTGCTCTGTTGCCCAGGCTGGAGTGCAGTGGCGCGATCTCGGCTCTCTGAAACCTCTGCCTCCCAGGTTCAAGTGATTCTCCTGCCTCAGCCTCCAGAGTAGCTGGTACTACAGGCGCCCACCACCATGCCTGGCTAATTTTATGTATTTTTAGTAGAGATATGGTTTTGCCATGTTGGCCAGGCTGGTCTCGAACTCCTGGCCTCAACTGATCCACCTCCCTCGGCCTCCCAAAGTGTTGGGATTATAGGCGTGAGCCACTGTGCGTGGCCCCAATTTCTCAATTTCTTCCCCACTAAAGTGCTCCCAGTCACCGGAAGTCTTGGAAACTGAGGTTAGTCAAATGCTGGCTGGCCGGCTCAGAACCTGTCCTATAGTAGCAGCTTTGGAGGGTCTTGGAGCAAGTCAAACCTGGCAATTTCTGTGCCCCCAATACCCCTGCTTCCTTATATCTCCCCTTCTGCCCTGTCCCTCTGTCAAGTGAGGGTTGGGCCAGGCTGACTTTACCAGTTTTAGAAGACTGTCAGCTAGTAGGTGGCACAGAGCCTGTTTCTTGGAAAACCCTCTACGCCTTGAGGGTTCCCTCCCCTAGTAAGAGAGAATTAGTGGGTTAAGGCTGAGTGAGCTGAGGCTTTGCTGGATCAGGGTCATTAGGCTCATTCCAGCTGGTAAGAGAATAGGGTTGGAGAGGGTCATGGGAGGCCAGATCAGTGGGTCTCTCCCTGAATGTCCCAGGGCTATTATCAGAAGTAGTCAGGACAGCCTTTCCCTGAGGTCTTGGGACAGATATTAATATTACTCATTCACATCATTTCCAAAGTGCTTTCCTGAGAGTGCTTTCCTGAAAGCAGTACATAGTAGAGGACAGTGGCATCAGACAGACCTAGTTTAAGCTGCGATGTTAGGCAAATCACCTAACTTTTCTTTTTTTTTCTTTTTTTTTTTTTGAGACGGAGTCTCGCTCTGTTGCCCAGGCTGGAGTGCAGTAGTGCGATCTCAGCTCACTGCAAGCTCTGCCTCACGGGTTCACGCCATTCTCCTGCCTCAGCCTCCTGAGTAGGTAGCTGGGACTACAGGCACCCGCCACCAAGCCCAGCTAATTTTTTTGTAGAGACGGGGTTTCAACATGTCAGCCAGGATGGTCTCAATCTCCTGACCTCATGATCTGCCTGCCTCTGCCTCCCAAAGTGCTGGGATTACAGGCGTGAGCCACCATGCCTGGCCTTTTTTTTTTTTGAGATGGAGTCTCACTCTTGTCACCCAGGCAGGAGTACAGTGTGCGATCTTGGCTCACTGCAACGTCCGCCTCCTGGGTTCAAGCGATTCTTGTTACTCAGCCTCCCAAGTAGCTGGGATTACAGGTGCCCGCGACCACACCCGGCTGATATTTGTATTTTTAGTAGAGACATGGTTTCCCCATGTTGGTCATGGGCTGGTCTCGAACTCCCTACCTCAGGTGATCCACCTGCCTCGGCCTCCCAAAGTGCTGGGATTACAGGCATGAGCCACTGCACCCGGCCTTCTTTTTTTTTCAATAGAGATGGGGTCTCACCGTTACCCAGGCTGGTCTCAAACTCCTGGGCTCAAGTGATCCTCCTCCCTCAGCCTCCCAAAGCGCTGGGATTACATTACCCCTATGCATTGGGGTTGCTGTGCAGACATGCCAAGAAACAAGGGCCAGAGGGAAGAAGATTGAAATTGTAAAAGTGGACCTGGTGGATGGTTGTTAAGGCATTCCTTGACAACAAGTGAGCCACTGTGCCTGGCCTTTTTTTTCTTTTTTGAGACAGGGTCTTGCTCTGTCACAAAGTGATGAAGTGTGGTAGTGCGATCATGGCTCACTGCAACCTAGACCTCCCAGGCTCCAGTGATCCTCCCACCTCAGTCTCTCGAGTAGCTGGGACCACAGGCAGGTGCCACCATGCTTGGCTATTGTTTTTTTTTCCTAGACTCCAAAGCTAGTGCCAGATTGGCTGATTTTTTAAAAATTTTAATTTTTTTTTTGTAGAGATGAGGTCTCACTATGTTGCCTAGACTGATCTCGAACTCCTGGCCTCAAGCAGTCCTCCAACCCTGGCCTCCCAAAGTGTTGGGATTATAGGTGTGAGCCCCTGCACAGCCCCTAATTCATCTAAGCTGTAGTTTCTTCAACTGTACTTGAGGCTAATAATATTGCCTAAGTATTACTGTTAAGAAGTTAAATGCAATAATGATTAAAAAGTACTTACTGTGTGCCTGGCACATAGTAAATACCTCATAAATCTAGTTGTTATGGCTGGGCACGGTGGCTCACGCCTGTAATCCTAGCACTTTGGGAGGCCGAGTCGGGCAGATCACCTGAGGTCAGGAGTTCGAAACCAGCCTGGCCAAGATAGAGAAGCCCCGTCTCTACGAAACACATGAAAATTAGCTGGGTGTGACGGCGGGGGCCTGTAATCCCAGCTGCTCGGGAGGCTGAGGCAGGAGAATCACTTGAACCTGGCAGGCAGAGGCCGCGGCAAGCCGAGATTGTGCCACTGCACTCCAGCCTGGGTTACAGGGCGAGACTCCGTCTCAAAAAAAAAAAAAAGTAGTTATTATTATTATTATTATTATTTTTTTTTGAGATAGAGTCTTGCCCTGTTGCCCAAGCTGGAGTGCAGTGGCATGATCTCGTCTCGCTGCAACCTCTGCCTCCTGGGTTCAAGCCATTCTCCTGTCTCAGCCTCCTGAGCAGCTGGGATTACAGGCGTGTGCCACCACGCCTGGCTAATTTTCATATTTTTAGTAGAGACAGGGTTTCACCATGTTGGTCAGGCTGGTCTCGCACTCCTGACCTCGTGATCCACCCGCCTCGGCCTCCCAAAGTGCTGGGATTACAGGCGTGAGCCACTGTGCCCGGCCCAAGTATCATTTTTAAGAGAGAAAAATGGGAAACAAACTCAATGTCCAATAGTAGGATTAACTAAATTATGATATATCCGCTTGCTAGCTTTGTTAAAAATGATGATACAAATGTTCACAACATATTGTTAAATGAAAAAAGTCAGTTTTAGGCTGAGCCTGGTGGCTCATGACTGTAATCCCAGCACTTTGGGAGGCCGAGGCAGGCGGATCACCAGAGGTCAGGAGTTCAATACTAGCCTATCCCACATGTCTCTACTAAAAATACAAAAAAAAAAAATTAGCTGGGCGTGGTGGCGGGCACCTGTAATCCCAGCTACTTTGGAGGCTGAGGCAGGAGAATCTCTTGATTCTGGAAGGCAGAGGTTGCAGTGAGCCAAGACTGGGCCATTGCACTCATCCTGGGCTATGGAGTAAGACTCCGTCTCAAAAAAAAAAAAAAAAAGTCAGTCCTAAAATAATATGGTATAAATTTTTAAAAAGCGTTAGGTTGAGACATATGAAATTGTTCACATTTGATCATTTTTAACCTATAAAATCAGCAATTTCATATGACTTAATATATGTACACTGAAAAGTACACAAATAAGAAGCTAGGTACAGTGGCCTGTGCTTGTAATCCCAGCTACTTGGGAGGATGAGGTGGGTGGTTTGCTTGAGCCCATGAGTTCAAAGCTACAGTGAGTTATAATTGCACAGCTGCACTCCAGCCTGGGCAACAGAGTGAGACCCTATATCTTGAAAAAATAAATAAATAATAAAATAAATAAAAAAATAAAAATAAGGCTGGGTGCAGTGGCTCACGCTTGTAATCCCAGCACTCTGTGAGGCCAAGGTGGGAGGACTGCTTGAGCCCAGGAGTTCAAGACTAGTCTCCACAACATAGGGAGACCTCATCTCTACCAACAATAAAATAAAAAATTATCTGGGTGTGGTGGCATATACCTGTAGTCCCAGCTACTCAGGAGGCTGAGGAGGCAGGATTGCTGGAGCTCAGGGAAAGGCTGCTGTGAGCCATGATTGTGCCACTGTACTCCAGCTTGGGTGACAGAGTGAGATCTTGTCTCAAAAATAGATAAATACAATAGATAGATAGATAGATAGTATACATAAGGGTGGGTGTGGTGTCTCATGCTTGAGACCAGGAGTTCGAGACCAGTGTGGGTAACACTATGAGACCCTGTCTGTACCAAAAAATTAAAAAATTTGGTGGACATGATGGCATGCCTGTAGTCCCAGCTACCTGGGAGGCTGAGGTGGGAGGATCACATCACTTGAGCCCAGGAGGTCGAGGCTGCAGTGAGCTGTGGTCATGCTACTGTACACCAGCCTGGGTAACAGAGTGAGACCACTGTCTCAAAAAAAAAAAAAAGTGTACGTATAAGAAAAGGTACTAGAAGGGAAGGTCCCAAAATATTGATGGTAGTTATTTTTGACTGGTGGCTTTATAGTGACTTACATTTTTTCTTGTGTTTCTAAATTTTCTATGAACAATTCAAGTACTACTAGTAAAATTAATCCCCATCCCACTGTATGAATGGTAATTCCCATCCCATTATAGCCTGTTTGATTTATCATTTGTGTTTACAAGTCTAAAATAACTGTGATTTTTTATCCTGCCATAGGCAGGATGGCAAGCACTACTCTTCATATACTTTTGGTACCAGCATCAGTTTTCATTCAACAGTACTGTTCAGAACACTTTGTTGGTGGGCCCAGCTTTTCAAAGCCCTCTTCAATCTCTTGCCACCCTCCACAACAGACACAGGGCTTCAGGCCAGCTGTGTCCCTAATCCGCCCACGTCCCAGATTTGGGTATGGTTTCCCCGCCCCTCCCCGCTTTCTTCCAGTCTCATCTCTACCAGGTCATCTGAGGCCTCATCTACACTCCCTGGCCTTCCCCACTGGTCACCACCTAATTTCACCATCTAATTTCACCCTCTTATGTGCAGCTGGTGTTTGCTTTTGCTTGGGCTCAGTTTGCTGTGGGGAAGGATTAAGACCCTTTCACACTGTCTTTTTTTTTCTTTTTCTCTTTTGCTTACTGCCCTTGACTGCTCCAGGGGCTAACAGGCAGCTAGCGGGGCCTGTATTCCCTAGGAAGGAACACAAGGGGTAGGGGGTGGGGAGGTAATGGTGGGCTCAGCTGGCAGGCGAGATAGAGATGGTCCTTAGGGACCCCATCCTGGGGCTTGGGGCATAGCACAGCTGCCACCCAGATGTGAGCATGGAGCAGAGCTGTTTCTGCCTTGGAAATTAGCCTCAGAGACGGTGCTTGGGACCTTTACCCTTGGTACCTGATGGCAGTCTCTGCAGGGTGAGCTGGGACTGGATACCTGGTTTGCAGAAGTCTGAGAGGGCAGATGGGCCCAGGAGTAAAGGTAGTTTTTCCACCTTCATATTAGGCATTACTTATACCCCCACATCTTCCTATGTGATAGGCCTGGCAACACTCAGAGATTGGGCACTTAGCCTAACAACTGAAGATGTGTGTCTAAAATAACAAAAATTCCTCATGTGTGGATAGTACTTTACAGTTTACAAAGCCCTTTCATCTCCAGGCTAAGAATTAAAAGCCAGCACTGGAATTCAGGTCTTTCAGATTCTAAAGCCTGAGTCAATGGATTATGGTGTGTTATTGCATGGCACTCTGAATTTCAGAGTAGTTCATACCTGCCTTGTGTCTAGCCTTTTGCTGTTAGCCTGAGACCTCTACTTATTTGCAGAGTAAGGATTATTAAATGCTACATATTCTTTGCATCCAATTAGATGTGCCATTGGCTAGCACTTCATGGCATAGAGAATACTGGGCTTTCATGAATCTGAATTTGCTGGATAACTTGGTGGTGGTGGAGATGGTAAACCACTGGTAATTGGTCTTCTATACTCATCCTTCAAGGTACCAGATTTTCCTGTCTGATTGGTGAAGGAAGCCTGAGGCACAGAGGTGGTAGGACTAGAACTCTGAATAAAAAGCACAGCTGAACCTGAGGACTTGAGGCAGGAGACCAGAGTATTTAAGAACAGGTGTGGCCAGGCATGGTGGCTCATGCCTGTAATCCCAGCACTTTGGGATGCTGAGGTGGGTGGATCACCTGAGGCTGGGGGTTCGAGACCAGCCTGACCAACATGGAGAAACCCCATCTCTATTAACAATACAAAATTAGCCAGGCGTGGTGCACATGCCTGTAATCCCAGCTACTCACGAGGCTGAGGCAGGAGAATCGCTTGAACCTGGGAGGCAGAGGTTGCAGTGAGGTGAGGCGAGATCGTGCCATTGCACTCCAGCCTGGGCAAAAAGAGCGAAACCCCTTCTCAAAAAAAAACAGGTGCTTCACCCCTCATACACAGAATGACCCTGGCCAAGTCACCTGACCTCACTAAGACTCAGTTTCCTTATATGTAAAATGAGGATGTTCATTAACTCATTCAACAAATATTTATTGAGCGTATACTGTTCTGGGAGATGAATACAGATACAGTCCCTGCCTTCCTGAGCTTGCAGTCTAGTGGGTCTAGATTACAGCAATTTATTTGAGAGGCACAATAAATAATAAATATATAGTAGAAAGTCAAGTAGGGTAAGTGCTATGAAGCAAATTAAAGCAGGATAAGGGTGTTTGAGTGGAGGGTGTTTTAGATGGTATAGTCAGGTGGTTTTCAAGGGGTTTTATGATGTTTCAAATGGACAATTTACATAACGTGCTCAGCTCAGTGCTAACAACAATTGCATGCTTAACAAATATATTATTATATTTGCCAGTTCCACACCTCTCAGTCCACATTTTAGTCTCTGAATAGTAATAATAATTAACACACATAGATCTTACTATGAGCTAGGCACTGCTCTAAGTCCTTTACATATTTTAACTCATTTAATTCTGTTTTCCTTTTTCTTTTTTTTGAGATGGAGTCTTGCTCTTGTCACCCAACCTGGAGTTCAATGGCATGATCTCGGCTCTCTGCAACCTCCACCTCCTGGGTTCAAGTGATTCTCCTGCCTCAACCTCCGAGAATAACTGAGATTACAGGTGCCTGCCACCAGGCCCAGCTAAGTTTTGTATTTTTAGTAGAGATGGGGTTTCACCATTTGGCCAGGCTGGTCTCGAACTCCTGACCTCAGGTGATCCGCCTGCCTCAGCCTCCCAAAGTTCTGGGATTACAGGCATGAGCCACCATGCCTGGCCTAATTCTTACAGTAACTCTGTGAGGTGGGAACTATTATTATCCTTCTCCCTCCCCCAACCCTCGTTTTTGTTTTTAGGGATGGAGTCTTGCTCTGTTGCCCAAGCTGGAGTGGAATGGCATGATCCTAGCTCACTGTGGCCTTGAACTCCTGTGCTTGAGCAATCCTCCCACCTCAGCCTCCCACTATAGGTGGGAGTCCCAGCTACTTGGACATATTATCCCCTTTTATGGTGTTGAAAAATGAGGCACAGCCGGGCGCGGTGGCTCAAGCCTGTAATCCCAGCACTTTGGGAGGCCGAGAAGGGCGGATCACGAGGTCAGGAGATCGAGACTAACACGGTGAAACCCCGTCTCTACTAAAAATACAAAAATTAGCTGGGCGTGGTGGTACACGCCTGTAGTCCCAGCTACTCGGGAGGCTGAGGCAGGAGAATCGCTTGAACCCGGGAGGCAGAGGTTGCAGTGAGCCGAGATTCCGGCACCGCACTCCAGCCTGGTGACAGAGCGAGACTCCGTCTCAAATAAATAAATAAATAAATAAAAGAAAAATGAAAATCAAACCATTAGAAAAGGCTGGAGACTAAGAATTGAACCCAGGCAATCTGTTTCCAGAGGCTGTGCTGGGATCGTGAAGGGGCTGTGATTAGATATCAGGAATGTCTAGCTGGCATCTACAGACTCTGCTGTCAGATGGCCTGGCTTCTTATCCTGTCAGTTTTAAGTCTCTCTGCTTCAGTTTCCTCATCTCTAAAATAGAACACCAGATCCTATCTTACCTTCTAGGTATCATGCTTAAAACAAAAGCCTTCTTTCTGCACTGTGGGTCCGAAGCCTGTTCACAGACCAGCCTAGCAGGGAGTAGGAAGGGTCAAGGGGTCTCTGACACTTCTGGAAGGAAATAAAGACACACTAAGCAATTGTCAGAGCAACCCTCAGTTCATCTGGAGACCAGACCTCGGAAGCTAGGTCTTTATAATGTTGAGATTGCCAGGGGGGAATTAGGAGATCCTTAAATGCAGAAGACAGGTTCAATCTTGGCGTGGTCTCAACACTTAGCTTCCATTTCAGGCCTTACACAGCTGGCACGAGAGGTAAAGTCTCATCGAATGTCAGGGTTGGAAGGGCGCCTAGAGACAGTCAAACTAGTGGATGGGGAAACTGAGGTACAGAGAAGCTGAGTGACTTACCCGAGGTCACTAAGCGTTTAGGGGGAGTCAGTTGGGGTAGCCTGGCTACAACCTCTACGCGAGTTACTTCCCTGAGGCTTCCAAATCTCGGCCTCTTACTTGGAAGGAGGAAAGGGCCTCACCGTCCAGGGCTCTAGCTGCCTCATGCCCCACGTGGGTGCTGCGGGATCCCGGAACACCCCGGCTCCAGACCGGGTTCGACTTGCGCGTGCGCACACGCGGCCAGCCCCTTGCCTTTTCCTCTCTCTTTTTCGTTCCCCTCTCCTCTCCTTACCGGCCTAGGGGAGGGGGGAAACAAGGGGAGCTAGAAGTTGGCCTCAGCCAATGGGCGGACGGGCCGCGGGCCCGGCCCCCTCCTTCCCTCCGGCGCGGCCCAATAGAAATTTACTACAATGTTGTGGCGAACTGAGGGGGAGGGGCGCGGGCCGGCGGGCGGGCTGCGGGCCGGGCTGGCCTCGCCTCGCAGAGGGAAGGCGGGAGGGCGCGCGCCAGGGTCGCTCGCTCGCTCCCTCCCTCCGCTGGTGCGTTTAGTCAGTCAGCCAGCAGCAGCCGGCGGGCCCGCGAGCCGCAGAGGGCCCGAGCCTCGGACGCCGGCGCCTCCTCCTGCCATTGTTCGTCGGGCTGCAGCAGTGGCGGGCGCAGGAGCCCGGCCCCGGAGCCACCGGTGAGGCGAGGCGGCGGCGGCGGCGCGGGAGCCGGGGCGGTGGGCGTGGAGCTGTCCCCGTGGGGACGGTCCTGGCGGCCGCGGCGGCGCTGCAGCCTCTTTGTCTGCAACCCCCGACAGGCCCCGGGCCGGGGCGCGGGCTCTCCCGCGGAGGAGCCTCGTGTGCACGCCGAGTCGCCAGCCGGGACGCGGCCCGAGGAGCGAGGGGCGGGCCAGAGCCGCTGAGGAAAGGGGAAGGGGTTGCGTCGCGGGAGTGTTGGAAAGTTAGGCTTGAGATGTATTTTTGACGGTCCCCTCGGGTGCGTCAATCACGGTGCGGTGTGCAGGAGCCTCGGGAGGAAACCAAATGCGGAGAATCGCAGGTTTCAGACGGTGAAGGTGTTGCGTGCAGCCGCGGAGCGATTTCTTCCTGGCGAGGGAGCTGGGCTGTCTGCAGAAGTCAGGCGGAATCTGAGGACTGCAGGGAGCCCTGGCAAGACTTCGCAGGCCTTCCCGCCACCGACGCCTGCATCATTGAAAAACATGTTCCCCCTTAGTCTTCTGGGTTCCCAGCGAGCAGAGGGTTAAATCTATTCTCTCAGCGTCGTGACCTCCTTTTTCAGTTCGCGCATCTGTCGGCTTGGAAATCTTCCTCCGTGCTCGCTGGGCTGCTGTACCTGTGGAGAGGCCGGGTCTGGGCTCGCCCTCCGAGATTGACCAGCAGGCCATTATTCCTGGGGAGGTTTTGCCAAAACAGGTCATGCTCCCCAAGAACAGGCATTCTCTTGAGAAAAAGTGATCTCACGTGAAACAGATTGCTGATGGACTGGTTTCTGGCCACATGATAGCGACTGTCATCCTGTTGTTTCTTTAACTGTACCCTGTACCCTGCCATAAATGACTAGTCTGTGGAGACTTGTTTTTTGGCATGTAGTTGTTCATTAGGAGATAGTTTTTTCTTTTTCCTTTTTTTTTTTCAGATGCTTTTTTTTTTTTTTTTTTTTGTAGTCTGGGTGATTTCACAGCTGCTATTTTCTTCCCTTCTGTTTTTAGGGAAAATTGCAAGAAATGGTTGTGTCTTGTGTCTTGGATATTATTATAGTGGATTTATACTCTCTTGAGGATGTACTGTAGTCAATGCTGTTGCTCATTGTTGTTTTCTGTATTCTCAGTCCTGGCAAAAATTTTAGTTGGTTTGATCCCTTTAATCAAAAGCAGGATATATAGCCCGTATATGTTTCTTCCCGTCCCAGTTTTGTTAATGTAGCACTAACCCCTACTTTTTATGGAAACTTGATGTACTCTTCATTTTCCTTTTCTGTAAATTGAAAGTGTAATCAGTTCTTCGCCAGTTGTAAAATTTTTGGTTTGGGGTGTTATTAATATAATCCATGTAGCGTACATGCTATCTGGCGTACAGTAAGCACTCAATAAATGGCAGATTCAAAAATAGATGTAATAACTGAACACCAGATTGCCTTAGAATCAAAGTAGTTAATTCAGTGTGCTTTCTATAAGAAGCTTATAATTAAGGTAAATATAGATATTATTCATACACCTGGGGAAACAAGTACAGTATATCTTTGGCACTATTAAAAGTGAACTATGTCGGGCACGGTGGCTCACGCCTGTAATCCCAGCACTTTGGGAGGCCAAGGCGGGTGGATCACTTGAGGTCAGGAGTTCGAGACTAGCCTGGCCAGCATGGTGAAACCCCATCTGTACTAAAAATGCAAAAAAGTAGCTGGGTGTGGTGGCATGTGCCTGTAATCCCACCTACTCAGTAGGTGGAGGCAGGAGAATCGCTTGAACCTAGGAGGCGGAGGTTGCAGTGAGCCGAGATTGCACCACTGCACTTCAACCTGGGCAACAGAGCAAAACTGTCTCAAAAAAAGGTGAACTCATTGTTGAACATAAGTTCAGAATGCCAACCTTCTGATTCCTCTGTCTTCTACCAACAAAACTATACATTTTTCCTTGTATGTTTGAATTCAGGCTTAGAAATAAATGTTTTTAATCTGTAGGTTTTACCAAAATTCTCCCAACAATTTTTTTTTTTTTTAAACAGGGTCTCATTCTGTCACCCAGGCTGGAGTGCAGTGGCATGATCACGGCTCACTGCAGCCTTAAACTCCTGGGCTCAAGTGATCCTCCTGCCTCAGCCTCCCTAGTAGCTGGGACTATAGGCGTGTGCCCCCATGCTTGGCTAATGTCTTTTTATTTTTTGTAGAGACAGTCTCACTATGTTGCCTAGGGTGGTCTTGAATTCCTGGACTCAAGAGATCCTCCTCCCTGGGCCTCCCAAAGTGCTGGGATTACAGATGTGAGCCACCTCACCCGGCCTCTCCCAACATTTATTAAGTGTTTTATACCAAATGTCTTGTAAGTTCTTATGCAATATGGCTACAATCTACCTTTCCACCTTTATTCTCCTTATTTTTTGTATTGTGCAACCAAATAGAACTACTCTGTAATAACCCTTGCTTTGCCATCTCTCTCTCTGTGTGTGTGTGTGTGTGTATGTGTGTGTGTGTATTTATTTATTTATTTTGAGATGGAGTCTTACTCTGTCACACAGGCTGGAGTGCAGTGGCATGATCTCAGCTCACTGCAACCTCCACCTCCTGGATTTAAGCAATTCTCCTGGCTCAGGCTCCCAAGTAGCTGGGATTACAGGCGCTTGCCATCATGCCCACCTAACTTTTGTATTTTTAGTAGAGTTGGGGTTTCACCATGTTGGTCAGTATGGTCTCGATTTCTTGACCTCGTGATCCACCCGCCTCGGCCTTCCAAAGTGCTGGGATTACAGGCATGAGCCACCGTGCCTGGCCCTGTATACATATGTTTTTAGAGACAGGGATCTTACCTTGTTGCCCAAGCTGGAGGGCAGTGGCATGATCCTGGCTCACTGCCGCCTTGAACTCCTGGGTTCAAGTGATTCTCCCACCTGAGCCTCCTGAGCAGCTGGGACTACAGACGTGCACCACCATGCCCAGCTTTTTTTTTTCGTTTTTAAAACACGGGGTCCTGCTATTGTTTCCCAGGCTGGTCTCAAACTGCTGGTCTCAAACTCCTGAGCTCAAATGATCGTCTCACCTCTGCTTCCAAAAGTGCTGGGATTACAGACATGAGTCACTGTGCCCAGCTTAGTCTGTATTACAGACATGAGCCACCATGCCTGGTGTGTAATTGTTGGTGTGAATGATAGAGTTTGCTTACTTTTTTTTAATGTAGTAATCCAGTTTCATATTGCTAATCTGATTTCATAACTTTAGAATATCAGTGGCCATGAGAGGCTGAGTTTGGTTCTGAAATCAAGAGGAGCATAGATGTAGACCACAGTCTGTTTCCTTGTTATCTAAGAGGCAGGACAGCATAAGTGTTGCCAGTGTATTTTTGTTTTTCTTGTCTTTTCTGTCTCAGCCTCCTGAGTAGCTGGGACTACAGGCACACACCACCACACCCAGCTAAATTTTTGTATTTTTAGTAGAGACGAGGTTTCACCATGTTGGCCAGGATGGTCTCCAATCTCTTGACCTCGTGATCTGCCCACGTCCGCCTCCCAAAGTGCTGGGATTACAGGCATGAACCACCACACCCAGCCAATGGCCTGTATTTTTCTGAGTTTCATCAAGTTTGTGTTTGGTTAAATGCATATTCAGATGTGGATTCATTGCTACCTCTATATTTGAATTTTTTCTTTAATTACTTGAACATGGAATCACTTTATTTTGTGAGCTAAACAACAATAATTCCAATAACTTTTCTTATGAATAACTTTGTTTTTTTCCTCTAAATAAAGCCCCCAAAGATGGCCTCTGAATTAATCAGTTATGGGCCTTATGTATGTGAAGGATCCAAAATTATTGAAAAGTAATTGCTAGCTAGGTGCAGTGGTTTATGCTTGTAATCCCAGCACTTTGGGAGGCCGAGGCCCACGGATCACTTGAGCCTTTGAGTTTGAGACCACTGCATTCCAGCCTGGGCAACAGAGTGAAATTCTGTCTCAAAGAGAAAAAAGAAAAAGTAATTGCTTGATTGCATTTATCATAGCATTTAGTTAGAGGAGAGGAGAGGCAGATGCCAAATGTATGTTATTTTTTGTTGTTCATTTAAGTTTCTTGGTATGTCACTGGTGGCTTTTACTGTGCGTCCTTTTTAAGAGTGGGTTCATGGTGTGTTTAGTCAAATGCAATATAACTTACTCTGGAGTGCACACTGGGTTAGATTAGTATTTTGATTTACTCTGCTGCTATTTAATGAATACATAGAAAGATAAAGAAGAATGCTGTAGCAGTGAGGAGTATTCAGAACTTGGAGGTGTTAGAAAGGAGAACTTTGATATTTTATATTGAGTGCTGATCTCATTTAGAACTACCCACCTTACTGACACTTTGCTTCAAATATTGGTTTTGGGAAAATCCGATTATGATGAAAGTCTGTTTATACTTATTTTGCTGATTTTTTATTTAAATTGAATTGTATCCACTTAAAATATTTGAAAATAAATTGGCTAGCTCTTTGAACTTTGGAGAACAGCAGCCAGTATAATTCAAGGAGTAGCTTGAAGAGACTTTAATATCCCCTACCCGCTAGCTTCGTCAGCTTCCCACTAAGTCACCCTAAGTAAACATGCAATCTGGGTAGGAACTGGGAGCTTGATATCCAAATATTCTGTCTCTCCTTCCAGTCAAATTGCTATCCTTAAAAGTCCTTTCTTTCTTTTTTTTTTTTGAGGCAGGGTCTTGCTCTGTTGCCTAGGCTGGAATGCAGTGGCATGATCTCGGCTCACTGCAACCTCTGCCTCCCGGGTTCAAGCGATTCTTCCGCCTCAGCCTCCTGAGTAGCTGGGACTACAGGCATGCACGGCTAATTTTTGTATTCTTTGGTAGAAACGGGGTTTCACCATGTTGGCCAGGCTGGTCTTGAACTCCTGATCTCAAGTGATCCATCTGCCTTGGCCTCTGAGAGTGCTGAGATTACAGGCATGAGCCACAGCATCCAGCCCAAAAGTCCTTTCTATATAGAAATTCCAGAGACATTCTGGCGTCATGCTTTTAAATTATTTATTGTTTTATTATTTTTATTATTTTATTATTGCAATTAAGAGCAGTTCTCTTTTTTGCAAGTTATCTCTTATCTCCAAGTTAAATCTATGTGGATTAAACTGTGATTGTTTATTGAATTGCTGCTCTCCCTCTTCCGTAGCTGATGACTCTTTGAGTCAGTTCTACCCAATTAATCTAGGCCCTCAACTCTCAGGGTGATCTCTGCTTGTGGAGATTAAAATTGTTTCTAAGCTATGTGGAATAGAGCTTGGGTAAGGTTAAAGAAATTTTGGCAGGGTGGGTAGGAAGGGGCAAGATTATCTGTCTGATGGAATGGATAAGAAATATGACTGTGAGTTTATATTGATTAGATTGGAAGAAGCAATAGATGCTCTATTAAGATTATTTTCTATTACCTAATTCTATATTCAATGTATATCTACAATTCTGTTCTGTTATCTAATATCTATTAATAGAGACAGGAACACCTCCATCTTTTTTTGGAAATAGGTGGAAATAATCAAATAAGATTGGATATAATCTGTACTCTTGTAGTTAATTGTTATTTATAGATGCAACCTGATTCCATCCTCCACAAAAGTCACCCTAATGCAGATCAGCTTTTGGTAGGCCCTCTATATGTTTGAATCATAGCACCGGACACAACATAGACTGAGGTTTTGGTACTTTCTACATTAATATTCACTCAGAAAACTTTTGCCCATGCATTATATTTGTTATATCTGCATTAAATCATAAAAAAGTTATGATAGAAAAGTTTCAAGTGAGAAACTCCCCGTGATTTAACTATATTAGAGCACAGGATTATTTTATTTTTATTTATTTATTTATTTATTTTTTGAGACAGGGTCTTACTCCTGTCACCCAGGCTGGAGTGCAGTGGTGCGATCATGGCTCATTACAGCCTCAACTTCCCAGGCTCAGGTGATCTTCCCACCTCAGCCTCCTGAGTAGCTGGAGCTACAGGCTCCACACCTGGCTGATTTTTTATATTTTTAGAGACTGGGTTTTGCCATCTTGACCAGGCTGGTCTTGAACTCCTAGGCTCAAGAAATCTGCCTGCCTTGGCCTCCCAAAGTGCTGGGATTACAGGTGTGAGCCATGGCGCCCAGCCTATTTTAATTTTTAAAAATTTATATGGGGAGTCTCTCTATGTTGCTGAGGTTGGTGTTGAACCCCTGGGCTCAAGTGATCCTCCTGTCTCAGCCACCTAAATAGCTGGGACTACAGGTGTGTGCCATCACATCTAGCTAATAGAGTTGTTTTGAATTGGTTAAATTTAAGCCTGTAACCCATACGTGTAATAGAAATGTATATTTTTGGTGATTTATGAATACATAGTATTAGGCCAAGGTTTAGTTGTGATTGATATACAGCTATTAGTACTTACATATACTCTTAAGTAATCCTATTAAAATCATTTTAACACAATGGGATCTTAATGGCATATCTTTAAACCTATCTTATAAAGAAATGCTGCTTTAACTTAGATGCCAAGCACATATTTTAATTTACCAATTAGAAGTTCTATATGTATTCAAGTGAAGAGTGTTTCACCTTAATAATACATTTCATACAGATTGTTGAAATTCATCCCATTCCCCCTTCCCTCCCCAGTTTTTGGCCATATGGACACAGGCAGGACTCTCAGGAGTGCCAAGGATTTAAGCCCTCAAATTTTACCTGCCTACCATTTCAGCATGCGATAGGGACACATGGAAGGCAGCTTAAAGTAAAGGCTTTAAAAAATTTTTTTTGCTACCACCCACTTGCTGTTTCTTGCCCTTTTCTCTTTTTTTTAATGATTCAGAGGATCGACACTGTTGCCAGCTTACTACCTGCAGTCTTTCCAGTCTTGATGGTATTACGTAATTATATAAACCTTTTGCATGGTATCATATGATATTGTATATTTGTCTTCCTACACATGTGTCTTTAGAGTAATTTCTTTCCATCTGGTGTTGAAAATGAGCTCTTTGTGAGGTTATTTTTAAATCTTCAAGCTTTCTGGCATCCTCAACACTTGAAATAACACAATTGCTTTTGGAGGCAAGAAAATCCACATAGTATACTTTGTGGTTTTTCCAGTGAAAATGTAAATAGTATTTTATTTATGAAATTTTATATATATATATATATATATATACACTTTTTTTTTGTTTTTTTTTTTTGAGACGGAGTCTCTCTCTGTCACCCAGGCTGGAGTGCAATGGCATGATCTTGGCTCACTGCAACCTCTGCCTCCCAGGTTGAAGCGATTCTCCTGCCTCAGCCTCCCAAGTAGCTGGCATTACAGGCACGTGCCACCACGCCTGGCTAATTTTTGTATTTTTAGTAGACACGGGGTTTCACCGTGTTGGTTAGACTGGTTTCGAACTCCTGACCTCCTGGTCCGCCCGCCTTGGCCTCCCAAAGTGCTCAGATCACAGGCATGAACCACCGCACCTGGCCTATAAAATTATATTTTATATTTAGATAGTCTTGAGATAATTGTGTTAGGTTGGAAATAGTTGTTGCCAAGTAAATAAAGTAAAGGAGAGCTACTTAAGGGAAAGGAGACCAAGAATAAGAAGCCTGGTAGAGGAAAGAGGTTTTAAAGATATCTTCTTCTCTGAAGATTTATTGTTATCTTTTTATCCTCTGTCTCATTCTGTTGCCCAGGCTGGAGTGCAGTGGGGCAATCATGGCTTACTCTAACCTTGAACTCCCGGGCACAAGCAGTCCTCCCACCTGAGCCTCCTGAGTAGCTGGGACTACAGGTGCATGCCACCGTGCCCCGCCAGTTTTAAAATTTTTTCTTAGAGACAGGATTTTTTTTTTTTTTTTTTCGAGATTGAGTCTCACTCTGTTGCTCAGGCTGTAGTGCAGTGGCGCGATCTCGGCTCACTGCAACCTCTGCCTCCCGGGTTCAAGCAATTCTTCTGCCTCAGCCTCCCAAGTACCTGGGACTATAGGTGTGTGCTACCATGCCCGGCTAATTTTTGTATTTTTTAGTAGAGTCGGGGTTTCACCATATTGGCCAGGCTGGTCTCAAACTCCTGACCTCATGATCCGCCTGCCTCGGCCTCCCAAAGTGCTGGAATTACAGGTGTGAGCCATTGTGCCCAGGCTGAGATGATCTTATGATATTGCCCAGCCTGGTCTCAAGAGATCCTCCTGACTTGGCCTCCCAAAGTGTTGGGATTATAGGTGTGAGCCAACACACTCAGCCGTGATGCACTGTTTGATTCTGATAATCAGGTATGTGTAATTAGCCTTAAACCTTTTTCTTCCTTCTTTCCTTTCTTTTCTTTTCTTTTTTTTTTTTTTTTTTTGAGATGGAGTCTCACTCTGTCACCCAGGCTGGAGTGCAGTGATGGGATCTCAGCTCCCGGATTCAAGCGATTCTCCTGCCTCAGCCTCCCAAGTAGCTGGGATTACAGGCGTGTGCCACCACACCTGGCTAATTTTTGTATTTTAGTAGAGACAGGGTTTCACTATGTTGGTCAGGCTGGTCTCGAACTCCTGACCTCAGGTAATCTACCCGCCTCGGCCTCCCAAAGTGCTGGGATTAGAGGTGTGAGCCACTGCGCTTGGCAACCTTTTTATTTCTTAACGGTAGATTGATATATCCTCTAGCTTACTAAGTAACCTTTGAATTTTTATTATTTCTTTAATTGTAATATAAAAAGCTGATCTTTTATTAAGTGCCATTCCGTCTCCTAAAGATGATGCCTATAATGATTAAATAGTAAAGGTCAGTGTCATCTACTTAGCAAGATTTACCCAGTAAGTCTTTTTTTCTCCAGATGCTATTTTTGTTGACTTATCCTTGCTAGTTGTATTATCTCTAATATGACCATTAATGGACACTGGTTAACAAGATATGTTCAATATTTAATGTATTCTCTTTGGTATTTTGTAAGATGGAAAAGACTAGCATTGGGATGAATAATTGCATAATGATCATAGAATCATATTTAAATAAATATACCAAAGAATATATAACTAAAGGGCAAGTTTTTTTGTTTTATGTTTTTAAATTTTTATCATGCGTACTGTGGTAGGCAGCCTTTATTATGGCCCCCAATTATCCCTCCCTCCTGGTATGCATACCCTTAGTGTAATTTCCTCCCCTTGAGTGGGGGCTATTGAATAGAATACAGCAAAAGTGATGGGATGTCACTTCTAAGATTAGGTTATAAAATACTGTGGCTTCTCTCTTGGGATTCTGGCTTTCTCCCTCTCCCTGGGACCACTAGCTACCATATCCTGAGAACACTCAGGCAGTCTGTAGTGATGTCCATGTGGTTAAAAACGAGGTCTGTCAGTAAACTTGGATGCAGATCTTCGGTGTGAGTGATCTTGGAAGCAGATTCTCCAGGCAGAGTTGAGCCTAGAGGTGAATGCAAATGCAGTAGACAGCTTTACTACAACTTCATGAAAGCCCCTGGCCGGGTGCGTGGCTCATGCCTGTAATCCCAACACTTTGGGAGGCCAAGGTGGGTGGATCACCTGAGGTCAGGAACTCGAGACCTGCCTTGCCAACATGGCGAAACCCCGTCTCTACTAAAAATAGAAGAATTACCTGGGTGTGGTGGTGTGCACCTGTAGTCCCAGCTACTTGGGAGGTTGAGGCAGGATAATCGCTTGATCCTGAGAGGTGGCGGTTGTAGTGAGCTGAGATCGTGCCACTGCACTCCAGCTCTGGGTGACAGAGCGAGACTACATCTCAAAAAAAAAATAAAAAAGACCCCAAGCCAGAGTCACCTAGCTAAGTCATGCCTGGATTCTTCATCCACAGAAACTGTGCAATAATAAATGTTTGCTGTTTTAAGCCACCATGTTTTGGAGGGTAATTTATTGTAAAGTAATAGATAACTAAAACATCTACCACTTATTCATGTAATAAATACTTATTGATTGTTCACTATTTACAAGGCACTATCATAAGTACATTGGGACATAGCAGTGAATAAAATAGAGGTATCTGTTCTTGTGCAGCTTATTTCTTTTTCTGGGACAGGGTCTTGCACTGTCACCCAGGCTGGAGTGCAGTGGTGTGGTCACAGCTCACTGCAGCCTCAACCTCCTGGGCTCAAGCAGTCCTCCCACCTCAGCCTCCTGAGGAGCTGAGACTACAGGCACACACCACTATGCCTGGCTAACTTTTTTTTTTTTTTTTTTTGAGATGGAGTCTCGCTCTGTCACCCAGGCTGGAGTGCAGTAGCGCGATCTCGGCTCACTGCAACCTCCGTCTCCCAGGTTCAAGCTTTTCCCCCGCCTCAGCCTCCTGAGTAGCTGGGACTACAAGCACCCACCACCATGCCCGGCTAATTTTTTATTTTTAGTAGAGGCAGGGTTTCACCATATTGGCCAGGCTGGTCCCGAACTCCTGACCTTGTGATCCGCCCACCTCGGCCTCTCAAAATGCTGGGATTACAGGCGTGAGCCACCGCGCCTGGCCATTCTGGCTAATTTTTAAATGAAATTTTTTGTAGGGATGGGGTCTCCATATGTTGCCCATTTTGGTCTTGAACTCCTGGGCTCAAGTAGTCTCTTGCCTTGGCCTCCTAAAGTGTTGGGATTATAGTCATGAGCCACCACACCCAGCCTGGAGCTTACATTTTAGTGGTAGGGGATAAATAATAAATGTATAAATCAGGGATAGAACATAAGACATCAGATTTTAGTGAGGATCAGGGAAAGTAGAATGGGAGACAGTGAGGCAGGTGGGGTGTACATTTTAGATAAGGGTGATACTTCTGATAAGGTGACATTGGAGCAGAGTCCTAAATGGAGTAAGACAGTGAGCTGTGCAGGTATCTGGGGAAGAGCATCCCAGGCAGAAGGAACAAAATGCACAAAAGTTAAGCGGGTTTGGTGTGTATGAGAAACATTGATCCAGCATGTTGGGTCAAAATGATCTAGGGAAAAGTAGCAGGAGTTTAATTCAGAGAGGTCATAGGTAGGAGAAGGAGCAAATCATTGTAGTGCCTTATTGCCTGTGTTAATGACTTCGCATTTTATTTGGAGACGGGAGTTCTTGGGAGGATTTTGAGCAGAGGAATGGCACGATCCTTCATTTAGTACATGTTAAGTGAGCAGGACTCTGTTTATATATGTGATCACAAAAATATAAAAGATGGGGCTCATGCCTGTAATCCCAGCATTTTGGGAGGCCGATGTGGGAGGATTGTTTGAGCCCAGGAGTTTGAGACTAGCCTGGGCAACATAGAGAGACCCTTGTCTCAAAAAAAAATTATAGGCCAGATGCAGTGGCTCACACCTGTAATCCCAGCACTTTGGGAGGCCGAGGCAGGTGGATCACCTGAAGTCAGAAGTTCGAGGCCAGCCTGGCCAAACATGGTGAAATCCCATCTCTACTAAAAAAAAAAAAAAATACAAAAATTACAATTCAAGATGAGATCTGGGTGGGGCTACAGAGCCAAACCATATCACCTCACTTCTAATCATTCTGTAATGTAGGTATGATACAAATACATATCTTTTAAGGTTATTTTGATGATTAAATGGATTAGAACAGTGCCCAGCACCAGATAAATGTTACCCATTATTATTTTTGCATTTAATCTTCACCACAGCTCTTTGGAGTAGGTATTAACCAGGCCAAAAGTTAAGTAACTTGTCCAAAGTTACACAACTAGCAAGCGAAAATTCGCTTCAAAGCCAGTATTTTTTACGACTATACCTTTACTTATGTCCATGAGTGGGTGGGGAAGGAGAGATTTGGATCTTCTGTCAAAGCCAATGATTTCTTACTAATTGTGATCTTGTGAAAGTACTTTTCCACACCTCAGTTTCTTCTGTAGAATGAGCATAATACTCACATTGCAGATAATCTATAGAATAACTAATAAAAACAAACCTTGTAGTGTGCCTGTCAGAGGTACTCAATAAATGTTAGTTCCCTTTTCCCTTTGATAAAATCTGACCTCATGGAGATGGGAGAGAATAATCTTGCAATGAGAATAATTTTTACCTCTTGACTTATGCATTTTTCTACTTAAATTGGATGTCTGTCTAATGCTTATTATATATAAACATGTGTAATATAGCTGCACCTGGTTTTGTCTAGTGTTGATCTTTGGATTTGATCCAGACTTATACTGTAACATTTTTATGCCTGAGTGTGAGTATTCTAAAGACCCATTTCACAGCAAGTCTGGCTTCAGAGCTTTATTTCCGGTTGGGTAGAACACAGTCATGTGGTTGATGTCTCCATTGTTGCTTTTATCTTTTGCAGCAGATGTGAAAGTAAACATACAAGGTTGAAAAACAGGAAGGGGTTTGAGTTGGGAGGGTGTTTTTGAAAGGGGAACTTGTACACAAGTGACCTGCAATCTGAAGTGTAGCTTTTAGCAGTTACAGAAAGATATACCTTATTGTCTTAAAGTAAATAAAATAGCAAGTGATTTTGCAGTTTAATGAATTCGTGAATTTACATATATTTTTGCTTTTATACATTTTGGAGAAGCGCATATTGTGTTCCTCTTTTTGATTGAAACAGAGAACTGATGAATTCACCCCAATTCTGGGTTCTTTTTACCTGTGAAAAAAAATTTTCAGTAAGGAAGCATGGAGTTTTTTGTTGTTCGTGTTGGGTATCTGTTCTAATATCATTATATTTGGACTTCCTCAAAAGCCAAAACATAAGACCGCATTTTTCTACTTGGCTCTATGGTCTTTGTTCCTAAGGAAGGGAATTAACACATACTGAATGCTAGCTATGTATCAGATACTACTCTCTGTGTATGCTAATTAATTTAAATATTTCTGTGTTTTACATCCAATCTACAAGGAGTTTTTATTGCTTTGATGAAATCCCTCCCTCCCCCTTCTTTCCTCTCATCTCTCCCTTTCTCCTTCTCCTCTTAAATGATTCTCTGGCTGAACAATTTTCTATTAATAGTATATTTGGGAGGCAGTATGATGTAACAGCCAGTAAGGATATGGGATTTGGAGTCAGACCTGGATTTACAGTAAGGTTTTGTTTTTGATAGGGAAAAACTGCTTTCTATCTCAATAAATAAAAGCCAGGGTCCCACAGAACTGGCTTTAGAAGGAGATTCTGCACATGGGGTGGAGTAATTGGAGCTCACAGCAAGGACTTTTGTTCCTGAAGATTCACTTTCCCCTGGGGAATCCCTTGCTGACCTCAGAGGTGCTGCTTTCTTTTAATTTTCTGCCCCAGAGGAGAGTCTTCTCTTAATACTCCTGCAGAACACAGCTGAGACCAGGCTGTAACATCTGGTATGTTACTAAAGGCTCAGAGATGAAAAAGGGAAATAAGTACAGAGTTACTATTATGCTTCTGTAATATCTGGCTCACGAGATAAAACACACACCTCTGTAATTTGTGGTATTCTATTGGGATACCTCCCTTACTTGACCCACAACACATATGTTTTCTAGTGGCAGAAGCCATCTTTATTTCTGCTACTTGGGAGTGCCTCCAGCATATCCAGATTTCTCTAAATACAGAGGAGAAGGTCCAGAGGGAAAAAAAAAATTCTTTATCTTACCAGCCTGTGGTTATATCTGATACAGGCCCCACTTCTTTCATGTGATCAACACCAGGTCTATATAACCCTTAGGGGAGACCACAGTTACCCACGGAATATCTAATTACCATTCACAGAAGAGAAACACAAACAGTACAGGGGTGTTGGGTTAGAGGTAGGGAGGCCTTCCTTTTACCATTTACCACAGATCATATAATCTCTGATTATAGCTCCACAACTTGGAACAAAATAGCTCTCAGTAAATATTCCCTTCCGGTTCTTTTAAGCTTAATGCCATTTGATACCTGAGAAAACTACAGTTTAGTTTGTTGCAGTTTTATTTCTGAGAGTTTTGTTTGAGGAGATCTAGTACTTAATCAGGTCCAAAGTTAGGCTGAGGAAAGTGGTGATAAGGGTAGGTTGGTGTGATCAAGATAGAACACCTGGTGCCTAGAGCAGGCTGAGTTTAAATGTTAAAGGGGGTGTCCTTTGTAACATATAACATTAATTATAGAAGAACTAGGTTACTGATTCAAGGTCCTTGGGTTTGTTTCTAAGGAACAGTGCAATACAGTCAAAGATCTTTGGAATCATAAATGTGGTTTAGAATCCTGGCTCTGGTACTGACTGCTGTGTGTCTGTCTTTATGCAAGTTACACATTCTCCCTACTTCTCAGTTTCTTCATCTGTTAAATTTGTATAACATTTAACATGATATACCTCCCTTTTAGAACTGCCGAAATGATCAGAAATAATATGTAATATGCTTAACATAGTACCTGTCACATAATGTGCTCTTAATGAATGGGAACTAATTATTATTTTAAATGATGTTCCTTTATAATCTCACTGGTACTTGACTTATACATGCTGTGACCTTGGCCTTCTTTTTTTATTTTAATTTTTACTATTTTTTTTTTTTTGAGACAGAGTCTTGCTCTGTCGCCCAGGCTGGAGTGCAGTGGCGCTGTCTCAGCTCACTGCAAGCTCTGCCTCCCGGGTTCACGCCATTCTCCTGCCTCAGCCTCCCAAGTAGCTGGAACTACGGGTGCCTGCCACCGTGCCCGGCTAATTTTTTGTATTTTTTTTTTAGTAGAGACGGGGTTTCACCGTGTTAGCCAGGATGGTCTCGATCTCCTGACCTTGTGATCCGCCCGCCTCGGCCTCCCAAAGTGCTGGGATTACAGGCGTGAGCCACTGCGCCCGGCCAATTTTTACTATTTTTTTTGAGACGGAGTTTCACTCTTGTTGCCGGGGCTGGAGTGCAATGGCGCGATCTTGGCTCACCGCAATCTCTGCCTCCCGGGTTCAAGCGATTCTCCTGCCTCAGCCCGCCGAGTAGCTGGGATTAGAGGCATGCGCCACCACGCCTGGCTAATTTTGTATTTTTAGTAGAGACGGGGTTTATCCATGTTGGTCAGGCGGCTAGTCTCGAACTCCTGACCTCAGATGATCTGCCCGCCTTGGCCTCCCAAAGTGCTGGGATTACAGGCGTGAGCCACCGCGCCTGGCACTGGGCCTTCTTTTTTTTTTTTTTTTTTTTTTTTAAAGACTTTATTGAGATATAATTAACATATCATATGATTTAACCATTTAAAGTATACGATTTAATGTTTTTTAGTGTGTTTATGGGGTTGTGCAGCCATCATCTCAATCTAATTTTTGAACATTTTCATCCCCCTGAAAAGAAACTTCATATTCATTAGCAGTCATTCCCCATTCCCCACCCTGCAACCCCAGTCCTAGGTAAGCACTAACTACTTTATGTCTCTCTAGATTTACCTATTCTAGACATTTCATATAAATAGAATTATACAATATGTTGCTTCCTTTTTTTTTTTTTTTTTTTTTAAAGAAACAGAGTCTTACTCTGTTGCCCAGGCTGGAGTGCAGTGGCACCAACATAACTCACTGCAGCCTTGAACTCCTGGGCTCAAGTGATCCTACCGCCGCAGCCTTCTGAGTAGTTGGAATTACAGACACACACCACCACACCAGCTAATTAAAAAAAAAAAAATTTTTTTTTTTATAGAAACGGGGTCTTGTCATATTGCCCAGGCTGGTCTTGAACTCTTGGGCTCTAGACATTGTCCTTCCTCAGCCTCCCAAAGTGCTGGGATTACAGGCATGAACCACTACATCTGGCCCTGAACTGTGTGTGTGTGTGTTTTTTTTTTAATTTGAGACTGAGTCTCTCTCTGTTGCCTGGGCTGGAGTGCAGTGGCACGATCTTGACTCACTGCAACCTCCGCCTCCCAGGTTTAAGTGATCCTTCAGCCTCAGACCCCCTAGTAGCTGGGATTATAGGCACACACCACCATGCCTGGCTAATTTTTGTATTTTTAGTAGAGACGGGGTTTCACCTTGTTGGCCAGGCTGGTCTCGAACTCCTGACCTCAGGTGATCCGCCCGCCTCAGCCTCCCAAAGTGCTGAGATTACAGGCGTGAGCCACCGCACCTGGCCCATTTCATCACCTTTTTTACCTGTAATTTTTCTCTGGCTGAATATGCTTTTAAGAAATAAAAGTTCTCAATAAAAATCCTGTGGTATATTGTACCTTGTGATAAATAATACCCAAGATCCATGATGGGAAGGGAGATTTTTAAACATATCTTAAATACATGATACTGAAAGTATGAGGCAGACTAAATTATTCCATCAGTATTCAGAATACTTATCAACAGAGACTTTTTAGGAAAAAATACAAAATTATGAATACAAAACTAGGGATGAAAACAAATACCTATCTAGAATGAGAAAACCACAAGTTACATATTTTAAAAAGCTGAAAAATAGGCTGAGCATGGTGGCTCATGCTTGTAATCCCAGCACTTTGGGAGGCTGACGTAGGAGGATAGCTTGAGCCCAGGAGTTTCATACTAGCCAGGGCAACATATGATACCACACCTCTACAAAAAATTTAAAAATTAATGGGACGTGGTGGCATGTACCTGTGGTCCCAGCTACTCGGGAGGCTGAGGTGGGAGGGTCACTTGAGCTTGGGAAGCTAAGGTGGTTCTAGCCTTGGCAACAGAGTAAGACTCTGTCATTAAAAAAAAAAAAAAAAAAGGCTGAAAAATAGCACAAATATCACAAAATTTAGAAAAATAGCTTAACATTTTAATTAACTGATATGGTGTCATAGTTCATTTTTTTCTGTATTTTTGGCTTCATACTCCTCTAAAGAGTTTTATATTATGACTTTGTAATTTTTTTTTTTTTTTTGAGACAAAGTCTCGCTCTGTTGCCCAGGCTGGAGTGCAGTGGTGCGATCTCGGCTTACTGCAACCTCCGCCTCCCGGGTTCAAGCAGTTCTCCTGCCTCAGCCTCCCGAGTAGCTGGGATTACAGGCGCCCGCCACCACGTCTGGCTGATTTTTTTTTTTTGTATTGTTGGTAGAGACAGGGTTTCACTGTGTTAGCCAGGATGGTCTCGATCTCCTGACCTCATGATCCACTCGCCTCGGCCTCCCAAAGTGCTAGGATTACAGGCGTGAGCCACCGCGCCCGACCAATGACTTTGTAATATTTTCAATAGAGACAGCACAAAGATAATTCAGTCTTCCTTTTAGCTTGGTGGCCTTGGCAGGGGCCAGTACAAATGAGGGCCCTGAGCTTAAGCTTATTTTAACAGTAAATCTACTTCTGCATAGTAAGTAATCTTAAGAGATGAACCAAGAGGTTGTAATATGCCTAGTCTATATTTTAAGCATTTATTGCAATTGTTTGGTTATTATAAGTTGCTTCATGTGAATCATTTTCTTGGATTTAATGTTCAACTAGAAACTTGTAGTGTTTTGTTTTGTTTTTTGTTTTTTTTGAAATGGAGTCTTGCTCTGTTGCCCAGGCTGGAGTGCAGTGGCACTATCTCAGCTCACTGCAGCCTCCGCCTCCCGAATTCAAGTGATTCTTCTGCCTCAGCCTCCTGAGTAGCAGGGATTACAAGTGGGTGCCACCACACCTGGCTAATTTTTGTATTTTTAGTAGAGATGGAGTTTCGCCATGTTGGCCAGGCTGATCTCGAACTCTTGACCTCAGGTGATCCACTCTCCTTGGCCTCCCAAAGTGCTGGGATTACAGGCATGAGCATCATGCCTGGCCTCTATATTTTTATCTTTTCTTCCAGGAGCCAAAGCTGCTGCTTTTTCTCCTTTTTTTTTTTTATGCTTCTCTCCTACCTCCTTTAAAAAAAAAAAGCAGATATCTTTTTTTTCCCAAATAATTCATGTTATTGTTAATGTGGAGATGAAAAACAGGCCAAACTAGTTATATATTTTCAGTCTAAGATCTTTCTCCTCTGTTAAGTTTTAGACTAGATATTCTTGTTTTGTCAGGCTCTCAGTACATTTTCTCTTCCATGTCAACTCTAATTCTCTTCATCTCTTCTTTTGGTAGTGAAAATCAAGTAGAATATTAAAAGACCATATGCTCTGCAAATCACTTAGAAGCAAACTTGCTCTGTGATAGTATGGCCTTGATATTTGTCATTAATATTATTCGTTGTTTTATTTTTGGGGTAGCTTTCTGGAGGTCAAGGGTTTACAAGTAGAACAAAGAAATATGAGTAGTTAGTGACCGAAGAACTAAAGCTTTTTTCCAGGATTTTCTTGTTTTACAAAGACACGTATAGACATTTTGTTAGATTTTTAAATACCTCAGTTGACAATTTAAATGTTGAGAGCCCAATACTGTTAGTATTGTGAATATATTTGAGTTGAATATATTTGGTATATTTAGTTTGTATATTTAATTTTTTGAAAAAGTTTTGTCTTTATGTATTTTTTTCTTTAACATTTGAGCTTGAATCAATAAAGGGCAGCAACAGAAAAGCATTTTGGATCAAACATATTTGCCGTGTTCACTATATTTTGATGATAAATAGATGGCAACATTTGTCTTTGAGTCTGTCTTGTTCTGCTCAAAAAGCAGAAAAGATAGGAAGAGAGAAATAAGTAAGATTTACTGCACTTTGCTTAATATTCTTACAGCAATAACACACCTTAGCTGGTGGTATTTTCCTTTTATGAATCATAAAGTCAGACTGGGAGAGGTAACTTATCTAAGGTCATGAAGCTAGTAACTGAGGGTGCTAAGACTCAATGTTTAGCTGACTTCAAAACTGATGTGCAGCACTGTGATTGGATTTGGAACTCTCTTCTATTGTGGTTAGGGTAGTGGTAAACTTTCATCCTATTCAGATTTTCACAAGTCATAATTTATTGTCACCTAGGATGACCAGGATTCAATCTAGGCTATCACATTGCATTTAGTGGTTATGTCTTCCTTAGTCTCCTCCAATCTGTGATAGTATCTCCTTGCATTTCATAGCATTGATGCGTTCATAGAGTATCGGCCAGGTGTTTTACAAAATGCCAGTCGGGGTTTGTCTGATTTTTTTCCACGATTAGATAGTAGATTTTTGGGAAGAATACAGAGGTGATGTGTCCTCAGTATGTCATGTTGGGCAAAGCAAGACCTAGTCTAAAAAAACCACACACACGGTTTTAGATTTACAGATTTATTGTGAAGATAGTACAGAGTCCCTATATACCCCACACTGCAGTTTCCTCTATTATTAATATATTAGTATAGTATATTTTTAACATTAGTAAACTGATATTGATACATTATTGTTAACTAAAGTTCATATTTTATTCAGATTTCCTCAGGTTTTTTTCCTAATGTCTTTTTCCTGTTCCTGAATACCATCCAGGATACCACATTATGTCTAGTACTCATTTCTCCTTACAGTTTTCTTGGTTGTGATTGTTTCTCAGACTTGCTTTGTTTTTGATGATCTTGACAGTTTTGAGGGTTGTTGGTCAGATATTTGTAAGATTGCCTCAGTTGGGATTTGTGTGATGTTTTTGTCATTATTAGACTTGATAATGTGTTTTTGGGAGGAAGACCCAGAGAGGTAAAGTATCATTCTCATTACTTCCTATCAAGGGTACATCCTATCAATATGACTTATCACTACTGATGTTGACCTTGGTCTTAAGGTAGTTTATCAGGTTTCTCTGCTGTAAAGATACTTTCCCCCCTTTTCCATACTGTACTCTTTAGATGAAAGTCACTATGCATAGCCCACACCTAAGGAGTGGAGAGTTGTACTCTACCTCCTTGAGGGCAAAATATCTACACAAATTATTTGTAATTCTGCATCAGAGACTTTATTTTTCCTCATCTGTTCAATCATTTATATCAGTGTGGAGTCATACTGATATGGATATTTATTTTACACTTTGGGTTTTAATCCAGTATTACTTCATTTATTTTGTTGCTCAAATTGTTCCAGCTTTGGCCATCAGGTGCTCTTTTGGTTGGCCTCTGGTTCTTTTGACATTGTGTGTGTGTGTGTGTGTGTGTGTGTGTGTGTGTGTGTATTTTAATACTTTCCTACTTTGTGGTACTACAAAATGCTCCAGGCTCATCTTGCATATTTCCTGCCCGGCTCCTAGAATCAGTCATTTCTCCAAGGAGTCCCCATTCCTTTTATTGGATAATGGCATTAGAAACCAAGATCTGGCCAGGCACGGTGACTCAAACGCCTGTACTCCCAGCACTTTGGAAGGCTGAGGCAGAAGGATTGCTTGAGTCATGGACAACATAGTGAGGCCTTGTCCCTACAAAAAATGAACAGAACTAGCCAGGGGTGGTGGCGCATCCTTGTGGTCCCAGCTACTCAGGAGGCTGAGGGAGGATCGCTGGAGCTTGAGAGGTTGAGGCAGCTGTGAGCCATGTTCATGCCACTGTACTCTATCCTGGTTGACAAAGTGAGACCCTGTATCAAAAAAAGAAAAAGCATAAATAAATAAATCAAGATCTGGCCAGGTGAAGTGGCTTGCACCTGTAATCCAAGCACTTTGGGAGGATGAGGCAGGCTGATCACCTGAGCTCAGGAATTCGAGACCAGCATGACCAACATGGCGAAACGCTGTTTCTACACAAAAATACAAAAAAAGTTAGCCCGGTGCTGTGGTGCGCATGCCTGTAGCCAGCTACTCGGGAGTCTGAGGCACAAGAATTGCTTGAGCCTGAGAGGCAGAGGTTGCAGAGAGCCAAGATCACGCCATTTGCACTCCAGCCTGGGAGACAGAGCAACATCCTGTCTCAAAACACACACACACACACACACACACACACACCCCCCCCCCCCCAAGATCTACGCACTAACTGCTTATAACTGCTTAGTTGATCTTCTTCCCTCTAGTCTTTTTCCTTTTGCCATATTCATTCCAGTTTATCTTGCCATACTCATCTTCTTCAAATAGAGCTTCCATCGAGTAGGTAATCTCTCTCCTTAAGAGTTACTGTAGGCCAGGCATGGTGGCTCACTTCTGTAATCTCAGCACTTTGAGAGGCTGAGGCAGGCAGACCATGCGGTCATGAGATCGAGACCATCCTGGCCAACATGGAGAAACCCCGTCTCTACTAAAAATACAAAAATTAGCTGGGCGTGGTGGCACATGCCTGTAATCCCAGCTACTCGGGAGGCTGAGGCAGGAGAATCGCTTGAACCAGGGAATCAGAGGTTGGAGTCAGCCGAGACTGTGCCATTGCACTCCAGCCTGGTGACAGAGCGAGACTCTGTTTCAAAAAAAAAAAAAAAAAGTTACTGTAGTTTATTATTGCTTATCTGATCAAATATCCTTAGCCTAGCTTCCTTTGCCTCACCTAGTATACTTCTCATTATTAAAAGTTTGTCTCTCATATCCTTCTTACGCTGTTCTAACCTTGGCATGATTTATTTGCCCTTTCTTCTCTGGCCTTCCAAGTCTAATTCCCACTTTCTTCATTCTTATCTTAGGGTGCTCTAGCTTTTTGCATTTATTAGACTTGTATGTTTTTTGTACTTGGTAATTAATAGTCAAAATTAGAAGCACAATCTAAAACTTCAGAAGGGACTTCAGAAGTCATTTGGCCTATTTCTTCAGTTAGAGATAAGAAAACTGTGGCCCCAAGATGTGGAGTGACTTGACTAAGTGATGGCAAAGACGGAGCTGGATCTTTGGCTTTCTCTCACTTTGTACAGTGTTTTCACATATGCAGCTGCTTCATGCCCTATCCCCTAACTTGTATCCTAAAAAAAATTGAGATATAATTTACATATAAAATTTACCATTTTCAAATGTACAATTCAGTGGTCTTTTAGTATATTCATCATTACCACTATTTCAGTCCAGAACATTTTCATTACTCCAAGAAACCCCTTACATGTTAGCAGTTACATTTCCCCATCCCCCCAGACTCTGGCAATCACCATTCTTTCTGTTTGTATGGATTTGCTTATTCTGAACATTTCACATAAATGGAATCACATAATATGTGGTCTTTTATGTCTGGCTTCATTCACTTAGCATGTTTCCAAGGTTCATCCATGTGGTAGCATGTATCAGTACTTCATTCCTTTGTATGGCTGAATAATATTCCACTGTAGTATCACACAAAAATATTCTATTGTATATCACATTTTGTTTATCCCTTCATCAGTTGCTGGATATTGTGTTGTTTGTGCTTTTTGGCTATTATAAATAATGCTGGCTATGAACATTCATAAACAAGTTTTTATTTGAATATGTGTTTTTGGTTTTTGTGGATATGTAACTAGGAGTAGAATTGCTGGATCATATGTAATTCTATGTTTAACTTTTTGAGAACTGCCACATGGTTTTTCACAGTGACTGCACCATTTTACATTCCTAAAGGCAGTGCATAAGGGTACCAATGTCTCTGCATCCTTACTAACACTTGTTTTCCTTTGTAAAAAAAAATTATAGCTATCCTAAAGGGTGTGAAATGGTACCTCATAGGGGTTTTGAATTGCATTTCCGTAATGACTAATGATGTTGAACACCTTTTCATGTGCTATTGGCCATTTGTGTATCTTCTCTTGTGAAATGTCTGTTCAAGTACTTTGCTCATTTACATTGTGTTATTTGTCTTTGAATTGTGAGAGTACTTTATGCATTCCATAGACTAAACCTTTATCAGGCATATAATTTGCAAATTTCTCCTGTTGTTTAGGCTGTATTTCCACTTTTCTGACGCATTTTAAAGCACAAAAGTTTTTATTTATTTATTTTTTTTTGAGGCAGAGTCTCGCTCTTGTCGCCCAGGCTGGAGTGCAATGGCGCGATCTAGGCTTACTGCAACCTCTGCCTCACAGGCTCAAGTGATTCTCCTGCCTCATCCTCCCAAGTAGATGGGATGACAGGCATGGGCCACCATGCTCGGCTAATTTTTGTGTTTTTAGTAGAGATGGAGTTTCACCATGTTGGCCAGGCTGGTCTTTAACTCCTGACCTCGTGATCTGCCCGCCTTGGCCTCCCAAAGTCCTGGGATTACAGGCGTGAGCCACCGCGCCTGGCCATAAGTTTTGAATTTTGAAGTCCAATTTATAAAAAAATTTTTGGTTGTTTTTGGTATCATATGTAAGAAATCATTGCCTAAATCAAAATCATGGAAATTTACGTCTTATCTTTTCTTCTAGGAATTTTATGTTAGCTCTTACATTCATATCTTTGATCCATTTCAAATTAAATTTTTTATATGAGGTGAGACAGGGGTCTGTCTGGATTCACTCACTTGCAGGTAGATGTCCAGTTGTCCCAGCATTATATGTTGAAAGGACTTTCCTTTCCTCCATTGAATTGTCTTGGCACCCTTGTTGCAACCAACTGGATATAGATGTATGAGTTTATTTCTGGACTCTCAGTTCCATTCCGTTGATCTACGTGTTTATCCTTATGCTGGTACCACATTGTCTTGATTACTGTAGGTTTGTGGTAAGCTTTGAAATTGGTAAGTGTGAGTCCTCTAACTGTGGTCTTATTTTTCAACATTGTTTTGGCTGTTCTGGCTATCCCTTGTATTTCCATATGAATTTTAGCATCAGTTTTGTCCATTTTTGTGGAAAAGGTAGTTGGGATTTTGATGTCTACTGCACTGAATCTGTAGATTAATTTGGGAATATTGCCATCTTAACAACGTGAAGTCTTCTAATCTATGAACATGGGATTTTTTCCGCTTATTTAGGTCTTCCTTAATTTCTTTCATTGATGGGTTATAGTTTTCAATGCAAATCTTGTATGTACTTTGTTTGTTAAATTTATTCCCAAGTATTTCATTATTTTGCATGCTAAATGGAATTTTTTAAGTTATAATTTTCAGATTATTTATTGCAAATATATAGAAATACAGTTGATTTTTGAATTTTTTTTTTTTTTTGACACAGTATCTGGCTGCGTCATCCAGGCTGGAGTGCAGTAGTGCGATTTTTGCTCACTGCAACCTCTGCTTCCCAGGCTCAAGCAAACCTCCCACCTCAGCCTCCTGAGTAGCTGGGACCATAGGCATATGTCACCACGCCTGGCTAATTTTAAAATTTTTCTGAGAGACTAGGTTTCGCCATGTTGCCCAGGCTGGTCTCAAACTCCTGGGCTCAAGTGCTAGGATTACAGGCATGAGCCACCATAACTGTCCTGATTTTTGAATGTTGATCTTGTATCCTGCAACCTTGGTTAACTTGCTTGTTAGAACTAGTAGTTTTTTTTGTGTGGATTCCTTAGAATTTTCTATTTACAAGATTATGTCATCTGCAAATAGGGATAGTTTTATTTTTTCTTTCCAATCTGGATACTTTTTAAAAATTTCTTTTCTAGGCCTAATTGCCCTGGCTAGAATAGCCAGTGCAATGTTGAATAGAAGTGGTAAGAGTAGACATTCTAGTCTTATTCCTGACATTAGGATAAAAACCTTCAGCCTTGCTCTGTATGTTGTTACAGGATGTATTGATGCTAGCTGTGGATTTTTTTTAGATACTTTTTATCAGGTTGAGGAAATTCCTTTCTATTACTAGTTTGTTAAGTGATTTTTTATCATGAAAGGATGTTGGTATTTTCAAATGCTTTTTTTGTGTCTGTTGAGATGATCATGTGGATTTTGTCTTTTATTCTATTGGTGTGGTGTAGTGCATTGATTGACTTTTGTATGTTAATCCAATCTTGCATCCCTGGGATAAATTTCATTTGGTCATGGTATGTAATTGTTTTTTATAGCCACTGGATTTGGTTTGTTAGTATTTTGTTGAGGGTTTTTGTGTCTATATTTATTTATTTTTTATTTTTATTTATTTATTTTTTTGAGACGGAGTCTCAGCTGCCCAGGCTGGAGTGCAGTGGTGCGATCTTGGCTCACTGCAATGACCTTCTTCCGGGTTCAAGCGATTCTCCTGGCTCAGCCTCCCGAGTAGCTGGGATTACAGGCACTTGACACCACGCCCGGCTAACTTTGTATTTTTAGTAGAGACGGGGTTTCACCATGTTGGCCAGGGTAGTCTAGAACTCCTGACCTCAGGTGATCCGCCCACCTCAGCCCCTCAAAGTGCTGGGATTACAGGCGTGAGCCATCGCACCTGGCCTCAAGTGCTTTTTAAAGATCTTAATATTTTTCTTATGTTTTTGAATCAGAATGCCCTAGTATCAGTTATCTATTGCTACACAATCACCTCAAAACTTAATGATCTAAAATAATAGCTATTTTATTTTCTGTGATTCTGTGAATCAGGATTTTGGACAGGGCTCTGTGAAAATGGCTTATTTCTGATCCATGTGATAGAAACTAGGGCAGCTTATCAATTTCATGTGGCGTAAGTTAACAGTGGGTGGGCTGGAGCTGGAGGATCCAGTATGGCCTTGCTTTGATGTCTGGTGCCTCAACTTGGATGCTTCAGTCATCTGGGGGCTGGCTTGAGAAGGCTGGTCCTCATTCATGACTGTAACACTTGATAGGAGGAGTTGTTGGTAGCCAGCTTTGTAGCCAAACTACCAGAGCTCTTAAACAAATCGTACATCAGGGAGAAAGCTTAAATCTTGATTTTAAATGACTGTTTTGGGCATTACTTTCAGAATAATTATTAGAAGTGCCTTGATTAAACTTAGATAACTAACGTTAAAATATACGAAATCAGATAGTAAAGTGTTTCTTGGGAAATGGTTGAAGTAACCAGTTTTGATATTATGTTTGATAGGTGCAAAAATTAGTATTTCGCCAGGGGCGGTGGCTCACGGCTGTAATCCCAGCACTTTGGGAGGCCGAGGTGGGCGGATCACCTGAGGACGGGAGTTTGAGACCAGCCTGGTCAGCATGGTGAAACCCCATCTCTACTAAAAATACAAAAATTAGCCGGGCGTGGTGGCGGGCGCCTGTAATCCTAGCTACTCTGGAAGCTGAGGCAGGAAAATCACTTGAACCCGGGAGGCGGAGGTTGCAGTGAGTCGAGATCGCGCCATTGCACTCCAGCCTGGGCGACAGAGCGAGACTCTGTGTCAAAAAGAAAAAAAAATTAATATTTCTTGGAAATCAAGTCTGTTGGGGAAACTGTTCTAGACTGGTTGCAATTATATTTAATTTTGAGGTGAGTTATCCTAGTCCTAAGTAGGGAAACAAAAACATCCAGAGTTTGGATGTATGTTGTGTGACCAAAAGAAAATGTTTACAATCGTCTGACATGTTATATGCCAGGAAATATGCATTAGGATATCCATTGTGTTGCTTGATAAGAAAACGAAAGCACTGACATTTACTTTTCTTACTGGGAACTTTTCATGTCTGAAAGTCTTGATCACCTATTTATTACCTTGAGGTATAGGGTATGGAAAGCACATTAAAAAAATCAGTAGATGGTGAATTTGGTTTTCAGAACATATTTCACAGTATTAAACAGAATATCACATTATCATCACATTTAATGTGAAGTTAAATAATGAAGAAGGGCCAGGCTCAGTGGCTTATGCCTGTAATCCCAGCACTTTGGGAGGCTGAAGTGGGTAGATCACTTGAGCTCAGGAGTTCGAGATTAGCCTCCTGAGACCTGTCTCTACCAAAAAAAAAAAACAAAACAAACAAAAAAACTAGGTATGGTAGTGCTTGCCTGTAGTCCCAGCTACTCGGGAGACTAAGATGGGAAGATCGCCTGAGACTGGTAGGTCAAGACTACAATGAGCTGTGATTGCACCACTGCTCTCCAGCCTGGGTGGCAGAGTGAGACCTTGTCTCAAAAAATAAAAAACCAATAATGGGGAAAAATGAGGTATAAGTCCAACGAGGTATAGTTCTAGGCAGGTTTTGTAAGATGAGTATCCTTCGGAAGAAGAAACGTTTACAGTGAATTTTTACTGAGTCATAAGAAATATTTGTCAAATGTTACCTAAGCTGTAGTACTGATTTATTAACAGATAGTTTTTCTGTAAAGAAAATCCACATAAATAAGTGATTTAAAATGCTTTCTCAGGCCGGGCACAGTGGCCCACGCCAGTAATCCCAGCACTTTGGGAGGCCGAGGCGGGCGGATCACCTGAGGTCGGGAGTTCCAGACCAGCCTGACCAACATGGAGAAACCCCGTCTCTACTAAAAATACAAAATTAGCAGGGGGTGGTGGTGCGTGCCTGTAATCCCAGCTACTCGGAAGCTGAGGTGGGAGAATCGCTTGAACACAGGAGGCGGAGGTTGCAGTGAGCTGAGATGGTGCCATTGCACTCCAGCCTGGGCAACAAGAGTGAAGCTCTGTCTCAAAAAAAAAAAAAAAAAAAAAGCAAAAACCTTTCTCCCTGACTTTACAAATTTTAGAAAATTTGTAGAGTTGTAGAAAATTTGAACGATAAAGTATAAAGACCAAAACTAAAAATTACCCGTAATCCTATTAATGCTAATACTATAAATATTTTGATGTTCCTTCTTTCTTTTCATAAATTTTTTATTTGGAAAAGTACAGAGATAACAAAAACCAAAATGTTTTTCCTATTTTCACATAGTCATCACAGCACTTTTGACACCAGATGTGTGGCGTGGTTTTTCCCACACACTAACCAAGCAATTCTCCAAAGGATAGCAGCTGGGTGTCCTATATAATTCACTTCAATTCTGACACTATCTACCTGGAGATAGCATCAGATCCCACAGGTTGAGGGCTCAGTCCCACAAGACTGTCTCTCATATCAGATGCTATTCACAAGACCCAGGTTGTGACCTGTGCTTCTGACCAACTGGCTCCAAATTGGGGTTCCCACAACCCCCTCTTTGGGTTCAATCAGTTTGCTAGAGGGGCTCACAGAACTCAGGGAAACACTTTAATTATGTTTACCCATTTGTTAGAAAGAATATTACAGAGAATACAGATGAAAAGCAAAGTTGAAGAAATGCATAGGGCAAGGTATGGGGGAAAGGACATGGAGCTACCTTGCCCTCTCTGGGCACACCAACCTCCACGATCTTACATGTGTTCAGCAATCCAGAAACTTTCTGAACCAGTCCTTTTGATTTTTCATGGAGGCTTCATTATGTCCTGATTGATTACATCATGGGACATGGGTGATCAGCTCAACCTAAAGCTCCTTTACCCTCCCTGGAGATTGTGTGGTGGTGGTGGCACTGAAAGTTCTAACCCTCTAATCACATGGTTGGTTCCCCTGGCAACCAGCCCCCATCCTAAGGCTATCCTGGAACCCCAGCCATCACTCAATTCATTAGTATTCACAGAGACCCTTAGCACTTTGGAGATTCCAAGGGTTTTAGGAAGTATGTGCCAGGACCAGAGACCAAATATATATTTCTTACTGTATCACAATATCATGTGAGGTAATATGGAGCTTTGTGGATTTCATTCCTCCAGCTCCACCCTCCCCCCAACATTTTGATTCCATTGGGAAATCTTACTGTCATTTTAAATTATAATAGGAATATTAACTCAGTTTATTGGAATAAAAGATATAAGAAAAAGTTCTTCTCCTACTTATATACCAGGAGTGTGGGTTTCAACTCTGGCCAGTGAAACAAGCAAAATATGTTAATTTGGTAAAAAATTTCCATAATAACAGTTCCTTTGATTCTAAGGAAGGAAATAAAGATTTCAAAACTAATCGAGTCAAAAAATTTGTGAAAGATTCGAATAAACATTTCTCAAAAGAAGATATACAGATGACAAACAGGCATATGAAAAGGTGCTCAACATCACTGATCATCAGAGAAATGCAAATCAAAACTACAATGAGGCCGGGCGCTGTGGCTCATGCCTGTAATCCTAGCACTTTGGGAGGCTGAGGTGGGTGGATCACCTTAAGTCAGGAGTTCGAGACCAGCCTAGCCAACATGGTGAAACCCTGTCTCTACTAAAAAATTAAAAAATTAGCCGGGTGTGGTGGCACGCACCTGTAGTCCCAGCTACCTGGGAGACTAGGAGAAATACTTGAACCTGGGAGGCGGAGGCTGCAGTGAGCTGATATCGTGCCACTGCACTCCAGCCTGGATGATAGAGTGAGACTCCGTTTCAGGAAAAAAAAAAACAAAACAAACACACTACAACGAGAAGCTTACATCCAAGACAAAGGCAATAACAAATGCTGGCAAGGATGTGGACAAAAGGGAACCCTTGTACACTGTTGGTGGGAATGCAAATTAGTATAACCATTTTGGAGAAGTTTGGAGGTTCCTCAAAAGACTAAATATTGAGCTGCCATATGATCTAGTGATCCCACTGCTGGATATATACCCAATAGAAAGGAAATTAATATAACAAAGAGGTATCTGCACTCCAATGTTTGTTGCAGCACTGTTTACAATAGCTAAGATTTGGAAGCAGCCTAAGTGTCCATCAACAGATAAATGGATAAAGAAAATCTACATATACACATTGGAGTACTATTCAACCATAAAAAGAATGAGACCCTGTTATTTGCAACAATATGGATGGAACTAACTGGAGTTCATTAAGTGAAATAAGCCAGACACAGGAAAACAAACTCCTCATGTTTTTACTTATTTGTGGGATCTAAAAATCAAAACAATTGAACTCACGGACAGAGAGAGAAGGATGGCTACCAGAGGCTGGGAAAGAGTAGTGTGGAGGCGGGGGCTGGGAGGAGAGGAAGATGAGGATGTTAATTGGTTAAAAAAAATAGGAAGAATGAATAAGACCTACTATCTGATAGCACAATAGGGTGACTATAGTCAATTATAGTTGTACATTTAAAAATAACAGAATGTAATTGGATTGTTTGTAACTCAAAAGATAAAAATGCTTGAGAGGATGGATACCGCATTCTCCATGATGTGCTTCTTTCATTTTGCATGCCATATCAAATCATCTCACATACCCCATAAATATATATGCTTACTGTGTACTCACAATAATTAAACATAAAACTCTCAGATCTGGTTTTTTTTTTTTTTTTTTTTTTTGAGATGTCTTGCTCTGTCACCCAGGCTGGAATGCAGTGGTGCCATCTTGGCTCACTTCAACCTCCGCCTCCTGGGTTCAAGTGATTCTCCTGCCTCAGCCTCCCGAGTAGCTGGGATTACAGGCATGTGCCACCACGCCCGGCTAATTTTTGTATTTAGTAGAGAAGGGGTTTCACCATGTTGGCTGGGCTAGTCTCAGACTCCCTACCTGAAGTGATCCACCTGCCTCAGCCTCCCAAAGTGCTGGGATTACAGGTGTGTAATGTAATGCCTGTAATCCTAGCACTTTGGGAGGCCGAGGTGGGAGGACTGCTTGAGCTCAGGAGTTTGAGACCAGCCTGGGCAATGTAGCAAAACCCAATCTCTACCAAAAATACAAAAAAATTAGCCGAGCATGGTGGTGTGCGCCTGTAGTTCCACCTACTTGGGGGTCTGAGGTGGGAGGATCACTTGAATCTGGGATGCGGAGGTTGCAGTGAGATCGTGCCATGGTACTCCAGCCTGGGTGACAGAGTGAGATCGTGTCTCAAAAAAAGAAAAAAAAAAAAAAAGAACCAGAATATAATCCTGTTTATAAATCTTTAAATTTGGAGGTAATACTTTACCATCTAAAATTGTTCTTACTAATAATGATATAAACTGAATTATGCTATAATTGCCCTTATTCCAGTGAAGTCTCTGTTGTTACTTGTTTAATTATCTGGTGGTGAAAATTACATACAGATAATATGTGTTCCTGAAGAGAAATGCACCTCTGACATAATTCTCCTCCTTTTATTTGGAGGGGTGGGTGTTATATCGATAAAGACGGTGTATATTCTCTTTATTGATGTCCTTGTCACATAAAGGAGTTCAGTTAATGTTTGTTAATAATAACTACTTGGTATCTGTAGTTGAGAGGTTTTAAATAGATAATTTTTAAAATGAGCTATATCACCAACCCCAAATAGTGTTAAATGTAACTTTTATACTGCAACCATAGCATCACCCTAAGGGAAAAAAAGGAGTTTCATAACTCTAAAGGAAGGAAGGTATTGTGGAGCAGTGAATATATTAAGTATAAGTGTTTAATATTCTGTTTTAAAATTTTCTTTAAATTAGGAAATGGGCCAAAGTTAATGGATTGATGTGGATTGTGAGGCTAACGTCAGAATACTGTATATTAGCCACTGAATATTTATTTCTCTTGTGTATTTTGGTGGGATTCCTTACATAGGTTTGGCAACAAAACTAGAAAATAAATTTCCTTTCAGTGATACAAAATTCTGTTGGGCTAGCTGAATTAGATTGACATTAGTCAAGATTTGCCAGAAACATTGTAGTAGTGCTGGTTAATATAGCCTGGTTTTGCAAGGTGGCCTCAGACTGCTGTTATACTTGTGAACTAGCCAGAGTATCCCAACTGTGATAGGAAAGTAGACATTGTATGATGTATGGGAAATTCATCTTTGAAAAAAGTGAGTTTATGCCTTTCAGATCCATACTGTGAATGAATGAATATAAGAGTGAAAACGCTGCTGACAAAGATTTGGATATTTGATAACGTATACAATTTTATTCTTTTACTAAATGTTTATTCCTTTTTACTAAAAAAAAAATACTTTTGTGATTGAGAAGAACCTTAACATTGTCTACTTCAACTTCTTTTTTTTTTTTGAGATGAATTCTCGCTCTTTCGCCCAGCCTGGAGTGCAATGGCGCAATTTCGGCTCACTGCAACCTTCACCTTGCAGTGCTAAAGGGGTTTCACCGTGTTGGCCAGGATGGTCTTGATCTCCTGACCTCGTGATCCACCTGCCTTGGCCTCCCAAAGTGCTGGGATTACAGGCGTGAGCCACTGCACCTGGCCAACTCTTTTTCAAAAAAAGAATCTCCTGCTATAACACCTATCATCAGTTGGATTGGAACTGTGCAAAATGTGGATGTAAACAATTTAGGATTAACTAGACATAATGTGACAATTTTGGATATTTTATATTTTAGATTCCACTTTTTATTTTGGTCTACTGATTTCCAGTAGAAAAAATTTTAGGATTTCTGTAACACGTAAATAATTGCAACTTCAATAACATATGATTACTTGAAATAGCGACTCTATTTTTCATTTCATTGAAGTAGTAACTGCATTTTGTTTCATACCTATACTCCTCCCTGCTTCAATATTTAGCATGTCACTTTGACCAATAAAGATAAAATTATGAAGAAGATAGCTGACTGGTTTAAATATCAAAGGGCTGCCCTAGGGTTCACTGGTCTGGTTCATGCTGTTTGATGTATTAAAGACATTCATAAGGGCAAACAAGGTATTAGCAAATATGTCAGATGTTTTATGTTTTTAATGTGGGATGAAATAAACTCATACACAAGGAGAGAGGGAGAGAAACCTACATTATGACTGAAAGAAAATATCCTGTGCATAGAGCTAAATATGCAGAGCATGGTGGAACCACAAAAAGGGAGATAAGGCAGGGTACCTAATTATTCAGAAACGAGAATGGAATAGCACCAGATATGCAAGGGAAGGCCAAATTAATGGATCAGTGTAACTTTAAACTTGTTGCTTAATTTTGAATCTCTTGGCCGGGCTGGGTGGCTCACGCCTGTAATCCCAGCACTTTAGGAAGCCAAGGCGGGTGGATCACAAGGTCAAGACCATCCTGGCCAACATGGTGAGACCTCAAATCCACTAAAAATACAAAAATTAGCTGGGTGTGGTGGCGCGCGCCTGTAGTCCCAGCTACTCGGAAGGCTGAGGCAGGAGAATCGCTTGATCTCGGGAGGCGGATGTTGCAGTGGGCGGAGATCGCACCACTGCACTCCCGTCTGGCGACGGAGCGAGACTCCGTCTCAGACAAACAAACAAACAAACAAACAAACAAACAAACAAACAAACGGCCTTTTAATCTCTTGAGGGCAAATGGCTTTCTTTTTATTAGATGCAACCAGGGAAGTCTAGTGTTTGGATGCCGTTAAAAATACAGTTATTCAGCGGGGTGTGGTGGCTTACTCTTATAACCCGAGCACTTTAGGAGGCCGAGGTGGGCGGATCACTTGAGGCCAGCAGTTTGAGATCAGTGTGGCCAACATGATGAAACCTGTCTCTATCAAAAATACAAAAATTAGCTGGGTGTGGCGGCACATCCTGTAATCTCAACTACTCGGGAGGCTGAGGCATGAGAATCACTTGAACCCAGGAGTCGGAGGTTGCAGTGAGCTAAGATTGCACTCCAGTCTGGGCAACAGAGTGAGACTGTCTCAACAAACAAACAGCAGTTATTCTAGATATACCGCAGAATAGTTTAGCCACTTTAATGTTTATTATAGGAATTTTATATTAGTTCTTGCTAACCAGCGAAATTCTTTCAGTTATGTTAGTCTACTGACTAGAATGCATTTTGGTTTGCTACAAATTGAAATGGGTGTTTTTTTTTTCATGTTCTTTTTAAACATTCCCCTCATTCTGTATAAAACATACTTGTGGACATTGTCTACTTAAGCCTTTATACTATTTATACTGTAGAAGTTATATCTAATATATCTCAAATCATTTGGGGATTTTGTTTTTTCAAGAAAAGTTTGAAACATACTCAAACAACAGTTCTTAGAAAGCTGCTTAGGATGGTACTGAATTTACTTGTGCTAAGTGGCGAGAATGGATTATTGAAAGTGAAGCAGGCTGGGCGTGGTGACTCACGCCTGTAATCGCAGCACTTTGGGAGGCCGAGGCGGGCGGATCACGAGGTAAGGAGATCGAGACCACGGTGAAACCCCGTCTCTACTAAAAATACAAAAAACAAAAAAATTAGCCAGGCGCGGTGGCGGGCCCTTGTAGTCCCAGCTACTCGGGAGGCTGAGGCAGGAGAATGGCATGAACCCGAGAGGCAGAGCTTGCAGTGAGCCGAGATCGCGCCAGTGCACTCCAGCCTGGGCGACAGGAGACTCCGTATCAAAAAAAAAAAAAAAAAAAGAAAGAAAGAAAGTGAAGCAGCAACTATTGGAGGATAGCAAGAATGGAGTGTCCTTTTTAAGTGATGTAAATCTGTGCTTAGTATCCTTTTACGCTATTTTTATATGCTTGTGTGATATTTGATTCATTAAAAAGAATTTATGAGCCGGACGCTGTGACTTAACGCCTGTAATCCTAGCACTTTGGGAGGCCAAGGCGGGCAGATCACAAGGTCAGGAGTTCAAGACCAGCCTGGCCAATATGGTGAAACCCTGTCTCTACTAAAAATACAAAAATTAGCTGGGCATGGTGGTGCGTGCCTGTAGTCCCAGCTACTCGGGAGGCTAAGGCAGAAGAATCGCTTGAACCCAGAAGGCTGAGGTTGCAGTGAGCCAAGATCACGCCAACTGCACTCCAGCCTGGGTGACGGAGCGAGACTCCATCTCAAAAAAAGAATCTATGAAACATAAAATGTAGTTTAGGAAGTGTAATATTAAAGTAGCACCTATAAACCTACCATCCAACTTAAGAACTAGAACTATACTAGTACTGTTGAATCTACCAGTGCTCTCTTCCCCCATTCATTCTCCTGCCTTCCCTTCAGAGATAACTGCTGCTGAGCATTTTGTATTTCACATTTATTTAAAAAATAATTTTAGGCCAGCCTTGGTGGCTCATACCTGTAATCCCAGCACTTTGGGAGGCCAAGGTGGGAAAACTGCTTGAGCTCAGGAGTTTGGGACCAGCTTGGGCAATATAGTGAGATCACATCTCCACAAAAAATTTTAAAAATTAGCTAGGCATGTGGTGTGCACCTGTAGTTCCAGCTACTTGGGAGGTTAAGGTGGGAGATTGTTGGAGCCTGGATCAAGGTTGCTGTGAGCCATGATGGCATCACTGCACTCCAGTATGAGTGACAGAGTGAGACCCTGTCTCAAAAAAAACTTACCATCTCTGTATTACTATATATAGATATATATTACAACAGATAGATCTTTAAAAATATATTGTTTAGTTTTGCTTGGTTTTGAGCTTTATAAAAATGGTATATTTTGAATTCTGCTATTTCCTTTTTTCCACTCTGTTATTTATTTATTTATTTATTTTTATTTTTTTTTTAGATGGAGTCTCGCTCTGTCACCCAGGCTAGAGTGCAGTGGTGCAATCTCGGATCACCACAATCTCCACCTCCTGGGTTCAAGCGATTCTCCTGCCTCAGCCTCCCGAGTAGCTGGGATTACAGGTGCATGCCACCACACCCAGATAATTTTTGTATTTTTAGTAGAGACGAGGTTCTACCATATTGGCCAGGGTGGTCTCGATCTCCTGACCTTGTGATGTGCCCGCCTCGGCCTCCCAAAGTGCTGGGATTACAGGCGTGAATCACTGTGCCTGGCCCCACTCTGTTATTTTTAAGACATTTATTTATGGTACTGCATATAGCTTCAGTTAATTTACTTTTACTGTGGTATAATATTCCATTGTATGACTATTTCATAATTAATTTATCCATTTTCCTGATAATAGACATTGCAGTGGTACAGTGAACATTCATGTACCTGTCTTCTTGTCTATGCCTGTGATGTCTCCTTGTACATGTGTGTGTTAGTGTGTTGGATGTGTAGGTGTGTGTAAGCATCTCAAAGTTTCTCTAAGGTAGATACTTAGGAGTAGAATTGCTGAGTCATAGAGTACATGTTCAGCCTTACAAGATATGATAGCATTTAATTTAATAATCAGAACAACCTGTAACTATCAACAGTTTAATAAACTGTGGCTTAGAGATGTTATGTATCCAAGAAGCCACATAGATAGCAAGTGGCTGAACAAGTTCAAACCCATGTTTGTTTAACTTTAGGACCAGACTCTAGCAGTAAGTCGTTTTGTCTTTCTATAGTAAGTGTCCACAATCAGGCTTTATATATAGTATAATTGGGATTTATTTTAGTGTGAATGTTTAAGGCATACATCTATTTTGAAGAGTAAAATGTATGTATATGTTAATAAAAAACTGTCTTGGTCCCAGTCTCCTAAATTTATGCTCTGCCAACCTTAACATATGGCTACTGTTCTGAAGGGAGCAGGAGAAAGGCAGAAGGCCAAAGGGCCTCCCCTCTCCCTTCTTGCTTAGAACACAGATGGCTGGCTGGGTAACAGAAGAGCCATCTTGTGACCTTCAGCCTCTTGAGTAGCTTGTTCTTATTAACAAAAATCCCCATATAATTAAGAGCAGATTGTTTCCAACTAAAAGGCCACATTTCCTACCTCTCTTTACAGATAGAGGCAGCCTCCCAAGAGGGAAGAGACATCTTGAACAGGCACCTAGCAGTTTCTGTACTTTTTTTTTTTGAGACGGAGTTTTGCTCTTGTTGCCCAGGCTGGAGTGCAGTGGTGCAGTCTTGGGTCACTGCAACCTCTGCCTCCCAGGTGCAAGCAATTTTTCTGCCTCAGCCTCCCAAGTAGCTGGGATTACAGGCCTGTGCCACTACGCCTGGCTAATTTTGTATTTTTAGTAGAGATGGGGTTTTGTCATGTTGGCCAAGGCTGGTCTTGAATTCTTGACTCAGGTGATCCGCCTGCCTCAGCCTCCCAAAGTGCTGGGATTACAGGCATGAGCCACCGTGCCCAGCCCTCTGTGCTATTATATCAAGGCCAGGTGAAGATATATAACCCTCTTCAATTTACCAAGGATGGTATTATGGCTTTTGGTTTTTAATTATTGAGAAAATATATCTATAAAAGCTGACTTCTGCTGGGTTCAGTGGCATGGGCCTGTAGTCACAGTTAAGAGGCTGAGCAACATAAGACCCCATTAAAAAAAAAACAACCCCAACTCTTACACATTTACCCTGTGTCTTACACACACACACACACACACACACACACACACACAAATGTGATGTGTGTTGGAGGAATTGGAGCAGGAGACTGAAGGGACTACAGTAATGGAGTAGAAGCAAATCAGAAAAGACTTGAAGTGAGAGGATATCTACTAAGGGAATTTGGCCTAGGCAGACAGAAGTTGTCCAGGAAAAAGGTACTATGCACATTGTTTGAAATCGAGATCAGGCTGGGCGTGGTGGCTCATGCCTGTAATCCCCCCACTTTGGGAGGTAGAGGCAGGAGGATTACTTGAGCTCACAAGTTTGAGACCAGCCTGGGCAACATGGCAAAACCCTGTCTCTACAAAAAATACAAAAACTAGCCAGGTATGGTAGTACACACCTGTGGTCCTAGCTACTTGGGAGGCTGAGATGGGAGGATCACTTGAGCCTGGGAGGTTGAGGCTGCAGTGAGCTGTGATTGTGCCATTGTACTGCAGCCTGATTGTGCCATCGTACTGCAGCCTGGGAATGACGGAGCAAGACCCTGTCTCAAAATAAATAAATAAATAAAAATCAGGAGATCACTATACTTAAGAAAACTAAGAATTGGCTTGAAAATTAGTGTTACTGTTTGATCTTGATTTCAATCTATGGAGAGTCAGGGGTGACCTTGCCTCCTCACTTGTTAGGGGAACTGAGAAAAATATGTCTAATTCATATTGGGGATATAAGCAAGGGTAGGGTTAGAGGAAAAACAGAATTATATAGCCTGTATTAAACTGGGTCAAATTGAATTGTGTAATGAGACTTTATGCTTATAATTTACTACCTGATATAGTAAAATAAAATTTTATCCCTTCCTGGAGTGAGGAGATACTTTTTTTTTTTTTTCTGTCAGTTATCAAAGTGGTTCGTGCGGCCGGGCACGGTGGCTCACGCCTGTAATCCCAGCACTGTGGGAGGCCAAGGCAGGCGGATCACTAGGTCAGGAGTTCAAGACCAGCCTGACCAACATGGTGAAACCCTGTCTCTACTAAAAATACAAAAATTAGCCATGCATGGTGGCGCCTGCCTTTAATCCCAGCTACTCAGGAGGCTGAGGTGGGAGAATCACTTGAACCCGGGAGGCGGAGGTTACAGTGAGCCAATATGGCACCACTGCACTCCAGCCTGGGCGACAGAGCAAAACTCCATTGCAAAAAAATTAATAATAATTAAAAAAAAGTGGTTTATGCTCATTTTAGTCAATCTGGAAAATACAGAAAAGGGGAAAGGGAAACATTCCTCCATAGGAAGATAACCACTCTTGGTATGTTTCTTCAATAATGTATTTTTTAAACATACTGTAACCACAATGATGGTGTTAGGTTATCAATTATGTGTATAATATATATTATGGAAGATAAGTATTTCCAGACAAGGGCTATTATCTAGGAGTTTTTCTCCATTTTTGCCCATTGCTTCTTTTTGTAAATTTCTTGCGTAAATTTAGATGAAGCTAGAGATTTAACTTGTCTTTTCCTGGAAACAACGTGAGAGATTAAGCGCTCACCACCACGCCCAGCTAATTTTTGTATTTTAGTAGAGATGGGGTTTCACCATGTTGGCCAAGCTGGTCTCGAACTCCTGACCTCAAGTGATGCGCCTGCCTCGGCCTCCCAAAGTGCCGGGATTACAGGCATGAGCCACTGCGCCCGGCCCAAATATCTATTTAGTGTTCAAATTTCTAGTTGTCTCAAATGGAATTTTTTTTTTTTGGTAATTTCATTTGAATTAGAATTGAAACAAGGTCTACATATTGCAAGTGATTGATATGTCTCTTAAGTTTCTTTCAGTCCATAGGTATACTCTTATCTCTCTCTCTCTTTTTCTTATAATGTGTTTGTTGAAGAAACTGGATCATTTATCCTGTAGAATTTCTACTCAGTCTGGATTTTGTTGATTTCAGTTCCATGGTAGAGTTTAATAGGTTTCTTGGTTTTTTTTTTGTATTTCCTGTAAATTATTTGAATTTACACATAATTGAATCTTAAAATTGAGAAGGAAAACCATGCGGGCCTTTTGCTGTCTCAAGGGTTGCAGTTAATCAGCTGACTTGAGAAATCCCTGCTGCCCAGGGACCAGATGAAACATAGACAAGATGGCATGTTAACTTTGGATTTCTTGCCTAATCTGGACACATTTGTGTTTAAAAAGGAAGCCTGGATTATGCCACTGCACTCCAGTCTGGCTGACAGGGCAAGACCCGGTCTCTGAATGAATGTATGAATGCATACATGCATGCATGCCTGATCCAAGAACCTGATGAATTGAACCGTTTTCCAATGAAGGTGACATTAGACTAATTTAATGATAAGACAAAACTAAACTTTTTTTAGTGAGAAAAACATGCTTTCAATTTATTTGTATTAGTTAGATCTCATTTTCATCTTACGTAGTTAATAAAGAATGGATGGACACCAGGGTCCGAAGCCAAGGTTCTCAAAGTTAAGCATTTATCAAAATCACTTGGAAGGCTTGCAGACAGATTGCTGGACATCATCCCCAGAGATTCTGATTCCATATGTCAAGGTCGAGTCTGAGATTTGCATTTCTAGCAAGTTCCCAGGTGATATCAGTGCTCCTGGTTAGGGGACCACACTTTGAGAACTATTAGGCTGAAGTTCAAGGATCTGCATTAGAATTACCTTTGGAGCTTTAAAAAACTCTTGAAGATGCCAGTCAGAGGCCTCTGCATCTATATTTTAACATGTTCCATAACAATTCTAATGCGCACCCCAGGTGAGAACTGCTGCTGTAATTATTTATAGTTTATTCCTCCATATTTCCCAAGAAATGCTCATTCATTATTCATTTCAAAATGTTAAAAGACTTCTAATATTGTTTAGGCACATGGTTAGGAAGGATTCATTGTTTTATACTGTGCTATTTATCATTGTTGTAGAGGGCAAAGTAAAAGAAAAGTGCTAAATAACAAAGAGCTATTGGCACCTGTCCTGGAAAATCAGTATTAATGCTCTTGCTTGCTGCAAAGATAACTGCTATTTTAAGATTATTAATTTTTCCCAAAGGAAAATTGAAAATAGTTTGGTTTGAGGTTGCTGTTCCTTAAATCAGGGAACCCCTTTGTTTAGCATTAGATCCTGAACTTTCCATTAGCCAATGTATGTGTGAGCCAATAATGAATGATGACATTTCAGTCGTTTTTGGAGACATGCCAATTAGTGTATAAGAAATTTTTAGTTCTTAAGTAACTTTTTTTTAAGGAAAGGCTCAAACTTCACACAATATACTAATACTTCTACTTTACACTTCACAAGTCTCCCAATTTTAGGGTTTAAAAATCTTTCACTGACTTGAAAAACATGCCGATGGTTGATTTCATGCCACCATGTTTAAGGCATGTTTGGTTTAGTTCAAAAGCACATTCCCTATATGTCACTGGGAACAAAAAGATGACTTAGGCATAGTTCCAATTCAAGCCCAGTCTGATGAAGTGATTTCCAACCTTAATTAGTAACCATTAATTATGTAGACCCCGTTCGTGTGATACGAGTTATAATTTTAATAATTCTTGATTAGCAGAACACATGATAAAGCTATTATAAATCAGTACATCTTTTATTAATAAATGTGCTTTGATTTTATTAATCACAACAGCATCTACATATATTTGAAAAATAGTAGCTGGAGCCATTATTCAGTCTACAAGCAGTATTGGTGCATGTGACTTTTGAACCCCTGTGATAAACTTGAAAGCCTCCAAGAGTCCATGGCCTCTACTTTCAGGGAAGTAGGTTGACTATTATTGTTACTAGCGTTACCACTTGCTAATAATGCAAGTACACAGGCCAGTTACAATGGGTATTTGTACAAGAACTAAGGAATTTTCCTTCGTATTGCCCTAGTGGGGAAGGGACAAGTCTTATCTTCCTATTTGAATTATACTTGTAAATGAAATGTTTAACAAGTAAGTTCTTGGTTTTTCCTTGACAATCTGATGATCTGTTTTTCTTTATTCTTTTTTTTTTTGAGACGGAATCTTACTTTGTCGCCAGGCTGGAGGGCAGTGGCGTGATCTCCACTCGCTGCAACCTCTGTCTCCCGGGTCCAAGTGATTCTTCTGCCTCAGCCTCCCGAGTAGCTGGGACTACAGGTGCACGCCAACATGCCCAGCTAATTTTTGTATATTTTTTAGTAGAGACGGAGTTTCACCATGTTGGTCAGGATGGTCTTGATCTCTTGACCTCATGATCCGCTCACCTTGGCCTCCCAAAGTGCTGGGATTACAGACGTGAGCCCACCACGCCCAGCCCTGATGATCTATTTTTCTACTTGACTGTCCTCCGTTTACTGAGTGGGTATAGGTGGGAACTTGACAAGGTTAATGACAGGTTGTGGAGAAGATTGAGTGAGAGATGATGCTGGGTGGGAGTCAGAGGAGACTGGACAGTGAAGGGAATGGAGAATAGGATCCACAGCCTGCATATATACTGTATATGTTGTCTGTTTTAACTACCGTAAGAAGTACTAATTAATCTGTTTGAAAACAATGACTTTTCAGAAAAATCATAGTTAACTGTTATATAATAAACACTATAACTTTTGTGATAATTTGAGAAGAAATTCCCTTGACAAATGCAGTTTACTAACAAAGGTTTGCTTTAGGACCATATGCATAATTCTACTTAATCTCAAATGAGTTGTTTCCTTTTTTGCAATTAGATGTGTGTGCAGTAAGAGAAAGGGATGAATCAATCTGCAGTCAGTGCTGTGAGTCAGTTGCAGCTGCCATGTAAAGTACTCTCATTTAGCTATTAAAAGCCTTTGAAGTCTTGCATGTGTAAAATATTCCTAATTCGCTAGGAACACACATGGCTGTGTGTGTATACATGTCATTGTGCGGTAGGCTGTTCTTTATTAGAAAAGTATATATCTCTGTTGGGTACTAATTACAACTGTGGCTAGGAAACTGCAGCAAGGCAAATAACAAAGGCAACAAAGGCAAGAGAGAGAGAGAACTGGGCTTTGCTGTTTTACACCTCCAGCATAAATAAGACATGCTGTGAGTAAACACAGCTGTATGGAAAATTAGTTTTGAAGAATTGAAAGTAAATAACTGCTGGCTTATTCAGCACATCTATACTGTAGGTCTCCAAGAACAAGAACATTTTCTTGAAACTAGAGAACAGTTGTAGGTTGAGTTATTTGTCTCTTGGAAAGTTGTTTGACAAATTAATCTTTGTTGGGCTGTACTCAGTATTATATTATAGCCTTTATGCAACACAAAACCACAAGTAAACCTTAGGAATTTCATTATTAGATAATTATGTGTAACACTTTAATATTTATATTACTACAGAATAATTCAGAGTAAGAATCATCTAAAATATTATTTATTAAGCACCTACTATACAGTTCTTCTGATTAGGTACTGTGGGAGATACAGATATTTCAAATACAGATAAACCTTACCTTCAAAGAGCTTGCAGTCTAGCAATATACATGAAATAATAGAGGACACAGTAGAGTTTAATGTAATGCTGGATGATATAAAGAAGCTGTCTAAATTTCAAGAAGAAATCACTGAGTGCTAGAGTTTAGGAAAGGCTTCCTACATGAGCTGCAACTTGAGCTTAGCCTTGAAATAGTGAAAATAATTCTATAGGCAAGACATGAAGAAAACATTAAAAAAGACTAGATTGCATGTAATGTGAAGAGTGAATAGGATTGTGGTTGAATCTGGAGTAAGTCAGCCCTGTTTTGAAGCTTTTGCATTAAAGCTTAAGTTGGCATAGGCCATGTATCTTGTAGGTATGGCTAACATCTGTCAGATCTGGTTTTGGCAGAATAGTACCACACTACCTAGTAAAATCCTTTTTCATGAGGAATACTCTGCAGGGGAAGTAAGAGAACATTAGAAGTAGTTTTTAGGCATCTTCATGGGGATGCCCATTGATTTTTGCCAATAATGATTGCTTCTAGATAATTCATTTTTCCTCCACTATATGTAGAGACTGTCAAAATAATAAAAAAGGAAAGGAAAAAGAATGTTCAATCTGCCTGACAGAAACATTGCTAAAACTTTTTTTTTGAAACGGAGTCTCACTCTGTCACCCAGGCTGAAGTGCAGTGACGTAGTCTTGGCTCATTGCAACCTCCGCCTCCTGGGTTGAAGCAATTCACCTGTCTCAGTCTCCCTAGTAGCTGGGACTACAGTTGCATGCCACCACACCCAGCCAATTTTTATATTTTTAGTAGAGACGAGGTTTCACTATATTGGTCAGGCCTGTCCCAAACTCCTGACCTCAGGCGATCCACCCGCCTTGGCCTCCCAAAGTGCCAGGATTACAGATGTGAGCCACCATGCCCCTCCAGCTAAAATATTTTTATACTGGGCCATTGTTTTTAAGAATTGGTCTTTAAAAATGGCCTATTTTGCTGTGGGGAAAAAATCAATTTCAGTGAAGTTTACAGTTTTATGAACCTGTGCTTCTCCTCCAATTCCTTATACCGTCTTCATACTCCTCTAGTTTGATTCTCTTTACTTTCTACTTAGTTGAAATTACTGTTATAATTCCAGCAAATACCTTTCCATACTGTTTGAATTTTCTAACCATGGCCATGTGTTACTTTTTAATTTAATTTAATTTATTATTATTTTTTTTTAGAAATGGAGTCTTGCTATGTTAACCAGGCAGGTCTCGAACTCCTGGCCTCAAGCAATCCTCCTGCCTTGGCCTTCCAAAGTGTTGGGATTATAGGTGTTGAGCCACTGCACCCTACTTTTATTTATTTAAAAGAAGCTTCAACAGATATTACCTGGTTAGTAGGATTACAGGATTATTTTAATGTTCTCTATATTTAAAAAATTAATGAGCCAGGCATGGTGGCTTGGTCCCTTGAGCTTAGGAGTTGGAGACCAGCCTGGGCAATATGGTAAAACCCTGTTTGTATCAAAAATACAAAGATTAGCCGGGTATGGTGGCATGCACCTGTAACCCAGCTACTGGGGAGACTGAAGTGGGAGGATTGCTTGAGCCTGGGAGATTGAAGTGGCAGTGAGCTGAGATTGCACCACTGCACTCCAGCCTGGGTGACAAAGTGATATCCTGTCTTAAAAAAAAAATTGTGTGTTACCTTTGAGTCAAACTTGTGGCATTTAGATAGTGGAATACCGTGTAACTGCTGAAAATAATGGGGCTGGGCACAGTAGCTCACGTCTGTAATCCCAGCACTTTGGGAGGCCGAGGCGGGTGGATCACTTGAGGTCAGGAGTTTGAAACCAAGCCTGGGCAACATGGTGAAACCCTGTCTCTACCCAAAATACAAAAATTTAGCTGAGCACAGGCATGTGGCATGCACTTGTGGTTTCAGCTACTCGGGAGGCTGAGGTGGGAGGATTGCTTGAGCCTGGGAGGTGAAGGCTGCAGTGAGCCATAATTGTGCCACTGCACTCCAGCCTGGGTGACAGAGGGATACCCTGTCTCCAAAAAAAAAAAAAAAAAAAAAGAAAGAAAAAAGAGAATAATGAATTGGATATTTAAGCAAAGCTGTCCAATATTTAAGTAAATAAAGATGTCTAGGTATAGGGATTAATTCTGACTGTAAGGATTACAGAAATAAAATTCATGGAAAACATGGCGTGTGGGCAGGGCTTTGAAGGAGGGTTAGAATTTCAGCAGGTGGAGATGCAGGCTTGGGGTATTATAAAGAAGGCAGATGCAGGGAAGTGCAGGCTGTTTTAGGAAGCAGCAAGTAGTTCTAGGTGGGGCTGGTGGGAGAAGAGACTAGTGAGGGCAGATCACAGCCAAGCTGGGGTGCTATGGGAAAGGAGTTTGGATTTTATACCGTAGCTACTACGGAGCCTTTAAAAGTTTGATCTTTTTTTTTTTTTTTTTTTTTTTGAGACGGAGTCTCGCTCTGTTGCCAGGCTGGAGTGCAATGGTGCAATATTGGCTCACTACAACCTCTGCCTCCTGCGTTCAAGCGATTCTCCTGCCTCAGCCTCCAAAGTAGCTGGGATTACGGGCCTGTGCCACTACGCCTGGCTAATTTTTCTATTTTTAGTAGAGATGGGTTTTCGCCATGTTGGCTAGGCTGGTCTCAAACTTCTGACCTCAAGTAGTCCACCCGCCTCGGCCTCCTAAAATACTGGGATTACAGGCATGAGTCACCGCACCCAGCCAAAAGTTTGATCTTTCAATAAATATTTGTTAACTGATGAATAAAAGAGTGATAGGATTAAATCTTTGTTTGGAAGAGAAAACATTTATAGCAGGAGGGACTGGAAATAGGTTATTTATAGTCGAGTGAATTAGAGCAGAAACAGTAAAAATAGAAACATATAGTTAAATGCAGAGGTAGAGGTAGACTTGACAGGATTTGGCAAGTGATTGGGTTTAACTAATTTTTAACAAAAAGGGGAATAGAAGAATTTAAGGTTTTGAATTTGGGAAAATGGGAGCTATGTTCTTCCTTGCTCTCTTTTTTCTTTAGTTTTCTTTTCTTTTTTTTTTGTATTTTTAGTGGAGACATGGTTTTCACCACGTTTGCCAAGCTGGTTTTTGAACTCTTGGCCTCAAGTGATCTGCCTGCCTTGACCTCCCTCCCAAAGTGCTGGGATTACAGGCGTGAGCCCCTTCTTGAGGCCCTTTCTTTTTTTTTCTTTTCTTTTTTTTTTTTTTTTGAGACAGGATCTCACTCTGTTTCCCAGGCTGGAGTGCCGTGACTCAATCACTGCCCACTGTAGCCTCGACCTCCTGGCTCAAGTAGTTAGTCTTCCTGCCTCAGCCTCCCAGAAGCGGAGACTACAGGTGCATGCCACTACACCTGGCTAATTTTTTAAATTTTTATTTTTGGTAGAGGTGGGGCGTCTCATCATGTTACCCAGGCTGGTCTTGAACTCCTGGGCTCAAGTGATCCACCCACCTTGGCCTCCCAAAGTGTTGGGATTACAGGTGTGAGTCACTATATCCAGTCCTTCCTTGCTTTCTTGAATAAAGCATTTGGAATTGAGTCATCCTTTTATTAGGGAGACTGCATTATTATGAATAAGAACCTTGAGCTATATAGGATTTATTACCCCTACAATAAATGGTCAAGTTTGCTATAACTGGCCAGGCATAGTGGCTCATGCCTGTAATCCCAGCACTTTGGGAGGCTGAGGTGGGAGGATCACTTGAGCGCAGGAGTTTGAGACCAGTCGGGCAATGTAGTGAGACCTCGTCTCTACAAAAAAAAAAAAAAAAAAACTTAAAAAAAAAATCAGCTTAGTGTGGTGATTTGCTCCTGTAGAGGCTGTGGTAGGAGGATCATTTGAGCCTGAGAGGTTGACGCTGAAGTGAGCTGAGATTGTGCCACCGCACTCCAGCCTGGGCGACAGAGATCCTGTCGCAAAAAAATTTAAAAAAAGAAGGCCAGGCCAGGCGCAATGGCTCACGCCTGTAATCCTAACACTTTGGGAGGCCGAGGCGGGTGGATCACCTGAGGTGAGGAGTTCAAGACCAGCCTGGCCAACATGGTGAAACTCCATCTCTACTAAAAATACAAAAAATTAGCCAGGCATGGTGGCAGACACCTGTACTCCCAGCTACTCGGGAGCCTGAGGCAGGAAAATCACTTGAACTCTGGAGGCGGAGGTTGCAGTGAGCCGAGATAGTGCCACTGCACTCCAGCCTGGGCAACAAGAGCAAAACCCTGTCTCAAAAAAAAAAAAAAAAAAAAAGATGGCTATCACTTTGGATTTTGATGTGTCTCTTTCTTTCTTTTAGGCTGTTTCTTTACTCATTGTATGTATCTAGAAGAATCATAACCCCTTCTACTTTAAATTCATCTGTTACATTTGACAAACAAACTTGTTAGAATTAGGCAAAAAACAAAGGTAAAGGGACTCTGAATGAGGGCCAAAAGGGGCTTTCCTATATAATAAATATGTGTTTTATAGTGCTTTTTAATTCCTATGGCATTTGCAGTTTTAAGAAAAATCACCTTACATGAATAAGGTGTTAAGTGCTCTCCGAGAGTGTCCTGGTTTATTACGTTGTACTTTAATAAGAATTAATAAGTGGTTGAGTGATAGAGTTGTTGAATAAAGGATAAAGTAGCACACTAAAGCTTAAGATCATTGATGTAATGAAAGTAAACCAGGCTGGGAATCTGAACACCCGGTTTATAGTCCCAGTCCTGCCACTGTAGGACATTGAATAGGTGATGTTACTCATCTGAAATTGTATCTATTTTGATAACATGGGGATAATATCTCTTCTCTCTACTTGAACAATGAGGTAACACTGATGACCAAGTCATGTCCTTCCATGTGTGTGGGAATATGTAATACATTTCTCAGGAATACATATATTAACACTATGATTCTCATACCTTCACAAAAATAAAAATGAAAAATTCAACTTTATGCCAATGCAAATTACTATCATCACTCAAGTTTGATTCTTCCTTTCCAGATCCAGGAGTGGAATAAATCTTTACAGTACAGTTTAAATCTTTAGAGGAAACTCCCATCAATTTTCTCTTCTTTTGTGAGGAGAGCAAACTGGTTCCTCCTCTATATAGAAACCCATCATGGGTTTATAGCTTTTTTGGCAATAGTAATTTTAGTGTATTTGCCGTTAAATTTTAAGTTGGTTTTTGCTCTTATTCCTAAATTGATTTCTCTAGTTGATATTGGATTTTTTTTTTAATGGAGATACTAGGGTGGTGCAAAAGTAATTGCTTTTACTTTTTTTTTTTGAGATGGAGTCTCGCCCTTGTTGCCCAGGCTGGAGTGCAGTGGCGCTATCTTGGCTCACTACAACCTCCGCCTCCCAGGTTCAAGCGATTCTCCTGCCTCAGGCCCCTGAGTAGCTGGGATTACAGGGGCCCGCCATCATGCCCGGCTAATTTTTGTACTTTTAGTAGAGACGGGGTTTCACCACGTTGGCCAGGCTGATCTTGAACTCTTGACCTCAGGTGATCCGCCTGCCTCAGCCTCCCAAAATGCTGGGATTATTACAGACGTGAGCCACCGCTCCCGGCCATAATTGCTATTACTTTTAATGGCAAAAACCGCAGTTACTTTTGCATCAACCTATATAATTCATATACCATAAATTCTACACTGTACACTAAAATGTGTAACTTGGGGTTTTTAGTATATTCAAAAGTTGTGCCACTATCACTACTATCTTATTCCAGCACATTTTTGTCACCCCAGCAAGAAACTCTGTACCCATTAGCAGTCATTCCCCATTCTGGTTTTCCCCAGCCCCTGCAACTCTAATCTACTTTCTGTCTCTGGATTTGACTAGGTTAGAACTTTCTGTCTCTGGATTTGACTAGGTTAGAACTTTCTGTCTCTGGATTTGACTAGGTTAGAACTTTCTGTCTTTGGATTTGACTGGGTTAGAACTCAGGTCTGTCAGAATCCAAACCCCATTGCCCCTCAGTTTAGGTCCCCATAACTTTTTGTTTATGTAGCTGCTGGAGCATTTATGGCTCGCAGTATGTGTTGAACTGTCAGTAGTTGGGTGTGGGGTTCTCTCTCACCACAGATTTTTATGGTTTTTTTAATAAGGTAAAATTAAATGAGTGTTTGTAATAATAATAAAAATAAAGATATTCTCTATTCCTTTGTGTAACATTTTAGACATTTATATTTTTTCTTTTAATGGATGACCATGGGATTTTTAGATATCTTTGCATTCTTAGTGCCTTGTGCTTGGTGAGTGACAGTAGTCTTAATTGAACTAAATTGTAATTACATTCATTACTCTTAACGAAACCAGCTCCCATTAGGATGAACAGTTTTTCTAAAATAAAACAAGTTTGTTTTTTTATATATACATATAAAAAGCAATAACAAAAACAAACAAATGAAAATAATCCACCATCAATGCTTCTATTTATTTTGAGTGCCAATTTTGTTAGCATGAATGGGAAACAACTGACTTTTGAGAAATGCCATTGGATCTGGAAAGCCTGATGAGGGCTACAAGCTACATTCAGTAAAATCAGAATCGTGTGTGTGTGTGTGTGTGTGTGTGTGTGTGTGTGTGTCTGTGTGTGATTTTAGCCTTGTATGACCAACTAAATAAAATGTAAATCTGAAAGAATCATTTCAAGTTTCTGGTAACAATGGAGAAATAACATGGAATTGAGAGTTAAGAAGCTTAGGTTTGGGTTTTGGCTCTGCCTCTGATGAGCAGTAACTCAGCCTAATTTTATCTCATAGTCCCTCTGGAGGAGAATGGGTCAGGAGATTCTTAACCTATTGTTGCAAAATTTTATTTTGGAACATTTCTGAGGAAAGGGTCTGTGGCTTTCATTAGATTCTCAGATCGTTCATGGCAACAAAAAGAACCACTTGATCAGATGATTTATCAGTCTCATTGAGGTTTAAGATTTTGTGATGCTTCATTATAACCCTGGTTTGACCAGCTTATATACCCAGGGTTACACCGTGAGTTTACACTCAACATTGTCTTTGAAGACTCAGAATGACTTTTAGCACATTTAAACTATTTTGGATATCCCATAGACGCGTCAACTTTTCTAAAAACAGAACAGTCATCCTTCAGTTAGTGCTTTTTTCTGACTCTGAAGCTGGTGCTATAATCCACTCTGTCATACTGTCTTTCTTCAGTACTTCTTGAATCCTTCTCCTTTTCTTCCATCTCAACAAACCTTGATTCAGGCTCTCATGATCTTTCATCAAACTTGTTAGGAGAGCTTCCTATTAGTCTATTTCTATTTCCTGTATCCGTTCTCTCTCACACACACATTAACACATATTTTACTATGGTACTTCCATATTTAACATCGTCTAATGGCAGGCTTGGTGGGGTGGCTTATGCCTGTAATCCCAGCACTTTGGGAGGTTGAGGCGGGCGATCACTTTAGGTCAGGAATTTGAGACCACTGTGGCCTGTCCAACATGGTGAAATCCCGTCTCTACTAAAAATACAAAAATTAGCTGGATGTGGTGGTGCGCCTGTAGTCCCAGCTACTCAGGAGGCTGAGGCAGGAGAATTGCTTGAGCCTGGGAGGCGGAGGTTGCAGTGAGCTGAGATCATGCCACTGCACTCCAGCCTGTCAATAGAGTGAGACTCTGTCTAAAAAAAAAAAATTAGCTGGGTGTGGTGGTGCACGCTTGTAGTTCCAGCTACTTGGGAGGCTGAGGCAGGAGAATCACTTGAACCCAGGAGGCGGAGGTTGCAGTGAGCCAAGATCGTGCCACTGCACTCCAGCCTGGGCAACAGAGTGAGAGTGAGACTCTGTCTCAAATAAATAAATAAATAAATAAAATAAATAAATAAATAAAATTTTCTAATGGCTTCCTGTTTTACAGAGAATAAGGTATAAATTCTTGACCATTGCAAAAGCAGGCTTTCCCTAATCTACCCTTGCCTGGTCTCAACCCAGTCTCAACCTCCATTGTTTTCTGTCATCCTATATTTTATACTCCAGCTATAGTGAACTTTGTGCTGCTTGCCATTCGGGTGCACATGCTTTTTCTAGATGCTTATCCAGTTGATCATGCCCTCTCCTCCTTTCGTCACCTAACTTAGTCCTACTTATCCTTTAAAGCTTAGCTCAGATTGTATATCAAAGGCCTTTTCTCTGACTCTGCTCTGCTTATTCTCTGCATATATTACTATATAATTGCTTGCTTTTGCCTGATTTTTAAAATAGACTGTGTACTCTTTGAGGGTAGAAGCCACATCTTATTTTTTTGCAACCTTGGCTCTTATCTTGGTGCCTAAAATATTATATGTTCAGTGAACATTTATGATGAATTCAGTAATTATTTAATTATTGCATGGGGTTTTTTGAATTAGTGAATAGGTTTTTAAATATTGCTTGTAGTTTTGGTAAAACTTTAATTATCATCTTCCTCAAAGGAGAAAAAAGAAAAATATTTAGTTGTTTAATTATGGGGAAAAAACCTTTTTTTGATCTTGTAATTCTCATAGGCCTCCAATGAGAATTTTATTTTATTGCTTTAATGTTTTCATAGAACCTAGTAACCCAGGAAAGCATTTTATAATTTTTTTTTTAGAACTTTTTTGAAACTGATTTCCTGTTGGGGTTTAGTATAGGGTATTATTACTTAAGAGAATAAGGTGTAAGTCTGGAGACTGTATCAAAGAGAAAGAAGATGAATGAATCAGGTATAGACACAGAATGAGGTAACAGGGTTTTTGAGTCTCTTGTTTGGCTCATGATCTTTTCAACACCATTGAAACACACACAACCTCATTTTTTTTTCAGAGCACATATAAATGAAGAATGACCTGGAGGTTAGGTGGGAATGGGTAGGACTGCCTCTCTCTGGACTCAGATTCCTGGGAGCTGACCCAGAACTGAATGCCCTTAGGGATTTCAAACTCATTACCATTTGTAGTGATGCACTTCACTCTGATCTCCTTTCAGTGTTACCTTTGTTAGAGACTACACTAGAAAGGAAAATACTTGGAATAAACTTTAGCGTTTTCAAAGTTTTGTACTGCCACATGGGATGACTATTAATTCCTTTTGGCTGGCACACAATAATTTAGCAAATTATTATTTTGTAAGCCGGGCGTGGTGGCTCATGCCTGTAACCCCAGCACTGTGGGAGGCTGAGACGGGTGGATCACCTGAGGTCAGGAGTTAGAAACCAGCCTGGCCAACATGACGAAACCTCATCTCTACTAAAAATACAAAAATTAGCCAGGCATGGTGGCGGGAGCCTGTAATTCCAGCTACTTGGGAGGCTGAGGCAGGAGAATCACTTGAACTTGGGAGCCGGAGGTTGCTGAGATGAGCTGAGATCGCGCCTTTGCATTCCAGCCTGGGCAACAAGAGTGAAACTCCGTCTCAAAAAAAAAAAAAGAAAAAATTATTTTGTAATTAAGTTACAGTTAGCATATCTACATCTGAAGTATCTTAGTACCTTGGATATGTAAGTAAGCATTTTGTATTCCTTCTTGGGTATATCTAGATTCTGTTGATTTCTTTACCCTTCACCAGATGACTCGTTCACATCTTTTATTATGAGGAAAGTAGTTTCTGGCCTTTGGACTTATCAAAATCAGTCTTTCTTTTGTTCATTTATTTGTTCAACTCATATTTTTTGGTGCAACATTCTGGGCAACAGGGATGAAACAATGAACAAAACAAGCACAATCCTTTGCTCCAATGGAGTTTACATTCTAGTGGGGGTAGACAAACAATAAACCAAATCAAGTAAAAACCATATAGTATGTCATTAAAGAGTAGTTAAGTGCTACAGAGAAAAATAAAGCAGGAGAATGAAGTGCAGCTGGGCCTCCAATTTTAGGTAGGGTGACCAAGGAAAGCCTCACTGGAGGTGGTATTTGAGTAAAAACCCAAAGGAAGCAGGCCTCGTGGCATCTGGGAGGTAGGTAGTCTTCCAGGCAGAAGAAACCACAAATCCTAAGGTCCTGGCAAATAGCATGCTTACCATGTTTAATAAACAACGAGGAGACCCAGGTGGCTGGAACAGGACAGGCAATTGCAAGGACTTTGCCCTTTATTCTGAATGGCAGGAAATGTCTTTGGAGGGTTTCTGGTCAGTGGATGATCTAACTGTACTTTTAGTAGGATCATGCTACCTCCTTTACTGATAACTAACTTCAGTTTTCAGTTCAGAAGCAGGTTATAAAGATAGATTCATATGAGAACCTTTTTTTTTTTTTTTTTTTTTTTGAGACGGAGTCTCACTCTGTCGCCCAGGCTGGAGTGCAGTGGCATGATCTCTACTCACTGCAAGCTCTGCCTCCAGGGTTCAAGCGATTCTCCTGCCTCAGCCTCCTGAGTAGCTGGGACTACAGGTGCCCGCCACCACACCCGGCTAAGTTTTTGTATTTTTAGTAGAGACGGGGTTTCACCATGTTAACCAGGATGGTCTCGATTTCCTGACCTCGTGATCCACCCGCCTTGGCCTCCCAAAGTGCTGGGATTACAGGCGTGAGCCACCACGCTCGGCCCTTTTATGATTTCAGTTCTTCAGGAAAATGTGTTTGGTTCCAGGTACCTCATTTAAAAGAAAGTTACTGATACTTTGGAATCTGTTTGGGAGAGGATGTCTAGAATGATGAGGAACTGGTAAACTATTTAATGTGAGGAACAGTTTAAGGATCTGGGGATATTTAACCTTTGGTAATTTTGCTTCTGACCCATGTTAACACTATTCTGTTTTTCTCTCAAGCTGTAGTATGAATTCGACCTTCCTTTCTTTCTCCCCCTTCATTTTCAGCAGTTTTCTATTTTTTAATTTTTAATTTTCATTTCTTGAGACAAGGTTTTACTCTGTTTCCGAGGCTGGAGTGCAGTGGCATGATCACAGCTGACTGCAACCTCCACCTCCTGGGCTTAAATGATCCTCCCACCTCAGCCTTCTAAGTAGATGGGATTACAGGTGTGAGCCACTGAACCCAGCCTTTTTTTTCTTTTAAGCTCCATTCTTTAATGGGCCTTGTCTTTTTTTTTTTTTTTTTTGAGTCTTCCTCTGTCGCCCAGGCTGGAGTGCAGTGGTGTGATCTCAGCTCACTGCAACCTCTGCCTCCCCGGTTCAAGTGATTTTCATTCCTCAACCTCCTGAATAGCTGGGATTACAGGCATGCACCGCCACGCCTGGCAAATTTTTGTATTTTTAGTAGAGACAGGTTTTTACCATGTTGGCCAGACTATTGGCCATTATTTTTGTAGATATTCCTTTGCAAGGCTGTTTTTAAAACTTCGTTTTTGGCCAGGCACGGTGGCTCACGCCTGTAATCCCAGCACTTTGGGAGGCTGAGGTGGACAGATCACGAGGTCAAGAGATCGACACCATCCTGGCCAACATGGTGAAACCCTGTCTCTACTAAAAATGCAAAAATTACCTGGGTGTGGTGGCACTCCTTTAGTCCCAGCTACTCGGGAGGCTGAGGCAGGAGAATCTCTTGAACCCGGGAGGTGGAGGTTGCAGTGAGCCGAGATCACACCACTGCACTCCAGCCTAGCGATAGAGCAAGACTCCATCTCAAAACAAACAAACAAACAAACAAACAAAACTCTGTTTTTGTACATATGTCCTTATAATATCCCCACTCTTCATGACTGTCTTTAATCATTTCCTCATGTTTTTCTAAAAATTTATGATTGTATAGAGAAAATTCCACTGCCATATTTCCTCATGTTTTTCTAAAAATTTATGATTGTATAGAGAATATTCCACTGCCATATTCCCAGGGCTTAGAAAAGAACCTGACACTTAATATAAAACTGTGAAATGTATTAGGTTGATGCAAAAGTAATTGCAGTTTTTGCCGTTACTTTCAATGGCAAAAACTGCAATTATAAAACTAAATGAGGCCGGGCGCAGTGGCTCACACCTATAATCCCAGCGCTTTGGGAGGCCGAGACGGGTGGATCACCTGACGCCAGAAGTTCGAGACCAGCCTGGCCAACATGGTGAGACCCCCGTCTCTACTAAAAATACAAAATTTAGCTGTGCATGGTGGTGCGCACCTGTAATGCCAGCTACTTAGGAGGCTGAGACGTGACAATCACTTGAACCTGGGAGGCAGAAGTTACAGTGAGCTGAGATCGCACCACTGGACTCCAGCCTGGGGGATAAAGTGATACTCTGCCTCCAAAACCCCCCACCCCCCAAAAAAAAAACACAAACTAAATGAACTTCGCTTTCTAGAATTGCCTTATCCTAACAAGTTCTATATTCTTATAGAATCTTTGGACATGCAATCATGCCGTACTTTTTTTTTTTTTTTTTTAAGACAGAGTCTTGCCCTGTCACCCAAGCTGCGGTGCAGTGGCACAGTCTCAGCTCACTGCAACCTCCACCTCCTCGGTTCAAGTGATTCTTGTGCCTCAGTCTCTCCAGTAGCTGGGATTACAGGCACCCACCACCATGCCTGGTTAATTTTTGTATTTTTAATAGAGACAGGGTCTCACCATGTTGACCAGGCTAGTCTCGAACTCCTGACCTCAAGTGATCCACCTGCCTTGGCCTCCCAAAGCGTTGGGATTACAGGCATGAGCCACCACGCCCAGCCCATGTCTTACTTTTCTTTAAATGTTTTTAGAATTTATTTGTAGTAAGCTTACGTGTTTGACTGTGACCTCTTTTCTCAGCATAAAAACTGTGTGAAATTAGCCGGGCGCAGTGGCTCACGCCTGTAATCCCAGCACTTTAGGAGGCCGAGGCGGGTGGATCACGAGGTCAGGAGATCGTGACCATCCTGGCTAACACGGTGAAACCCCGTCTGTACTAAAAATACAAAAAATTGGCCGGTCGCAGTGGCTCAAGCCTGTAATCCCAGCACTTTGGTAGGCTGAGGCGGGCGGATCACGAGGTCACAAGATTGAGACCATCCTGGCTAACACGGTGAAACTCCGTCTCTACTAAAAAAATACAAAAAATTAGCCGGGCGTGGCGGTGGGCACCTGTAGTCCCAGCTACTCGGGAGGCTGAGGCAGGAGAATGGCGTGAACCTGGGAGGCAGAGCTTGCAGTGAGCCAAGATCGTGCCGCTGTACTCCAGCCTGGGCGACAGAGCGAGACTCTGTCTCAAAAAACAAACAAACAAACAAAAAACAAAACTGTGTGAAATTATTATTCTCTGCTAAAGTTTCTGATATGTTCACATCACCAAAAAATTATTGTTTACTGCTCAGAATTCAGTCCCATAGTAGAGGCTTTTCTGGGAGAGAAAACTGTCATCAAGCTTAGTCAATAATTTTATTGAATACTTTCAGCAAATAGCGGATTATTTGAAATATTCAAACTGGTACTAAATCTTGTCTCTGTGCCAGTATTATATTTTCTGGTGGCCTGTAGTATATTTTTCATACTTAACAATGGTAAGAGACAACTGCTGCATCTATTCCAATTTCCAGAGTATCTGCTAAAACAATCCATGATCCAGTTCATGTTTGTGATTCCCACTTGTATTCTTACTAGATGATATTTGATAGTTAATTTACTGTAGTTTTCTGGTTAAAGTGAAATTTACTAAAATAGTCTTATGGTATTTGAGTTTCAAAATTTTAAAGTAAATATTGTTAGATTGAGTTGGCTCTAAGAAACTAAAAATAAGAGAGTAAGGAAAGTTCCATACTCTTAACTAAAACCCCTTTGTAGCTAGAAATCTTCAGGCTTTGTTTATATTTACCTTGAAATTTTTAAGGCTAGTAAGCATTTTATGTGTGGTTCTCCTTCCTTTCAGTTACATTTTCAGGCTAAATTATTCCATTGTTTTATGTTTTCCGGGAGAGTTTATATGGATACAACACCTTATATAAATAATGGCATTAAAGACTTTTAATCTCAACTTGGAAAGAAAGAGAATAGTCATGGTGTGATTGATCTGAAGGTCACTTACCTTATAGCCTCAACTAGACACAATATAATGGAAACTTTAGGCTTATGTGGTACTTGAAGAGCTAGAAGTGATTTCATAAAATCCATGCATTGAAGTTGTCCAGTAATGTGAAGCATTAGTCTTACTCTTCCTTAGCATTTACTCTCTTTTTTTGGAGATGGAGTCTTGCTCTGTCGCCCAGGCTGAGTGCAAAGGTGCGATCTCGGCTCACTGCAGCCTCCACCTCCCAGGTTCAGACGATTCTCCTGTCTCAGCCTCCTGAGTAGCTGGGATTACAGGCGCGTGCCACTACGCCCAGCTAATTTTTGTATTTTCAGTAGAGAGAGGGTTTCACCATGTTGGCCAGGTTGGTCTTGAACTCTTGACCTCATGTGATCTGCCTGCCTTGGCCTCCCAAAGTGCTGGAATTACAGGCATGAGCCACCACACCCGGCCGCATTTAATCTTTTTTTTTTCTTTCTTTCTTTCTTTTTTTTTTTTTTTTTTTTTTTGGGACAGTGTCCCTCTGTCGCCCAGGCTGGAGTGCAGTGGCGCGATCTTGGCTCACTGCAACCTCTGCCTCCCAGGTTCAAGTGATTCTTCTGCCTCAGCCTCCCAAGTAGCTGGGATTACAAGCGCCTGCCACCATGCCTGGCTAATTTTTGTATTTTTAGTAGAGACTGGGTTTCACCATGTTGACCAGGCTCATCTTGAACTCCTGACCTCAAGTGATCCACCTGGCTTCGGCTTCTCAAAGTGCTGGGATTACAGGCATGAGCCACCGCGCCCGGTTGCATTTACTCTTTAAACAAAATTTTAACACACTTGGCTATCTGGTTTCTGAATCAATGTAGATTAGCCAATAACAGATTAGAAGAAGAGACATTGGAAGATGCTTGTTGGCAGGCCACTTTGACATCAGCAAGAAATGTGAGTTAACTCTTCAAATGAGCAAATAGGAAACCTAATAAAGGCAGATACAAAAAATAAAAAAGCACAGTATTCAGATATCTTTCTGAAAGAGCTAATCATCACTATAGACTTCAGTAGCCTATGAGGACATTAGCACTGCGTAGTAATTCAGGTTCATAATGATGACTAAATCAATAACGACTCAATTATGGTCTATAGATTTAAAAAATGAAACAAGGAAGCATATAATCCATTTCATAAAGATTTCCATCTAGAATGGCTAAAATAATACACTTTGACACTTTTTTTTCTTTTGAGACAGGGTCTCATTCTGTCACCCAGTCTGGAGTGCAGCGATCACAGCTCACTACAGTCTCGACCTCCGCGCTCAGCTGATCCTCCCACCTCAGGCTCACCACCCCATACCCACCCCTACCCTGCCCCCGTAGCTGGGACTACAGGTGCACGCTACCATGCCCAGCTAATTTTTTGTATCCTTTGTAGAGATAAGGTTTCACCATGTTGTCTAGACCAGACTGATCTTGAACTCCTAGGCTCAAGTGATCTGCCTGCTTAGGCTTCCCAAAGTGTGCTAGGATTACAGGCTTGAGCCACCAAACCCAGCCCACTTTGACACTTAAAAGAAATAAAACTCAATTCGGTGGAGATGAATTTTTTTTGTTTCACATTGTCCTCATTGATGCTCAGTAATCATTGATCCAGTAGTGTATTTTCTGGGAGGGCCTGGGCCCAGGTGGTACACTTTTAGACTATATCCAGACATCTTTTAAGTATATGCCTGAATTCTCTAGAGAAGTAAAGAATGTGTTTTCATCTTCTTAGAAGAAGATGAGTAAGAGTTTGTTTATTTAAAAATATCTTTGAATGAGTTGATTCAGCGGTATTAGTCACCATAGAAATGACTTAAATTAAAAACCAAGTTTTTGAAAACAGCATGATCATGCTCAGTGACATTCCTGATTCACTCAGTATGGCAAGCAGTTTTTTTTTTTTTAGACAGAGTCTTGCTCTGTTGCCCAGGCTGGAGTGCAGTAGTGTGATCATGATTCACCGCAGCCTCCAACTCCTGGGCTCAGGCAGTTCTCCCACCTCACGTTCCTGTGGAGCTGGGACTACAGGCTCATGAAACTATGCTTGGCTAATTTTTTTTTTTTCCTTTAGTAGAGACATGGTCTCACTATGCTGCCCAGGCTGGTTTCAAACTCCTGGGCTCAAGCAATCCTCCCACCTTGGACTCCCAAAGGGCTGAGATTACAGGTGTGAGCCACTGCAAGGCTTCATAAAGAGTAATTTAACATTCAAATAATTTCAAGAGGATAGAGGAAGAATTCTGAAGAAACTCTTTTGTAAATTTTAAATTACCATTTTCATCCAAAGACCACATTGGTGATTATCCTATTCTAGAGGTGCTAATTAGTGTACTTAAATTGAGTTAGAAAGGAAAGATACTTTCCTGTGGTTTTGGGGGATTGATTTTTATCAGGAAAGAAGCTGTTTTCTAGCATAGTTTTGAAACCTTCATACTTGAACATATTTTCTTTCTGTCTGAAAGAATGTCACTAGTTTCTGTCCTCTGACTAGGGAAGTAAAAGGGCCTATTATCCTTTACTTTTGCTTTTACCCCCTTATTCTCCTAATCCAAATGGTGACTCTTGAGTTTATAATATAGCCCTTCTCTGGTGTCCTTGGGGATATTGGGGGTGGGGGAGAAATAATATAGCCTTTAAAAAATAATCCATTGTATAACTATTCTAATGTCCCTTTTGTTTATTTTTATTTTTCAGAGACAGGGTCTTGCTCTGTCAACCAGGCTGGAGTGCAGTGGTGCAGTCATAGCTCACTGGAGCCTCAAATTCCTGGGCTCAAGCAATTCTTCTGCCTCAGCCTCCCAGATAGCTATGACTACAGGCATGCACCACCATGCCCGGCTACTTTTTTTATTTTTATTTTTTTAGAAACAGGATCTTGCTGTGTTGCCCAGGCTGGTTTGGAACTCCTAGTCTCAAGAGATACTCCTGTTTTGGTCTCCCAGAGTGTTGGAATTATAGCTGTGAGCCACTGTGCCCAACCCCATTTGTTTTCTTTCTTCCTTCCTATTTGTAAAATCTTAGCATTGGTAAGGACCTGAGAATTCAGTTAATGTAAGGACCCACGTACTAGAAGAATCCTCTCTCTGGCATCTACAACAGATGGGCATTCAGCTTGAGTGAATATTTTTGATGATAATCTCACTCTTCCCAAGCAGCTCATTTAATTATTAGCAATTTCTTCCTTTTACTTTATTTAGATGAAAACTATGTCTTTGTAATTTCTGTGGGCTAATGAATTCTGCCCTTAGGAGTCACATGAAATTCAGCAGCTCTTGAAATTTGTTAGAGCAGCAATCATTTTCCTGCTTTGAATTCTCTTTTTCTAGGCTAAAGGTCCCAATATCATTCAGTTATTTGTTTTATGACGTGGTTTCAAATTGCATCATTATCTTCTAGCTCTGACAGATTTTTTCTCTCTAAAATAGATTGCTCAGAACCGAATGTAAGATTTAAGATGCAATATAAATACTGAGAACTGAGGGGCTGTTACTGTCCACAGTCTTCTGGATAGAGAATCAAATCCAGGAGGTCAGAGACTAAGTTTGTCTTTCTTACTAGAGTAGCCCCACTACTTAGCATAGGAATGCTCTGGTCACTATAAGTCTAGAAATGCAGATAAAGATTGTAAGCTGTTTTAGAATTTCATTTCTGTTGGGGCATGTTCTGTCAAGGACTTAAGATCCTTTTTAGTGTGTGAACTATTGTCAAATTGGGTAACCTCCAAGGGTAGAGGTTAGTGAGGTAGGCAAAATTCAAATCATTCTAGTATGTAATTTAAGTGAGAAGTGAAGAAGACTCATACAAACATAAAAGCAGTAGAGAAGCTGAAAAATAGACTGGTTCTAAATATATTTTGGCGGTAGAGTGTATACGATGAACAGATGGATTTGATTAGGAAGGGAAATGGAGAAGGCTAAGAGAAGGACAGCACTTAGGATTCTGCTTTGAGATACTGGATGGTATGATTGAGCCACTTATGGGAACAGGAAAAACAGAATTAAGAATTTAATTTTGGACATGTTTTATTGAGATACTTGCAAGATATTAATCTCTCTTCTCTATTTCAGTTTTTCAGTTTTGTTTTTGTTTTTTTTTTTTGAGATGGAGTCTTGCTCTGTCGCCCAGGCTGGAGTGCCGTGGCGTGATCTTGGCTCACTGCAACCTCCGCCTCCCGGGTTCAAGAGATTCTCCTGCCTCAGCCTCCAAAGTAGCTGGGATTACAGGCATGCGCCACCACCCCTGGCTAATTTTGTATTTTTAGTAGAGATGGGGTTTCTCCATGTTGGTCAGGCTGGTCTCAAACTCCTGACCTCAGGTGATCACCTGCCTCAGCCTCCCAAAGTGCTGGGATTACAGGCATGAGCCACCGTGCCTGGCCAATTTTTTTTTGTATTTTTAGTAGAGATGGGGTTTTACCATGTTGGTCAGGCTGGTCTCAAACTCCTGACCTCAGGTAATCCACCCACCTCAGGCTCCCAAAGTGCTGGAATTACAGGCGTGAGTTACCGTGCCCGGCCTTATTTTGGTTCTATTACCATTTACCAAAGTGGGCTAAAGGAGGTATATTATAAAAATGCCTTTAGGATCTGATATGCAACTGCCTGGATTAATAAGAAGTGTGCTAGTGAGAATATGCTAGAGAAACTAAGGGCAGCAGGAGTTCTTAAACCTTGGTTGCAAGGCTTTTCAAGTTTCTCTGCTCAGTATTGATTTCAGCTTCCCTAGGGATTCCCATTGTGAATATTCACTGATAACCTGAATTTACCCAGTCATTTGTTGAATTTCCCTCTGTCTCTAGCCTCTTCTGCCTCCACTTTATCTACTTCCTTACTTAAAAGCTTTCAGTGGCTCTCAGGAATCAAGTCCCAACAATTTAGCATGATATTCAAGTCATTTCATAATGTGTCTTTGCCTGTCTCTTCCTGTCTCATTCTACACGTACACTCTGGAAAGAGTAAAAGAAGAAATATGTGGCCAGGCGCGGTGGCTCACGCCTGTAATCCCAGCACTTTGGGAGGCCGAGATGGGTGGATCACGAGGTCAGGAGCTCGAGAACATCCTGGCTAACACGGTGAAACCCCGTCTCTAATAAAAATACAAAAAATTAGCCGGGCATGGTGGCGGGCTGAGGCAGGAGAATGGCGTGAACCCGGGAGGCGGAGCTTGCAGTGAGCTGAGATCCCGCCACTGCACTCCAGCCTGGGTGACAGAGTGAGACTCCATCTCAAAAAAAAAAAAAAAAAAAAAGAAAGAAAGAAAGAAATATGTACATGGGCGGGGAACTTGAAACTGGTAGAAATAGAGGTGGTCTTAGCCAGATTGAATAGTCTGTGCATAACTTCTCAACAGATAGGGGTTTAGTTAACAGAGAAGCATCTCTGAGGTAGAAGCATCTGAAGTACTGTGTTTTACAGAGACAGATACTAGCCTGATAATTTACAACAGAATTATCACCATGTTTAATGGTTTCATTAATGCATGACTCCATGATCTGAAGCAAATTTTTTAACCACCCAGAGTTTATTTTCTGGGAAATGAGAATGTCTACCTTGTAGAGTGGTTTAAGGCATGTAGAATAATGTGTGGCATTTAGGTATTCAATACATGCTAGCTGCTATTATTATTGTTACTGTTGGAATCTAATTTTTTTATTTTTGAGAGATAGGGTTTCACTTTGTCACCCATGCTGGAGTGTAATGGCAGGATCATGACTCACTGTAGCCTTGACCTCTGAGGCTCAAGTGATCCTCCTACCTCAGACTCCCAAGTAGCTGGGATTACAGGGGCATGTCACCATACTTGGCTAATTTTTTATTTTTTGCAGAGACGAGGCCTTTCTATGTTGCCTAGGATGGACTCAAACTCCTGGGCTCAAGCTATCCTCCTGCCTTGGCCTCCCAAAGTGCTGGGATTACAGGTGTAAGCCACCGTGCCTGGCCATGGAATTTTAAACGGTAGCTCTTTTCTAACCGTATCTCCCCCTGCTGCCCTGTTGTAGCCCTATTCAGCTAGTCTGGAATTCTTACTAGTTTCTTTGGATTTACAATGTTCTTAATAATACTGGTTCTGCGTGGAATTCCCTTTGCCCATTGCACTTCAAGTCTCTTTCTATTGACATCTATACTCCTCCCTCAAAGCATTATTTATTTATTTTTTGAGATGGAGTCTTACTCTTTTGCCCAGGTTGGAGTGCAGTGGTGGGATCTTGGCTCAGTGCAACCTCTGCCTCCTGGGTTCAAGCCATTCTCCTGCCTCAGCCTCCCAAGTAGCTAGGATTATAAGTGTGCACCACCATGTGCAGCTAATTGTTGTATTTTTAGTACAGACAGAGTTTCACCATGTTGGCCAAGCTGGTCACAAATTCCTGACCTCAGTTGATCTGCCTGCCTTGGCCTCCCAAAGTGCTGGGATTACAGGTGTGAGCCACTGTGCCCAGTGGTTTTTTATTTTTTTTCTTCTCAGTGAGCTAATTTGAAGAGTAATACCTAGAATTAAATCATCAAACTTCATCCCTAAATGGTGATTATAAAGGAAATTTTATTAATGCTGCCAAACTGCAATGTTTTTGTGAAGTTTTCAACTCAAGAAGCATTAATGGAGCACTGACTCAATGTTACAGAGATGTAAAAAAAAATGAAAGATAACCATTCAGTCTTTTCAGTCTGTTCAGTATGTTTTTCTTTTTTTTTTTTTTTTTAAAGGTTTGATTTGTCTGAAATTAACAGATGCACACTTTTAAAACAAGTATATCTTTGATACCAGATGGGGTGTAATTCATAGGGTTTTGAGGATTAGGATTGAGATGGAACGGTAACTCGTCACTTTTTCTTCAGTGTTGTGTAGATTCTTTGTTTGTTTGTTTGTTTAAATCAAAAGACCTCTTTCTGACATTAAGTAAATGGATACCTCCTTTTGGATTTTATATCCAGAATGAAAATAGTGTCATTTACATAGGAAGAGCTTGTTTGTAGAGCATTTATCCTGTTTTTGCTGCTTGACTTCTTTATATCTTTTCCTCTGTACCCGTCCTATCATTTGTAACACGAGGAACATGACTGCATGGCATTTGTCTGGAAGAACATGACTGCATGGCATTTGTCTAGAGAAGTATATTTGAGCTTTTAGTAAGTGATCCATAGGGTTTTTTTTTCTTTTTGCTATTTATTTATTTGTTTAATTCATATTAACCTCAGAGCTAACTGAAAGTATCAGTGAGCTTTATCAGTTTCATTTTATATTCTCTTTTTTTTTTTAAGAACATAGATGCAAACTCTCCTTAATCATTCATTTTTATGTTTTTTCTTGTATAGACTGAGTTGTAGCATCTTTGCTGGATACTGCATTGTTTGAATTCCTGATTGTTTTCTAGCATTTAATGTATGGTATTAACTGAAGTTGGTTTCAGTAGAATTCTTTTGCCTTTCTACCTCTGTGCCTGTTCCTTAATTATGTTTTCATTTATTCTTATGTTCGGCTTGTTTTTTACATATGTCCCATTATGTGGCAAAATGTCTCAATTCTGTACTCATAGATGTTATCCTCTAACTCTTCATATGTCTTAATTGGGTTTGGATCATAATCCCAAAAGACACAATCCTAAACACCATAATCCGAAATGTTAAAATCCTGAAAGATCAAAATCCCTGAATCCTAAATCCCTGAAGTCTAAAATCCCTAATGTCTACAATCCCCAAAATCACAATCACAGGGTAGTTGCTTCATGTTAGGCAGAACTATTACTTTGTTGTGTTTATTTGGAAATTAAATATGGTTTAAGGAGATGCATATAGATGCCAAGTGGACAAGGGGTAGACTTATAGACTTAATTTTGGAGATGTCAGTTTGACTGGATTAAGGAATACCTAGAAACCTGGTAAAATATTCTTTGGGGTATGTCTGTGAGGATGTTTCCAGAGGAGATTAGTGTGTAAGTCTTGTGGATTAGGTGGGGAAGATCTGCCCTCATTTTTGGTGGGTATCATTAAATTGGCTGGGGGGCCCGGAAAGAACAAATAGAGAAGACACGTGTCTCTGACAGCTGGGACAGACTTCTTCTGCTGTGTTGGGCATCAGAACTATAGGCTTCTCAGCCTTTGGACTCAAGGACTTATACCAGTAGCCCCTCCAGGTCTTGAGGATGAGAGTTATACCATCAACTTTTCTGGTTCTGAGGCCTTTAGTCTTGGACTGAGCTATGCCACTGGCATCCTAGAGTCTCCAGCTTGCACACAGCCTGTTGTGGGACTTCTCAGCCACCACAATCATGTGAGCCAATTCCCCTAGTAAATCCTCTGTCATGTATCTATATACATATCCTATTGGTTCTGTCACTCTGGAGAACCCTGACTAATACAGATTTGATATTAGAGAAGCTGAATGTCATTCCTTTTACTTGCAACACAATGAAATATCTGTGAAATTGTTTCCTCACAGAAAGGCTGTGATAAGTTAAGTGTATGAGGCTACTTAGTGGTGAAAGATAAAAGTTTAAAAGCTAATTATTATTGCTGCTGTGAAAGCAGAGTATTGCTTAACTGCAATGGCCAAGCAATACCAAAACTTTCCAATGGACCACATATACTTACAAAATTTGTAGACCACAACCACTCTCCAAATACAAGTGCGGTGAGTGTTTTGAAGACCATACAAGAATTGAAAATGCATGCGAAAAATACAAGAGATCTCCCCTGCCAAATTATATTCAATTGTGTACGACTACTGCCCCTTCACACATGCCCCTTCATACTTGCCTTTAAAAAACACCCTTCATTACAGAATAAAAAGAATTTGACAAGCTCGGTGACCTTCTGAACCAAATACACTTGTCGATATTGAGGTTCCTCCACTGTTGCAAAACATGTTAAATGGTGAACTATTCTTGATTAGGGATTTGACTGTCAAAGAGGATAGACTTCTTATATTTACCACTAAATCTAATATAGCAAAACTAGCACATGCTTCACTTTGGCTAATGGATGGTACTTTTGAAACTGTCCTCACTTTTTTTTTTTTTAATCACTTGTATACAATTCATGCCCCCATTGAATCTGAAAATTCTAGAACTAATCTACTAGTTTATGTATTAGTGACTGGAAAAAGTGAAACACCTTATAAATGTTTATTTGAAGATTTGGCAGACTTGGCAGAAGAAAATGGATTTTGATTGAATCCCCGAACCATAATGACAGATTTGGAATGAGGTGCAATCAAGGCTTCTAAAAGTGAATTTCAAAATGTTATGAATAAACTTTGTTCCATTCAACCCCAATGCATTTGGCAGAAAATTCAGATGAATGGATTGGCCACACAATACAGCAAGGATGAAAGTTTCAGTTTAAAAGTGCATTGTGGCAGGTTCACATTATCCCAGCACTTTGGTAGGCCAAGACGGGAAGATCACTTGAGCCTAGGAGTTCGAGACCAGCCTGGCAAAACATGGTGAAACCCCATCTGTCCCCAAAATACAAAAACAAATTAGCCAGACTTGGTGGTGCGTGCTTGTAGTTTCAGCTACTTAGGAGGCTGAGGTAGAAGGATGGTTTGAGCCGGGGAGATGGAGGTTGCAGTGAGCTGAGATTATGCCATTGCACTCCAGCCTGGGCCACAGAGCCAGAACCTGTCTCAAAAAAATAAAATAATAAAATACATTTAAAAAATTTAAAAAGCACATTATGATGTCACTAGGGGAGGGTTGAGAAAAAAAATAAAGTGCATTATAGGTATGGTGGCTCACTTCTGTAATCCCAGCACTTTGGGAGGCTGAGGCAGGAGGATCATTTGAGCCCAGGAGTTTGAAACCAGCCTGGGCAACATGGTGAAACTCCATCTTTAAAAAAAATTTTTTTTTTTTTAATTAGCTGGGCATGGTTGTGTGTACCTGTAGTTCCAGCTACTTGGGAGGCTGAGGTGGGAGAATTGCCTGAGCCCAGGAAGTTGAGGTTGAAGTGAGCCGAGATTGTGCCACTGCACTCTTGCCTGGGTGGAGTCAGAACCTGTCTCAAAAAAAGTGCATTATTTTTATTTTTAAAGTGTATTATTTGCCTGCATTGGCATTCCTTCCAGCTGATGATATTCCAGGAGTTTTTTTTTTTTTTTTTTTTGAGATAGAGTCTCACTCTGTCACCCAGGCTGGAATGCAGTGGTGCAATCTCGGCTCACTGCAACCTCGACTGCCTGGCCTCCCGAGTAGCGGGGATTACAGACGTCCGCCACCAGGCCCAGCTAGTTTTTGTATTTTTAGTAGAGACAGGGTTTTACCACTTTGGCCAGGCTGGCCTCGAACTCCTGACCTCAGGTGATCTGCCCATCTCAGCCTCCCAAAGTGCTTGGATTACAGGCGTGAGCCACCGTGCCTGTCCTCCAGGAGCTTTTAATAAATTAAAACTGCATCTGTCTGAAGAAACCAGTGAAGTTACCGACTGGTTCAAAAATAATTACGTGCACAGTAGGATAAGAAGACACACAATGGTGTTTCTGTTTGATCACCAGTATTGTTTCCACCAAATTTATGGTCTGCATATGAGTACTTGTGAAACAAATTTCTGCATGCCTAAAACAACATATATGCATAACACAAAAGATGGGAAAATTTAACAGGAAATGCTCATGTCCATGTATGTCGAATCATAGAAGAATTTCAAAAAGAGCAGCACCATGTATAAAATGAATGTGAATGTATTCTCTGAGGAGAGCCATGCTCTAAAAGGAAAAAAGCAGCTATTCGTGGTGATGTAAGACTTCAAAATATAAATGATTGTGAAAGTCTGCCTGCTCTTATGGACCGCCTCTGCACAATTGCCCAGAATCTATTGCTGTAATATACTTTTTCATATGTTGAGTTTTCTTTTTAGTTTTTAAAAGTTTTTTCCCCACTTGTTCAAATTGCCAGCATTATTTTTTACAATATGCTGTGCTCTGTATTTCATCTTCACATCATTTCCATTACTGGAGGTATAAATTGTGTCAAGACTTTTAGAGAGTTCGAATGTGTTTTATGCATTTTTCGCATATTTGCAAATTTGACTCCACAAGGTCCATTTTCACAACATTGACTTCGTGTGTAAGCATTGTGCATGTATGTAAAATGCTCTTTGGGCAACTGTAATATGTGGTGGCAGCCCATCATGGTTTTTTTTTCTTTTTAATTTTTATTTTTATTATTTTTATTTTTTATTTTCTTTAAATTTTATTATTATTATACTTTAAGTTTTAGGGTACATGTGCACAATGTGCAGGTTTGTTACATATGTATACGTGTGCCATGTTGGTGTGCTGCACCCATTAACTCGTCATTTAGCATTAGGTATATCTCCTAATGCTATCCCTCCCCCCTTCCCCACCCCACGACAGTCCCCGGTGTGTGATGTTCCCCTTCCTGTGTCCATGTGTTCTCGTTGTTCAATTCCCACCTATGAGTGAGAACATGCGGTGTTTGGATTTTTGTCCTTGCGATAGTTTGCTGAGAATGATGGTTTCCAGCTTCATCCATGTCCCTACAAAGGACATGAACTCATCATTTTTTATGGCTGCTTCTTTTTAATTTTTAATGACCAAAACAAAGCATCTAAAACCACAGCTTCTGGAAGAACTACTTGTTCTTGCCTGTCTTTTATCTCTTTTCAAACTTGACCTTGGCCTCTCGTCGGGCTTTGGGCATTAGGTGATTGTAGTTACAAACTTTCGCAAAAGACTTGATCTTTGACCCCTTGGTGATCTTCTTCTTGCCCATGGCAGCTGTCACTTTGCAGGGGTAGTGGTCAATTCCAGACACCAGAGCATGGCTGTAGGGGCAATCTGAGGTGCTATCATCAATGTTCTTCACGATGACGGCTTTGCATCCAGAGTAGCGTCCAGCCAGGACAAGCACCACCTTCCCAGGTTTCATGAACTTGCCCATTTCGGCAGCAACCACTCGGGCCTACAGCAAAAAGCCCATCATGGTTTTTGATTGATCTTAAGACTTAGGTTGTTTGTCGTGGTATTTCAGATGACTGCAGTTATATAAGCTATTTTTTTATGAATACACCTTGTCTGCTCATAACTTATACCTGTATGACTGTCATTAGTATACCCAAGTGTTTATGCTTGCAAAATATGTATGTTGTTTTTGCCTATTTTATCATGTAAAGTAGCCTATGAAGTGTTCTGTTATGTTTTTATGTTTCTCAAATAAATCCCCCTTAAAAATGTAAATACATATCTTTAAATTTTTTTTTAAATTCCTTTTTCCAGAATTATATTTTTGGGATTTTGGTCTTTTGGGATTTCAACACTCAGGATTATGCCATTGAGGACTATATCTTTCAGGATTATGATTGGCTCCTGTCCTAATCATTACTTCCTAAATGTGGCACAGAGATATTATCAATGGAGATACCCAGAACACTGAATCTGGGCACTTGTCACAGCTGGGTAGGAAACTTGGATTTGCCATACTCTATGTTTAAAGATTACAAAGTCTGATTAAGTGCCAAAAAGAGTTTTTAAAAATGTTAATGGTTCACTTTTCACATTTAATGTGTTGCATCATTTGTTTCATTCATTAATTAACAAGGATTTATTTGTTGAGCACTTATTGTGTCAAGTATTTCCTGCTCTTCATATTCCACTTGCTAAAAGCAGCTTTTTATAGTCTTTGTTTCTAGGCATTTTGCAGTACGTTCTCAAAGTGATTGTAATGGTGGTTTTCTGTGCTTCCTACTCAAAATGTGCTCAGTGGGCCAGCAGCATTGGCAACATCTTATTAGAATTGTAGAATCTCAGGCCCCTTTCCAGACCTATTGAATCAGACCCCTTATAGTGAAGCAGGATATTTGCCTGACCTCTTCATGGGAATTGTGACAGGCGTACCTTGTTTACTGAGCCTGCCACTCTCAACTCCTTGTGGGAAGGAGCGTGCGAGTGAACGAGGTGGGAACTGGAGTGCACAAGCGCTGGAACGAGCTGACTGCCTTGGTGCTTGCAGTACTCAAGGCCACGCGGGCCTCACAGCAGTATCCAGGGGGCAGTATCTGCATCCCTCCAAGCCCCAGAGGGCATGTTACAGTGCTCTTTTAGCTTCGACATGCCATCCACGAACAGCTTAAGTGTTAGCAGCTCAGTGGGCCCTTTGCCTTTTTGAGTGAGGTGCTGCCCTCTGCCAGTGAGGTCAGAGGGCCAGTGTGACAGCCTTTTGTATCTGCACACATGGCTCCCGTGCTCTTGTCCGGTGTCCAGGAAAAATGAGGTCACAGGAATGAATTGAAGAATGGTAAATACAGGGGATTTTATTGCTGATGAAAGTGGCTCTCAGCGGGAAGGGGAGCTGAAAAGGGGCCGGGGGTGGGTAGATTATCTTCCTCTGAAGTACAGCCATCTCCAGCCGAATTCTTCTCTGAAGTTACACCATCAAGCTATCCCTCTGAAGTCAAGCTGCTTCTCTCCAACATCCAGCTGTTTCTCCTCCCTCCCAGCTGAGTCTGGGGTTTTTATAGGCACAGGATGGGGTGAGGTGGGGCCATGGGTGGTTTAGGAAAAGGCAACATTCCAGTGGGAAAACAGGGATATAAAGTCTCACTTTGGGCTGCAGTCTCATGCTTTTCTGTTTGAGGGTAGGGTTTCGTCAGAGACCCGTCCTTTTCTGCCTAGAATTTCTCTGCCCCTTTGTCTGTATCAATAGTGGTTTTAAACAAAATTTATTTTGAATTTTTCTTTCATTATACTGGTTAAAGTTGAAACAAGAATGTAAACTCCATGATGACATAGACCTTGACTGTTTTGTTTACTGTTGTATTTCTAGCACGTAGCATCAGTCCTGTGCTAGGTGCCTGATAAGAATTTGTTGAATGAATCAATTAGTATCATGCATTTGAAGTAAATTTACTTGAATAAATTTAGAGAATGCCTTTGCAGTTTGTATTTATCAGATATATTCAGTGAAATCAATTCATTTTTTTAAAAAACTTAGGTTTTTTTTTTTTTTTGAGACAAGGTGTTGCTCTGTCACCTAGGCTGGCATGCAGTGGCATGATCATGGCTCACTGTAGCGTCAGCCTCCTGGATTCAAGTGATTCTTCTGCCTCAGCTTCCCAAGTAGCTGGAACTATAGGCACATGCCACCCATACCTGGCTAATTTTTAAATTTTTTATAAATACGATGTTTTGCTATGTTGCCCAAGCTGGTCTTGAACTCCTGAGCTCAAGTGATCCTCCTGCCTCGACCTCCCAAATTGCTGGGATTACAGGCGTGAGCCACCATGCCCAGCCCCCAAAAACTTTTTTTTTGTTTTTGAGATGGAGTCTCGCTCTGTTGCCCAGGCTGGAGTACAATGGCATGATCTCAGCTCACCACAACCTCCGCCTCCCAGTTTCAAGTGATTCTCCTGCCTTAGCTTCCTGAGTAGCTGGATTACAAGCGCCTGCCACCATGCCCGGCTAATTTTTGTATTTTTAGTAGAGACGGGGCTTCACCATGCTGACCAGGCTGGTCTCAAACTCCTGACCTCAGGTGATCTGCCCGCCTCGGCCTCCCAAAGTGCTGGGATTACAGCCGTGAGCCACTGTGCCTGGCCTAAAACTTTTATTAATACCTATTATGTGTCAGGTACTGTTCTAGGCATTGGGTATACAATGATAAAAAAAAAATATGTCAAGGTTCATGTCCTTATAGAACTTTTAGCTGGAGAGAGGGAAGAAAGACATTTTAGCTGGAGAGAGGGAAGAAAGACAATAAACTGGTAAACAAATATGTTAACAAAATAATTACAGATAATAAGTGCAGTAGTCCTGTAAGGGTATCTGGGGGCATGAAGGCCAATACTTCAGCTAGGTTATGTAGGGAGGCCTCCTAAGGCATAAGACAGTAATGATATGAAGGAGACCAGCCTTCAAATAGGCAGGAGAAGAGCAGTGTAAGTAGAGAGAGCAGCAAGTGTGAAGGGCCTGAAGAGGGAATGAGCTAAATATAGTTTGTTCATTCATTCAGATTGTTAACATCCAGATAAAGTTACTTCATTTAGGCTTGTCTGGTGCAGTGGTGCTTACAGCTAATTGATCACAACCAGTTATAGATGTCTTTGTTTCTTCTCGACTCCCACTGCTTCACCTCACTAGCCTTAAAAATTTTTTTTTTTATTTTAAAATTTTTTTTTATTATACTCTAAGTTTTAGGGTACCTGTGCACATTGTGCAGGTTAGTTACATATGTATACATGTGCCATGCTGGTGCGCTGCACCCACTAACGTGTCATCTAGCATTAGGTATATCTCCCAATGCTATCCCTCCCCCCTCCCCCGACCCCACCACAGTCCCCAGAGTGTGATATTCCCCTTCCTGTGTCCATGTGATCTCATTGTTCAATTCCCACCTATGAGTGAGAATATGCGGTGTTTGGTTTTTTGTTCTTGCGATAGTTTACTGAGAATGATGGTTTCCAATTTCATCCATGTCCCTACAAAGGACATGAACTCATCATTTTTTATGGCTGCATATTTTTTAATTACTTTATTTAATACAGAGAAGATGAGAAGACAATGTAAATGCTGCTTTGTGAGTGATGGGAAGAAGTACTTTTAGTGATAGCAGTGAATCAAAGCATAAGGTCATCAATAGTCGACTTCATTGCCCAGTGTTTTCAAAGTCCCCACGTGTGTTGGTTATTCTTTAGTAAAGTAGACGTGACAATGCTCGTTGGCTGTTATTGTGAAGCTTGACTTATAATACTGGGATTTTGAGATCAAGAGGCTAGAAGCCAAGATGTTTGAAATATGTAAGGTCAGCTGCCTGCTCTTTCCTCCTCCCCTACGAGTGAATCAACACTTGCTTTATAAGTTTTTCTTCTCTATCTCCTTTCTCTATTGTTAGTTTCACTTCCTACTCTTAAAAATTCTGAGCTTTCAAAATCATGTTTATCAGGAGAAAAAAGAGACTGAAAGAGCTTAAAATGGGATACCTCTGGCCGGGTGCGGTAGTTCACGCCTGTAATCCCAGCTCTTAGGGAGGCAGAGGCGGGAGGATAGCTTGAGCCCAGGAGTTCGAGACCTGCCTGGGCAATATAGCAAGACCCCATTCTCCACAAAAAGGAAAAAAAAAAGGGATACCTCTGAAAGAGGTTGTAATTTGGAATTGTAACATGAAAACCTAAGGAAATTTTTTGCAGTATTTCAACTGTATATTTGTCGTTGCTGTTATCCAGTCTTACAACAAACTATCAGAATTTTACTTTTGCAATTTTAATAGAGAAGTCTCTGCATCCTAAGAAATGTAAAGAAAAAGAACAATAAAGACTGGGGGAACTTTTAAATTTCATCGTCTCTTGGTGTGTGGAGAATTTTGCAGGGAATAATTCCTGCAAATCCTACACCTTCAGATTGATACCCTCAAAGGACACTAAACCACAGTCCTTTTTTAAGGAAGGATAAAACTGTATTTACTGTATACAGTTCTAGGCATTGGATTTAATATGTGATGTATTTCACTAAGGTGGCCTCCGTGGGTACTATTTTAAGCTACTCTCTCTGTGTGCATATCTTTAGTGACTCAAGGCATTAATATTTTATTCAGGATGTGTAGATAAGATATTTTTGTAATTTAATGGAAAGTCTCATGTTTAATGGGTTTGAATTCTGTTTGTTGGCAATTAAATACCTAAGTATATTAATTTTTTAGGGTTTAGGGTTTTGCCAACAGTAATGTGTTTTGCTTATAAGAGCCCCCCTTTTCTATCTTCTTTTTAATAGCAACATCATGACAACAGAGAAGAGTTTAGTGACTGAGGCCGAAAATTCACAGCACCAACAGAAGGAAGAGGGTGAGGAAGCCATAAACTCAGGCCAACAAGAACCTCAGCAGGAGGAATCTTGTCAAACAGCAGCTGAAGGAGATAATTGGTGTGAACAGAAGCTGAAAGCTTCTAATGGAGACACTCCTACACATGAAGACTTGACCAAGAACAAGGAGCGGACATCAGAAAGCAGAGGACTTTCACGACTATTCTCCTCGTTTCTCAAAAGGCCCAAATCTCAGGTGTCCGAGGAAGAAGGCAAAGAAGTAGAGTCAGATAAAGAAAAAGGTGAAGGAGGTCAGAAAGAGATAGAATTTGGAACCAGTCTTGATGAAGAGATCATTTTAAAGGCCCCAATTGCAGCTCCTGAACCGGAACTCAAAACAGACCCATCTTTGGATCTTCATTCATTAAGCAGTGCAGAAACACAGGTAAGGATGTGTGGATATGGGAGGTGGGCAAAGGAAGGCAGGTTATACACTTTATTTTTCATTTAAGAGTATTTGGGCTGGGCGCGGTGGCTCATGCCTGTAATTCCACCACTTTGGGAGGCCGAGGCAGGCGGATCAACTGAGGTCAGGAGTTCGAGACCAGCCTGGCCAACATGGCCAAACCCTGTCTCTACTAAAAGTACAAAAATTAGCCGGGCCTGATGGCGGGTGCCTGTAATCCCAGCTACTCAGGAGGCTGAGACAGGAGAAGTTGAACTCGGGAGGCGGAGGCTGCAGTGAGCTGAGATCGTGCCACTGCATTCCAGCCTAGGCAACAAGGATGAGATTCCGTCTCAACAACGGGGGGATAAAAAAAGTACTTGGTTTTATTTCTTACTAGCTAGTTGACTTAGGCATTGATAGTGATAAGTAGCATCATAAAGCTTTATAGTTTCTACTCTATTTTTTTTTTGAGACTGAGTCTTGCTCTGTCACCCAGGCTGGAGTGCAGTGGTGTGATCTCGGCCCACTGCAACCTCCCCGTCCTGGGTTCAAGCTATTCTTCTGCCTCAGCCTCCCGAGTAGCTGGGATTACAGGCGCTGGCCACCATGCCCAGCTAATTTTTGTATTTTTAGTAGAGACAGCGTTTTGCTGTGTTGGCCAGGCTGGTCACAAACTCTTGACCTCAGGTAATCTGTCCACCTCAGCCTCCCAAAGTGCTGGGACTACAGACGTGAGCCACCATGCCCGGCTTATAGTTTCTACTCTAAAAAAATTAATGTAGTCATTGGAAACTTACTTTTTAAACAGTTACTTACACTTTATATGTATTAAAGGGTCTTGCTATTTTGCCCAGGCTAATCTCAAACTCCTGGGCTCAAGTGATCCTCCCACCTCAGCCTCCTGAGCAGCTGGCATTACAGGTGTGTACCACCATGCCTGTCCATTTACTGTTTATAAATCAAAGAATAGTAGAGAAAAAAAAAGTATCAAATCAATGTGTTCAGCCCATATATCATTTTATTATAATAATGGAACAAATTGAAGATTTCTCATGAGAGAGGAAAAGAAAGATGAGATGGTTTAGAGTTCATTTTTGTGGAATTATTAGGAACAGGACGGTTATCAGCAGATGTGGTTCTTTTACGTAAATCTTCCTAAAAGCTGTGTGATGAATTCAAGCCCTTTGAAGGTATGTGATAGATTCAAGTCATGTCTACCTTATTTTGATCATCTTCTTTAACTAGAGCATATTGCCACAGAGTGTAAGATACAGATGAGGAAGTCTAGCTCTTTCTATCACCTGTGTAATGTATATTAGTCTGGGGCCTTAATTGTGACATAGTGTTGTTAAACTAAACACGAGTTGTGAGTTTATTTGTCCCAAAAAATGGGAAAACATTAGTACTGTAACTCAGACTATTTTCTGAGAATGTCATTTATTTTCAGCCTCACCATTACAATTAAGAATTATTTTCAGAGTCTTCTTATTTCTGAAGCATGTGAATATTATCTGCATCGTTAAAAGTGTAAGTCCTTCTAGAACTCTGACAGTGTTGGGGGGAAAAAAGTAAAAGTCCTACATGTTTCTATTATAGGTCTGAGATTTGGACTCCATAGTTTTATTAGAGTCTTATTAGAATATTACATGTATTTCTAGAACTATTACTTGTATATTCAAAGTGCTGAGGGTAAAATTTAGGATAAAATTATAATTGCACACTTGCTGTTAGTGAAACAAGGTTGAAAACAAGATTTACTATGTTCTGTAATAGTTAAGATGCAAGCTATAGAATCCGACTAGAGGGTTCAAATCGAAGAAAAGTGACACTTTTCACTTTATCAGTTTCCTCCTCTGTACAATGGGGATAATAATATCCACCTCATTTGGGATTGAAAGGATTAAAAGAGTGAAACCGGTAAAAGCTCTTAAAACATTGCCTGGCATTTAATAAATACTCAATGAATGTTAGCTAGTAAATAAACACAAACAGTAAAGGCAAAGAAACCATTCATATCTTAATAACATTTTATTTTAGGAATACCAAAAGAATTAAATTACATTATCGGCCGGGCGCAGTGGCTCACACCTGTAATCCTAGCACTCTAGGAGGCTGAGGCAGGCGAATCACAAGGTCAGGAGTTTGAGACCATCCTGGCCAACATGGTGAAACCCTGTCTCTACAAAAAATACAAAAAATTAGCTGGGCGTGGTGGCGGGCACCTGTAGTCCCAGCTACTCGGAAGGCGAGGCAGGAAAATTTGCTGAGAGCCGAGATCACGCCACTGCACTCCAGCCTGGGTGACAGTGCGAGATTCCATCTCAAAAAAAAAAAAAAAAAATTACATTATCTTTCAGGAAGCCTGGTACTTTCAAGAGTTTTTCAAATTTCCTTCCTTCCTTCCTTCCTTCCTTCCTTCCTTCCTTCCCTCCCTCCCTCCCTCCCTCCCTTCCTCTCTTCCTCTGCCTCCCTCCTTTCCCCTCCCTCCCTCCTTCCCCCTCTTTATTTATTTTCTTTTTTTCTTTCTTTCTTGACAGGGTCTCTCTCTGTCACCCAGACTAGAATACAGTGGTGTGATCATGGCTCACTACAGCCTCAACCTCCCGGGCTCAAGCTATCCTCCCATCTCAGTCTCCTGAGTAGTTGGGACTACAGGTGCATGCCACATGCCCAGCTAATTTTTAAATTTTTTGGTAGAGACGGTCTTGCTTTGTTGCCTAGGCTGGTCTTGAACTCCTGAACTCGAGCAATCCTTCTGCCTCAGCCTTCCAGAATGCTGGGATTACAGGCATGACCACTGTGCCTGGCCTCAAGGGGTTTTTAACTGCTTTTTTCTCCTTCAGCTTTATATAGGGGAAAATCCATATCTTGTTTTAGTTAACATTTGAATCAGAACTTGTCTGCATTGTCTAAAGTTCATAGATTCGTACTCAAGTTGACACAGATGATGGACAGTTAATTTTAGATTTAACTAAAATCTCATTCATTAAGATTTAATTCCGAATTGAAATAAATTGTCCGTAGGTTATTTGTCTTCATGTGGAGAAAAAGAAACGATATTGTTAGTAAAATTTCAAGGAGATATTATTTAAAAGAACAAACTATTTTAGGCCTTTTGGAAACTAATATTTATAGTCAAAACCTTGTGGATCAGAGTCGTCTGGATAAAGGTTTATTTGCCTAACCATGTTTCTGTATATGTAATAGGATTTTATTTAAATGGTTCTTTTTTATCCAGAATTTTTTAAAAAGCGTGTTTGCTTTATATTATAAATATATAAATATATATTTATATTACATTTAAGTGTATAATATATATAAATATAGGATTGTACCAGTCTTCATCCAGAGTAGCTTGGATTTTTTGGAAGCCTATGTAAATTTTTAATGTTTGTTTATTCATTCAACAAATATTTATTGAAAACCTACCATGTGTGCCAGGCCCTAGGCTGGATATACCTTGGTAAATAAAAACTGCAATATGGTGAAGAGGTTTAAAATCATGGATTTTGGGGCTGAGTGTGGTGGCTCATGCCTGTAAATCCAGCACTCTGGGAGACTGAGGCAGGAGGATCACTAGAGCCCCGGAGTTCGAGACCAACCTGGGCAACATGGAGAAACACCATCTCTACAAAAAAGTAAAAAACTAGCTAGGCATGGTGGCTCTCCTGTAGTCCCAGCTACTTGGGATGTTGAGGTGGGAGGATCACTTGAGTCTGAGAGGTCGAGGCTGCATTGAGCCATGATTATGTCACTGCACTCCAGCCTGGGTGATAGAGTGAGACTCTTGTCTCAAAAAAAAAAAAAAAAAGCAAAAAAAACAAATCGTGGATTCTGAAGCCAGACTGGTATGTGACTTATTAATTGTATGATCCTAGGCAAGTTACTTAATTTCTCTGGCCTGTTTTACAACCCTGCAGGCCAGGTACTATTATCCTCCCTCTATCAAGTGGGGATATAATAATACTACGTGCCTCGCAGGGTAGTTATGAGGATTGAGTTAGTTCACATAAGTAATTTTCTTAGAATAGTGACTGGCCCATTGTAATTGTTGTATAAATGTTTGGTATTATTATTATTATAAAACAGACATGATTTCTACCCTTGTGGACTTTAATAGAGAAGACAAAAAAGTAGCAAATAAAAATAATTATTTATTGTAATAAGTTATAAAGCCACCAGAGTACTGATATGAAAGACAGTAGAGCGGGCATAGATAGATAGGATAGCCAGTGAAGAGACTTCCTGAGGTTGCAGTGAGAGGGTCATGAAAGATCGGAAGGAGTCTTTTAGATTACTTCCAGTATTTAATGCAGGAGTCAAATAATTAATTTCTTTTTCCTAATTGTCAACCATGCATTCTTTTTTTCTTTTAATTGTTTTCCAGCTGTTACACAAGGAAGTAACATATTCTTTTAAAAGAAAATAATTAGTCGGGTTTAGATAAAAATATGTCGGTAGTTTTGTTGTGTTGAAAGTAAAAGTAAAAATGTATGCCGGCCAGGCACGGTTGCTCACGCCTGTAATCCCAACACTTTGGGAGGCCGAGGCGGGCAGATCATGAGGTCAGGAGATCAAAACCATCCTGGCTAACGTGGTGAAACCCCATCTCTACTAAAAGTACAAAAAAATTAGCTGGGCGTGGTGGCGGGCGCCTGTAGTCCCAGCTATTCAGGAGGCCCAGGCAGGAGAATCGCTTGAACCCTGGAGGCGGAGCTTGGAGTAAGCCGAGATCGCGCCACTGCACTCCAGCCTGGGCTACAGAGTGAGACTCCGTCTCAAAAAAAAATGTATACCAAAAATGTTATCCTACTTATCGGTATTATTTGGGGATAATTTAAGATTGCACCAGGAAACTCTTCCTTCATTGACTCTTCTTTGCATTTAACATGATTAATATTGGGTAGAAAGGTGTTAGCTGGTAGTTAAAATTTTTAGCCTACTACATGTTTGCTTAATGATGTGAAATTGGTCCCAAGCATTTCTCTTAGAATTAAAATTAATTTAAAATTTAGAATATGTAACAAGTCACATCTTATTTTGCAGTTTGTAAGGCTACATTGCTAAAATTGAGGAGCATGGGCAGAGACAATAACGTTTTTGTTAAACTTTAATAATACCGTGTAATGGCTTGGTCAGGAAGAATATATAATGCTGAGAGCAATGGATTGGTATCCTCCGGTTTACCTGAGACCTTCATTTATTGATTTGATGGGATTCTACCTGAGAAGTTTTAATAACAAAGTCTTTAGGGCATTTGGGGGATCATACTATTTTTTATAGAAAAATATTTAATATTAATGTCACCTATATTTGTTTTAGTTCATGCTTTTATTGGTAAGATTATTATAGGTAAAAGCATATACAGCATGTTTTGTGAAATGTGTTTATTACTGACTTGGCGATGTCATGGATATGTAGCCTGCTCAGGAAGAACTCAGAGAAGATCCAGATTTTGAAATTAAGGAAGGAGAAGGACTTGAAGAGTGCTCCAAAATAGAAGTAAAAGAAGAAAGCCCTCAATCAAAAGCAGAAACAGAATTAAAAGCTTCCCAAAAACCAATCAGAAAACACAGGAACATGCACTGCAAGGTTTCTTTGTTGGATGACACAGTTTATGAATGTGTTGTGGAGGTGAGTATGTTTTCATTTCCAACAATCAGAACTCTTACAGGTGGTTTCATCTAGAGTTGCGTAAGTGGTGATTTTGCCCACGATAAGACTCACTGTAGTGATTATTTCTTTTTTCTTTTTTTTTTTTTTTTTGAGACAGAGTTTTGCTCTGTCACCCAGGCTGGAGTGCAGTGGCATGATCTTGGCTCACTGTAGCCCCCAACTCCCATGTTCAAGTGATTCTCCTGTCTCAGCCTCCCGAGTAGCTGGGATTACAGCCATGTGCCACCATGCCAGGCTAATTTTTTGTATTTTTAGTAGAGACAGATTTCACCATATTGGTCAGGCTGGTCTTGAAGTCCGGGCCTCAAGTGATCTGCCCACCTCGGCCTCCCAAATTGCTGGGATTACAGGCATGAGCCACTGCGCCCGGCCTTTAATGATTATTTCTGTAGATGGAAGTATTAATGGTGATTTTCTGGAGGTGGGATTATGGGAAGATGATGAGTAAGTCTTTAAGTCCAGTAAATGCCATTTCTTAAAATTTTCTGTTTTCTGAAAGAATAAGTGATTGAATCAGGATTGAAGAAAAATATCAGAGTTATTCAGTTACTCTTTTTGCTCCTTCAGGACAAGTTGACAATTTTTTTTTTGTTTGTTTGTTTTTTGAGACAGAGTCTCTCTCTGTCGTCCAGGCTGGAGTGCAGTGGTACAATCTCGGCTCACTGCAAGCTCTGCCTCCTGGGTTCACGCCATTCTCCTGCCTCAGCCTCCAGAGTAGCTGGGACTACAGGCACCCGCCACCACGCCTGGCTAGTTTTTTGTGTTTTAAGTAGAGACGGGGTTTCACCGTGTTAGCCAGGCTGGTCTCGATCTCCTGACCTCGTGATCTGCCCGCCTCGGCCTCCCAAAGTGCTGGGTTTACAGGCTTGAGCCACCGCGCCCGGCCAGAGCAAGTTGAAATTTTAAAAAAATCTACTAACTATATATTTTTCAAACTGGAACAGTAGTTGTTTATTATGATATGCTTGATATATAAGCAATTGCAATTGTTACTAGTAACAGCTTTTATTGACAAAGTGTGTAATTCACATATATGTGGAACAAACTATTTTATTTATTTATTTATTTATTTATTTATTTATTTATTTATTTGAGACAGGGTCTTGCTCTGTTGCCCAGGTTGAAGTGCAGTGGCGCAGTGACAGCTCACTGCAGCCTCAACCTCCTGGGCTCAGGTGATCCTCCCACCTCAGCCTCCTGAGTAGCTGGGACTACAGGCACATACCATCACACCTGGCTAATTTTTTATATTTTTTGTAGAGACAGGTTCTCACCATGTTGCCCAGGTTACTCTTGAGCTCCCCGGCTCAAGCGATCTGCCTGCCTCAGCCTCCCAAAGTACTAAGATTATAGGCATGAGTCACCGCACCCAGCCTTATTTCTTAATCACATTATTTATTTGCAAATGTAAATATGTTCAATCACAAATCATCTAAAATATTATGCTATATTTACTAATAGGTATTCTCTAAGTTTAAAAAGGAAATCAAGAAAGATGTAATTGTACTTTGAAACAGGTACTATACACCTAACTAGAGCCTTAGGGTCTGCTTTTTCTGCTTCTTGCACTAACTAATTTAGAGATGGGGAAAGCTATTTTACACCTATTCTTCCCATTCAGACCAAGATCCAGATATGGATCTCTTATATATGAAGCCCTTGGGGACAGATGTGTCATAGAATTCAGAATATTTTGAGGCCGGGCACGGTGGCTCATGCCTGTAATCCCAGCACTTTGGGAGGCCGAGGCAGGTGGATCACGAGGTCAAGAAATCGAGACCATACTGACCAACATGGTGAAACCCCGTCTCTACTAAAAATACAAAAATTAGCTGGGTGTGGTGGCACGCACCTGTAGTCCCAGCTGCTTGGGAGGCTGAGGCAGGAGAATCGCTTGAACCCAGGAGGTAGAGGTTGCAGTGAGCTGAGATCACACCACTGCACTCCAGCCTGGCGACAGAGTGAGACTCCGTCTCAAAACAAAACAAAATAAAAACTAGAATTCAGAATATTTTGGAGTTTAGCAAGGGAATAAGTACATATTCTGCATATTTTATAATAAACCCAGCAGTGTCTGTAGCAGCACCCACATGATCAGACATAGTATTTCTATGGTAAAAGATATGAAGATTCATTCTGAGGTGGATAAATTAAGATTATAAATAGTCTCTTTACAGTTCAAGTCAAAATTTGCCATTTGGATTTTAGAATTATGAATAAGGGATTAGGGAAAATACATGAAGCATTTTCAAATCATCTTCTGTCATTTAGAATGAAAACATGGGAGAAAAAAAGAAAATTATTTGATATGGATGAGTTAAGACTGACAATGAATGAACATTTATGTGAATTATTAATAGTCATTAAAAATAACTCATCTCATTGAGAGGAGGACATGTCATATATGTTTGCCCAAAAAATGATTCTAATTTTTTGAAGTATTTTCATATATATTTCTCAGAAGACATTCACATATTTGATTATTGTTAAACAATTCCAATAAAGAGGTAGGATGAGTGTAAATATTCTTATCATTTCACAGCTGAGCAAACTAATGTTCAGAAAAGTTAATTGAATCTACTCAGCTTGTTTAGCTAGTAAATGGAGGAGCCAGGACTTTCTGACTAAATCTCAGTCTTTAAGTTAGGGTATTTTCTTCCTATAAATAGGAGTAAAAGAACCCAAATTTGGGAATGGTTTGACTTTCTAGGTTAAGAAACATTAAGAAAATTATTCCTAGCACCACTGAAGGAGCCACTTCAACAGGTAGTGTCTGTTGGCTATCTAGAATTTTACTTTATTCATTTTTCTGAAAGAGATTGTAGGGAGTTGAGGCATACCTCATTTTCTTTGGGACATTTGGTCTGAAAATGATAGAGTCTAATGATTTCCACAGCCACAATTAAATGTCACTCTGGACAGTTGATTCAGTAATTTAAGTAGTCACGGTAACTGACAGTTGCTCATAGCATGCTACAGGATATATTGCACCAAAAATGAAGAATGTGATGTGTAGGATGGAGATGGGGAATATGAGATGGAAGGAAGGTAGAATTTTGCTTTGAATTGTAACACAATTTCTAAACTAGTATATGTGTATTACATATGTAAACTGACAAATTGAAGAACAGGAATTTTATAAATCATATTTTCTGCTTAAACTATGTAGCCACCTGAAAGTTTGTTGATCACCAAAGATGAAAGAAGAAATCGGAAAGTGACATTTTATTTTATTTCATGATGGGTGTAGAAATAAGAAGAAACCTCAGGCCAGGTGCAGTGGCTCATACCTGTAATCCCAGCACGTTGGAAGGCTGAGGCGGGGGAATCACTTGAGGCGGGGGAATCACTTGAGCCCGGGAGTTCAAAACCAGCCCGGGCAACATAATGAGACTCTCTCTACAAAAAATTTTAAAAATTAGTCAGGCATGGTGGTGCACATCTGTAGTCCTAGCTACTCTGGAGGCTGAGGTGGGAAGATCACTTGAGCCCAGGAGGTTGAGGCTGCAGTGAGCTATGATCAGGCCACTGTACTCCAGCCTGGGCAACAGAGTGAATCCCCATCTCTTTTGGGGAAAAAATAAAAGAAGAAGAAACCTCAACTCAACTAAGTCACGTATATCTTTGCAGAAACATGCTAAGGGACAAGATTTGCTTAAACGAGTATGTGAGCATCTCAATCTTTTGGAAGAAGACTATTTTGGTCTAGCCATTTGGGATAACGCAACCTCTAAGGTGAGGAGACTGCTTGCAATTTAAGAAGCTGACAAAAAATTTATTTTAATTCTTTTGTTGTTAAGAATGTATCTATACCTGCTTCTCTAAGCCAGTGTTCTTAGAGTTATTCCTGTCTACTCTTATTTCTTAGATTTTCCTGCTATTTTTCTTCTAGAATTAACATTTTAAAGGAAAGACCATTGCTGGTGTATTCTTTCATCATTGAAATAAAGTATATATTGTATGTTTTTACAAGGCAAGGAAAATAAAGAGGTATGATGCACTGATTAGCAAGTACTGTAGATGTCAATAACTTAATATATTATGCAATTGGTATTGTATCTAATGCATAGGTTTATAACAAATATTTGTTGAATGGATGATCTGTTATTAATATTATAATGACATATCATAATTAAATATAATTATGATATATAATTATAATTTGAAAGCAACATTATGAAACAGAATAAAATCCCAATATTATTGAAACGGTCATAACGATGAATCTGACATTTCCTCCAACCTAAAAGGAAACCATTGTTAACTTTTGAAGGAGGTAAAAGAATGGACTTGGAGGAGGGAAGAAAGGTTAAAAGTCAGGTATTTACCTCAGAACACTTTAATTATTTCCTGGGCCAATTAATTGAAAATTGCAAATATTTAACATAAATATAATGATGAAAGCTTTAGTCCAGTTTAACAAGTATTTGCAGGTGCTGTACTAGATGATATGGATGCAGCTGTGAATAAGGTAGACATGGTCCCTGCCCTCTGGAACTTCCAGTTTATTATGAAGATAACATTAATTACTGGTTTGATGAGCGCTATACAAAAGGAAATACAGGTTGTCAGGGAAGAGTATGGCCCGGGAAGTCTCCTCTGGGGAGGTGATGCCTTAGCTGAGAGAGACCTGAAGGATAAAATGAGCAAGTGAGGTGGAGAGAGAATGGCTTGTGTAAGACCTGGAGTTGAGAGACTGACAGTTCAGGAACTGAAAGCCATCTAGCCTGGCTGAACATAGGATATGAGGAATAGAGTAACAGATGAATCTGGACAGGTATACGTCCAGGTTGCGGGGTGGGTGTAAAGTGGGGAATCGTGGAGAGAGTCTTGTAGACACTGAATTTAAGCCATTTAAGTTCATCCTTTCTCCAAGATGATTTCAGTTTATTAAGAAAAGTTGAAGGGCAGCAGCCTTCAACATCTGCAAATTGTAGATTAGGTTGTGTGAGTTAGATAATGCAAACTAGAAGACATGGAATTATCCTTTTCCTAAACAAAATCTATTTCTAGACTATACCTAGTAGTTTACAAAAATTTGTTCCTTCTATGAATGACTACTAACTCAAACAGAACTATGTTTGAGCACTAGGTTAATATTATTCTTTAAAGACTTAACCTTTACTTTGTCTCCCTTAGGGCTCAAACTAGCTTGTACTAGTAAATATAGCTAATATTTGAGTACTGTACATTTCAATATCACGAAGAGAGTAAATCTCAAATGTTCTCATCACAAGGTCAAATATTTGAGGTGATGGATAGTTTGATTCATTTGATTTGATCATTTCACATTGTATTAAAAAATCATAACATCACTTTCTGCCCCATAAATATATACAACTATAATTTTTCAATGAATAATTTGAAAAAGTCTAGCCTTAATTGAAACTACTATTTCCCATTAGTAAGGGAACATTGAAGTTAATTTAAAAACAAAACAATGCCCTCAAAACTACAGTGAAAAACTTTCTACAACTGTGAGCTAGAAAATTCTCCCATGAATTGGCGGGGTGTGGTGGCTCACGCCTGTAATCCCAGCACTTTGGGAGGCTGAGGCGGGCGGATCACGAGGTCAGGAGATCAAGACCATCCTGGCTAACACGGTGAAACTCTGTCTCTACTAAAAATACAAAAAATTAGCCAGGCATGGTGGCGGGCGCCTGTAGTACCAGCTACTTGGGAGGCTGAGGCAGGAGAATGGCGTGAGCCCAGGAGGGGGCGCTTGCAGTGAGCCGAGATTGTGCTACTGCGCTCCAGCCTGGGCAACAGAGTGAGACTCCATCTCAAAAAAAAGAAAAAAGAAAATTCTCCCATGAATCAAGGGAAATACTCTGAAAAGTGTTTTATGTAAGCTCAGTGAGATAATTTTGATTCCCAGAAATTGAATAGTTACATTGTGGGGAAAAAAAAACCCAGATTGATTTGAGAATAATTAAGAATCCTTTAATTTGGCATGTAAAGTCACCAAGTACCTACGTGTTTAATATGGCTGGAAATATTTTTTTCTGTGATCTAAGCATACTTATACATTTCTAGAAGCTGGCTCATCTAAAGCCATTCAGCAGAAGAAATAATTTCTGCTTACAGTTGAGCTTCTAGGGCCCACGTTGGGACAAAAATTTTCAGTTACACTGAAAACTTTTCACCATTGTTGGGATTTATATTCTGTCCTGTCACCAAGTTTATTTTCTTTATAGTGGTTTTCACTTTTTTTTTTGAGACAGAGTCTCACTCTGTTGCCTATGCTAGAGTGCAGTGGTGCGATCTTGGCTCACTGCAGTCTCTGCTTTCCGGGCTCAATCGATCCTCCCACCTCAGTCTTCTAAGTAGCTGGGACCACAGGCACGCACCACCATGCTTGGCCAATTTTTAAACTTTTATATTTTGTAGAGACAGGGCCTCACTATGTTGCTCAAGCTGGTCTTGAACTCCTGGGCTCAAGCAATCCTCCTGCCTCAGCCTCCCAAAGTGCTAAATTACAGGCATGACCCACTATGCCTTGCCACTATTGTAATTAGTTTTTGTTTGTTTGAGATGGAGCTTCACTCTTGTCACCCAGTATGGAGTGCAATGGTGTGATCTCTGCTCACTGCAATCTCCACCTCCTGGGCTCAAGCAATTCTCCTGCCTCAGCCTCCCAAGTAGCTGGGATTACAGGCATGCATCACCATGCCTGTCTAATTTTTTGTATTTTTAGTAGAGATGGGGTTTCACCATATTGGCCAGGCTGGTCTCGAACTCCTGACCTCAGGCGATTCACCCGCCTTGGCCTCCCAAAGTGCTGGGATTACAGGCGTGAGTCACTGCACCCAACCGTAATTAGTTTTTAATGAGCAAATGTTAAATTGCTTTATTTATGTTCACCTATATATTTATGTGTAAAGTGTTGTTAAAAGTGCTTAATATAAAAGCTTAATAACAAAGTACAAACCTGGCTGTGTAAGAAAAGGGCATTATTTCCCTGTAAGTATTTTTGGAAAAGAAAAATTGGTACCTCTGAATCATAATCTGGCTTCAACTTCCCTGATAGTTTATAAGAGCCCCTACTGGGGAAGTCAGTGGGCAAGTGAATCCTGGGAAAAATTGGCCTTATCATAGTCAGGGCATCGACAGGTCTGTATGGACCAGGTTCTTATAGGACATCCAGCGGGAACATTGTCAAAGGGAATGGGCTACTCTATATTTTATGCTTCTAAGTTTATCATGGTAAACCTCCAGCTCAGAAGTAAGTCAAAACAGAGTGTTGTTTTTTTTTTTTAATTTTTATTTTTAATTAAAACGAGAGTCCTTAGCTGATCTAAGAAGCAGAGCATGGAAGGGAAAGTAGGAACTTCATTAGCACATGGCCCAGGTAAATCTTGTACAAAAATGAATCTGGGGAAGATTCATCTTAGGATTGTCAAGTTAAAGGGTCAGTACAGTAGCAAAAACACCTTAGTGATGGCAGGCCTTCCTTAATATGCTGTCTCTTGGCTGGGTGTGGTGGCTCATGCCTGTAATCCCAGCACTTTGGGAGGCTGAACTGGGTGGATCACCTGAGTTCGTAACCAGCCTGGCCAACATTGTGAAACCACATCTCTACTGAAAATACAAAAATTAGCCAGGCATGGTGGCACATGCCTGTAATCCCAGCTATGCGGGAGGCTGAGGCATGAGAATCGCTTGAACCCAGGAGGCAGAGGTCGCAGGGAGCCGAGGTCACGCCATTGCACTCCAGCTTGGGAAACAGAGCGAGATCCCGTCTCAAAAAAAAATCATGCTGTCTCTTAAGTCACAGTTGTCTAGTCTGGATGGGTATCACAGTCTGTTTTATATACAGCTGTCCCTGGTATCTCCCATCACTATCATCCTGGGGATGTGCTTTGCCTCTTTCCTGTGATGTTTCTCCTGTTTCCTTTTTCCTTGGTTTTCTTTGTGTTTTGATAGAGTGCTACTCCTCAGAAATGGTACATGGGATGTAATCGTTTTTGAGACATTACATGTCTGAAAAGATGGCTTTATTCTGCCTTCTCATTTGATTTTGAATTTTGTTGGGTATAGGATTTTAGGCTTGAAATTATTTGCCTTCAGAATTTTGAAGGCATTGCTTCATTGTCTTCTAGTTTCCAGTGTTGCTCTTGAAAAGGCCAGAGCCATTTTGATTTTTGATCTTTTGTATGACTTTTGTTCGTCTCCCTCCTCCTTTACACAATCAAGCGAGTATGATCTTTTCTTTTTTCTTGTCCTTACGAAGTTGAGAGTTTACAATTATATATCTTGGTGTGGGTTGATTTTCATCTATTGTTCTGGGCCCACGTCTATTTTTTACCAGACTGATTTCCTAAAGAATGTTAATTTAGCATATTGCCTGGGCTGAATGTGGTAGGCATTCAACAAATGTTTATTGAAAGAGTGAGACATATTGTTACACTTGAGAGACTAGCTTTGCCACATACTAGTTGCAAGTTAGATAAGTTACTTGTCCTTCTGTTTTCTCATTGGTAAAATGGGAATGATAATGAGATAATCTGTATGAAAGCATGTAGAATCATGCTTGACATGTAGTAAGCATTCAATAAAAATAAGGTGTTATCATTATTATTATGATAGTATTATTGGCTGGGCATGGTAGCTCATACCTGTAATTCCAGCACTTTGGGATGTAGAAGCAAGTGGATCACTTGAGCCCAGGAGTTTTGAGACTAGTGAAACCCTGTCTCTACCAAAAATGAAAAAATAGTAACTGAGTGTGGTGGCACATACCTCTAGTCCCAGCTACTCGGTAGGTTGAGGTGGGAGGATAACCTGAGCCTGGGAAGGTGAGGCTGCAGTGAGCCATGAGTACACCACTGCACTTGCCTGGGTGACAGGGATAAGACCCTACCTCAAAAAAAAAAAAAAGATAGTATTATTGTTTTAAAATGAAATTACCAATTAATCAAGGCCTTGGCTTTAAAAGAAAAGATTTATGTGTCATAATCTAGAGATGCATTCTGGAGCATCCTTCGGGTTGAATATTCTACCTGTTCTTAGGTAGGATGTACAAAAGAACAGTGTATCTTTTACTTAAAATTGATTGTATTTGGCAAGACTATATGGCTTTATTTTAGCTATTGGAAAAAGATAAAATCACAACAAATTTAGTTAAAGATCTAATTGGCTTTTATTTGTGATTCATGTATTAGGCAGCCTTCATTCTACAAAATAGAATGAGGGCTCCCAATAAGCAATGGCAGAACAGTGGGTTTTGTAAGGTAGGAATAAGGAAACCAAGTAATAGGAAAAAGCTGATTAGTTTACATCAAGTTACTTTTCTTCTAAATGCTAAAGCAGAGAGGACTTTCTTGTTAAACTGACTCAGGTAGACTGGAATCTCCTGTTTTCAGGAAAAACTGGTCTGTTTAGCATCTACCCACTTCCTTTAGGTTTCAGTTTGATTATGTGGTATTTAGTATGAGTGACTCCATTTTTGTTTGGCCTGATCTGTTGGAGCCAGTGAAGAAGCTTAGACCAAAACAATGGCCTTCCATAATTTTTGTTTAACACTATCAGTCCATGTATATGTACTGTCAATAAGCCAAATTTCTAGATAAGACCTTCTCTAGAAGTACACAGATATTTGTGAAATGATTGAATCAGTAAAGTTCATAGTAAATCATGGTCATCTAAGTTTTCCGCCATTCTGAAAATACAGAAGGTAATAGAGCTATACAGGCTCTGGGGGCTCATCCCCCCATTTTATAGATGAGGAAACTGAAGCACAGCGTGACAGAGTGAGTAAAGGCAGAGTGACATCCTCTAGTTGCACAGTCAGTTTACTCCTGTAGCTCCTTGCCTGCTGCCCCTTCCTAAGTTATTTTCTTCTTTAGCTTTTTACTCCTTTCCTTGATTTTTACATTTCATCTGTAGTTTTTTTGTTTCCTCTACAGAATTAGTTTATGTTGTAGAAAAAAAATGTGAGCCATAATACAATGAGAGACAACTGTTTTCTGTTCTTTCCATTCTCTGGTGTCTTCTTTTTGTATATGTAAAGATTTGTCCTTTGTATATGTAACTTCTGTCATTAAGAGCTTTGTGCTTTGTTTGTAGACAATTGAGTACATTTAGCAGGGAGGAAAGTTTTCCCTCATATGGAGTGGCTTGCTTGTTCCCTTTTCCTACTGACTGCGTGATAATGGGCCTATTGCTAGGGTCTGGCAAGACAAGTGGAAAAGCGGTAAGAAGCAAACTTCTTTTTCTTTCAGGCTGGAGTGCAGTGGTGCCATCTTAGTTCACTGCAACCTCCACCTCCCAGGTTCCAGCGATTCTCACGCCTCAGCCTCCTAAGTAGCTGGGATTACAGGCGCCCACCACCACAGCCAGCTAATTTTTGTATTTTTAGTATAGACAGAGTTTCACCATGTTGGTCAGGCTGGTCTTGAACTCCTGGCCTCAGGTGATCCAACTGCCTTGCCTCGCAAAGTGCTGGAATTACAGGCATGAGCCACTGCGCCCAGCCCAGAAGCAAACTTCTATAGTTCTGTGAGAGATTTGTTGCCACTATGAATCAAAATTGTCAGTTAAATAGTTGCTTCCTATATTTTATTCCTGCTTATAATTATTTATTAATGGATCAAGGATTTTTTCCTTGGGAGAGAAGTCACTTACATTAATTCCATCTCCCTCCAAATTTCATCTCTAAGCAGAAAACTTGTGCTCTTCTGGTAAATAATGAGAATTTTAAATTAGGACTACATGCAATTCAATGGTATATAGTCATTGTCTTTTTCCATCCATTTTCTGTGTGGATGAATTTTCTTACCTTTAGAGTCAGATAATCAGTCTGAAAAGATCATCAGTCAAACAGAAGTCTTTTGCTCACCTTCACAGGCAAAGAGCAAACACCAATGGAGTGACTATTAAATAAAGAGTATGAGTAATTTAGTTTATAGTCATCTGAAAGGATTGATTCTCATTGATTCATGACTGGCCTTGAAGGCAAGTGGCAGTCATGGTTGTATCTTTATTGTCTGGCAAATTAGAAAGACGAAGGGGAATTTTGTAAATATACTTGCAGAGTAGGGAGGCTGCATTTGTTATCTTGTCTTTTGCTACAGAGATTTGGGTCAACACCTCTAATGAATTTAAATGTGGTTTTTTGGGGTTTTGTTTCTTATTTTTTGTGTTTTAACTTAGTACTTAAAGAATGAGACCTAGAATTACCTGTGCTCTAGAGTTTCTATAACATAACTTGGAGCAGTGATTTGAAGTCAACATCCTAACAGCAGCATAAATAAGGTTATTCCTTGAGTTAAGACAGATAGACTTCTGGAGCTGTACAAAAGTCTTTTACCTCAAAAGACAAGGATTTGTATAAATCTCTTATGTGTATGCGTGGGGGTTTTAGGACCTCCATATAAGGGTAGCTGATGACTAACTCGGGGAATGGAGTTCTTTTTTTTAAAACATTATGACCTAAGGTTGTAAATGCTGCCGAAGATATGAAAGGTGTTAGTCTGTTCTTGCACTGCTATAAAGAAATATCTATAAAGAAAGGAGGTTTAATTGGCTCATGGTTCTGCAGGCTGTATAAGAAGCATGGTGGCATCAGCTTCTGGGGAGGCCTCAGGAAACTTAGAATCATGGCAGAAGACTATGGGGAAGCTGGCACATCTTACATGGCCAGAGCAGGAGGAAGAGGGGGTGGGATGCTATGTACTTTGAAACAACCAGATCTTGTGAGAACTCTTATCATGAGAACAACACCAAAGGGGGAAATCTACCCCCATGATCCAGTCATCTCCCACCAAGCCCCACCTCCAACACTAGGGATTACAATTTGACATGAGATTTGGGTGGGGATACACATCCAAACAATGTCTGCTCCTATTCATTTTACCTCTTTAAATGCCATTTCTGTAGTTGAAACTTTATTAATCTATCCTGGTTTACTTCAGTAGCGTCATTCATCTATTCTTTGTTCATTCATTCATAAACATTTATTATTCAAATAGTATCTGCCTTGTGCTGGGCAGAGCTATAAAAGACAGTCTCTTTCCTCATGGAGCTCCCAGACTGACTAGGCAATAGCAGTAAGATGGACACCCACATGGATGGGGAGTCAGAAGGGGTTTTCTGGAGAAGATAATAACAGATATGAATTATAAGAGACAGTCAGGAATCTTCCAGATGAAGAAGGAGGGAGAGAGTATTCCAAGTAGAAGAAACCACTTGTAAGAAGGTGTTTTGAAAGAAGAACCCATAGGAGACGGGTAATACTTTAGCCAAATGAATGAAGATCTATATCAGGATATTGCTGCTCTTCATCTCTATATTATTTGGAAAGTTGTTTTTTAAGCCAGAGAAGGAATATAATTCTTTTTAATGCACAAGCTTAAATTCTGCTTAAAGTGTTAATATATTTAATTCTCAGGATATGATTGATAAAATGGACTCTTCAAAAAGAATCCATACCACTGAAAATATTCAAATAGAACTAGATTATTCAGAATTACTATTTTAGGGGACATCTGAAGATCCTGCTTTTTTCCTCTAGCTCTAACCCTTTCTTCTATGCTGTAACCATACTCTTTGAGAAATTGGTTTGCATATATTATTCTCTATTGCCTTACTGCATATTAGCTTAACATAACACAAGAAAGGTGTAAATCGTACATATACATCCCAAAGAATTTTTTTTTTTTTTTTTTTTGAGACGGAGTCTCGCTCTGTCGCCTAGGCTGGAGTGCAGTGGCTTGATCTTGGCTCACTGCAAGCTCCGCCTCCCGGGTTCACGCCATTCTCCTGCCTCAGCCTCCTGAGTAGCTGGTACTACAGGCGCCCGCCACCCAGCCCGTCTAATTTTTTTGAGTTTTTAGTAGAGACAGGGTTTCACTGTGTTAGCCAGGATGGTCTCGATCTCCTGACCTCATGATCCACCCGCCTGGGCCTGCCAGAGTGCTGGGATTACAGGTGTGAGCCACTGCGCCCGGCCAAAGAATTTTTTAAAAGTGAACACATCTGTATAAACGCCCCCAAGATAAGAAAAATGAACATTATCAGAACTCTAAAATCCCCTATTGTGTCCCTTCCAGTCACTACCTCCAACCCCTTATCAGTTGTTACTCCTCCCCACTCCCCATCAAAAGTAACTTCTTCCTCCAGCCTGGGCGACATAGTGAAACCCTGTCCCTACAAATACAAAAAAATTAGCCAGGTGTGGTGGTGAGCACCTGTAGTCCCAGCTACTCAGGAGTCAGAGGTGGGAGGATTGCTTGAGCCGGAGAGGTGGAGGTTGCAGTCAGCCGAGATTGTGCCACTGCACTCCTGCCTGGGTAACAGAGTGAGACCCTATCCCAAAATTAAAAAAAAAAAAAAGTTACTTCATCCTGATGTCTATCACCATCAATCACTTTAGCCTGTTTTTAAACTTTACATAAATAAAATCATACAGTGTCTTCTCTTAGGTAGGGTTTCTTTGGTTTCATTCATTATGATGTTTTTGAGATTCATTCATGCTGTTTCAAATAGCAATAGTTCATTCTCATTACTGTATAATTTTTTTTTTTGAGACAGGGTCTCACCCTGTTGTCAGGCTGGAGTGCAGTGGTACGATCTTGATTTACTGCATCCTCCACCTCCCTGGCTCAAGCGATCCTCCTGCTTCAGCCTCCCGGCCTCGTTACTGTATAATATAATATTTCATTGCTTGACTACACCACACTTTATGTACTCTACTACTGATAGACATTTGGCTTGTTTACAGTTTGGGGCTTTTACGAATGCTTCTGCTAGGAACATTCTTGTAGGTGCCTTTTGGTATACATCTCACCGTAAACATTTCTGTTGGACATGTTCCTAGGTGTGAGACTGACGGATTTTAGAGAAGGCATATGTTCAGCTTTAGTGATACTATCAAACAGTTTTCTGTAGTGGTTTTACCAGTTTACATTCTCACAAGTAATAAGCGAAAGTTTCAGCTGTGCCATGTCCTCATCTGCACTTGATATAACTCATTGCATTTTGATTTCTGCCCTTATTGCTCTGCTGAAACTGTTCTTACCAAGATAAATCTGACATGTTTTATCCTCATGTTACTTGTCTGTTTTGCGGTATTGATGATCTTAATTACTCCCTCCTTGAAACTTCCTATTCCTTTACATACTGTGATACCAGCCTTTCCTGTCTTTCTCTCACCACTATAGTCTCTTCTCCTCAATTTACTTCTCAGCTCTTTGTTCTCTCTCCATACCTTAAATGCAAGTGTTCCCCAAGTTTCCCCCTTTATTTTCACTCTAATACATACTCCTTGGGTGATTTTTAAATCTTCTTTAATGGGTTCATTCTACCACCTACATGAGGAAGGTGCCCAAATGTATATCTGGTCCAAATTTCTTTTCTGAGTGCCAGACCTGCTTATACAGCTTTCTATGAAATATTCCACTTGGATTTCCAAAGATACTTTAAACATATACCTATTTAAATATATTACAATTTATTCATTCAATTGTTGATGTACATGTAGGTTGTTTCTTGTTGCTATTTTTTTCTCCTTTATAACATGTGTTCCTTTCCCTGTATTTCCTGTTTTAGTGAATAGTGCCACATCCACCCAGTTGCCCAAGCCAGCAACTTGAGAATTATTCTTTACCACTATACCTTACCAACCCTCATCATGAGCCCATCCTTCCCCTACATCCCATTTACTTAGTCACAAATCGTAATAGCTTTAACTCTTAATTTTTTTTCCTCTGTCCCATAGACTTTATCCCATCAGACCCTTTTGATCAATATCAGTACCATTTATTGAATACTGGCTGTGTGCTTTTAGTATACATCAAATAATTTAACCTGCAATAACTCTGTGAGGATGGTAGTTTTATCCCAATTATACATATGAGAAAATTGAGGCTCAGAAACACTGTCTTATGTAAGGTTACACAGCTGCTAAATGGTAGAGAGGATGAGGCAGGATTGGAATTCAAGACTGTCTGACTTCAAAGCCTGTACCCTTAACCATTATATTCTGCTGGACCACAGTTATCATTCTCAACAACAGTGTCTTTTCTGGTCCCCCTGGCTACAGTCATGCTTTCTCTAATTGATGTCACTCCTTTATTTTAAATCCTTCAATGGCTCCCGCTTGCTAAGAACTTGATAAAGTCTAAGTTCTTAGCATGGAATACTCTCCCTCCATGTCTGGTCCTTACTGTTCTTTTCAGTTTTACATCTCTCCTCTTTGCCTCTGTGCTCCAGCTATGCTGAACCACATGCAGCAACTCAGGTGTATTGCAGTCACTTTTATACTTCTGTGCCTTTCTAATTATTTCGTTTTCTTCTTTGCCTGGCTAACTCATTTGTCCTTCAAGACTCCATTTAGATCCCCCAGACATTCTATTAAGAAACATTTCCTAACTGACTTCTAAACCATTTTGGTGCATGTCCTCTGTGCTCTCAGAATACCCTATGCTCTATCATAGCACTAGCACATATTTTTTATCATTGTAATTGTCACACCTCCTCGAACAAACTGATTGTTCTCTTTTTGCCTCCTGATTAGAATGACAGCTCCCTAAGGACCAGTGCTAGTTTTTAATCCTTCTTTTTTTTTTTTTTTTGTAACCACAGTGCCTAGCACATGGAAGCATTCCTCAAATATTTGTTGGCTAACTAAAATGCTGGAAATTAAACAATTTAAATTGAGCATAAAAGTACCTGTTCTTGTACACATTGATTTTTATTATCTCCAGAAGATTTTGTTTTTGATTTTGATTTGGAGGTGTAGGTAATTGAAGCAACAACAATTTATTCTACATGGTAGCTTATACCCTGGAGTCTTTATATGATTGACACAAAAGTGGGTTTGCCTTCCCTATGTCAAGTTAGTAGAAATTCTCGCACAGACTCAGAATGGTTCATAGAATCCCTGGAAGGAACTTGGCAGCTTCAGCTTACCTAGGGAGATTCTCTTAAAATAATGGAAAACATGAGTCTTCTATGGTAAGAAATACCTACTCCAAAGTGGTAAAAAGTGGTAGTAGTTCTGGATTGCATGGTATAAACCAAGGTTCTCAGAGGTTTCATGAAACTCAGTTGGTGCTTTTAAAGTCTTCCTTTGCCTTTGAAAATACGGCAACTTTTTAAAAATTTTCTTTAGTCTAAATGAAAGACTAAGGAGAAAACACCCAGGTCACGCCTTTCTGACAGGCTTAAACAAGTATGTGCTTATTTTTATACCTTAGAACAATTTAATAATATGTGGCATTTATTATATATATTAATTTTCTGGTTTAATTGTGGTGGGAGTATAAAAGAAAACTAGTCCCCACTCTTAGGTTTATTGTCTGTTGTAATGATTATATAATAGTCAAAGTAGTATATAATCAATTTTTAAAATGTGGTGTTCAAGCCCATTCCTTCAATAGGGCAAATGGGATAGTCACCATATGCTCTGCCCTTGTTGGTAGAGGGTGAGGAAGGGACACCTTACTCCTTTTTTCTAAATACCACTGTCTCTGGGTACGGTGGCTGACACCTGTAATCTCAGCACTTTGGGAGGCCGAGGTGGGCAGATCACTTGAGGCCAGGAGTTCCAGACCAGCCTGGCCAACATGGTGAAACCCCATCTCTACTAAAAATACAAAAAAATTAGCCAGGCATGGTGGTGGTTGCCTGTAATCCCAGCTACTCGGGAGGCTGAGGCAGGAGAATTGCTTGAACCCGGGAGGCGGAGGTTGCAGAGAACCAAGATTGCATCACTAAACTCCAGCCTGGGCCACAGAGCGAGACCCTGTCTAAATAAATAAATAAAATGCCACTGAAATTCAATTTTAAATCTTTTGGACAAGGGAAGGGGAGGGATTAGGAAGAGGCAAGAGAGGGGCTCCTGAGGTGCTAGTAATGTTATAATTCTTATATGTTCACTTTGATATTTTATTGATCTTTATACTTATGTTTTATGTACTTTTCGACATGTATCTTGTATTCCATTAAAATGTTTTAAACAATTCTAGAAATTTAGAAATTTCTGTCTTTAAACATTTCTCAAAGGGACCTATGAAAGATGTTAATGGTGAGGTTCTTTTCCAGTGCCCTTATTTTGCATGGTCTACCATGGGTTGAGGAGCCCTAGCCTAGTGGTGTGCAGATTCTAAGTGGAGTGGGAGAACAGTGAAGGACAAGATTGGCGTGGGCAAGAGTAGTTTGGGAAAACAAAATATTTATTCATTCAGTAAACGTTAACTGGGCACAAGCCATGTACTGAATACTGTGCTGATATAGAAAACTTTGGCCAGGCATAGTGGCTCATGCCTATAATCCCAGCACTTTGGGAGGCCGAGCCGGGCAGATCACCTGAGGTCAGGAGTTGGAGACCAGCCTGACCAACATGGTGAAACCCCATTTCTACTAAAAATACAAAAATTAGCTGGGCATGGCATGGTGGCATGCACCTGTAATCCCAGCTACTCAGGAGGCGGAGGCAGGAGAATCACTTGAACCCGGGAGGCGGAGGTTGCAGTGGGCTGACATCGAGATTGCGCCATTGCTCTCCAGCCTGGGCGACAAGAGTGAAACTCTGTCAAAAAAAAAAAAAAAAGAAAAAAAAGAAAAGAGTTTGAGACCAGCCTAGCCAACATGTTTGGCAAAACCCCATCTCTACTAAAAATACAAAAATTAGCCGGGTGTGGTCGTGGGCACCTGTAATCCCAGCTACTTGGGAGGCTGAGTCAGGAGAATTGCTTGAACCCACGAGGCGGAGGTTGCAGTGAGCTGAGATTGTGCCAGTGCACTCTAGCCAGGGCAATAGAGCGAGACTCCTTCTCAAAAAGAAAAAAAAAAAAAGAAAAAACTTGAAGGAGACTAAAGGTCAGGGTTGGAGGGGAAAATAAAATGTGGATGCTGTCAATTAATTCTGGTTGTAGCTATCTACTAGTCTTTATAGAATAATATAAATAACCAATGCTTACTTAGCATTTGCTGTTTACTAATATATTTACATGTATTAACTCATTTTATCTTCACAGTAACACTATGAAGTAGGCACTACTACCAATATCTCATTGTATAGATGAGGAAACTGAGGTACAGATTTCCTAAAGTCACTCAGCCAGGAAGTAGTGGAGCTAATATTCAACCCAAATGTCAGGGTCCCTTTTTGTCTGCTCAAAATCACTATGCTTTGTGAAATTAATGCAAAGACTATCAAAGGAAATGCAGGTTGATCTGGAGGCACTATTTGAAGATAGTCAGTGATCTTGCTTCCAGTACTCTGTTGTTTATGTGTTTTGGAGCTCTGTGTGAATGCCTTTTCTCCTTTTTACAGACATGGCTGGATTCCGCCAAAGAAATAAAAAAGCAGGTTCGTGGTAAGTGGATATAGCTCTTTTTATAGTTCTTTCTTTCTTTTAGTAGGTCAGAGGATTTCCAACCATTTCTGGCTGTGAGTCAGTCACTTTAGAATCCTGACTACTGCAGATTGCTTTGAAATCGAGATAAAGCCTTCTCCTGGAAGGAGGAGATTCCATAATAGAAAAATATAGCAGAGGTGGATACTATTGAGATGTAGGTCAGATTTTGTTGATTTTTTTTTTTTTACAACTGGGCAAAGTTGGGGAAGATAGGAAGAGTTGAGAGTAACAGAAGGTGGAAAAGAACAAAGATGAGAAAAGAAAAAGGATATGGGAGTCAGTTCTCAAAATGGTAGTGACTTGAAACCGCAGTTGCCTACTAGGAGTTTGCTGCCGTATCCTATTCCTTTGAAATTGTTCTGAACTATTGCATTATAAATTTTATGTTTTCCTCTTTATGGTTGTTTTCATCCCTTTTAACAGTCCTCTTCCAAACTGCAGTATAAAGGACTGTGGAAGAAAAAAAGAATGGAAAGACAAGAATTGCTTGCCACTGACCCTTCTGACATTGTGGCTTTGCTCCTAGCTCTAACTCTAATGTATAGTCCCGCTTTACACCCTGATCAGACTGGTGTCCTGGGATAAATATTTCTGGGCTGAAAAAAGTACAGATTAGTATTTTGCAGTTCCAGGCCCAATGGCTAATTAAGACTACCTGTCCTTTTAGTTTAGTTTTGAAGAAACTTCCAGGAAATGCAATAGTTGTTATTTATCATGATTAGTAAGTTTTAACACTCACCTGAAAACAAACTTTACTTTTCATTTGTTTCTTAGAAGAAAACACTTTTGTTATGGTGAAATGTTTTTCTTTAGACCCTATTTGTAATTGTTTAGTTTTCTTAACGGAAGAAACAAAATACTCTTTTGGACTGATAACTCTCTGTATTTGCTTTCTACCTATAAAAGCTCGTTTTAAAATGCAAGTCAGAGCAAACAAATATTCAGAATATTTGAGACACCACAAGAAAAATATAACTCCTTGCTCCTTTCAATGAAAATACTTTTAATATGAAATATTAGGAACATATGATTATCCAAGAAGATTCTTTAAGAGAAAAAGTTAACAGAGTTTATGATGAGTAAAAAAGAATATCTAGTAGATTATCTTCCTGGGTATTTAAAAAAAAATCTTGCTAAGAAAAGGAACCTTAATATTTTTCAGTTAAAAAAAATTACACCATCCTGGCCAACATGGTGAAACCCCGTCTCTACTAAAAATACAAAAATTAGCTGGGTGTGGTGGCGCATGCCTGTAATCCCAGCTACGCAGGAGGCTGAGGCAGGAGAATTGCTTGAATCAGGGAGTCGGAGGTGGCAGTGAGCCGAGATCGCGCCACTGCACTCCAGCCTGGCGACAGAGCAAGACTCCATCTCAAAAAAAAAAAAAATTACAGAATGATAAAAACGCTTTCTTCAACATGGGGGAAAAAAACAAAACAAAACAAGAAAAACACCATGTCCCTCACAAAAACTTTAATAGAGAATCAAACTGTAAACATTTTTTTAAGCCAAAGAGAAGAATGACATTTATTGCAAAGGTGGGGGTTTTTTAAATTTTGTTTTTTGTGTTTTTGTTTGTTTATTTGTTTGTTTTGAGATGGAGTTTCGCTCTTGTTGTCCAGGCTGGAGTACAATGGTGTGATTTCGGCTCACTGCAACCTCCACCTCCTAGGTTCAAATGATTCTCCTGCCTCAGCCTCCCAAGTAGCTGGGATTACAGGCATGTGCCACCATACTTGGCTAATTTTGTATTATTTTTAGTAGAGACAGGGTTTCGCCATGTTGGCCAGGATGGTTTGGAACCCCTGACCTCGGGTGATCCACCCTCCTTGGCCTCCCAAAGTGTTGGGATTACAGGCGTGAGCCACGGCGCCCAGCCCTTAAGTTTTTTTTTTTTTTTTTTTTTAATCACACAAGTAATATATACCCATTGTAAGAAATTTAAACATTGTAGGAAATTATCATGAAGAATGTAAGAGTCCTCTAAATCCTGTCCTCTGGATATAATCACTGTTAAACTGATATAATCTGCAATATTTTTTTCTAGGCATATATACATTTTGCATTTTAAAAATCCAAGTATATGGCCAGTTGCAGTGGCTCACGCCTGTAATCCCAGCACTTTGGGAGGCCGAGGCAGGTGGATCACCTGAGGTCAGGAGTTAGAGAGCAGCCTGGCCAACATGGTGAAACCCCGTCTATACTTAAAATACAAAAATTAGCTGGGCATGGTGGCAGGCACCTGTAATCCCAGCTACTGGGGAGGCTGAGGCAGGAGAATTGTTTGAACCTGGGAGGTGGAGGTTGCAGTGAGCTGAGATCATGCCATTGCACTCCAACCTGGGGGACAAGAGCAAGACTTCGTCTGAAAAAAATAAAATAAAATAAATAAATAAAAATTACAAGTATGTTATATGTAGTTTTTAAATTTAATTTTTAAAATAGATGTTATAAATATGTGGTATAAAATAAAAAGATACATATGAGTATAGTACGAGGTAAATCTCCCTTCTCTCCTTGTCCTAGTCATGCAGTTTTCGTTCCTGGAAGCAACCATGGTAACGTGCTCTTTCCAGAGATGGTCTGAGTGTAATAATATATGATATATATTTTAAATATGTATATATATTTTTAGAGATGGGGTTTCACTCTGCCACCCAGGCTGGAGTGGAGTGGCACAATCCTAGCTCATTGCAGCCTTGAACTCCTGGACTCGGGAGAGCCTCCCTTCTCAGTCTTCAAAGTACTGGGATTACAGGTGTAACCCACCACACCTGGCTGGTCTGAATGTATATAGACACACACACGTGAACGTGTGTTTTAATATAAATATGCAACCAATCTTTTTTGTTTAACATAATTTGGAGTGCTATCCATATCAATATATATACATTTATTTCATCTCTTAATTTTAGGCCAGGCACGATGGCTTATGCCTGTAATCCCAGCACTTTGGGACACTGAGGTGGGAGTATCGCATGAGCCCAGGAGTTTGAGACCAGCCTGGGCAACATAGGGAGACCCCGTCTCTACAAAACATCTGAAAATTAGCTGAGTGTTGTGTACATGCCTGTAGACCCAGCATTTCTCAGAGTATCTCTGTCATTAAGTGAGGCATGGCAGGCATGAGCCACTGTGCCCAGCCTTGTTTATGTAGTTCTAATCCTTTATAAATCAAACGATTATATTAAGTCAGGCAAAAAAATGAGATCCTCTAGCACAAATCCTTAAGTGATATCTAAGCAACTTTCTTCTTTTTAAAAAATTGCTTTATCCACCAAGCATGAAAATATTTAAAGATGTATTAATATAAAAAGAGAAATGTAGGCTGGGCGTGGTGGCTCATGCCTGTAATCCCAGCACTTTGGGAGGCCGAGGCGGGTGGATCGCCTGAGGTTGGGAGTTTGAGACCAGCCTGAACAACATGGAGAAATCCTGTCTCTACTAAAAATACAAAATTAGCCGGGCGTGGTGGTGCATGTCTATTATCCCAGCTCCTCAGTAGGCTGAGACAGAAGAATCGCTTGAACCTGGGAGGTGGAGGTTGTGGTGAGCAGAGATCACGCTAGATCACGCTTCACGCTACGGCACTCCAGCCTGGGCAACAAGAGTGAGACTCCGTCTCAAAGAAAAAAAAAAAAGAAAGAAAAAGAAAAAGAGAAATGTTTGAATATTTTGAGGTACTTCCAACAATTAGAAACTTAGGTATAAACGTAAAATTCTTTTGTGTTTATTTTTATAGGTGTCCCTTGGAATTTTACATTTAATGTAAAGTTTTATCCACCTGACCCAGCACAGTTAACAGAAGACATAACAAGGTAAATAAGTAATAGTTAAATATGTAATTTATCATATAATAATGTGTATGATGAGACAGTAATTCTTACCACCATAAGCTCTGCTAATTCCGTATTCAGAACTGAAGAAAAATAATGATATTAAGTAGCCTAGGATTGAAAGTTTCTGGTCACTTCAAGGCAGGCATACAAATAAGTGAATCTAAAAGCCTTGAGTATCTGTGACCTGTATCATAAGTATCAGGAAATTGGCAGGGGAACTGGCCTTGCTTATCATGGATATTATGCCAAGCTGTGGGCAGGGCTTCTACCAGCACCCTCCAAAGGGCAAGACACAAATATAGTGGTAAAATGACTCTACTGTTTTTTTTGTTTGTTTTTTGGGGTCTCTTTTCATACTCCTTTCCCACCATGTTCCTTCTTTTTGTTGTTGTTTTTTGTTTTTTGAGACGGAGTCTCGCTCTTGTCGCCCAGTCTGGAGTGCAATGGCACGATCCTGGCTCACTGCAACCTCAGCCTCCTGGGTTCGAGCGATTCTTTTGCCTCAGCCTCCCGAGTAGCTGGGATTACAGATGTGCACCACCACGCCCTGCTAATTTTTTTTTTTTTTTTTTGTATTTTTAGTAGAGGCGGGTTTTCGCCATGTTGGCCAGGCTGGTCTTGAACTCCTAACCTCAGGTGATCTGCTTGCCTCGGCCTCCCAAAGTGCTGGTGTTACAGGCTTGAGCCACTGCACCCGGCCCCACCATCTTCCTTCTTATAGGTATCAAAAAAGCTGAAAGCCTAAGTGTTATTATTTCTTCCTATCTCCCTTTTAAAATGTTTGATGAAGTACTTAATCCCCTGAACTGAATCTTCCTTGGAGCCCACCTAATTTATTAAATCCTGCGCTCTTTAAAAACAGCCTACTGATGTCTTTTAAGAAAATGGCTTTTATTGGATTCTATAAAAATATTAACTAAAAAAGAAAATGGAAAATCAATATATTATAAGTACTACTGTGCATATTTATATTCATGACATCTTGCATAGGGTCTTATCCACAGGAGATGCTTGTCAAATGTTTCTTAAATTAAACTGTTGGTTGTTGAGTAACTGCTTTCTATTTCTGATTTTGCTGCCAACTATCTGATTCCAGGCAGATTTACAGTCTTTAGGCCTAGATAGTTTCCATATCTCTCAAATAAGAGAATAGACTAACCTCTTTAAAAATCTGATTATTAAGTTCTATACAAAGTCAATGCCATTTTTTCTTATTATTTGTCATCTAGTCATCCTCAGTACATTCTTGAAGTTGAGATGCCGGATTTCTGCCTTAAAAGATTCCTTTGGTTATTTCTTTTTCACAGTAATATTTGTCTTTTGGAGTTGCTACTTAATCATCTTTTTCCGTCTAGGCTTATGTATAAAACAAAACACATTTCTAAAAATCTTTGCTAATTATTTACATTTTAGAGGAGTTTAAAATTTTTGTGCCTTGTTTGGCATTGTTCTGACATTTAAAAAAATGTACGTTATGACTAATTATAGCAAAATGTTATTTAATATCTTATAATAGAAGCAAAGATATGATTCTAATTAATTTAGGAATTGTCAATTTAATAATACTTTCCTGTTTGGTAAAACTGTCTGAATTGGTGAACTCAGTCAGTTAGAACACGTGGTAAGGAAGTCAGGGCCATAGGTGTGAACGTTACACTGATGGAGAGAAAAGTGTCAGCGTGGTAAGGCACTCATTTGGTTTGTTGGACTGAACTGTTTTAACTGCAAACTGTGCAGTTCCCAACAGTTTAGCACACAGATGGGATTAGTCTTACAAGGTGGCTAATAGTATGTAGAAAGCTGCATGCGACTTAACTCATCTTGGAGAGAAAATACACCAGAATATTTATATCCTAGTGAAAATGTCAGTAATGTCATCTTTGTATATGAAGGACTATATCTGCACACTTGGCATAGCAATGTGATAGAAAAGAAAGGGCCTGGTTTTGGAGCCAGTCTTCATTACTACCTGACACCGAGCACGCTAAGCTTCTGAGCTGCTTCCTCATCTATAATCTGGCAATGATACCTACCTCACAAGTTTTTTTTATGTGTGTGTGTGAAGATTAGGTGAGATAATTTATATATCTGTGGTACTTAGTATACTTAAAAAAATAGTAGTTTCATTACTTCCTTTAGACTTTTCCAACCTTTCCTCTTTCTAAATGTGTCCAATATAGTTACAGTATTTTTTTTAAGTTTTAATATGTAAAAATTTCAAACACACAGAGAGAAATAATAGCGCAATGAACTACCATATACCAACTACCTAGATTGAAGTTATTATTATCTCATATTTACTTAATTGCTTTCTTTTCTTCTGTGTCCTTATTTTTTCTCTCTCTCCCTTTCTGTTTCTCCCCTTTTCTCCTTTTTCTCTCTTTATATTTTGTTGTTGTTGTTGCTGACATAACATTTTTCTCTTTTGGCTGTAGATATTATTTATGTCTTCAGCTTCGGCAGGACATAGTTGCAGGACGTCTGCCCTGTTCCTTTGCAACCTTAGCATTATTAGGTTCTTACACCATCCAGTCTGAACTGGGAGACTACGACCCAGAACTCCATGGCGTGGATTATGTTAGTGATTTTAAACTGGCCCCGAATCAGACCAAGGAACTTGAAGAGAAGGTCATGGAACTGCATAAGTCATACAGGTGAATATGTCTCCAGGGTTTGTTCGGTGTTTGTTTTGGCGATTAGTTTAAACACAACATGGTATTGGTTCATTGTTTGCCTAAGAGGGATCATGGTGCCATAGAAAGAGTCAGTTTCCTCCACTGTTTGACTTTGGGCAGGTTACTTAACCTCTCTTAATCTAAGCTTTCTCATCAGAGTAATAGGCATTGCATTGTAGGGTGAAAACTAAATGAGGTAATATATGTAAAGCACTTAGCACAGTGGCTGGCTCAGTGCTCAGCAAATGGCAGCTATTATTATTTTTGTTTCCTTACCTTTTATTTTTTATCAGATTTAAAGCTAATTATGCTGCATTAGGTACCTTGAGATCCTTAGAGCAGGGGTTTTTAATTTGAGATCTTTATACATGGATAGATTTCAGAGGGCCCGTGAAACTCTTGGAAGTATTTTTAAAAGTCTTTATTAAATTTACTGACTATACTGCTTTTATACATGAAAATGATTGGTAATGCTGGGAGTTATCAAGTGATCAAGAACAAGAGTTTACAGTCAGTCTGAGCTGGGTTGAAATCTTGACGTTGGTTCCAACCTTGTGACCTTAGGTCTTTCAATTATAATGTCTCTGAGCCTCAGGTTTCTTATATTTCTGATGGAGATTATCACCTCAGAGAAACTAGGGGGACTGCTAGGTTTAGAAAAGGTATTGTGGGCTGACCACAATGGCTCGCACCTGAAATCCTAGCACTTTGGGAGGCCGAGGCAGGAGGATAACTTGAACCCGAGTGTTTGGGACCAGCCTGGGCAACATAGCAAGACCTCATCTCTACAAATAATTTAAAAATTAGCCAGGCATGATGGAGCACTCCTGTGGCAAGTAGCTGAGGTAGAAGGATAGTCTGGGAGGTCAAGGCTGCCATGAGCTGAGATCACACCATTGAAAGGTGATGTGTGTAAAATACTGAATACAATGTCACAATGTCTTTCATGTGGTAAAAAATTCAGTAAATATTAGCTAATATTAAAGTGCCAGAATAATTTGTGTTTCTTCCTCCTCATACATTCATTGTTACTTGAGTGACTTGCTATAGCTTAGTTCTGTAAACTGCCTTAGCATATTAATGTGAAAATCTGACCTTGGCCTTGAATTAGTACCCTAAGTTACGTTAGCATGAGTTAGGTTGCAAAGTTCCAAAGGATCACACTGCTCAAAGAGAAATCCAAAGAGTGGTGTCGGTAGGCTTGCCATGATAGTAAAAATTATTCTTTCCAGCCATTGAGCCATCTTGTTCTCCTTGGGGTAGTTGGAATAGGATTGCATGGATTGGGATGCTTCAAATGAGAGAGCTGTAACTTAAGATGTCTGAATTCTAGGTGCGTTATTGCCCCTGTAGGTTCAGGTACCTCAGTCATGAGGACCATACTAAGGACTTTAAAGTCTACAACCTACATAGCAGTAGTCTTATAAGAGTTACCCATCTCTCTTGGGGTCACACTATTTCCAAAGAGAACTGCACGTTTGCTTTTTAAGTTTTGACTTATTCCAGTACCAATGTCTGGAGTCACTAAATACACCACTTTCAACTTGTTGATGACTATAACTTAAGCATGTTACATTGTCTTTGAATACATTTTTATTGTTTTTATTTTTTATTTTTATTTTTGAGATGGAATCTTGGTCTGTTGGCAAGGCTGGAGTGCAGTGGTGCAATCTTGGCTCACTGCAGCCTCCACCTCCCGGGTTCAAGCAATTCTCTGCCTCAGCCTCCTGAGTAGCTGGGATTACAGGCGCCCACCAACACACCTGGCTAATTTTTTGTATTTTTAGTAGAGACGGGGTTTCACCATCTTGGCCAGGCTGGTCTTGAACTTCTGACCTCATGATCCACCTGCCTCGGCCTCCCAAAGTGCTGGGATTACAGCACTTTTATTTATATTCTGGTTATGATTCTCAACATTTACATATATAAAAAATAGGGACATATAAAAATATATGCATATATACATAGAAAAGCAAGTACTGGAAAGAAACAAAATAATTTGATTAATTAGAATGTCAATACTGTAGGGAAATGTTATTTTTATTACCTAATAATTTAAAAATATTTTTTATTAGTTATAATATAACCCTTGGGCAATCAGTAAAATAGTAAAAGAAAATATTTTACTGCTGCCATAGAGCTGAACCGCAGAAAATGATGATGTCAGATTGTGATTGATACTTGAAATCTGTCTCTGATTTTTTTTTTTAAAGAGAGATGGAATGTCACTGTTGCCCAGAGTGTAGTGTAGTGGTGTGATCATAGCTCGCTGCAGCTTCAATCTCCTAGGTTCAAGTGATCGTCTCATCTCAGCCTTCTGAGTAGCTAGGACTATAGGTGTGTGCTACCATGCCCAGCTAATTTTTAAATTTTTTTGTAGAGATGGTAGTCTCACCATGTTGTCCAGGCTGATCTCAAACTTCCAGCCTCAAGACTCCCAAGGTGCTAGGACTACAGGCATGAACCTCTGCGCCCGGCCTAATGAGTCTTTTAATGGTTATCTGATCATAATAGAATCTCAGGTTTGAGAGGACTTATAGTCTCTCATCCAATGCTTGATTCTCCTTTATAGAATTGTTACATAATAATCATAATAAGTAGCCAGTTATTGTGCATCTATTATTATGTGCAAGATACTATGATAAGCACTTTATGTAAAACATCACGTTTAATCTTTATAACCACCCTTTGAGTTAGGACAACGGTTCTCAAAGGTGGTCTACAGACCCTGGAGATCTTCAAGATTCTTTCAAGGGGTCCATGAAGTCAAAATTATTTTTGTAATAATGCTAAGATGTTATTTGCTTTTTTCACTCTGTTGAAATGGGTGGGGCACAAATCAAGGCAGTTGGAGCAAACTGTACTAAGAGTCACTATATTGTTCTCCAGCATGCACTTGCAGCTGGAAGTGCAAGAAAGCCAGCTTACCTTAGAATTTTCCTAACGAAGCAGCAAAAAGTATTAATTTTATTAAGTCTTGAATACATTTCTATTTAATATTCTGTGTGATTAGATGGGAAGTACACACAAAGCATTTTTGCTGCATACTGAAGCACAACAGTTGTCTCAAGGAAAAGCACTTGTGCAATTGAGTTGTGAGCTGAATTGGCCATCTTTTTTTTTCTTTTTTTTTTTTTGAGACGGAGGCTTGTTCTGTCGCCCAGGCTGGAGTGCAGTGGGGTGATCTCCGCTCACTGCAAGCTCCGTCTCCCGGGTTCACATCATTCTCCTGCCTCGGCCTCCTGAGTATCTGGGACTACAAGCGCCAGCCACCACGCCTAGCTAATTTTTTGTATATTTAGTAGAGACAAGGTTTCACCGTGTTAGCCAGGATGGTCTCAATCTCCTGACCTCGTGATCCGCCCGCCTGGGCCTCCCAAAGTGCTGGGATTACAGGCATGAGCCATCGCGCCCGGTGGCCATCTTTTCTATAAAACACCATGTTTTCTTGAAAAAATGACAAACTATGATTATTCGGACTCGGTTATTTGACACACATTTTCTCAAAAATGAAATGAGCTAGTACTTTTAGGAAAGCAACTGACAGTATTTGTTGCTAATGACAAAATTCAAGCTTTCTGGTAAAAATTGGAATTTTGGAAAACTTTTATATATCCCCATGATCTTGACAGCTTTTAAAGACTTTTCTGCTAAGGTCAGTGGTTATTTTAATGAATGTGTTTTTTTATACACATATTATATCAAGGTTTGGAAGATTTTCATAACTTGGTGAACAAGTATTTTTCAGATTAGAAATGCACAATGTTAAAAAAATCATGCACAGGTAAAAGATCCATTCAAAATGCAAGATAGACCAATGGATTTTAATGTAACAGTACAAAAAGTTCATTGATAAGTTTCTACATTTCACATTGAAAATTATCTTTAAGAAACTGCCATTGATATAATAAAAAAAAAAAAAAAAAAAGAAACTGCCATTGATAAGTTTTAGTGTAATACCAGAAAAGAATATTTTAGGCCAGGCGCAGTGGCTCATGCCTGTAATCCCAGCACTTTGGGAGGCCGAGGCAGGCGGATCACAAGGTCAGGAGTTTGAGACCAGCCTGGCCAATATGGTGAAACCCTGTCTCTACTAAAAATACAAAAATTAGCCAGGCATGGTGGTGGGCACCTGTAATCCCAGCTACTTGGGAGGCTGAGGCAGGAGAATCACTTTAACCTGGGAGGCGGTGGTTGCAGTGAGCCAAGATCGTGCCATTGCACTACAGCCTGGGCGACAAGAGCAAGACTCCATCTCAAAAAAAAAGAAAAAAGAGTGTTTTAAATTCATAGTCACCCCTTTTCAAACTACATGTCTGTGTGAGATCAGATTTCTTCACATACTGCCAAATCAATATATTGCAACAGATTGAATGCAGAAGCAGTTGGGAGAATTCAGCTGTCTTCTATGCCAGACATTGAAGAGATTTGTAAATATGTAAAGCAAAGTTACCTTTTCATCACTGTTTCAGAAAATATTGGTATTTTTCAGAAATTATGTTATTTATGTTAAAAAGTAATGGGATTACCATTATTTTATTTTATTTTGAAATGGAGTTTCACTCTTGTCGCCCAGGCTGGAGTGCAATAGTGTGATCTCGGCTCACTGCAATCTCCGCCTGCTTGGTTCAAGTGATTCTCGTGCCTCAGCCTCCCGAGTAGCTAGGATTACAAGTGCCTGCCACCACACTTGGCTAACTTTTGTATTTTTAGCAGAGACAGGGTTTCACCATGTTGGCCAGGCTGGTCCTGAACTCCTGACCTCAGGTGATCTGCCTGCCTTGGCCTGCTAAGGTGCTGGGATTACAGACGTAAGCCACCGTGCTTGGCTGGATTACTGTTACTTTTTAGAAATTTAATAAACATTTTAAATTTTCCTTAGTTAAAACAATTTTAATATAGTGAATACAAATAGCTATAAGCCACATAAAGAAAAGCTCTTGACCGGGCACAGTGGCTCATGCCTGTAATCCCAGCACTTTGGGGGGCCAAGGCAGCCAGATCACCTGAGGTCGGGAGTTCAAGACCAGCCTGACCAACATGGAGAAACCCCATCTCTACTAAAAATACAAAATCAGCCGGGCATGGTAGCACATGCCTGTAATCCCAGCTCCTCAGGAGGCTGAGGCAGGAGAATCGCTTGAACTCGGGAGGCAGAGGTTGCAGTGAACCGAGATCATGCCATTGTACTCCAGCCTGGGCAACAAAAGCAAAACTCCGTCTCAAAAAAAAGAAAAAAGAAAGAAAAGCTCTTTAGGGTCCTCAATAATTTTTACAATAATTGTTAAGAGAATAAAGAGGTCCTGAGATCAAAAAAGTTTGAGAACCACTGAGTTGGGGCAATAGGGCACCATAGTTAAAATCTTGGGCTCTGGAGTTAGCCTTTCTTTAAATTCAGACTCCATTCCTTGTTAACTGTGTGCCTCTTGGTAAGTTACTTAAGCTCTCTAAGCTTCAGTTTTTTCATCTGAAAAATAAGGGCAATAATGTGAATTTTCTAATTGTTAAATCAGAAAATTTATATAAAGTGATTAGTACAATGACAGTATATAGTGAGAGTTCAAATATCTGCTATGATAATAATAATTCTTGGCTGGGCACGGTGGCTCACACCTGTAATCCCAGCATTTTGGGAGGCCAAGGCAGGTGGATCACGAGGTCAAGAGATTGAGACCATCCTAGCCAACATGGTGAAACCCCATCTCTACTGAAAATACAAAAATTAGCTGGGCATGGTGGCGCGCACCTGTAGTCCCAACTACTCTGGAGGCTGAGGCAGGAGAATTGCTTGAACCCAGGAGGCGGAGGTTGCAGTGAGCCGAGATCATGCCACTGCACTCTAGCCTGGGTGACAAAGTAAGACTTCATCTAAAAATAAATAAATTAAAGGCCGAGCGTGGTGGCTCACACCTGTAATCCCAGCACTTTGGGAGGCTGAGGCAGGTGGATCACGAGGTCAGGAGTTCAAGACCAGCCTGGTCAAGATGGTGAAACCCTGTCTCTACTAAAAATACAAAAAATTAGCCGGGCTTGGTGGCACGCGCCTGTAATCCCAGCTACTCCGGAGGCTGAGGCAGAGAATTGCTTAAACCTGGAGGGGCGGAGGTTGCAGTGAGCCGAGATCGCACCACTGCACCCCAGCTGGGCGACAGAGCGAGACTCCGTCTCAAAAAATAAATAAATAAAAAATATAAATAAATATAAATAAAAAAAAATTCTTATCCTCACTTCACAAGTGATGAATGTATGTGTCTTGGTTTGGAGAACTAGTTTTAACCTTTATCAGAATGTAAACCCAATTAGGTGAAACAATCTCAAGGGACAAATGGATATAGTTCAGCTGATATTCTGTTAGAGATGTGGTAGAAATTGAGCAATAATGGATCGCCGTGACCAGAACATTTAGGAGTCTGTCATCTTGGAATTTACTTGCTCCTTTTTGGAAAGATTTGCAACCCTCACAAACCCAAAGGAACAATTTAATTATGTCCAACAACATGGCATTTTAACTAATCCAAAGAAACTTCCACTGAGGCATATGCATTTTACTATGCATTGGAAAGTGCAGTACAAGCACTTCTCAGATAGAAGACAGCCTGCATAAATGGAATCCTTAGTAGTGGCCCTTTGCCCAGACTGGGATTTTAAAGCTATAATTAACACTTTAAATTTACACTAGCAAATCAAGCTTTAAAATTAATTGCCCTCCATTTATTGGTATTAGGAAGGTATGTAAACTTGTCTATTGTCCCCCACTTAATTCTTTGAAATCACAATCCTTAATTAGGAGATATAACAAACATTATTAAAAGGGAGTCACATAACACTGGAACACACCGAATAGCTCTATCCTGATTGCACTTGCTTGAAATAAATGCAGGGAAACTTTATTGTAACTTCTCTTTTTAATGAGCTTTAACCAGTGCCGGAGCTTCCTGGTCAGGTACTTTTGTAAGCTGCAGTACTTACAAGTAGTAAATTATTAGGTGGTACTGAAAAAATTCAAGACAGTACTTTTAATGGTTTAGAGGTATCTAATCTCTTCCCAGCTGGTTTGTTATGACGCTCAAAGGTCTTGGAAATTTTAGGGAAAACCTTGATCATTAAAATTTAAGGCAAAAAATAATTTATTTTGTGATATTAATCTTTCAAATATATGTGTTGTGTTAACATGCACAGATGTCTGTGGGTGGTGAGATTATATATTTTCTATGCTTTTAATGATATTTTCCAAATTTTATACAGTGAATGTGTATGATTTTTATAATCAGATAAAGCTTTCTGGCAACATTAGGTGGGGCAGAGCAAGGTAGTCATCCATGCAGAGGGGCAGTCTGGCTTGGGATATTGAGGCCTAAGCAGAGTGAGGAGTGGGTCCGTGGGTTGGAGGGCAGCCTGGCATGAAGAGTCAGAGCTCAAGTGGATGAGGATGGTAGTCATGTGTGGGCACCTGGTGGTGGGTTTCAGAAGCCAAGCAGAGCAAGAAGGGCATCCATGTGGGGGAAAAGCCTACACAGGATGTGGAGGGCATCCATACAGGGTGGTGCTTGATGCACAGTGTCAAAGCCTAAGCAGGGTGAAGAGATGGTCCCACACCAGCAGTCAGAACCCTGGTGAGGTAAGGAGGACATCCACGTGTGCTGAGTAGCCCAGAATGGGGAATTCAGGGTTCAAGTAGAGTGAGGAGGACATCCACATACAGTAGGGGTTTGTGGCTGCAATGAGAGATTATATGATTATACAGAGGGATTGATCAAATTAGTCAATGTATTCAGGGTAATGGGAGCCAGGTTTCTCACTGTCAGTAAAGTGAGACACAAATTATGGAAAGGGAGAAACTAAAATGAACCCTGTTAGGATATTGCGTTAAAACTGGAGGCTTCAATGTGAACTTGTGGTTTCCAATATATAGATAGGTAGATATAGAAATATAGATGTAAAAAGGTAGATACATACACAGATACATACTCTAACTCTACATTGTGTCAGAAGGAAGTACTGGAAGAATGATGGGAAATGGTCAGAAGGACACAGAATCCAGCTTGGAGAGGTTCCCACTACCAAATCTGGGGCAATTTAAGCATCAAAATAGATAAGGAAAATAATTGATATACTGCATTGAATAAAATGAAAATTCGTGAGTCCATACTGACATAAATAAATAAATTGAAATTTTAAGGCTGGGCATGGTGGCTCATGCCTGTAATTCCAGCACTTTCAGAGGCTGAGGTGGGCTGACTGCTTGAGCCCAAGAGTTCACTTGAACCTGGGAGGTCAAGGCTGCAGTGAACCATGATGGTGCCACTGCACTCCAGTCTGGGTGACAGAGCAAGACCTTGTCTCTTAAAAAAAATTTTTTTTGGCTCACACCTTTAATCCCAGCACTTTGGGAGGCTGAGTTGGGCAGATCACGAGGTGAGGAGTTTGAGATCAGCCTGGCCAATATGGTGAAACCCCATCTCTACTAAAAATACAAAAATTAGCCAGGCATGGTGGCGGGTGCCTGTAGTTCCAGCTACTTGGGAGGCTGAGGCAGAAAAATCACTTGAACCCAGGAGGCAGAGGTTGCAGTTAGCCGAGATCATACCACTGCACTCCAGCCTGGGCAACGGAGTGGGACTCCATCTCAAAAAAAAAAAAAAAATTCTTAAGTTAGAATTACATTTTTTTAAGAATTGTAAAGGGACCTTGTTATGTTGTGCAACCTGAACAACCTGAAGTGCAGTGCTATTTACAGGTGTGATTGTAACTCACTTACAGCCTTAAACTCAAGCAATCTACCTGCCTCAGCCTCCCAAGTAGCTGTGACTACAGGTCACTGCACCCAGCTAAAATTATTCTTTTTCTTTTTTTAGAGACAAGGTCTCTCAACATTTTTTTTTTTTTTGAGATGGAGTTTCATTCGTTGCCCAGGCTGGAGTGCAATGGCGCAATCTCGGCTCACCGAAACCTCTGCCTCCCAGGTTCAAGCGATTCTCCTGCCTCAGCCTCCCAAGTAGCTGGGATTACAGGCATGTGCCACCACGCCCGGCTAATTTTGTACTTTTAGTAGAGATGGGGTTTCTCCATGTTGGTCAGGCTGGTCTCAAACTCCCAACCTCAGGTGATCCGCCCACCTCGGCCTCCCAAAGTGCTGGGATTATAGGCATGAGCCACCGCGCCTGGCTGAGACAAGGTCTCTCTATGTCGCCTAGGCTCATAGACTCAAGCAATCCTCCTGTCTCAGCCTCCAGAGTAGCTAGGACTATAGGTGCATGCCACTGAGCCTGGCTAAAAATTAGGTAAAAAATTTTAAATGCAAACATCAGCCAAACTTCAAATATAAATATTATTTTCAACTAACAAGTTTTAAAGATCTCCCCTTATTTATTTATTTGTGAGACGGAGTTTCGCTCTTGTTGCCCAGGCTGGGGTGCAATGACGCAATCTCGGCTCACCACAACCTCTGCCTCCCAGGTTCAAGTGATTCTCCTGCCTCAGCCTCCTAAGTAGCTGAGATTACAGGCATGCGCCACCACGCCCAGCTAATTTTGTATTTTTAGTAGAGACGGGGTTTCTCCGTGTTGGTCAGACTGGTCTTGAACTCCCTACCTCAGGTGATCCGCCTGCCTCGGCCTCCCAAAGTGCTGGGATTATAGACGTGAGCCACCGCGCCAGGCCTGATCTCTCCTTATTTTTTAAAGCATGCTTATTTATAGAAGCATGTAACTACATACTGTGAAATTTAAATCTGTATTCAAATTGATTGACCCTATTAATGTCCCTTAGGGTAGGGTAGGAGGAGTGAGTATAGGGAAGATTTTATCATAATTGCTTTACTTAATGTTTTAAAATTTGTCTTCAAATTCAAGTGATCCAAATTGTGTCTCTTAATTTTATGATTTGTGTGTAGATGAACCACTGGACTATCAGAAAGCTAAGGCTGCAATAATAACTATTCATGTCTATAAAGCAGTTTTACAACCATCATCTCATTTCGATCCCAATAGTAACATTCATTCATTCAGCAAAAACAAAGTCATTGCCTATCCTAGTATCTAGAAATACGCATTATTATGATTCTCGTTTTATAGAGGAGATGGAGGGAGACACTGGCTGGCCACTTACAAGTACTGAAGCCTGGATTCCAGCCCAAGTATTGTGACTTGAGTTTTGACTTAAGTCTGCTGTCTCAACTAAGGGTCCTAACTTGCCTGTGGTAATGTGATCCCTGAGAACCTGTTTCTTCAACAGCAAAATGAAATTATTGTACTCTTTAAACTTCAAGCTCCTTTCCAGCTTCAAAATCCTAAAATTCAGCGGGAGTGGTGGCTCACGCTTGTAATCCTACCACTTTGGAAGGCTGAGGCTGGAGGATGGCTTGAGCCTAGGAGTTCAAGATCAGCCTGGGCAACATACTGAGACCCCCTCTGTACGAAAAATAAGAAAACTAGCTGGACATGGTGGCATGCACCTGTAGACCCAGCTACTCAGGAGTCTGAGGTGGGAAGATCACTTGAGCCTGGGAAGTGGAGGTTGCAGTGAGCTGTGTTTGCACCATTGCACTGCACCCTGGGTGACAGAGTGAGACCCTGTCTCAAAAAAAAAAAAAAAATTCTAAAATTCATCTCGTCAATAACAGTAACAACAACAGAAACATAAAATAGGAGTAATGTTAACTAGAAAAAAATGTAACTTAGATGGAAAAAAATTAAAAACTACAAAACTTTCCTGAAATGTTTTTAATGACTTGAATATACAGACTTGCATAAGGGGCTAATTTTCCCATTCTCCTTTTTTTAATCTTCAATTTCAGGTTCATTAATAAATAGAATTAGGTGTGATGCTTCAGTGCTTGTGAAAATAAGTTTGTTCATGAAGGCTAAATCAGTAGCAAATCTGCACCCTGTCTCCTGTTGTATACATATTTTGGTGGTTGTTGTTCCAAGGAATCCTTTGTCCTTTTAATTAGGGTAAAGACAGATGGATTTGGAAGAGACTTTTCCTTGTGAAATGAAGAGACCCCTGCAGCTTTCTGTAGCTTGAGGCAGTCTTATGGGAAACTGGCGTTTACTGTTTTTTCCTTGGGGATGTGCCTGCATTATTGTTACTGTTAAGTTATACTTGATTGGTCTGAATTGTGCAGCATTAGGAGTGATATTTTTGTCTTTGAAAGCTCTATATAACAGCTCATGAACACTTTTCAAAAGACGGGAAATTTATAGAGGAGAAGAAAAGACTGTCACAGCGAGTGTTTAGACAGTGAGACTGACTGTTTTCAAACAAATCTAATTCATTATATGCCTGGTAATGAAGACATATTAATAACAGAGAAAACAGCCCCATTATCTATGTGCTTCCGTGAACCAGTTTATTTTGTTTATATCAGTGGGCAGGACACCATCTGTTACCAGAAATTTTCTTTTCATCAAGCCTGCCCCGATTAAGAGTCCTCAGTTAAGTAACATCAGCTGCCCTCTTGTTTAATTTCCATAACTCAATTCAGGGGTATGGAGAGAAAAAGGCAGCTATAAGAGGATATTGTAAATTACACCATGCCCTCTGAGGATTTAATTTGGTCATCTCCTTGGCAAGAAAAATTAGCGGGAGGAGCTTATGTATGTCGGAGAAAAAGAGTGAAGAGAAGGGGGCAGAACTAATGATAGATGAAATAGCTTTAAGGAAATTGTTTAGTAGGATTAAAAAAATTTTTTTTGCAGCTTTTTGGTGACTTTTTGTTTGCTCACATTGTCTTTTTCTAAGGTATATTTTAATTATTTAGATACAGGCAGTGATGGGTTCTGTTCCATAATAACCTACTTTCAGGACTAGGAAATATATCTTAATATAGTGGTATGTATATGTTCATGTGTTTAAAATACAGTGAATATATAAATGTTACTGTAAATGATGACACTATAACACTGAAAGAATTTTATGTTTTTATTCTATCAAAGGTCCATGACTCCAGCTCAGGCTGACTTGGAGTTTCTTGAGAATGCCAAAAAGTTGTCTATGTATGGAGTTGATCTTCATAAAGCAAAGGTAATGATAACTTTGCCCTTTATTAATATGCATGTGGAAGATATTATATGATACATGTCTGTTATGTATGTATCACATCTGTGTCATATAATACTTTTTAACAACATCTGGGGTATTTTAAAACATTCAAAAGAGATAGTAGACTGGGCACAGCAGCTCATGCCTGTAGTCCCAGCTACTGGGGAGGCTGAGGCGGGAGGATCACTTGAGTCCAGGAGATCGAGCGTACAGTGAGCCCTGATTGTGCCACTGCACTCCAGCCCTGGCGACAGAGCAAGACCCCGTCTCAAAAAAAAAAAAGAGAGAGAAATAGTACTTCTTGTTAGCTTTTTTTTGTTTTGTTTTGTTTTTTTGAGATGGAGCCTTGCTCTGTCTCCCAGGCTGGAGTGCAGTGGCATGATCTCGGCTCACTGCAAGCTCCGCCTCCCAGGTTCACGCCATTCTCCTGCCTCAGCCTCCTGAGTAGCTGGGACTACAGGCGCCAGCTACCACGCCTGGCTAATTTTTGTATTTTTAGTAGAGACGGGGTTTCACCGTGGTCTCGATCTCCTGACCTCGTGATCCGCCCGCCTCGGCCTCCCAAAGTGCTGGGATTACAGGCGTGAGCCACCGTGCCCGGCCTCTTGTTAGCATTTTAAGTGTATCAGTTAAATCAGTCAACTGTATCAATTGAATTTGCCCCATAGCAATTCCACCCTCAGAATAAAGTTTCATATCCAAGCTACTGTTAAGATCAAAAGATAGCCCCTAGAGAAAAAGAAATTGATTTTCCTAACATGCAGTAACATTTGAAAATATAGAGCAGTGGGCAGCAAGTCCTGTTTCACAGCCAGCATCACCTACATCGAATCACTGAGGATGTTCATTAAATATGTAGATCCCTGAGCTTCTCTCAGATGTATGGAATTAATTTGGAGGCGAGGTTCTAGAATGTCTTGGTTTAATGAGCACCCAAATGATTCTAATTCATGCCTGAATCTGAGAACCACTGGCCTAGAGTAGTGGTTCTCAAAGTATGGTGTCTGAGCCAGCAACATTTAACATCACCTAGGAACTTGTTAGAAATGCACATTTCAGGCCCCATCCCAGGCCTGCTGAGTTAGACTCTCTGGAGGTGGAGCTCAGCAATCCATTTTAAGTTCTCCAGGTTGTTCTGATGCACACTGAATGAACCACAGTGGCTCATTCAAAAACCACTTGGGTAGGGCCCTGGAAACTTGAGCTTTAATCCTAGTTCTACCTAATACAGCCTAACAGAATGAATCCTTAAGGAAAGTCTCCTTACTTCTCTCTTCTTCAGCTACTAAAGTTGCTGGGGAGGTCCAGTGCCAGGCGTGGTGGCTCACACCTGTAATCCCAACAATTTGGGAGGCTGAGGCGGCCGATCGCTCAAGCTCAGGAATTCAAGACCAGACTGGGGAACATGGTGAAATCCCGTCTCCATAGAAAATACAAAAAATTAGTCAGGCATGGTGGCACGTGCCTTTGGTGGTCCCAGCTACTCAGGAGGCTGAGGTGGGAGGATTGCTTGAGCCCAGGAGGTAGAGGCTGCAGTGAGCCTAGATTGCACCACTGCACTCCAGCCTGGGTGACAGTTGAGACTCTGTCTTAAAAAAAAAAAAAAAAAAGAAAAAAGTTGTTCTGGATTATTTTGGGCTGGGTACTACAACTTCTATGAATCTCTAAAGTATATTGTAGGAAGATCAGTACATCAGATTAGGTATGTTTCTAAAACTGAAATGGTTAGATTTTGCTTCACAATTCCTGCTGGAAGCTGGTGTCAATTCAGGTATTGATGGAGTCAGGCAGCATGTTCCCTTCCCAAATATTGTAAAGCAAATTGTTTCTCCAAAGTGAAATGTAGTTATACCCACAAGCTTTAAAAATTTAAGAGGGCATCTTCTGGGAAATTCTCAGTTACATAGTCACTGAATTGGAACTGTATGTAATTCCTGCTTCTCTGTTATAACACGTGTAGGCACTAATATATTTCTCTATACTCATTTTGGGGGAAAGAGTAGTCAAGAAGCATTTAACTTTGTGTTTTGATTACTTAGCTAAACAAACTGTTAGCTGTAGGGACTAACTTAGGTGAAATTTATTTTCTTTGAATTATAGACATAGATGATTAATATTACATATTTAATTTTTTAAAGTTGTCTTTAATAAAGAGGCATATAAATATGATTTCATTGTGCCTTAATGTAACTTCTTGACTTAGGGATCATATTTTTAATTTAATATACTTAACATCAATTTTAAGAACCTAAGATTGTCTTATGCTGAGTTTATATAGGAATAGAGTCAACTCCTACATTTAACATCATTTCTGGAGCTGTTAACACTTTATCATAAAAAAACAAGAATTAATAATTGTGCGTGTATATTTGGTAGTATACATAGCTCTAAGCCCTGCTCTCCAGGAAGTCATGACTGCTGATTTAAACATAATAGGTCCATAAATTATAACTGTTAGGCTGAGCTTTATTTTTCATTGTATGTTTTGTAACTGTTTTTGGTTGTTATCTTCAGATTATCTAGTAATAGTCAACAGTGTATTGAGTACTTTGCTCCAGACTGAAATCCTAACATTTTTCTTTTTCAGGACTTGGAAGGAGTAGATATCATCCTAGGTGTCTGCTCTAGTGGCCTTCTGGTTTACAAAGATAAGCTGAGAATTAACCGCTTCCCTTGGCCCAAAGTGCTGAAGATTTCTTATAAACGTAGTAGCTTTTTCATCAAGATTCGGCCTGGAGAGGTACAGAATTTATATTTCCTTCCTCCCAAACCAGACACAGTCTGTATCTGAAATATCTACATTTCCATTTTCCTTATTAAGTCATCTGAGAAGTCTCTCTATAGTTAACTATTGAAGGGCTGATAATTCCGTTTTCTAAGTTGATCAGTCCTGTGATGCTACTTCTTTTCCTTACTACTGGTCTTCTGGACATTTCACTTTTTGTAAGTAAATATACCATTGCAAAAAGTTAAACTTGGACTGATACATTTGTTCCTTGTTTACGCCAAGCAAAAACTTAATGGAAAAATATTTTTAAATTGAGTAGCATGAGATTTTAAAATTATTTATAGGGATAAATTACTCATGTTTGGCATCACCAATCCTTTATCTCATATAATTAAAATTTATTTGTATGCATAGCTTCTCGTGGTTACTGAGAGTGAGTTCTAGGGCCAAGTTCTAGATTTTTAATAAGAGTTGGATGTTCAACTTTGTACCAGTTAATTCATTTATTAGTTGGTTTGGGGATATACTAATGCTGGCCAAATTTAACTTTTGTATTGAAGAGCCATTATGGAATAGCATAAAATTGTTTAAGTAGGAATTAAAGTTTTTTAAAAAGTTCTGACTTCTTTTCTGCCACATACTAAGCAAAAGACCTGGACAAATCTAAGGCTCAGCTTCCTTGTCATTTGGGCAGGATAATACCTTCTCCATCATAGTTATTTGAAGATCAAATGAGATGACAGCTGTGTAAGTTCTATATAGGAAATGATACTAACCTAAGGTGGCTTTTGTGTGTATATATCACCATCTGCTGGTGAATAATGGCTAATTATTTGTGCCTGCAAATTCTGGATGTGGAGCCTTAAAAATCTTGGATAGGGATTACCATAGAAGCATTTATTTTGTACCATAATTATTTTACCTATGCCTAGCACAGAGCAGTCAGTGTCTTCCCTTAAAATTTCAAATTCAAGAGTTATTCAATCAACAAATATTTATTGAGAGCTTTCCTGTGTTGGACACTATTCTAGGGACTAGGAATATAACAGCAAATTAGAATCTCATCCCTCACACACGTTAATATGAAAATGGGAAATCCTTAGCTTCTAAAAATGTAGAATTCTTATTTAGAAGGCAATCAGGAACAACAGGATTTTGAGAAAAAGTATTGTGGCAGCAGTAGATGATTTAGCAGTGGCATGGTATGGTGAAGAGGGTAAAAATCTGGTTCTGTCATTTCATAGCTGTCAGTCTGAGCAAATAACTTCTCTGACCTCAGTTTCTTCATGTCTAAAAATATAGATGATATTATCTAATCATAGTGTTACTGGCAATAGTAGGCACTCAAAATAAATGTCAGTTTCCTTTCCATCTTATAAAATATGCTTAAAGTAGAAATAAAGAGGCAAGAGGTCAGCAGGACAGTGTTTCTAGTAACCCTGGGAGAATATGTTTTGCTTCAGTATAAGAGGAATCTAGATAAATTAATGATCAATCAAAGGAAAAAAGAAATATTTAATGATTCAAGAATCTGAGGAATAAGTTCAAGAGATCTATTGTACAACATGGTGACTATCATTAATAACAATGTATTGTTCTCTTGAAAAATTGCTAAGAGACTAGATTTTAAGTTTTCTCACCACAAAAAAATAATAAGTGTGTCAGGTAATACATATGTTAATCAGCTCAATTTAGCCATTTCACAATGTATACGTGTTTCTTGGGTTTGTTTGTTTGTTGTTTTTTTTTTTTTTTTTTTTTTTTGGAAGAAGAAGTCTCGCTTTGTCACCCAGGCTGGAGTGCAGTGGCGCCATCTCAGCTCACCGCAACCTCTACCTCTCAGGTTCAAGTGATTCTCCTACCTCAGCCTCCTGAGTAGCTGGAATTACAGGCGCGTGCCACCATGCCCGGCTAATTTTTTTTGTATTTTTAGTAGAAATGAGGTTTCACCATGTTGGTCAGGCTGGTCTTGAACTCCTGACCTTGTGATCTGCCCACCTCGGCCTCCCAAAGTGCTGGGATTACAGGCGTAAGCCACCGTGCCTGGCAGGTATACATATTTCAAAACAACATGTTGTAGATGATAAGTATGTACAATTTTTATTTGTCAATTTAAAAAATTGATTTAAAAATCTGGCTTGAACTAAAATCTTTAGCTCCTATTACTAATTTCTATTGCATAATAATATTGATTGATTGGAGGACTTGGTCAATATCCCATTCCCTGTTCATTGAACAGTGTCCCAAATGCAGATAGTGACTAAGGAAAAGCAGTGTCTGGACAATCAAGAGGTGACTTAATTGTGTCTCAGAAAAATGTATAATGAATGTGTGTGTGTTTTCTGGAAAAAAAAAAAAAAGCTTAAATTATATGAGATGCATTCCCTGGCTTTCTTGCTTTGGAAAAAGCCACCCTCAGTGAGTGAATTTCTTTCAGTAAGTAGGAAAAAATTCCAAATGACATTTTATGTCCTTAAATTGGTAACAATGGCCTCTTCTGTGGCACCATATTTCTCTGGTACTGTATCACTGTAATCTGGTACTGTATCACATGTAATACTTCATGTCCCATGTTTATTTGTGTTTTTGTAGCAAGAGCAGTATGAAAGTACCATCGGATTCAAACTTCCCAGTTACCGAGCAGCTAAGAAATTATGGAAAGTCTGTGTAGAACATCACACGTTTTTCAGGTATTATTCTCACTTAAGTATTTTTCAAGGATAAATTATTTATAACGTTTCTATTTTAAGCCTGCTATTAAAATTCCTTTCATTGTATGACTGGCACTCTTTTATTTAGCTCAGGTGAGATCATCTTAAGCAAGACAAAATGAATCCATTTCTCTCCCTTTGGGTTGAAAAGTATGCCTCAACATTTCCAAAGCACCTGTCTGTGTATGGTAGAAGGAAGAGAGGAGTAAGGAATGGGAACCTGTATTTACCAGGGACTCTGGGATTGCATTAATTGTAGCTAAAGTCAGTCCGATTAAGGGGAGTTACCCTCACTTACCTCCACGTGTGATTTTTTTTTTTTTTTTTTTTTTGAGACGGAGTTTCGCTCTTGTTGCCCAGGCTGGAGTGCCGTGGCGCGATCTCGGCTCACTGCAACCTCCGCCTCCCGGGTTCAAGTGATTCTCCTGCCTCAGCCTCCTAAGTAGCTGGGATTACAGGCACCCGCCATCATGCCCAGCTAATTTTTTGTATTTTTAATAGAGACACGCTTTCACTATGTTGGTCAGGGTGGTCTCAAACTCCTGACCTCAGGTGATCCACTTGCCTTGGCCTCCCAATGTGCTGGGATTACAGGCATGAACCACTGTGCCCGGACGGAATTTTTATTTTTTTGTTTTTGCTAATTTTTTTTTCCACATGGAATTTCTCTAAGCAATGCTTGACTACTTTTTGTGGAGCTTTTATACTATAAGGTTAAAGATGTGAAGCTGATTTTTTTTTTTTTTTTTCGAGACAGAGTCTCGCTCTGTCGCCCAGGCTGGAGTGCAGTGGCGGATCTCGGCTCACTGCAAACTCCTACTCCTGGGTTCAAGCAATTCTCCTGCCCCAGTCTCCTGAGCAGCTGGGATTACAGGTGCACACCACCATACCTAGCTAGTTTTTGTTTTTGTATTTTTAGTAGAGACGAGGTTTCACTGTGTTAGCCAGGATGATCTCGATCTCCTGACCTCATGATCTGCCCACCTCGGCCTCCCAAAGTGCTGGGATTACAGGTGTGAGCCACCGTGCCTGGCCAACCTTGAAGCTGATTGTTAGCTTCACTCTAATGAAACCCAGAAAGGGAGCACACAGAACCATATTTGAAGCCCAATAGTACCCGATAATCAGAAGACAGAAGAAAGTATTTCCTCTGCTGTTTGTTTGTTTGTGATGGAGTCTTGCTCTGTTGCCAGGCTGGAGTGCAGTCTGTGATCCTGGCTCACTGCTCCTGGGTTCCAGTGATTCTCCTGCCTCAGCCTCCCAAGTAGCTGGGATTACAGATGCCCAACATCACGCCTGGCTATTTTTTGTATTTTTAGTAGAGATGGAGTTTCACTACGTTGACCAGGCTGGTCTCGAACTCCTGACCTCAAGTGATCTGCTCGCCTCGGCCTCCCAGAGTGCTGGGATTACAGGCGTGAGCCACTGTGCCAAGAGGCCATATTATTAACCCCTTGAGTTCGTTTACCAAGCATTTTCTATGTGCTTACCCTTCTTGTATGCACCATGTTAGGCATTGGGAATATACTACAAGATAGTTCTAGTCTCTCTCCTGGTGGAACACCCAGTCTAGTAGAGAAGACAGACCTTAGACAAGTAATTACTTGTATTGAAAGGAAAGTTGGCTATTTATCAGTTTGCCTTTTTTTTTTTTTTGAGACAGAGTCTCACTCTGTTGCCCAGGCTGTAGTGCAGTGGCGCAATGCCTCAACCTCCCAAGTAGCTGGGACTATAGATGCATACCACCATGCCCAGCTAATTTTTAAATTTTTAGTAGAGACCGGGTTTCACCATATTGACCAGGCTGGTCTCGAACTCCTGACAAGTGATCCACTCGCCTTGGCCTCTCAAAGTGCTGTGATTACAGGCGTGAGCCACTGCACTCGGCCCAGTTTGCCTTTTTAAGAACGTTTCTTTATTATGGAAAATTTCATATGTAGCAACAGTACAATAAAATCCCCTTGTACTTATCACCCAGCTTCAATAATTATCACCCCAAAGCCAATCTTGTTTCTTCTATATCCCTATCCACTCCTTCCCCCTACTTCCGAGATTATTTTGAAGCAAATCCCAGGCCTCACGTCATTTCATTCATAAATAAACTTGATTCTTTAAGAGAAAGAGAGAGAGAGATAATCCTGATATCTTTTCCTTCTATTTATATTTTCATATAATAGCACTATAGCACAGTCAACGAGAAGAAAATTCAAGGAAATTAATATTTCAATTATTTCAAAATAAAACATGAGGGTACATTTTACACCCAATTAAAGAATCTTAATTATTGGCATTAACACATTTATTTATGCTTTCATCATCTCTCCTTCTTTAAAATCAAACCACAAAAGTAGAATTTTTTAAAAAGAGCAAGGAGGAGTAAAAAAGTGATTTTTGAATGTCTAATAACTGTGGTATAGATTTCAGCTGCAGCCAGTATACTTACTTGTAGGATGGCATATTTAAATCCATTGCATCAAAATAAGAGAATACCTTAAAATCTAATGCTCCCTTACATAAAAGTATATGTTTGCTGAATTGAAATCAATTACCTCAAAGGGAAAAATACTCTCTTTTTGGTAGTATTTGATGTAGTAATTTATGTCCTTATTCAACAAATATTTATTGGATATCATATTTATGCCAGGCACTATGCCAGAAGCAAAAACACAAAGATGAATAAGCCATGGTCTTTGTTCTTTACTCCTAGAGAATTCAGTCTTATAGGGGAGACCAGCATAGAAATAGATTGTTTTAATTCAGTATGGTACAAAGAGTACATAGAGTACCATATAGGAAAAAGATGGGGTTCCCAACTGAGTTTAAAAATACACCAAATAACCTGTTAAATAGATTACCAGGCATTAATTGAGTTTGGAGTGCATTTGACAAAACTGTCATTCCAGGAGAGTGGAAAAAGAGCTCTGGGCTTCGACTTTGTTACTGCCCAATGTCCTAACAGCTGTGTGACCTTAAGTAACTTCTTTTTTGAGGTTCAGTTTCCTATATCTATAAAATGGGGAAAACATTATAAGGATGTAGTAAAAATACTGCAGTGCTGTAAAAACATTTTGAAAACTGTAAGGCCCTTTCTATAGAGCTATAAATAAAATTAATATAGGTCCCAACTGGTTGCTTTGAGAAATGACAAAGAACTAAAATAATGATTACTTGATTGAAAATTTCTTAGTAACTATATGGAAACCCTGAGAATTGTGAAACTTTTTTATTCTTGATTTTGTTTTTAATTTTACAGTTTTAGAATAATAAGATGAATATATAATAATATGACTATTACGATTTTCCCCCCAGATTGACATCTACAGACACCATTCCCAAAAGCAAATTTCTTGCGCTAGGATCCAAATTTCGATACAGTGGCCGGACTCAAGCTCAGACCAGGCAAGCTAGTGCTCTAATTGACAGGCCTGCCCCACACTTCGAGCGTACAGCAAGTAAACGGGCGTCCCGGAGCCTCGATGGAGGTTTGTATTGAATATTAATGATTTCTTGTGATCATAATTCATTTGGAAAGATAAAGGAAGTGCAATTATCTATAAGAGAACCGAATTAAAGAAGCTCAGGGTTGGGCCTGGTGCAGTGGCTTACACCTGTAATCCTAGCACTTTGGGAGGCCAGGGCAGGTGGATTGCCTGAGCTCAGGAGTTTGAGACCAGCCTGGGCAACACAGTGAAACCCCATCTCTACTAAAAATACAAAAAATTAGCTGGGCGTGGCGGCATATGCCTGTAATCCCAGCTACTTGGGAGGCTGAGACAGGAGAATTGCTTGAACCCAGGAGGTAGAGGTTGTAGTGAGCCGAGATCATGCCGTTGCACTCCAGCCTGGCTGACAGAGTGGGACTCTGTCTCAAAAAAAAAAGAAGCTCAGTGGTAAAATGAAAGGGATCTTACTAATTGTCTAATCTTAATAGAATCATCTTAAGAAAAGGAAAATTGAGATTCCGAGAGTAGTGACTAGATCATGGTTCCACTGCTAGGTAGTGGTGGATCAAACAGTACCAGAATTAGAATTATAAATCTAAATCTATCAGAATCTCTACCAGAGAGTAAAAATCTAATGTAGTATGCTGAACTGAAGGCCTCTTAGCATTTAAAAATAGCTAATATTTTTCTGCAGTCCTGGTAACACAGGAGGCTGAGGCAGGAGGATAGCTTGAGCCCAGGAGGTGGAGGCTGCAGTGTGCACCTCTGTACTCCAGCCTAGGCCACAAAGTGAGACTCTGTCTCTAAAAAATAAATAAATAAATAATAGCTATTTTCTATAGTAGAAAAGAGGAAAAGGGTCTGCCTTACTACAACAATCTTTTTTTTTTTCTTAATTTTTTTATTTTTTGAGATGGAGTCCCACTCTGTGGCCCAGGCTGGAGTGCAGTGACTCAACCTCGGCCCACTGCAACCTCTGCCTACCAAGGTTCAAGTGATTCTCCTGCCTTAGTCTCCCGAGTAGCTGTGATTACAGGCGTGTGCCACCATTCCTGGCTAATTTTTGTATTTTTAGTAGAGACAGGGTTTCACTATGTTCGCCAGGCTGGTCTCAAACTCCTGACCTCAGGTTATCTACCCACCTCGGCCTCCCAAAGTGCTGAGATTATGGGTGTGATCCACCATGCCCAGCCATACAAGAATAATTTAAAAAGAAGTTTGCCACGTGGCAATTATGGATAGGAAACTCCAATATCCCATTGTTGGAGTCTCCAAATGTTTAAATAAAATAGGGAGGAAATACACAAATTTCGTGATTGTATATACTGACAGAAGACCTGTCTGAATTGATATATTGTGGGAGGATCTTCTAAGTTAGCATTTGAGCCCATTACTGAAACGAGGTAATAAGCTACATTCAGTTCCTTATGTCACTAAAAAAAGAGTGGCTAATAAATAAAAATTCAGGCTGGGTGCGGTGGCTCACACCTATAATCGCAGCACTTTGGGAGGCCAAGGTGGATGGATCACATGAGGCCAGAAGTTCGAGATCAGCCTGGCTGACATGGTGAAACCCTGTCTCTAGTAAAAATACAAAAATCAGCTGGGCATGGTGGCGCACGTCTGTAATCCCAGCTACACAGGAGGCTGAGGCATGAGAATCGCTTAAACCCGGGAGGCGGAGGCTGCAGTGAGCCAAGATTGCGCCATTGGACTCCAGCCTGGGAGACAGAGTGAGAGTGTCTCATAAATAAATAAATTAAATAAATAAATAAATAAATAAATAAATAAATAAATAAATGTTCAGAAGGGCCGGGCATGGTGGCTCATGCCTGTAATCCCAGCACTTTGGGAGCCCGAGGCAGGAGGATCACTTGAGGTCAGGAGTTCAAGACCAGCCTAGCGAACAGGGCGCAACCCTGCCTCTACTAAAGGTACAAAAATTAGCTGGGCTTGGTGGCGCACGCCTGTAATCCCAGCTACTCAGGAGGCTGAGGCACGAGAATTGCTTAAACCTGGGAGGCAGAGGTTGCAGTGAGCTGAGATGGCACCTCTGTACTCCAGCCTGGGCAACAGAGTGAGACTCTGTCTCAAAATAAAATAAAGTAAAAGATATAAGTTCAGAAGGCAATAATCCAAATAGGGTATTATTGATTACCTTTATTATTTGTTACCAGTGTACAAGCCTATGCTATCTACTGTAAAAGCAAGATACATGTTGTTATGTGCATATATAGTGTGCAGAGTGGGACGCCGTCTCAAAAAAAAAAAAGAAGCTCAGTGGTAAAATGAAAGGGATCTTACTAATTGTCTAATCTTAATAGAACCATCTATTAATAGAACAGGTTAAGGATTTGGGTTCTGGAATCAGACAGACCTGATTCCAATATCAACCCTAGCATTTATGAGCTATGTTCCTAGGCAAATTACTTCATTTCTCTGTGCCTCAGTTTTATCATTTGTAAAATGGAGATGATGATAGTATCATACTACCTCAAAGAGTTTTCATGAGGAATAAATGAGGTGGCATATGTATGGTATTTAGCACAATGGCTGCCACTTAATGAGTTCCCCCCACAAAATGTTAGCTATCATTAAGATGCTGTTTTTCTGGCTGTAACATTTGTATCATCTGGAACCATGCTACTATATTCTGGTTTGTAGATGTATGCAGACCCTCTCATGAGATATGTAGACCATTGTACAGCAGCCATAGTCACCATTTGGAAGTTCCCTACTAATTGAGCAAGTATTTCTTTCCATGATGTGAGGAAATTTTATAATAGAATGTGAAAAGATCATTTTTACAATGTTCCTCTTGGTTTCATAGTTTAGTCATCTCTTGTGCTAGGTAATGAGCTAGGTGCAAGAGATATTATAGTGAGAGTCCCTGCCCTCATTCAATTCTTAACCTAATGGAGGATATTATAATATTCATCATAGTGGAAGAAACAAGGCATTATGAGAGCATATGTCCTTAATTTAGAGGAATCAGGAAGGGGTCAGCCACATTTGGAAAAAAGATCACCTAAGCAGTAGGACTTTTGTGCTTCCATACTGTGAGTCATGCTTTTTTGTTTTTTTTGTTTTGTTTTGTTTTGTTTTTTTTGAGACAGAGCCTCACTCTGTCACCCAAGCTGGAGTGCAGTGGCACAGTCTCAGCTCACTGCAACCTCCGCCTCCAAGATTCAAGTGATTCTCGTACCTCAGCCTCCCAAGTAGCTGGGATTACAGGCATGTGCCACCATACCTGGCTAATTTTTGTATTTTTAGTGGAGATGGGGTTTCACCATGTTGGCTAGGCTAGTCTTGAACTCCTGGCCTCAAGTAATCTGCCTGCCTCAGCCTCCCAAAGTGCTGAGATTATAGACATGACACCCCCCAACTTTTTTTTTTTTGGTGTTTTTCTACTCTCCTGAGGGGCTGTTTTAATAGTAACAATACAAGGCATGTTGCATGCTTTGTCTTAATCTTCATGAAAACACTATGAACTAGGCTTGGAGATTAAAATGACTTTTCATAAGACGTGACATCTGGTAAATGGAAGTGCTAAGAGTGAAATTCAGGTTGGTTTAACTCCAAAACTCATGTTCTTTCAGATACATATTTATTACTTTGTTCAACAATTTTTCCTATGGGCCAGATGGTATTCCAGTCACTAGAGATACAGCCGTGAGCACACAAACATAGTCTCTGCCTTCATGGAGCTTACCTTCTGTCATTGGAAACAAAGAAGAATAAAACAAAATAATTTCAGATGGTGATGAATGCTGTGGAGAAAATAAAACAGGATGAGGGATATAGACTATCTGGGGATGGGGGAAATTAAGGAGTATTTCAGATTGGATGGTCCAATCTAATTTAGAAGGCTTCTTTGAGGAGCTTCATTTGAGCTGAGACCTGAATTATGTGAAGGAGCCGGCCATCTCAAAATCTGGGGAAAGAGCCTTGCAGAAGAGGGAGTAGCAAGTACAAAGTCCTGAAAGTAGGAATGAGCTTGCCATGTGTCTAGAGCAGTGCTGTCCCATGGACCTTTCTGTGCTGATGGAAATCTTTCATTTTGTGATATCCAGTTCAGCAGCCAATAGCTGCTAAGCTAAGAACTTGAAATGTGGCTATGTGCCTGAGGAACGGAATTTTAATTCCAATTTAAATAGCCACATGTGGTGTGTAGCTCACATATCAGACAGCATAGGTCTAGATTCCAGAAAATGAAGGGGCGAGGAGTACAAAATAAGTGAGGTCGGAGAAGTAGGTGGGAGCCAGATTGTATAGGGCCTTGTGGGTCACAGTAAAGAGTTTAGATTGTATTTCATTTGCACTGGGAAGCTATTAGAGGGAGTGATGCAATCTGAATCCCATTTTTAAAAGATCGCTGACAGCTGAATAGTCCATTGAAGTGTCAGTGAAAAGCAGGGCGAAGGCTGTTGCAGAGTCTGGGACAGCCTGGACTTGAGTGTTGGCAACAAAGACAGGGAAAAGTAGTCAGGGATACATTTGGAGATAGGGCTGACTGAATTGCTGACAAATTAAGTATTGGAGATGATAAGGAAAAGAAACTCAAGTTTTATTGCTTGGCTTAATCATTTAGTAGAATGAGAAAATCTGGGAGAGTAGCAGAGTTGGGGATATGGAAAATAAAAACTCCTACTGTGGATAAGTTAAGTTTGAGGCATAATCATTTAATCTTCATGTCTTTGCCATATTCAGATAACAATATCAGGCATCTCCCTCCTTGTCCAGTAAATCACCTTACTTCTAGTTTACCTTATGTGTGGGGAATTATCTTTTTATCCCCATTTTTCAGGTGAGAAAACTGAGGTTGGAAAGTTTAAGTGACTTGTTCAGCATCTCACAGACAGTAAGTTGCAAACTATGACAAAAATCCAGGTCTGTCTGATAGCATGTTCCATGGCTTTCCTTGCTAAATGGAGTTTCATGGTTATATAGATACTATGCCTGATGTATTGTCTTTTCCTGATAGCAAAGATAACCAAAGAGTCAAGTGTTAATGAGCTTTGGTACCTTGAACAAGTTAGAAAGCTTTACAGAAATCACATCTTGACTGCCTTATTACATTTATATTCTGAATTTTTTTTTAAGATGTATGGTCTTAACTTTTCATGGTAATTACCACAGTTCTTGCTACAGTGTATTTAATAAATAAATATTGGCTGGATGTGGTGGCTCACACCTGTAATCCCAGCACTTTGGGAGGCTGAGGCGGGCGGATCATTTGAGGTCAGGAGTTCGAGACCAACCAGGCTGACATGTTGAAACCCTGTCTCTACTAAAAATACAAAAATATTAGCCAGTTAGCTGGGCATGGTGGCACATGCCTGAATTCCCAGCTACTCAGGACGCTGAGGCAGGAGAATCGCTTGACCCCAGGAGGCAGAAGTTGCAGTGAGCTGAGATCGCGCCTGCACTCCAGCCTGGATGACAGAGTGAGACTCCGTCTCAAAAATAACAATAAAATAAAATAAAATACCATTCTTTCCCTACTGCATTCCAGTGTCACCTTTGTTATAAATCAGGTGACCATAAATTTGGGAGTTCATTTCTGGTCTCTCTAATCTCTTGTATTGATCTTTGTGTACCCTTGTGTCAATACCACACTATCTTAATTATTCTAGCTTTTATAAGTGTTTAAATTCTCTAACAATATTCTCTAAGATTATCTTGGCTATTTTTAGCCCTTAGCGTTATCTTATATATTGTAGAATCAGATTTTCTATTTCCACTAAAAAAGTCTTAATACTTTTATTGGGATTTAGTTGATTATATGGATCAGTTTGGAGATAATTGGTATTATAATATTGAGTCTTCTGATTCACAAACATGCTATAACCCTCCTTTTGTTTGGGTTTCCTTTAATTTCTCTCAGTAATGTTTTGTGATTTTTGGTGTAGGTAACTTGTGCATCTTTCATTAGATTTATTCTTACAGATTTGATGTCATTTGCTATTTTATATTAATATTATTAGATAGGGTCTCACTCTGTCATCCAGGCTGGAGTGCGATGGAGCGATCACAAGTCACTGCAGCCTCAGTCTCCCAGGCCCAGGTGATCCTCCCACCTCAGCCTCACAAGTAGCTAGGACTACAGGTGCATGCCACCATGCCCAGCTAATTTTTTTTTTTTTTTTTAGAGACAGGGTCTTGCCATGTTGCCCAGGCTGGTCTCAAATTCCCAGGCTCAGGCAATCCTCCCACCTTGGCTCCCCAAAGTGCTAGGATTACAAGAGTGAGCCACCACACCCAGCCATCGTTTGCTATCTTAAATGGTATCTTTTGGTTTTTGGCTGGTTGCAGTGCCTCATGCCTATAATCCCAGTACTTTGGGAGGCCAAGGTGGGAGGATCGCTTGAGTCTGAGAGTTCAAGACCAGCCTGGGCAACATGGCAAGACCCTGTCTCTAAAAAAAAAAAAAAAAAAATTAGCTGAGCATGGTAGTGCACACCTGTGGTCCCAACTACATGGAAGGCTGAGGCAGGAGGATCACTTCAGCCTAGGAGGTTAAGGCTGCAGTGAGCTGTGCTTGTGCCACTGCACTGCAGCCTGGGCAACAGAGTGAGACCCTGTCTCTAAAATAAAATAAAATAAAACAAAATAAAATAAATGGTATCCTAAATTTTTTATTTTTTGTTCAATTGTTTTGGTACATAGAAATACAATTAATTTTTCTAGTTTGACCTTATACTCAGTAATCTTACTAAAAAAATTTTTTTTTAATTTAATTTTATTTTTTTTTTGAGACAGAGTCTCACTCTGTCACTCAGACTGGAGTGCAGTGGCACTATCTCGGCTCACTGCAACCTCTGCCTCCTGGGTTCAAGTGACTCTCCTGCCTCAGCCTCCTGAGTAGCTGGGATTACAGGTGCACGCCACCACCATGCCCGGCTAATTTTTTGTATTTTTAGTAGAGACGAGGTTTCACCCTGTTGGTCAGGCTGTTCTCGAACTCCTGACCTCGTGATCCACCCACCTCGGCCTCCCAAAGTGCTGGGATTACAAGCGTGAGCCACCACACCCAGCCCTAAAAAATTTATTATTAATTTTAATGGTTTATCTGTGGATTATTTGGGGTATACATTATTGTGTACTCAACATCAACTGAAAATAATGATTGTTGTATGTCTTCCTTTCCATCTCGCATTTTTAATTTCTTTAATTGCTTTGTTGCTGGCTAGAACGTCCAATGTAATGCTGAATACAAGCATTAATAACTATCATCTTTCCCAATTTTAGGGCAAAAGCTTCAGTATTTCATCAAGCTTCCTTATATGGTATTTTCTTTATCATATAAGGAAGTTGTCATTCTAGTTTCCTACACATTTTAATTGTGAATTAGTGTTACTTTTATCAAATGCTTTTTACTTCATCAGTTGATATAATAAAATGATTTTTCTCCTTTTTATGTTAATGTGGTATATTATTTTTACTTTCAATTTTTAAACGACCTAAGAATTTTTGGAGTAAGTTCGAATTGGTCGTAATACTCTTTTCTTTTTTATTGTTTTAGGATTTCTACAACTATTTTCATAAGAGAGATAGGCCTATAATTTTCCTTTTGTAATGTTGTGGTCAGGTTTTAGTTTCGAGTTTATGCTGGTCTCATAAAATAAATTGAGAAGAATTCCTTCTTTTTCTGTTCTCTGGAAGAGTTTGTTAAAGACTGTTGTCATTTCTTTGTTACTGTTTAGAAGAATTCGCCTATGAAGCCATATCTGGTCCTAGAGATCTCACTGTGGGAGGTTCTTTACTTACAGATTCAGTGTCTTTATTAGATAAGGGACTATTAAAATGTTCTAGTTCTTGTTTCAGTTTTGATAAATTGTGTTTCTTTTTTCTTTCTTTCTTTCCTTTTTTTTTTTTTTTTGGAGAGAGAGTCTTAGCTCTCTCAGGCTGGAGTGCAGTAGTGCCGTCATAGCTTGCTGTAGCCTTGACCTCCCAGGCCCAAATGATCCTCCCACCTCAGCGTCCTGAGTAGCTGGTACCACAAGTTCACGCTACCGCGCCTGGCTAATTTTTTTTTTTTTTTTTTGTAGAGACAAGGTCTTACTGTGTTGCCCAGGCTGATCTTGAACACCTGGGCTCAAGCAGTCCTCCCACCTTGGCTTCTCAAAGTGCTGGGATTATAGGTGTGAGTCATCGCACCTGGCCTAGTTGTGTTTTTCTAGGAAATGTGCATTTTATCTAAATTTCCAAATATATTTACATAAAGCTGGGTATCTTTTCAATATCTGTAAGAACTATAGCAGGGTCCACTTTTGCATTCCTGATATTGGTAAGTTGTACCTTTTTGTTTCGAATAGCCTTGGTAGAGGTATATTGATTTTATTAATCTTTTCTTTTTTATATTGTAAATTGACAATTTATGTATGTATGTATGTATGTATGTATGTATTTATTTTTGAGGTGGAGTTTCACTCTTGCTGCCCAGGCTGGAATGGCGTGATCTCGGCTCACTGCAACTTCTGCCTCCCAAGTTCAAGCGATTCTCCCGCCTCAGCCTCCCAAGTAGCTGGGATTACAGGCATGCGCCACCATGCCCGGCTAATTTTTGTATTTTTAGTAGAGACGAGGTTTCACCATGTTGGTCAGGCTGGTCTCTACCTCCTGACCTCAAGTAATCTACCTGCTTCGGCCTCCCAAAGTTCTGGGATTACGGGCGTGAGTGAGCCACCGAGCCTGGCTGACAATTTATAATTGTATATATTTATGGGGTACAAAGTAATTGTCTTAAGTTTTTCAAAGAACCAACTTTTGGTTTTGTTGTTTTTTTCCTATTATATATAGTTTAACTCATGCCAGCTGATATCTTTATTATTTTCTTTTTTTGAGACGGAGTTTTGCTCTCGTTGCCTAGGCTGGAGTGCAATGGCGTGATCTCGGCTCACCGCAACCTCTGCCTCCCAGGTTCAAACAATTCTCCTGCCTCAGCCTCCCGAGTAGCTGGGATTACAGGCATGCACCACCACGCCCGGCTAATTTTGTATTTTTAGTAGAGACGGGGTTTCTCCATGTTGAGGCTGGTCTCGAACTCCTGACCTCAGGTGATCCACCCACCTCAGCCTCCCAAAGTGCTGGGATTACAGGCGTGAGCCACCGCGCCCGGCCTATTATTTTCTTTACGCTTTTATTGAGCTTTTTTAAAAAAAATTCTTGAACTAGATACTCATTAATGTTCATTATTTCTTACAACTTAACCTTAGAATGTAAGTGACTTGCCTAAGGTTACATAGCTAGTTGGAAAGAATTAGAAGGGAATCCGGGACAATTCTCCTAGGCCCATGCTTTTTACTCTTCACCATGATGACTTCTTTTTTTTAGAAAGAGTAGAATAAAAGTTAATAGTCAATATTCCTTGAGCACTTAGTATGTTCCAGGCACTGTTCTATCTTTTAAGTATCTGAAGTGCATATAAACTGAATAGGACAATTTTTTTTTGTAGTTCTGTTTTTAAATGTCTTATTTTTCTCTTTGTACTATAGTATAAAAAGTGGAAATATGTCTGTGTAACTATTTTTCCCTCCTTTCCTTAGATACTTCTCTGTGCTCCTTAAAAGATACTTTTTCCCGTTGAGTCACCCCTCCCTTTTCAAAAGATTAATATAACTCTGTAAGCTAGAGATGGTGTATCAGGGAAACTTTTACAAGAATTGCTTTATAAGGGGTCTTATTTTAATGATAAAAATGAGCATTCCCTTCCTCTTCTGTTATGTGTGGTGCTTAGAGCATCTGCTTCACCAGCTGGAGTACCAAAACTGGTTCAGATCCCAGTTTTATGATAGAGTAGTAAGTTGCAAGCGTAGCTAATAATGATGACAAAGATTATATTTTTCTTGCACTTTTTGCTTTTCAAACCATTTCCATGTATTCCTATTTAATACTAGCAACTTAGTCAATAAGAGAAAACATTTAGGAATTACAGTTTTACTCATGAGGAAACTGGAGCACAAAAGAAAGGGCCACACAACCAGGTAGTTCATCCATTCAGTGAGCAGTGGTTACAGTGATTCTTGCCAGGGGTGTACATCCTTATCACCTTTGGAGCTTTAAAACAAAACACATGCCCAAGCCTCACTCTTGGATAGCTCATCTCACTAGAGTGGGCCTGAGCATCATCTGATTTTTTTGTTTTTTGTCTTGAAAAACAAACATTGTATCAGAGGACACAAATGATTTATGTGGTCCTCTGATAAAAGAACCACCCTACCGCATACTAGCAGAAATTGTGCTAGTAAATAACAGCTAGAAGTAGAAGTTGTTTGCCTTTACTCAGTCTGATGGTTTGAATTTTATTCTTTACTGCTGTAGTATATAACTATCTAAGTTTCTGTTGTCAGCCAAGAGCAATATAGTATTGAAGTTAGTGGGTCACCATCAGCATTTTTCTTTATGTAGACCCTCAGATATGGGAGATACTGGATTTTTAAAGTTATGTATTGTCTATATATGCACCAAAATCTTGTAAATATTAACAGCTGAATTAATAAAACTGAAGACCCACACATCTTAAAAAGCAATCCTTACCCCCAACACTGTGAATATACTAAAAAGCATTGAATTATATATTTTAAATGAGTGAACTGTGTGGTATGTGAATTGTATCTCAAAAAAAGCTGTTAAAAAAAGCCATGATCACTACCATGATATTATAGAGTTAATATCTTCCATATTTTACAGATGATTAAACTAAAGTTTGTAAGATTAAGCTCCACGCCTTAGGCACACTACTATATGTGACTGAGTGTGGGCCTAAGACTCGTGATTTGGCTTTTGCCTCTGTTCCACGCAGCCTTTCACAGCCAGAGCTTTTTATTGTAATGTTATTATTTTTCCAATCTGTGAACTCTGTTTCTGTCAGTTTCCACACTAATACCTTCTTTTCCACATACAGTACAGATTGCCAAGGCTAGGAATGCTGAAGACATAAATCATTTGGCTCTGCAGTATTAGTACTGGATTGAAACCAAAGACAAGTGGCAAAATAACACATGGTGAAAGCATGGGCTAAGTTTCTATGATGCCAGGCATAGTTGAATTAATTCTTTGAGAGGAGGTGTGAATACACATGTATAATGATACTTAAACACAACTGTGAGCAAAATATTTTGTCACATTCCCCTGTGTTGTCAGGTTTGGTCTGCCATCTGCCACTCTTGCAGTGACTGCTTAAAGCACCCATTAGTAGTAGCTCTGTGCTAATCCAGAGTTATTACTACTAACCCAGTAGTAGCAATCTGTGCAAGAGGCCGCAGATTTTTCATGGAAAGATAAAGGAGATCCTTTTTTTTTTTGAGACAGAGTCTTGCTCTGTTGCCCAGGCTAGAGTGCAGTGGTACGATCTCGGCTCACTGCAAGCTCCACCTCCTGGGTTCAGGCCATTCACCTGCCTCAGCCTCCCAAGTAACTGGGACTACAGACGCCCGCCACCACGCCCAGCTAATTTTTTGTATTTTTTAGTAGAGATGGGTTTCACTGTGTTAGCCAGGATGGCCTCAATCTCCTGACCTCGTGATCCACCCACCTTGGCCTCCCAAAGTGCTGGGATTATAGGCGTGAGCCACCACGCCTGGCTGATAAAGGGGATTCTTGAATTTCTGCTGTTTTTCCTATATATCCGCTAAGGAATTAGTTCTTTCATTGGAAATTATGACAGAGTAATGAGCATTTCTTTCTTTTTCTTTTTCTGTTTTTTTTTTTTTTTTTTTTTTTTTTTTTGGAGACAGTCTGGCTCTGTTGCCCAGGCTGGAGTGCAGTGGCACGATCTCAGCTCACTGCAACCTCTGCCTCTCGGGTTCAAGTGATTCTCCTGCCTCAGCCTCCCGAGTAGCTATGACTACAGGCGCCCACCACCACACTTGGCTAATTTTTGTATTTTTAGTAGAGACGACGTTTCACCTTGTTGACCAGGCTGGTCTCGAACTCCCGACCTCAGGTGATCTGCCCACCTCGGCCTCCCAAAGTGCTGGGATTACAGGTGTGAGCCACCGTGCCTGGCCAAGCATTTCTTTCTTAATATTGTTGTATGAAGTAGTTGGGAATTTAAAGTTTTTATCTGTTCAGATTCATGGAATTCCTTTATCTGATCCTTACAGTTTACAAATCTAAAAATTTCAGGATGAATCATGTTCAGTTATAGTCAGTTTAAGAATGCAGGAAAGTCTATAATAAAAATTATTGATTTCCATGCAAATTGATTAAAATATAAGAGTCTTGGCTGGGAGCGGTGGCTCACGCCTGTAATCCCAGGACTTTGGGAGGCCAAGGCAGGCAGATCACTTGAGGTCAGGAGTTCAAGACCAGCCTGGCCAACATGGTGAAACCCCATCTCTACTAAAGATACAAAAAATTAGCCAGGCATGGTGGCATGTGCCTGTAGTCCCAGCTACTGGGGAGGCTGAGGCAGGAGAATCACTTGAACCTGAGAGGCGGAGATTCTAGTGAGCCGAGATCATGCCATTGCACTCTAGCCTAGGCGACAGGGCAAGACTCCATCTTAAAAAAAAAAAAAAAGTCTCAGTACAAAAGAGGATAACAATATGTTATCAGAAATACTAAATCATGCACAAAAACACTTTCATTCCTAGATACTGTCAGATAAGTGAAGTTTTATTACAAAGTGTAAATGTTTTATATCCCTGAAAGAATGAACATAAAAACCATAAAAAGAGTATGAGTGATTGTTTTGAAGTAAGCTGTCTAAAACTTAGATACCAAATATTCCAAAACAACAATTGGCTCTTTGAAAAGATCAAGATTTTATCATAAGTCTGTATAGTTTATTCTCTCTAAAACAGTCTATACAACTTTTCCCCTAAATTAAGGTTTCTCAACCTCAGTAACTTCAGCCTCTATGCACTGGATGCCAGTACCTCCCGTCTCTCCCCTCCTCTGTTACAACAACCAAAAATGTCTCCGGACATTGCCAGATATTCTCTGGGGACAATTTACTCCAGTTGAGAACCACTGCCCTAAACATATTAGAGAATAAGAGCTGTAATACAAATTGGTAAGGCTGAGAGATAGTAGGACAGAACTCAAAAGATATTTTTGTTTAGGTTTGAGGACTGACAGTCAAAGATTTTGAATTTGTGTTATTTTAATCAAATGATTTATTATTAAAAGGGAGAGCATCTGGTTCAAATATTTGTCCTTACAAGCATCAGAAAGTAGTTCATGTCTTACCAGAAGAGCCATTTATCAAGTTATTTTGTAATCATTCCAAGGAGGCTTACAGAAGAAATCAGACTTAATTCTTTTTTCTTACAATATATTTTTAGGTTCCTGAAATAACCTAAAAATGAACACATCTTTATTTTTAAAATGCCTCATGGAAGAAATCACATTTAGTTAACCCTTTTTTTCCTGCCATAGACAACATTGCAGGTTTTTGAAACTAAAATTACGAGATAAATGGATTTTCTATTTCTTTTCTTTGATCTTGTCTCCCCTGAATTCAGCATTCATGGAACATGATCATTAACACATTTTAGCCTTTCTACTGAGGGTACATTTAACTTCCTTGTTGCTATCAGTTCCCTGGCAGAGCACTAATGATTTATTTTTTACCCTCTGTGTGATAGCCCACTACACACTCTAACATTCGTGTGTATCCTGGATTCACAATTATTTTGCCTGGTGACTTTGAAATAATACAGTAGCTCTGGCCTTTACTTATGCTTCCCTTTTCCCTTTCTCACATAGCAGCAGCTGTCGATTCGGCAGACCGAAGTCCTCGGCCCACTTCTGCACCTGCCATTACTCAGGGTCAGGTTGCAGAAGGTGGCGTCCTAGATGCCTCTGCTAAAAAAACAGTGGTCCCTAAAGCACAGAAGGAAACAGTGAAGGCTGAAGTGAAAAAGGAAGACGAGCCACCTGAGCAAGCTGAGCCAGAGCCCACAGAAGCATGGAAGGTATGTCATCAGTCCAAATACCTAGCTAACTCACTTTCTGATTTAGAGGCCTTAACTTTTTGACCAGGAACGTTTTCAAAGCAATTGCTTATTCTCATAGACTCAACAAAGTTATTCTTCATTCTTTCTAAATGAAGATGTCTCCCATGAACCTATAAAATATTTTCGTAGAGTTATGTCAGTAAGACTGTAAGCTATCTCAGAAGTTATAAGGTGACCCACTCCTTGACCCAACTATTATTTTTATTTATTTATTTATTTTTTTGAGATGGAGTCTCGCTCTGTCACCCAGGCTGGAGTGCAGTGGTGCGATCTTGGCTCACTGCAAACTCCGCCTCGTGGGTTCATGCCATTCTCCTGCCTCAGCCTCCTGATTAGCCGGGACTACAGGCGCCCGCCACCATGCCCGGCTAATTTTTTGTATTTTTAGTAGAGACGGGGTTTCACCGTGTTAGCCAGGATGGTCTTGATCTCCTGACCTTGTGATCCGCCCGCCTCGGCCTCCCAAAGTGCTGGGATTACAGGCATGAGCCACCGCGCCCGGCCCCAACTATTATTTTTTTAAATGATCTTATAAAACACACCAGTATGATTGATCCTCTGCTTTTTAAAATAATTTTACTCATCTAGAAGGAATCTCCACATTGCTTTTTAAGACTAAGCTCTGCTATTGTGATTAAAATAAAATTTTATTTTCTAAGATGGATGTATGCACATTTCCAAAGAACTGGTATTACATAAAGCGCATCTGTGTGGTTGCTCAAATCTTAAGTACCTTTACAAAAAGGAGAAGATTCATTATGTAGGAGAGGTTGTACTGCTGAGTTGCCTATGGTTCTGAGTTAATTGCACCCACAGTCACTGCACTGTGTTGAAAAATCACCAATTTAATTAGCAGATTTCCTAGACAGTGACTAGACTGACCTTTTATATGTTAAGCTTTGTAAACACATTTAAGCCGTGATGGAATCGAAGTGCTAGCTCAGATTTATTGAAATAAATATAGCTCTTGCTGTTGGCAACAGGAATTATGAGAAGCAGTCTTCATAAGAAGAATTACATTTTTATATGTCTGTTAAGAAATTAAAAAAAATTTTTTTAACCATAAGATCTTAGTAAGTGTTCTCGCTTTGGCAGATGGATTAACCTTGTTCTTTTGGAGCCAGATCAATATCTAGTTTATCTCTAGAGCAGTGGACAGTCTAACTATGTTTTGATTATATTAAAAAAAAAAAAAAAAAAAAAAAAACTGTTAGGCCAGGTGTGGAGGCTCTCACCTGTAATCCTAGCACTTTGGGAGAGCAAGGCGGGCGGATCCCTTGAGCCCAGGAGTTCAAGACCAGCTTTGGCAAAATGGTGAAACCCCATGTCTACAAAAAATAAAAAAACTAGCTGGGTATGGTGACGCACATCTGTAGTCCCAGCTCCTTGGGGGACTGAGACAGAAGGATAGCTTGAACCTGAGAGGTTGAAGAGGCTTCAGTGCACCGAGATCGCCCACTGCACTTCAGCCTGGGTGACAAAGTGAGACGCTGTCTCAAATAGTGAAGCCCCGTCTTTACTAAAAATACAAAAATTAGCTGGGCATGATGGCAGGTGCCTGTAATCCCAGCTACTGGGGAGGTTAAGGCAGGAGAATTGCTTGAACCTGGGAGGCAGAGGTTGCAGTGAGCCCAGATCACACCACTGCACTCCAGCCTGAGTGACAGAGCAAGACTCCGTCTCAAAAAATAATAATAATAAATAAACTGTTAAATATGACATACAGTTTTACTGTCCATTTGGGACTACCTTGAGTCCAGAGAGAAAAACAGATTGAGTGAATGGTAGGTGTTTACATTTTTGTACCTAGCCAAATGTTTATGACATTGGTCATCAGGTTCACTGTCAACAATGCCTGTTTAATGTTAGACTACCTCTTCAGTTCTTAATGTTAGAATATCTCACCAGGCACTTTTGACTATCCCTCTATTTGTTATACTAACTAAAAAGTGTTGGATTACTGGAATTGTCAGGGGAATCTTCCTAGTGGCTAAGATTCCTCTGGCTTTCTGCTGACTCACTTTTTCTCCTTTTTGCCTATAACACAGACATAAATACCTTCAACAATAGGCTCCCTTTGCTCTTGGGAACTTGGCAGAGTGAAGAGATCACTACCTGGTATATGCTTTCCATTTTAAGTGCCAATAGGGGGTCTTTGTTGCCAATTAATTCTACATAAATATATGATTCGAGATACTTGTGTTGAAATGAGACTGAAGGCCACCTCTGATAACTTATTATTGTAATAGTGGTGGCAGAATTAAGGGTGACTCTGAGCTGATTTTATACATAGCAGTTAGAAAATAACTATGGCGGCAGGCACGGTGGCTCACGCCCGTAATCCCAGCAATTTGGGAGGCCAGGACGGGTGGATCACAGCCTGGCCAACATGGCAAAACCCCGTCTTTACTAAAAATACAAAAATTAGCTGGGCCTGCTGGCAGACACCTGTAATCCCAGCTATTTGGGAGGCTGAGGCAGGAGAATCACTTGAACCTGGGAGGCAGAGGTTGCAGTGAGCTGAGATTGCGCCACTGCACGCCACGCCAGCCTGGGCAACAGAGCAAGACTGTCTCAAAAAAAAAAAAAAAAAAAAAAAGGGCCGGGCGCGGTGGCTCACGCCTGTAATCCCAGCACTTTGGGAGGCCGAGGCAGGCGGATCACAAGGTCAGGAGATTGAGACCATCCTGGCCAACATGGTGAAACCCCGTCTACTAAAAATACAAAAAATTAGCCAGGCGTGGTGGCAGGCGCGTGTAGTCTCAGCTACTCGGGAGGCCGAGGCAGGAGAATGGCGTGAACCCGGGAGGCGGAGCTTGCAGTGAGCCGAGATCGCGCCGCTGCACTCCAGCCTGGGTGACAGAACGAGACTCCGTCTCAAAAAAAAAAAAAACAAAAAACAACAAAACAAAACAAAACAAAACAAAAAAAAAACTATGGCATTTACTTGAAGCCATATTTATTATATAAAGCAATAGTAGTGATAAAGTAGCCTTGTAACTGTAAATTTCATTATCTGACATTAGTTTGGTGCCAGATAGAGATAGCTTTTTGTTGGCATTTTAATGAGATATATTCTGCCAGTATACCTGTAGGTGCTGTCTCCCCCATGTATATTATCTCATTTAATGTTCTGTGTAGGGGCATACACAGAACTACTGTTGCTACTTGGCCTCAATTCTTTTTTTTGAGACGGAGTCTTGCTCTGTCACCCAGGCTGGAGTGCAATGGTGCGATCTCAGCTCACTGCAACCTCCGCCTCTCAGGTTCAAGCGATTCTCCTTCCTCAGCCTCCTGAGTAGCTGGGATTACAGGTGCCCGCCACCATGCCCAGCTAATTTTTGTATTTTTGGTAGAGACAAGGTTTCACCATGTTGGCCGGGATTGTCTCGAACTCCTGATCTCAGGTGATCCGCCCACCTCGGCCTCCCAAAGTGCTGAGATTACAGGCGTGAGCCACCGTACCCGGCTGGCCTCAATTCTTAAACTGAAGTAGAGGCTCTCAGTTTTCTGCTATTGGATTGATAAAGATCCAAAGCAAAAAGAAGTCATTATTCACTTGAACAAGGAATTTAAGCTTTGTAAAATAATTTAACACTATTGTTTGCTAAATGTACAATTCTGGGAAGACATCATCTCCATTTTGTCCATAAGAAGTTTAAGCTCTGAGGGGTAAAAAAAACTTGTTAATGACCACACAGCAAGTATGCTGGGACTCAAAGTAGAAATGACCCAAAACCAGCCAGGCGCAGTGGCTTACGCCTGTAATCCCAGCACTTTGGACGGCTGAGGCGGGCGGATCACAAGGTCAGGAGATCGAGACCATCCTGGCTAACACGGTGAAACCCCGTCTCTACTAAAAATACAAAAAATTAGCCAGGCATGGTGGCGGGTGCCTGTAGTCCCAGCTACTTGGGAGGCTGAGGCAGGAGAATGGCGTGAACCCGGGAGGTGGAGCTTGCAGTGAGCCGAGATCGCACCTGCACTCCAGCCTGGGCGACAGAGTGAGACTCTGTCTCAAAAAAAAAAAAAAAAAAAAAAAGAAAAAGAAATAACCCCAAACCGTTAATTACCCCTGGTAGTTAAAGTGCTGTAATGGGGTGTGCTTAACTTAACACTTGACAGTGTCACTAATTTTGGTGCTCTCTTAGGTTTTTTAGACTCAGTCTAGGGAAAATAGCACAATGACATTATACTCCAAAGTAATGCTGCTTAGTGTGATTAAAAAGAATATCAACACCACAGATTGATGAGGTTCTGTAAAGAACTTAATGATACAAAGTGATTTAGCCCTTAGTAAAAATAATCAATTTTTTAATTTAAAATATCCAATGCTTTGGGCATTGCTCCCTCTATTATGCTCCCTCTTAATAGTCTGTTTTTTTTAAATAATTGCTCCATTTTCTATGTATAAAATGATGTTACTAAAGGTATTTCAAAGCTAGGCAGGAGACCTTAGCTATTCCCTTTCTGCTATTAATATCAAGGATGAATCTTGCCCTTCTACCAAACACATAGGCTCCACCTCCCTAGAGGAGATTGCAGTGTGTTGAATGTTGCAGCTGAATCCTGCATGTGCTTGTTTATAAGCCAGCCCTGGGAGTAATTTCATGTGTCAGTTACAATTTAAATTGGGTTTATTGTAATGTTTTGTTGTGTAATAAACTGAAGAATGAAGTGCCTCTTTAAGTATATTGTTCAACTAACAAAATCCTTTGTGTTTACTAGTTTGGTGTCATATGTGGTTTATTACATGTGTGTTTTAACTAAAGATTTTCTTTTTCTTCCTGTCATATATGTCATACGTTGATAACTTCATATGTAAATTTGTTTTTAAATGTTATTTAAAGTATTTCCAGATCAGTTTTTAAAGGCAAAACAAAAACATGGGCTATTGCATTAAATAAGCCTAAATTATTCTTTTAGTGGGTACTTTTTTATAAATAAGTATAAAAATATATTTTCTTCATCAATAGAATACTTACCTTAATTTTCTTTTTTGATAATTTGGATATCCATATTACCTTTTCAGCCTTGAAAATGTGATGGTAAACACAGATGACTTTTGGGAGTAATATCCTTCCCTGTAACACCCTCCATAAGACTGCATCATGATGATTACGTATCAGCGTATTTCACAACCAGCTTAAAGATGCAGCTTATTTGGAAACAACACTATTCATAGAAACCTACTAACCTAAAATGTTTTTACTACTTTTATTTCTTAAATGTAGGTGGAAAAAACCCACATCGAGGTGACAGTACCCACCTCAAATGGTGACCAAACACAGGTTTGTGCCAATAGGCCACTTGTTCCTCTTTCCCTCCACCCCCTCAGTTTTTTTCTTCTCCCTTACTCCCTTTTCCTTAAAAAAATTATAAAATGAAGGTTCAAACAAACTTCAATGAGCAACATTTTATCATTTTTCTTTCTTTTTTAAATTATGGCAAAACAGAAGCTTGCAGAAAAAACTGAAGATCTGATAAGAATGAGGAAGGTTAGCCATTTTTCACTTTCACAAAACTACATTGCCATTTCACCCATGCTGACTTACAGTGCATTAAAAAGACAGTGATCCATTCTTTTCATTGATTTCTTTTAATCAGGAGTTGTTAATAGTTTCAAATAATGGATATGGGCCAGGAGCATTGGCTCACACCTATAATCCCAGCACTTTGGGAGGCCGAGGCAGGAGGATCACTTGGGGTCAGGAGTTTGAGACCAGCCTGGCCAACATGGTGAAACCACGTCTCTACTAAAAATACAAAAATTAGCCAGGCGTGTTGGTGCACGCCTTTAATCCCAGCTACTTGGGAGGCTGAGGCATGAGAATCACTTGAACCTGGGAGGTGTAGGTTGCAGTGAGCTGAGATCGTGCCACCGTGCTCCAGCCTGGGTGACAGATATACACATATATTTACATAAACTGAAGAAACCATAATCCTGTACTATATGTTGAAAAGTTTCATTAAACTTTTCAGTAGCAAAATATGTTTTTAAGCAAAATGAAATAATCAGTGAGAGTCAAACCTATCTTTTGTATTTAAAAATTTATAAGAACTATTTCACAATGACATCATATTCTTGGAATAATTGATAATATTTTATATACATTTATCATAAAATGAAAACCATCATAGCTGGCTGTGATGGCTCACACCTGTAATCCCAGCACTTCGGGAGGTCAAGGCAAGAGGATCCCTTGAGCCCAGGAGTTCAAGACCAGCCTGGGCAACATAGGGAGACCCCATCTCTTCAAAAAATAAAAATAAATTAGCCAGGCATGGTGATACACTCCTGTGGTCCCAGCTGCTTGGGAGGCTGAGGCAGGAGGATCACTTGCGTCCAGGAGGTTAAGGCTGCTGTGAGCCACAGCTGCACCACTACATTCCAGCCTAGGTGACAGAGTAAGACCCTGTCTCCAAAAAAACACCCACTGTAGCAGCAACTCCCAGTACTGTGTACAGCCGACTTCTCTGTGCCTCATTCTTTTCATCTATAGAGTGGGATGAATCAGTCTGAATCAGTTAACTGAGTATATTTATTGGCTGATCATGTATAAAATGATAATCTTTCTTAGATCTTTTTTATAAAAGAGATCTAATCTTTTATTAGATTTTATAATTAGAGATCTAGATACTGCAGTGTCACTAAGTATAAAATACATCCCAAAAGCTAAATAATGTTTTTAAAGCATTTCTTCACTCCATGATACATGGAGTTTCAGCGTTTTTTAGTCATATATTTTAAGGTAACCCTCAAACAGTTCAATTTCAAAAATGAAGATAAAACAGCTTGTTACATAAGAAGCCAATGAAGCCAGGAGCACTGTCTATTTAAATAACATCATCACATTCTTTCATCATTCATGAAAAAGGTCATCATTTTCTTGTGGTAATCATGTTCTGTGTCCGTGTGACTCTCTGACCATTTCATGTTGGCATATGCTGCGCTGTGGACATTTATTTTTAAATATTTTTTGGTTTGCCAATTTTCAGTTTTTTCCCGCAAGAACAACATTTTAATTTTTTATGCTTTTCTGTTTTCCCCCCTTTCATTTTCACAGAAAAAGAGAGAAAGACTAGATGGTGAAAACATTTATATCAGACATAGCAATTTAATGTTGGAGGTTTGTATGAACTTGAAGCTTATTTCAGTTGGTTGCCTGGAACCTTCTGCATTCTTTGCTGATCCCCTTTTCTTCATTCTGTGCTGCATTTGGTTTTGCATGCAATTGCATGAAGGGACTTTAGGTTTAAAATGCTTTTGCATGTTGGTGAACATGAAGATATGCAAACATCTCGCCTTCTGATTCTTTTTAGTTTCTATCTGTCATACTTACCTGGAAAAATATATGATTGGGACTACCTCTACCTCTCATGGTTCCATTGTTTTACCCACCTTTAGAAAATTCTACACCATTGCTAAAAGTTCCTTTAATTTTCCAAGAGTATAAACTTCCATATGTCCCAAGATGCAAATTTGCACTATTCTTTCATTTTCTGAATTAAGAGAGTGTGAAAAAGAAGGGAATTCAGAATGGACTTAAAATATTGGAGATAATAGAAAAATGACAGAAGAACTGTCGGGGAGGGGCGGGAAGTAAGATATAAGAAGGAAAGAGGGGAGCCTAGCATTTAATAAGTAGTTACTATAAGATGGTTTAATCATAAAAACAGGCCTGTGGGTATGGGATTGTTATTTTAAAGATGACAAAATTGAACCTCAAAGAGATTAAGTAATTTCCCTGTAGTCCCAGAACTGGAAAGCCAAGATGTGAGTTAGGATCTGTCCAACTCTATTAAACTACACTGTTTTGCACTCTGAAATAGCAACATGCTGTCTGCTATAGGAGTTGTAAGATTATTTTCCCATTATATTCAACATTGGTCATATATATATAAAATTTTTATTTTATTTTATTTTATTTTTGAGACAGAGTCTCGCTCTGTCGGCCAGGCTAGAGTGTAGTGGCGTGATCTCAGCTTACTGCAAGCTCCGCTTCCCGGGTTCACGCCATTCTGCTGCCTCAGCTTCCCAAGTAGCTGGGACTACAGGCGCCCGCCACCTGTCTGGCTAATTTTTTTGTATTTTTAGTAGAGACGGGGTTTCACTGTGTTAGCCAGGATGGTCTGGATCTCCTGACCTCGTGATTCGCCCACCTTGGCCTCCCAAAGTGCTGGGGTTACAGGCGTGAGCCACTGCGCCTGGCCTTTGTTTTTTTTTTTTTTTTTTTTTTTTTTGAGGCGGGTCTCACAGTGTTACCCAGGCTGGAGTGCAGTGGCTCAATCACTGCTTACTGCACTCTCAGCCTCCTGGGCTCAAGCAATCCTCCCATCTCAATCTCCTGAATAGCTGGGGCTATGGGTGCATGCCACAATGCCCAGCTAATTTTTAAATTTTTGGTAGAGACAGGATCTCAGTATGTTGCCCAGGCTGGTCTTAAACTCCTGGACTCAAGTGATCCTTCTGCCTTAGCCTCCCAAAGTACCGGGGTTACAGGCATGAGCCACTGGACCCAACCTAAACTTTAAAAACTAGATAGACCTCTGGCTTAATATATAGCCTCTAATAATTATTTAAACCTCATCTTATTCCTTGTCAATACCTGTATTTTGAGTACTTGTTATGTATAAAGTCTCTGAGAAAAAAATATGCCCAGCCTTCATTAAACATGTATTGCGTGGTGGGTGAAATACCAAGTGCTTTACATATCTTTGTCTCATTTAACATGAAGTTTTTCGAGGCTGGACCCTCAGATATTTCAAACTTGGCAACTGGATCTCTTTGTTTTAGCCCATATCTGAAACCAGACCTGAGTAGTTCCATCTTCAGAGACTAGGAAGAATAGTGAAGGTCAGTTGATTTCCTTTATTTGGCAGTGTAACATCTTGAAATTCTAAACATGCATATTTCCTGACTAGTTCGTCTTCAGTGCTTCCTCTTAACTGGAACCTGCAGTACCAATCATATATTTGTCATTTGTTCCATGAGGTGTGTTATGGCTTCTGAGACTCACAAAGTCCCTGTGTGTGATGTGTTTTTCCCTCAGCATTTCATTGACAGCCCTGAGAGGGGATTTCTAAATAAGTGTGTTTGGAAATTAAAACCACTAACTGCCTTTTGAGAACATTTTATATTTAATGAAGTGTTTGGTTTGATTGCTGCTAAAATTATGAAGTGATAGGCATCAAAAAGTGTCTAACCTGAACACAGCCAAAGTAATTTGGCCATCATTCTTTAGAAGTTTTTTCCCCTGTAAGGAAGTTCTCTCAAGTTATCTGTCACTCCAGCAGGTTTTTTTTTTTTTAAGCATCCCTCCTCCCCCTTCTCCTACCCCGCCCCCACTAATGCTTTGTTCTGGCACAAATAAGGTCGAGTTCATTTTTAGATCTACCGCCTCCTCCTCCATCTCCCAGAGAGAACCTGTAGCAAGTTGTCTATGACAAATTCTATTTGGAACAGGTCCCTTTGAGATCTTAATTTTACTCTGTGCCCCCACAGGTTTTCAACAAAGCCAGCTAAGAAGGATGGAGAAAGCTCCCTCAGAAGCTACTGGTTTTACCAAAACATTTATTTTCCCAGGTTCCAAGCCAATCCGAAGCTAGGCAAGAAGAGTAGCAAATTACAAGTCTCTTACATTAAGAGGTTAACTAAGAGAGTTATCATTTTACATAGCATCTCTTGCTTATTTTTGTTTTGCTCTATTCACACCTTTAACCCTCCCAAATGTATTAGGTTGTTCTTGGCCCAAACAGATTTTAATTTCCAGTGAGGAGCTGGGTCACAGGACCTTACATGCCTGGTGGGTCTGGTTGCTCAGTCCAATACTGGGTCTTTGAATGGGCTTGTTCATGCTTTTCTTTAGCTACTAGACATGCTTTTCTTGCTTTCAGCCAGAAGAAAAGTGCAAACTGTTGTTTCCCCCATAGTGAAGTCCATATTCATAAAATATATTCACATTTCATCCCAGCAAGCAAAACATGCTCTTCTGGGATAGCTATAGGATTGCCCTTTTGGAGTTAGCTTTCTGTTTGATCTCAAAGCAGGTATACATGGTTCAGTCTTGCAAAAATAAAAAGAATAGACTAATGAATTTTCTGAATGAATATCTACAGAATCAAAATCGTCTCACTGATTATTCTTCTTATGCTGTTTTCCCTTTGACATTGCTTTTGAAAAAGTTTTATTTAGTTAAAACCTGTATTACCCTCAGAAAAAACTTTTAAGCAAAATTTTATTTAAATGAATTATAATTTTTTACCCCAATACAGCTGTTTCCTACAGAGCCAAAAAAGAAAGACTAAATCCAAAATTCACCAAGCATATTAGGAGATGTATTTAGCATTATGCTTTTCTTGGATACAAAGCTGCCTTGATATATAATAAACACAGAATTTTTTACAGTCATCAAGTGATGGGCTCCCACATGTTTTGATCTCAAGCATAGATCTTTTAAGGTTTTTTGAAGTATTGTTGGACAAAGAACATTTGAGTTTTTGTCTTCAAGTTATATTTACCATACTATTTTTGGCCAAGTCCCCTTTTTGAAAGTTGTTATATACCTCCTTTTACATAAACCTGAATATTATTTCTAACTCATGCTTTATTAACCTAAGCTTCATTCATTTCTCCCTGGAATATCCCTTTAATAGCTTGCCTGTACCTCAGGTTGCCCAGTATTCAAATTTGCTAGGATATATACCTACTATATACCCACAAAAATTAAAAAAAAAATTTAATCTGCTGGAACAGTTGAATTATTTTAAATTGTCAAGGAGATATATAAGGTATTTGGTGAACTCTTGTTAACTCACTCTCAATCCTTTGAAGGTTATTGCAAGAAGTCCCTGTTTTGAGCTGTACTAAGTGATGAAGTGAAGCTGTTAGAAGCTAGAAAGCCTAAGGCGTTTAGTTTATGTGCATATTGTTGACAAAGAAAAAAAGTCATTTTATTATGTACCTCTGAGTGATTTTTCAGAGGTAGTAACAGTCTGCTCTGGAGCCTTTAACTAGGAATTTCAGTAATAAATTCTTACATCAAAAAAGGGCTATTCTTGTTTTTTAAAAAGCAGAAACAGCCACCTAGTAATAGAGAAGTAAAACCATCTCCAGGTAGAAATAGAAGGATACTGTATGTTTGCAACTCAACAAGACAAGACAGCCAATGGTGGAAGTTGTATGTTTCACCATGCCTTCATTAAACAGTTTGTTTATCTGTTGCTATCTCCATCCTCCTAAGCTGAGCCTAAAATAATTTCTTATCAAGCTGAGGCTAATTGAGTTGTGGAACTACCTTCTTGGGATGAGAAGTTAGAGATCTGCTGCTGTGTCATAATGGGAAGAAGAATCATAAATTAAGGCGTGAGTTCTTTATGGGTTATATAACTGCTAACAGCTATGGAGTTGTGATACTTCACAGCTTCTAAGAAAAGCACTTTATTTAAAGAAAAAAAAGGCAAGCAAATATACCATGTTGTATATTTATAATCTGAATGCAGATTAGTAACATCTGTCCTGGATGTGGTATGTTTTCTACCAGTGCCCAGTCTCTGACGGGTTGCCCTTGATTATGTTCTTTGTCCTGATTGTGTATTGTTTTGCATCTTTGTCCTTTCAACTGTAGGATTTAGACAAGAGTCAAGAGGAGATCAAAAAACATCATGCCAGCATCAGTGAGCTGAAAAAGAACTTCATGGAGTCTGTACCAGAACCACGGCCTAGTGAATGGGATAAACGCTTATCCACTCACTCACCCTTCCGAACTCTTAACATCAATGGGCAAATCCCCACAGGAGAAGGAGTGAGTACTTTGTCCACATGACCAATTGTGAAAATGGAGGGAATAAATGTTTTTATGTATTAATATTCTGTATCTGAGAGAAAGCTTAGAGCTGAAATTTGGATTTGGTGCCTCACTATATTCATTGCTGCTTTAAGGCATTTGTAATCAAATATTTATTTTTTTTTAAGTCAGGTAGGCTACCCAGTGCAATTATAGGAGCTATTTGGAGCCACCAGTAGATGATTAGCCTCTGAGAACTGTCTCTGCAGCTACATGCTTCTGGCTAATGTATGTTTATAAACTGACCATAAGCCAGTAGAGGTTTATTTGTATTCAAACTGTGCCTTCAGGGACTAGAAAGTTTACTAAATTTAGGAAGGTCAAAATAGGAAAGACATTAGTCTTTTTAAAAAGCTTTATTTGAACATTTGCACAACTTAGAAATATCTGGACTGGTTCCCCACAATTATATAGTAAACCAAGGAGGCCCCTAAGCCAGAGAATTCAGAATTCCAAATATTAATGATTGTATTTCAATTTTAGAAAAACTATGGGCTGGGCACCATGGCTCATGCCTGTAATCCCAGCACTTTGGGAGGCCAAGACAGGCAGATCACTTGAGTCCAGTAGTTTAAGACCAGCCTGGGCAACATGGCAAAACCCCATCTCTACAAAAATTAGTCAGGTATAGTGGTGTACACCTGTGTAGTCCAGCTACTCAGGGGGCTGAAACAGGAGGATTGCTTGAGCCAGGAGACCAAGGCTGCAGTGAGCCATGATTGCACCACTGCACTACAGCCTGGGTGACAGAGTGAGACCCTGTCTCAAAAAAAAAAAAAAAAAAGGAAAAGAAAAATGATTTATTTTATCTTTATGAGTAATATTAAACTTTTAATACACTGTTTTGTAAGATAGTCACAATTAGAGGTCAGAGATACCTTTCAGGGGCTCTTCTTTTTCTGTTATTGTCATTACCTATTTTAGAAATCCTACATCTGGGCCGGGCGCGGTGGCTCACGCCTGTAATCCCAGCACTTTGGGAGGCTGAGGTGGGCGGATCATGAGGTCAGGAGTTCGAGACCAGCCTGGCCAGCATGGTGAAACCCCATCTCTACTAAATATACAAAAATTAGCCGGGCATGGTGGCACATGCCTGTAATCCCAGCTACTCAGGAGGCTGAGGTAGGAGAATCACTTGAACCTGGGAGGCGGAGATTGCAGTGAGCCGAGATCACACCACTGCACTCCAGACTGGGCAACAGAGTGAGACTCCGTCTCAAAAAAAAAGAAAAAAAAGAAATCCTACATCTGAATAAATGAATCTATTAAACATTTAATGAAAATATCTTGAAAGTTACCATGAACATATACCCCAAAAGTTTTTATCTTTAGTCAGTACAAGTGAAATATTTATATAGTCACAATGACTCAATAAGTGATTATGATTTAAAAATTATGTGCTTGTTTTTCCCCCAAAACAATAGCAATTCTAGTTTAAAAAAGTAAAATGATGTCTTAATAATTTTAAAACTTTTTTTTTCCCTTTCTTTGAGATGGAGTTTCACTCTTGTTGCCAAGGCTGGAATGCAATGGCACGATCTTGGCTCCCTGCAACCTCCACCTCCTGGCTTCAAGCGATTCTCCTGCCTCAGCCTCCCTAGTAGCTGAGATTACAGGCGCCTGCCGCCACGCCCAGCTAATTTTTTATATTTTTATTAAAGATGGGGTTTCACTACGTTGGTCAGGGTGGTCTCAAACTCCTGACCTCAGGTGATCCACCCGCCTCAGCCTCCCAAAGTGCTGAGATTACAGGCATGAGCCACCGTGCCCAGCTAAAACTTTTTTTTTTTTAAATTTTCAGAATTTATGGTAAACTATCCAAATTATTATTTAGTTTCTGGAACTGGAGAAGGTGATAAAAGTTGGTTCACAGGCCGGGCTTGGTGGCTCACACCTATAGTCCTAGCACTTTGGGAGGCTGAGGCGGGCTGATCACTTGAGGTCAGGAGTTTGAGACCAGCCTGGCCAACATGGCGAAACCCCATCTCTACTAAAAATACAAAAAAATTAGCCGGGGCCAGGCACGGTGGCTCACGCCTGTAATCCCAGCACTTTGGGAGGCCGAGGCGGGTGGATCACGAGGTCAGGAGATCGAGACCATCCTAGCTAACACGGTGAAACCCCGTCTCTACTAAAAAACAAAAAATTAGCCAGGTGTGGTGGCAGGCACCTGTAGTCCCAGCTACTTGGGAGGCTGAGGCAGGAGAATGGCGTAAACCTGGGAGGCGGAGCTTGCAGTGAGCCGAGATCGCGCCACTGCCCTTCAGCCTGGGCGACAGAGCGAGACTCTGTCTCAAAAAAAAAAAAAAAAAAAAAAAAAGCCAGGCATGGTGGCATGCGCCTGTAATCTCAGCTACTTGGGAGGCTGAGGCAGGAGAATCGCTTGAACCCAGGAGGCAGAGATTGCAGTGAGCCGAGATCGCGCCACTGCACTCCAGCCTGGGCAACGGCAAGACTCCGTCTTAAAAAAAAAAAAAAAAAAATTGGTTCACAAAGGGTACTTTTTGTATTTTTCAAAGTGTGACTAAAATTGGCTAACAGTTCTCCAAACAGAGCTGAACAGTTTCACAAATAAGGCTGGAGAATACCTGAGTAATGGGCAGCTAAATAGAGTTACCAGGGATGACAGGACGCTATTGTTTCCTACTCACTGTCCTCTCAGCCTCCATTTTCTGATATAAATGGACTTTAGTTTTGTGTTCTAAATCTAGAGCATGTATCCTGAACTGAGACAATAACTCTGCTTTCTAGGCAAGACCACTGTTTTCAGTGTCAGTAGGATACTTAATTTTGATGTATCTGTAGTAACAAGAGTCATAAAGGGTCTAGTATTTCTGGTTGTGGCTTGATTTGATTTAGAGGGTCTGGCTAGTCAAAGCCTAAATGAACAATTCTGAACAAGTAATTTATCATATTGGGCCTTAGTTTATGGAGTAGATGATCTTTAAGGTCCCTGTTAACTCTAAAATTCTGTAAGTCTGTGACTCCATAAGAAAATGCCTTGTCGCTATTTCACCCAGTTAACCCTATCTGCAAACTATAACTGCGTATTTTCTAGAAGTTTTCTTTTTGACTCTGTGCAAGTAATAAAAGATACTCGACTACTTTGAAAAAGTAACTTGGTCCTCTCTTGGATGAGGCTGGGTAAATTTGAATTAGTCTCCATTTCCAGGAAATATCTTACATCTTTTAATAGAAACCTTTCAGAAATCTTCTCAGGGTTGGTTTTGGGAATGGTGATGTCATTCTGTGTACTTTAAAGAAATAACTTTTTATAAACTAAACAATATCCATGGGAGTACTTGAACAATTTTAGCTCTATGCTATTACCCCTGTAAATGAATAGTGGAATAAATAAGCACTGTATTATGGTGACCTTTAATATTGGGTAATTCTACTTTCTGGCATATCTTACTTTTTCTTTAACAATTGGGATACTATTTCCATTCTCTGGGGATACCTCTTCCACCTTTGACGGTATTGTTGTTGCATTGCAAGGCAACTGAATTTTATATAATTTGTGTATGACCAGGTGAAGAAAACTTCTGTCCTACCCTCGGAAAGAAAGGTTGGTGGGCCAGAGGTAAAGCTGCTGTTATGACTTGTGCTTCTCAATCAGAATTTGCTCTTGTCATGGCACTAAGCAGATAATCCCCCCAGAACTGAACAACAGCTGCTGAATACCTTTTTTTCTTTTGGCTATACTAGTAAATTCACACCCACAGCCTTTCGGCCTAACACATAACACTTCCACTGCTGCAGCTTTTGCAGCTTTCGATTTGCTTATTTCGGCGCATGGCTGGTTGAAAAGCTGCATGAAGATATAAATATGTTTTCAGAGAGAAAATGAATTTAATTATACCCTATTCTTTTTATGTTGTCTTTCTTCTCCCACTTTATTTTCTTTCAAAAATCATCATAATTTTGCATCCTTTCTTTTCCTTTTTTTCTTTTTTGCTGACCAGTCCCCTAGCTACTTTCTCCCTGATACATATCACTTAGGGGTGTGCAAAGAACCAGTGTTGAACTTCCAAACTGATCAGAGAAGGCTAGCTCAACTGAGAGAACTTAGAGCCAAGTTTTTCCTTTCATAGATAACATCTGTCTTGACTATGGATAGCAGAGTACAGAAATTGCAGGGGGAATAAAAACTTCTCAATTGGACAATTGGGGAGAAAAAACTTTCTTTAAAAGTGTCTAAAGCATTTGCTTAAAGTAATGTATAAACCTTCATGATGGTCATTATTATTTATTTGTTTTGGTGAACCTTGGAGGGACATTATAAACTTTTATACTTTTTGTTTTTCTTTTGCAATCTTTAAAATGTATAAGATTAAGATTTTTTATTTCTGGAGCAAAAACTAATTGCTATACTGAATGAACTGTTGCTTTTAAAACTGTTGTTTTTAAAGTCTATATGAAGAGATATAAGGATTACTTTTTATATTCTGCCATTATATTTGTAATAAAAGTAACTTTTTTTTTTTGTCTGAGACAGACTGTTGTTCTGTCCCCCAGGCTGGAGTGCAGTGGCGCGATCTCAGCTCACTGCAACCTCTGCCTCCCGGGTTCAAGCAATTCTCCGGCCTCAGCCTCCTGAGTAGCTAGGATAACAGGCATGTGCCACCACGCCCAGCTAATTTTTGTATTTTTAGTAGAGACGGGGTTTCACCATGTTGGCCAGGCTGGTCTCAAACTCCTGACCTCGTGATCCGCCCACCTCGGCCTCCCAAAGTGCTGGAATTACAGGCGTGAGCCACTGCGCTCAGCCAAAAATAACTTTTATGATGGCAAGGAGAATGCTTCATTATTGGCATTGCCCAATTAGTGATTGGCAGCACCAAAGTAATAGAAAATGACCTAAAATTCATATGTGAATATCCTCAAAGGAAGAATAAATAACATAGCAAGGGGAAAGCCAGTGATTCCTTGAACTTTCCGTTCTAATGTTCACTCACTCAAAAAGGTATCTATTGAGCACCCTATTGTGTTACAGAAACTTTGCCAGGATAAATTGCCAAAATAAAGTAAAGCTAAAATGAAGAGTGTCTAAAAGATACTTCCAAATCCTTTGCACATCCCCAAGTATCATTTTTGAGCATTTTCCATCTGTCATTTTGTTCATCTTATTCTGTCTTTCTTGATCTTCTACTGTGAAAGCAGACACAGGAACGTGCTCTGTTAGTACAGGATGAAGAGAAAATTAAAAGGCAAGAAAGATCTACTGAAAGAGCCTTGCCCCAGCAAGAAAATGAAGAAATTCTTCCCAAGGTTTCTATTCCAATCCCTGAGGATCACAAGTCTCTCAAAAAGTGCCACCTCTACTTTAGTACTTTTCCATCTCCTCGTATTCCTTTCATGATGTCTTTTCTCGTGATCCTTGTGTTGGCTGTTTGGTGGTTGGTCTTTCTGTGATCAGAAAACAGGGTGCTCATCTGAAATGTCAAGACCATTGAACTTCTGTCCTTGGCTTCAACTGTGTTATTGCTGTATGATGCCCTCTGATCTTGATAGTTCACTATCCTAGGGGAGCTCTTGTGATCATTTTTCTGTCAAATGTTACTCTTTGTAGAGTATGTATTGTGGGGTACAAAGGAGTAGCAATGGACTGCCCAAAGCCAGCTTTTCTGCATTGAAGTTTAACAAATTTAAACAAATCAGAATTAAGCATATGGCAGGTTGGTAATCTTCCCAAAAGCTTTAACTCTTTTATCCTGCATGTTTACTGTTTACTATTGTTATGTCTTCCTATCCAATATCTCACACAAACCAGGATACTCTCTAGATACATTTGATGGAATATTTTCCTAATCCTCTATAGTCATTTGTTTGGCATGGGCTTCATAGTTTAAGAAAAAATTTCAACTCGCTAACCTTTCAGAAGCCTTAAAATGATAACGTTTTAATCTACAAATCCATAACCACTCCTTTTCTTAGGATATCAAACCAGTATAAACAAAAGTCTTTTCTGGAAAAGGGCTTTTGACTTCTGTGGCCTTTTTATGAGTATTTCTGAGCTGTACAGGGACAGACAACTTTTTCCTGCCTGGTGTATAGAAGAGATCTTCAAAGATTAAATGCCATCTTTTCACAAGTAGAGTGTTGATATGGTTTAAGGAAAATGGTGCTGGTGCCCCTTAGCCTCCAGCCAGGACTGAAATTCTCAGACTACTCTACCTATCCTTAAAAGTCTGGAACACAGATTTACTCAAGATCTGTACATAAACCCTTCTCTGAATTAAGATACTGTGTTACTTCTTTATGGCTTTACTAATTATATTGCTAGCAGCAATAGTTAGCCATTGCTAAGCTTAAAATATATATTGATATACTTTGTTTTCCTGATATACTTCAGACCTGTTTGTTCGTGTACTTGTGTTGAAATCAATTGTTTTTAATCAATGGCTTTGTGACCTCAAGTTCACTTGTGACAAGTATGTGTCCTCTGTTTGCATGTTGACTTCTAAGACTTACCTGAAGTAAATGTGGGCACTCTCTCTCTCTTCAGGACAACTCACATGCCTAACCTGTTATTTTTTACCTCAATATTGAAGAAACCTTGCATGTAGCTTGCTTTTTATGGCACTTGAATGTACCAATATGGATGATTTGGTTAATGTCTCAAATATTTGTTTTGAAATCTGAGTTTATAGGGTTATCAAACTAAGATTATTATACTTTGTTTTACTTCTCAATGCTTTTCAGTTGATGAAACTTCTAAACAAGACTTTTTGTTTTTGAGAAGATGGCCTCTTAGAGCAAAAAAAGAGAACAGTAAAGACAAGAATCTTTTGTCCTTCAACATCTACCAATATTGTTCTCTTGTCTCTGGAGACATGTAGAAATAATTATCTGTTATTTCCTGAAAACTGCTACGCTGTCATTATAGGCTTTCCCAAGAAATGGAAAAAGAAGCAAGGACCAGGTTAAAATTTAAAATTTGGTGTGCGTATATATCTTTTATGTCACAGGCTATGTCTATTTATAATATATATTTTGTAAATAAGTATATTTATTGATTCACTCATAATAAGAGGGACCTGAAATATTACAAAGCTGTTCTCTACCACAGAAAGTAATAATCATGAGTACTCTCTTTTATCTGGGAAATAAAGATACAAGAGTTTCCCTTAATGAAATAACAAATTGGACTATAGAATTGGTTAGATTATTTTAAATCTTTTTTTAAGGAATTAAAAGGAAATAATCAGAACTTTATTTATACTTTTATAACTGTTTCAGATTATAATTCCTGAATTTCCAGTTTTCATCCTTATACACAGCTTTTTATTAATTACTATTGTAAACTTCACCCTGAATTTTATTTCTCTTTGTATTGGAGTTATTCCAAGTCCATTAAAAGTCTAAGCCAATGATACTTTTCAGTTTTCTGAAATGCAGCAAGAGTCCTCGGAGATCTTTATTGAGAGTCAAAGGAGAGGCCATTTCTTCTATCAATAGGGTAAGAATGATTAAGAGGAGAATGGCCAAGCCCTTGTATTGGATGAAGCTGACCAATGCAGACTCAAAAGATACCATCACAATTATCAGAGGAAAAATATTGGGCATTCCAGCTTTGTATTACCTAAAGGTAACACTGCCAATATTTGCAACATAAAGCGTAAATGGGCTGGGCGTGGTGGCTAACACCTGTAATCCCAGCACTTTGGGAGGCTGAGGCGGGCAGATCACCTGAGGTCAGGAATTTGAGACCAGCCTGTGCAACATGGTGAAACCCCACCTATACTAAAAATACAAAAATTAGCTGGGCATGGTGGCACACACCTGTAATCCGAGCTACTTGGGAGGCTGAGGCAGGAGAATCGCTTGAACCCGGGAGGCAGAGGTTGCGGTGAGCCAAGATCACACCACTGCACTCCAGCCTGGGTGACAGAGTGAGACTCTGTCTCAAAAAAAAAAAAAAAAAAAAAAGTGTAAATAGTCTTGGTTTCCTTCCTTCATTTTCAGTACCAGAGGCAAATTCTAATACATATTGGTGTTACCCTGATTCAGCTTCTTAATGGCAAGCTGATAAATAAAAAATAATTTGGAGTAAAGGTATCAATACAGACCAGTATAATATTTTGGGTTTTTGCTTTGGTTTTGTCATTATTCATTTCTAGGGTGACTCTGAGAGGTTCACTTAACTACTTGGTGCCCAGATTTCCACCTAGTAATGTGGAGACAAACCTACTTCATGAGAATGAATACGTAATAAATTCCAGGAACCAGAGACCCTGGTTGTCGTTCAATTCTTGGTCTTTTGGGAGCTGGGAAGATGAAAATTTAAAAACACAAAAACATACATTAACTTCTTTTTATTTTGAAAGTAAGTCGTTAAATAGCTGTTTATTTCCATCTACTCCTTATTGATATTTGACCACTTTACTAATTTTCCAAATTTATCCTTCTCTTAATAAATTCATCTTATCCAAATGGTATGATTAGAGTGGATCATACTTGAAAATAAACCAAGCATCTATATTTTGGGCCTCTCTTTCAGCCAGTTTCTTTCATGCTAACACTTGCAATATGAAGGGAATTGTTTGCATGGGTCAAGTTTTCTACTTATTTACATCTTCAGTAAGAGTTTTGAAGGGAAAAGATGCTGACTCTGTTGATTAAGATTAGACTGGATATTATACATGGAATAGATTTCCAGTTGGCATCCTAGGACCTGGTACATTTCTTTCTATTAAATATTATAAATTTTACTCTGAAACTTCTTTGGATATAATAACCCAATTCACTTTCTCCTAGTTTCCTAAGTCACTTCTGTAATACTTCTTATAGATAAGCCTGTAGTACTTCCTATAGATAAGCCTATAGGACACATGAGGCATTAGAGATCTAATTAATTTTAAGAAGGTATTATGGAGCAGAAATTACACTTGTGCTTTACCCAGTGATCATGTATTTACAAAAGGAAAACAGGGCAAAATTAATATGAGACATGGTCTCATTGTTGCTTTTATTTTTTCGGCAAGGGTTTTGAATACAGTAAAGACATACAAAATTTGTTGACAGAGTTGCCTTCCCTTATATTCCTCTTCACAGGAATTATAAAATCCCAAACTATAGCATTCTCTGCAGCTTTGAAAAAGACTATTATATTGTTTTTATTATACATAGAAACTTCACTTTTTTTTCATATACTCAAATTACACCGTTTGTAATATTGGTACTAGAAACTACAACAACTTCTTATTAATCTGTTTTGTGTGGCATGTAGCATTACCATATCTGCTTCCTCTACACTTTAGTGGATAGTATTAATAGGCCACTCTCATTTCTGAAGCTGTTACTCCTCATGCCTTAGTATCTCCTTTTACTGTAGCAGAATATGACACAAAAAGAAACACATTGGTGCAGATCTATGAAAGCATACCTGAAATGGTTAAGAAGGTATGGGATTAGAGTTAGGAAGCCATACAAAGTTAGGCTAGAGGAAGAGCAGTGGCTATGATCAACAATTATAAATTCATGGAGGATTCCTTTTGGTAAACAAAACTCCTATCATCCTAGAACTTGAAAGACAAAAGGAAGATAAAGTAGTTTGTTCCCACATATCAGAAATGCAGGCTAAAAGCCAAATAACTTGAATAATAGCCTAACTAAATGTATAGATAACATTGTGGAGAAAACACACTTTAGGAATTTTAAAAATCTTTTGTGTGTCCAGGCGCGGTGGCTCACGCCTATAATCCCAGCACTTTGGGAGGCTGAGGCGGGCGGATCACAAGGTCAGGAGATCGAGACCATCCTGGCTAACATGGTGAAACTCCGTCTCTACTAAAAATACAAAAATTAGCTGGGCGTGGTGATGGGCATCTGTAGTCCCAGCTACTCAGGAGGCTGAGGCAGGAGAATGACATGAACCTGGGAGGCGGAGCTTGCAGTGAGCCGAGATCACGCCACTGCACTCCAGCCTGGGCGACAGAGTGAGACTCCGTCTCAAAAAAAAAAAAAAAAAAATCTTTTGTGATTGAAATCCTAGGCCAGGTGTGGTGGCTCATGCCTGTAATCCCAGCACTCGGAAGGCCGAGGTGGGCAGATCTCCTGAGGTCAGGAGTTCAAGACCAGCCTGGCTAACATGGTGAAACCCTATCTCTACTAAAAATACAAAAATTAGTTGAGTGTGGTATCAGGCATCTGTAATCCCAGCTCCTCAGGAGGCTGAGGCAGGAGAATCGCTTGAACCCAGGAGGTGGAGGTTGCAGTGAGCTGAGATCGCGCCACTGTACTCCAGCCTGGGCAACAGAGCAAGACTCTGTCTCAAAAAAAAAGAAAAATCCTAGAAGGCAGCAGTGTCTTACCCTTTAACATAGAATCCTGTTTTGGGTAAATGATAGAATAACTCTGACATTTGAAAGATTGAAAGGTAGGGGAAGGCATAGAGTCTCAACTATCTTTTCTTGTCTCAAAATCAACAAAGGCAGGTGAGCCTCTCATTTTCTTATCTACTACCTCTTCAAAGAAAAGTCTTCATATTTATAAGATCCTATCTCAATAAAACACATAGAAAAATATTTAAGGGGATAACATGGCCACCATTCATTTTATTTATTTATTTAATTTGTCACCCACCAGCAAAGTACTCTATTATATATTACAAGGATGCAAAGAGTCAGCATTATCAGAATTTTAGGGATTGGATAGGATCCTAATTCAATTCCTCTCTCTTCCAGTGCTTGACTCTTCTCTGCAATATCATTTAGAGATTTGGAGGCCAGTGTTGCAGTCTTTGTTTCAATATCTCCTGAGATAACATATTACATCTTTGGACAGCTCTGAGTTTGTATATAAATCATTCATATATTAAGTGAAAATCTGTTTCCCTGTAGCTTTCACTCACTGATCCTGAACAGAGGCATTTTAAAGAATTTTCTATCTTTTTCCACATTACTTCTTCACATACTTAAAGGTAACTCTCATGTTGAAACTAGTCACTATTCTTACCCTCAGACAAGTTACCATCTGCTATTCAGATCTATTCCAGTCTTCCTCCTAGCATGTCATCCTCCTTTCTTCTTTTCTAACTTCCCTTGTTTTAACAGCTTTTTCTTTCTGGCTGTGTTGCCCACTGTGGATTATTCCGCTTTATGTCCCTATAAATTGACATTCTCTCTCCAAAAAATTTTGAAATTTCTGGCTGTCCCAGCTTCTTCATAGATAACTTAGGCTTTGGAATTTTTTTAGATAAAAGAGTAGAGGTGGGATAGTTTTCTAGCTTTGAGAGTTTCATGTAGCCCAGAATCTGTTGATAAGATAGTATCAGTGTTATATTTTGAGGAAGCACACTACCAAAGCCTGCATTCTAAGTTTGCTTTCCTTCTGTGACAGTCTGAGTAACCTTTACATACTGGAGTTGTCCCCAAGTGATTCAGTTTATACCAGTGTGATGATAAAATTATGGAAATGTACTTTCTGCTTAACATTCTGATTATGATTTATACCCCACCAGAAAAAGTGATAATAAATATTTGAAGTGTTGTTAATACATCTCTTTTGTGCCTTTCTCCTCAAAACTATGAGATTCTCAGAGGTAAGAGGCTCTTTAGGCCAAGCACGGTGGCTCATGCCTGTAGTCCCACTTACTGAAGAGGTTGAGGCAGGGGATTGCTTGAGCCCGGGAGCTCAAGGCTGCAGTGAGCCATGATCACACAACTTCTCTCCAGCCTGGGCGACACAGCATGACACTGTCTCTAAAAAAATTTTAAATAAAAATAGGCCTTGATTTTGCCAATCTATAACCTTTGTATCCCATTTACCACATTGCCTTGAATATAACAAATAATATTTGTTTCACTGAATTAAATGATTAATCACAGGTGGCGATGGATAAATAACTTTTCACATAGAATCTCTTGTACTGGCACATAAATTTGTGCCAAATTAATCACCTTATGCCCAATCATTATATGCAGGTAATCCAGAAAGCCTGTATCCAGCCCAGAAGCCACTGTCTCTCTTGTTAATCCTGTAGTATGGTCCCTTGTTTATTCAAGGAATCTAGTATACCCTTATGGTAGGTGTCAGTTTCTATTGTTAATGTCTTGTAACTTGGTTCAATTAAAAGCTCTTATCCAGCTGGCCTTGGTGGCACAAGCCTGTACTCCCAGCTACTCGGGAGGCTGAGGCAGGAGGATCACTTGAGCCTGGGAATTCCAGTCCAGCCTGGGCAACATAGCAAGACCCCATCTCAAAAAAAAAAGCTCTTATGTATTTACCACAGGTAATAATGAGCTATTCTCACTCTAGAACATATTACTAAGAATAGGGTACACATCTGTATAAATAAAGTCATCTCGGATAAGTGTGATATCATAAAGGGAACATTTATGTTTATCTAAAATACATTGCAGAGAGCAATTTGACACTTTTTCTTGTGTTTTACGTGATATAGAAACATCAACTATATCAAACTCTTATGGGTTTTGATATATTTGGAGTATCAGGAGTAGGCAAACTTTTTCTGTAAAGTGCCAAATAATAAATATTTTAGGCTTTGCAGGCTATATGGTCTGTCACAACCACTCAGCTTTGCCATTGTAGAGTGAAAGTAGTATAGATAACACATAAAATGAATGTGATTATGCTCCAATCAAACTTTATTTATGGACACTGAAATTTAAATTTTGTATAATTTTACATATTACTAAATATTATTCTATTAGTTTCCTAACCATTTTAAAATGTAAATACCATTCTTAGCTCATAGCAATAGAAAAATAAGGAGAGGGTGGCTGGGTGCAGTGGTTCACGCCTGTAATCCCAGCACTTTGGGAGGCCAAGATGGGCAGATCATTTAAGGTCAGGAGTTTGAGACCAGTTTAGCCAACATGGTGAAACCCTGTCTCTACTAAAATACAAAAATTAGCCAGGTATGGTGGCGCACGCCTATAATCTCAGCTATTCGGGAGACTGAGAACCGCCTGAACCTGGGAGGCAGACATTGCAGTGAGCCAAAATTGCACCACTGCACTCCAGCCTGGGTGAAAGAGCAAGATTCCGTCTCAAAAAAAAGAAAAAGAGGGGGTGAGATTTGGCCTGCTGCTTATAGTTTGAGGACCCCTGGTACAGACCAGAAAAGTGGTTTATTATGTTTGCTGCCTTTGTACTGTTTTGGAGAATTGTAGTTGGGATCTTAGCATCTTCACTCAATGTCAAAGTATTTTTTGTCTTTATTTATGATTAGAAATGGAAAACAAAAGATGAGACATTCATTTCTATTAAGCAGTCAGGGTACACCTGAACTGTAATCAAAAATACATACTGCTGGGCGTGATGGTTCATGCCTGTAATCCCAGCGCTTTGGGAGGCTGAGGCAGGAGGATCACTTGAGGCCAGAAGGATCACTTGGGTCCAGGAGCTCAAGACCCATCTCTACCAAAAAAAAATTAGCTGGGCATGATGGCATGCCTGTAGTCCCAGCTACACGGGAGCCTGAGGTAAGAGGATCATTTGAACCCAGGAGTTTGAGGTTGCACTGAGCTATAATCATGCCACTGTACTCCATCCTAAGCAAGAGCAAGACCCCGTCTCTACAAAAAATAAATAATAAAATATGTACTGTAACCACCACAGCACCCCGTTTCTGCCAGTTTTCCAAATTGCATTGTGTTAACTGTGGTCTTATATTCAGTGATGATCCTAGATATCCCCTTCATTTGGTTTGTTTTAAGGATCTGCCTCCATTTCCCCCTAAAGAATAAAGAAACCACAATTCCCAAATTCACCTTTTCTTTAGCCAAGTTTTAGAGATATATAATGAACATGGTAAAGAAAGTAAAATGATTTTTTTTTTTTTTGGACACAAAATTTCGCTCTTGTTGCCCAGGCTGGAGTGCAATGGTGCGATCTCGGCTCACGGCAACCTCCGCCTCCCGGGTTAAAGTGATTCTCCTGCCTCAGCCTCCAGAGTAGCTGGTATTACAGGCGCCTGCCACCACGCTCAGCTAATTTTTTGTATTTTTAGTAGAGATGGGGTTTTATTGTGTTGGCCAGGCTGGTCTTGAACTCCTGATCTCAGGTGATCTGCCCGCCTCAGTCTCCCAAAGTGCTGGGATTACAGGCATGAGCCCCCTCGCCCCGCCAGAAAAATGATTTTTACTTTGAGCTTTTGGTATACTTTAGTGTTTTAAGCGCTGGTATAAATTTAAGATTGGGTATCTACAGAAAACGTCTTAGAAGTGTCCCTCTTTCTAATTATTACCTTTTTTTTTTTTTCTTTTTTTGAGGTGGAGTCTTCCTGTCACCCAGGCTGGAGTGCAGTGACACGATCTCGGCAACCTCCACTTCCCAGGTTTAAGTGATTCTCCTGCCTCAGCTTCCCAAGTAGCTGGGATTGCAGGCACGTACCACCATGCCTGGCTAATTTTTGTATTTTTGGTGGAGATGGAGTTTCACCATGTTGGCCAGGCTGGTCTCAAACTTCTGACCTTAGTTGATCCACCTTCCTCAGCCTCTCACCGCACCCAGCGAGAAATCTGTTTTGAAAGTAATAATTAGTGGCTGGGTGCAGTGGCTCACACCTGTAATCCCAACACTTTGGGAGGCTGAGGTGGGAGGATCACCTGAGGTCAGGAGTTCAAGACCAGCCTGTTCAACATGGGAAAAACTCCATCTCTACTAAAAATACAAAAAATTAGCCAGGCATGATTGCGCGGGCCTGTAGTTCCAGCTACTCGGGAGGCTGAGGCAGGAGAATTGCTCCGCCTGGGTGGCGGAGGTTGCAGTGAGCTGAGATTGTGCCATTGCACTCCAGCCTGGGCGACAAGAGCAAAACTCTTATCTCAAAAAAAAGAAAAAAATATATATTTCTCTGAGGAGAATTCCCCAATTCACAGCTTTTTTGGGCAGTATTTACCAATAAGTCAGAATAAGATAAAGCAACATTATTTATTTATTTATTTATTTATTTATTTATTTATTTTGAGACGGACCTTCGTTCTGTAGCCCAGGCCAAAGTGCAGTGGCGCAATCTTGGCTCATTACAACCTCTCCCTCCCGGGTTCAAGCGATTCTCCTGCCTCAGTCTCCCGAGTAGCTGGGATTACAGACGCGAACCACCGCACCCGGCTAATTTTTGCATTTTTAGTATTTTGGCCAAGCTGGTCTTGAACTCTGGACCTCAAATGATCCGCCCACCTTGGCCTCCCAAAGTGCTGGAATTACAGGCGTGAGTCACTGTGCCTGGCCCCTTTTTTTCTTTTTTTTTTTTTTTGAGACAGGGTCTCACTCTGTCTCCCAGGCTGGAGTGCAGTGATGCAATCACATCTCACTGAAGTCTCGACCTTCTGGCCTCAAATAGTCCTCCCACCTCAGCCTCCCAAGTTGCTGGGACCACAGGTGTGTGTCACACCTTGCTAAAAGACAGGGTTTTACCATGTTGCCCAGGCAGGTCTCAAACTCCTGAGCTCAGGCCATCCACCCTCCCCAGCCTCCCAAAGTGCTGGGATTACAGGTGTGAGCCACTGAGCCTGGTTTTGCGGAAGTACTTTCTAATAAATCCCTATGCACATGTTTCTTTCATTTCCCTTGGCCAGGCTCCTTTTGCTCTAATACTTAGCTGAGTAAATTAATTATTCATTAACAATTCAGCATGATATTTAAGCCTAAGAAATCTTTAGTCCCTTTGGGACATTTTCTTTGATATTTTTCTCACATTATTTGCTCTGTTAATGTGTAAACTTATGAATAAATCTTATTTATTGCAAATGTGATTCTGGTTGCTACTAATCATTAAGGAAGTAGGAGTTAATAATGCTGTTCATAGACCTACTACCAAAAAAATCCAAATGAACCTCTGTTTTCAGCCGATCAGCAAGAGATTGCTGTCAGCTAGTCTTTCTCTTGTTTTTCCTTATATTCACTCTTCTCTGTGGCCCAATAATTAGTTGTCTTTTGCTTAGTCGTAAGACAGAGACAACCTACTGGTGTGCATTCAGTTCTCAGAATGTTATTTTAAATCAGCTTTGAACTAATTTGACTATGCCAAGTTTTAAAAATAATTTTTTTCTAACCAATTTAATTAGTCACTACAACAGATGTAGTTGTCACATCTGTTAGAAACATTTTAGTATGATGAATTTGTCTTTTATGGGCTTTTTAAAAGCACTGTACAAATTTGTAGTTAATAACTCTTCAGTATTGCCACTCTAATCTTACTGAAAAGTGAAGAATGGTGTGGGTGTGGGTATGTGGGTGTGAGGAGAGCTTGTTCCTGTAATGTGAAATCGACAGAAGGTATATCACTTTATCTCTTACTTCACCTTGGGTAAACCTTCTCTTAACTCTCACAGCTCTAGATTTTATTATATTATTCAGGTGATTATTTCAAACTAATGCTTCGGCTGGGCACTGTGGCTCACGCCTGTAATCCCAGTACTTTGGGAGGCCGAACTGGGTGGATCGCCTGAGGTCGGGAGTTTGAGACCAGTCTGACCAACATCGAGAAACCCTGTCTCTACTAAAAATACAAAATTAGCCAGGTGTGGTGGCACATGCCGGTAATCCCAGCTACTCGGGAGGCTCAGGCAGGAGAATTGCTTGAACCTGGAAGGCGGAGGTTGCAGTAAGCTGAGATCACACCATTGCACTCCAGCCTGGGCAACAAGAGCGAAACTCTGTCTCAAAAAAAAAAAAAAAAACCTAACACTTCACATTTTAGAGTGGTCTATTTACTAGCTCAAAGTATGTACCTTGTGATCTAAGTAAAATAACTTTGTAGTATTTCTCCAAAGCCATGTTTCTTTTATGAGTTTGTTGAAAATGCTAACACAGAAAGCCATTTTCACTATTATACGATTTCTCAAGAAGATAAAACATAGCTAGTTAATATTCAATAATAATTTTCTATAATAATAGCTGTCTGTTGCATTGGTTCTGTAGAATCAAGGTAACTATTTCTTGGGTTTTTTGTTTGTTTTGTTTCGTTTTTGAGACGGAGTCTCACTCTGTCACCCCGGCTGGAGTGCAGTGGTGTGATCTCGGCTCACTGCAACCTCCGCCTCCCGAGTTCAAGCTGTTCTTGTGCCTCAGCCTCCTGAGTAGCTGGGATTACAGACACCCGCCACCACGCCTGGCTAATTTTGTATTTTTAGTAGAGATGGGGTTTCACCAGGTTGGTCAGGCTGGTCTCGAACTCCTGACCTGAAGTGATCTGCCCACCTCAGCCTCCCAAAGTGCTGGGATTACAGGCGTGAGCCACTGGGCCTAACCTCAAGGTAACTGTTTTCTAGATATCAAATTTTCTTAAATGCTTATTATGACTTTAATCAATTTTTAGAACTGAGACTTCTGTGAAATCCAGCCAAACAAATTCAATTTTGTTCCATTCTAACTTCAGAGTTTTTGTACTGGTCATAGCTCCTTTTTCTCCACCTTCATCCCTCCACCCCTACCCTTCATAGTGTAATGAAATAAAACTGACCACCAAACGCTTCTGGTCTGTTAGACATGCTTAGTATAACCTTTAATATTTGCCCAAGCACTTTGACCTCTGTAGATCTATTCAGATTTGAGAACACTCATTTGATCTGTGGAGTCCTTGCTGGTGAGTGCAGTGTAAAGGCAAAATTTTCTATTACCTAATAGTTAAAATTTTGCATCCGGCATGGATTTTGAAGCTGTTTGCTTTTACGTTCACCTATTCTGGGGATAATCTAATAACAGCACTATTTAGGAAATTATAAAAACAATGTTTGACAGATAATTATCATTGGCTAATTTCATTTGCTGTCCTTTGTGAGAGGCTGCATTGTGGAATTATTTTCCTATCATAAGCAATTTTATCAACTCTAGTAAAGGCCCACATCTTCCGGAATAAGCCCCTTTATCCAGATTTTATACAAATGTAATCTTTATATACCAGAGAATAGCAATAGACTGTGAAAATGACTCTGAGTTTCATGGAGAAGCTAGTGAGCACTATAAGGATATATTTCTAGCTAGAAACTAATAGCATACAACCTTGAAAAAAAAAAGGCGAGAGAGGGTACATCCAAGAGAGAAAAATTAGAATGAAGAGAAATGTATTGCATGATAAAGAATGTCACACTAGAAAGGAAAGACAGAATTTTAACATCACCTTTTGCTAGCCCATGGTTACTCTGTTGTTAGTTTATCCCCATCTTGAGTGCTTGTGATTCTAATGTCCTTTTTCAAACTTCTAAGTGGCCTGAGTTGTCCACTGAAACTGTACAAAACTATTATTTACAAGCTTTTGGGGGTGGGAACCAGAGGATGTTTCTCCTTTCGGTAATTTTTGTTCTTCTGTCTTCATTTGTTTCCTTTTTTGGCTGAAGAATGGGCTCCTACTGCTTGACTTGTCATCTTTATGTGCTGTTTACACATGGCTTTTGCAAAAGAAGCCATTACCACATCTGATTTATCTTTTATTGCAAGTGCCCATTTAAAAGCATTTGTTTTAACTTAAAAAAAATTGTTTTAATCATCAGGCTAATGTGCCTACTGATTATTATACAACCTAGGGAAATGCTGATATAATTTTTCAAAATAGGAAATTACAAATATTAATATTAATGTATAAAGACATATGTTTTGCTCTTAAGAGGTTTTCCCCTAGGCACTTAAAGCCATTCTTTGCTGAGACTTAATCTTGTCATGTTTTGTTAAAGAGAAGAATATAGAAGCAAAGCACTCGCAATTAACTGATCTTATCAGGATTAAATTCTACATTTTTTAGTTTGCATGTTGTAGACCATCTGGGGGTATTACTTAAATACATTGTTGATAATTTAAGTGACTATGATATTTATTGTTTACTTTAGTTAAGAACCAGGAGCTGGACTCTTCTGCTGGGTATCTTCTTCTGTGCTTAGCAAGATAACCTCGATTCCTGCTGGTTCTGTGGTCATTTGCACTGCAAAGCATTTCTTACTGGGTTTGCAAAGCAAGGGTAATGTGCTCTGTGGGTGTATGTGTGTCTGTGCACCCTCATCCCCTATTCCCACTGCCATCTCTGTTCACTTCCTTTTACTTATCAAAACTTCTTTTTCTCAATCTATGTCAATCTTATTAAAAAGTTTAATGAATCACTTTTCCCAGACGTATAGAAACACTAATAAAAGTTTTATGTGTTAAATTTTCCTCACATATTTGCATTTCAGCAAGCCACAAAGTCATTGCACAGATGATGGTGACTGATTACAGCATTGGTTATATCATTAAGCAGTACTTACAAGGCCAGCCTTAAATCTCATTTTACTTGACAGAATGCAAAATAAAATGAAGATAATGTGGAAAACAATGGTATAGCTTAACGGATGTAGTGGATTGGGGATTACAATTGTGTAAAGTGACTGCAGAGGTATATGCTAAATCTCAGACTCTCATTTTGAGGAAAATTTAGTAATTTCAAGGAGCAAATGTGTGGGTAATAGCAATATAGAAAGATAAGCTTTGAGGCTAGAAACAGTAATAAATCTCTGACATTTTAAAATAGTTGTAAATTGTGTGACTAATCAGAAATATTCTATTTTCTTTCTTAACAGACAGTATGTATCCCAAAACTATCCATTATAAATGGTATTCTTCCTGAGGATCTTGGTTCGGGAATATTTATGAAATAGCCTCATAGTATACCCATTTTAATTCTCCTGTCACAATTTCTTTCTTCAAAGTTGTGATGTTCTCTAAAATATAATGAGGACCTGTTTGAGAACTTGCTAACAAAAGCTGAAAGGAAGCCCAATTTTAGTTAAATCCATAGGCTTGGCCCACTTCAGGAGTTCAAGAAACACCATGTAGGGACTTCCTGTCTTTATTGCTTTGGTTCACGTTACTTTGCAAAAAGTAATATTTTAAGAAATATAAATCATTCTGGATATGAATTGTGATGTGATAGAATCAATCTATAGTGTATATCACTAACCTAAAGTTATTGTTTAGATCAGTTTTGGAAATACTTTGATCTTCTTTTTTTTTTTTTTTTTTTTGAGTTGGAGTCTCACTCAGTTGCCAGGCTGGAGTGCAGTGGCATGACCTTGGCTCACTGCAACCTCTGCCTCCTGGGTTCAAGTGATTCTCATGCCTCAGCCTCCTGAGTAACTGGGATTACAGGCACCCGCCACCATGCCCGGCTAATTTTTTTGTATTTTTAGTGGAGATGGGGTTTCACCATGTTGGCCAGGCTGGTTTCGAACTCCTGATCTCAAATGATCCGCCTGCCTCAGCCTCCCAAATTGCTAGGATTACAGGCGTGAGCCACCACACCTGGCCAAAAACCACATTTTAAATCACTTTCCTGATAATATCGCTTCTACCTCTAAATCAGAAAACATTAAAATACAATGAAGCTACAACTTAAATTTGAAGTATTTCTTTTCCACCAGTTATACAGATATATTAAATTCATCATCATTGACTTTGACTTTCTTTTCTTTTCTTTTTTACCCCAAGTTTACAACCTCCACCTGCCAGGCTCAAGTGATCCTCCCACCTCAGCCTCCTTAGTGGCTGGGAATATAGGCATACACCACCACACCTGGCTAATTTTTTGTATTTTTGGTAGAGATGGGGTCTTGCCATATTGCCCAGGCTGGTCTCGAACTTCTGGACTCAAGCAATCTGCCCGCCTCGTCCTCCCAAAGTGCTGGGATTAAAGGCGTGAACCACCTCACCCAGCTGACTTTGACTTTCAAAACCAACTAACTAAATTACCAAGGTTTAATATTATATTCCCCTTATAAAAGAGAACTTTTATATTACATACCAGTTACTAGCTTATAATTCTTTCCTCTAACTACTTTTTTCTTTTAGAAGCCTATTAAGGCTTATTTTTTACTGTTTTTAAAAGGCTTGGAAGATGTTAAGGATTTTTTAGCACTTTCTGCATAAATTGTTTACTAGACTCTTCAGGTTTTAAAGATCATTTCACTACTGAAACCAGATACAAGTGCTTGCATAAGAAAATAATCACTTTTTATTACCAAAGTAATACATACTTGTTTTAGAAAGGTTAGGAAATAGAGAAAAACCACAAACAAAAAGATCGTTTGCAATCCCTTGATTATTAATATTTTAGTACACCTTAAAATCTTTTGTCTTTCCTTTTTTTTTTTTTTTTTGAGACAGAGTCTTGCTGTGTCACCAGGCTAGAGTGCAGTGGTGCCATCTCGGCTCACTGCAACCTCCGTCTCCCAGGTTTAAGCGATTCTCCTGCCTCATCCTCCGGAGTAGCTAGGACTACAGGCACATGCCACCACACCCAGCTAATTTTTGTATTTTTAGTAGAGACGGGGTTTCACCATGTTGGCCAGGATGGTCTCGATCTCTTGACCTCATGATCCACCCGCCTCAGCCTCCCAAAGTGCTGGGATTACAGGCATGAGCCACCGCGCCCGGCCACCTTAAGATCCTTTTCATGTGTATATTTATACACATTGGAAAATATAATTTTTAAATGGCTAAGAAATGAAGCATAACTGATCAAGAGGAGGATTTAGTCTTTGAATTATATAGAAAGATAAAATGAGACAATAGCAGTGTGTTTTCTTCCTTTTAATAGAGAAAGGAGTTGTTTTTCTATTGCCACTAAAAGGTAAAATTGGTCTTCACTAAGTGGGGAACAAGTGACTAAATGTGTGGGGATAAAATTACTACACAGGTACTCATACATGGCTCTTATGTAGCAAAATTTTAGAAAAATTTTCAGGATATATTTTCACTTTGATCTCTTAAAGGATAAGACACTCTTGTAAGCTTAACTGTGGTTCTTTTTTTTTTTTTTTTTTTTTTGAGACAGAGTCTTGCTCTGTCGCCCAGGCTGGGGTGCAGTGGCACAATCTTGGCTCACTGCAAGCTCCGCCTCCTGGGTTCACGCCATTCTCCTGCCTCAGCCTGAGTAGCTGGAACTACAGGCGCCCGCCACCATGCCCGGCTAATTTTTTGGAGTTTTAGTAGAGACAGGGTTTTACCATGTTAGCCAGGATGGTCTCCATCTCCTGACCTTGTGATCCGCCCGCCTTGGCCTCCCAAAGTGCTGGGATTACAGGTGTGAGCCACCGTGCCCAGCCAACTGTGGTTCTTTTGATAGTCTCTTCAAATATGTAAATCCTTACTTCAAAAATAACCTGAAAAGAAATAGACTCTGGATTGCATTTGTTGGAGTGGCAGCAAAATACCTATAAAACACCCATATCCTGCTTTTTTTTTGAGATGGAGTTTTGCTCTTGTTGCCCAGGCTGGAGTGCAATGGCACAATCTCAGCTCACTGCAACCTCCACGTCCTTGGTTCAAGCAATTCTCCTGCCTCAGCCTCCCGAGTAGCAGGGATTACAGGCATGCGCCACCACACCTGGCTAATTTTGTATTTATATTAGAGACGGGGTTTCTCCATGTTGGTCAGGCTGGTCTCGAACTCCCAACCTCCGATGATCACCCGCCTTGGCCTCCCAAAGTGCTGGGATTGTAGGCGTGAGCCACTGCGCCCGGCCCATATCCTGCTTTTAATAATATCTGGAATTCATAGGTCAAAAAAGGGGTAATTTATAACTCATAAAGGCATATATATAATCAGGGTCTGATGATTCTGAGACATAATCCCTTTGCATAAATAGTTTTTGAGAGAAAGCCTTTAGGAAAAAAAATCTTGTTTTCTTCCCCAAAACAAAGAAAATACTGAATTATCATACTTAGCAGGAGCCATTGACTTTTTAAATGAAATTGAGAATCTTCAAATAATGTTTCTGTTCAGTTAAATATTTGTCTAATATTCTTTTTTTCATATTATTAAAACCAACTAGATATCATTGCAGTACTTTATATATATAGGCAGCCAATCTTTCTATCATAGCATCTTTTTTCCTTTTTCTTTTTTTCTTTTTTTCTTTTTTTTTTGAGATGGAGCCTCCCTCCTGTCGCACAAGCTGGAGTGCAGTGGCACGATTTCAGCTCACTGCAACCTCCACCTCCTGGGTTCAAGCGATTCTCCTTCCTCAGCCTCTTGAGTAGCTGGGATTACAGGCGTGCGCTACCACGCCTGGCTAATTTTTGTATTTTTAGTAGAGACGGGGTTTCGCCATGTTGGCTAGGCTGGTCCTAAGCTCCTGACCTCAGGTGACCCACCCGCCTCGGCCTCCCAAAGTGCTAGGATTACAGGTGTGAGCCCCTGCACCCGGCCAGCATCTTTTTTCTTACAGATTCCCCATCAGTTCAGGTAAGCGACATCTAGATTAACACCTTTGAATCACATTAAGTCTCAGCTTTGCCTTTTTGTCACTGAGGATGGTTCAGACACAGCCATATATTCATCTTCTACTTGAGAAGATCCCTTTAAAGTTTTCAGGCTAATTTGGTATGTGCAGTTGCAGTCTTATATAATCCAATGGCCCTTGATGATGGTCACAGCCAAAGGCAACAACACTGTCAGAATTCTTTACTGATATTAAATGCCAAATTCTGGGTGTCTTGTGTCATGGAGACTTTATATTTTCTTCTGGCCAGTCTTGTCTTCTGGCTTCTCAGCCTTCTTATATGTAAAAATCTAGTGTCAGCCACTCAGAACAGACTCTGTTAAGAGGAGTTTGGGCGCTGTTTGTATGTCTCAAAGTTAAAGTCGGGTTTGCTGTGTGTTATTTTGAGCATAATAGGACATGTCCTGAAGCTGGGCACACTGGCATGTGCCTGTAGTCCTAGCTAATCGGGAGCCTCAGATGGGAAGATCCCTTGGGCCCAGGGATTTGAATCCTGCCTGAGCATCATAGTGAGAGCCTATGTCTAAAAAATAAATATATACATAAGTAAAATAAATAGGACATGTGCTTTGGTCCTACTTGAAATACCTTCTGGTGTCATGGGAAGAAGATGGGCTTTAGAACCAGAGATAGATCTGAGTCTAAACACTAGCTGCTCATCTGTTCATCTATAAAATAGAAATAATGACTACTTCATAATTATACTGTAAATAATTAAATGAAAAAACATGCTCAAGTGATTAGCACAGCACCTGGCACATGGTAAACATACAAAAATATTAGTTTTCTCTTATTTTACTGATGGAGGAGATAAAATGCTGGACTAGACTATGAGTCTGGTCAAATGAGCCACTGTTTATTTCTTCCTAAACATGCTTTTCTAAACATTTTAGTTACAGAATAGCACAGGACAAAGAAGAAGTTCTCAAGTGACCTGGATTTACCTAACATACCTTCAACACGTTTTTACTGAGCATCTATTACATACCAAAAACTGTACAAGAAAGATAGAGAGCTAAGTAAGACAGTAACAAGTTCTCATCCCCCAAGGATTTCATAGGCTAATGGAAAAGACAGATGAATATGCCAGTGATGACAGGGTACAATGGGAACCAAAGAGGACTGGTATCTAAACATACTTCAGGCAGCCAAGGAAAATCTAGAAGAAATGACAGTTGAGCTAAGTGTGGACTTCCAGGCAGAAGGAATAAGATTTACAAAGGCACAGAGATAATAGAAAGATGCTCTGTCCTAGGGAATACAAATAGTTTTGGAGTAATGGGGAGAAGGATATATGTGGAGTTGTAGCTGGATGAAGCTGGAGAGAGAGGTAAGGGTCAGATTTTAAAGTATTTTCTGTCTTACTAAAACCCAGTGAAGGGTTTTAAACTAGAAAACTGAATTTTCAGTGTTTAATTTTAGAAATAAGCACTTTAGCAGCATAATAGAGGACACGTTCAAGGAAGGTTTGAGATGAGAAAGAAGGAAGGAAGAAAGGAAAGAAGAAAAACCGTTGAGGGCATTTGTGGTAATCTGGATGAGGCGTTCTAAGAGCTTTAACAGGCTGGGCACAGTGGTTCACACCTGTAATCTCAACACTTTGGGAGGCTATGGTGGGCAGATCACTTGAGGTAAGGAGTTCAAGACCAGCCTGGCCAACATGGTGAAACCCTGTCTCAACTAAAAATACAAAAATTAGCTGGGCATGGTGGCACGCATCTGTAACCCCAGCTACTTGGAGGTTGAGGCAAGAGAATCACTTGAACCCAGAAGGTGGAGGTTTCAGTGAATCAAGATTGCACCACTCTACTCCAGCCTGGGCGAAGAGCTTGAACAAAGGTAGTAAATGTGGGAATTGATGAGGGAAACATTAAAGCAAATAGATAAAGTAGATATTAAAATGGAATAAAAATGCCTTGATGACATAATCTCTGGGGGTTAGCGGATAAATGTAAGGAAGAAGTTGAAGATGATTCTCAGAATTCTGGCATGGATGATTGGATGGATGGATGGAGATGCCTTCTACTAATATGATAGAAGTGACGGAGGGGCCGGATGTGGTGGCTCACTCCTGTAATCCCAGCACTTTGGGAGGCTGAGGCAGGTGGATCACCTGAGGTCAGAAGGTCAAGACCAGCCTGACCAACATGGAGAAACCCTGTCTCTACTAAAAATACAAAATTAGCCGGGCGCGATGGCAAATGCCTGTAATCCCAGCTACTCGGGAGGCTGAGGCAAGAGAATCGCTTGAACCTGGGAGGCAGAGGTTGCAGTGAGCTGACATCGCGCCATTGCACTCCAACCTGGTCAACAAGAGCGAAACCCTGTCTCAAAAAGAAAAGAAATGATAGAGGAAGTTGGGGTGGGAAGCCCAGAGAGCAGCAGAGATGAGTTTAGTTTGCAACATGTTGCATTCTACACCCCTGGGAGGATGCTCAACAAATAATTGTCTGTGTTGTCCTGGAGATCTGGATAACAGTGTCAACTTGAGAAGTTGATTTGACCATATGTGAGTGTGCTATAAATGGTAATCCAACCCAACTGTTATGTTTTTCTTTTATTTCTGAAGACTAGTACATGTTAGGTGCTCAGTAAATATTTGTTGAGTTGAAATTACTGTGGCTAGGGCTTTTATCATTGTTGTCTTCTACACATGCTTTGGAAAAAAAGAGATTGTTCTGTCTAATTTAACTCAGCAGTAGGCAAGTTTGGGTCAGGTGGTGCTGGCCTAAGTAATGTTTAGTTCACAAATAGCTTCTTGATGACAGACTACTACTTATCACTTGAACAAACTGGCACAAAATTGGCTCTTACTTGATTATCTTAGGTATTTGTCTGATTATTAATCAGCCTTCTCAGTTGTGACAAATTATTTGAAGAAGCCCAAAGTTCCTCTCCATGTGAATGGGTTTAGATAGCTATTCACAATGCTAGGACTAGCATGTAGCAATTTCAGAAAGCCTATTTGTTTAATACCAGCTGATCTATTTTTGGACAGCTCTATAGCCACTTGCCTGACTCAAAAGAAACAGTGAGATAAGTGCCCTGGAAAGTAGCATAGCATCTTAACAATATGACAAATTCATTCTAGTGTCCCCCAGACCCTAGGACATTATAGGTGCTCTGCTCATTGGTTGGTTGAATTAAATAAGTATAGTACTTTAGAATTTACAATATGGTTTCATATACAGTATATTATTGTATTTTATCTTCAGAACCCTATAAGTCAAACCAAGTATTATTTTCATGTTAAATATGAGGAAATTCATACATTCTTGTCAAGAATAATTGCTGTATCTCAGATACATTTGCAGACAGAGACAGCCTTGTTGTCAGTCTTTCAGTTCCATCTTTCATATCCTAAGTCATATTTGTTATCAGCCAATGAAAGATCTACCTAATATGAATTCAACTAGTGCCAGTTTGAGACGCTTTTGAGTTGCATGTTTCAAAATGGCTTGGGAGTGAAGCTGGCCTGAAGTTCCTGTGTTCAGTGTGTCTTTCCTTGCCTTTATGGAGCCCTGGTTAATATTCATCACAATGGAGGCTGGTTTACAAGTTAAGGAGCAGCAGTGATTTTCCTAATATAATACCTATAACATTGATTTGAGTACTACAGTGTGTAAGCTGGTTCAAACTGTATTGTTTACTCATAGGAACACCTTCTTACCTTCTTTTTTTTTTTTTTTTTTTTTGAGACGGAGTTTCGTTCATGTTGCCCAGGCTGGAGTGCAATGGCATGATCTTGGCTCACCACAACCTCTGCCTCCCAGGTTCAAGCAGTTCTCCTGCCTCAGCCTCCCGAGTAGCTGGGATTACAGGCATGCGCCACCACGCCTGGCTAATTTTGTATTTTTAGTAGAGATGGGGTTTCTCCATGTTGGACAGACTCGAACTCCCAACCTCAGGTGATCCGCCCACCTCAGTCTCCCAAAGTGCTGGGATTACAGGCGTGAGCCACCGTGCCTGGCCAGGAACACCTTCTTCCTTTCTTTATTGTTTCTCTGTGGTTTGTAATATGGTCAAAGGCTCTTACCAAGATTTCATGCCTAAGTGGCTTATATACAGCTCTCTGGTGAGCACATGCAGATGTCACTTGCCATAACATTTGGCTTTCGTTAGGTTATTTCTTTTTCTTCTTTTAACTTTTATTTTAGGTACACGCGCAGGTTTGTTATGTAGGTAAATTCGTGTCATGGGGGTTTGTTTTACAGATTATTTTGTCACCCAAGTACTAAGCCTGGTACCCAATGGTTATTTTTTCTGATCCTCTCCTTCCTCCCACCCTCCACCCTCAAGTAGGCCCTGGTGTCTGTTGTTCCCCTCCTTGTATCCATGTGTTCTCATCAGTTAGGTCCCACTTATAAGTGAGAACATGCAGTATTTGCTTTTATTGTTCCTGTGTTCGTTTGCTAAGGATAATGGCCTCCAGCTCCATCTGTGTTCCTGCAAAGGACATGAGCTCGTTCTTTTTTATGGCTGCATAGTATTCCATGGTATATATATACCACATTTTCTTTATCTAATTTGCGATTGATGGGCATTTAGGTTGATTTCATATATTTGTCATTGTGAATAGTGCTACAATAAACATACACATGCATGTGTCTTAATGGTAGAACGATTTATATTCCTTTGGGTATATACCCGTAATAGGATTGCTGGGTCAAATGGTAGTTCTGTTTTTAGCTCCTTGAGGAATCACCACACTGCTTTCCACAGTGGTTGAACTAATTTACATTCCCACCAACAGTGTGTAAGCATTCCCTTTTCTCTGCAACCTCACCAGCATCTGTTATTTTTTGACTTTTTAGTAACAGCCATTCTGACTGGTGGGAGATGGTATCTCACTGTGGTTTTGATTTGCATTTCTCTAATGATCAGTGATACTGAGCCTTTTTTCTTATGCTTGTTGGCCACATGCATGTCTTCTTTTGAAAAGTGTTCATGTCCTTTTGCCCATTTTTTAATGGAGTTGTTTCTTTCTTGTAAATTTGTTTAAGTTTCTTATAGATGCTGGATATTAGACCTTTGTCAGATGCATAATTTGCAAATATTTTCCCCAATTCTGTAGGTTGTTTACTCTATTGATAGTTTCTTTCACTGTGCAGAAGCTCTTAAGTTTAATTAGATCCCATTTGTCAATTTTTGCTTTTGTTGTGAATTGCTTTTGGCATCTTCATCATAAAATCTTTGCCAGTTCTTAGCTGGGCACTGTGGCTCATGCCTGTAATCCCAGCACTTTGGGAGGCCGAGGTGGGTGGATCACAAGGTCAGGAGATCGAGACCAGCCTGACCAACATGGTGAAACTCCGTCTCTACTAAAAACACAAAAATTAGCCGTGCGTGGTGGCACACACCTGTAGTCTCAGCTACTCTGGAGGCTGACGCAGGAGAATCGCTTGAACTTAGGAGGCGGAGGTTGCAGTGAGCCAAGATCACACCACTACACTCCAACCTGGGCGAGAAAGCGAGACTCTGTCTCCAAATATATATGTATATTTGCCAGTTCCTATGTCCGGAATGCTATTGCCTAGGTTGTCTTCCAGGGTTTTTATTAGTTTTGGGTTTTACATTTAAGTCTTTAATCTATCTTGAGTTGACTTTTGTATATGGTATAAGGAAGGGATCCAGTTTCAATATTGTGTATATGGCTAGTCAGTTATCCCAGCACCATTTATTGAATAGAGAATTCTTCCTTTCCTCATTGCTTGTTTTTGTCAGCTTTGTCGAGGTTCAGATAGTTGTAGGTGTGTGGCCTTATTTCTAGGTTCTCTATTCTGTTTCATATGTCCATTTTCATACCAGTACACCATGCTGGTGTTTGTTTTTTGTTGTTGTTGTTTTCTTATTTTTTTTCTTTTTTTTCTTTTTTGAGGCCGAGTCTCATTCTATCACCCAGGCTGGAGTGCAGTGGCTTGATCTCAGCTCACTGCAACCTCCACTTTCCGAGTTTAAGCAATTCTCCTGCTTCAGCCTCCCAAGTAGCTGGGACTACAGGCACATGCCACCATGCCCAGCTAATTTTTGTATTTTTGTAGAGGCAAGGTTTTGCCACGTTGGCCAGGGTGGTCTCAAACTCCTGACCTCAGGTGATCTGTGCCTGCCTCAGCCTCCCAGAGTGCTGGGATTACAGACATGAACCACCATGCCCAGCCTACCATGCTGTTTTGGTTACTGTAGCGTTGTAGCGATCTTTCACCTTCCTGGTTAGCTGGCATTCCTAGGTGTTTTATTCTTTTTGTGGCAAGGTTATTTATTTTTCAAATGACTAATTCATTTCCTACTAGTGTGAATTCCTTCTTCTTCCACCTAGAGCACCTTTCTTTTAACTTTAGGAATAGGTCCATCTACTGGGATGGTATCTTCTCTTCCACATTCTCTTCCATGTGCAGTGGTCCCTCATCCTCTGTGGGGCCTTGGTTCCAAGACCTCCCCTGGATACCAAAATCCACAAATGCTCAAGTCTTGGATTTAAAATGACATGGTATTTACATATAACCTATGCATATTCTCCTGAATACTTTAAATCATCTCTAGATTACTCATAATACCTAATAAAATATAAATGCTATGTAAATAGTTGTTATACTATATTCTTTAGGGAACAATGACAAGAAAAAAGTCTGTACATGTTCAGCATAGATGCAATTTTTTTTCCAGATACTTTTGATCCATGGTTGGTTGAATCCATGGATGCAGAACCCACAGATACAGAGTGGTGACTCTACTTGCTTTAGAACTGTTTTTCCTGTGGAGTGAGGTATTTGGCCCAGGAGGGAACTCTTGTGTTTCCGGAATTTATTTCTCTTGGAGGTTGGAGGTGTTGTGTCATTCATCTGTGAAGAAATACATCTCAGCTGCTGGGTCATTTTAATTGTTTACAAAGAAACATTTCACCATTTTTGATATCATGTTTGATGCCATGACAGTGATTGAAGTAAGCCTGTGCTAGATGTACTCAACTTCTGTCTCCCTGACAACTAGTCTAGATTTTAGCTTCTCCATGCAGGGCTAGTGTGAGGATACATACAGTTTGGAAATATGAAACATTTTTCAACCTGATTAGGTTCCTCAAGAATATGTTTTACCTGTAATCCCAGCACTGTGGGAGGCCGTGGTGGGAGGATTATGAGAGGCCAGGAGTTTGAGATCAACCTGGACTACATAGTGAGACCCTGTTTCTCCAAAACATGTAAAACTTAGCCAGGTTTTGGTGGAGCATACCTGTAGTTCTAGCTACTCTGGAGGCTGAGGCAGGAGGATCCCTTAAACCCAGGAATTCAAGGCTGCAGTGAGCTATGGTCAGGCCACTGCACTCCAGCCTGGGTGACAGAGTGAGACCCTGTCTCAAAAAAAAAAAAAGAATATATTTTGATTGATGCACAAATTGCATTGTGTCCTGTGCATAGTAATAACTTAGGCATTTAGGAATGACAAAGTAACTCCTTTAAGTAACACAAGGAAGACCATAGGAATATAAATTGCTGGATAATTGTTTTTCAGATTAACAATGATATAGAAATAGGACCAAACTTAGGTTGGAACTGCTTAAGCTGCTGATAATGTGTAGTGAACAGCAGCTCTTCCTTTTGACCATGTTATCAGCTAAGATTCTTAGTTTATATTAGTAGCAATATTTTTGAGGCTTCCAAAAATCATTGTTGATTCTCAGAGTTCATTCTCCCACTTATACCTAATCTTCTTGCTTTTGTATCTGTTCATTCATTTGTAGAGTATAAATGGCATTCGCACAGAGGAGGTGGCTGTCGTGACAAAGGGGCCATCTACTAACCCTGACTCTGAATGGGAGGGTCCCAAGCATTCGGTAGTTCCTAGTAAAAGCCAGATGACCACCTCGTCGGAGTCTCTGCAAAGCTTTGCCTTTGGCTCCCTCTCCATAAGCAGCAAGGAGACAGAAGAGAAGGAGGAGGGGGCAGCTGGCTATCTTGATATTAAGGAGATGCCAAGAGGCCCAACTGGGGGATGTATAGGAGTGGAGGAACAGGCCAGTGCCTTAAAGTTCTCAGTAACACCAGCTTCCTGTCAGCTGCAACCTGGTGTAAAAAAGGCAGAGAGTAGTGAAGAACATGTTACACCAGGAGAGCCACCTGGAAAACAAAATGGATCATTTCTTGACTTTCATGTGGGTAACCAGTTCCCCACCCTCATTCGAAGTTTCCAGGTAGTAATTTATTCAATGATGCAGGTCTAATGACTGTCTTTGGAAGAGGGCCAGAATCTGTCCTGTGGAGGAGGTGGTGGTGGTATGGTGAGGGTAGTGGCCTCCCTGCTGTTTTCAAAATCACAGACTAAAAGCCTTTGATTGTGCCAAAGAAATTCATTCAGAGCAATTAACTGCATGGCTAGAAATGCTTTCTTCTCTGATAACTTAACAAAACTCCAGCTGTCAGTATGAAGCTGGTTAAGTGTGTTCATCTTTTCCTTGCTCAAGTGTGGGCTATGGAAAGAGGTGAATTGCGGTGACTTCTGTGGTGAGGAGGCTTCAGTGTTCTGAGACCATGCTTAAAAAATTCAAATACTCTTAATTAAAGGGGCAACTCATCTTCTTATGAGATTTCAGGCCCCAAATAATTTATGTACTGCAGCCACATTGTGCAGCCCACCACTCCCACTGACCCCACCCACAAGAGCATTCAGGATCATAGGCACTGATTTCCTATGCTAAGGTGGTTGGCCACTTAACCTTATTACAATCAAATGGTAGTTTCAGTGTGATTTATACTCCTGGGGAAGGTGAGCAGATGGACAAGAAGGCCTTTGGTATTCCACTAATGTTCATTCTTCTGAAATTCTGGGATTAATCACCAGGTGGTGGTAGAACTGATTGTTTTTTTCTTTCCAGTTTTCCAAATACTGTCTCTTCTCAATAACTCCAAAGTGAATCTCTGACATTGATTTGAAAGAAGTTAATGAATTCGAGGGTAATGCATTCCATTGCCACTGCTGTTTCATGTACCATTCGTACTTAGTGGAGGAAATGTGGCTGATTTTCTTAATTATAATGGTACAGACACAAGGACAAATCAAAGTGATTGCTATTTGGCAAATCGTTTTATATTCAAATTCTGAAGGTCAGTCTGAAGTGTTTTATATCACCAATCATAACTGTCTGCTCTTACAGCTTTCCATTAAGCTTATGAAAGTGATTACAGTAATGCTGCTTTTTAATATCCCTCATGATTTGACACCTTGTCAGGGTTACTTTGGAATACTGTCGAAGTCTTAGGCAGGGTAAACACCTTTGTAGATTGAGCTAGCTCTGTACTTAATTAAAGCTAACACTTTGATCAGATCAGTGTCAGAAGATTACTTCTCCATTGCCTTCAGAAATACTCTAGTAACTCTTTCCTTACTGCTTCACAGCCTCCCCTGGTGAAGACACAAACTGTCACCATCTCAGATAATGCCAATGCTGTGAAAAGTGAAATCCCAACCAAAGACGTCCCTATTGTCCACACTGAGACCAAGACCATCACTTATGAGGCTGCCCAGGTAGGACATGTTTTGATGCTTCAGAACCAAAGGCTGCAAACAAAATTAATAACCTTTCTTCACAGAGTTTCTAGTCATTTATCGCCAAGAATACCAGGTTTTTCTGGGGCAGTTCTTTTTAGAAGAGATTACTGGTCTAAGAAGGTCCCAGACTACTTTATCTAAAGCAAAAAATTGAGCAGAGCACACTGGTGTATGCCTGTAGTCCCAGCTACTCAGGAGGCTGATGTGGGAGGATCTCTTGAGCCCAGGAAACGCCATCTGAATATTTTTTTTTGAGACAGAGTCTCGCTCTGTCGCCCAGGCTGGAGTGCAGTGGCGCAATCTCGGCTCACTGCAAGCTCTGCCTCCCGGGTTCACGCCATTCTCCTGCCTCAGCCTCCCGAGTAGCTGGGACTACAGGTGCCCGCCACCACGCCTGGCTAATTTTTTTGTATTTTCAGTAGAGACGGGGTTTCACCGTGTTAGCCAGGATGGTCTTGATCCGCTGACCTCGTGATCCGCCTGTCTTGGCCTCCCAAAGTGCTGAGATTATAGGCGTGAGCCACCACGCCTGGCCTAAATTTTTTTTAAAGCAAAATTGTCTTAGATCTGATTGCTTATATCCACCCAATTCATTTGCATAAGGCAGTCTGGTGTAATGGTTGAGAACATGGGCTTTGGGTCTGAAAAAACCTGAGTTCAAGTCCTGGCTCCTCCACTTACTGACTTGGACAAGTAATTGAATATCTCTGAGCCTTGATCTCCTCTGCCCATGACGTTAATATCTACTTCATGGTGTTATGAGGATTTAAGTGTTTTTTGTTTGTTTGTTTGTTTTTTGAGACGGAGTCTCAGTCACTCTGTCGCCCAGGCTGGAGTGCAGTGGCGTGATGATCTCAGCTCACTGCAACCTCTGCCTTCTGGGTTCAAGTGATTCTCCTGCCTCAGCCTCTACAGTCATGTGCACATGGCTAATTTTTGTATTTTTCGTAGAGTTGGGGCTCACCATGTTGGCCAGGCTAGTCTCGAACTCCTGACCTCAAGTGATCTGCCTGCCGCGGCCTCCCAAAGTGCTGGGATTATAGTTCTTTTTAGGAGAGATTACTGGTGGCCGGGTGCAGTGGCTCACGCCTGTAATACCAGCACTTTGGGAGGCCGAGGCGGGCAGATCACGAGGTCAGGAGTTCAGGACCGGCCTGGCCAACGTGGTGAAACCCCATCTCTACTAAAAATACAAAAATTCGCTGGGTGTAATGGCAGGCACCTGTAATCCCAGCTACTCAGGAGGCTGAGGCAGGAGAATCTCTTGAACACAGGAGGTTGCAGTGAGCCGAGATTGCTCCACTGCATTAAAAAAAAAAAAAAAAAAGAAGAAGAAGAAGAGATTACTGGTGAGCCACTACGCCTGGCCAAATTTTCTTTTCTGAGAAAGGGTCTCACTCTGTTGCCCAGGCTGAAGTGCAGGTGGCATGATCTTAGCTCGCTGCAGCCTAGACCTCCCAGGCTCAAGCAGTTCTCCCACCTTTGCCTCCCAAGTAGCTGGAACTACAGGCATGCACAGCTGCACCTCGCTAATTTTTTGTAGTGACGATATTTTACCATGTTGCCCTGGCTGATCTCAAATTCCTGGGCTCAGAGGATCCAACTGTCTTGACCTCCCAAGATGTGCCACTATGCCCTGCTAAAAATTTTTTTACTTCCCACTTTCAGTAAAATGTCTCTCACTTTTGGTAGTTTCAATGGACTAGAATTGATTTATGTTGAATTGTTTTTCTTTTGTTATTCACAGAAGCCAAAAGTAAGAAAAACAGTTCCCTCTATAAACTGAGCTGTTATTTCATTCCTGCAACAAATATTTATTGAGTGTTCACAATATTAAGCCAAAGCAATGTACAAGGTATACATAGTCCCTACCCTCTGGAACTTACATTCTAGTTAGGAGAAACAGGCAATAAAGCACATAAACAATGTATAAGTAAATTTCAGACAGTGGTAAATGCTATAAGGAAACTAAAATGGGGTAAAGAGTTAGACAATATGGGATTACATGAAAGATTGCTGCTTTGAGACTAGGATAATCAGGGAATTCCTCTCTGAGGAGGTGACATTTTGGCTGAGGTCTGAATGATGGGAAAGAGATAGCCATGTGAAGTTCTGGCTAGGTGCTTTCACATAAATCTTTTCACTTAATCCTCACCTCACCATGAACTGGATGATGTTATCTCCATTTAGGAAACAGTGTGGCTTGGTAATTTAAAAGCATGTGCATTGCTGGGTGTGGTGGCTCACGCCTGTAATCCCAGCACTTTGGGAGGCCAAGGCAGGCGGAGCACGTGAGGTCAGAAGTTCAAGACCAGCCTGACCAACATAGAGAAACCCCGTCTCTACTAAAATACAAAAAAATTAGCTGGGCATGGTGGCACATCCCCAGCTACTCGGGAGGCTGAGGCAGGAGAATCGCTTGAATCTGGGAGGCGGAGGTTGCGGTTAGCCAAGATGGCGCCATTGCACTCCATCCTGGGCAACAAGAGTGAAACTCTGTCTCAAAAAATAAATAAATAAATAAATAAAATAAAAGCACGTGCATTGCAATTAGAAAAAAGAGAATTAGGGTTGGTCACAGTGACTTTGGGAGGCTGAGGAGGGAGGATCTGTTGAGACCAGTAGTTCCAGACCAGCCTGGGCAACAAAGTAAGACCCCCATCTCTTTTATATATATATAAATAAAATATTATATATATATTTATAATTATACATATTAAATTATATAATTATAATATATATTTAATACAACATATAATTATATTAAATATGTAAATTAATATATAATTACACATTAAATATATAATATATATAATATATATATTAGCTGGGTGTGGTGGCATAGCTGTAGTTGCAGCTATTCAGAGGCTGAGTTGGGAAGATTTCTTGAGCCCAGGTGTTCAAGGCTACAGTGAGCTAGAGTCATGCCATTGTACTCCAGCCTGGGCAACACACCAAGACCCTGTCTCAAAAAAAAAAAGAGGGCCGGGTGCAGTGGCTCACGCCTGTAAACCCAATACTTTGGGAGGCCGTGGTGGGTGGATCACCTGAGGTCAGGAGTTCAAGACCAGCCTGACCAACATGGTGAAACCCCATCTCTACTAAAAATACAAAATTAGCCGGGCACGGTGGTGCATGCCTGTAATCCCAGCTAGTCGAGTGGCTGAGGCAGGAGAATCGCTTGAACCCGGGAGGTGGAGGTTGCAGTGAGCCAACATGGCGCCATTGCACTCTAGCCTGGGCAACAAGAGCAAAAGTCCATCTCAAAAAAAGAAAAAAAAAGAGAAAGAGAGAAATAGAATTTGTATCCTAGCTCAATCAGGTAGGTACCAACTAGGTAACCTTAGGCAAGTTGCTAATCTCTCTAAGCTTGTATTTCCTTGTTTGTAAAGTGGGGATAATACCACTGACCATTGCAAGCTTTGGAGGAAAATTAGGTGAAATGATGTCTGCAAAGCACTGGGCATGTTTATGGACACTTAGTGTCAGTATGCTTCCCTATTCTCTCTTTCGTGGTCTAGAGTGCAGATTTTGAGTTTGGTACATAATGAGAGTTTAATTAGCCAGGCGTGGTGGCGTGCACCTATAGTCCCAGCTGCTTGGGAGGCTGAGGCAGGAGAATCGCTTGAACCTGGGAGGTGGAGGTTGCAGTGAGCCGAGATCATGCCACTGCATTCCAGCCTGGGTGAAAGAGCGAGCGTCCATCTCAAAAATAAATAAGTAAATAAATAAACAAATAATGAGAGGTTGCGTAAAGTTTATCGATACTAACAAAGTGGCATAATTGAAGCAATGAGCCAGGCGTGGTGGACGCACCCATAGTCTCAGCTGCTCGGAAGGCTGAGGCGGAGGCTCCCTTGAGCCCAGGAGTTCGAGGCTGCAGTGAGCTGTGATTGTGCCACTGCACTCCAGCCTGGGGAACAGAGTGAGGACCTGTATCAAAAAAACAAAATAAAGTAGGGAGAGGTCTGGGACCAGGAATATGACTAGAACATCTCTGGAGAAATGCTTGTAAAGAACTGAAGTGTCTGAGGAAACAAGAAAAAAGAAATGTGTCAGTCGAGAGAGACAGAGAAATGAATGAATAGGTCTTGGCAGTGAAGGGGACTGAAAAAGAAAGGAATAGGAAATTACTTAAAAATTGTACACGCTATTAGCCAGAGGATATAGGAAATAATTACTTCATATGGCAGAATCCCTTTAAGTTGTCACTACCATGGAAACAAGCTAAATGTCCATCAGTGGAGAGCTGGTTAAATACATTATGGTACATCCAATTAAGGTAATTCTGTGTGGCCTTTAATAAAAGCTTCTGATGGGAACAAGCTACATGATAAATTGGTAAGTGAACAAGCATGGTGCACTATGGTGGTACTGTTTATGGAGGGGAGAAGGGATGTATATTGCAGCTATGTGTGTTTAGGTTTGTATATCAATACACTCTCTCTGAATGGGTACTAAAAAACAAAACAAAAAACCAACAACCAAAACGTATAGTGGCCCCTGATGAAGGAGACTGAGACTGCAGGACTCGGGTCAGGAGTGGGAGGGAAACTGACTTTTCACTGTAAAACATTTTGAAGTATTAAAATTTTTATAGCATAGACATAGCCAAAAAATTTTATTTTATTATTATTATTATTATTTAGAGACAGTCTTGCTCTGTAGCCCAGGCTGGAGTGCAGTGGCATGATCTCAGCTCACTGCAACCTCTGCCTCCCGAGTTCAAGTGATTCTCGTGCCTCAGCCTCTTGAGTAGCTGGGATTACATGTGCATGCCACCACACCTGGCTAATATTTATATTCATATTTTTATTTTTATTTTTGTTTGAGACAGAGTTTCCCTCTTGTCGCCCAGGCTGGAATGCAGTGGTGCCATCTCGGCTCACTGCAACCTCCACCTCCTGGGTTCCAGCGATTCTCATGCCTCAGCCTCCCAGGTGGCTGGGATTACAGGCACCCACCACCACACCCAGCTAATTTTTGTACTTTTAGTAGAGACGGGGTTTCACCATGTTGGTCAGGCTGGTCTCGAACTCCTGACCTCAGGTGATCCACCCACCTTGGCCTCCCAAAGTGCTGGGATTACAGGTGTGAGCCACCGCACCCAGCCTAATTTTTATATTTTTAGTAGAGACAGGGTTTCACCTTGTGGGCCAGGTTGGTCTCAAACTCCAGGCCTCAAGTAGTCAGCCCGCCTCGACCTCCCAAAGTGCAGGGATTACAGGCATGAACCACCGCACCCTGCGCCCCCAAAATTTAAATGGTTCAAAATAAATTGTTTTAAAAGTTAGAGCCACACTGACCACAGAAGTCCCTGTGGTGTGGGTGTAGGTAGCTCCTACAAAAAAAGGAAATGGAAGCAGTCATTTTAAAATATCCTGACATATTAGAGAAATATAAAGGCAGCGTGATATTCTTGACAGAGCCCGTGGGCTTTGGAATTAGAGTGACTTAGGTCTTAATTCCGACATTTGCTAGTTTTGTGACCTTGGGCAAGTCCCTTATCTTTTTGAGCCTTAGTTTTCTCTTCTGAAAAATACTGTGATCAAGTTATTGAAATAAGCACAATGTTTGCCTGGTATTTATTAGCTATTCATAATGGTAGCTATTATTATATTGCGTTGTTAAACATTTGCCTTTATTTCATTTTAACCAGGCTTAAGACAGTCAAGATACAAATTGCTTTTTATTTTATTTGTTTGTTTGTTTATTTATTTATTTTTGAGATGGAGTCTCACTCTGTCACCCAGGCTGGAGTGCAGTGGCGCGATCTCGGCTCACTGTAACCTCCACCTCCCAGGTTCAAGCAATTCTCCAGCCTCAGCCTCCCAAATAGCTGGGACCACAGGCATGCGCCCCCATGCCCGGCTAATTTTTTTATTTCTAGTAGAGATGGGTTTTGCCACGTTGGTCAGGCTGGTTTCGAATGCCTGATCTCAGGTGATCTGCCCGCCTTGGCCTCCCAAAGTGCTGGGATTACAGGCGTGATCCACTGCTCCCGGCCCACATTGCTTTTTATTACTTATGCTAGACAGTGGGGTAGAGTGGGGAAGAGTGTTGACTTTCGAGTCAGAGTCAGATTTCCTGGCTTTGAACCTGCCCTGTCACTAGTGTGCAGTCAAATTACTAAATCGCCATGTGCCTCAGTTTCCTCATTTGTAAAATGTGGCTAATAGTTGTACCTCATAGGATTGTTGTCAGGAATAAATGAATTAATGCACATAAATGTTTCCAAAGTGCCTGGCAGATAATAAGCACTAGATATTCATTTGCAATTGTTATTATTTATTTACTATTTCTACTTTTGCTTTTATTATCTTGCTGGATAAGTAAGCCGGAGCACCATTTTTTTATTTATTCACAGTCTCTGTGCTTTGGAAAACATGGTCAGAGGGGATAGTTTTTACGTGTAGTTTTTTATGTGTGTATATGGGTGTGTTTGAGGTAAAATTTACATACAGTGAAATGCACAGACAGGGTCTCGCACTGTTGCCCAGGCTGGAGTTACAGTGGCATGACCACAGTTCACTGCAGCCTCGACCTTTTGGGCTCAAGTGATCCTCCCACCTCAGCCTCATGAGTAGCTAGGACTCCAGGCGCACACCACTACATGTGACTTTTTAATTTTTTTTTTTTTTCGAGACGGAGTCTCGCTCTGTCACCTGGCCTGGACTGCAGTAGCATGATCTCAGCTCACTGCAACGTCTGCCTTCCGGGTTCAAGCAATTCTCCTGCCTCAGCCTTCTGAGTAGCTGGGATTACAGGTGCGGGCCACCATGCCTGGCTAATTTTTGTATTTCTTTTTTCAGTAGAAACAGGGCTTCGCCATGTTGGTCAGGCTGGTCTCGAACTCCTGACCTCATGATCCTTCCGCCTCGGCCTCCCAAAGTGCTGGGATTACAGGTGTGAGCCACTGTGCCCGGCCTAATTTTTTAATTTTTTGTACACACGGGACTCACTTTGTTGCTAAGGCTGATCTCGAACTCCTGGGCTCAAGCAATCCTCCCTCCTCAGCCTCCCAAAGTGCTGGTATTACAGATGTGAGCCACCATGCCTAGCAATTTGATTGGTTTTGACAAATGGCTATACATGTGTAACCAAGACACATTTAGGATACAGAACATTACCCCTGAAACTGGCTTCATAGCCTTTTCCATCTGATTTCTACCCCTTTAGGCAGCCAGTGCTCTGCTTTCTATCAGTATTGCTTAGTTTTGCCTGGTTTGGACTTCATGTAAGTAGAAGTATACAGTAGTACACTTTTGTGTATGGCTTCTTTCTTTCTTTTTGAATTGGAGTCTCACTCTTGTCATCCAGGCTGCTGGAGTGCAGTAGTACCATCTCAGCTCACTGCAACCTCCACCTCCCAGATTCTAGCGATTCTCCTGCCTCAGCCTCCTGAGTAGCCAGGATTACAGGTGCCCACCACTTCACCTGGCTAATTTTTGTATTTTTAGTAGAGACGGGGTTTCACCATGTTGGCCAGGCTGGTCTTGAACTCCTGACCTCAGGTGATCCACCCACCTTGGCCTCCCAAAGTGCTGGTATTACAGGCCTGAGCCACCGTACCCAACAGTGTCTGCCTTCTTTCTGAATATAATATTTTTTAGATTCATCCATGTTATGTGAATCAGTAGTTCCCTCTTTTTTATTGCTGAATAGTATTACATTGAATGAATATACCACAATTTGTTTATCCATTCATTTGTTGATGGACAGTTGGATGAATTTCAGTTTGGGAAAATATTAATAAAGCTGCTATGAATGTTCATGTACAGATCTTTTTTTTTTTTTTTTTTTTTTTGAGACAGAGTATGGCTCTGTTGCCGAGGCTGGAGTGCAGTGGCATGATCTCAGCCCACTGCAACCTCCGCCTCCTGGTTCAAGCGATCCTCCTGCCTCAGCCTCCAGAGTAACTGGACTACAGGCATGTATCACCATGCCTGGCTAATTTATTGGTATTTTGTGGTAGAGATAGGGTTTCATGATGTCGGCCAGGCTGGTCTCAAACTCCTGACCTCAGGCAATCCACCTGCCTCGGCCTCCCACAGTGCTGGGATTTCAGGCATGAGCCACCGTGCCTGGCCACAAATCTTGTTGTGGGCGTTTCATTTATCTTGAGTAAACATCTAAGAGTCAAATTGCTGGGTCATAGGACAAATGACCAGTATGAGGAAACATTGGTAAGAGGATCAAGGAAAACAGGCCCTGTATGGGAACAGGGTAAGTAGGAAAACATAACAGTGTCTCCTGCATCTTTAGCATTCTTCAGAGACAGAAAAGAGACTAGAGGGAGCGGGCAGGAGGTAGATAAAGATAGAGTCACAGGTTTATAGAGGAGTTCTTCAAAAAGCTTTAGCCCTTCTGGCATGCAAATTCATGTTATAACAATTTATAAGCTAATTTTATTTGTATAATTTCTTTGTATGCTCACAACAGTGCTACGGTGTAGGCAGAACACATATTCCCATATTGCTTTTATTTTTTATTTTATTTATTTATTTATTTTTTTGAGATGGAGTTTCACTCTTGTTGCCCAGGCTGGAGTGCAGTGGCGCAATCTCAACTCACTGCAACCTCTCAGCCTCCCGAGTAGCTGGGATTTTTTTTTTTTTTTTTTTTTTTTTTTGAGATGGAGTCTTCCTCTGTTACCCAGGCTGGAGTGCAGTGACACAATCTTGGCTCACTGCAACCTCCACCTCCTAGGTTCAAGAGATTCTCCTGCCTCAGCCTCCTGAGTGGCTGGGACGACAGGCGTTTGCCACCACACCTGGCTAATTTTTGTATTTTTAGTAGAGATGGGGTTTCACCATATTGGTCAGCTGGTCTTGAACTCCTGACCTCGTGATCCGCCTGCCTTGGCCTCCCAAAGTGCTGGGACTACAGGTGTGAGCCATTGCACCCAGTCCCCAGTATTGCTTTTATAAATGAGAAAACTAGACTGGGTGCAATGGCTCACGCCTGTAATCCCAGCACTTTGGGAGGCTGAGGAGGGTGGATCACCTGAGGTCAGGAGTTTGAGACCAGCCTGGCCAACATGGTGAAACCCTGTTTCTACTAAAAATACAGAATTAGCCAGGTGTGGTGGCATGCGCCTGTAATCCCAGCTACTTGGGTGGCTGAGGCAAGAGAATCGCTTGAACCCAGGAGGTGGAGGTTGCGGTGAGCCGAGATCCCACTATTGTACTCCAGCCTGGGGAAAAAGCAAAACTCCCTCTCAACAAAAAATAAAATAAATAAAAATTTAAAAATCAAATAAATGAGAAAACTAAAGCTCAGAGAAGTCAGAGTGACTTGCCCAAGGTTCCACAGCTGGTTACTGTCTGAGTGGGGACCCAAACCCCAGACTTCAAACAGGGAGTTTCTTGCCCTGAGTCCTAGTTCAAACACCCATTAGAGTCTTGGACAAATTCTTAACCTCTCTGGAGCTCTGTTTTCTTAACTGTACAATGTGTATAATAATGGTTCCTCCCTCAGATATTGAGAGGCATAATTGAGACAACAGTTGAATTATATGCTTGGCACATAGTAGGAGTATAATAAATATTAGTTGAGTCTGAATCTAAAGTAGATGACTGGTCTTGGCTGAAGAAAATATTAGTTAGCGGCTGGGCGCGGTGGCTCAAAGAGCTGTAATCTCAGCTCTTTGGGAGGTGGAGGTGGGCGGTTCACGAAGTCAGGAGTTCGAGACCAGCCTGGCCAATATGGTGAAACTCCATCTCTGCTAAAAATACAAAAATTAGCCAGGCGTGGTGGCAGGCGCCTGTAATCCCAGCTACTTGGGAGGCTGAGGCAGGAGAATTGCTTGAACCTGGGAGGCAGAGGTTGCAGTGAGCCGAGATCACACTATTGCACTCCAGCCTGGGCAACAGAAGCGAAACTCCATCTCAAAAAAAAAAAAAAAAAAAATACAAAAATTAGCCGGGCGTGGTGGCGCGTGCCTATATTCCCAGCTACTCAGGAGGCTGAGGCAGGAGAATTGCTTAAACCCAGGAGGTGGAGGTTTCGGTGAGCTGAGATCACGCCACTACTCTCCAGCCTGGGTGACAGAGCAAGACTCCATCTCAAAAAAAAAAAAAAAAAAAAGCTAATGTTTGAAAGGCATTTGTGAACTATAAAATGCTATACATGTGCTTAATTATTGTCACTAATGTTGACCTGTGGCTATGTTCCTGCCTCTTATTTCTTTTTTTTTTTTTTTTTGAGACAGAATTTCGCTCTTGTTGCCCAGGCTGGAGTGCAATGTCGCAATCTCAGCTCTCCACAACCTCTGCCTCCTGGGTTCAAGCTATTCTCCTGCCTTAGACTCCCGAGTAGCTGGGACTGCAGACATGCACCACCACACCCGGCTAATTTTGTATTTTTAGTAGAGATGGGGTTTCTCCATGTTGGTCATTCTGGTCTCAAACTCCCCACCTCAGGTGATCTGCCCCCCTCGGTCTCCCAAAGTGCTGGGATTATAGGCCTGAGCCACCGTGCCCGGCCCCTGCCTCCTATTTCTGATCCATTCCTGTCACTGACTCAGTGCTAAGGAAACTATACCCATCCAACTTTCTTAGAAGGAACTTTGTGCCCAGGGAATTTATTTTATTTTATTTTATTTATTTATTTTTAGACAGAGTCTCACTCTGTTGCCCAGGCTGGAAGTACAGTGGCGGGATCTTGGCTCACTGCAACTTCCACCTCCCAGGTTCAAGCATTTCTTCTGCCTCAGCCTCCCGAGTAGCTGGGATTATAGGCAAGCACCACCACGTCCGGCTAATTTTGTTTTTTTAGTAGACACAGGGTTTCACTCTGTTGGCCAGGCTGGTCTCAAACCCCTGACCTCAGGTGATCCACCCGCCTACACCTCCCAAAGTGCTAGGATTACAGGCATGAGCCACCGAGCATGGCCCAATTTATTTTATTTGTTAAGAGGTTACCCTGAAAAAAAAAAAAAAAAAGAGGTTACCCTGGCCGGGTGCGGTAGCTCACACCTGTAATGCCAGTACTTTGGGAGGCCGAGGCAGGCGGATCACCTGAGGTGGGGAGTTTGAGACCAGCCTGACCAACATGGAGAAACCCCATCTCTACTAAAAATACAAAATTAGCCCGGTGTGGTGGTGCATGCCTGTAATCCCAGCTACTCAGGAGGCTGAGGCAGGAGAATTGCTTGAAACCGGGAAGCGGAGGTTGCAGTGAGCTGAGATCACGCCACTGCATTCCAGCCTGGGCGACAAGAGTGAAACTCCGTCTCAAAAAAAAAAAAAGAGGTCATTCTAAGGGAATGAGATTTTTGCATCAGAATGTGCAGCTGAAGAGCAAAGCTGCAGCCTGCAACATTTGCCCAGTCTTCCTGAGAGGCATGATGATGAGCCATGCTTTCTTCTGCAGACTGACGACAACAGTGGAGACTTGGACCCAGGAGTCTTGCTGACAGCTCAAACTATCACATCTGAGACCCCAAGCAGCACCACCACAACTCAAATTACCAAGGTAACAGACCAGCTAGAACCTCTTTATGGAACCCAGGGGCAGGCTAAGCTTGCTGCCACCTCTCTGCAAGAAGGACCCTAGTCCATAAGCAAATATTTTCAGCTCCATCCCTAGTAAGCCACATTATTCAAAGAGTCCTGGATGGAAAGGCCCTGCTGCCTTCCCCAGCAATAAATCTAGGGAGATACCCTGAGAGTATCCCTGCCTACTTAGTAGTCTCCTAAAGGTAGGTGTGGTTGTTCTCTTTACACATCTGTCTCTCTGGTCAGTGAGTCCCCTGTCTGGCTGTGGAAGTAAGTTTAAAAAGTCAGCATGGCCAGGCATGGTGGCCCACACCTGTAATCCCAGCACTTTGGGAGGCCAAGGCAGGTGGATCACCTGAGATCAGGAGTACGAGACTAGCCTGACCAACATGGTAAAACCCCGTCTCTACTAAGAATACATAAATTAGCCGGGTGTGGCGGCATACACCTGTAGTCCCAGCTATTCGGGAGGCTGAGGGAGGAGAATTGCTTGAACCCAGGAAGCAGAGATTACAGTGAGCAGAGATTGCGCCACTGCACTCCAGCCTGGGTGAGCGAGCAGACTCTATCTCAATAGAAAGTTAACTTAAGGGGCCAGGCGTGGTGTAATCACACCTGTAATTCCAGTACTTTGGGAGGCTGAGACAGGTGGATCCCTTTAGCCCAGGAGTTTGAGATTAGCCTTGGCAACATAGTGAAACCTCATCTGTACAAAAAAATACAAAAAAAAAAAAATGTGCTGGGCATAATGGCGCATGCCTGTGGTCCCGGCTACTTGGGAGGCTGAGGTGGGAGGATCACTTGAGCCCAGGGCATCAAGGCTGCAGTAAGCCGTGATCATGCCACTGCACTCCAGCCTGAGTGACAGAGCAAGACCCTAAAACCTATCTCTGTAAAAACAAAACAAAACAAAAAGTCAGCTTCAGGGAAATTATTTTTGGTATTTTTATACAACCATATTTTCCAAGCCCAAAATCAGAACTCTGGGTCTGAGGAAGAATTTTTACAGCATTCCAGGGACAAGGCCATGAGAACTTGTTTGGATGCTGAAATATTGGAATTATTAGAATGTAGTTTATAGGAAGCAAGAGAGAGAAAATATCTAAAATTGGAACTACCCCCAGAAAATCAGAGGCAATCGATGTTTGCTGTAACACTAGAGGAAAATACTTTTTTTAATAGGTAAGAAATATAGCTTCTTGACCAAGCTCTCTCATCAATACACAGATGACTGGAAACTAGTTAACTTAATGTGTCTAGACCTTGGTTTTCCTCATCTACCAGAAAGAGAAATCTACTCACCCTCAGGAGATTATGTGAGGACCTTTTGACATCAATAATATGAAAATGCTTTAAAATACAAGAGCCCAGTTTCAAGCTGTGTGACATATTTGTTCATAGCCTTCAGATTTTTTTCCTCTTGAAAATGATCATGGTGGCTCATGCCTGTAATCCCAACACTTTGGGAGGCCAAGGCGGGCGGATCACCTGAGATCAGGAGTTCAAGACCAGCCTGGCCAACATGGCGAAACCCCATCTCTACTAAAAAAATAAAAATTAGCCGAGCATGGTGGCACACGCCTATAGTCCCAGCTACTCGGGAGGCTTAGGCAGGAGAATCACTTGAACCCAAGAGGCGGAGGTTGCAGTGAGCTAAGATCATGCCACTGCACTCTAGCCTGAGCAACAGAGCAAGACTCCATCTCAAAAAAAAAAAAAGAAAAAGAAAATGATCAATTAAAATGTATAGCATCAGTATCCAGTCTCTAAAACAGAAATGTATGAGAGAAGAGCACAGAAAGTCCTATTTTGTTTACTTGCTAGATTTCTGTGGTATTCAGGAGGAAGAAAAAGGAGAAAGTAAATACAGAATTGTGACTTTCTGTTTAGCTTAATAAAGATTTTAGTAATCCAGGCTGGGCGCGGTGGCTCACACCTGTAATCCCAGCACTTTGGGAGGCCGGGGCGGGCAGATCACGAGGTCAAGAGGTCGAGACCATCCTAGCTGACAAAAAACCCCGTCTCTACTAAAAATAGAAAAAATTAGCCGGGCGTGGTGGCAGGCGCCTGTAGTCCCAGCTACTTGGGAGGCTGAGGCAGGAGAATGGTGTGAACCCAGTAGACAGAGCTTGCAGTGAGCCGAGATCGCACCACTGTACTCCAGCCTGGGCGACAGAGCAAGACTCCGTCTCAAAAAATAAATAAATAAATAAATAAAAAAGATTGTAGTAATCAAGGCTGGATGTGGTGGCTCACGCCTGTAATCCAAGCACTTTGGGAGGCTGAGGTGGGTGGATCACAAGGTCAGGAGTTTGAGACCAGCCTGGCCAACATAGTGAAACCCCATCTCTACTAAAAATCCAAAAATTAGCTGGGCATGGTGGTGCGTGCCTGTAGTCCCATCTACTCAGGAGGCTGAGGCAGGAGAATTGCTTGAACCCGGGAGGCAGAGGTTGCAGTGAGCCGAGATCACACCACTACACTCCAGCCTGGACAACAGAGCGAGACTCTGTCTCAAAAAAAAAAAAAAACAAAGATTTTAATAATCCAGGGGAGTAGAAGTGTACTCTACAAGGGAGTAGAAGTAGCAGGTCTGGTTGAGATTTTGGACAAGTAGGTTAGAAAGCTGTCCTTTGCAGTACCCAGCAGTAGATTAAAATTTGGAGTGGAGCTTTCGGAATAATCTTTGCTATTTTTCTTTTTTTGTTTGTTTGTTTGTTAATAGAGACGAGGTCTCATTATGTTGCCCAGGCTGGTCTCAAACTCCTGGCCGCAAGCATTCCTCCTATCTCAGCCTCCCAAAGTGTTGAGATTACAAGTGTGAACCACTAAACCTGGCCTCTTTTTCTTTTTTTTTAATTCTTGTTATATCGCTGATCTCATATGACATCTTCTCTTTGGTTCCAGACTGTAAAAGGTGGGATTTCAGAGACACGTATTGAAAAGAGAATTGTGATCACAGGAGATGCTGATATTGACCATGATCAGGTGGGAATGTTGAAGAGATCTGGGCCTGGGAGGGGTCCCTGGGCAGGAAGACCGATGAATACAGGAGTTTGTTTGCCATCTTCATCTGCAAAAAGCCTCTTTGGCCACTCTAGCTCTTAATTGAGAAGAAAGACAAAGACAATCAAAGTAAGAGGCCTGTGGGATGGAGGCCACAGATTGAGGAGCCAGGAAATGTAATGGAAAGAACATGAGCTTTGGATTCCAAGACTTGATTCAATTGCTGGTTCTTAATATATTCTAGCTGTTAACTCTCTGGGCCTCCATTTTGCATCTGTAAGATGAAGATGATAGTATCTCCCTCTCAGGGTTGTTGTGAGAATCAGGTGAAATACTGGATGAACAGCTGGTGGCACATGGTGAGCTCAGTTAAATGGAGCTATTGTTATTCCGAAGGTAAAGGTACCTGAACCCATGCTAGACAACATCAAAACAAAGGGAAGCATGCCCCTACCCTTAGAGAGCTGTAACAGCCGAGAAGACACGAGCGGGAGCATAGTATGGTGGACAAGACACCAGCAGACTCGAAACTTGTTTTCTGCCCTACATCTCTAACTTGCTGTGTGACCTTGGGCAAATCACTTTTCCGCTGATTTTTTTCTCCTTTCCTAAAAGAGAGTGGGTTGATCTAGATAATTTCTGGGCCTGAGTGCTAAAATTCTATATTTTTATGTTAATTGGGTGCTAATTGTGTGCTGCAAGCAATTAGCAAATAATAAGGTCAGGATTAATGTTCCCAGTTCTCTGCTGGGTGAGGTTAGAACAGTAAAGCTGCAGAGAAGAGGGGGTGGAAGAGATTGCATGCAAATGCTTCTGGAATCGTTGACTGGGTTGCTGGAGCAATAATTCTGTGGCCTTTTTATGCTGATATGCTGAGTGCCTTTAAAAAAAGAAAAACTGAGCTACAGTGCTGGCAGTTCCCTTGGAGGCAGGGTTGAGAGTTACAGCTGAGAATAGTGGACACAGGGTCCCAGAAACAAGGCTGCAAAGCCTAAATATCTTGCAGCCTGTTGGCCCAGCTCAGTGGGTCCCGCTGCTTTAGAAGCCTGCACCCACCCACTCAGTCTGGTGTGATCTGAGCCCCTGCTACGTGCTCAGTCTGCACTAGACAGCAAAAGCAATGCGGTGAAAGGTGTTTGAGGTTTGGAGTGAGACAGACTTGGGCTGAATCCTGACTCTGCGACCTAATTGGTTATATGTCCTTGAGCAACTTATATTACCAACCTGAGCTCTAGTTTTACCATCTGTAAAATAAGGATGATCACAGGTTTCTTCCAGGGTCATAAGGGCCAAACACACTTGGTAGCTCAGAGAGATGCTCCAGTGTCCCTCAGGTTTTCTAGTTACTGAGAGTGCATGGAAGGGGTAAGCTATGGTACACTCTGGCTGGCGAGGGAGGCACTTTAAGAACTGTTAAGGAGAAGCAGTGTGGAGCAGCAGGTTTCATAGAGAGGTGGGCGGAGGCAGAGTCACAAAGAGAAGACTTGAGCTGGGCCTGAGGTGTGAGCAGATGGGTTGGGCAAACAGGATCAGGGAGGATGGTCAGGGGCCCACAGAGGTGGTAGTTCTAAGAATGCCATTCATAGAGCCAGGAGACCAGAAGAGGGTTTTCCTTCTTCCCTTGCCCCTTCTAGAGATGGTTCTTAAGAGCCAGGTGAGTAGTCAGCTGGTCATTTCTAGCTGAGTCCTTTTCCATAGGGGAGCCTGCAAATTCAGAGACTGCAGCCCAAAGAGGATGGTGTTTTTGCTCTTTTGACTTTCCCTCTGCTCTCTTTAGCTTTTCTAAAGTAATCAAAGCTCCTCCAGATCCTCAAACAGGGACCCCCTCAGAAACTAAACAACAGTGTGGTAAAGAGGAAAGTCTGATCGACTTGAGTTAAAATCCCTATTGCACGGCTGGGTGCGTTGGCTCACGCCTATAATCCCAGTACTTTGGGAGGCCGAGCAAGGTGGATCACCTGAGGTCAGGAGTTCGAGACCAGCCTGGCCAAGGTGGCAAAACACTGTCTCTACTAAAAATACAAAAATTAGCCAGACGTGGTCACGGACACCTGTAACCCCAGCTACTTGGGAGGCTGAGGCACAAGAATCGCTTGAACCCAGGAGGCAGAGGTTTCAGTGAGCCAAGATCACACCACTGCACTCCAGCCTGGGCAGTGAGACTCCGTCTAAAAAAAAAAAAAAAAAAAAAAAAGTCCCTGTTTCACTACCTACTAGCTATGAAACAGTAAGCTCTTTACTGAAATTCAGTTTCCTCACCTATAAAATGCAAAAAATTACATTACCTTAATGCACTAAGTTGTCATGTTTAAGTAAAAAGTAATGATAATAGTTATTATCTTAATAACAATATAGTTATTAATAAATTATAACTTAATAGAGTTTAAGTAATAAGTAATGTACTTAGGCTAGTGCATGGCATATAACAGTCCCTTGTCCTCTTCCTTCCTTTCTTCTACTTTGGCCAAGGACATCTCTTCCTTTTTCTTGCACACTTCTTTACTTTCCTCTCCCGTCCTGAACTTGCCACTTACCCATGCTGAACACAGATGTTGTTTTGTCCTTTAGATTCACATCTTGAGTGAATCCTCTCAGACCCTCCAGGTATAATGATAGATAATAGATAGGTATAATAGATAATATAGGCCAGGTGCAGTGGCTCACACCTGTCATCCCAGCACTTTGGGAGGCCAAGCCAGGTGGATCATTTGAGGTCAGGAGTTCGAGACCAGTCTGGCCAACATGGTGAAACCCCATCTCTACAAAAAATACAAAAATTAGCTGGGCGTAGTGGTACACACCCGTAATCCCAGCTACTCAGGAGGCTGAAGCAGGAGAACTGCTTGAACCTGGGAGGCGGAGGTTGCAGTGAGCCGAGATTGCACCATTGCACTCCAGCCTGGGTGACGGAGCGAGACTCCATCTCAACAACAACAAAAAATAAAAAAAAAATAAAGGATCATATAACAGATACAGCTATGACCCCCGAAGTCCCTCTCCAGTTCCTAGAAGACAGCGCTAACCTTCCCTGTCCCTGTGTTATCAGTCCAGAAGCCTCCCTATGCAGGATAGGGTGGGTAAGGTAATTATCAGCTTGGCTTAGCCTAAAGCTGCCCTGGTACTGCAGACAGGAGTATTGGATCTGTCAGAACATCAGAGAAATGATGACCACTGCCTTCCTTCGCCATCAGGCTATTTTCTGCCTCATTGCCCTTGTTTCTGTCTTTTGTAGGTCCTTGTACAAGCCATCAAGGAGGCAAAGGAGCAGCACCCAGACATGTCAGTGACCAAGGTGGTCGTCCACCAGGAGACCGAGATTGCTGATGAGTGAGCTCAGGTACTGGGCGTTCCTGCTGGGGCTGAGGGTGCCCACAGTCCCAGCCTGAGAGGGCTCTGGATGGGACCCTCGGACACACTGGGAGCCCATCCCCACAAAGAGGTGTTCACCCTGGGACTTGATAAAGGCAGACGAGAGGCTGATGTGGGAGATATAGGAAATTAAGTATTTGGCTCCAACTAAAGCAGCCTGTAGCAGTGCCAGCATTATTGGGTAAGAGGAGGGACCCAAACTTGGATATAAGCCCCCAGCTACCCTCTGAGTCTTCATGCATCCTGCTGGAGATCCACTTCACCTTCCCCCTCTCTTCTCTCTACTGCTCTGCTTGCTGCTGTCACAGGTCTCTCTTTTTTTTTTTTTTTTTTTGAGACGGAGTCTCATTCTGTCACCCAGGCTTGAGTGCAGTGGCATGATCTTAGCTCACTGCAACCTCCGCCTCCCGGGTTCAAGGAATTCTGCCTTAGCCTCCCAAGAAGGTGGGACTACAGGCATGTGCCACCATGCCCAGCTAATTTTTGTATTTTTAGTAGAGACGGGGTTTCACCATGTTGGCCAGGTTAGTCTCGAACTCCTGACCTCAAATGATCCACCTGGCTTGGCCTCCCAAAGTGCTGGGCTGGGATTACAGGCATGAGCCACCGCGCCTGGCCAGTCACAGGTATCTTTGAGCCAGAACCTGGGAAAGCCAGAGGAGAAAAAACCAAGAAGAGCAGGATCAGGCTGTCTGGAGATGGGTGGGCATGCAGAGCAGGGAGGTAATGGCTGAAGCTCTGAGACCAGAGTAGAGAGCTGGGAGCAGGGAAGCTGCTTTTTGGGAACCAGGGATCCAGATAAATTCATGCCTAAAAGTAATTTTAAAAAGACTTGAAGAAGCCACCAATCTCACTAGGTGGGACCAGGCCCTGTAAACCTGCTCACATCCCCATTGTCACTGATGGCCACAGGAACTTGGCAATGGGACTAGGAAGCTTTTTCCTTTGCAGGATTTTAAATTTTGCTTCTTTGTTTTCTCTAGGAACTAACCTACCCCAACTCTGCCCTTCTCCCATCCAAGAGAAACCAGCAAAATGATAAAGAAGCTAACCTGCCATAGTCAGACTTCAGACTTTCAAGATTATTCTAAATCACCAGAAAATTAATTTCAGTTTCTATTGGGAGTTTATACCAAGAGATTCTTCTAGATCTCATTGATCCTTTTGAAGAGCTTTTTCTATATTAGGATATCAGAATTGTTCAACTTTTCACTCTATAGACTGTTTTAAGAGTTTTGGGGTTTTTTTAATTGGGTGGTTTGTAACCCCTTCAGCCTAGCCTCTCTGCCCATTTATTTCCAACCCCAACAGACACTGACAGGGTCCATGGAATTCTTCGGGAAATCCTCCAAGGACTCTTGTCAGCTGTGTTGGAAGCCAAAGCCAGCTTAGTGGGACTTCCGCGTCTCTCCCTAGTCTTATCCCCTTTGGATGATGGCAGAAACTTCATGAACCAGCCCTTTCTCAGAGCCAGTGATGTGAGTGTATCAGAATGCCAGGGAGGGCACCAGCCCTGATCCACAGACCTCGGAAAGATGCCCCTGTTCCTTTGTTGCGGGTGGTTTTGGTAAGGCAGAGCCCTCTGCTGAGAATGTAGTATTGTTTTTCCCCTCTCCCTCCTGCTTTCTTTTTGGAGCTTCTTTGGGTCAAAGACATGGAAGTTGCTTCAGATATCTGATACTGTGAATGTTTGAACATATCCGTGGCCTTCACCTCTCCAGCTACCCTTTTACCTCATCAGAAGCAGTGGCTCAGCTAAGTGCTCCCCCTAGCTCCCATCTCAGGAGACCAAATCTCACAGAAAAATAGGCACTTTGGGCCAAAAGCTCTAATGGAACATTTTTAGTGGTGATTTGGGGAAGGAAAGTTAATGAGGTTTTTAAAATAAGGTTTTCTAGTTTTGAGAGTGTGCACTTCACACAGGGGAATGGGGTTACTTCTGTCTGATCCTGGGCCTTTCTTTCATCCCAAATGACAAGGAATGTGGCTCAGAGAAGGGTTTTTCTTTTTTGACCTTTCTTCTCTCAACAGGAACCTGCCTGAGGACACCCTTCTAGAGCAAGGAATTGACTTTTAGGAGCCGTTCTCCCCACAAGACACCACATGACAAGGGGTATAAGCCCCAGCCCTGCTCATTCCCACTCACCAGCTGAGGTCTGTCAGGTTTTGAAGGCTTGATTTTGTGGTGGGTTTGGGGCTTAGTTTTCCTTTTTTTCATTTTGATTTTTGAAAGTGAAGATGATGCCCTAATTCCTGGTAAGGATTTGGGGCATAGTTTTTTGTTTTTTTGAGACGGAGTTTCGCTCTTGTTGCCCAAGCTGGAGTGCAGTGGCGCGATCTCGGCTCACTGCAACCTCCGCCTCCTGGGTTCAAGCAGTTCTCTTGCCTCAGCCTCCCAAGTAGCTGGGATGACAGGCGCACACCACCACGCCCAGCAAATTTTTTGTATTTTTAGTAGAAACGGGATTTCACCTTGTTAGGCTGGTCTCGAACTCCTGACCTCAGGTGATCCACCCACCTTGGCCTCCCAAAGTGCTGGGATTACAGGTGTGAGCCACCACGCCCGGCCGATTTGGGGCATTTTTATTTAACAGAACTTCTCTAACCTTCCAACTGCTTCCCACAAACACATTGGCCTCAAGGCTCCTTAGAATCCCAGTTCCAGCTTCCTAAAATAGACAGTGGGTATCGGGCAGCAGTCACTGGGGCTCAAGGGCAGTGAGCAAGAGAAATGTCTAAAGCTGCTTCTCCCAACACCGTCCAAAGTCTCCACTGCCTGAGTTTTGTTTCGGCTGGTTTGAACTCATTTCGGGTGTGTGCATTTTTCTTTTGGTACCCATGTGAGACATGAACAACAGGAGGGAGGGAAAGAGCCCAGGTGGGACGTGGGACAGGCTTAGGGGAAAGAGCTTGTCCTATCTCAGGAACAAAATTATAGGCTGTGGGCAGAGGGTCTGAAAGGTGGGCTTTGGGGTAGTGCCCAAGCCTGGTCGTGTTGCCAGGAGTGGTGACAAGAAATGCAGCTTACATCAAACGAACATGTAGTGCATGCCCACTGCCTGATGGCCAGATGGCCTGTAGGAAGAGCTACCAGGGCTTCCAGACCTGTGGAACGAAGAGGATGGGGAAAAGGCAGAGGGCACTGAGTGTCCCTTTAAAAACTAACCCACTGAATATTCCGTGTGATCTAGAACAGTGTGGCAGCTTTCACAGCACAGGACCGTTCATCGGGGGCCTAAACGTTTCCCTCAGCTCTGTCACCAACTCACTTCTCTCGGCTTCGTTGTCTGTAAATTGGATGAAAAGAGCTCTAATGCCTTTCAGGCTCTTAGAAGCCATAGATTTGGACAAGCCCAGCAAGATGGGTGTCCTTCCAGGCCTCTTCCCCTTTCCTCCATCTCTGGCAACAGTTCTTGGGGTTTGGCAATTGTTTGGATTTTTTTTCTTTCTGCAGTTGTGTGTATGTGTGTTTGTGTGAAGAAAAACAGACTCTGTCCAGGTAGAAATGGTGAGGAGGGGGAAGAGAATTACATTTCCAGGGTCAGAAACTTGGCAACAGTTTTCCTAGAGTGACTCAGACACACCACAGTAACAACTCTCGCTGCAATTTTATTTTAATTTGAGAAATAAAGATTTCCTCCAAGCCACATGAGGACTCTGGCACCCACCCACAAAGCAAGACCTGTATTTATAAGCCGAGGGCTCAGGGAGCCTAACTGCGGGACCCGTCAGGGCCCCGTGACCCATCCCCGTCCCCACCCCCCCCTCCACCGCTGGGCCCATCAGTGTGTGTTGGGGGGATGCTTGGCAGCTGGGGGTGAGGAGACAACAAACCTCGGGAACTGGAGCCAGAGCTGCGGCCTGACTGACGCCTTTTGATGCTCACGGGAAATTTCTGCCCAGGATCTCAGCCCCAGGCTGGTTGTTTCTACAAATCTCTCTCAAATGTATTATTTTGGTGACAAAAATGAAGGAGCTTTGTAAATTTTTTTTAAAATTATGAATCATATCAAGTAGTTGTTTACATTTCTTGAAAAAATAGGAACTCGGGCAGCAGAATCAGATTGGCAGAATCTTTAGACTACACAGGCAATAATCAAGTCTGCTGTTTTGGCCTTTCGTAGTAGAAGTGGTTGTAGTGTTTAGATATCTGTTTGGTCTTGCTTCTTGTATTGCATTTTTTTCAATAAACAACAACAAAAAGAACTCTCTCTGTGAGGATTGATCCACTTTTAAATTTCTCTTCTACCAGCAACTTGGGAAAAATTAAATATGGGTGGGGGAGACCTAAACTCAAGTCATTTTCTAAAGTAAGTTACCCACATTGACCAAAATGCAGCTTCAACGTTGAGTAAAGGGATTTCTGAGAGCTGGCCAATGCCTTTTGCCAGCTGCAGTGAGATTCTGCAGCATAGGCCACGATAAAGGAAGGAGAGAAGGGGCTTCTCAGACTTATTTGCAGAAGGGCCCAGAACTCAGTATGAAGGCATTGGCAGTAGTGTAGCTCTAGAGGGATATACCCCAGATGGCTGAGGGAAGAAAGGGATTGAGGTGGTAGGAGTTCAAGGCTCAGTCCCCGTCCCAGATGGCAGTGGAGAGTCTCATCCCGTGGTCCATCTTCCCAGAGGCCCCACACTCCATCACCAGTGCCGCCTTGGAGGGAGCCTGCCCCAGCCTGTAACATCCCAACCTACCTCCCAGTCTTAGGGGCCCTTGCCCACCACTTTCTTGGGTTTGCCAAGACACTGGGTACATCTCCCAGTCACCCTGGCCTGGACCTCCAGCCCTGTTAGGGCTAAGGCCACTTACAGAGGCTGAAGAAATTCCTGAGGCGAGTCCTCCACACCCCACAGTGAAACGCACCCTCTCCAGCTCACTGAGCCCTGGTGCAGCTGGCATTTCTCTGCCCGCATGCAGGTCAGGATGCCCTTCACAGCTGCTGTGGTCAGAGCATCCATCCCCAGCCTGGGATGTGACTGAAACATCTATTAGACGTTGGGACTCCTGGTCCTTTGGTCCTATTAGCATGGTCCATGCTGCAGCCTCAGAGCAGGCTGTCTCCCCTCTCTTCAGACCCGGGCCCCCAAGTCCCCTCCTCCTCCCAATTTGGCATAGCCCCCAAGACTGAGGCGGTCCAGCCGTGGCCAGCTTCGGTGAGCACAGTCCCGAGCTGCTGGGGCCCCAAGGAGGAGCTCCCCAAGGCCCAGATCCAGAGACTTGGAATGTTCAATGCAGGAGCCAGACGGCTGCACGGTGATGATCACATGGCCAGTCTGCGTCCGTGGACCCCAGGGTGGGGGCAGCCCGGGGCCCTTCAGCGGGTAGCTGTTGAGCAAGGCAGGTAACCCCAAGCGAGGATTAGCGGGCTCTGAACGCAGACTCCGCACTGACGGGACGGGTGAAGTACCCCGACGCGGGGACGGGTCCCAGATTTCTGGCTCTGCGCAGCCTACGGCTCGGGGACTCCTAGGGCCGGGGCTGGGAAGGAGGGCGCAGTCCCAGCCCGGGCCGTCGGGGGGCCGGAGCGCCTGGGCCCGCAGCACCCCCTGGCGGAGCCGTCGCGTCTCCAAGTCTCGGTTCTCATACAGCAGTGTGTTGGCGCAGATGAACACGAACAGGCCGACGCCCATGATCACCGGCCCGAGGAGCCGCAGCCGCTCGTGCGGGCCGTGAGCCCGGCCCCCGCCGCGACCCTCGCGTCGCAGCTCGCTCATCTGGGGCGAGCTGGCATTGGCGGCCCGGGACCCTGGGGCCCCGGCCCGGTGCGGCCAGTAGCCGGCCACTGCAATGCCCATACCCACCAGTACCACGAGCGCCCCCAGCGCCGCGAACGCCCCCGACGGCGAGCGCAGCCGCAGCCGCGCCCGCACCCGCAGAGGCTCGGGCGGGGAGCGCGGGCGCCGGCGGCGGCCCAGGCGGCGGCCCAAGCGAGAGACGCGGCCCTCGGGGCTCCTCCGCACCTCCCCGCATTCTTCGGGGCTCCCGGCCGTCATCTCGCCGTCGTCTGGGCGCTCTGCGGAGAGAAGATGGGAGGCAAGGACTGGACCGACGGGCCTCTAGCTTCAGGGCGCCAGGTTCGGGGCGCAAATCCGGGAGGGAAGCTCCGGCCGCCCAGCCCAGGCCGCTTGGAGATCCCTGGCGGCCACCCCCGGATTTTCCCGGGCGGCGAGGCGGGGAGCCGCCCGCGCTCGGGTTTTCCGCAGCGGAGCTCCGAGCCAGGCACGCGCGGCAGAAGCCGGAGTTGGCCCGGCCAGCGGGCGGAGAGGAGGGAGGGGGGCGCAGGCTGTTCCCTGGCGCATCCCGGGCTGCAAATCTGCCGCCTGCGTCCGGTCCGCAAGCCCGCGGGTCTTGGGCCTCGGGAAACGTGCGGCCCCCAGCTGCCGCGTCTCCAGGGTAAGTACCTCCCGGGCTCGACCCCACCCCCGCACGTGGCTGCACCGTAGCAAATGGGGCGGGGGCGCTCGGGCCTCCCAGGTCCGCAGGGGTCGCTCGCCGGGCCCCACCTCCCCCCTACTGTGCTTTACATACCGCAGCGCGGGAGGAGGGGGCGTCACCGGCTCCAGCCTCTCCCTGCCCGCCCCCTCCTTCCAGACCTCCTCCGCCCGCAGCGAAGCTGCAGCAGGAGCGACTTGAGCTAGACACCGGGAAGACCGCTCGGATCAAGACCAGCCAGGCAGAGGAGGAGAGGCGGCGCCGACTTCGCCCAAGATTTCCATCAAGTCCACGCATGAGAGGCCTCTCCCTCCCCCAGCGGTCGTGCTGGGGCCACGGCAGCAGGCGGGGGTGCCGGTGCCGGGCGCTGGGCCCCGCCGGACGGATGCCCTCCCGGCTCCCCCGTCGGCCCGGGCAAGGCTGTTCCCAGGTTGCGACGTTTCCAATTCGGGCTCCTCCGGATGAATCATCCCCCTTTCCCGCCGCCTGGCCTCCTTTCCCGCCTCCTCCGCCCGAGGCCTCCGTGGCCCGTGGCCCGGTCAGAGCAGCACCGCCCCTGCGCCTCGGGATCCGGGCCGCACAGCTTAAGCCCTCCCGATTGCTGGCCGCGCCCTGCCTGCGGCCTGTGGCCTGGATCCCGGGCCCAGCAGGAGTAGCCGAGCTGCGTGCGGTGTGGCCCCCACGAAAGGGAGGGCGAGGGAGAAGACGCGGCCCCCGCCCAGGCGCCCCAGGCCGCAGGAGAGGAGGCTCAGGGCCTAGCTGTCCAGGGTCGTCCTCACTGCTCGCGTCCGCTTCCTAAAGAACCACCGCGCTGGAGCCCGCAGCCGAAACCTCGGGGAGGCGGCCTTGCTCCCCGACCCACGCCCCATCTGCACCCCAAACCTCAAAGCAGGACACCCATCCCTGCCTCCGACTGGAGCGCTCAAGGCCCGGGCCTAGCAGGGAGCCGCCACTCTCCCGCGTCCAAAGCCTGGTTTCACAGATTGCAACTACGGCCCAGGGAGGCCGGGGAGACTGCCCGACCCCGCACTAGGCGGGGGCTCTGCCAGGTCCGACGCCGGGCTCCGGGGCCCCAGCCCTAGACCCCTCTCAGGACAGCCACGGGAGTATCCAGGAGGAAGCGAGGCCCATCCCCTCCTTGTCCCTGAGTTTGCAGCCCTTTCCCCAGCCCGCAACCGGAGGAGCGATCATCGCTTCAAGCCAGAACTGGCGCTCTCAGCCCCGGCTCCAGCAAGGTCACCCGGAGCCCCGCGCGTCGCTGCCGCGAGGGAAGCGAAAACAAGCAGAGTGGGGACATGGGGACACGCTCAGAGACCCCGAGCCGTGGAGGTAGTGGGCCGACGCTGGGGACACCAGGGAGGCGGAAACTTGGGGACACAGCGCACAGCCCGACAGAAGATGCTGGGGCCGAGTCCCCAGGACTCCAGGGTCCCGCCACCGCCCGCGTCCACACTCCCGCCTGGGGGAACGGGAGGGCCGCGCTCCCGCCCCCAGGGGCCCTGACCGAGGGAGGGAGGGAGGGAGGGAGGGACCAAACGAAAAGTTGGGAAAAGTGGAGTGCGGACCCCTGGACCCCAGCTCGGCTCACCTGGCGCCGCAGCGCCGCGCGGGTCCGGGTCCCAGTCCGCGCGCGGAGGCTCCAGAGCCGCCCGGGTCTCCACGGCCCGGCCCCAGCCCCGCCCCGGCCCCGCCTCCAGCCCCCGGGACCGTCCGACCCGCGCCGGGCCCGGCCCCACCGCCGCTGAAAGGCGGCAGCTCAGGTCAAAGGATCGCAGGTAGGCGCCCTGTGCGCGCCTGGTGACTCCGGGCACCCGTGGCCCGAGTTCTGCCATCCCCACTCTCCCACCCCCAGCTTACATCGGTCGCAAAGGCCCACAAAGGCGACCCCTTCCTACATGGGGAAACTGAGACCCGGGACCCAGGAGCCCCGACACCCGCACGTCCTTCCCCGCTTCCCAGAGCCCCTCATCCCAGGCGCCCGGGGAGCTTCCAGGAGGAGGCGGCCCGAGTCCCTGCTCTGCCCCGGTCCCGCAGCCCTTGCTGTCGCTGAACCTCGCGGACTTCATCTGTGCAATGGGCACCAAGGCTTCAGCCTCGCAAGATGCCGAGAGGCAAGAGCCAGACGCCAAGGGCCAGCCCGGGGCGACTCCGCAAAGCCCTCAGCGAAAGCAGCGCCCGGGGAGGGGCGGGCCTTGTAGCTGAAAGGACCGGACGGGGTGCGGATGTGCCGCCGGGTACTCCTAAGAACAGGCGCCCCTTCGCCAGTGGGGGAGCGGGCTTGTTCCCAATAACGGGGAGGGTGCTGAGAGCTGCGACCCCGCCGGCGAGCCCGAAGGGGGCGGCCCGGCCTTCGCGCCCTCCCGCCCCTGGAGGCAGGAATGCAGAGCGGGGGAGCCAGGGCGGCCGGCGGTCGGCCCAGTTTCCATGATGCGGGGGGCGGGTTCGGGGGAGGCGGCGACCGATTTCCAGGCTCAGCGGTCAGGCCGGGCCCCCCGGGAGGAATTTCCGGCCTAGGATTGATTAAGGCCCGCCCCTCCCCCCGGCCGTGGAGACCCCCGGCGCGCAGCCGGGGGGAGGGGCGCTAATGAGACCCGGCTGCGCGCCGCGGACAGGGAGGGGACCCGAGGAAGGGGCGGGCCAGGGGCCGGGGCCACCCCCCGACGCGGGGCGGAGCCGGGTCCCGGAGCCGCACGGCCAGGCCAGGCCTTGAACCTGAGCTCCCACCCTCTGGGTCGGCGGAGGAGAGTGGGGGTGCATCAGTGCCCCCCGGGACCCCCTCTTCCAGCTCTTAAAAGCCCCCTCGGGGGGTCGGTGAGGTAACGGGCGGACCAGAGGGACCACAGTGGGGAAGACCGAGCCTCGGCTCCCGGGCTTCATCCCTGCGAGGCCGTGTGCGAGATCGAAGCCAGGGCCTCCTTCTTGCCTCCCCAGTCCGACTGGAGGCTCCTGAGGTCTCGGTCCGCTCCACGGAGGCCTCCCTCCAGCATCTTTGCTTGGGACCCCCGCCCCCATCAATCCTCCGCTTCGTCCACTCCCCGCACACTGACCCCACCGCGGTCGCACCTCCGCCTCCCAGCTCTCCCTCCCACCCCTGGGCTCCCTCAATCCCACTCCATGCCTGCCTCTCCCAGCCCACTGCTCTTCCTCCAATAAGCCCGGCTTCTAGTCTGACTCCCTGGGCCCCTCGATCATCCCCTGCCTCCAGCTCTGTGAAGGGCCCTTTGTCCACCCAAGCACGGGGTCAGCCTTGGCCCCTTCCTCTCCCCCTCTCATCCCACTCACAGAGCCTTGGGGGCCCTGCTCTTTTCATCTGGGGCCAGCCACGTTCTCCCTTTCCCATGGCCACTGTCCTGCTCCGGCGTCCAGGCTCCTCCTGGAGCCCATGGTCTCCTGCCTCCCCGTGTCCTAGTGCGCTGCAGACAGGCAGCAAGGGTTTCCACTCTGAATCTGAGCCTGCCACTACCTGCTTAAAACCATCAGTGACTCCCCAAATCGAGTTGGAAATCTCTTCTTGTCTCCACGAACTGGCCCCGGGCCTCTTACACTCCCTCAGGGCTTGGTTGGTCCTTGCTTTCCGGCAGGAACACTTACCCCCTGGTCGTGCCCTTGCCACCTTCTACACATCCTTCAGACCCTGGGCCTTCCCCCAGCCCCCAGACCAGGTCAGTACCCGCTCTCCTGCTCTGTTGTACACCCTCACAACACCAGCAGCTTCCCTGTGCACCTGCAAACTGAACCCACTGGGAGTGGAGTCTGTTTCCTGTCTGTGTCCCCACTGGCCATGACTCTGAGGGGGCAGGACTAGGTCTGTCTTGCTCATCCCTGGAGCCCTGTGCCCAGCACAGTGTCTGCCCACAGCTGGCCATCCCCATTAGAGGAGGGTGTGCAGGCCTGTGTCTCCTTCAGCCCGAATACCTTCCTGATCTCCATGCCAGGTGCCCTGGCCCAGACAGCAGGAGAAAGAAAGGACTCCTCTCTGTCTCAGGCTCCTCATTTGTAAAAAGGGAGAAATAATACCTACCCCACAGTGTTGTTTTGAAGGTTAAATAACAGTTCACCTGTGGCCGGGTGCGGTGGCTCACACTTGTAATCCCAGCACTTTGAGAGGCTGAGGAGGGAGGATCACTGGAGCCTAGGCGTTCAAGACCAGCCTGGGCAACATAGCAAGACCCTGTCTCTACAAAAAAATTTAAAAATTAGCCAGGTACTGTGGCGCATGCCTATAGTCCCAGCTACTCGGGCGACTGAGGCAGGAGGATCTCTTGACCCCAGGAGTTTGAGGCTATAGTGAACCATGATTGCAAAGCCTGGGTGACAGAGTGAGATCCTGTTTCAAAATTTTTTTAAAGAAGCTGGGCCTGGTGGCTCATGCCTGTAATCCCAGCACTTTGGGAGGCCGAGATGGGAGGATGACTTGAGGTCAGGAGTTCGAGACCAGCCTGGCCAAATGGTAAAACCTCATCTCTACTAAAAATACAAAAATTAGCCGGGTGCGGTGGCTCACACCTGTAATCCCAATACTTTGGGAGGCTGAGGTGGGCGGATCATGAGGTCAGGAGATCGAGACCATCCTGGCTAACACGGTAAAACCCCGTCTCTACTAAAAAATACAAAAAATTAGCCGGGTACAGTGGTGGGCGCCTGTAGTCTCAGCTATTCGGGAGGCTGAGGCAGGAGAATGGCGTGAACCTGGGAGGCGGAGCTTGCAGTGAGCTGAGATCGTGCCACTGCACTCCAGCCTGGGCGACAGAGCGAGACTGTGTCTCAAAAAAAAAAAAAAAAAAAAAAAATTAGCTGGGCGCGGTGGTGGGTTCCTGTAATTCCAGCTACTCAGGAGGCTGAGGTGGGAGAATCACTTGAACCCAGGAGGTGGAGGTTGCAGTTAGCCAAGATGGTACCACTGCACTCCAGCCTGGGTGACAGAGCGGACTCTGTCTAAAAAGGAAAAAAAAAAAAAAAGCTTGTATAATAGAAAGATGACCAAATAAGGAAACAAATGAGTTCTTCAAAGGAGACTTAGTGTCCAGGAAAGGATTCTATGGACCCTGAGAGGATTTAGAGAAGAGGTATATAGGCTTGAACCCAGGAGGCGGAGGTTGCAGTGAGCCGAGATGGCACCACTGCACTCCAGCCTGGGTGACAAAGTGAGACTCGGTCTCAAAAAAAAAAAAAAAATTTAAGAAAGGGTTCACATGTTGAGTGCCTGGCACAAAGTGGGTTCCAGCAAACACCTCTCCCTCTTCTGATCATGACGTTTCAGGTACAGAGGGTAGTGTTTGGGGTGGGTAGAAACCTTCCCTGGGGTCACTGGGGTGGCAGAGGAGGGAAGGGCCCCCTTTCCCAGATGTCCTGTTTAATTCTCTTGAGAGCTCCAGGAGGTCAGTGCTATGCCCAGTTCACATATGTGGTTTGGAAGAGGCAAAGCGACCTGCCCACAGGCACAGCCAGGCTGATCAGTGCCCACTTCTCTTTGGAGGGACCCTCCCCAGGACTGCTTGGTTAGGCCCTGTGAATGTGCAGATGTGTGGGCTGCTAGTGGCCTCAATATTGGGACACTGATTGCTCCCATGAGGCCAGGACCCTTCCTGAATCTGCCCTGGCATCTGTGTGACCTGGACTCCACTTCTGAACTTGGAAGGCCTGGATGAGATGTCCCCTGGGGACCAGGGGATGAACATTTCTCCCCTAACCTTCTCTGTGGAAACAGGAAACCTGATTCAGTGACCCCGAAGCCCCTGCCAACCTGAGGCTCCGTGTCCTCTCCAGAAGCCACCTCGCAGAAGGAATGGCTGTTGCCTCCTGCATGTCCGTCCCTCTCCGGGCCATGGAACAGTGGGGCCTGCAAATTCATTTTCTCTCATCCCCACTTTAGGAACATCCCATCTGGGCTGCCTGGGCTCCAGTCGTTGTCTCAGGGTGGCTGGAAGGGCTCAGAGGACACAGCCTGCTGCTAAGGTGGTCTCTGGACACTGTGCCTTACGGCTCCTATCCAGAGACACCACAGCCTCAACTAAGAATTTGGAGCCCAGCTTCAAAGGGGAGAGCATAGCCTGGTTTTGCTGTTGCTGCTGAGTCGTCCGCTGGGTGCTGGGCAAGTCCCAGCCCTTCTTGCCACCCCTGCCTCTGTCATGAGCCCTTTGCAGGTAGGACTGGCTTGCAATTCAGGGAGAGATGATTGGAAAGTAGAATCCAGAATCCCGGTCTCAATGCCCCATTATATAAGGGCAGAATCAATACCCAGAGAGGGGCAATGACTTGCCCAGGGTGACCCAGCTAAGGAATGGTGGAGTTGGGCTTCAAGCCCCATGGTCACAAAGTCCTATTTGGGACTCAGGATCTTAGAGGGCAATGGTCCTGAAATGTGAACCCCAAATCCATCTCCCACTGCATAAAACCTCTGACTTGGGTGAATCTGGGCTCCTGGAGAAGCCTGAGGGAGAATGAGCTCCCCATTTCCATGGCTTTCTGTAGCCCAGAGAAGACGCAGAGGCAGAGCCTGGGTAAAGCTGGGAAGGTCAAGGAGATGAGACCCTCCTGTGGGACAGGGTGATGCCAGCCTCCTGCCTGAGTCCTTTGGTGGAGGGATAACAGTAGGAACAGCACCATCTCACCGAGCTGCCCTGGCTACCAGGACCTTTGTACCCATCACTTCAGAGTACAAGACACTCCTGTGAGCCTGGCACAGCACTCACCTGTATCACACATGTGGAAACAGCTTCACCAGGTCCGGCCCTGTCTGTGGTCACACAGCTGGTCAGTGGCAGAGCCAAGGTCAGAAGCAGGTGTGGTGGGGTTGTTGTTTCGTTTTGGGTTTTTTTGAAATGGAGTCTCGCTCTGTTACCCAGGCTGGAGTGCAGCTCACTGCGCTCACGATCTCAGCTCACTGCAACCTCCGCCTCTCAGGTTCAAGCGATTCCCGTCACAGCCTCCTGAGTAGCTGGGATTACAGGCATGGGCCACCATGCCCAGCTATTTCTGTATTTTTAGTAGAGACAGGGTTTCACCGTGTTGGTCAGGCTGGTCTCGAACTCCTGACCTCAGGTGATCCACCCACCTCAGCCTCCCAAAATGCTGGGATTACAGGTGTGAGCCACCACACCTGGTGTAGTTTTTGTTGTTGTTGTTTTGAGATGGAATTTCACTCGTTGCCCAGGCTGGAGTGCAATGGCGTGATCTCGGCTCACTGCAACCTCCACCTCCTGATTTCAAGCATTCTCCTACCTCAGCCTCCCGAGTAGCTGGAATTACAGGCATGTGCCACCACGCCCAGGTAATTTTTGCATTTTTAGCAGAGACAGGGTTTCACCATGTTGGCCAGGCTAGTCTCGATCTCCTGACCTCATGTGATCCACCCACCTTGGCCTCCCAAAGTGCTGGGATTACAGGTGTGAGCCACCGCACCTGGTCCAGACTACTTGTTTGTTTTTGAGATGGAGTTTTGCTCTTGTTGCCTATACTGGAGTGCGATGGCACTGTCTTGGCTCACTGAAACCTCCTCCTCCCAGGTTTGAGCAATTCTCCTGCCTCAGCCTCCCGAAGTGCTGGGATCTCCCCTCCTCGGCCTCCCAAAGTGCTGGAATTACAGGCATAAGCCACCACGCCCGGATGCCAGTTTACTTCTTTATGCCTCTGTTTCCTCCTCTATGGAGGGCTATTAGGATCAAACCCCTCAGCTCTGGTAGCAGCAAACACAGCACAGTTGAGGGATGGCTTTTCTGGCCTTCAGCTGGTGCTCGCTTCTCCCCCCTGTAGAGTGTGAGACTGAGGCTACTGATTGCATCTCTTCAGCCACATCCTCTGGGCTGGCTGTTAGGGACCAGAAAGGAAGCAGCCCTGGGCCCTATCCAGATGCCTCAGGGGTTGGGGTGAAGACTCATCCACCAAAAGTGGAAGAAGCCACAGCTGACTGCTTCAGGAGGCATGCCCCCATAACCTCAGGCAGACGCTTCACTTCTCTGGCCTGTTTCTGCCTCAAACTGTGTCCGGAATTGGTGGGTTCTTGGTCTCACTGACTTCAAGAATGAAGCCGTGGACCCTCGTGGTGAGTGTTACAGTTCTTAAAGGCGGCGTGTCCGGAGTTTTTTCCTTCTGATGTTCGGATGTGTTCGGAGTTTCTTCCTTCTGGTGGGGTTCGTGGTCTTCCCGGCTCAGGAGTGAAGCTGCAAACCTTCGTGGTGAGTGTTACAGCTCTTAAGGCGGCGCGTCTAGAGTTGTTCGCTCCTCCTGGTGGGTTGGTGGTCTCGCTGGCTTTAGGAGTGAAGCTGCAGACCTTCCCCGTGAGTGTTACAGCTCATAAAGGCAGTGTGGACCCAAAGAGTGAGCAGCAGCAAGATTTACTGCAAAGAGCAAAAGAACAAATTTTCCACAATATGTATGGAGACCCCACAGGATTGCTATGGAGACCCCAGAGGATTGCCACTGCTGGCTCAGGCAGCCTGCTTTTATCCTCTTATCTGGCCCCACCCACATCCTGCTGATTGGTCCATTTTACAGAGTGCCCAGCAGTCTGTTTTGACAGGGCGCTGATTGGTGCGTTTACAATCCCTGAGCTAGACACAAAGGTTCTCCACGTCCCCACCAGATTAGCTAGATGCAGAGTGTGGACACAAAGGTTCTCCAAGTTCCCACTAGAGTAGCTAGATACAGAGTGTCCATTGGTGCATTCACAAACCCTGAGCTAGACACAGGGTGCTGATTGGTGTGTTTACAAACCTTGAGCTAGATACAGAGTGCCGATTGGTGTATTTACAATCCCTTAGCTAGACATAAAGGTTCTCCAAGTCCCCACCAGACTCAGGAGCCCAGCTGGCTTCACCCAGTGGATCCCACACCGGGGCCACAGGTTGAGCTGCCTGCCAGTCCCGTGCCCTGTGCCCGCACTCCTCAGCCCTTGGGTGGTCAATGGGACTGGGCGCCGTGGAGCAGGGGGCGGCGCTCGTCGGGGAGGCTAGGGCCGCACAGGAGCCCACAGAGGGAGGGGGGATGCTCAGGCATGGCGGGCTGCAGGTCCCGAGCCCTGCCCGGAGGGAAGGCAGCTAAGGCCCGGCGAGAAATTGAGCACAGCAGCTGCTGGCCCAGGTGCTAAGCCCCTCACTGCCCAGAGCCAGCGGGGCCTGCCGAGCTCACGCCCACCCGGAACTCGCGCTGGCCGGCAAGCACCGCGCGCAGCCCGGGTTCCCGCCCGCGCCTCTCCCTCCACACCTCCCCGCAAGCTGAGGGAGCCGGCTCCGGCCTTGGCCAGCCCAGAAAGGGGCTCCCACAGTGCAGCGGCGGGCTGAAGGGCTCCTCAAGTGCCGCCAAAGTGGGAGCCCAGGCAGAGGAGGCGCCCAGAGCGAGCGAGGGCTGTGAGGACTGCCAGCATGCTGTCACCTCTCAAGACTACCTGCCAATTACCCATCTCAGAGGGTCGTCAGAGATCGCTGAGCCCTGCCAGAGGTGCCGGATAAACCTTAGCTGCCTTTATTGTTATTGTTATTATTTCTGCTTCTATTAACTGAGCTCTGATGTTCTACCTCATATCTGTGGCCTTTTTCAAATTCTTTTTTTTTTTTTTTAAGACAGGGTCTTGCTCTGTCACCCAGGCTGGAGTGCAGTGGTGCAATCACAGCTCACTGCTGCCTCAACCTCCTGGGCTCAAGCGATTCTCTGACATCAGTCAGAGTAGCTAAGACCTCAGCCATGTACCACCACACCCAGCTAACTTTTGTATTTTTTTCTAGAGACAGGATCTCACCATGTTGCCCAAACTCCTGGCCTCCAGCGATCCTCCCACCTCAGTCTCCCAGAGTGTTGGAATTACAGATGTGAGCCACCGCTCCCAGCTTTTTCAAATTATTGAATGTTCCAGTGGACTCAGCCTGGATCAGACATCTATCTCCAGTCCAATCAGCTAAGGACTAGAGGGAGGGAGAGAACAGGGTCAGGAAGCCTGGACAGGCTGGACACGTGGATTCTCTCAGAAGCCTGGGAGGTGGTGATGGGGGTCCCTGCAAGTGACTGGCAGCCTAGGGAGTGCGCAGGCTGGACCTTGGGAGTTGGGTGATCCAAGGGCTTGAAGTAGGGCTGCTGGCTGGAAGTGGGACTGTGGGCACTCACCTGCCACCCGTGTGTCCAGCAGAAGAGTGAGGCTGGAGGGTCCTATGAAGATCTGCTTCTCACTTCTCCCTTTGGGAGGGCTTATAGGTCACAGGTCACAGCAAGGCACATGGGGTAGGAGAAGCCTCCATTGAGGAAATTACATATATGCCCTCCCCCGCACCACCGCTGCCACTGTAAATTAAGAAAAAAGCACTGTTGTGTTGGAAGGTGTGCCTTAGAGGGGGAGCAGGGCAACAGCCAGCCCTGGCTGACACCAAGAAATGTGTGTTTGGCTGGGCATGGTGGCTCACACCTGTACTCCCAGCACTTTGGAAGGCTGAGGCGGGTAGATAGTTTGAGGCCACACGTTCAAGACCAGCGTGGGCAACATAGCAAAGCCCTGTCTCTGAAACATAAAGAAAGAAAATGAAAGAAAAAGAAAGAAAGGGAGGGAGGGAGGGAGGGAGGGGCCGGGCCCAGTGGCTCATGGCTGTAATCCCAACACTTCGAGAGGCCAAGGCGGGTGGATCACCTGAGGTCAGGAGTTTGAGACTAGCCTGGCCAACATGGTGAAACCCTGTCTCTACTAAAAATTAAAAAAAAAATTAGCCGGGCATGATGGCGCATGCCTGTAGTGCCAGCTACTCGGGAGGCTGAGGCAGGAGAATTGCCAGAACCGGAAAGCAGAGGTTGCAGTAAGCCAAGATCGTGCCAGTGCACTCCAGCCTGGGCAACAGAGGGACTCCGTCTCAAAAAAAAAAAAAAAAAAAGAAAAGAAAAAGAAAAGAAAGAAAAGAAAAAAAAAAGTAAAGAAAGAAAGGAGGGAGGGAGGAAGGGAAGGAAGAAAGGAAGGAGAAAGAAAGAAGAAAAGAAAGAAAAGGAAGGAAGGAAGAAAGAAAGAGAAAGGCCGGGCGCAGTGGCTTATGCCTGTAATCCCAGCACTTTGGGAGGCCGAGGCGGTTGGATCACGAGGTCAGGAGTTCGAGACCAGCCTGGGCAACATGGTGAAACCCCGTCTCTACTAAAATACAAAAAATTAGCCGGGCGTGGTGGCGGGTGCCTGTAGTCCCAGCTACTCGGGAGGCTGAGGCAGAAGAATCGCTTGAACCCAGGAGGCGGAGGTTGCAGTGAGCCGAGATTGTGCCACTGCACTCCAGCCTGGGTGACAGAGCAAGACTCTGTCTCAAAAAAAAAAAAAGAAAAAGAAAAAAAAAAGAAAGAGAAAGGAGAGGAGAAGGAAAGAAGAAAGGAAGGAAGGAAGGAAGGAAAAAAGGAAGGAGAAAGAAAAAGGGAAAGAAAGAAGAAAGAGAAGAGGAGGAAGAAGGGAGGGAGGGAGGGAGGGAAACTGCGTGCACCGTGCAACACTGTGATTGGAGTGACTTGTTACTCCAGTGTAACCCACTGCCAACAGCCTGGTACTCGAGGCCGTAGTAAGCTCTTGTTAAATAGTTGGAAATGGGATGATTGCCAGTTACAGAACAATGGGCCTGGCTCATGCTGCCAGAGTAGTTTGAGAGCGGGTTCTTGCTAGAGCAAGAGAGAGGGGAGTTAGTCTTCGCTTGCAGCTGGAGCAGTAGCTGTCCCGAGTGGGCAGGGAGGCCCTGGCCCTCTCCTTCCTGTTGCTCTGCCCTCCCTCGGGTGTGGCACTCTCCCTGTTTGGTGGTTGAAGACACTTGCTGTTCCCTCTCCCGAGTCTGCAGACCATTGCAAGGCACCGAATGCACACCCAGAACGCTCATCCAGCACGCCCTTTTTCTCAAGTAGGGTGCGTGGCCATGTGGGAGACAACTCGGAGTCTTTGCCACAGACACCACGGGGACACGGCTCTTCCATTTGGTGACAAATCGCACTGCTGGTGAGATACTGAGCTGCGCGTCGCTGGGAAGGAAAGCAGAGGCTGGACCTCTGGGATTCCCGGTGAGAATCCTGCAGGGCAGGCCCCAGGTGGAGGGGGCGACCCCGGTCTCCAGGGCCGGGGGAGGCAGCGAGGCCCAAGGACAGGCGGCGGAGGCGGGAGGCGGCGAATGGGCTCCTCCCGAGGCCCGGACCAACCCCTGGCCGTGAGGCCGCGCCCCGCCGCGTTCAGCGAAGGGAAGCAGGCACCCCGCCCGGCTCTCCGCTGCCTCCACACTCGGGGACCCTGGGCGCTCACGTGTTCCCCTCTGGGCCTCAGGATTCAAGGATGCGCCCTCTTGCAAACAGTCCGTGGCCTGCGACAGAAAGAAAACCCCTGGGAGCGGTCGGGGTGGGGACCCACAAAACGCTGTGGCTAAACCGCATGGCGCCAAGCCCGATCGGAGCGTGGCGTGGGAATCGAGTCAAATTTACCCTGCTAGGTGCGGCTCCAACAAGGTCCCGGGTACTCCTCTAACGCCCAGTGAGGGCAGCACTGCCTTTGTCCCTGCCCCACGGACAGGACACGGAGGCTCCGACATACAAAAGGACTTAACCCGAGGGGAAATGTTAGAGCCGGGCTCCAACCCAGGACTTCCTGAGTCTAAGCCCAATCTGGCCCTAGACGAGCTGCCACGGTGGGCTGCACCCTCCACGGCAGGAGCTTGCCTGGCCTTGCTTCTTAGGTGAGTGTCCAGCCCAGGCCTTTAGAAGTTTGCTTCTTTATCAGGTCACATGTTTTTGGACATTTGTGATCACTGCTTTGCCATTGCAAAGGGGGACAAGAGGCCCAGGGAGCCCCCTCATTTACCAGCCCCTTCCTGGGAGGCTCAGAAAGCAGCCAGCTGCCCCCACATGCACGGTGGCCTGTGCATCAGTGTAGCTTGGCGGGTCATTTTACAGAGGAGGCGACCAAGGAGGTGGCAGGCTGCAGTCGGGGTCCCCAAGGTGATACCTCCATCTCCAGTGTCAAGGCTCTGAGGAGGGAGCTGGGGACCTCAGGAGGCAGTGGCAGTGGAGGAGCTGGTGTGGATGAACCTGAAAGGGGCAGGAAAGGCACTTGGGCAGCCTGGAGCAGGCAGGAGTTGTCACCCGCTCTCTCTAAGCCAGCCCTGCACAAAGCCACTGGCCTTACCTCCTGCAGGTGAAGCAGGTACAGAGCTACCTTCTGCTTCCAGCCTCGGGGGTGAAATGACCCCCTGCTAAAGTCACACAGAGTATGGGGCAGCATCAGGACTACAGGCCAAATCATCTGACTCCAGAGCCCTCTCTACACAGAGCTGGGAGGTAAAGGTATGAATTATTCCCATTTTACAGGTGAGGAAGCAATGGCCCAGAGAGTTTAAGTAGCTTGTTCAAGGTCACACAGCAAGAAAATAGAGACAGCCATACCACTCCTAGAATCTCCAGTGTCCTCACCTGCACTCAACTCAATGTGTGAAACTCCCGACTCACGCCTGGCGTGTGCTCGGTGCACAGTCCATGTTAGATCCTTTGTTTGGTCTTCTACAGATATTTTGAAAGACATTTTATGTCTGTAATATACAGTCAGGAGAGACAGCCAAAAGGATGTGGAGAAAATGTCCTCAGATGGTTGGAGGTCTTGAAGGTTTTCTTCCCAGGGACGCCAGCACCTCTGATCACTGAGGCGAAACCCCCTGCCTGAAGTGCTTGTTCAACATGCTTCTGCAACATCACTTGGTCCTCGAAAATTTCTGGTTTGGGAGAACTGCCAACGATGCCCCTAGAGACCTTTCAAACCTCTTTGCTAATTCCTCTTGCCAAGAGATGCTTGAGAGGAAAAATTAACATGAATAAAAGATCATTGAAAGAATCTACAGGCCGGGCGCGGTGGCTGACGCCTGTAATCCCAACACTTTGGGAGGCCAAGGCAGGTGAATCACCTGAGGTCAGATGTTCAAGACCAGCCTGACCAACATGGTAAAACCCCATCTCTACTAAAAAAAAAAAAAAAAAAAAAAATTAGCTGGGCGTGGTGGCGGGCGCCTGTAATCCTAGCTACTTTGGAGGCTGAGGCAGGAGAATCACCTGAACCCAGGAGGCAGAGGTTGCAGTGAGCCGAGATCACACCACTGCACTCCAGCCTGGGCAACAAGAGCGAAATTCCATCTAAAAAAAAAAAAGAATCTACAGTCCAATTTGGTGGTGGCTAAGCGACAATGTTTTGTTGTCTACGTTGTAGTTGCTGGTGTATGTGCGGTTGGAAGTAAATTCAGGAGTAGGGAAAAGTAATTGCTGTGCGTGAACCCCGGTGGCTGTGGAGTGGCACCCTGGGGGATCCACCAGCCCGCCCTGGTGTCAGGCTTGGATGGTTTCCACTTTTCTTGCTGTTATAAATAACACCAGTTTAAACACCTTTGTACTTGGAGCACTTTTCTTTGAGTTGTCACCTCAGGATAGATGCCCAGGAGTGGGAGTTCTCATGCAGCTCCTGCCAGTGATTTCTGGCCGCCGCAGCAGTGTGGGAGTGGAGTTCACGGTCACAGCCTGGCTGTGCGCTGGGTTTCATAATAGATACCAGGTGTAACGCGATACCGCGGGGTTGTCCTAATTTGCATTTCCTTAGGACTATCCCAGAGTTCTTCATAGACTCTCTAAGAAACATCAGGGTTTCCTGGAAAGTGTGAATTAAGGACAAATATTCTATCTGATAAAAAAAAAAAAAAAGGGCCGGGCACGGTGGCTCACACCTGTAATCCAGCACTTTGGGAGGCCGAGGTGGGCTCAAGCGATCCTCCTGTCTCAGTCTCCTGTGTTGTTCTGACTACAGGAATGCACCACTGTACCCCACTTTGGAACCCTTTTTATTGTGAATATAATACACCTCCAGGAAATTACATAAAACTTGAATGTTCAGGGCCGGGCGTGGTGGCTCACGCCTGTAATCCCAGCACTTTGGGAGGCCGAGGCAGGCGGATCACGAGGTCAGGAGATCGAGACCACGGTGAAACCCCGTCTCTACTAAAAATACAAAAAATTAGCCGGGTGCGGTGGCGGGCGCCTGTAGTCCCAGCTACTCAGGAGGCTGAGGCAGGATAATGGCGTGAACCCGGGAAGCGGAGTTTGCAGTGAGCTGAGATCGCGCCACTGCACTCCAGCCTGGGTGACAGAGCGAGACTCCGTCTCAAAAAAAAAAAAAAAAAAAAAAAAAAACTTGAACGTTCAGCTGATATTTTTATTATTATTATTTTTTGAGATGGAGCCTTGCTTTGTTGCCCAGGCTGGAGTGCAGTGGCGCCATCTAGGCTCACTGCAACCTCTGCCTCCTGAGTTCAAGCAATTCTCCTGCCTCAGCCTCCCAAGTAGCTGGGATTACAGGTGCCCGCCACCATGCCCGGCTAATGTTTGTATTTTTAGTACAGATGGGGTTTGGCCATGTTGGCCAGGCTGGTCTCAAACTCAGACCTCAGGTGATCCGCCTGCCTGGTCTGGCTGATTAAACTATCATGAAGCAAATGCCTGGTATGAACCCCACCAGGCAAAGACTAGAACACTGCCAGCACCCCCAGAAAGCCCCCGCCATGTCCCTTTCCAAGTGCCACCTCTTCCCTCTATCCAGAAGTGTGTGCTATTCTGATTCTAATACCACAGTTTAGTTTTAAGAAACAGGGTCTTGGCCGAGCCTGTTGGCTCACGCCTGTAATCCCAGCACTTTGGGAGGCTGAGGCAGGTAGATGACTTGAGTTGAGGAGTTGGAGACCAGCCTGGGCAACATAGTGAAACCCCATCTCTACTAAAAATACAATTAGCCGGGCGTGGTGGCGGGCGCCTGTAGTCCCAGCTACTCAGGAGGCTAAAATGGGAGGATAGCCTGAACCCGGGAGGCAGAGATTGGAGTGAGGTGAGATCACACCTCTGCACTCCAGCCTGAGTGATAAAGAAAGACTGTCAAAAAAAAGGAAAAAACAAAAGAAAAAAAGGAAAGGAAAGGAAAAAGGAAAGAAAAGAAAAGAAGAAAAGAAAAAGTGAGACTGTGTCTTGCTTTGTTGCCCAGGCTGGTCTAGAACTCCTGGTCTCAAGTGATCCTCTAGCCTTGGCCTCCCAAAGCACTGAGATTACAGGTGTGAGCCACTGTGCCCGGCCCCTCATTTAGTTTTTTAAACAGCTGTCATATAGTTTTGCCTGTTTGAAATTTCTGTGTGTGGAGCTATGCTTGTGTCTGGCTTCTTGTTTGTGAAATTCACCCATGTTCCTTCATGTACCTGAAGTTTGTTCATTTCCATTGCTATAATACATAGCACTTTGTTATATAAATACACCACAATTGTCCTTTTTTTTTTTTTTTTTTTTTTTTGAGACAGAGTCTCGCTCTGTTGCCCAGGCTGGAGTGCAGTGGTGTGATCTTGGCTCACTGCAACCTCCGCCTCCTGGGTTCCTGCCATTCTCCTGCCTCAGCCTCCCTAGTAGCTGGGACTACAGGTGCCTGCCACCACACCCGGCTAATTTTGTATTTTTAGTAGAGACGGGGTTTCACTGTGTTAGCCAAGATGGTCTCGATCTCCTGACCTCAGGCAATCCACCCGCCTCAGCCTCCCAAAGTGCTGGGATTACAGGCGTGAGCCACCGTGCCCAGCCTTTATTTTTTTTGAGATGGAGTTTCAATCTTCTTGCCCAGACTGGAGTGCAATGGCACGATCTTGGCTCACCGCAACTTCCGCCTCCCGGATTCGAGCGATTCTCCTGTCTCAACCTCCTGAGTAGCTGGGATTACAGGCATGCACCACCACGCCCGGCTAATTTTTGTATTTTTTAGGAGAGACAGGATTTCTCCATGTTGGCCAGGCTGGTCTCGAACTCCTGACCTCAGGTGATCCACCCGCTTCGGCCTCCCAAAGTGCTGGGATTATAGGCGTGAGGCACTGCACCCAGCCCACAATTGTCCATTCTACTGTTGAAAAGACTTACAGGTTGTTTTTGGTTTTGGTGGTCAGGATATGTTGTGCTCGAGTCATTTGTGCCCAACCTGGCCTACACACTTCTAGTAGGTCTATACCAAGAGGTGCAAGTGCTGGGTTTGCTTCTCTTTCACTCCTCTTATGTGTGCAATTTTTCCTTTTTTTTTTTTTTTGAGACAAGGTTTCCTTCTGTCACCCAGGCTGGAGTATACTGGCGTGATCTCGGCTTACTGCAGCTTCAATCTCCTGGGCTCAAGAGATCCTCCCACCTCCACATCCTGAGTAGCTGGAATTACAGGTGGGTGTTACCAAGCCCGGCTAATTTTTGTATTTTTTATAGAAATGGGGCCTCACCATGTTGCCCAGGCTGGTCTCAAACACGTGGGCTCAAGCAATCAGCCTGCCTCAACTTCCCAAAGTGCTGTGATTACAGGTGTGAGTGACAGAGCCCAGCCTCTTTGGGATTTTCTACAAAGATGATCATGTTTTCCATAAACAAAGACAATTTTATTTATTCCTTTCCAATGTGTATACCTGCTTTCCCTTTTCTTGTTTTATTGCACTAGCTAGGACTTCCACTATGATGTTGAATAGGAGGATAAGAAATGACAACCCTTGCCTTGTTCCTACCTTAGGAGGAAATTATCTGTTTTTTTTTTCTGAGACAGAGTCTCGCTTTGTCGCCCAGGCTGGAGTGCAGTGGCGCAATCTTGGTTTGCTGCAACGTCTGCCTCCAGGGTTCAAGCATTTCTCCTGCTTCAGCCTCCCAAGTAGCTGGGACTACAGGCACGTGCCACCACACCCGGCTAATTTTTGTATTTTTAGTAGAGATGGGGTTTCACTATGCTGGCCAAGCTGGTCTCAAACTCCTGACCTCTTGATCTGCCTGCCTTGGCCTCCCAAAGTGCTGGGATTACAGGCATGAGCCACCACACGCAGCAACAGATGAAGTATTTTATAAATGTCAATCATCTAGCTGGTTGCCAGGAGAGGTGGCTCACGCCTGTAATCCCAGCACTTTGGGAAGCCAAGGCAGGCAGATCACTTGAGGTCAGGAGCTCGAGACCATGCTGGCCAACATGGTGAAACCCTATCTCTAAGAAAAATACAAAAATTGGGCCGGGTGTGGTGGCTCACGCCTGTAATCCCAGCACTTTGGGAGGCCGAGGTGGGCGGATCATGAGATCAGGAGATCGAGACCATCCTGGCTAACACGGTGAAACCCCGTCTCTACTAAAAATACAAAAAATTAGCCGGGTGTGGTGGCGGGCACCTGTAACCCCAGCTACTCGGGAGGCTGAGGCAGGAGAATGGCGTGAACCTGGGAGGCAGAGTTTGCAGTGAGCGAGATCGCGCCACTGCACTCCAGCCTGGGCGACAGAGCAAGACTCTGTCTCAAAAAAATGAAAACAAAAACAAACAAACAAAAAAACCCAAAAATTAGCTGGGGTGGTGGCGGGTGCCTGTAGTCCCAGCTACTTGGGAGGCTGAGGCTGGAGAATCGTTTGAACCAGGAGTTGGAGGTTGAAGTGAGCTGAGATCACGCTACTGAACTTCAGCCTGGGCGACAGAGTGAGACTCTGTCTCCAAAAAAAAAAAAAAAAAAGATTCTAGTTGGTTTACGGCACTGTTCAGTTCAACTATGTCCTTACTAATTTTCTGCCTGCACCAGTGAATGTCTTTCTTCTTGCTAGTCTGTTTTTGCCTCACACATTTGATGCTTTGCTGTAGGCACATAAGCTAATTGAAGATTTTCGTATCTTTTTTTTTTTCCGAGACTGAGTCTCACTGTGTCACCCAAGCTGGAGTGTGGTGGCGTGATCTGGGCTCACTGCAACTTCTGCCTCCTGGGTCCAAGTGATTCTCATGCCTCAGCCTCCCAAATAGCTGGGATTACAGGCCTGTGCCACCACATTTGGCTAATTTTTGTGTTTTTAGTAGAGACGGGGTTTCACCATGTTGGTCAGGCTGGTCTTGAACTCCTGACCTCAGGTGATCCACCCACCTCGGCCTCCCAAAGTGCTGGGATTATAGGTGTGAGCCACTGGGCCTGGCGATTTTTCTATCTTCTTAGAGAACTGACCCCTCTACCATTATGTAATGCCACTCTATTCCTGGCAATTTTCCTTCCTCTGAATTGGCTTTGTCTGAAATATAGCTACTCCAAGTTTCTTTTTTTTTTTTTTTTTTTTGAGACGGAGTCTTGCTCTGTCGCCCAGGCTGGAGTGCAGTGGCATGATCTCGGCTCATTGCAACCTCTGCCTTCCGGGTTCATGCCATTCTCCTGCCTCAGCCTCCCGAGTAGCTGGGACTACAGGCGACCACTACCCTGCCTAGCTACTTTTTTGTATTTTTAGTAGAGACGGGGTTTCACTGTGTTAGCCAGGATGGCCTCGATCTCCTGACCTCGTGATCCACCTGCCTTGGCCTCCCAAAGTGCTGGCATTACAGGCATGAGCCACTGTGCCCGGCTCTTTTTTTTTCTTTTTTCTCAAGACGAGTCTTTCTGTCACCCTGACTGGAGTGCAGTGGCGCTATCTCGGCTCACTGCAACCCCCACCCCCCAGGTTCAAGCAATTCTCCTGCCTCAGCCTCAAGAGTAGCTGTGATTACAGGTGCCTACCACCACACCAGGCTAATTTTTGTATTTTTAGTAGAGATGGGGTTTCACTATGTTGGCCAGGCTGGTCTTGAACTCCTGACCTGGTGATCTGTCCGCCTCAGCCTCCCAAAGTGCTGGGATTACAGGCGTGAGTCACCGCGCCCCAGGCCCTTCCAAGTTTCTTTTGATTATCTTCATGGTATGTCTTTCTCTAGCCCCTTACTTTCGGTCCATGTCTGTGTACAAGTGGGTTTTTACTTTTTAAAAGTAAAACCTTCAGGCCACCATGCCCAGCTAATTTTTTGTGTTTCTAGTAGAGACGGGGTTTCACCGTGTTAGCCAGGATGGTCTTGATCTCCTGACCTCATGATCTGCCCATCTCAGCCTCCCAAAGTGTTGGGATTACAGGTTTGAGCCACCACGCCACGCCGGGTCTTGCTTATCAAAATCTACTCTAGCCAGGCACGGTGGCCCACAGCAGTAATCCCAGCGCTTTGGGAGGCCGAGGCAGGCGGATTAGCTGAGGTCAGGGTTCGAGACCAGCCTGACCAACCTGGTGAAACCCCGTCTCTACTAAAAATACAAAAAAATTAGCTGGGCATGTTGGCAGGCCTCTGTAATCCCAGCTACTTGGGAGGCTGAGGCAAGAGAATTGCTTGAATCCAGGAGGCGGAGGTTGCAGTGAGCCGAGATCCTGCCACTGCACTGCAGGCTGGGAGCGACAGAGCAAGGCTCCAACTCATAAAAACAAACAAACAAACAAAAAACAAACCCTACTCTGACAGTCTTTTATTTAGGCCATTGACATTTAGCCATGAAAGAAATAGCCTAATATTTACATTTGTTACTGTTTTCATTGTTCTTTGTTCCTCTTTTTGTCTTGCATTTTGGGGGCCAGGTGGATAATTATGGGGAGAAGGGTATGTGTAGATTTTGAGCACCCAAAAGGGTAGATTATAGTGGACTTTTGTATTTCTCTGGCTGCTTCCTATTTTTGGGAAATTTCCTATTGTGTACATTTTCACACAAACAGTGCAGTATTAATGCATCGTTTTCCACTGAGGAAATTAAATTGAGCCAACCTCCTTCTCTTCACTCTTCCGGTACTCCCAGGCAGACCTTTGAGTCTTGATCAGATGATGATGTAACAATTAAAACATACTTACAGCAGTGGGCTAGTGGCATTGTTCTGCAGCAACTTGAAGATATTTTTCTTGAAGAAAGCAGACTCTGTCCTGTAGAAATCCTGCCTTGACTTCAATCTGGGTTCAAATCTTAGCTGTTATTAACTCACTTGTAAGACTTCAAATGTCTTCCTGTAACTATCACAAATAATGACATTTTAGGAGAGAATCAGAAAAATCTAGAGATGTATCCCACATTGTCACTAGCGGTGCTACATTGATTAAATAATTTCATTTTTTTTCTTTGAGATGGAGTTTCTCTTATTGCCCAGCTGGAGTGCAATGGTGTGAACTTGGCTCACCGCAACCTCCACCTCCCGGGTTCAAGCTGTTCTCCTGTCTCAGCATCCCGAGTAGCTGGGATTACAGGCATGTGCCACCATGCCTGGCTAATTTTGTATTTCTAGTAGAGACGGGGTTTCTCCATGTTGGTCAGGCTGGTCACGAACTCCTGACCGCAGGTGATCTGCCTGCCTTGGCTTCCCAAAGTGTTGGGATTACAGGCATGAGCCACTGCACCCGGCCACTTTTTGTTTTTTTTGAGAGGGAGTTTCACTCTTGTTGCCCAAGCTGGAGTGCAATGGCGGGATTTCAGCTTACTGCAACCTCCACTTCCCGGATTCAAATGATTATCCTGCTTCAGCTTCCCGAGTAGCTGGGATTACAGGCACCCCGCACCATGCCCAGCTAATTTTTGTATTTTTAGTAGACAGGGTTTCACCATGTTGGCCAAGCTGGTCTTGAACTCCTGACCTCAGGTGATCCACCTTCCTTGGCCTCCCAAAGTGCTGAGATTACAGGCGTGAGCCACCATGCCCGACCAAATCACTTCTTTTTTTTTTTTTTTTGAGACGGAGTCTTGCTCTGTCGCCCAGGCTGGAGTGCATGATGGGTGCCATCTCAGCTCACTGCAAGCTCCGCCTTCTGGGTTCACGCCTTTCTCCTGCCTCAGCCTCCCGAGTAGCTGGGACTACAGGTGCCCGCCACCACGCCCGGCTAATTTTTTTGTATTTTTAGTGGAGACGGGGTTTCACCGTGTTAGCCAGGTTGCTCTCGATGTCTTGACCTTGTGATCCTTCCGCCTCGGCCTTCCAAAGTGCTGAGATTACAGGTGTGAGCCACCGCGCCTGGCCCCAAATCACTCCACTTCTGAGCTTTGGTCTTCATCTTTTAAAATGGGATAATGTAATGTAGATAAAAGCAACTCGCTCATAGTAGGTGCTGGTAGGCAAATGAATCAAATTTAGGGTCTTCCTTTTGGTTACCCAAGGCCTTTCATTGGACTGTGAATGGCTAAGAGGTGGCAGGAGAGTCCCTTGGAATGATTTGCTACACAGTGAGCACTGACTGATGCTCACCAAGCACTATCTGGTTCACAGGTGTTCAGTACTGAGATCATCATGGACTAATCCCTGTGACACCAGTCCTACAAGTAACACATACATTCCATGGGAGGGGAGCCTTGCTGTTCATACTTTATCCCCAGAGGCTAGAACAGTGCTTGGCCTACGCAGAAGGCACTCCAAATGTAAATATAAGGTGGGGCGGGGGGGTGGGACATCATACTAGTCTCATTTGCAATTGGGCCCAGCAATAGTGAACACAAGAAGCTGTGAAAACAAAATGAAAAATGAACATGAAAATACCCAGTGTTCTTTCTCCAGTGCACATTCAGAATTCAATAGATGAGAGTTTCCATCTTTCTTGTTGATTTATCCTCTTTTCATTCAGAATCCAACACAAAAGCATTCAAAAATTGCTGGGAAAAACATGACCAATGGTCCTGTCTGTGTACACATGGAATTTCCTTGCCACTATTAACACAGTGCTGAACTTATTTGGTTAGAATCCATGTGCCTTAAACATTTAATGCTCATGATATCGAGTTTATTAAATTTTCAATATTTTTTTTTTTTTGAGACAGAGTCTCGCTCTGTCGCCCAGGCCAGAGTGCAGTGGTGCGATCTGGGCTCACTGCAAGCTCTGCCTCCCGGGTTCACGCCATTCTCCTGCCTCAGCCTCCTGAGTAGCTGGGACTACAGGCGCCCATCACCACACCCAGCTAATTTTTTGTATTTTTAGTAGAGACGGGGTTTCACCATGTTAGCCAGGATGGTGTCTATCTCCTGACCTCCTGATCCGCCTGCCTCGGCCTCCCAAAGTGCTGGGATTACAGGTGTGAGACACCGGGCCTGGCAAGTTTATTAAATTACATAAACATGCCTGATGCGGCTGCTCACGCCTGTAATCCCAACACTTTGGGAGGCCGAGGCAGGCAGATCACCAGGTCAGGAGTTCGCGACCAGCCTGACCAACATGGTGAAACCCTGTCTCTACTAAAAGTACAAAAATTAGCCGGGCGTGCCGGGCGCGGTGGCTCATGCCTGTAATCCCAGCACTTTGGGAGGCTGAGGCGGGCAGATCACGAGGTCAAGAGATCGAGATCTGCCTGTCCAACAATGGTGAAACCCCATCTCTACTAAAAATACAAAAATTAGCTGGGCGTGGTGGCACGTGCCTGTAGTCCCAGCTACTCAGGAGGCTGACAGGAGAGTCGCTTGATCCCAGGAGGCAGAGGTTGCAGTGAGCTGAGATCGTGCCACTGCACTCCAGCCTGGTGACAGTGCCAGACTCCATCTCAAAACAAAACAAACAAAAAAAACCTGAAAGAAACAAAATGCCGCAACAAACATCCCTATCCTTATAGGGATAAAATCGGAATAATAAATTATCGTCATCACTGGAGACCAGCATGAGATCCTCTGAGGCAGTGGGAATTTTACTGGTTAGGTTCATCACCTTGTCATGATGACACGAGAATGGGCCCAGAAAAAGGTTTGGGAAACTCTCCAGAAACTGAGTGAGGTTCCTTGGTTTGGCTGCCTCGTCTGTTTCTGAAATTACACGTTTTCAAAACTCAACTAATTTCCCCTGTCATCTTCCCCATTCCTCAGATGATGCCTCATCATTCTGTGACTGCTTCCGATAGCTCCTTTGCCAGGACATTTGCCAAGTCTTGCTAATCTTGCCTCTTCTGCTCCCTCCTATCATGGCTTTGATCAAGCAGGCCCCGTATCATCTGGGGTTGCATGCCCTGAACTATTGGGTTCCCTGCATCCAATCCTTCACAATGCTGTCAGGTCTAGAAGCATAACCCTACTCCCCGCACCCTCCTATTCAAATACCTTCAATGTTACCCAGTGCTTACAGGATAAAGGTCAAATTCCTCTTCCTGGTATCCATGGCCCTCTATGACACAATCCATTTTGTTAAACTCTAACTCTCCAGTATCAAACTCCACGTTTCCTGGGCACAGTACCCTGTGCTTTCCCAACTCCATGAAAGCCATGCTCACAGGCTTTCAATAGGAATGCGTCCCACCCTACATCCCCAAAAGGTTCAGCTTAAGTGCTACCTCTGATCCCAGATGAAGTTCTGACTCTGTTCTCTGAATATCCACTTTGCCTTCATCACTAGCAACTAGATCACAAACTCCAGGAGGGCAAGAGACACTCTACTTTCGTATTTCCAATGCATTCGAAGATTTTGGTCTATAGGAAGCAACAGGACAGTTGTTTTAAGCCTAGGGACAGCCCCCAACAAATTCACAGGCAGCAGTCAAGTGAATCTCCTTTCCCAAGATTTTGCTGCAGCATGTAATGAAAGCCCTCAAGCATCCTCCCTGCTGTGATGCCCCTCAACAGTCCCTCAAGGGCTGAGACCAGATTGGAACCACTGTACTTCTGGTACCTCCTAGAGAGCTAGGCCAAACAAGCAGTGGAAGAATAATTAGGACAAAAGTTATCCAGTAGGCCAGGCGCGGTGGCTCATGTCCGTAATCCCAACACTTTGGGAGGCTGAGGTGGGCAGATCACCTCAGGTCAGGAGTTCGAGACCAGCCTGACCAATATGATGAAACCCCGTCTCTACTAAAAATACAAAAATTAGCCGGAAGTGGTGGCATGTACCTATGATCCCAACTACTTGGGAGGCTGACAGGAGAATCACTTGAACCTGGTTGGTGGAGACTGTAGTGAGCTGAGACTGCACCACTGCACTCCAGCCTGGGCAACAAGAGCAAAACTGTCTCAGGAAAAAAAAAAAAAAAAAAGTCCAGTATAGTTTTTTCCCCCTGGTTTTTGATTAGTTCAGATCTTAATGTGATGAGATCATGATACCGCAGATTCATGGCAATTTCGACAAACAGCACAGAACTCTATATTCATGAACAACTCATCTGGTAATGCTCCAAGTTTCCAAACTGATTCATTCTTCATCAGCCTGGCCATACGTTTCTTAAGAGAAAGGATGATAAATTCCTCGGAAACCTGCCTTTATTCTGTTGGTGAGAAAAATCCTTTAGGAACGTGTTGGTTCCCTAAGATGGGTGATCCCAAGGAACAAAACAGTCATTACACATGAACTTTTTTTTTTTTTTTTTTTGAGACGGAGTCTCGCTCTGTCGCCCAGGCTGGAGTACAGTGGCGTGATCTCAGCTCACTGTAACCTCCACCCCTCGGGGTTCAAGCGATTCTCCTGCCTCATTCTCCTGAGTAGCTGGGATTACTGGCGTGTACCACCATGCCTGGCTAATTTTTGTATTTTCAGTAGAGACGGGGTTTCACCATGTTGGTCAGGCTGGTCTCGAACTCCTGACATTGTGATCCGTCTGCCTAAGCCTCACAAACTGTTGGGATTACGGGCGTGAGCCACCGTGCCCGGCCTACACATGAACTTTTTATGCTAAGAAAAGACATATCAAGATATATCAGAAAGTACAACTTCAATTCAAACACCATGAAATTTTGTCAAGCAAAAATAGTCTTTATTCAAATTTAATGGAAACAGGGGTCACTATACTTTGCAAGACGGGGAAAAATAAAATTAAAAAAAATTCTTTTCTTTTCTTTTTTAATATAAAACAATATAATCACAATACCAGAATATGGAACTCTACAGTTTATTTCCTATGGGTTACTGCAGGTATCAATTTTCCTCGACTGTGCTATTCACAACTTTGTTAAGTCCAAAAATATGAAACCAAAGTGGTAGGAAACTTAAGACTTAGCACTTTCACTAAATGGCATACATCGAAGGGCATCAATTCAAGAGCAAAAATGGTTGAACTCACCATACCTACCTATGTGGTCATTCCAGCCTTAGAGCCGTCCAGGTTACTGAGCTCCCTGTAGGAAAGGCCAGGCCTGAAAGCCAAGGCGTTTTGGATATTCTACTGTGGGCCATGAGTAAAAGGGGATTTTCAAAGAGAAAATTTTTTTCAGTCGAGCAGGAAGGCCTGGTGCCAGGAGGCTTTACTGAGAGGAAGCACTTAGATTTAACAATTATAGACACACCATTAGGGGAGTTAAAAATGTACAGCAGTGACATGTTCTACTCCAATCACTTGTGCTACGGCTACCAAACATGTACAAAAGACTTCTCGGGTAGTTCCAGCTGTGGCCATAGCCAGTTAGGACCTTGAGTGGGACCTAGATCTAGATCGGGAGGGCGATCTGGAAGCAGACCTGGATCTAGACTTGGACCGAGATCGGGTTTTTGAAGCTGACTTTGATCTGGAGCGTGATTCTGATGGAAGGTTTGGTTTCGATTTGGAATTGGATCTCGACCTGGACCGGGTCTCCTGATTGGTGCCAGCATTCTCACTCTCTCCTCGACCTTCCCTCTGGCTGGATTCAGACTTGGCATGTTCCCGCTCCTTTGACACGGAGCGGGATGGAGATCTGGACTGGGAGCGGTCAGTGTCTTCCTTCTTCTTCTTCTTGCTGCTGCCCGCCTTGCTGTCTCGCTTGCTGCCTCGCTTTCTGCTCCTCTCACTCTTGCTGCGGCTGCGACTGCGACTGCGGCTCTCCTCTCTGCTTCTCTTCCTGCCCTTCCTCTTGTCCTTGCTCTTGCTGCGGCTCCTGCTCCGGCTCCTGCTGCCCCCTTTGCTCCTGCTCCGGCTCCGACTCTGGCGGAGGCTCTTCTCCTGGCTCCTGCCCCTGCTCACACTCCCTCGCTTCTCCTCCTCCACTCTCCTCTCCTGACTCCTGCTCCGACTTTTGCTCTTACTTTTATGCCTGCTAGGACTCCGGCTCTTGGGTTTCCCGACATTGTCATTGTTTTGGATCTTCTCTTCAGCTTGGTCTTTGCTCTTGCTGCGGCTCTTGCCAGCGCTATGGCTGCGGCTGCGGCTCTTTTCCTTGCTGGGGCTCCTGCTTTTCTCTTTCTTGCTCCGGCTCCGACTCTGGCTCCGGCTCCGGCTCTTGCTCCGGGAGCGGGAGCCCGACCTGAGGAGACATGGGATACTGTTTGTGTCACATGTGACTTCATGCTAATCAGGAGATAAAAAGACCAAAGGGCATACATGTGGAGTTACACCCCCCAATATAAAGCATGGCTGGCACTGGCTGAGGATTGTTTTCTGAACCCTCACAATGCCAATCAGAAGCTGGAAAAACTGGCCAGGTGCGGCGGCTCATGCCCATAATCCCAGCACTTTGAGAGGCCAAGGCAGGCGGATCGCGAGGTCAGGAGTTCAAGAGCCAGCCTGGCCAACATGGTGAAGCCCCGTCTCTACTAAAAATACCAAAAATTAGCCAGGCATGCTGGCACACGCCTGTAAACCGAGCTACTCAGGAGGCTGAGGCAGGAGAATCGCTTGAACCCGTGAGGCAGAGGTTGCAGTGAGCCGAGATCGCGCCACTGCACTCCAGATTGGGCGACAGAGCGAGACTCTGTCTTGAGGGGGGAAAAAAAAAAAAAAAAAGAAAAAGAAGCTGGAAAAGCAGGAAGACTGGTCACATGATTGAAATCCAAGTGAGGCTGGGCACAGTGGCTCATGTCTGTAATCGCAGTAGTCTGGGAGGACTATTTGAGGTCATGAGTTTAAGATTAGCCTGGGCAACATAGTGAGACCCTGTCTCTAAAAAAAATTAAAAAATTAGCTGGGTGTGGTAGTATGTGCCTGTAGTCCCAGCTACTTGGGAGGCTGAGGTGGAAGCTTGCTTGAGCCCAGTGAGGTGAGGCTGCAGTGAGCCATGACTGTACCACTGGACTCCAGCTTGGGTGACAGAGTGTCTCTTTGAAAAAAAAAAGAAAAAAAAGTGAGACAGGGTACAGGCATTCCCTGCTGACCACCTCTACTTATAACATGGAAGACATACCTGGACCGAGATCTACTCTTAGAATGACTGCTTTTGCTGCTGCCACTTCGGCTTCTGCTCTTACGGGAATGTCTGCTTCGAGAGCGAGACCTAGGGGGAGAAAATATTTTTTAATACTTGCTGACAAGAGGCTGCTGATGAGCATCAATCAAGACTATATATATTATATATATATATTTTAGATGGAGTTTCACTCTTGTTGCCCAGGCTGGAGTGCAATGGCGCGATCTCGGCTCACCACAACCTCCACCTCCTGAGTTCAAGCGATTCTCCTGCCTCAGCCTCCCAAGTATCTGGGATTACAGGCATGTGCTACCACGCCTGGCTAATTTTGTATTTTTAGTAGAGACGGGGTTTCTCCATGTTGGTCAGGCTGGTTTCGAACTCCTGACCTCAGGTGATCCACCTGCCTCGACTTCCCAAAATGCCAGGATTACAGGCATGAGCCACCGTACCCGGCCAAGATTTTCAATATGTACAGCACTGGCTGTGTCCAGGCACAAACTCTCTCTTGGGTTCTAGGTCCACAGATGAAGTCACCTGCAAACCTTCCATCTGGATGGTTCACCTGAACCTCTTAGCAGCTCCTGAAATTCTAACTGTCCCCGATGCCGGCTCCTTTTGCTGGGCTCCTTATGTGCACTGATGCCACTGTTATTCATATGGTTCCTCGTAACAGAAATCACAGCCATCCTTGACTCCCCCGTCTTTCCCCTATCCCCTTACACACCCACGATCATGCCTCCTGATCTTCGGTCTTTCTACCTCTGCTGCTGCCTCTCTGGGCAAGCCACCATTATCTCTCCCCTTGTTCAACAACCAGCCTTTCTGTGTATACTTTTCCCCTTTACGATCTATTCAACTCACTGTGACGAGAGCTGTTTTAAAGAGACCGACAATCCAAGCTTTACAAAATTTTTTTAATGCATCCAGACTGTAGATTCTTATTTTCTACCAACCAGGACTCCTTGGGAAAATGACTGACTCCAGGCGTAAAGCAGGAAGTAGTACACAAAGATGGGCCTAGACCATCTCATTATGACAGAAAGAGGGAAACTTTCAAAGCTGCCCAGGCACCATCACCTATGAAGTATTCTTGCTAAAAATGTTTAACCTGCATCTCAATCACACCTCTCCAGACCTAACTTCCAGTATATAGGAAGTTCAGGGGATAAGATACAAGTTCAATGATACTAAGAAGAAACAGATAAATACAGAATGTGAGTATTAAAAAACTAAGAAAAATAAGCCAGGAGTGGTGGCTCACGCCTGTAATCCTAGCTACTTGGGAGGCTGAGGCAGTAGGATAGCTTGAACCTGGGACGCAGAGGCTGCAATGAGCTGAGATGGTGCCACTGCACTCCAGCCTGGGCGACAGAGCAAGAGTCCGTCTCAAACAAACAAAAAAACCCAAACCTAAGCAAAATAAATGTCATGAAGGAACTGCTCCACACTAAAAGCCTGACTACATTAGGTTTTACCTAAAAACCCCTTGTACTACATGACTGGATTAGATCCCGGTTAAGAAAAAACCCAGCTATAAAGACATCCATGGAGTAACTGGGGAAACATGAATATGGCCTGGGCATTTAGTAATTAGATGGAATTACTATTAATGTTCTTAGGTGAAAAAACAGAACTGTGGTTATCCTCATTCTTGGAGACACATGCTGAAGTATTTAGGGGCAAAGTATCATAATTTCTACAACTTACTTTCAAATGCTACAACAAAATAAATGTACAGTGTGCTTGTATAAATACATACATACAAAGAGAGAAAAGGCAAAATGCTATCTGTTAAAGCCAGAGGAGGGTATACAGGTGTTCATTAACTATTCTTTCAACTTTTGTTTGAAGAAACCAATTGCAAAAATACCTATTTGAGACAACTAGGGCAGGGTGCAGTGGCTCACGTCTGTAATCTCAGCACTTTGGGAGGCTGAGGTGGGAGGACCGCTTGAACCCAGGAGTTCAAGACCAGCCTGGGTAACATAGCAAGACTCCATTTCTACAACAAACAAACAACTGAAAAATTGGAATACAACCTAGATATTACATCATAGTATGGAATTATTGCTAATTTTGCTAGCTATGTTATCATGGTTTCTTTTAAAATACTACAGATACATACTGAAGCAGTTGCAGATGGAATGATAGATGTCTAGACTTGCCTTACAACAATGCAGCAGGAGCGGGTGATGTGAAACAAGACTGGCAAAATAAAAACTACAGAAGCTGGAGGAGTGGGAGGTGCAATTCAGAGTTCTCCAATGCTTCATATATAAATTTCAAATTTTCCATAATAAAAAGTCAAAAGACCTAAATAACAAAACCTGAAAAGTCTCCAGTGACTTCTCACTACTCTTCCATTCTTGCTCTGGCCTAATGGTCAGTATATCTGGTCCTTCTCTGCCTTATCTCAAGCCACTCTCCTCCCGTTACCTCTCTATATTAGCTTCTCTACTCTGGAAAACTTTCTCCTGCCCCCAGGCCTTCAGAAACACCCTTTTCTGTTAGATAGATAGGCATTTTCTCGACGGGCACGGTGGCTCAAGACTGTAATCCAAGCACTTTGGAAGGCCGAGGTGGGTGGGTCACCTGAGGTCAGGAGTTCGAGACCAGTCTGCCCAACATGGTGAAACTCTGTCTCTACTAAAATTACAAAAATTAGCCAGGCATGGTGGTGTGCACCTGTGATCCCAGCTACTCAGGAGGCTGAGGCAGGAGAATCGCTTGAACCCGGGAGGTGGAAGTTGCAGTAAGCCGAGATTGTGCCACTACACTCCAGCCTGGGTGACAGAGTGAAAGAAACTCCGTCTCAAAAAAAAAAAAAGAAAGAAAGAAAGGCATTTTCTTCTGCTCACCATCTCTCTGCCTTATTCATTAGGGCTCAGTTCTACAGCATGTCCTTAGGGAAGCTGTTGCCAGCTCTCTAGACTAGTTGTGCTGTGTGCATTTTCTTGTCACAATAGCACGGTTTATTCAATACTCATCTTCTACGCTAGACTGAGTTTCAGGGGGGCAAGGACCATATTTGTCTTTTTTTTGAGACAGAGTCTCTTTCTGTCGCCCAGGCTGGAGTATAGTGGAGTGATCTCTGCTCACTGCAACCCCTGCCTCCTGGGTTCCGGTTTAAGCGATTCTCCTGCCTCAGCCTCCCTAGTAGCTGGGACCACAGGCGTGTGCCATCATGCCTGGCTAATTTTTTTTTACTTTTGTATTTTTAGTAGAGATGGGGTTTCATCACGTTGGCCAGGCTGGTCTTGAACTCCTGACCTCAGGTGATCCACTCGCCTCAGCCTCCCAAAGTGCTGGGATTACAGGTGTAAGCCACCGCGTCTGGCCATTTGTCTTCTTTACAAAGCCTTTCCAATGCTTAGCCCAGTGCCTGGCCTGTTCAGGTGCTAAGTAAGACAAAATTGCCATGTGTGCCATCAACCAAGGTAGTAGGATCTAGGGGTCCCAAGAAGAAATGTGAAAGGTGGCCTCTGATTTCCATTTTTTTTTTTTTTTTTGAGACGGTGTTTTGCTCTTGTTGCCCAGGCTAGAGTGCAACGGTGCGCTTGGCTCACCACAACCTCCGCCTCCCAGGTTCAAGCAATTCTCCTGCCTCAGCCTCCCGAGTAGCTGGGATTACAGGCATGCACCACCAACGCCTAGCTAATTTTTTTGTATTTTTTCAGTAGAGACGGGGTTTCTCCATATTGAGGCTGGTCTCGAACTCCTGACCTCAGGTGATCTGCCCGCCTTGGCCTCCCAAAGTGCTGGGATTACAGGCGTGAGCCACTGTGCCCGGCCTCTGATTTCCCTTTTTGAGATGGAGTCTCCCTGTCGCCCAGGCTGGAGTGGAATAGTGCGATCTCGGCTCACTGCAACCTCTGCCTCCTGGGTTCAAGCGATTCCCATGCCTCAGCCTCCTGGGTAGCTGGGACTACAGGTACGTGCGCCACCACACCATTTTTTTTTTTGAGATGGAGTTTCGCTCTTGTTGCCCAGGCTGGAGTGCAATGGCACAATCTCGGCTCACTGCAACCTCTGCCCCTACTGGGTTCAAGCAATTTTCAAGCAATTTTTCTGCCTCCGCCTCCCGAGTCACTGGGATTATAGGCACCCACCACGCCCAACTAAATTTTGTTATTTTTAGTAGAGACAAGATTTCGCCATGTTGGCCAGGCTGGTCTCGACTCCTGACATCAGGTGATCCACCCACCTCGGCCTCCCAAAGTGCTGGGATTACAGACATGCGCCACAGCGCCCAGCATTTTTGTATTTTTAGTACAGATGGGGTTTCACCATATTGGTCAGGCTGGTCTTGAACTCCTGACCTTGTGATGCGCCCACCTTGGCCTCCCAAAGTGCTGGGATTACAGGCGTGAGCAAGGCCTCTGATTTCTAAGAGAAGGGACTTCTATTTGTACTCATGACCTAAGAGTTCAAGAGTTTTACAAATAAATGTTCAGTTCAAAATTCTAAGTTATTGAACCAGATGGAATCATGTTATTAAGAACTCAACAGGAAAATGTAAATAAATTATCTATGTGCTCACTAATGAATTTATGATGAGCTCCAACACACAAAAGACATCAACAGTACCTTGAATGACTCCGGCTTCTGGAGTAGGACCGGCGTCGTCTGGAACCTGGCTTGTCTTCAACTAATCTGATTTTTCTCCCATTGACTTCAGTTCCATCCAACTTTTCCAAAGCTCTTTTCATATCAGAATAAGATACAAATTCAATCACCCCTTCATTTTTGCGTCCCTTGTGAGCATCTGCATAAGTCACTTCTCCTGCCTGACGCATATAATCCTGAAGAAAAAAAAAAGTGTGACTACATTAGGATATGTTTTGCTAAAATATCTAATGCAATCATCTGAGTGAATTTTTCCTTTAAGAAATGCCAGCATTCCGCAGAATAAAGTTTACTCTTAAATATTTTCATCTACCCATCAATCATGTACTGAGGTTCTTTAAAGCACCAGCCATATTAGGTGGGTGGGAGAGACAATAAATACACATTAAATTGTTCCTTTAAATAAAGTTTTGGGGCCAAGTGTGGTGGCTCATGCCTGTAATCCCAGCACTTTGACAAGCTGAGGCGGGAGGATTGCTTGATCCCAGGAATTCAAGACCAGCCTTGACAACACAGAAGACCCTATCTCTACAAAAATTGAAAAAATTAGTCAGGTGTAGTGGCACACGCCTGTGGTCCCAGCTACCCAGTAGGATGAGGTGGGAGGATCATCTGAGCCCAAGGAGGTTGAGGCTGCAGTGAGCCGTGATCATGCCACTGCACTCCAGCCTGGGGTACAGAGCAAGACCCTACCTCAAAACAAAAAAATAAAGTTTTGTGTGAATATAGAAGTTTTCAGTTAGCTATCATCTTCTAAATTTAAAAACAAACAAAAAACAGAGTCTTGCTTTGTCGCTCAGGCAGCTGGAGTGCAGTGATGTGACCTCGGCTCACTGCAACCTCTGCCTCCCAGGTTCAAGTGATTCTGTGCCTCAGCCTCCCCAACAGCTGGAACTGCAGGTCCGCGCCACCATACCCAGCTGATTTTTTGTGTTTTCATTAGAGATGGGGTTTTGCCATATTGCCTAGGCTGGTCTCAAACTCCTGAGCTCAGGCAATCCACCTGCCTCAGCCTCCCAAAGTGCTAGGATTATAGGCATGGGTCACTGTGCCCAGCCCATTTTCTAAATCTTATAGTGACAAATTATTTGTTTATAACCATCATGTCCCTTCAATACCACAGGCCTCTTTCCTCATTCTCTTTGAGGACTTCCTATGGTTCAATGAGAGAATACAACTAATGTCCTAGACAAATGCTAAAGCATTATATAAATAAGAGGAGATATGATTAGGAGGTTGCAGTGAGCCGAGATAGTGTCACTGCACTCCAGCCTGCTGACAGAGCGGGACTCCATCTCAAAAAACAAAACAAAACAGAACAAAAAGAAATTTATTTTTGGCCAGGTGCAGTGGCTCACACCTGTAATCCCAACACCTTGGGAGGCCAAGGCCAGGAGATCACCTGAGGTCAGGAGTTTGTGACCAGCCTGGCAACTTTGTGAAACCTTGTCTCTACTAAAAATACAAAAATCAACCAGACGTGGTGGCAGGCGCTTGTAACCCCAGCTACCTGGGAGGCTGAGGCATGAAAATCGCTTGAACCCAGGAGGTGGAAGTTGCAGTGAGCGAGATTGTGCCACTGCATTCTAGCCCAGGCGACAGAGCAAGACCTTCGTCTCAAAAAAAAAAAAAAATTTATTTTTTAAACTACTAATATCCCCTAATTTGTTTTATTTTTGCATTTCCTTGATAAATAGCTAACATACATTGTGCCAGAAACTGTTCTAGGCTTTTTATATATAAAATTCACTAAATTCTTTCAATAACCTTGAGTAGAAATTAGTATTAACCCCATTTTATAGTTGAGGAATATGAGGCATAAGATGTAAGTAACTTGCTAAGGGTCATGTAAGTGACCTTAGTGGCAGAACCAGGATTCTATTCAGGTTGGCCACCTTGAGAGCTAGGAAATCTGCTCAATTATCTATTACTCTCGTTTCCTGAGAGTGGAACTGCCTGAAGGTACAGACATGTAGAACCAACTAAGGGTGGTAACTGTTGGGGACCAGCCTCAACACCACCCGTAGGGTACCCAAAGTCTGGTGGCGACGAAGGAATGAGAAGAGAGAGGTTAAGAGTGCATAAAGAGTGGGGGCCAGGGGGCCAATTGCAAAATGGAGGCTGCAAAAGGCTCAGAGTTCTGGTCTCCACACTATTTACTGAGTACAATCACTTAGATCTAAGAAGCAGACATTCAGGACGAAACGGTGAAAGGCAGGCAGTGCTGAAAGGAAGGCAGTGCGTCATACACGTAATCTACAGCAGTGGCAGTTTAAATGAATCTCCTTTGTGCTTAGACAGCATATCTTTAACTTATCGGAGAGTAGCTGGTGGGAGCGAGCTTAACTAGGAGCCTGCATGTCTGGCCACATTCCAGTGCTTCAAAGGAGTGTCTTTCTCCTTGAACACAGTGTTTATGGATAAGAGAGCAAGTCTTGCTGAGAGCATGGGAACATAATGGTGATAAGGCTTTCCTCCTCCCACAAGAGGCCTCTTGTGGCTTTGCACAATTTATTGTCCCATATTTTTATGGCCAGTTTATACAGGCACCCCATAAGCCTTTCCCCCAACAGTAACTAAGCTCTGTTCTAACAAAAAAATTAAGAGGTTTTCTAAGAAGTTAATTTAATATTACATTTAGTGGCACTACATGACGAGTTAGCATTCTACTGATGAAGAGAGTAGCTTTCCAGTTTCTACCCATGATGTTCAATCCCTAACTCTCAGAATACTGGAGTCATTCCTTCAGCAAGCAGAATCTTGCTGGCAGACATTCAGTAAAGGTCTGCTACGGTGCTGACGATAAGCATGATGCACCTGAAAAAACAGCAGACTGGGAGTCAGGAGTCCTGGTCCCAGCTCTTCTGCATGTTACTTGAAGGTTGCTGGGATTAAATTTTAAAAAGAAAAACAAAAAAGTGCTTTAAATTAAACTATACAAATGTAAAGGATTCCTAACTATTCTTTCCTGAACCTAAATACACTTCACTCATTTGGCTAGAGATGACTTGTTTAAATATGGCCAAAAAAAGCGAGAAGGGAGACAGAAAACAAAACCTGTTTCATGCATCCTCCTAAGACCATTCAGATTATGATACTGCTCAGTAAGTTTTTCTTCCTATTGAGATTAAAAACACTGTTGTCAATAAGTGGGGCCGGGTGCAGTGGCTCACGCCTGTAATCCCAGCACTTTAGGAGGCCAAGGCAGGTGGATCACTTGTGGTCAGGAGGAGCTCGAGACCAGCCTGGTCAACATGGTGAAACCCCGCCTCTACTAAAATACAAAAATTGGCCGGGCATGGTGGCATGCACTTGTAATCCCAGTTACTCAGAGGGCTGAGGCAGAACTACTTGAACCCCAGAGGCGGAGGTTGCAGTGAGCTGAGATGGCGCCACTGCACTCCAGCCTAGGCGAAAGGGCGAGACTCCATCTCAAAAAAAAAAAAAAGCTGGAACCAGTACACTGGATGGCCAACATTAGCACTGAATCTTAATTCTTGACACCAAACCTCTTTCAGGACAAATATTCCATCAAAAACCTTATGAAAAAACATGGGTCAGATTGTCAATTTCACCAGTAAGGATACACACTGAAGCTGATGTGAATTTGCATGTTATAGCAAATGCTGCAGGAAACACTGATGGTTTCAACCATTTTATTGACTGGTGAGTAGCTACACTGCCATCTTCTTGTAACCCTTTTTTTTTTTTTTGAGACAGAGTCCTGCTCTACTGCCCAGGCTGGAGTGCAGTGGCATGATTTTGGCTCACTACAACCTCCACCTTCCAGGTTCAAGCAATTCTCTTGCCTCAGCCTCCCAAGTAGCTGGGACTACAGGTGCCCACCACCACGCCCGGCTAATTTTTGTATCTTTTTAAGTAGAGACAGGGTTTCAAACATTCTTTACAGAGAGAAATTTCGTTATCACACATTTGGGCCAGGTTTCTGTCATGTCAGCACTTGAGGAGGCTGAGACTGAAGGATCACTTGAGGCCAGGAGTTCGAGACCAGTCGGGGTAACATAGTGACAACCAATCTCTGAGCCATGATTGTGCCTCTGCACTCCAGCCTAGGCAACAGAGACTCTGTAACAAAACAAAATCAGGCCGGGCGCGGTGGCTCACGCCTGTAATCCCAGCACTTTGGGAGGCTGAGGCGGGTGGATCACAAGGTCAGGAGTTCAAGATGGTGAAACCTCGTCTCTACTAAAAATACAAAAAAATTACCCGGGCATGGTGGCGGGTGCCTGTAATCCCAGCTACTCAGGAAGCTGAGATGGAGAATTGCTTGAACCCGGGAGGCGGAGGCTGCAGTGAGCAGAGATGGTGCCACTGCACTCCAGCCTGGGCAACACAGCGAGACTCCATCTCAAACAAACCAAACCAAACCAAACCAAACCAAACCAAACCAAACCAAACTCACAAATGTGTCCTTAGAATGATGGTCCCACAATGTATAGCAGGAATATAATTCTGATATATTTTGTACTCATATGGCACTTTAATTATTTCCAGCTCTGTGCAGGCTTTCAAACATATAACACTGTATTTTGTGTATGCCTGGGCCTGCACAAATCTACCTGTTTCCCAACTTTAACTCCTGCCCAACCTTACCCCAAAAGGTTAATGGGGCCCAAACCTTTAGGTCTTGCCAGCTGCACCGACTTGACAAATTCTCCACAATAAGTCTGTACTCTGTGCGAGTAGGAGGGCCATATTTATCTCGGCCACTTCTTCTATAACCATATCCACCTTTGGAAGGTTCAAATAAATAAGATTATTTCAGTGGAAGAAAAGGAAAAAAAATGACACAGCACACACCCCCCCTTAAATATATTATTTACCCCCACCCCAAACAATAGCACGTTTTAACTCTATTCCCACCCTTAATTCTAAAATAGATTTTTAAAGAAGCAATCAGCTAAATATAAACATTTAATTTAAAAAGTTGTAAGTATACATATTCATTAATATTTGCATTTAAGATTAACATGCATAAATTTAAAACTATTAACAATTTAACAATTTAGAAATAAGTAACCAAATTACTAAATCAGTTACTGGTGTTACTCACAGTGATTAAACATTTTGTGAATATTTTATATGGAAAAAAAAAGATTTTCAGGCACCTATTTCAGTTTAATCTCATCTGTGTCTAACCCTTGGGATCCTCACCACCCAGGTCTAATGGGGAAAGGTTGCGGTCGTCACATGGCTTCCTGTTTTTGGTCAGCCAAGGGCCACAATGGTTCAAAGAGCCACGCATGGAAAGGTAACCCAAGGTCAGCAAATGGAACAGGCAGTCATCTTAGCCTCAAAGGATTCTTTTAATTAAAACATTGAGGTCTTTGTTAAATCTATGTTAAACAATTGCATTACAGAGAAAAAAACAACAACAACACAAACACACATCATTAAACATATTTATAAAGTATTATAAACAAGAAATTGTCATTAGTTTAATTAAAATTAAACATTATCAAAGGCTTATTTGTAATTCTACATTTTTAAAAAAGATACATAATTTACAAAATAGCTTAAACATCAATACGTTTAAATGTAATATCAATTAATTACTTTAAAAATTAGCATGATAACAAAAGCACGTTACTGATAAAAGTATGCCCTTTGAATGCTTACTGCGTCCAGAACCGTAACTGCCATCTCGCCGTGGGCCGCGGGCATGCTCAACAATTACTCGCTCACCACAAAGGTCTTTGCCATTCAGTTCATAAACAGCATCATCTGCATCACGCAGATCATCAAACTCCACAAAACCATATCTAGAAGAGAGCAAAGAAAATACTGGTTGGTACCATTTTGACATCCAGCTTCACTAACATTAAAGAGAAAGCAATGAGGTTCATGCTTAGCAAAGGTTAGGTGGATTTTGCAAACTAAGGATCAACTTTGTCTTCTCTTCAGGTGAAACCACTTTGCTTTGTGCCAACAGGCACTGAAAGAGGTAGGGAGACTTCTCAAAGTAGACTCCTATCTTTCTAGGAGGAGGCTGGCTACATACACAGGACACTTCTTTTGTTTCCCAAGTAGTTGGTGGCAACTGCAAAGACAGGGATGCTTGGTATAAGAATCCAAAATATATAATGCTACAAGACATATAACGCTCTTTCAAACACCACATAAAACTCATCTTTTTTAGCTTTAAAAGTGGTATCTTAGAGAACAATTAGACCTACATTCAGGCACTGTGTAATAACTGTTGAATCATGTGAAAGTAAAAAACTTTTTTTTAAGGTTCCTGTTCCTCTACGTAAACACATCTGTCACATGTGATTATCAGTGAAAAAAAGACTGGAGCTGTTTACTTCCCTGTGAGATTCCAAATTCATTTCCATGAAGTTTTAGAATAGGATGGAATTCTCTGAAATCTGTATACAACTCGTGCAAACTTCTTTAAATGGTATTGCTACATCTTTTCCAGCCAAGAGGTTTGGTGGCTTAACATATAACCAAAAGAACCCCCACCATCCTACTAATGCCTATTAAAGAGTACAATTTATATAGCTAAAGTGCAAAATTTGTAAGATACTTATAAGCAAGGTTATACAAATGCCCTGTAAATTATGTTTTCAAGAAATATTTAGTTTGGTCTGACACAGCTGTGAAAAGTCCAGCTTTGTGACCATTGCCTATATTTAAAAACCAAAACCATCTTATTGATCATAACTAATCAGAAAGGAAAGTTACAAGCAATTTCTTTAAACTCTAGTAAGGCTGTGTGTACACGGGCACACAGACTAGTGTTCCTCTGCATTTAAACACACTGACACTACAAACAAGTTACAAGACTTGTCAGAGGGTCACTCAGCCTGCTGACAAAAAATGATTCCAGTTTACTTATTTATTTATTTATTTTATTTTTTGAGACAGAGTCTCGCTGTCGCCCAGGCTGGAGCGCAGTGGTGCGATCTCAGCTCACTGCAACCTCCACCTCCTGGGTTCAAGTGATTCTCCTGCCTCAGCCTCCCGAGTAGCTGGGATTACAGGCGCACGCCCCCATGCCTGGCTACTTTTTGTATTTTTAGTAGAGACAGGGTTTTGCCATGTTGGCCAAGCTGGTCTCAAAACCTCAGGTGATTCGCCCTCCTGGGCCTCCCAAAGCGCTAGGATTATAGGCGTGAGCCACTGCGCCCGGCCTCCAGTTTCTTTAGAATGTGATGCTATACTCAGTAACATGTTAAATAAGTGAGAACTCAGAATTGTGGAATTTTTCCTTTACTAAAGAGTTCCTTTCATACAACAGTCTCTCAAGGTGACAATGTGCTAGGTTACAATGTGTAGGTAACAACGTTGGAGGGTTTTTTATGTTGAAATGTCTGAGTGGCACTGAATGTCAACTCCATTAAAAAAAATTAACACAGACACACCCGGTTATTTAACAGGAAGTGCCTTGCAGTAACACAATTCAGAAGCCACCTGGCTCAATTTATGGGCTGTGAAGTCTTTAAAACATAGTTTCACGCTTCCATAGGCTAGAATTGCTGAGCAGCTTAATAAGAAGGATTTTGAACATGCTGTTATCTTAGAAAAGGCAAGTAAAGCCTCTCGAAATCCCTGACTTACTATGTTCAAAAGTGCTTTACAGTGACTAAAAATCTATTAATAGATAATATAATGTAGCTGCTTTTTCCTTTCTTAGATAGAATGGGTCATTAGGAAAACTATACTATTATTTTCAGAGACAATTTTTCTTTTAAGGCAAATAAAAAACCAACTCAACTATTTTCTACTTTGGTTTATCTCTAGATGGATTCAAAACAATAACAACAACAAAAGTGCCCTCCTGAATTTAATTGTCAAGACCAGTCCCAAGTCTCCTCTGTCCACAGCATCACTGCTTTTGGCACCATGTGAGAGCCTGACGCCATGCGGAGGGAGGAGGGACATTTGGCCTGGGCGTGATGGAATGGCCTCCACTCCCTTCGAGTCATACTCTGGCTCGGCACTGTTCAATGACTGAATGACCAGGACTGATCTAACGTGATCTTAGAAGGACATCACCGAATCCTGAGGATTAAACAAACCACAGGAAAATACCAACTGTTTTCCTCAAAATAGTGAAGGGTTACAACTACTGGGCAGAGGGGGTGGTCACAGAATGCAACATCCTAAGCTCTGCAGGTCAACTGAAATAGAAAGCCCAGTGGCCGCTGATGGCAAGTGATGCTTCTGTCAGACCTACATGGTAATACATTCTCCCAGACTCAAAGATCACCCTGTTCCAAGGCTCATATGCAGAACTTATCCTGACCTTTCAGAGAAAGCAGTGACAATCTGTTCAGTGGAGGCAGGTTAATTTAAAAATAAAAATTAATGTTACGACAGATGAATCTTTCTTTGCAAGCTGAGAATGAAGCAAGGCATATCTTGCCAATAAAACTTCCTTGAGTTACAGGGACAACTGGTAATGTTACAGAAAAATCCCTACAAACCTCCCCCAGTATTTACTTCTAAAAAGTTCCAACAAGTGGGTCACTTGGTAAGCCTGTTTTGGGGGTATCCAAAACATTTATTAAATTAGCTGACTTGAGATTAAATTTATTTTACAGAAAAATTTTGGCTACTATTCTGTGAAAAAATCTATTTGAAACATATCAAAGTTCAGTTCAAGGATCAAATCAGGCATCTGATTGTCACTTCTCTCTGCCATTGACATGCTGAGTGGGTTTGGAAGATTAAAACAAACATCTTCGCATACAACAAACCATATCTGATACGGACTCTTGTTCTGAGAATAAAGCAAAGAGCAGATCAGTGTGGTTGTTTCTACCAAGTCTGCTTTACTTGAAGAATGACTTAATTTCATTCAATAAATAGAGTGAATAAGATAGAAATAAATTAAGACAGAAGACTAGATAATAAAAATAAAATGTTACCTCTGACTAAACAATCTCTCTATTAAGCAATGGTATCGTAGTTTATATTCATAGCACCCATCAGCTAGGTACTATTATTTCTGTTTTACAAATGAAGAAATCAAGGCACAGAATATTAAATAACTTGCATAAAAAAACCCCGCCGAGCTGGCATTCAAACCTGTGGTTTGACACCAGGGCTGAAACTCCCTAACTATTAAGACTGAAGCAGCAAGAACCGACCTGGGTTCTAGTCTTGGTTCTGCTACAAACTTTGAAGAGCAAATTTAAATCATTTTATTTCTCTGGGTCTTAGTTTATTCATGAAATGAGGGAAGTATACTGCATATCTCCAAGGCTTCGACTAACATCAAAAGCATGACAGGTTAAGTGTTAAAATTAGTGCTCCTTTGGTTTAACAATGGAGATGGGGTCTCAATATGTTATCCAGGCTGGACTTGAACTCCTGGGATCAAGGGATCCTGCGGCTTCAGCCTCCCAAGTAGCTGGGATTACAGGCACACGCCACTGTGCTGGGCTTCAAAAATGGAAAATTTAAACTCTAAAATTTGACATGCCTGCACTAGGATGGTACCACCAGACACCAACAGATGAAAAGGGATACATTTTTATCATCTAAAATACCTTTTATGTATGGGTCCCAATTTTAGTTCATTTAAACACTTTTAACTGTTCCTGAATTAATTAGTGCCTTCAACAAAGTAAAGCTCTTCCTGGTAACTAACACTAGAGCCTTTTAAAGCCAAGCTTAACACTCCCTTTGTGCTTTGCAGCAAGTAACGTGAAACAAATCTCTTTTCTCAGAAAGCAATCTCCTTTTGAATCCTCTGTCAGAGTAAAAAGGAATATAAAATACACACATGCATGTATACATACTATTATATGTATGCACGTGTGTACATATATGTATATACATCTCTGGTGTGACTTGTGAATAAGCCTCACAAAACAACCCAAGAGATAAATTTCTCTAATTCTAACAGCAGAAATCCTTCCTCTTCTGCTCTATTAAAAACAAAGAACACCTTTCAATAATTCATAGGATGCAGGAATTCAGGAGAAAGAATCTAAGACAAATGTAAAAACCCCTCCACAGCAGGGATTGACAGAAACACAAAGAGCCCTGCGATACACTTTCAATCTTCCTCCCCTATGCATATGAAAGAATAAAAAGCATGACCTCACTATTCAATACACAACACCCTTCAAGTAAGAGAAGAAACTCCTTTCTTTAATGTTTCTCTGCAATAGGTTGAGTATTCTGAATCCGAAAATCCAAAATCTGAAATGCTCGAAAATCCGAAACTTTCTGAGCAGCAACAAGATGCTCAAATTTGCTCATCAGAACATTTTGGATTTTGTTTAGGAATGCTCAACCATTAAGTACAATACAAACATTCCCAAATCCCAAAAAAAACCCTGAAATCCAAAATTCGTCTGATCCCAAGCACTGTGTTGTCTTTACCAAAACTATTTTCCTCTGGTCACATTCTATCCTCACAAACCTAGTCAAAAGAATGAGGGGAAGTTGCTGTCATTTTCCCTGTAAAAAAAGGCAGGCACCATGAGTCTTACCAAGTATAGACAGGTATCTGGATACCACAAACAAAAGCCACACTGAATTACATGGGCTGCTCTAAACTTTAGTCCATTCTTATCCCATTGCCAATGCGCTCATCTTCGTCATTCAATAGCTGATGTACTGCTCAGGTTATCAGTCATAATTCTGAAAAGGTAGAACTGGAATGACGTATTTTTAAAACTAAGGTACTCTAAGACTTCAACTTTTGAAATGTTAACCACACTTCTTCAGGCAAGAATTATTATCTGAGTTTGTATCCTTGCTAAATATCCTTTCTCTGATCCTAATAGCCTATACCAATGGTCCCAAACACCAAGTCTGCCCTTTGCTCTGTTATGTTCTACTGAATAGGATTTACCTCAACTCTTTTCAGAACAGCTTAGGGTCACTTCTGTATTCCAAACATCTTCACTGAACAGGGAGACTAAGTCCTGTCTGCAATCTAATACCCATGGCTTGCTCTGGAAACAGGCTGATCAATGGCTAACTGGGCAAGGCATGACTAAGGGGGTGCTCAATACCAGAAACTGCTAGGGAGTGGGTATGAGGAGCAGGGGAAAGCAAGCCTCCATGCGTGTGACCGTGGTCACCCACCAACACTGCTTACCGAGGGGCATGCCTTGGATGGTCTCTCTATAAGAAAATATGCCCCTTTCCACGGTGGATCTCTGCTCACCTTTGTCCTAAAACTGTGCCACATGCTTTTCTTTGTATGTGGACATGACAGTCCTCAGCCAACCATCAGCAGGATGTGAGTTTTGTTTTCACAATGTGGTGAGCCATTCCCACATTCACTCATTTTCCTTGTAAGAACCGAACCTCTCCATGGCTGGTCAGGATTAGGGATGTTGCTGTAGCCAAGGAAAAATTTTCATCTGTTGAAGTTAACCCACGGGGTGGCTTGAACCCTCAATCTAGAGTCAGTAGCACTGTACTTTAAGGGGAAAGTCCTTAAATCTACCCTGAAAGAAATGGCATTCAGTGAACAGGAATCAAACAGCTTTGTTTCAAAGCACTCAGTGATGTCCTATGCTTCAGCCAACTTGGTCTTATGAGGTAAAAAGTCAGGACACACTGATAGGACAGTACTAAAAAAACGGTAATTCTTGCTGTCTGCATAAAGTGCTTGGCAAACTGTAGAAAGACACTTCTGCAACCAACTCTAGTGCTCAGAAGAGGCCAACTCAGAGAAAAGCTTGTGAATGAGAACAGTGTAACTGCCCCGATTCCAAAGGTCTGCAACATTCCAGGGAACCAGCGTTCAGGCCCTCACAGAAGAATTAACCAATGTCACATTTACTGCTCAGGATCAGTGATTATGGTTGCAATTTGACTTTCCTGGCAACAGAGGGTTGTTTACAACCCACAACTAAAAGCTGCTACCACATGAAATGGGTTCCTGAGATCCTTTCCTTTCTTGAGACAGGAAGGAGGCTGCTCTGGGCATTGTGGCCTCTCTTTAGTCTCAGAGGAGGGAGGGCCATCAAGGCCACCTGGAGGAGGTGGATGACTTACCCGTGCTCACTGAGTGGCAGAGCTGGGGTGCGACTTCAGGGCTCACCATTACCCAGTCTGGGACTCTTTTCACGTCGGCAAACTGGCAGTTCCCGCACACCAAGGGCTCTCTGATTAGAGCTAGTGTGGATTCCTGGTCTGCAAACGTTGGCCACAGCTCAGTCTGCACTTGATCTTTCCCCACCTTCAAAGAAGAAAACCTACCTCATGATTTCTCTCTTCCGGATCCCTTGACCATCTAATTTGCTCCCAACACCTTTGTAATCACTTCTGACTATATCTTATTGGTTACCCACTGGGTCTACTGCCAAGTTCTGCAGTTTTCTCATTTGCTGGGCCTTCAGGGCTGTCTCTACCATTTGGATTAATTTATGTAATTCTAGGCTAGAGCTATTTTTACTTAGTCAACTTGTCTTTTGCATTGTGTCAGGAAAAGTCAGCTACTAAATCATTTTTTTGTTTAGAAGTCTATAACGACTCCTAAGTATCTTTATGTCACTCTCTAAACCTGGAACACCTTGACTACACAAGTTGAATTATATCAATCTTCTTCCATATGCTTGAGAATTACCTCTTTCATGAAGCCTCAGAAACTTGCCTATTCCAATTATTTTAGGACTTTCTTTAGCTTTAGCACTTCTATTCAATTTTACGCTTTTTGTTTTTGTTTTTTTGAGATGGAGTCTCGCTCTGTTGCCCAGGCTGGAGTGCAAAGGCACAATCTTGGCTCACTGCAGCCTCCACCTCCCAGGTTCAAGCAGTTCTCCTGCCTCAGCCTCTTGAATAGCTGGAATTACAGGCACACGCCACCACGCCCAGCTAATTTTTATATTTTTAGTGGAGACGGGGTTTCACCATGTTGGTCAGGCTTGTCTCAAACTCCTGACCTTGTGATATGGCCGCCTCAGCCTCCCAAAGTGCTGGGATTACAGGCGTGAGCCACTGTGCCCAGTCATGTTTCTGTAGCTTTTTAAGTCTTGTTTTTGTCTTTGTGCTTACCTTCTCTTTTGATTATGAGCTCTTCACTAAGAAAAACGAAGGCTAATATCTGTTGGCTATTTAGCACAGTGCCTGGCACAGTAAATAATTTATCCATAATATTTCATCCATTTGTATATCAAATGTGAAGAATGTATTATTATTCTTCTCATTTTACAATGAGAAACTGAGGCTTGGAGTAAGCAACTTGCTCATTTTCAAGGAGCTCATGAGTGAAGGAGCTAGATTTGAACCCAGACCCATGACTCTAAAAATCCCAGCTCTAAACCACAAGGTTCTAATTCCTTTTTTTTTTTTTTTTTAAAAAAAACATAGTCTCGCTCTGTCGCGCAGGCTGCAGCGCAGCGGCGCGATCTCCACTCACTGCAACCTCTGACCCTGGGCTCAAGCAATTCTTGTACCTCAGCCTTTAGAGTGGCTGGGACTACAGGTGTGCACCACCATGCCCGGCAAATTTTTTGTAATTTTTTTTTTTTTTTTTTTAGGAGAGACAGGGTTTCACCATGTTGCCCAGGGTGGTCTCGAACTCCTGAGCTCAGGCAATCCACCTGCCTTGGCCTCCCAAAGTGCTAGAATTACAGGCATGAGCCACCATGCCCGGCCTTCTACTGTATTTTAAAGGCAGATGCTTCTCTTCCAGTCCTGTGTACAATCTTTTTTCACTCAATAAATGCTGCTGCTTGACTTAATGATACTCTAACATCAGATAAAGTCAGGCTGTAGTAAAGGTTTTTGATATAATGGGGTAAAGTCTCTAGAGAAAAAAGAAATTGACCTTGGGGCAGGGTGAAGCACCTCTAAGCTGGGGGTATGTGACAACCAGGTTACTTTCACTCGTCTTTTGGTTCCCATTAGCCAGTGTCAGCCATCTGGTCCTTCCGAAAACATGTGTGGGTTCAGAACATAACAGACTAGAAGAATAGAGGAAAAATAAGATTATTCTGTGCAATCCCCATTCTGGAGGTCCCATATCAACCCCCGGAGTCTGTCTTTGCTTCTAAGGCTCAGCAAAAATTAGACCAGCATAAAGAAGATGAAGACTTGGATCTAGACGTGGTGGATGTGAATGAATATTGGCAATATTATGTATTTAGGAATGTATTTAATTAGTTTTGCAAGGAATGGTGACTTGAACCAAAAAATATAAGCGTGAATGGTAGGAGGGAAATGGGCCAGAAATCAAAGAATACTAGAAAGTTTACAGACTTTCAACTATACAAAGGTTAAAGCAGCAACCAGAAAAGTACCATGCAGATGATAAACATCTAAGATGTGATTTAATTTTCATTAACTAAAAACTATTTTTAACATGCAGCCCACTAGGACTCTTCTTCACATTTCTTTGTAATAATTACTACTCCTATTTTTGAAAGTTTTACGATGTATAAAGCATTATGCTAAGTGCTTTACACACATTATATCCATTTAATTTTCACAACTCTGAGGTTTACTGTCATCTGACAGATCAAGAAACTAACTTAGAGGAGTTGAGTAACTTGCCAAGACTATCCCAAAGACCTGGGATTCTTCACACCCAGCTAACCTAAAACCTGCATTCTACCACCACGTTTTAACCGCCTCCTATATACCAATGAAAAGTGGTCCATAAAACCAGAGTTGGAGAAACACAAGCTCTTGCACAGAAAATCAGTTTCATCAAATTATGTGCTGTAGTGTGGAAGACAAATGCCCACAGGAATATAAGCATCTTATGAGAAAGAGTAAGTGGCAAGAAAACACCATTTCTGCATGTGATGTGTGTGTGCTAATACCAGTAAGTTGTGAACATTTATTCTCTACAAGTGGAACCAAACCCATATGCCATCAAAATTTTAATACTAGTCTAGGAAAATAGAAAAAGGTAACAAATCATTAAGAAACTTATATCTCAGCAATGAGAACACAAATATATCAGTGGGAAAATTAAACTCATGATCCTTTCTCATAAAGTAAACCAACTGCTGAAAAAAAATCTCTAATGATGAACTAACCAAACTCAAGCCCATGGTATTGAGTCCACATTGCAGATAACAGCCCATCTCTAACAGAATATATATTCACATAGTAGGGTGAGAAAAACAGAACAATCATTATCCTAAACACCAAACAGTAAAACTAAATCCTCCCAGAATGGGAGGTAGAGAGGAATCTGCATCAAATATGAATTTAGTCTTACTCTGTAACTACTCTATGAGCCTATTTGCCAACTTTGTTTTAGCTATTCAAAACTTTCAAAAATGAACTAAGTCAGCTAAGGTATTTCACTTTTACACTGCAAATAGTTTGTGGATCAAACTATCATTACCCCCTGCAATCATAACTGAACTTTCTTTTTTGATATTTTAAAGTCAACATGGCTTTCCTGAAAGGGAGGGCAGATACAATCATCTGTGTCCATTTCAATTTTCTGACACTTTTCAACACTAAGGATAAATGAAATTGAAAGCTTTCAAAAAAGGGGAATCAACTATTGCCTGATGACAAGAAGTTCGTGAAGACTCAACCACAAATTAAAAACGATTTGAAAAAACTCGAGAGATGAAAGTCACATTACCAATTTAGAATAAAACTCTTGGGATTTAATATAGAATTACTTTATCTGTTATTCCTACTTAAAGAAATAAAGGTTTACACTCTGCAGACAGCACTACCTGATTCCACACAAAAGCTACAAACAAAACCAGTTCATACTTACCTCTTAAACAACACAATGAGCAGGCTGCCAGGTGTTAAAGCTTCATTAAAGATGATGCCTCTTGGATCATCTTGGCTGTATGAGGCACCATGTCCCTCATAATCGCCCCTGGTCCCTGGGCTGGAGTCTGTTTCTTCATTTTCATTTTTGGTTAAAGATGCCACTCCCTATGCTTTTATTAATTAGTGGATGCCACTAATTAAGTATTTTAATGAATTTTTCAAATTCTTTTAAAATGGATGGATCAATAGCTTCATTTCAATTACATGAAAACCTTTCCAAGTCCATGTTTCTGGTCTGTGGTTCCTGACTCCCTTGCCTGAGCCTCCTGCTCTGTCTGCCCTCTTCATTCCTGAAGGCTGAATTCAAACCTCCCTCTTTCAGACTTCCTCTTCTCTCTAGGTCTTGGGGGTCTTTGTTCATGAAGGTCCCCTTTCTGGCATAAAAACCTAAACCCATGGTTGGGGACCTGGGAGAAATAAAGTGCCTTTCAAGCGCTTCTTCAGACATTGCGTGCAGTTCAGAAATCTTTAGCCTGGGAGACTTTCATCTCAACACACAGAAAACTCAAGTAAAACATTTCCTCAAACTATGGGCATACAAATTCAGAGCATAATCTAATCCCTCACCTTCAGGGTACTATAAGACCAGACGGCCCTAGGAATGACAATAAGGCAGAGAACATTTACTTGTACAAATCCTTCCTCAGCCAACCACGATAAAGCTGATACCACCTTACAGCTTTTCAAAGAGTAGCCTGAGGAGGAGAATCACTAGCAGTCTCCAACTAAGGACAACATCATAAAAAATACCATCTGTCTCACTTTTGGCAGTAACTTGTCAGCTTGCTGGAAGCCTCTACAGAGACTAAAGGCTGAACAAGCCCGGAAACCTGAACTACCCTCTCACCCTCAGAGGCAATCCCCAAAGGACAGGACTAAAGGAAATAGCATGAGGGAAGCTTTGAATGTCAATGCCCACATGTATCTAGTATGGGAATTTAAAAAATCTTCTATTTCCGGAGTTGTCAATAACTCATTTTGTAACCTTGGGCCAGTCACCTTATCACCCCATGCCTCAGTTTCCCCATCAGTACAAACTAGGGACAACACTTGTTCATAAAGTACTTTGACATACTCAGTTGAAAAATAAGTCATACAAATGCATTAATATTTTCGGAAGTTTTAAGATTTCAGTGTTAGCTTACAAATTTGTAAGTATCACCCCAACGGTATTCTCTCAGATGCCTGGAGCACCTTTCTTCTGAGGAGCTCAAAGTAAAATTTGCGGTTCTGGGTACCTGGAAGCATAAAAAAATACTAGAAACCCAAACCACATTTTATTACCGAGTCTATATCCTGTGCCTATCTTTTAAGAAGGGACAAATACTTCGTATGGCCCTTAAATTCATACAGTACCTCAATGAGAAAGGAGGAGCAAAACAGTATATTAAACTGAAGAACAGGGATTTTAAATGACTTAGTCAAATAATTACAAATGATGTTTATTCATACCACAAACTGAAGGGACCAAGAACCAAGGAGTGGAGGTCTTGAACCAGGGCAATTTACGCTGTTAACATTTGGTCAAAAATCTCAATATGGTATTATCTCTTGGCATTGATTTTTCAAAATGACAGAAAAAAATTAAATTCCCCATATATTGGGGGAAAAAAATAATACACTTTTTTGGGGGGTAAGTTGACTTTAAAAAGTGACTTTTAATAAAAAAAAATTTGATCACATTTGTAATAGTTATATTACTAATAAAACAATGACAGAATGCTACTTAATTCATAGTCCTATCTCTATTTATTATTCATTCAAGAAAAACTTCCTGATTATTTTTCACTTGGTAAATTAGCATCTTTTATTTTTATTTTTTATTTTTGAGACAGAGTCTCACTCTGTCACCCAAGCTGGAGTGGAATGGTGTGATCTCACACTGCAACTTCCGCCTCCCGGGTTCAAGCGGTTCTCCTGCCTCAGCCTCCCGAGTAGCTAGGATTGCAGGAGCCTACCACCATGCCCAGCTAATTTTTGTAATTTCAGTAGAGACAGGGTCTCATCATGTTGGTCAGGCTGGTCTCGAACTTCTGACCTCAGGTGATCCGCCCGCCTTGGCCTCCTAAAGTGCTGGAATTACAGACGTGAGCCACCACGCCTGGCCAGCAAACACAACAGGGGTACTCCATGCTGTTGAAGTGCCCATCACACGGGCATGCTCATACACTGCGGGTGTTAAGTGTAACTGGTGTAGCTTTTCTGGAAAGTTATTTGGTTATATGCACTGAGATACTTGAATATGTTCACTCCTGCTGTGACACATGAATTTTATTTCATGGAATCCATATGTACTCAGGGATAATAAAAATGCAAACAAAGTTTTATGCACATAATACCCATCACAGGGTTACTTATAACAGCAAGAATTAGGAGACCAAAAAAAAGGTAGACAATATAAGAGGAATGGTTGGGTAAGTCATAATATTGCCATACAATGGATTTTATGAAGCCATTAATAAGGAAGATTTTAATGTAATAGAAAATACATGAGATAAATTAAGTAAAAAAAGCGTGACACAAAATTGCACGTAAAACCTCACCCATCTTAAAAGGATGCTTAATGATACTTTTCACTTTATGCTTTCATAATATCTAAATGATCTACAATTAACCTACATTTATTCTCTAATGAGTCAAAAAGGCTTTTTTTTTTTTTTTTTTTTTTTTTGAGACAGAGTCTTGCTCTGTCATCCAGGCTGGAGTGCAGTGGTGCGATCTCGGCTCACTGCAAGCTCAGCCTCCCGGGTTCACGCCATTCTCCTACTTCAACCTCCCAAGTAGCTGGGACTACAGGCGCAGGCCAACAGGCCCGGCTAATTTTTTTTGTATTTTTTTTTTAGTAGAGATAGGGTTTCACCATGTTAGCCAGGATGGTCTCGATCTCCTGACCTCGTGATCCGCCCGCCTCGGCCTCCCAAAGTGCTGGGATTACAGGTGTGAGCCACCACGCCTGGCCTAAAAAGTTGTTTTTTTTTTTTCTTTTTTTTTTTTTTTTTTGAGATGGAGTCTCACTCTGTTGCCCAGGCTGGAGTGCAATGGTGCAATCTCGGCTCCCGGGTTCTAGCGATTCTCCTGCCTCAGCCTCCTAAGTAGCTGGGATTACAGCAAGTGCCACCATACCCAGCTAATTTTTGTCTTTTTAGTACAGACGGGGTTTCACCATGCTGGCCAGGCTGGTCTCAAACTCCTGACCTCAAGTGATCCGCCCACCTCAGCTTCCCAAAAGTGCTGGGATTACAGGTGTGAGCCACCGCACCTGGTCCAAAAAGTTCTTGAATTTGTTATGCTTGATAGGCTAAATAGACAAGCCTTAAAGGCTGCCAAATGATTTCCTCATATATAATTCTAAACATTTTAATTAGAAAAAATTAGTTTAAAAAATTATAATAAAGGGCACTGTTCAGAAAAGTAGGAACTCTTGGTGGGTGCGGTGGCTCACGCCTGTAATCCCAGCACTTTGGGAGGATGAGGTGGGCGGATCACCTGAGGTCAGGAGTTTGAGAACAGCCTGGCCAACAAGGTGAAACTGTGTCTCTACTAAAAATACAAAAATTAGCGGGGTGTGGTGGCAGGCGCCTGTAATCCCAGCTACTTGGGAGGCTGAGGCAGGAGAACTGCTTGAACCCGGGAGGCAGAGGTTGCAGTGAGCTGAGATCATGCCACTGCACTGCACTGCAGCCTGGGAGACAGATTGAGACCCCATCTCAAAAAAAAAAAGAAAAAAGAAAAAAAAAAATAGGAGCTCTTAAACACCGCAGGTGGAAACGTAAATATTAATTTACCGAGTAATGGAATAGCTAGCAAAAGCATTAAAATGTGTATATGCTTTGACTCCCAAAGTCTACTTGCAGGAATCTGCCCTAAGGCAAAAAGAAATGTATACAAAAATTCATATAAAGGATATTCAACAGTATTATACATGCATAAAATAGTACAAAAATAAAGATAACCTAAATGCCTTGCAACATGGTTCTGATTATGTCCATTAAATAACATATGTATGTTGGAGTACTATGTAGCCATTAGAAACCAGGTTGTAGGAGAATACTTAATGACAAAGGAAAAGGATCAGGCTGTTAGGGTGAAACAAGCAAATTATAAAATAACTTATAGTATGATTCCAAGTTTGGAAAAAAAAAAGGAGTCAGGAGAGGCATAAGAAAAGGGAGAGACTGTGCAGGAGATAGGTTTTTTTTTTTTTTTTTTTGATGGAGTCTTGCTCCATCACCAGGCTGGAGTGCAGTGGCCCGATCTAGGCTCATTGCAACCTCCACTTCCTGGGTTCAAGCAATTCTCCTGCCTCAGCCTCCTGAGTAGCTGGGACTACAGGCGTGCGCCATCATGCCCAGCTAATTTTTGTATTTTTAGTAGAGACAGGGTTTCACCATGTTGGCCAGGATGGTCTCAATCTCTTGACCTTGTGATCTGCCAGCCTTGGCCTCCCAAAGTGTTGGGATTATAGGCGTGAGCCACCACAACTGGCCGGTGGGTTTTTTAATTAAAAAAAAAAAAAAGAAAAGAAGAGAGACAGAGTGCGTGCGTGCACATGCCCATACCTGTATGTGAAAAAAAGTAAAACTAAAAAACCCAAAATGCAAAGAGTTACATCTTTGGATTATTTTGGTCCTTCTCCATATAAAAAAATTATAATAGGCCAGGTGTGGTGGCTCACGCCTGTAATCCCAGCACTTTGTGAGGTAGATCACTTTGAGGTCAGGAGTTCAAAACCAGGCTGGCCAACGTGGTGAAACCCCGTTTCTACAAAAAATACAAAAATTAGCCGGGGGTGGTGGTGCACACCTGTAATCCCAGCTACTTGGGAGGCTGAGGCAGCAGAATCGCTTGTACCTGGGAGGTGAGCCACGATTGTGCCACTGCATTCCAGCCTGGGCAACAGACAGAGACTCCATCTCAAAAAAAATTTCCGGCCGGGCGTGGTGGCTCACGCCTGTAATCCCAGCACTTTGGGAGGCCGAGGCGGGTGGATCATGAGGTCAGGAGATCGAGACCATCCTGGGTAACACAGTGAAACCCCGTCTCTACTAAAAATACAAAAAATTAGCCGGGAGCGGTGGCGGGCTCCTGTAGTCCCAGCTACTTGAGAGGCTGAGGCAGGAGAATGGCGTGAACCCAGGAGGCGGAGCTTGCAGTGAGCCGAGATTGCGCCACTGCACTCCAGCCTGGGCGACAGAGCCAGACGCTGTCTCAAAAAAAAAAAAAAAAAAAAAAAAAAAAATTTCCAATTATAAATATGTGCTACTTTGAAAATTAAGAGTGGGTCTTTAATTTTAACTATACATAAAGAGAGTTATTCAAACACGCTTTTAAACAAAACTTGTTTTAACCTCTTCTTAGATAATCCTAAAATTAATCCAGAACCAAATGTCTTCCTTTTCTTAACATAGACTCTAATGCTTTGTACATGCCAGTGCAAATGGGATGCTATTTCTGAGGCTGGCAGAAGGGCTTAAAAACAAAAAGGTGGCCGGGCATGGTGGCTCACACCTGTAATCCCAGCACTTTGGGAGGCCGAGGCAGGTGGATCATGAGGTCAGGAGATCAAGACCATCCTGCCTAACACGGTGAAACCCTGTCTCTACTAAAAATACAAAAAATTAGCCGGGCGTGGTGGCACGCGCCTGTAGTCCCAGCTACTTGGGAGGCTGAGGCAGGAGAATTGCTTGAACCCAAAAGGCGGAAGTTGCAGTGAGCTGAGATTGTACCACTGCACTCCAGCCTGGGCGACAGAGCAAGACTCCATCTCAAAAAAAACAAAAAACAAAAAACAAAAAAACAACAAATAGGTGGTAGGGTTCCTAAAGGCAAAGTGTTTGCTTTTTCTTTTGTCACTCATTAGTTATAGCATTATCATAAAAATGATAAAGCACTTCTCTGCCACTTGGTGGTGGGTGAAGATAATCCCTCTCATGATTAAGAATACGGTAACGATGAATGACAGAGCCTTGGGAGAAGCCTTGGGAGAATTAAAAACTAAAAACTTTAAAAAAAAAAAAAAGAAAAAAATACTGTAACAGCTCATCTAACCAGAAACCAGCAACCTGGAACATTAAACTAACTATATACTTCCTAATCTGTCAAGAATTCAGGAGTCAAAAGAGAAAAATCCCTGTGTAGGTGCTGGGGTTGGCAGTAATTCTTCTCAGTATCTAAGGCTTAATAATGCCCTCCAGTGAGCAGTGACATACACAACAACGACCTGCCTCACTCGAAGAGTCTTGAACTCCACATTAAAAAAATTATGGTGCATTAAACAAGGGCGAAAACAAAAATTTTCTGGTAATAATTAGATAGCATGACTAAACAGACCACAACATCCCCTGAAAATTCAGGCTATTCATGATTTCACTGTTCCATGAAACGCAGGTTCTGAAGTTTAAATCCAAGTTTCCCTTGAGAGTTTTAATTCATGACTTGAACTAAAAAATAAAACTATAAATTTCAATGATCTGGGGGTTTATCCTTCTAGCTACTAGACAGGCAAAATAATCTTAATATGTGGTAAGTTTTACTCATTAACTAAAATATGGAAAAGCTAAGATATAAAGATCTGACTAAAACCACAAGATTTTATGACAAAAGGGCAACTAGTGTACTCAAAATTCTTTCACACTTTACATGAAATGGCTTATTATAAAAAATAAAATCTATATACAATCAAAGCCAACAAAAGTTACCACAGAGCTGAAAGGGTATAAACAAGTGCTGCTAATATTGTTGCTTCCTTGACGTGCATCTAGGATTCCTGCCCCTCCCTTCCCTACAGTAACTCTTTTTGTTTTTTTTTTTTTTTGAGACGAAGTTTTGCTCTTGTTGCCCAGGCTGGAGTGCAATGGCAGGATCTCGGCTCACCGCAACCTATGCCTCTGAGGTTCAAGTGATTCTCTTGCCTCAGCCTCCCGAGTAGCCAGGATTACAGGCATGTGCCACGACGCCCGGCTAACTTTGTATTTTTAGTAGAGACAGGGGTTTCTCCATGTTGGTCAGGCTGGTCTTGAACTTATGACCTTGGGTGATCTGCCTGCCTTGGCCTCTCAAAGTGCCGGGGTTACAGGTGTGAGCCACCGTGCCAGGCCCTTGCAGTGACTCTTGAAGTTTATGGGGCGGGTAGAAAAGTAGGAGACCTTAATGGGAAATGGAATGGTCTATATGATCCTGGGAGATCTTCGTTGTATTTGTGGTCCCAAACCATCTTTCAAAAAGTTCTCTAGAACAGTGGCAATCTACATTAGCGATGCCTGGTGTAATAAAACGGTAGGCAATGAACTCTTGCTTACACACCTCTTCTCCAAACCCTCTCAGGGTCCATAGAATCCTTTCCTGAACACTAAATCTCCTTTGAAGAACTCATTTGTTTCCTTATTTGGTCATCTTCCTATTACACAAGATTTTTTTTTTTTTTTTTTTTTTTTGAGACAGAGTCTTGCTCTGTTGCCTAGGTTGGAGTGCAGTGATGCAATCTCTGCTCACTGCAACCTCCACCTCCCAGGTTCAAGCAATTCTCCTGCCTTAGCCTCTAGAGGAGCTGGGATTACAGGTGCCCACCACCACACCCAGCTAATCTTTGTATTTTTAGTAGAGATGGGGTTTCACCATGTTGGCCAGGCTGGTCTCAAACCCCTGACTTCAAGTGATCCACCTACCTCGGCCTCCCAAGGTGATGGGATTACAGGTGTGAGCCACCGTGACCGGTCTAGACAAGCATTTTATGCCTTAATTCTAAACTTAACTTACAACCCTTCAGCCTAACATATCTACTGATACATCTCACTTCTACAAATCTGAACTCCAGCAATTCTTCAAAGACCTATCTAAAGCATCCAAAATCTGTTTCTGAGTTTCAATTACTTTTTTTTTTGAGACAGAGTCTCGCTGTCGCCCAGGCTGGAGTGCAGTGGCACGATCTCGGCTCACTGCAAGCTCCACCTCCCAGGTTCACGCCATTCTCCTGCCTCAGCCTCTCGAGTAGCTGGGACTACAGGTGCCTGCCACCATGCCCGGCTACTTTTTTTTAATTTTTATTTTCATTTTTAGTAGAGACGGGGTTTCACCATCTTAACCAGGATGGTCTCGATCTCCTGACCTCGTCATCTGCCCGCCTCGGCCTCCCAAAGTGCTGGGATTACAGGCCACCGCGCCCGGCCTCTGAGTTTCAATTACTAATCACAATCTAGATATGTTCAAACATGCTTCCCAGTAGGGAGATCCACTGCCCTTCTGCTAGGGGACTATAAGCTTACATACGTAGCTAAGTTATGCTTTTTCTTTTGTACTCACTCCTTCCTTTCAGACTCTCCAGCGTTTTTGCCATACAGGCAATTTTTGCTTGAAATACATCTTTACCATTGGTCTTCTTCCCAGAAGTCGTTTTCCTCTGTAATGATTCCTCAATGATGCCAGGAGGTCATATTGTGTGCTGTTTGGTGACTGTCATACCTGTCTTTGAAACTCTAAAATGACTTCATTTCAACCTTGACTTTCAATGACATTTCATGCATATCATGGTTTGGCAGCATAACTGTAAGAATGAACAGTTCCTTAAAAAAACCACCCAGGTATTTAGGGTCCTGAAAGGCTCTTTCCTCTTATCGCTCCATCTTCCTTTTGGGTTGCTCACTTCTTCCTTCCAGAGCCTTTGAATTCCTACTCATTGATTTCGAATTTTTAGTGTAAAATCTAATAGTCGTTGTTTCTGGTTTATGTTGTTAAATTTCTAGATTCTTCATAAGGCTTGATCCATGCTAGATTGTTTATTATTTTTCATAATTGCTTCTTACTGGACCATGTCTTCAACACCAATTATGACATTAAAAAAATATTTTTTCCCTATTCATCAAAAAGCAAAAAAAGTCAGCATTGTACTTATTTTATTAGAGATGGGGGTCTTGCTGTTACCCAGACTGGAGTGCAGTGTCACAATCATAGCTCACTGTAGCCTTGAAATCCTAGGCTGAAGTGATCCTCCTGCCTCATCCTCTGAAGTAGCTAGGACTATAGGCGAGTGTCACCACGCGTGGCTAATTAAAAAAATTTTTTTCTTAGAGATGGGGTCAGGCTGGTCTCAAACTCCTGGCCTGAAGTAATCTTCACACTTCAGCTGGGATTGCAGGCACAAGTCACCATGCCTGAGCCCCAACTACGACATATACTATTCCCAGAAACCTAAATTTCTTCACTTCAAGCTCTAATCTATTCTTCAAAGCCATTTCAACACATCTTTTCAAGCAAATCATTCCAAGTTTTACTAGAGTTTAAAGCGAAAGCAAACATTTCTTAATTCAAAGTGCACATGTCATAATGCTTAATTTATTCAAGAGCAGAACTGTTTTCTGCCTCCTCCCCCAATTCATTTAGCACAGTGGTGGACATTTTGTTGATGGGTTATCAATACATTTGGTTGATGAATCAGTTTCCCATTAACAGTCTTGTCATTTCCTGCACACTATCACCTGAGTAACATTAGAAAAGACCTCACCAAACACGCTTTATGTTATCAAACACCAACAAGCAAAGATGTTTCCTCATCCCTCTGATTATAGCTGCCACTTACTGCCTAAGCCAAATGCTTTACATTTATTATCTCTAATCTTCCTTTTCCACATGAATGAACAACCAGGTTCAGAGAAGTAACTTGCCCATACGTAGTAAGTGGTGGAACCAGGATTTGACTTAGGCCTGGCTGGCTTCAAAATCCACACTTTGTCCACAAAAGTTAGTTATGCTGTCAATTTAGCTGGGCTCTGAAAAAAACTGGAGTTTCAACTTTCACATATATGGTATGTATACAATAACGTCTACCCGCCACTTCAATATATCCTTAAGAACTGAACGTTTTACTGTAGAAAAGGAGTAGTTTTTAAAGCCTTTTACTGTAAAAGAAATCAGTACTTTACTAAAGACGTCCTCAGAAAGAAAACGATTCTAATAATTAATTTGAAATGGCTTTTTAAACCCAAATCATCATTTGAGAATACGGTAGCTACCAGTTTTCTCATACGTGAAACATACTTAGGTAACTTTCAAAATGTTTCAGGTGTCAGTTACTAGTATAACCCTGGGGAGTAAACGGTAGCTATATTACAACTGTTGCAAAGTAGAGTTTCTTTTTTAAGCCAAGAGTTCTCTAACACCCAAGGTTTAGTGCCCTAAAATGTCACCCCAGTCCTTTTAATTTTATATCCATGCCTTCCAAGCCCTACCTAACATCTGGTTCCCAGTTTTCCCCGTTGAGTATTTTCTCCAGGCCTGATTCCTCAACAGTTTTCCCTAAAACCTGTAGCTCATGCTGGCACTATTTTTGCCGAAGTAGATTAAGAATACAAGTAATAGATCATACTCTGGGGGAGGCAGTAAGTTAACAATTTCGTCTCCGTCTGCGTTAACCAGACGCAGATACTAGCCAGGGTGGCCACTATTCTCCTAACAAATTCTACAACGGCCAAGCAATTTTTCGGTAAGTTGGAAAACGGAAACCACAGCGTGGAAACTCTGCACGGAGTCTTAAAGATAAGAAGTTAAGACTTTAATTTACTCTTGCAGAGGGAACGGTGAAGGCTTTCAGCACGGCAAGACGATACTTTCGAAACTGTCACTAGACTACTCAAACTGGAGTCTCCCGCCCAAAAAAGCGTGGCACACGGCTAAAAAGGGCCTCCCTCCAAGGCTCCAGTCCTCGGGGAAGACGGCGCTGTGACCGTCTGATCCATGAGACCGGGCAAGAGGTGAAAGGGAGCAGGAAATCCTGTTTATTTCCAGTAGTCCTCAGAGCGGGAAAGGTTGGTGTCTACCCAGAAACGAATAGGGCCCCAGTTCCGGGCCTAGGAAGGGAAAACCCAGGTCTCCCGGGCGCCCTGGAGCTGTGCCCCCCTGCCCGGAGCACCAGCCCCACTCGGGCTTTCCTTCTCCCCGTCCCACTCAGGGCCTCAGCACAGCTCCCATTATGCCTCCACCACCCCCACCCGCGCAGGCGCAGTGGGAACCGGGGCCTACCCGCGCCCCCGAGGCGCCGCCACTATGGCGGAGCCTGGCCAGGCCGGTAGCCGCTCCGCGCGGACCAGGCGTCCCTCTCCCGTCCCCGCGGCCTCCCCACCACCTATGGGGTCTGTCCCCGCCCGGCCGGACCCTCTTTCGCCCTCCTCACCCGTTCTTCAGATCCACCTCCAGGATCTTCCCGTAGCCCTTAAAGAAGCGCTCCACATCGCGCTCCCGGGCCTGGTAGCTCAGGCGGCCGATGTACACCCGCGGCATCCCGGCAACGGCAGTGATGGCTGGCCCCGGCCCCAGCCCCCCTTAGGCGGCGGCGGGCAAAGCGAGAGCACGGCGGCAGCGGCGGCGGCGGCAACGGGCGGGCGGCGGGACGGACGCAGCCGAACCCCGGCGACGTACGCGAGCACGCAGCTCGCGAGCGCGCGCTTCCACTTCCCCCGCCCTTCCCCGAGGCGGAAGGTAACCGGAGAGAGCGCGCGTTCGCTTCCCGCTCGGCCAGGACTGGGGGAGGAGCTTGCCCGGGGGCGCGCCGACGTGCGGCGGGGCAAGGTGATCGACAGGCGGCGCTGCGGCACGTCCTCGCGCGAGCTCGCCAAAGGGGTTCCTGCACCGCCTTCCGCAGCCAGCTGGCTTCGCCCCTCCCCCGGAAGTGTCCGCACCTCCTAGAGCCCAGCGAGCGAGCGTTTGTGCTTTTGTCCTTTGAACCGGGTGTGGTTTGGATTTCGGAGCTGGAGCTTTGGAATCAAACCTAGCTTCCAAACGATTGTGTACCCGTGACCTTGGGCTTGTTACGCGCGATGTCTCGGACCCTCCTTTATCTTTTCTGTAAAAGGGGGAGAGTAGTTCCTACCTTCCAGAGTTGTCTTGAGAATTATATGAGAATACGTACATAAAGCACTTAGTAGTTTTGTCATATCAAGTGCCCAATAAATGAGACCAGTATTATTTTTAAGAGGACACTGCTTAAATAGAAGCAGTGTGAGAAGCGGAGAAGGCTGGAGCTTTGGAGCTAGACTAGGCATGACGCCGAGTAAATTACTTGACCACAATCCAACCTATTTTTTTTTTTTTGAGACGAGTTTCGCTCGGTCGCCCAGGCTGGAGTGCAGTGGCGCGACCTCAGCTCACTGCAACCTCCGCCTCCCGGGTTCAAGCGATTCTCCTGCCTCAGCCTCCAGAGTAGCTGGGACTACAGGCGCCCGCCCCCACGCCCGGCTAATTTTTGTATTTTTAGGAGAGAGGAAGTTTCACCATATTGGCCAGGCAGGTCTCAAACTCCAGACCTCAGGTGATCCGCCCGCCTTGGCCTCCCAAAGTGCTGGGATTACAGGCGTGAGCCACTGCGCCTGGCCTATCCAGTCTATTTTCTAACCTGTAAAATTAGAATAATGTATACCCATCTCAAGGATTACACAGGTCACTAAATGGGGTAGTGTATGTGAAAGTACTTGGAACAGTGTCTGAAACATGGTAAGAGCTCAATAAATATTGGTTCCCTTCTCACTAACGCCATGTACCTAGAACCATAAAGGGTTTTGTTTCTTTGCTTGTTTTTGTTTTTTGAATATTTTGAAAGGATAACTCAAGGTTCAAATGATACACAGTGAAAAGTCTTCGCTGTCCACCAGCCACTTAGTTTCTCTTCCCAGAGGCAGTTTCTGAAATGTCCTTTAGGAGGTTAATTTACCCTTATAAAACAAATAGTAGGATACTATACATATGGTTCTACACAAAATATATTTTGAAAATCATTCCTTAAGAGTATAAAAGGACTAGTTTTATGGTTCATACCATTTTATACACAGTAATTTATTTAGCCAGTGCCCTGGTGAAGGACATTGAAATAAGTTCCAACCTTTTGTTATTACACTGCTGCAGTAACTTTGCATTTCTCTCTCTCTCTTTCTCTCTCTCTCTATATATATCATCTATTCCTAGAAATAGGATATTTGGGTCAGAGTTTTGATAAGTTATTGCTCAATTCCCCTTAAGTGGCTGTTTCCTCATATCCTCATCAACACCGTGTTATCAAACTTTTTGATCTTTGCCAATCTGAGAGGTGAAAAATGTTATCTCCAAGTGGTTTAATTTGCAAATATCATATTTTGCAGAGATATGAGTCTTTCTTCATATGTTTGAGATATATTTTCCTATTTCTGTCTGTGTATATCCTTTACCCATTTTTCTTATTCATAGGTGCTCACTATATATTAGGAAAATCAGCTCTTTGTCAAATGAGTTGCAAATATTTTTTCCATTTGTTGACTTTTGACTTTGCCAAGAGTGTTTTTTAGCCATGCAAAAACATTAGATATTTATGGGATCAATTTATCCATCCTTTATTTTTCTTTGATTCTGGATTTTATTTTTAAATTTTTATTTATTCTACTTTTTTTTTTTTTTTTTGAGACTGAGTCTCGCACTGTCGCCCAGGCTGCAGTGCAGCGGTGCGATCTCAGCTCACTGCAACCTACGCCTTCTGGGTTCAAGCGTTCTCCTTCCTCAGCCTCTAGAGTAGCTGGGATTACAGGCACCTGCCACCACGCCCGGCTAATTTTTTTGTATTTTAGTAGAGAAGGGGTTTCACTATGTTGGCCAGGCTGGTCTTGATCTCCTGACCTCGTGATCTGCCTGCCTCGGCCTCCCAGAGTGCTGGGACTACAGGCGTGAGCCACTGTACCCGGCTTTTTTTTTTTTTTTTTGAGATGGAGTCTTGGTCTGTTGCCCAAGATGGAGTGTAGTGGCACTATCTTGGCTCACTGCAGTCTCTGCCTCCAGGTTCAAGCAATTCTCCTGCCTCAGCCTCCCAAGTAGCTGGGATTACAGGCATGTGCCACCACGCCTGGCTAATTTTTTTGTATCTTTAATAGAGACTGGGTTTCACCATGTTGGCCAGGCTGGTCTCAAACTCCTGACCTCAGGTGAGGTGGCGTGAGCCACCGCGCCCGGCAAGAAATCTATTTTGAAAGTAATAATTAGTGGCTGGGTGCGGTGGTTCACGCCTGTAATCCCAGCGCTTTGGGAGGTTGAGGCAGGAGGATCATCTGAGGTTAGGGATTCAAGACCAGCCTGGTCAACATGGGGAAACCCCATCTCTACTAAAAATACAAAAAATTAGCCAGGTGTGATTGTGTGGGCCTGTAGTTCAGCTATTCAAAAGGCTGAGGCAGGAGAATTGCTTGAACCCAGGTGGCAGAGGTTGCAGTGAGCCGAGATCGTGCCATCACACTCCAGCCTGGGTGACAAGAGCAAAACTCCATCTCAAAAACAGGCCACAGCGCCCAGCCTATTCTACTTTTTTAGAGATGGAGTCTCGTTGTTTTCCTGCCTGGTCTTAAACTACTGGGCTCAGGCCAGGCACAGTGGCTCACACCTGTAATCCCAGCACTTTGGGAGGCCGAGGTGGGTGGATCACCTGAGGCCAGGAGTTCGAGACCAGTCTGGCCAACATAGTGAAACCCTGTCTCTATTAAAAATACAAAAAATTAGCCAGACATGGTGGCAGGCGCCTATAATCCCAGCTACTCGGGAGGCTGAGGCAGGAGAATAGCTTGAACCCAGGAGGCGGAGGCTGCAGTGAGCCAAGATTGTGCCATTGCACTCCAGCCTGGGCAACAAGAGCGAAACTTTGTCTCAAAAAAGAAACAAACAAACAACTGGGCTCAAGCAATCCTCCCTTCTGGACCTCCCAGTGTTGAGATTACAGGCATGAGCCACTGCACCCAACCTCCTATTTATTATTTTATTTTTTAAATTTAATTCAATTTTATTTTTTGAGACAGAGTTTTGCTCTGTCACCCAGGCTGGAATACAGTGGCATGATCTTGGCTCACTGCAACCTGTGCCTCCTGGGTTCACACGGTTCTCCTGCCTCAGCCTCCTGAGTAGCTGGGACTACAGGCCCGTGCCACCATGCCAAGCTAATTTATGTATATATATTTTAGAGACAGAGTTTAACTCGTTGCCCAGGCTGGAGTGCAATGGCACGATCCCCGCTCACTGCAACCTCTGCCTCCCGGTTTCAAGTGATTCTCCTGCCTCAGCCTCCTGAGTAGCTGGGATTACAGGCATGTGCCACCACGCCCAGCTAATTTTGTATTTTTAGTAGAGATGGGGTTTCTCCACGTTGGTCAGGCTGGTCTTGAACTTCCAACTCCAGGTGATTCACCCGCCTGGGCCTCCCAAAGGGCTGGGATTACAGGTGTGAGCCACCTTGCCCGGCCATAATCTTTAATTCATTTGGAATTCAGTAAGTGTGAGGAACATAACATTCTTAAGAACTAGCAATCTGGCCTGGGCAACATGGCAAAAACCCGTCTCTGCAGAAAAAACAACAAAAAAAATTAGCCAGGCATGGCGGTGCATGCCTGTAGTCCCAGCTACTTGGGAGGCTGAGATGGGGGGGATCTCCTGAGCCCAGGGAGGTTGAGGCTGCAGTGATCTGTGATCATGCCACTGTCCTCAAGCCTGGATGTCAGAGTGAGACCCCATCACATGCACACACACACACAAAAACAACAAAAAACCACGAAAACAAAAATCCTAGCACTAAGCTTGGTTGTTATATTAACCTATTGTACAGATGGGAAAGAGAGCCCTCCAGAGGGGAAATGCTTGTCCCTAAAACCTGCTCCTCCTTCCCCAATGCAAGTGGCACCACCATCAGCGAGGTGCCAAAGTTCAACCTTCAACCACTGCATTCAGTCTGTCCTTCTGATTATTCCTTCTAAATATTCACAGATTCATTCCTTCTTTCCATTCCTACTTCCTAAACTAGTTCAGGCCTCATCAGACTGTTCACAGTCAGGGCTTTGATATGCGCTACTTCCTCTGCCTGGAATACAGCTGGCTCCTTCTTATTCAGGCCTGAGGCCTTCCATGTCCACCTTATTTCAAGTGTTGTTTGTCATATTTCACAACACTTACTACACAGTCTGTAATTACCTGGTTTATTTATTTACTTGTGCATGGTCTTTCTCCACCACTGGAATGTAAGCTCGCTGGTCTCAGGGGCCATGTTTTTTGTTTCCTGCTCTATCCCTAGCCCCTAACAACAGTGCCTTTCACATAAAGAGCGTTTAAAATACTTATTGAATGAATACATAAATAATCTCTTACCTGGACTACTTCAATGGCCTCCTGATTCTGCCTTTTTCTCATGCCTCCCCATGAGACACAGACTCAGGGAAATTTGAATGCTCTTCCAGTTGACATGTCAAGAACAAAATCAAGGACTCGTGAGAAGAGTGGGACCTCCAAGGCCACCTGTGGAGCCAAAAGAATTGGGACTGTCTGCTGTAGTGACCAGATATGGTCAGGGGATCTGGCTTCTAGTGCCAGCTCTGCTGCCTGCTGTGTGATCTGGAACAACTCACTTCACATCTCTGGGAGGCTGCTGCTTCTGTAAAGTGGTGACATTAACATCTCAATGACATAGGAAATTTCTAAGAATCTCTTTTTTCTCTTTCATAAGGTGCCAATGTCTCCTTTCCACTTACCTTTCAGCTAGCCCTGCTGTCTTCCCAGGAATGTTCCTGCCTTCAGATGCAAGCAGATGTTGTGCCAGGACTGAGCCTTCTCTTCTCCACCATTTCCAGCTGCTGTGGCTTGGCCTAGTGCTTTACTCAGGGCATGGTGCCTGACAATAAGCATGGGGCTGGTGGGTGTTCTGAGAGTTTCCATGCACAAGTACAGCCTGGCACACACAGGTTAACGCAAGAGCTTTTCTCTTTTCTTTTTTGAGACCGAGTCTCACTCTGTTGCCCAGGCTAGAGTGCAGTGGTGAGATCTCGGCTTACTGCAACCTCCGCCTCCGGGTTCAAGCGATTCTCGTGCCTCAGCCTCCCGAGTAGCTGGGACTACAGGCATGAGCCACCATGCCTGGGTAATTTTTTTTGTATTTTTAGTAGAGACTGTGTTTCACTATGTTGGCTGGTCTCGAACTCCTGACCTCAGGTGATCTGCACACCTCAGCCTCCCCAAGTGCTGGGTTACGGGCGTGAGCCACCATGCCTGGCCGCAAGAGCTTTATTCTTCTCGGCCTCAGTCTTCCCCTGAGGAAAGTGTGCGTAATTATCTCATATCCCAAGAAAACACATTTATCAAATTTTTTTTCCTTTTTTTGTTGAGACAGAGTCTCACTCTGTCACCCAGGCTGGAGTGCAGTGGTGCGATCTCAGCTCACTGCAACCTCTGCTTCCTGGGTTCAAGCGATTCTCCTGCCTCAGCCTCCCAAGTAGCTGGAACTAAAGATGCACGCCACAGGCCAGGCGAGGTGGCTCACGCCTGTAATCCCAGCACTTTGGGAGGCCCAGGTGGGTGGATCATGAGGTCAGGAGATCGAGACCATCCTGGCTAACATGGTGAAACCCCATCTCTACTAAAAATACAAAAAAATTAGCCAGGCGTGGTGGTGGGCGCCTGTAGTCCCAGCTACTCGGGAGGTTGAGGCAGGAGAATGGCGTGAACCCAGGAGGCGGAGCTTGCAGTGAGCTGAGATTGTGCCACTGCACTCCAGCCTGGGCAACACAGCAAGACTCTGTCTCAAAAAAAAAAAAAAAAAAAAGACGCACACCACCATGCCTGGCTAATTTTTGTATTTTTAGTAGAGATGGGGTTTCACCATGTTGGCCAGGCTAGCCTCGAACTCCTGGAGAGACCAGATCTTGAGGGGCCTCAAGGATCATGGGAAGGATTTGGAGTTTACTTTTTTTTTTGAAATGGAGTCTCACTCTGTTGCCCAGGCTGGAATGCAGTGGTGCAATTTTGGCTCACTGCAACCTCCACCTCCTGGGTTCAAGCAATTCTCCTACCTCAGCATCCCAACGAGCTGGGATTACAGGTGCCTGCCACCACGCCCGGCTAATTTTGTATTTTTAGTACAAATTAATTTAGTAGAGACAGGATTTCTCCATGTTGCTCAGGCTGGTCTCGAACTCCTGACCTGAGGCTATCTGCCTGCCTTGGCCTCCCAAAGTGTTAGGATTAAAGGCATGAACCACTGCGCCTGGCCTCCATTTACCAATATTGTGGCAGCAACTATAGGTAGTCACTGGGTGGATGGTCCCAGAAGAGGACAGGGAGAGATGGCAGAGTCAGGAAGCTGCAGGGCTTCAGGTGCGCTCAAGCTTTTTTTTAGCAGGTAATGCCTATTTGTCTTTTTTTTTTGAGACAGTTTCACTCTTGTTGCCCAGGATGGAGTGCTATGGCGCGATCTTGGCTCACTACAACCTCCACCTCCCGGGTTCAAGCAATTCTCCTGCCTCAGCCTCCCGAGTAGCTGGGATTACAGGCGCCCGCTACCATACCCGGCTAATTTTTGCATTTTTAATAGAGATGGGGTTTCACCATGTTGGCCAGGCTGATCTTGAACTCCTGACCTCATGATCTGCCTGCCTCTGCCTCCCAGAGTGCTGGGATTACAGGCGTGAGCCACCACGCCCAGCCTATGTTAACTTTTTTGTATGAGACGGAGATTCACTCTTGTTGCCCAGGCTGGAGTGCAATGGTGCGACCTCGACTCACTGCAACCTCTACCTCCTGAGTTCAAGCAATTCTCCTGTCTCAGCCTCCTGAAAAACTGGAATTACAGGCGTGCACCACCACTCCCGGCTAATTTTTGTATTTTTAGTAGAGACGGGGTTTCACCATGTTGGCCAGGGTGGTCTCGAACTGACCTCAGGTGACCCGCCTGCCTTGGCCCCCCAAAGTGCTGGGATTACAGGTGTGAGCCACTGTGTCTGGCGAATTTTTATATTTTTAGTATAGACGGGGTTTCACCATGTTGGCCAGGGTGGTCTGGAACTGACCTCAGGTGATCTGCCTGCCTCAGTTTCCCAAAGTGCTGGGGTTACAGGTGTGAGCCACCACACCCAGGCAATTTTCGTATTTTTGTAGAGATGGGTTGGGGGGGGGTCTCCTCATGTTGCCCAGGCTGGTCTCGAACTCCTGGGCTCAAGTGATCTGCCCGCCTCAGCCTCCCAAAGTGCTGGGATTACAGGCATGAGCCGCTGTGCCCGGACCGTCTGAAATTAAAAACAATCTCCTGCACTTGTAAAGTAGAGAAGAGAGGATCCATTTTAAGTCCAATTCTCTTTTGGCACTGTTTCCTTTCCAATGTTGGCCTCTGAAATGTCGGCAACCCCTGGTTGGTCTTTGACATTTAGTGGAAGGGGGCGGGGTGGGCTTACCTACCTGAAATTCAGAACCTGGGAGTCTCTGATTTTATCTTTCTTTAGTGCTTCCCTCCTCCAAACTGTCCTCCGGGCTACTGCTGGAGGGATTTTTTTTCAAAGCACAGTTCTGATCTTCTGTCTCAGAAATCTTTTGTTCCTTACTGCCAACACAATAAAGTCCAAATTCCTTAGCTGGGAATCATAAACTGCCACGATTCCCTTTTTCGGCTTCAGATTGACTTGATTTCAATCTAAGTTAAACCATTGAATTTGTATTACTTAGGATTAGGTTCAGTGAAACCCCAAATACTAGGGGCTTGAATAAAACAGACGCTTATTTCTCATGTAAAACAAGTCCTGAGGTGGGCAGTTGGGGATTCTGGGTGTCAGGGAGCCAGGCTCCTTTGATCTTGCTGTACATAGTCAAGGCCGGGCGCGGTGGCTCACGCCTGTAATCCCAGCACTTTGGGAGGCTGAGGCGGGCGGATCACGAGGTCAGGAGATCGAGATCATCCTGGCTAACACAGTGAAACCCTGTCTCTACTAAAAATACAAAAAAATTAGCCAGGCGCGGTGGCAGGCGCCTGTAGTCCCAGCTATTCGGGAGGCTGAGGCGGGAAAATGGCGTGAACCCGGGAGGCGGAGCTTGCAGTGAGCCGACATCGCGCCACCCAGACTCCGTCTCAAAAAAACAAAACAAAACAAAACAAAAAAAAACCGTAGTCAAAGATGGCTGGGTAAACTCCAGGAATCATGTCTGTGTACCACAGCTATAAGGAGGGTGGAAGGGGAAGGGGAAGAAAAAGGTACAGGATGCAGGCCTGCTATATTTTAAAGAGGTTCCTGGGCAGGGCGCAGTGGCTTACACCTGTAATCCCAGCACTTTGGGAGGCAGAGGCCAGCGGATCACCTGAGGTCAGGAGTTCGAGACCAGCCTGTCCAACATGGTGAAACGCTGTTTCTATTAAAAATAACAAAAACTAGCTGGGCGTGGTGGCAGGTAATCCCAGCTACTCGGGAGGCTGAGGCAGGAGAATCACTTGGACCTGGGAGGTGGAAATTGCAGTGAGCCGAGATTGCACCACTGCACTCCAACGTAGGTGACAGAGCAAGACTCCATCATCTCTCCAAATAAAAAAAAAAAAAAAAAAAAGAGGTTCCTAAGAAACTGACGCCTAACACCTCTGCTTACATCACTTGCGGGGGCAGATCTTGTTAGCTGCAAGGGATGCAGAGAAACAGTGTTTATTCCGGCCTGCCATGTACCCACCTAAAAGTTGTAGGTTTTAATTCTCAGGAAGAGAATGGAGAAAATGAGACAGTTCTAACATAAATACCCTGTCTCTGTAACTGCCTAATCTGCTCTCTTCGTCTGTAATGCTTGTCACCCTTCCCTGAATAAATTATAATCATCCTTTGAAGACCAGCCCAAATGTCACCTCCAGACCCCTAAAGGTACAAGGAATCATTGCCTTCACTGTTCTCAGGCATTCTGCACGTTCCTCCAGATCTTGAAGCGTGGTGTTACAAACATTCCTGTATGCCTGCTCTTAGAGTGGGCACCAGGGGCCTGCTCCTTCACCAGGACTCAGGCTCACCACTCTCCCTAAACCCCAACCTTATGGATTCCCCTTGAAGAATCCTATTTTTTTTTTTGAGACAGAGTCTCTCTCTCTTGCCCAGGCTGAAGTGCAGTGGCGTGATCTCAGCTCACTGCAACCTCCGCCTCCCAGGTTCAAGTGACTGTCCTGCCTCAGCCTCCTGAGTAGCTGGGACTACAGGCATGTACCAGCACGCCTGTCTAATTATAGGTGTGAGACACCTCACCTGGCCTAAAGAACCTAATCTTAATTTTACTCCTGTGGCCTCTGGCAGCCTTCCCTCCTTCTAAGGCTTTTTTCACTTGCCTGCACTGATCATCTGTACAATCACTTGTCCCACTAACCTAGAGGACAGGGACCAGGAAAGAGTTGGGGCTGATCTTGAGCCCAGAAGGTGGCAAATATTCCCCAGAGGGCAATGCAGACCTTTCCCAGCCCCAGGCTGAAGCTGAGTCCTTTTTTCCAGCGGACATAAAAGATGCTTCCAAAGAAAAGATGATTATGCTGGGAGTCCATGTTCAAACTGGCATGCAATTAAACCTTCTGGCCGGGTGTGGTGGCTTACGCCTGTAAACCCAGCACTTTGGGAGGCCGAGGTGGGTGGATCACGAGGTCAGGAGTTCAAGACCAGCCTGGCCAACATAGTGAAACCCCATCTCTACTAAAAATACAAAAATTAGCCAGGTGTGGTGGCATACACCTGTAGTCCCAGCCACTCGGGAGGCTGAGGAAGGAGAATCGCTTGAACCCAGGAGGTTGAGGCTGCAGCGAGCCAAGATCGCCCACTGCACACCAGCAAGGGCAACAGTGTGAGACTTCGTCTCAAAAAAAAAAACAAACATTCCGAGCCAGTTTTTTCCATATTGCTCCACTGCCTAAAATCCCTTGGTGCCTCCCTAGGGCTTCAGGGTAAGCCCTGACATCATGGTCCTTTGTGATCTGTACCTCACCCATGTCTCCCACCTCAGTTCCCACATTTCCCCCACGTCTAAGGCAGCAGCTACACTTGACTGCAGTTCCCTGAGTGCCAGGCTCTCAGGCCTCTAAACTCTCATGTGCTGTTGGCTTTGCTTGGTACGCAGTTTCCTGCTCGGTTTTCAAGACTGGCTGTGGGAGACACTTCCTCTAGGAATCCTTCCTTGATGCCCTCGGGCAGAACTGGGGCCCCTGTGTGTCCTCTCAAGGCCCTCTGAACACCTCCATGTCAGTGACCTCATCATTATACTATACTGGTCAATCTTGCACTAGGCTAAGCAACCTGAGGGCCAGCAGCACTTCTTTCATTGGTATCCTTAGCTTTGGGCACACACTAGGCACTCAATAAATACGTCCTGAATGAGGCTCCTGAGTGCAGGGTACAGAGGGCCAGGTGATAAGGGAGACACCCTGAAGCCTCTGTTCTTTGCTTTGAGCAAATGAATCGTGAAGCAAATACCAAAAAGTCACGTCAAGCTCTTCTCTCGGCCTGAATAAAGCTCACTCATTTGTGAGAGCCCACCTTCAAACTTCACCTCAAGGAAGCATACCCCTGTCCCTGGGGCCTAGGGCAAGATCTTTATTCTGCTCTTACAGCACCCCACATATCTTCTTTACAGCATTAGTCACTATGGTAATTACTGTGAGATTGTTTAATGCACGGTTTATCAACGACCTCATGAACATTGAACATTTGGGGCTAGATTTTTTTTTTTTTTTTGATATAGGGTCTTGCTCTGTTGCCTAGGCTGGAATGCAGTGGCATGATCATGGCTCACTGCAGTCTAGACCTCCCAGGCTCAGGTGATCCTCCCACCTCAACCTCCCGAGTAGCTGGGACTACAGGTGCACAGCACCATACCTGGCTAATGTTTGTATTTTTTGTAGAGATGGTGTTTCACCACGTTACCTAGGTTGACCTTGAACTCCTGGGCTCAAGTGATCCGCTTGCCTTGGCTTCCCAAAGTGCTGGGATTACAGGTGTGAGCCACCGCGCCAGGCCTTGGGTAATTCTTTGTTGCAGTAGACTGTTCTGTGTCCTGTGGTGGGTTTAACAGCAGCACTCACTCTGCCTGCTAGATGCCAGTAGCAACCTCCTTCATAAGCTGTGATAGCCAGAAATATCCCCAGACATTGTCAAATGTCTCCTGGGGGTAAAATTGCCTCTGGTTGAGAACCACTGGTATATTGTCTATGTCTCCAGTTAGAAGGGCAGTTCCATGAGAGTGAAGACCCCACGTCCAAGTTCCTCAGGGCCCTGATGACCTCAGCCTGGCATTCACTCTTCCATGCAGCTGATCCTCCCCAAGCCCTGGACTGGGCCGCAGGCTACCTGAGAAGCACATCAAAGCGTTTGTTCTACAGGACCCTCGTCTGTGGGCTTGTGCAGCTTGGGGCCAGGGATGGTGGCCTACTGGCCTTTGCACTGCCAGTACCCACCCAGGCTTTGCTTTCAGGGTGGTCAGAAAATGATTACTGGGGGAACACATGACAGAAAAGCAGGAAGGGGGCCTCTTGGTGCTGTGAGCTGACCAGTGCACAGTGTTGGTCCTTCTCGACAGGGATGACTTCTACTTTTTGGAAGGGAGAGTTCAGACTTTATTAGATACCTTAAGGCTGGCCCTGGGGAAAACCGTGGCTGGCTTCACCATCCTCCTAATAGGAAGAGGCAGTGAGGAGAACAGTAGTCTGGGGAAGGTGGGAGCCCCAACTGAGGGGCCTGCACCCAGCCCCTCAGATCCGCCTCCCCTCCCATGTCACTCCAGCTCTTTTGGGATGATCACATGGTGAGAATCTGCTTTGAAGATATGAAGGGCTTCATGGAGGCTTCCAAGGCAGACTGGTAGTCCTGCAGCGGGACCTGGGAGCAGGCAGGGGCTGTGAGCTGGCCTCGGCGGATGAGATCGCACAGTGTGAGGATCAGCTCCTTGAACTGGTCTGCGGGAGGTTGGAGGAAATCAGACAAGAGAACAGCAGCTGGGGCTTGGTGAGATGTGGCACGGGGCTGCCCTATGGGCAGGAGCTGGCACCAAGCTCCAATAAAGCCTTGAGAGTCCTGGCTGTGCCAAGGATAGGGTGGCTGTGGAGGCAGCCTGGTCCCTGCCTGTCTTTAGGACAGTGAGGTCAAGGTGGGGAGAGGGGAACATAGGAGCGGCTCTAGGGGCTGAGGGGCAGACAGGCAGAGACCACCCTTCAGAGTGGTGGCTAAGATGGCACAGACTCACAGAACCTGGCCACAGTGGAGACAGGAGCACTGAATGGTGGGAGGAAAAGGATGGCGGAGGCAGGGAGGCCAGAGGAGGCCCAGAGAGGGAGTGGGTATGCCTGGCACGCCAAGTGATGTGGAACAGTTGAGCTCTGCTCAGGAAATGGAGCTCTCCCTGAGAGCCCAGGACTCCCTTAGAACCCCACGACCGGACGCCACCAACATCCCCTTCCTGGGCCTGCCTCCTGCGAAGGACCCTATATGGTACAGGAAGTTGAGAAGTGAAGGCCTCGGCTGAGAAGTGTTTTTCCATAGACATAAATTCATTCAGCCTTCAAATCTAGTCATCTATACTGGCTCCTCAGTTGCCTTTAAGCGTGAGTCTTGTCTGGGTGTGGTGCCTCACGCCTGTAATCCCAGCACTCTTGGAGGCTGAGGTGGGTGGATCACTTGAGCCCAGGAGTTTGAGACCAGCCTGGGCAACATGATGAAACCCCATTTCTACTAAAAATACAAAAACTAGCTGGATGTGGTGGCGTGTGCCTGTGGTCCTAGCTACTTGGGAGGCTGAGGTGGGAGGATCACCTGAACCGAGGAGGTTGAGTCTGTAGTGATCTGTGACCACACCACTGCACTCCAGCCAGGGCAACAGAGCGATACCTTGTTTCAAAAAAAATAACCCCCCAAAACAGCAAAAAAACCCATGAGTCTGAATGCCTTAATCAGGTTTATAAGGCCTCTGTAACCTGGTCACAACCCACTCACCCAATTTTCCAGCCCCAGCTCAGATCTAGTGCTCCAGGTCGCTCGGAACCGCTTCAGTGCCTAGTTGCACGTGTGATTTTCGATATTTTCTGCCTGAAACACTGCCTTCATGCCACCACCTTCCTCCCCTTCACTTGGATAACTCCATGTTATTCTTTGTCCTGAGTTTGGAGATCCCGCTCTGGGGAGCCAGTCCTCCAGGAGATGAACAGGGAGATGATCTGTTTACATCGTGCCTCATACCTCCCTGCAGGGAGGTGACTTTGGGCACGCTACTTAACCACTCTGAACCTCAATTTCCTCCTCTGTCAAACACGGCTAACAAGAGTTTAAACTTAGGACATTTAAACTGAGGCAGAGATTAAGTAACTTGCTCAAGGTCCCACTGCTGGCTAGGCAGAACCTCTATCCAGTAGTGTGGAAGCAGAATTTGAACCCAGGCAGGCTGGCTCCAGAGTCTATTCTCTCTGTTTGGCTATCCATCTTTCCCCACTGTCAGCTCTTCAGGACGGGGGCAGTGTCTGTCTTGTTCTGCGCCCCTAAGACTAACCCAGTTTAGTCCAATAACTGTTTGCTGACTGTAGCTGGACTAAGGCTATTCTCTTTGATCCTTCTGTGGGGCTGGGGACCCAATCACCCCTCCAGGGCTCAGAATAGCTGGTCATTTCTGCTGCCATTTTTAGGCACTGCCCTCATCTGTGACTCTTGGCACTGGGCCATGCACTCACCTGGACTGTGATCCTTCTTCCACTGGGACAACCAAAAGCCTCGAAGTTTGAGATCCTTAAAAATGAGCAGGCTCTGCAGACACAGGAAGGACATGCTGGGCTCTGAGGGCAAGAACTTCAGGTACCGCTTAAGGGTACAGACTCCCCTCCAGGAACGGGGCATTGCCTAAGCTTAGACAGCTGTCGTGCCAGGGGATGTGGCCTGGCTGAGGTGTCTGGCCCGGCTCCAGGCATGCCTCCCTCTGCACCCAGCTTACCACAGAGGCTACGACGGGCTGCTTGGCCATCCCCCCATAGGTTACCATGGTTCCTCCACGCCTGAAAAGTCCAAAGAGAACAAAGAGTGGATGCAAGGCAGAGACAGAGCCCTTCCTGAACCTGCCATGGCGCTTCTACTCCAACCCTGGTTCCTTTATAAACCCTGCTCTCAGAATCTCTGGGAAAGGTTGAAAAATACAGATTCCAGCTGGGAGCAGTGGCTCATGCCTATAATCCCAGCACTTTGGGAGGCTGAGGCAGGTGGATCACTTGAGCCCAGGAGTTCAAGACCAGCTTGGGCAACAAAAGGAGACCCCATCTCTACAAAAAAAGTACAGAAAATTAGCTGGGCAAGGCGGCATGCCTGTAGTCCCAGCTTCTCAGGAGGCTGAGGTGGGAGAATCACCTGAGGCCATGAAATTGAGGTTGCAGTGAGCCCTGATCGCACTACTGCACTCCAGTCTGGGCAACAGAGTGAGACCCTGTCTCAGAAAATAAATGAATGAATGAATAAATAAATGCATGCTGGGGATGGCAGCTCACACCTGTAATACCAGCACTTTGGGAGGCCAAGGTGAGAGGATTGCCTGAGCCCAGGAGTTTGAGACCAGCCTGGGCAACATAGTGAGACCCTGTGTCTATAAATAATAATAAAAAAAAATTAGCTGGGCACGGTGATACATGCCTGTGGCCCCACTCAGGAGGCTGAGGTGGGAAGATCACTTGAGCCTGGGAGGTTGAGGCTGCAGTGAGCTGAGATTGCACTGCTGCATTCCAGCCTAGGCAACACAGTGAGACCATCTCAACACAAAACAAAACAACCAAGAAACCAGATTCCTAGGTCCAATCCCAGACTCAATGAATCAGGAGACGAGAATGTATATTAAACACACACACACACCCGCTCTGGATGACTTGTATGTTTAGCCAGGATTGGGAATCCACTGATCTAACCCATCCAGTCAGGCTTTGATTAAGTGCTGAAAAGAAACATGCTCTCCCCAGATGAGCTCGAGGCCTGAGTTCAGCCTTGGCTCTGCTCTCACTTACAGGTGTCCGACCTAGGGTGATGCAGTGAAAATGGCCCAGACCTCATCTCTTCATCTGCCAGTGCTCATTCTAAGAATCAACGTGAGGAAACAGCTCTACAGATAAGGAATGATGTGGACGGTGCAGGGAACAATGACAAGCATCTTCTCACTGCAGGAGGTGCCTTCTCAGTACCTGCTGTCTGACACCCACACCCCCATGTCAGCTGACATACAGGATTGAGGCTAACATAATTTTTAAGTGAATAAGCCTGGAGTTCACTTGACTTAACCTATGTTCACCTCCCCACTCCCTGGCTCTTCTAGGAGTCTGTTGATTAAGGATGACCTCAGGCACATTTGGGGACAACACAAGGTAGACTTTCAAAACTACCAAATGGAAGGAGCTGCTGTCCTAGGGCAGGTACTTCTGTCCCTGAGGCTGCTGGGTAGTTTGGTCTTAAGTGCCCCTTGACTGCCACCTGCTGTAGAAAGTAGCTCCTGGGAGCCAAGCCCTCTCTCTTCTGTATCCCTGCTGCACTTCATCTAATCAGACTAGCTGACACTTACCAGGCTTCTACTATGTGCCAGGCACAGTTCTAAGCATTTTGCATGCACTGCCTCAGGGAATCCTCGTAACAACCTTGTTTTAGAGATGAGAAAGCTGAAGTCCATCCGTCATTTGTACAGCAATTTGTATATCGCCCAGTGTCCTTTAGACCAGCGGTCCCTAACCTTGTTGGCACCAGGACCGGTTTCATGGAAGACAATTTTTCCATGGACTGGAGTGGGGGAGATGGTTTTGGGATGAAACTGTTCCGCCTCAGATTCTCAGGCATTAGATTCTCATAAGGAGCATGGGACCTAGATCCCTTCCCTGCGTGCTTCACAATAGGGTTCACATGCCCATGAGAATCGAATGCTGCCACTGATCTGTCAGGAGGCGGAGCTCAGGTGGCCATGCTCGCTCACCCACCGCTCACCTCCTGCTGCGTGACCTGGTTCCTAACAGGCCACGAACTGGTACTGGTCTGCGGCCTGGGGGCTGGGGACCCGTGTTAGACCACCCTTCAGAGGCAGAGGGTTTATATAACCCCCATTTTACAGATGAAGAGACGGAGGCCTGGATTGTTTTTCACGTATTGCCTAACTTTCCACAGGCCCACAGCTAGTAAGTCACAGAGCAGGGGCTTGAACCCAGCCATTCTGGCTCCAGTGCCTACACCCGTAACAACGCTTCCCCCTGCAATGACATTGGGATTGAGGTCTGCCGCAGGGGTTGTCTGTCAGGTATAGGGCTGAAGCGGTGTGCTCAAATGTGGGGTCAAGCCTGGCTCTCCTGCTGCCTAGACTTTGGGACAGGTACTTGACCTCTTTGGGCCTTGTTTTTTTTTGTTTGTTTGTTTTTGAGACACACTGTTTCTCTGAAGCCCAGGCTGGAGTGCAATGGCACGATCTTGGCTCACTGCAACCTCTACCTCCTGGGTTCAAGCAATTCTCCTGCCTTAGCCTCCCAAGTAGCTGGGATTACAGGCACCCACGACCATGCCTGGCTAATTTTTGTATTTTTAGTAGAGACGAGGTTTCACCATGTTGGCCAGGATGGTCTCGAATTTTTGACCTCAGGTGATCCACTTGCCTCGGCCTCCCAAAGTGCTAGGTTTACAGGCATGAGCCACTGCGCCCGGCCTGGGCCTCATTGTTTAAAAGTATAAAACAGAGGTTAGAACTGCACCCCCTGTCTAGGTGGTTGTGGGAAGGGTAAGTCAAGCGCTGCACACAGTCTGGTGCATGGTGAATACTCACCACAGTGCTCTGGCCACGTGACTCACCTGCTCATCAAGCCTGTGAATTCTCAGAGGGCACATCAGTGTCGCAGCCCTCTCTGTACCTGGTAGCTAGTAAGTGCTCAGCAAGTATGCGCTAGCTGAATCCGTACTATTGAGGGGGTTCCTGCTTTAATTAGGAAGTGTCTTTTTACACACACTCTAGCTCAAGAAGCTTTTATTTTTATTTTTTGAGACGGAGTCTCCCTCTGTCGCCCAGGCTGGAGTGCAGTGGCGCAATCTCGGCCCACCGCAAGCTCTGCCTCCGGGGTTCACGCCATTCTCCTGCCTCAGACTCCTGAGCAGCTGGGACTACAGGTGCCCGCCACCACACCTGGCTAATTTTTTGTATTTTTAGTAGACACGGGGTTTCACCGTGTTAGCCAGGATGGTCTCGATCTCCTGATCTCGTGATCTGCCCGCCTCAGCCTCCCAAAGTGCTGGGATTATAGGCTTGAGCCACTGCGCCCGGCCTAGAAGCTTATATTAAGGGAAAGAAGAATGGAAGGACATGCATTAATATTGTCAACAGGGCTTATCCCCCTTGGTAGTGGGGTGATAGGTAACTTTTTTTTTTCTTTTTTGAGATGGAATCTCCCTTTGTCACCCAGGCTGGAGTAGAGTGGTGTGATCTCGGCTCACTGCAACCTCCACCTCCTGGATTCAAATGATTCTCGTGACTCAGCCTCCCAAGTAGCTGGGATTACAGGTGCCTGCCACCACACCTGGCTAGTCTTTTTGTATTTTTAGTAGAGATGGAGTTTTGCCATGTTGGCCAGGCTGGTCTTAAACTCCTGGCCTCAAGTGATCTGCCTGTCTTGTTGGGATTACAAGCATGAACCACTATGCCTGGCCAGGTAACTTAAAAAAAAAATTAATTTTTTTTTTTGTAGTGATGGGGTCTCACTATGTTACCCAGGCTGGTCTCGAACTCCTGGCCTCAAGTGATGCTTCCTCCTTGGCCTCCCAAATTACTGGGATTATAGGCATGAGCCACAGTGCCCAGCCAACAGGAAACTTTTATGCTTAAGTTTTCCTTTGCACTTTTACATGTTTTCAAAATGTTTTGTAATAAGCATAATGTTACCTTTAAAATTAGAATCTATTTTAAAAGCTAATACAAATTTTGAAAGGTTAAATAAGTTAGGACTAAGTGACTTTTTCAGACATCCCTAGGTTATAAATCCTTGACTATTCCTCTATGGCAGGCAGCTTAGCAGTCTACTTCTGGGGTCCCTTGGAAAAATAAAGCTGGATAGGCCAAAATTTTGGTCATCTGCAAAGGGGAAGGCTGAGAAACCAGTGCCCAAATAGCTGGATGACTTTGGTCCTAGTTTCCACTCAACATTGTGCTGACCTGGACTTGGCTCGAACTGGCGATGGGACTCAGTCACTTGATGGTCCTCCCAGCTAAAGACCTGGAGAGCTCTGGCGAGCTGGACCTGCAGGCCCAAGGGACTTACGCTAACTGCCGCAGCAGCTCTGTGGAGCTTTTCCCACCAACACAGTTGAGAGCAAGCCGTGGCTGGGGCATGTCCTGGAAAACAACAAAAGTGCAGTGAGGGAGCATCCCCGCTCTACATATGGGGTCTGAAGCTTGCCCAAGTGCTGTGTTAAAAGGAGGGAGTAAATGAGATGTTTATGCCTTTGTTTGCGTGCACGTACTTATGTATATGTGTGTGTGTTTATGCCTTTGAACTCACCTTTTTCTCTGCTTAGGAAGTGTCTTTTCTTTCTTTTTTCTTTTTCTTTCTAAGACAGGGTCTCGCTCTGTTACCCAGGCTGGAGTGCAGTGGTGCAATCATGGCTCACTGCTACCTTACCCTCCTGGGCTCAAGCAATCCTCCCACCTCAGCCTCCCAAGTAGCTGGGACTGCAGATGAGTATCATGATGACCAGATAATTAAAAAAAAATGTTTTTTTGTAGAGACAGAGGTCTCACTATGTTGCTCAGGCTAGTCTCAAACTCTCAGACTCAAGCAATCCGCCTGCCTTGGCCTCCCGAAGTGCTGGGATTACAGGCATGAGTCACCTCATCCAGCCAAGAAGGGCCTTTTCTGTAGCAACTTAATCCTGTTGTCCATTTTAGGACCTGGCAGAACTCATCTTCTCTGGGAAAGAATAGGCAAAGGGCATCTGCATGCAGTTTGGTGGGTTTCAGCTCCCTGTGTGCCCCCCTTTTCAGTTCTTTGACTCAGCTGATATTATATATGCTGATCTACTGCTTCAGAAATGTTCGCAAGAAGCGCATGCTCTTGAGTGTGTGTCTTTGGTTCCTCCAGATGGTTCAGTGAAAAGGGGCTGAGGGTCTGGTCACTTACTAGGCATGTTGTGGGGTGGAGGTTCTGGAAGGTTAAGAGGCTTTGAGTTCGGAGAGACTGAGGCCAGCTCTGACTCTCTGGAGCCCTTATAAACTATATGATTTTGGTTAAGCATTTCCTCTTTTCTGAGTCTTAGTTTCCTAATCTGTAAAACAGATAACAGTTCCTTTGAAAAGCTTTTGTGGAAATCATCAGATAAAATGTAAGGCAGGTGGTTGGGAAAGGTTACTTCTTTTCTTTCTCTTTCTGTGTCTCTGTTTCCTCAGGTCCTCTCCTGCCAGTTCTAAGAGTCACACATGTGGGCTGATGCGGCCCACCACAAACGTTTAAACTGCAAGTCATACTGGGTTTCCTAAACTCTGTTTCTCATGCCTCCCTCCCAGCATCTGGGCACTTAATGCGTGCTGCCTGCCGCCTGGCTAGGGGGAATGGGCTTTAACCAACCAAGAGGCAAAGGGAGGTTTCCAGAGAGGAACAATGGGGCCAGTCCCCAGTTTCTCTAATGCATGTCAACTTTCTTCAGGGAGATGTGCGTGGACTGGAGGGGCAATGTCCCTCTTCCTAGGTACCTTAAAGAAGTTTTTCATTTCGGGCCTTCTTAGCTCCTCTTCTGTGATGACATGCTCAGCCCCCAGACTCTTCAGTCTGTCACTCAGCTTCTGGATATCAGGTCTGGAAACCAAACATAGGTCCCTGGTCACATCTGCCAGCTTTTTCCACCAAAGCCCCCCAGGACCTCTCTGCCACAGCTGGGAGAACCCGTGCTTCTTTTTGCAGGAAGCTGGGATTAGGTTTAAGCCAGGCTTGAGCAGGGACCAGCCACCTAATTTCATGCAGCTTCAATAGCTCTTGGCTGTCTCCTCACTGGCAACAGAGTGAGACTGGGTGGTTTTCACAGGCCCTGACAGCTCAATAGTGTTAGAAGCCATCTGTGCCCAGGGAGAAGTCACTTAACTTCCTGATTTCTTCTACTGAAAGGACAAACTCCACTTCCCCCCTCTTTTCAAGTGGTTCTTCAGAGTGTTGGACATACACAGTCTAGACCAGGAGTGGCTCTGGGTCTCTTTGGTTAAGGCAAATGGAATTATTTTTGCGAGTACAACTGAGGAACTGAAGCTGGTGTCGATTATACTAAGAGTGGGCTTCCATGACAGCCACAGCCACATTCATGGACAGTGAGGCCTAGAGAAACTGGACGATATGATGGAAAGAGAGTAAGTGAGGAAACCGAGTCTATTACTGACTTGCTGTGTCTTCCAGGGCAAGCTGCTCCCTGAAACTTCAGTTTCCTCATCTGTAAAAGACAGATGACAAACCTGCCCCTGTCTCCTTCACGTCTGTATTTAGCGCACTTCCAAGTACCACACAAAAGCAAGGGTAAAGGGGCCTTGGGTTAGACAGTTCACAGAAAGAATAATACAGCTCAAATCATTCCCAAATATCAACTGGGGTTTTGAAAACATGAGGTTATCACAAGCCAAGAGTCTCAGAAAGTCTTAGCTATTCAGTAAGGGCAGTCTCCACCTCCTTCCTGCCCTCTCTTTACATGTCAGATTCACTCATCCTATCGCCAAAAGCCAGCTGGACTTCATTTCTTAGGACTGACTCATCTGTTTCAGCCGCCAACTGTTAGCGATGCCTAAAGCCAGTTTATGCTTATGCAAGGGCGCCCTCTGGTGGACAACTGGGCACCGCAGGGATGGGAGGTGGGAAAGACCCAAGACATGGTCTGGGATGAAGCCTCCTTCCCCACGCACCTGTCTCGGACCACATTGATGGTTCTTAGGCCCAGGGCTGCGGCGATCTGGATGACTGCTTGCCCCACTCCGCTGTTGGATGCATTCTGGATGACAGAATCCCCTGTGGAGCCAGGAAGAGAACCAAATCAAGCCCTGTATAGATCTGCAATAGGTCAAAGGCTCCCAGCCGGGGATCCTTCTGTAGGCAAGGGAGTCCTCAGGCTCAACAGGGACCCAGGACCTGGCTGCTGAGTCTTCTCAGACCTTCCACTGTTTCTCACTGTTCTCCTAATGCCTCCTAAACTTCCACAACACTCACGATGCCTCCCAGGACTTGGCAACTCAGCATCTACACTGGATATAATTTAGACCCTGCCCTGCTATGTAAAATATTTTATAGCCTTCGTCATCCTCCCAACTTTTATGTCCTCAAGTCTTTACTTAGGTTATTTCCTTGGTTTGCAATGTTTCCCTCCTTCTCTCTTCCTTCCTATTGAAATCCTGTAGATCCTTTGAAGCGCAGCTCAAGTGCAGCCTTCATGAAGCCTTCCTGGATTGTTCCCTCTATGTGCTCCCACAGTGCTCTGTGGGCATCTGTATTAATGCACATACCACGGTCTGCCCCATCTTACACTTCATTGTATATAGGTCCATTTCTATCAACAGCTTGCAGCTTCTTGAGAGGGAAGGGTCATGCCCTATTCCTCTCTGCAGTGTTTAATAAAGGTGCACTGCCTTGAAATGGGATTACAGCTGCGCTGGAGAAACTGGCAGCCCCTGAAACAGGGTCCTACAGTTCTGTGGCAAAGCCCAGGTTTAGCTTTGGACCTGGCCATTGGGGAAGGCGGTGTGACATGCTGGGAAAAATGTGGGCTCTGGAATGAGACAGATCTGGGCATGAGTCTCAGTTTCACCAATGATTGTAACTAAACAGACAGGGCAAGTCATGACCTCTGTGAACTTCAGTTTCCTTCCCTTAAAATATAATCCCAGCTACTAGGGAGGCTGAGGCAGGAGAATCGCTTGAACCCGGGAGGTGGAGGTTGCAGTGAGCTGAGATCGCGCCACTGTACTCCAGCCTGGGTGACAGAGCGAGACTCCCTCTATTAAAAAAAAAAAGTGCCCCCGATTAGAGTCAAATGCATCGTGTCCGGGAAAGTGCTTTGTTGAATTTGAAATGCTATCTGGTTTTTGAGAGGCAGCAGGGATCTGTCACACAACGGGCTGAAACTAGAGATAGAGGACTTCCTGGAAGAAGAATGCCCACTCGTCTTCACCAGGGGTCAACGTACAGGTTGTCACCCACCAGTGGATTATGAATCAATCTAGTTGGTTGCAAGCACCTTTTTTTTTTAAAGTTAAAATTGAGAAGAGAATAAAAAATAACAGAGTATGTCACACATAGTAAGGGTATTTCACGAAACTTTGGTTTCCATTATATATATATTCCTATTTGTATAAACTGATCACAATATAAAATGTAATTCTTACCATGTGTCAAGATCCTAAGTTTATTCAACAGTGATCTAGTTCAGGCCATATCAGCCTTGAGGCAGGAAAGTGGAGAGGTGTGCAGTGGGTACTTAGGGTGGGCAGCGTCGAAATGCCTAGATCTGTTACTACAGCTGCAGCCTAAATGGGAGGTGGCTTTAGGGCATGGGATGCAAGCAAACAAAGTGTCTGCTGCACTAGGACTCCAGCAAAGGTCCCTGGTCACAGCCACTGGCTTTCTCCACCAAAGGCTCCCAGGAACCATCTGCCATAGTTGCAAGAAACCTATATTTCTCTTGTGGGAACTGGCATCGGCTTTCAGCCAGGCCTTGGACAGTGGCTGGGCACCATGTTTCATCACACTCCAACAACTGTGGGCCTCAGTTTCTTCGCTGGTATGAGAGGTGGCTTGGGTGAGTTCTACAGCCACTGCGGCTCACGGATGTGCATGGATGTGCATGGTGTGCAGAGGCAGCCCAGGAGGTTAATGCCCTTAGGGCGACCCTTAAACAATGGGGTGTGAGAATTAGTGGAAAACTGGCCCAGCCTCTCATCATTCAAGGGTTAGTTTTTGTTTTGTTTTGTTTTGTTTTGTTTTTGAGATGGTGTCTTGCTCTGTTGCCCAGGCTGGAGTGCGGTGGTGCAATCTTGGCTCACTGCAACTTCCGCCTCCCGGGTTCAAGCGATTCTCCTGCCTCAGCCTCCTGAGTAGCTGGGGTCACAGGCGCTGCCACCACGCCGGGCTAATTTTTGTATTTTTAGTAGAGACGGGTTTTCACCATGTTGGCCAGGCTGGTCTCAAACCCCTGACCTCAAGTGATCTGCCAGCTTCAGCCTCCCAAAGTGCTGGGATTACAGGCATGAGACACCATGCCTGGCCTTAAGGGTTAATTCTGCAGTGGGTTCTGAGAGTCTTCAGAGGGCCCCAGCAAGACTGAGCAGGCCGGCTGGGGGTGGGTGGCTCGCGCCTGTAATCCCAGCACTTTGGGAGGCTGAGGTGGGCGGATCACAAGGTCAGGAGTTAGAGACCAGCCTGGCCAATATGGTGAAACCCCATTTCTACTAAAAATACAAAAATTAGCCAGGCATGGTGGCAGGCACCTGTAGTCTCAGCTACCTGGGAGGCTGAGGCAGGAGAATCCCTTGAACCCGAGAGGTGGAGGTTGCAGTGAGCCCACGCCACTGCACTCAAGCCGGGGCGACAGAGCACGACTGTCTCAAAAAAACAGCCGGAGCAGTAGTTGCCCGCAGCAGTAACCGGGCTTCATGGGCTTTGCCTCCATCTCTGTCTCACTCTCCCCACTCCCCTTCATTTCTTCTTCCCAAACAAACTCTCTGCACCCAGTGCTGGTCTTAGGCTCTGCTTTCAGAGAAACCCAAATAAAAACACTTGGCTCTGTCATTTACTCCCTGGCTGATCTCATGCAAATAGTTTACCTTTCTGGACCTCAGTTTTCCCATTTATGAAAGGGAAGAAGAATATAAGCAGCGGACAGTCTCTGCACTGTATGCCCAGCACTGTGTGAAGTATTATGCTGTAGTGTTTCACCCTCCACGTTCTTTATTCTCCATTTTACAGAAGAAAAATCTGATGATTTGAGAGGCAAATTCACAGTCAGGGAAAGGTGAAGCCTGGGGTCAGACCCAGGTTATCTGCCCAGAGCTTGAGCTCTTAACCAATGATGGTACCAACCTTACTGCAATGCTGTGAAGATTTCATGCACTCAACGGGGATAATGCCTGTCAACGCACTTCTGTGAACTGGAAAGTGCTATGTAAACGCTGAGTGGAATTATTAACACTAAGTTCAGCATTTTATTGAAAACATAGGGACTGTGTCTATCTTGTCTGCCTTTGTATCCCAGAGCTTAGCCCCAGCTCAACACATTTTTGCTGAATGACAGAATTCAATCCCAAGCTCTAGAGAATGTGACCCTGCAGCAGTTTTCGAGAGTGTACTCCTCATGAGGTTTCAGCATGTTTCCTAGGAACCAAGCTAACATCTTTCTAAGTGAAAGCAACAACATTCACCCAGGTGAGAGGTCCATCACCCCCTCAAAACCTCCACCTTGCAAGTTCTCCTGGCCTTGGGGTCAGGATGTGAGTGGCACCCTAGTTGCGAGACCCTGGCCTGCTCCCCCAACCTGTGGGTTCCTACCTGGCTGCAGTTGCTCGAAGTCCATCAACATCCTGTAGGCTGTGCAGGGATTGACACCCAGGGTGGCAGCGCTCTGAAGAGGGATGTCACTCGGAACTTGGATCAGTGCTTCCTCGCTGAACACAGCCTCGGTCCGCCAGGTTCCTGAGTCAGAAGATGAAGCCAGGATCATAAGGAAGGAGCCCTGTGCACATTCAACCCCAGCTCACCCTCCTTGGCCAAGAAGCATCCAGGATAGTGGGTAGCATCCACTGGAAGCATCCAGGATAGCATCCAGGATGTTTAGAAAAAGAAGAAAATCTGGACGTTCCTCTGAATGTCTGAGTCCTCATGATAATTATGCACAATAGATTGTTATTCTTTTTAATTTTTTTTTTGGAGACAGAGTCTTGCTCTGTAGCCCAGGCTGGAGTGCAATGGCGCGATCTTGGCTCACTGCAACTTCCGCCTCCTGGGTTCGTGATTCTTATGCTGCAGCCCCCTGAGTAGCTGGGATTACAGGCATGCACTACCATACATGGCTAATTTATTTATTTTTAGTAGAGACAGGGTTTTGCCTTGTTGGTCAGGCTGGTCTTGAACTCCCGGTCTCAGGTGATTCGCCTGCATCGGCTTCCCAAAGTGCTGGGATTACACACATGAGCCACTGTGCCTGGCCCAAAATAGACAGTCATTCTTATCTTAAACATGTAGTAAAAATGGGGTGTGGTGGCTCATGCCTATAATCTCAGCACTTTGGGAGGCAAGGTGGGAGGACTGCTTGAGGCCAGGAGCTCAAGACCAGCCTGGGCAACATAGTGAGACCTTGTCTCTACAGAAAAAAAAAAAAAAAAAATTAGCTGGGCATAATGCCCTGCAGTCCCGGCTTCTCATGAGGCTGAAGTGGGAAGATTGCTTGAGCCCAGTAATTTAAGGACACAGTGAGCTATGATTGTGTGACTGCACTCCAGCCTCGGTGACACAGCAAGAACCTGTCTCAAAAAAACCCAAAAAACAAAAAACAAACCAAAACAAAATATGCCAAATACCATTGTAAGGGCGATTCAGAGAGGCTGCTTCTCTGAGTTACCATTAGATTTAGTTAATGTCACCGTGCAGGTAGTTAATGACCTCAAACTGCTGCAATCTAAGGGTAAGACAGTAGTAACATTACCACCAGGGCAGGAGAAGCTGAGAAAGCCCCCTTTTTCCTACACAGTCCTCATTCTTCTCATCCAGAGCAGGTTGACTCACATGTTTTTTTTTTTTAAGATGAAGTCTTGCTCTTGTCTCCCAGGCTGGAGTGCAATGGCATGATCTCGGCTCACTGCAACCTCTGCCTCCTGGGTTCAAGCGATTCACCTGCCTCAGCCTCCCGAATAGCTGGGATTACAGGCACCTGCCACCACGCCCGGCTAATTTTTGTATTTTTAGTAGAGATGGGTTTCACCATGTTGGCCAGGCTGGTCTCGAACTCCTGACCACAGCTGATCCGCCCGCCTCGGCCTCCCAGAGTGCTGGGATTACAGGCGTGAGCCACTGCGCCCGGCCTGACTCAGGTAGTTTTAGGCAACAAAGCATAAAAGTAGAAGTCAAGAGCACAGATGCCAAACCTGGTTTTGCTATTCTGCTAGTTTGAGAAAATTCCTGTCACTGAGTTTTAGTTACTCTAATGTGTAAATAGCACAGGCAAGAACAGCCTGACTCGCCTCCTCCAGGAGCTACTGTAGAAATCAAATGAGATAAGGAAATGAAAAATTCTATAAGCTTGAAAGAAATGAGCATCAACTCCCAGCCCACATTCCAGTTCCAGACAAAAGAATTCTAGAATGTCAGTACTGAGAAGGCCCTTATCGAACATCGACTTTGAACCCCTCATGCAACAGGGGAGGAAATGAGGAAGTGACTTGCCCAGAGCCCCCTGGCTTATCTAGGCAGAGTTGGAGCTGGAACCTGGGTATCTGGGCTGCCTTCCTTCCATCTACAGATATTTATCTTGCACCCAGGCACTTGAACAATACAGACAGTTTCCTTAGTTTCATTCTAGTGGAGTCGAACAGGTGAAAAAAAGCAGATATGATAATGATAAATTATAAAGAGACAGGAACATCAAGAGAATTACTTTAGATGGGAGTCAAGGATACTTCTCTGAGGAGGTGACAGGCTAAGAGTGAAAGGATAGAGGTGCTACCGTCTCAGAGCACACAAAGAACATCTTAGGTAGGGCATGCAGCAGATGCAGAGATGCTGTAGCAGGACAAAGGACTGGGATGGGATGATGCTGCACCGCAGGGTGGAGAGTGATGGGAAGAGTGGCTTGAGACATGGCTGGCCTGGCTGATGCAGCAGGGGCCGGGCAGGTGATATTAGACTTTCAGAATTCTGACCCACAGTAACCATGAGTTCCACTGTGAATTCGTACATATACATACATGAATGTACGTGTAACACAAGCCTGTGTTTCACAGAATACTTACCCTTACTATGTGTGATACTCTGCTATTTTTCATTCTTTTCTGCTCAACTTTAATTTTAAAAAGTGCTATTTGCAACTCACTAGATTGATTTCTCGAATGGGTCACAACCTGTGGTATGAGAACATGACCTCAGCACTGTGGTATGGAGAACTGATCTTGTTTTAGTGAATGAGTGAGTGGGAAGCCTGTAACAAGCTTTAAGAGGAGACTGAGATGATCCGATGTATGCTTTAAGATCACTTTATTGCTGGGTGAAGACTGTGGAGTGGGGAGGGGCAGCGTGGAAGCCAGAGGTCTTTGTGGGGGTCGAGGTATGAGATGATGGCTGCCTAGTCTGGGACTTTGGCAGTGGGGATGAGGAACAGAAGATGGATTTGAGTTCTATTTTAAAGACAGAATCAATAGGATTTGGTGAGGACTGCGTGAGGGGTCTGCACTCACACAGGCAGGATCTTGTATGAAGAAGGGGTGAAGAGGGTAGGCTTTGGAGTCAGAGAGACTCCAGCCTTGGTTCCACAGTGTCCTCACTGTGTCACCTTAGGGAAATTGCTTGGAGCCTTGTTGGCTCAGCATCTGGTCACAGTGGCAGCTCGGGGCCCTTGGCCTATGCTTCCAAAGCTCTTGGGCATGCCTGCTCACTATCCAGTTGCTGGGATTCTAATGGTGTCCTGGTCCTATGTGGGTCAGCTGTGGGAAGCAGGGGGCAGCCTGGGTAATCACTAACTGTGCTATAGGAAACGGGGATGTCAATGTGGGCTTTAGGGACCAAGAACTGGGGACAGGAGGCAGGAACACTTTTTTTTTTTTTTTTGAGATGGAGTCTTGCTTTGTCGCTCAGGCTGGAGTGCAGTGGCACGATCTCAGCTCACTGCAAGCTCTGCCTCCAAGGCTCCCGCCATTCTCCTGCCTCAGCCTCCCAAGTAGCTGGGACTACACGTGCCCGCCACCACACCCGGCTAATTTTTTTGTATTTTTTAGTAGAGATGGGGTTTCACTGTGTTAGCCAGGATGGTCTCGATCTCCTGACCTCGTGATCCGCCCATCTTGGCCTCCCAAAGTGCTGGGATTATAGGCATGAGTCACTGTACCCGGCCCAGGAACACTTTTTATAGAAGGCTGTGTCAATCCTAGAGTAGGTCTATGGCTGAGAAAATAAGAGACTGAAAAGGCGAGGATTCCTCTGTAATCCAGGAAGTGCCCCAGCATCCTGTGGGCTTCCCCCGGACTGGCCTTCAAATCATCGTTCCCATTCATCTCAGCTAACACTTACTGTACTCTACCGTGCACCAAATGCTTAGTGCAGGGCTTTCTATGTATGAAATCCAGGGCATTTTCTAATTCCCCTTATGGCACGACAATGGAAATCCAACCCTTGATATGGATTTCTGGGGCTTAGCAGTCCCTAATCCTCTTCTCAAGAGACTCTGGGTGGGAGGGAGGCAGCACCCGTGGTCAGAGACAAGGGCTTTCAGGGTTTCAAGTAGAACTCTTAGGCTTGAAGTTGGAGAGACCTGCTTAAAAACCCTGGCTCTACCACTCACTAGTGTGTGACTTTGAATGATCACTTCACCTTTTTTGAGTTTCCATTTCCCTAATCTGTGAAATGCAGAGAGTAACACTTATGTCATAGTGTGAAGATTAAACTAAAGACATTTGTACAGAGACTATCACTATGCCTAGTACACAGTGGGTGTATAACACACATTGTTTTCCTTTAATGATGCTAATTCCCAGACTTTAGCTCTGAGGATTCCCAATTCCTCAGTCATATGCAACTGACCCTTAACCATCTCCATTGTTGAACTTGGGGGTCAGCAAACTGTGGCCTGTGGGCTAAATCTGCCTCACCACTTGTTTTTGTAAATAAAGGGTTTTTTTTTTTTTTGTTTTGAGACAAGAGTCTTACTCTGTTGCCCAGGTTGGAGTGTGGCTTACTGCAACTTCTGCTTCCTGGTCTCGAGCTATCCTTCCATGTCAGCCTCCCCAGTGGCTGGGACTACAGGTGTACGCTGCCACACTTCGCTAATTTTTTGTAGAGATGGACTTTCACCAAGTTGCCCAGGCCATTCTTGAACTCTTGGACTCAAGCGATCTGCCCGCCTTGGCCTCCCATGCTGGGATTACAGGCATGAGCCACCATGCCTGGTCCTGTAAATAAAGTTTTATTGGAACACAGCCATGTTCACTCAATTGTTTATATATTGCCTGTGGCTGTTTACGATAGTAGAGTTGGGTAGTCACAAAGATGATATAGCCTACGAAGCCTAAAATATTTACTATTTGGCCCTTTAAGATAAAAATTTGCCAACTCCTGATCTAATGCATACAGAAATTTGGCATTTGCAAAGATCATTGCATATATTCTCAGTTGAGTACTGCTGAGACATGCTAGGCAGTGACAATTAGTCCCATTTTCGAGATGAAAAAACTGAGGCTCAAAGTAGCTGTGACTTAAATTAGGTCATACAGCGGAGCTGGAAAGAGAACTTGCCCCCTGATTCCAAAGCCAGTGCACTTTCTACGGCTCTGTGCTTCCTCAGGAAGGTTTTGCATATTTCCCAAGGAGAAAGTCAGTTGGCAAAGATCTATCCACACCATCTGGTCTGGTCTCCCCTGGGATTGGCTGCACGTGGGAAAAGGCTGGCTATGGGCTTAGCAACAGCTAGGCAGCTCAGAACCATGAAAAATGACCAAGCTGTGGCCAACTAAGAACTTACCTGTTTAATAGTTGCCACTCTTACTAAATGGCAGTCTTCACGAGAAGAAAGACCATGTCTGTTCACTGCTGTGTCCTCAAGCCCAGCATGCTGCAGATGCTCACAAAATGTTTACTGAATACACTGAGTTAATTGCAGTCCTCACAATTATAAAATCCTCATCCTCTCTGGCTGGCACCTTGCTTAAAAGACTCACCTGCTGGCCAGGCGCAGTGGCTCAATGCCTGTAATCCCAACATTTTGGGAGGCCGAGGCGGGCAGATCACCTGAGGTCAGGAGTTCAAGACCAGCCTGGCCAACAAGACGAAACCCCATCTCTACTAAAAGTACAAAAATTAGCCAGGTGTAGTGGTGGGCGCCTGTAGTCCCAGCTACTCGGGAGGCTGAGGCAGGAGAATTGCTTGAACCCATGAGGTGGAGGTTGCAGGTTGCAGTGAGCCAAGATTGCACCAGCCTGGGCAACAGAGCGAGACTCTGTCTCAAAAGATAAACAAAACAAAACAAAAGAATCACCTTTTCTCCAGGGAAGAATCCCTGTTCTGGGTACCCCCACCACCACATGTACAATTACCCATACACCTGGCAGACATCCTTTATTGTTCTCTTCTCCAAACTGAAAGTATTGCCAAGTCCTGTTACTTTAGCCCTTGACTCCATGCCCTCTTCTCCAGCCCTACGACACTGTCTTATTCAGACCCTCACACTTCATCATCTGAAGCCTGACTTGTTTGCCCACCTCCTCACTGGCTTTCTGCCTCCACCCTCTGCCTTTCCAGACCAATGGTTTCCAGACCATTCTCTGCATTGCACAAATCCTATCAAATCATTCCTCTACTTAACTCTCTGTTGGTACCCCTCGCACCGTGGATGCAGGACCGCTGGGACCCAGCCCCACCCCACCTTTCCAGCTCCATCTCACTTCTCTCCCACTCGCACCCATGAGCCAGCCACCCTGAGCTACCTGCAGTTCCCCACCAGTGCTGTGCCTTCTCTCATCACTTACGTTCACACACGCTGCACTCTGTGCCTGGGAAGCCCCTCCTCACCTAGCCCACTGGCTGCACTTCCAGCAGCTCTTCCAGACTGAGTTCAAGCATCACTTCTCTGGGAAGCCTTTCTTAACGCTTTCCAAGATAGAGGACTCTTGTCTTGGTGTCAATCCTGTGATTATGGCACTTGTAATACTGTATTGTATTAAGTGTTGTTTTTCCATTTCTGGGCCTCCCACTGCCAGCCAAGAGCACTCTGAGGGCAGGAACTGTCTGCTCACCTTGATAGGACCTTCACTTAGCACGGGGGCTGGCCCGAAGCACTGGCATCAGGATCCAGTGAATCCTTGCAGCTCTCAATTTGCTCAAATGGCTGAGCTCCTTCACCGCCAGGTGGGTGTAGGAGACGGTGGAGCCATTCTTGGCAGCCTTCCTGATCTCAGAGAAGCAAAGAGCTTGTAGTAGACTCCTATTACTGTTTTTTTTTTTCCTGCCTAGTATCTTTTTCTCTCTACAAGTGCTCCTTCCTAATCTCTGGGGCTGTCAACCACAAGGCCCCACCTGTATCACAGAGGAGGGTGAGAGACTCAATCAGAGCAACCGGAGTGGCCCTACCCCGCCCCAGGGGACTGGTTCAGGGATGGGCAAGGCCCATTCAGGGCCCTTCTGGGGGATGGATATGGTTGTGCTGGACATGATTGTGGAGGATATGCTCATTTGTTTGTTTTTAGGGTGATATGAACCTCAGGCTGCTGGTGGCCATCTATGAGAGGTATGTATCAGAGTGGATCTGAATTCTAACTCCATCACTTTTGGCTGGGTGACCTTGGACAAACTGCTTAACAGTTTACAGTTTTCTGCTGCATTTACTGTTATATCACCTGCAAAGTGGGAATGATGAGGTATCCATCTCATGTTGTGGGAACAATTGAGTTAATATACATGAAGTGCTTAGAGCAGTGCCTGGCACAAAGAGAGTGGCCAATAAATATTTGTTGGTTTGATTATATCAATATGTGGGGAGATCTCATCTAAGAACAAGTGAGAGACACAACTCTGATAGTACTGGGGTTCCTGGATCTAGCTGAACCCGAAGCTTTCACTCTGTTACACTTCCCAGTTCCACAAATCAACTTTCTTTTTTTTTTTTTTTTTTGAGATGGAGTCTTACTCTGTCGCCCAGGTTGGAGTGCAGTGGCACAATCTCGGCTCACTGTAACCTCCGCCTCCTGGGATCAAGTGATTCTCCTGCCTCAACTTCCCGAGTAGCTGGGACTACAGGTGCACGCCACCATGCCTGGCTAATTTTTTATTTTTAGAAGAGACGGGGTTTTACCATGTTGGCCAGGCTGGTCTCAAACTCCTGACCTCAGGTGATCTGCCTGCCATGGCCTCCCGAAGTTCTGGGATTACAGGCATGAGCCACTGCGCCTGGCCTTATTTTTTTTTTTTTTTGGAGATGGAGTCTCACTCTGTTGCCCAGGCTGGAGTGCAGTGGCATGATCTCGGCTCACTGTAGCCTCCACCTACTGAGTTCAAGAGATTCTCCTGCCTTAGTCTCCCGGGTAGCTGTGACTACAGACGCATGCCACCACACCCGGCTAATTTTTTTATTTTTATTAGAGACAGGGTTTCACCATGTTGGCCAGGCTAGTCTTGAACTCCTGATCTCAGGTGATCCACCACCTCGGCCTCCCAAAGTGCTGGGATTACAGGCGTGAGCCACCACGCCTGGCCCCAACTTCTTTTTTTAAAGCAAGTTTGAGCTGGGTCGCTGTAAGTTACAACCCAGAAGATCATAACACTGGTGTGTAATGGGAACCCAGGAGAAAGAATCCAGTGGGCACTCTCATTTTGCTGTTTGACTTTGGGCCAGGGCTTTACTTCTCAAGCTTCAATTTATGTCCAATGGATGGATAATACCTGCCCTGCTTCCCTCTTGTAGCTGCTGTGAGGATCAATAACAGACGTGCCTTGAAAACTGTTAAGTGCTAAAAACAAAACTCACCTATGACTCCTTATAATATATCAAACAAAATCCTACTCATTAGCTTGGCTTGGGCAGGGCCTTACCCCATGTGGACACAAGCTACCTTTTTAAAAAAAAATAGACAGGGTCTCACTCTGTTGCCCAGGCTGGAGTGCAATGGTGCGATCATAGCTCACTGTAGCCTAGAACTCCTGGGCTCACGTGATTGAACCTGCCTTTCTGGCCTTCTTTCTCACTCGTGCAATCCTCTCCCATATGCAAACCCTCTGCTGAGGCTACAATGGATTTTCCACCATTTCCCAATCTCACCTTTGTGTCTTTCCTCATTTTACATCCTCCACATGAAGTGAATTTTGGCTCATCTCCATGTATAAACAAAATTCAGACTCGGCACAGTGGCTCATGCCTGTAATCCCAGCACTTTGGGAGGCTGAGTGGTGGGTCACCTGAGGTTAGGAGTTTGAGACCAGCCTGGTCAACATGATAAAACCCCCTCTTTACTAAAAATACAAAAATTTGTCGGGCGTGATGGTGTACACCTGTAATCCCAGCTACTCGGGAGGCTGAGGCAGGAGAATCGCTTGAACCTGGGAGGCTGCAGTAAGCCGAGATCGCGTCACTGCACTCCAGCACAGGTGACAAAGTGAGACCCTGTCTCAAAAAAAAACAAAACAAGGCCAAGCGTGGTGGCTCAGGCCTGCAGTCCCAGCATTTTGGGAGGCCGAGGCAGGCGGATCCCTGAGGTCAGGAGTTTGAGACCCAGCCTGGCCAACATGGTGAAACCCCATCTCTACTAACAATACAAAAATTAGCCGGGCGTGGTGGTAGGCGCCTGTAATCCCAGCTACTTGGGAGGCTGAGGCAGGAGAATCACTTGAACTGGGGAGGCGGAGGTTTTGGTGAGCTGAGATCGCGCCATTGCACTCCAGCCTGGGCAATAAGAGCAAAACTCCGTCTCAAAATAAATAAATAAATAAAAAAAATAAACCCTGCATTACCCAGGTACACTCGGCCAATCAGTGGATGCCGACAGAGTGGGTGAAATAGGATCTGGAAGAACGAATAGGCAGCTGACACCTGGAGAAACTCACCTAAACCAGCATTTGCTGGAATCACCCAGTCTCCTGGCTTCAGCCCGGTCACATTGCTGCCCACCGCTACCACCTGTGCAACACCTTCGTTCCCTCCAACAGCAGGCAGTTCAGGAAGGAATCCGTAGTTTCCTGAGGGAGAAGAGCATTAAAGGGTCAACCAGTGATGTTTGGGCAGTGAAAGAGCATGGACTTGAGTCCACGCCATCCTAGGCCTGATCTGGGCTCTGCTTTGGACTGTCTGCCTAACCAACCTCTGAGCCTTAGCTTGCTTGTCTGTATAGGGGGACAATATTCTTTAGTGTTCATGGTTATCATGAAAATCAGGTAACATATGAAATGAAACCAGCATGTCGCAGGCACTTCACAATGCTTAGTTTACTCCCCACTGCAATCTTCTCAAAAAGCCACACATTCCAGAAAAGGGAGGCCAGACAGGGCTGACACAGCCTGCAGACGGCTCATCTGGAGAACAGCTGCTGCTAATCACAGGCATTTCACACCCACACCTGAGGAGGAATGAAAATGAGGTGGCAGCTGAACAAAAAAGCCAATTAACATAAGCCACAGAAACCAAGGTTACCTTGGATCATATTTATGTCAGATGGATTGATAGGGGCCGCCAGCATCTTCACACGGACATCTGATCCTCTCACAGCAGCTAGCTCCAGGTTCTTGAGTCTAAGCACAAAGCCAAACGGAGATGTTCATGTCATCCAGGCTAGAATGGGTGTTTCGCTCAAATCATCTCCTCAAAGTAGGTCAGGCAACATTTCTGAGCTGCCATGTGTGCCCAGGAATTACGGTTCTGTTATAAAAGAGAGGTACCATAAGAAATCAACACAGGAGGCTGGGCGTGGTGGCTCACGCCTGTAATCCCAGCACTTTGGAAGGCCGAGACAGGCGGATAACCTGAGGTCAGGAGTTCAAGACCAGCCTGGCCAACATGGTGAAAACCTGTCTCTACTAAAATACAAAAATTAGCTGGGCGTGGTGGTCGGCGCCTGTAATCCCAGCTACTCGGGTGGCTGAGGCAGAAGAATTGCTTCAACGTGGGAGGCAGAGGTTGTAGTGAGCTGAGATTGTGCCATCCAGCCTGGGTGACAAAGCAAGACTTTGTCTCAAAAAAAAAAAAAAAAAAAAAAAAAAGAAATCAACATAGGATAGAGGTTGACTCTCATTAACTGCAAGTGGAAAACCCACAGTGTTTTTTTTTTTTTTTTTAGACAGAGTCTCACTGTGTCACCCAGGCTGGAGTGCAGTGACACAATCTCGGCTCACTAAAAGCTCCGCCTCCCAGGTTCAAGCGATTCTCCTGCCTCAGCCTCCCAAGTAGCTGGGACTAGAGGTGCCTGCCACCACGCCCGGCTAATTTTATTTATTTATTTTTTTAGTAGAGATGGGGTTTCACTATGTTGGCCAGGCTGGTCTTGAACTCCTGACCTCGTGATCTGCCTGCCTCGGCCTCCTAAAGTGCTGGGATTACAGGTGTGAGCCACTGTGCCCGGTCTTTCAACCCCACTGCCCACTCTGGGACAGGAAACCTCTGCTGGCCTAGATGAGCCCTGTGTTTTCCAAAACTCGCTTAGTTATAAGAATTACCTGGTATGCTCATGGATATAAATTATCAGGCCCACCTCTGATCTACTAAGCCAGAATCTCCAGATGAGGGCACCCCAAGTAGTTCTTACCAACCGGGGTATCTTGGAAATCCCAGGCTAGCTGACATGTCCTCCACATGTTTGATTTTATTCTTGGTCCTAACATATACAGGGGAGAGGAGATATTTCTGTTAGTTGCAGAGTGTGGGCGTAATGGGGAGATGGCCTATGTAGTTCACAAAGAACTCCCTGGATGGCTGTGATTCACTCTGAGTGATGTCCCTTCTGGAGGAGGATTCTTGTCTGGCAGAAAAGACCCTGGGTGGAGGGCTGAAGGTCCTGGGTATAAAGCTCCACTGCAGGATGCCTGGGTCACCATGGGCAAGTTTCTTCTCTGCTCTAGGCTTCTGTTTCTCCATTTGTAAAACAGAGTTGCAGTGGTGGTTTGGACCTGATCCCCTCTGGAAGCCTCTTCCATGTTAAGTGGTAAGTCCCTCTGCTCATGGTGGGTCTTGGACACCATGGTGGCAACATCTTTATCCCAGTGAAACTTTGCTTAATGGGCAAAACCTGCAAGAAGGCTTTTGAGGGAGGCCAAGTGGCAATGTGCATGTGTTACTTTTGTTATTTCAAAAAAGCTTTTTAAAAAAGGAGCTCTGCCAACCAGATACTACTGGTCAGTGTACTGGACCCATGGGGCCTGTGACTTTTTAATCACCAGTGACTGCTTTCTTTCTTTCTCCACACCCCTTAGATTTCATGTTTGCAATGCTTCCCTCTGCCCAAATGCATTTATTAAGTAGTAATTCATTTTTACTTACCCAAGACACATATAACTGCCAACAAGGTTTTTAGCATTAGGCAACAGTATCACCCAACTAAGCTGATGTAATTCCACCTACTTCCTGCAGAAATCTGACCTTTTAATTATACTGGAGGCTTGATCTTGTGGTAAAAGTGTGATTTTGAAGAAATGTTTTATAATAGCTGGGCACGGTGGCTCACGCCTGTAATCCCAGCACTTTGGGAGGCTGAGGTGGATGGATCACGAGGTCAGGAGGTCGAGACCAGCCTGGTCAACCTAGTGAAACCCCATCTCTTCTAAAAATACAAAAATTAGCCAGGTGTGGTGGTGTGTGCCTGTAGTCCCAGCTACTTAATTAAGGAATGTATGTATTTACACATAGCTGGAGGACGGGGAGCCCTTGTAATAGTAATAACTACTGTTTATTCAGTGCTTACCAGTCAGGCACACTGCTAAGTGCTTTACCTGCCAGCCTTCCTATTACAATAGCTCTCATACTATTGTTCTGCTTTTACAGCTGAGGAACAAAGGCTCTAAGAGGTAAACAACTTGCTTATGGCCACTACAAAGTAGCAAGTGGCTGACCTGATTTGAACCTGGCAGTGTGATCTAGAGAAGCCAGCAGGTAAGGGGCTGACCCCACACCAAGCAGAGGGCAGTGAAATGAGCACAGGCTGGACCGGCTGCCGTTGCCTTATGGGGAGATGGAGGGAGCGCTAACAGGTGGGCACTAAGCAAGGAGGCATCAGCCCAGATAGTGATGTTTCACTCTCAATGTGTGTATTAAGTCTGCATTCAAAAGAAAAATCCTGCCCAGAGCAAATGGATTTCGGACTAGCTGCCCCTTTGTATTATCCACAGTGCTTCTCTCCTGTATTTTCACAGATCATCAGAGTTTTTCTGTAAGCTGACAAAATTCATGTGCTCAAGCTGTTTAAAGACATTTTTTCTGCACATTTTCTATACGTTCTTCCTATAGCCCAGAATGTTTTCTTCCACAGCTTCTCTATGAAGTGAGGAATTCAACTCACCCTTCAAGGCCCAGTTCAAAGTTTACTTCCCTTAAGATATCTTTTGACCCTCTTCCTAGTCCAGAAAAAAAAAAAATCACTTGCTCAGTATTCCCATTGTACAGAATTATACATCATGCTATTTAAGACTATCTCATATGAGTTTACTAATGTTTAGTTTGTGAAGCCATTTCATACATTTTTTGTCAATTGATCAGGACAAGACATAGGTTCACAATCCCTTTTCCAAAACTCTTGGGGCCATGTATTATCTACATACCCAATGGGGGCTGTTGTAGCACCCTGTGATCAGATACATGAATGTTTCTGCAGCAAAATGTAGGAATACTCAGGCTAAGTGGGATGAATAAAGACCACATAAAAACCTCGTTAGATCGTTTCCTTCAAATGAGTTATAGAAAAAACCTGTCAGTTTCCAGCGCTTTCAGGATTTTGGAACTGCAGATACAAATTTAAACTTGGATTCAGGTCTTTCAGACTCTGAGTTCAGAGCTCTTTTTACTTATCACCTAGTTTTGCAGTCAGAATATGTGTATATGTGCTATCTCCTTGTTAGACTGTGAGCTCCCAGAGGGCAGAGAAGTTTTAGTCTTAACTCACTGTTGAGCAAATGTCTGGGATCGAACTTTTCTCACTAGTGAGAAAATGTGGCATAACTGCCAGTCATGGCCAGGCATGGTGGCTCACGCCTGTAATCCTGGCACTTTGGGAGGCCGAGGAGGGTGGATCAATTGAGGTCAGGAGTTGGAGACCAGCCTGATCAACATGGCGAAACCCCGTCTCTACTAAAAAAAAAAAAAAATACAAAAATTAGCCAGGCATGGTGGTGTGCTCCTGTAGTTCCAGCTATCTGGGAGGCTGAGGCAGGAGAACTGCTTGAACCTGGGAGGTGGAGGTTGCAACAAGTGGAGATCACGCCACTGTACTCCAACCTGGGCGACAAAGTGGGACTCCGTCTCAAAAGAAAAAAAAGTGCCAGTCATTTAGGAAATCAGGCGCAGGGCCCAAACCAAAGGGACTTAGCTATTTGAACTTGCTCTTCCTCGTTTTAGGCTGTTTAGGAAAATACTCCTGCAAGATGGGCTCAAATAAAGATGGAGATTATCCTTAAGAGCATTCAGTCTAGGCATACACATCTCACGTGCAGTGACACTGCACTTCTTAAAAATCTAGATGACCGTGGTCAAGATGAGAATACAGGTAGATCTCAGTTCATAGATGATGGGTAGAGCACAGATCTTGAGTGAAGCAGACAGCCCTGGGTTTGAATCCTACCTTGGTCATTTATCAGCTAGATAAACCTCAGAATATTCCTCCGTAAAATGGGATAACACGAGAACTCAGTTCACGGGATTAAATGAGTTAATGTATGTAAAGCATTTATGGTAGTACCTACACAGTAGATGCTGAAGAAATGACAGCTGTTATCAGTTGTAGGAATATCCAAGGAAACCTCTGGAACAATTCCCTGGTTATACCTCTGAAAAGAATCACTGAGTCACTGAAAGGAAGACAGCAACGTTTTGGAAAATTCAAGTAAACGTAATTCAACAAATATTTATGGACAGTCGAAGTATCAGATACTGTGCCAAGGGGTTTCATGATGAATAAAGGTGGGCATGGTAGCACGCACCTGTAGTCCCAGCTACTTGGGAGGCTGAGGAAGGAGAGTTGCTTGTGCTCAGGAGTTCAAGGCTATTGTGTACCATCATCACACCTGTGAATGACCACTGCACTCTAGCCTGGGCAACAGGAGACCCTGTCTCAGGGGAAAAAAAAAAAATCCCCTTCTCAGGGCCTTGATGGACTGGGAACCCATCCGTGGAAACACTGGGAGAAGGGCTATAATAGAGGGAGGCTTGTGGTGCTGAGGTTGGCTGACAGTGTCTAGCCTGGTGGGAGGAAGGAAACAGAAGATTAGAAAAGGGTCTTTGGAAGAAAGGATACCATAGTTTGAAGGATAAATAGGCATTTACAGGGCGGATGGAGAAAAGACAAAAGGTTTTCCTGCCAGAGGGAATGACAAAGAATCTGACCCAGGAGTAGACCAGGCAACAGGTGTAATCTGCATAAGAGCCAGGAGAATGGAGAGGATTCAATAATGTAAAATCTCTTAAATAAGCGACACTAATGTCACTTGGTGATCAGTTCCATGTGGCGGGAGGGAAGAGAAGTCTTTGATGGCTCCCAGGCCTTTGGCTTGGACAACTGAATGCTGAGCTAGGGAGGAAGGAAGAGTAGATTTGGAGAGGGGACACAGGTGACCTGCAGTATGGATACAGAGCAGAGAGTGCTCAGGGCTAGACATACAGAACTGTGAGTTGGCTGGGTGGGTGGAGTCTAGGAGAGTCGAAAAACTTATTCTGGGTGATTTCACTGAACAATGAAATGACAACTTATGTCGATGGCTTACTGAGCTCCAAGTATGCTTAACATTTTATATACATGAGGACTGACTGCCGTTCAGTCCTCAAAATGCCTATGTGGAGGGTGGTATCACCCAAATTTAATGGAAAGGAAACTGAGGCTCAGAGAAATAATTTACTCAAGAGTCTTGATCTTAAGCTAGACTCCAAAATGCAGGCTGTTGAACCCTACACCAGCATTCACTACGCTGTGTGTGCTGAATTTTTCTTGGAGATACTGTTAGGTATTTCTTTTCTTTTTTTTGAGACAGAGTCTCGCTTTGTCGCCCAGGCTGGAGTGCTGTGGCACAATCTTGGCTCACTGCAAGCTCCGCCTCCCGGGTTCAAGGAATTCTCCTGCCTCAGCCTCCTGAGTAGCTGGGATTACAGGTGCGTGCCACCACGCCTGGCTAATTTTTTTTTTGTATTTTTAGTAGAGACAGGGTTTTATCATGTTGGTCAGGCTGGTCTCAAACTCCTGACCTCATGATCCACCCGCCTGGGCCTCCCAAAATGCTGGGATTACAGGTGTGAGCCACTGCACCTGGCTGTTAGGTATTTCCTGCGATCCAATTTGTTTGGGAAATGCTGCCTACTAAGCCCCTTTTCTAAGATTCTGACTACACGTTAGTCATAAAGGCTCTGAGAAGTCCCGGAATAAAGAAACCCATGTGGCCTGTGTCATCCAGAGCTTTCCAGATTTAATGTGGGCTGGGAACATTACAGTATTTTCACAGCACAGCCTGCCCCAAACAGCAGTTTGAGAAACGATGCTCTGGGCCCCTCGTTCTCTTCTTTGTCTTCTGGGAAGCCCAGCAGCTCTGCCATTTGAGATTCACTGAAGTGGGAGAGAAGGAGAGTGAAGAGGGCCAAGCAGGGGTGAGGGTTTAGGAGATGGGAAGTTAAGTTGAAGCTGCAAACACAGGTGGATGGTGTCGGGGGCTGGCCCCACATTTGCTGCAAGCCTGGGGGTGGGGGGGTCCAGCTGCCTCTCACCAGGGAGGCCAGCCTTGGCCTGCCCCAGGGAATGCCATCAATACCACAGACACTGCTGTTCCTGCAGACAGTGCTAACCATGTTGTCAAGGATACCATTCTGCTGAGACAGGAGGGAAAACAGGGACCAAGTCTGAATTCCAAGAGTTAAACCTCTAGTGTAATGATAGCAATTTCTTCCCTGTTCTTTAAAAAAACAAACAAACAAAACTCACCAAAGGAAACAGTGGCTATGTTTTGGAGTACAAATGAGGCACCCAACCCAGCCTGGCTAGATCTCAAATTGCTTCCCCCATACCGTTCACGTCCTCCGTGAATGTAATGGCGCCATGCAACTCGAGGGGATGCCACTGTCCTCAATCAACAGATCCCAGCCTGGATAAGGTCACAATGGCTCCTTTGAGGCCAAGGCTGTACACCTGTGATGCCATATGAAGTACAAGGGAGACAAAAGCAGGCAGAAGAAAGAGCCTTTTGAGAGGGGGGAAAAGAGGCCAGTACCCTGGGGACTGGCACAGTTATACTTGCTGTGTAAGGTGGGCATTAGCTAGCTCTGCTGAGATATCTTTCCTGCGTTCCACATTTAATTAGCAATCATTTGTACTTATCTTTCATCTTTTACTCAATCACATCAAACGGTCAATATCATTTTGAGCAGGAAGAAGAGGTAGGGAGAAATTGTCACTGGCCAGAGACTTTCTCGTCTACTTAGTACAGAACCAAGAATGTTTGTGTCATCACAGGGCACCGACTTAGTACAGAATCAAGAACGTTTGTGTCATCACAGGGCACCGGGTGAATGTAACTGACCCTCCTGTGGTCCTCCCCAGTCTGTCTGTGGTCCCCTGGTCACCAAACTGCCTTCTGTGATTCAGTGAAATGCCTGGTGTGCTAGGTACATTGTTCTGGGATTTGACTAATAATTAATAAGCAGGGCACAACTAGGCAATTGTGAAGGAATGAAGTTCCTCAGCTCGCAGCTTGTAAGGGCCTGGCTCCCAGGGAACTAAGGGAGTCCTGGGCTCTCGGGGAGAGCTCCTTTGCCTGAGCAAAGCTCCTTTGTTCCAGGTGGTTTGGTGTGCTGGACACAGCCACACCCTCCCTGCACCTCTTACGGCTTCCAGGACTCCCACCATTCAGGACTCATTTTTTGGCTCTTTAGCACAATTGTTTTGAACTGAAGGAATCAGAGACTTAGGGCAACTTCTGGAAGTTTCTACCCAGTTGGCAAAGAAACCTTCTCAATCCCCTACTTACCCTAAACTAAGAGGACCAGAAAGTCTGCAGGCCCCATGATATGCTACATCTGCTGACACCAGGGAAACTCCACTACAAGGGAGTTGCAGTCTGTCACTCAACTTGCTGAGGACCAACTCTTGGGGGCACAGTCCCTACCTGCAAGCTGCTTGGATCTCTTTGACAGGTAAAAACACAACCATGCAGCTCCTGTCTGGCTGGAGGCTGGGAGGGCTATTGATTGTGTAATGAACCAAGGGCCAAGAGGGGGTCCTTGGTAACATCTTGTGCCCAGGATCCCAGATTTCAAACAAAATCATTGCTCCCTGGAGGCTGCTGGAACAACCATTGGTGAGCAGGCAGTCAATGCCTGTGTTACTTTCCTAGAATTGTCACAGCCGGACAATTGTTGGAGCAAAGAGGATTCACGTCTCATGATAATTTCCATGGCTGCAGTGTTATGCTGAGAAGGATGTTGAGGGCCCGTCTTGTCTTGGCAGGAAGAGCGTTGTCTGGGGAGAATGTGATAAAGAGGTGTGTAGGTTTTGAGGTCTACAGAAAGGGACTGTGAAGGTCTGCATGGGGACAGCACACATACCCATATTTACCACTGCTGACCTTGGTCACTCTCTTCATTTTATCAAGGAGTAACTGAAGATAATTGGAGACTAACGTGATTTCCTCACTGCCATAATTAGTGGCAGAGGTGGGACTGGAACACAGGCAAGAAACATCCCAAGTCACAGGTTCACCTTGTGTCATCTTTGCTTTTCCTTCTCTAAAATGAGGACCCCTCCCACCTCACCCAGGGTGGGAAAGGCCAGTTCATCCCAGAGAGCTGCTAGGAGAGGGCAAGAGACAACTTGGAGTGGCTCCGAGGGGCAGCTTTCCTCCCGGACTCTCTGGACGGAGGGAAAACCCCAGTCTTTTGTGTGATTCCTAGGGGGTGTGCCTGCAGCTTTCACCTTCAGAGGCAACAGTGAGAAAACCAGGGTAGCAGGGCTTGGCCCTAAACTCCACAGCCTAGTCTAAAGGCCAGATGGAAGGTAATGTATGAGTTATAGGATGTGGAATCCGCTTAAGCTTGAGCCCTGTGATCTAAGGGTAGTCCCCTCTGAGCTGGTTTCAGCAGACACCTTTCTCACAGGATTACATGAGTGCACAGTAGGCAGTCAACAAATACGGACTGATCACACACACCATGTTTTCTCTTCCCTCGGGGTCTCTGCACATGCAGGTTCCTCTGCTTGGGACATTTCCCCACTTTCTCTCCTCATACACTGCTCACCGGATCTCTGGAGCACTCAGTTTACACCCTGTCTCTTCAGAGAACACTCTGACTAACCCGAGGGGGTTAGGTAACCCCCTTCTGGGTGTCCACAGGACTCTGAACATATCCCATCACAGCATTTACCCCACTGGACTATGGCGGCCTTTCTCCTGGATTAGGCTGTGAGGCTCTGAGGGCAACGACCACAACAGATTCAACTCTGTACCCTCAGTGCCTTGCACTCAGTAAACTCTCAAAGAATACATGCTGGCCAACTTACTATATCAATGCCTTCTGTTCCCACTCCATTCATGACCACAATAAAGAGCTCTAAACAGAGCACCAAACCCAAAATGCTATTTTTTCCCCAAAGTACTAAAATGTGGGTTTAAAAATCAAGTCACCTGCAGTTTTGCTTTATATTAACTGTAAAAAGAAGAAATTCCTGAGAGTAAACAGTGCCCTATAGTGAGAATGGACAGACTGGGGCCCCACTACCTGCTCCTCCAAAGTCCATCTGGCTTAAGACAGAATGGGTAGGCCGGGTGCCGTGGCTCATGCCTGTAATCCCAGCAATTTGGGAGGCTGAGGCAGGTGGATCACCTGAGGTCAAGAGTTCAAGACCAGCCTGGCCAACATGGCGAAACCCTGTCTTCACTAAAAATACAAAAATTAGCTGGGTGTGGTGGCACGCGCCTGTAATCCCAGCTACTCAGGAGGCTGAGGCAGGAGAATCACTTGAACCTGGGAGGTGGAGGTTGCAGTGAGCCGAGATTGCACCACTGCACTCCAGCCTGGGGGACAGAGCCAGGCTCTATCTAAAAAAAAAAAAAAAAAAAAAAAAAAAAGACAGAACGGGTATATGTCCACGGGTTTCCAGCTCCAGCTTAGTTTCATTGTTGTACTAGCAGCAGGCAGGTGAGAAAGCCAAGATGATCAGGATGCTGTTTTACAAAAGCCTCGGGATCCTGAAAAGGGGAGGAGACAGAGAATGGTATTTCTAAACTTTCCCAGGATTGGGGCTGCCCTTTCTACAGCGTAGAAATTTGGGGTTACCTGAATGACCTACAATTTCACCTTCTCTTCTGACCTTTTTCCCAATTTTATAGTCCATCTCATTCTCAAAAATCATTTGAGACTTTGGGAGGTTGAGGCAGAAGGATCGCTTGAGCTGAGGTGTTTGAGATCATCTTGGGCAACATGGTGAAACCCCATCTATATTTTTTATTTAAAATATTTAAAAAAGTTTATTTGAAGAAATCATTTGAGGTGACTGCTGTTGTTTCCTCAGGCCTATGTCTATATCAAGGACTTTTAATAAAGAAGGGGCATCCTAGCTGTAAGATCTCGGATAAGTGCCTTTCAATCTACTTGAGCTTCAATTTCCTTATCTGTAAAGTGGAAGTAATAATAACCAAACTGGAGTGTTTTGATTTTAAAACCCCGTAATATACAGGGAGCATTTAGTCCAATGCTTGCTATACAGCAGGTATACAATAAATGAAAGCTGTTTTCACCAGAAGATCCAGAGAATGGCAAAGTTCTGAGCGGACTTTCAGGAAAAAAAGAAGGCAAGAGAAGAACTAAGCGTTTCTGGGAACTATCTTTTTTTTTTTTTTTTTTTTTTTTGAGACACAGCCTCACTCTGTCGCTGAGGCTGGAGTGCAGTGGTGTGGTGCAATCTCAGCTCACTGCAACCTCTGCCTCCTGGGTTCAAGCGATTCTCCTGCCTCGGTCTCCCGAGTAGCTAGGATTACAGGCATGCACCACTGTGCCCGACTAATTTTTGTATTTTTAGTAGAGACAGGGTTTCGACATGTGGCCAGGCTGGTCTCGAGCACCTGACCTCTGGTGATCCGCCCGCCTCGGCCTCCCAAAGTGCTGGGATTACAGGCATGAGCCACCATGCCTGGCCCCTGGGTTTCTGGGAACTATCTGATAGGGAATCTAGAACTCTGCACAAGGGACAGTGGCTATGGAGAACTCTGAAATTTCTCAAATGTTTGTCATTCTTCTGCACAGTCTTACTTTACTTAGATCTACAGTTTAATCTTTTAAATAAAAAAGGCCCAAATACTTATTTAGGGAATCCCATTTTGGAAGAAAGGGAAAGAAACTAAGCAACAGGGGAAAATGGCTTAGGAGAGAACAGCTGCAATGTTTGGAGGCCAACAGGAATGAAAACAGGGACGTGAGAACAGGAGAAACCTGGAGGCCTCCTTTTGAGGATTCAGACCTGAGAAGGCTGTTCCTCATTCCTTCCCTCCTGCTTGCAGAGGTGTGGCCCACAGCGCAAGCATCACAAACCACACTAGTTCTGACAATGCTCTGTTCAGACTCTAGGTAGTCCCATGACCCCTACCTGGTGTAACCTGACCCAGACAGCCAGTTACCAGGATGTGTAAAGGACACCTGATTCTTTCTGTGACAGTGTGGTTACCCTAAACCTTGTAAGACATGACTACAAAGAGAATCCCAGTCTCTGGCTTCAGTCCATACGAGAACAAGTAAAGCCGCCTGAATCTGGGTCAGAAAGTAAAGTTGCCCTTCTGGAGCACGGAGAGAATTACTGCTTGTCTGACAATCTGTATCCACAAGGCAGTGGTTCTCAAGCCTGGCCTGGGCAGCAGAGTCACCTGGAGAGCTTTGAAAAAAACAGAAGCTCCAAGCCATCCTAGACCTACTAAGTACCTCAGGAGTGGGGCCTAGGAATACATACGGTAGTTTCTAAAAGCACTACAGGTCAAGCTGGGTGTGGTGGTACACACCTGCAATCCCTGCTACTCAGGAGGCTGAGGTGGGAGGATCCCTTGAGCCCAGGAGTTCAAGACCAGCCTGGGCAACATGGCATGATCTCATCTCAAAATAAATAAATAAATAAATAAATATATATATAAAATAAAAGCTGTCTGATATTTTATGTGGGCAAATACAAAAAATAAAAGCACTACAAATGGTGACTGTGCTGTGAAGCCAAAGTTGAATATAATGCTTTGTGGAAGTATCTTTTTTTTTTTTTTTTTGAGAGGAAGTCTTGCTCTGTTACCCAGGCTAAAGTTCAATGGCGCGATCTCGGCTCACTGCAACCTCTGCCTCCCAGTTCAGGCAATTCTCCTGCCTCAGCCTCCCGAGTAGCTGGAACTACAGGCTTGCACCCCCATGCCCAGCTAATTTTTGTATTTTTAGTAGAGACAGGGTTTCGCCATGATCTGCCCATGTTAGCCTCCCAAAGTGCAGGGATTACAGGCATGAGCCATCGCGCCCGGTTGGAAGTATCATGTTTTGAACTAGAGGGAAATTACTGAAGTTCCACAGAAGGACATAATAGAAGCTTTTTTTTTTCCTAAGTGGCATCTGCAAACAGACCGGTCTGTTCCAGCTTCTCTGGCTCTCCAAGAGGAGGGAATCAATTAGGAGGCAACTGCATTCAGCTGAACTTTCCCAGGCCTTCCTCATCACCACAGCAGAACTTAATAAAAGGTTCACTTTTTTTGGAAATTTAGATTTAGATTGAACTAACATTTTAGGAGCACCTGTTTTGTGGCAGGTCCTGCTGCAGACACAAACTACAAGTCCGTGGGAGAGACACTACATGGTTCTCATTTGGGGTACATTCCTGGAAATGGAGGAGTGTTCATCAGAGCTGTACCAGTTCCTTACAACGCAGTCCTTAGTGAGATGTCTTCCCTGACACAATGCTTTATTACCTACGATCAACATACAATTTGGAGTTTACTGACTGATGTGTCTTCTTGACATTCTTTTCGTTTCTATAATGCGGGATGTGGCTAGGCTGATTGGATGACCTTGAATTTATCTGAGGCTTATCCTCACCACCTGTCAAAACATCTAGCTTGATTTTTTTTTTTTTTTGAGACAGAGTCTCGCTCTGTTGCCCAGGCTGGAGTGCAGTGGCGCAATCTCGACTCACTGCAACCTCCGCCTCCTGGGTTCAAGCGGTTCTCCTGCCTCAGCCTCCTGAGTAGCAGGGATTACAGGTGCCCACCACCAAGCCCGGCTAATTTTTTTGTATTTTTAGTAGAGATGGGGTTTCGCCACGTTGGCCAGGCTGGTCTAGAACTCGTGACCTCAGGTGATCCACCCGCCTCAGTCTCCCTAATGCTGGGATTACAGGCGTGAGCCACCGTGCCCAGCTCTAGCCTGAATTTTAACCATTAAAGTAATACCACATTTGCCCATCCTTTGGAAAATAATCAAACTATTTGCTGGGAATCAAAGAGTTAAAAAGAAGGTACTGCACAAGAGTATGCAGGTGTTTTTTGGTGGAGAGCACTACATAGATCTTAGGTGATTACCACTATGAACTTTGTCTGTACTGTCTCCATTTTTTAAGATGATGAAACCGAGGCTCAGAGAACCTCAGTAACTTGCCAAATGCAAAGCTAGGACAAGGATTTGACCCCAAGTATTTTGATTCCCAGACCTGTGCTTTTGCTTTAGCTCCACTTCAGTGGCCCCAATAGCCCTTCTGAATGGCTATTTATGTGCAGATTTACAATGGTTGGCAACTGACATACTATTTTTATCAACCACGTGCAAAAAGCATGAATTAAGATCCAACAGAATTTTAGGAGGAGGACAAAGTCATAAAAGTAACGAGAAGTTGAATGACTTCTCTAAGACCAAACAGCTACTAAGACGTTGAGCCTGTATTTGACCAAATATAGATACTTGGGTCTGTATGGCACCAAAGCAGCTCTTTTTAACCAAGCCAAGATGCATATACGGTGCAGTGGAGAGAAACATGAGTTTGGAATCAGAAGCCATGGATTCCAGTCTCCTGTTCCAATCACTTATTAGCGGTATCACTCTGGGCAAGTCCCTTGCCCTCTGGAAACAATGATCTATGACCTACTCTTTACTGACACATGAAGATCCAAATGGATGTAAAAGTATTCTGAAAACTTCTTCCAAATAATAATAATAATAGTAAGAACTCACGCAGGTCAGTCAGACATAGGTTGGAATTCTGACCCTGTCACTTACTGGCTGTGTGACCTTGGACGAGTGATTTTACCTCTTCTGCCTCAGTTTTCATCTGCAAAATGGGGATAAATCAATAACTACCCCAAAACATTGTTGTGACAATTAAATGAGAGCATCCATTTAAACAAGGGATTGCCTGACACAATATTCGATCAATAAACATCAGCCATTAATACCCTGATAATTGCCTCTCGGGTCTTCAGCTACCTTCAAGTACGGTCTTTCTGACCTACCAAAAACGCCCTGGGCTTCGGCTTCGGTTTGCTATTCTCTGCCCCCTTCCTCGGACCCTGTCCCTCTCTTCCCAGTCCGCAGCTCGTGTTAAAGCCTTCCAGAAACCCCAGTCCCCTTCCCCGGCTTCGGCGCCGTCTCTTACTCGACGACCTTGGCTGGATCCCCGTGGTGCCCATAGACAAGCGCCCGGACCCGGGCAGGCTCGGCGGATGCGGAGTAGGAGGAGGCGGCAGGTCCGTGACAGCCAGAAGCTGGGAGCAGCCCCCGCCACTGCCGGGCGGGGGTTCGCACCCGCCACAGGGTACTGCAGACCCACATGCTCGCTCCAACCAACACAGAGCCTGACGCCCCGGCTACGTCATCTTCCAGCGACCGCGCGCCTGCGCCCCGCCCCTGCCCCGCCGGGTGACCACTCCCCCTTGGTCCCTTTGAAGGGCGTTTCCTTCCTTCGCTGCCCAAGTGGTGGCGCCTGGCTAGACTGCGTGTGGGCCCCGGAGGGATCCGGGGGTGCGGAGCTTGCGAGGCCGCCAAAGCTGTTGTCTCAACAAGGAGAGTCTGGGGCTAGTCCAAAGTCGTGTCTACAGCCTGCAGTTTGGTGTTTGATTTGGAGGAAATATTTACTCTCCCTGGCCTCAGTTTACCCTTCACATAATATATTGAGTGCTCACCGAGCCAGGCTCTTTAAGGTATTATCTCATTTAATCACCACTACCATGTAACGGCATAGGGAGGCAAAGCTTACTTCCCTACACTGAGGAGAGTACACGAAAGCTGCTGTGGAGGCAGGAGTATGGGGCTTGGAGTTAGAAAACTTAGGTTCAAATCCTAGCCCTGCCACTTCCTAGCTTGGCCACCTTGGGCAGGTGAAACTCTGAATTTTTCTCATCGGTACAATGGGGATAATATGCCTCCTTCCGGATTGTTGTGAGGATTGGATGAAATAATAGAGGAATGCTATTGTGGGTGGGAGAACGCATTGTAAAAAACTCTGTTCAGATGTAAGACAGGAATCACAAGGAGAAGGGTCCTCTCTCAAAATGCTCACAGTGTAGAAAGGGATTAAGTGGAACACTGGAAATGCCTGTAAAAAGGTGTAGCCCTATGAAGGATCTAGTCTGATTTTTGGTGTAGGGAAGACATGAACATTACTAAAACCCCAGATCGAGCTGTGGCTCGTGCCAGAGTGCAATGCTGTAGTCTGAAGAGAAGTGCTCTGGGATGGGGTGGGATGGGGTGGGGGCTCTTGGAGGAGGTGCTGTTAGAGCCAGCCCTGTGATTCAAAATCTTCTGTGTGCATAAAAATAATCCGAGGTCCCATCTTAGACCTACTGAATTAGAATCTTGCGGATGGGGGTTCCAGGAATCTACATCCTTACAAGCTCCCAAGAATATTCTGATGCAGGTGTCCCAGGAAACAGGTTTTAAGATACTGAGCCAGGGCTTTGAAGGATAAGGAAGAGTTCCTTTCCTGGATTTTATTGACTTGAAGCTTGCCATCTCCAAGCCTTTCCTCTGAGGAAGAGAGCACAGCAAAGTACTGTGAGCTAGATTTGGACAAACCTGGCTTTATGTCCTAGCTCTGCCATTTTCCAGCCATTTGATTTCGGACAAGTCACCAGGCCTCTCTGTGTCTTCACTTTCTTACTCTTAAAATGGAAGGAATACTAGTTATCTGTTTCAAGATTGTTGTGAGGGTCAAGTGAGATATTATCCACTTGAAGCATTTAGTACAATGCTTGGCACATGGAAGCATTTGATAAATATTATCGGGGGTTATTGTGATTAAATGAGAAATATCACACATAAAACCCTCAGACTAGGGTCTGGCTTATAGTATGTGCTCACTAAATGTCTGTACTTGTTTTTATTATTAGAGAAAGTTGGTGTCCCATGGTGGGGGAAAGGCTTGGCCCCACATTTATGTGCCAGCACACACACGATGACCAGTCCTGCTTACCCTTTTCCCCAGTGACACATAGGCTTACTTGAACTGGGAAGTACAACGTAACCTTCTGTTGTAAGACTCCCTAGGTGACATTGAGATGTCGACATTCTCTTCTTCACCAAATTGGCTCCTCTGAATTTCTGGGGAGCCCAGTCAGGAAGCCTGAAGAATCATCCAGCAAGTCCTCCTCCTTGGGGCTGGACTTTAGCCTCCTGTGCATCCCAATAGCCCTCACTTTTAGTCTAGGCCATCTGGGTTCTTGCAGGGGCATAGTTTGAGAACTACTGACTGAGGGGTTCAAGTCCAATTTCCTGGACTTGCATTCAAGATTCTTTGCACTCTGACTCCCACACTGCATTTCCAGCTTCATCTTCTCCTGTTGGACCGTGCATAGCCTGTGATCCAGCTGCATCTGATACCCGTCTTCCCCAGTGTGTCTTGTGCCTTTATTCAGGCCACTCCTTCTGCCTGAAATGCTGTTCCCTGCCTCGGAAACTCCAGGTTCAGATGTCATTTCTTTGATGTTTCAAAACTCCCTAGGTCATCTGCTGCTGCCTTTGTGTTTTCCCTGGAGCTGTGTTATGGCCTTTAGTACATCGTCTCTTATTTATTCCCCTCCAGGCAAGACTGGAGCCATGTTTGGTTTATCTCCATAACACCAGCACCCGATATGAGCCTGGCACAGGGTAGGTGTCATAAATATTCCATGAGTTGCAGGTAATTGAATTTCCTCATGGCCTAGAACGGTCTGTGGTGCCATCTCCTTTTCCCTAGATTTGGGCTGGTCACTCCAGGCCAGGAATTTCCTTCTTCCTTCTTCTCTCAAGGATTATAGAAGTCTGTGGTCTTTTTTTTTTTTTTTTTTTTTTTTTGAGACAGAGTTTTGCTCGTTGCCCAGGCTGGAGTGCAATGGCGCGATCTTGGCTCACTGCAACCTCCGCCTCCCAGGTTCAAGCAATTCTCCTGCCTCAGCCTCCTGAGTAGCTGGGATTACAGGTGCCCGCAACTACGTCTGGCTAATTTTTGTATTTTTTTTTTTTTTAGTAGAGACAGGGTTTCACCATGTTAGTCAGGCTGGTCTCAAACTCCTGACCTCGCCTCTGCCTCCCAAAATGCTGGGATTACAGGTGTGAACCACTGTGCCCGGCTGAAGTTTGTGGTCTTTTAAAAGTAAAGCAGAAAGTCCTCTTCTCATCTGTCTACCTGTTGCTTGTGTTCTCTTTCTCCCTCCATTATAGTCTCTGCCATCTTCCCCTGCACAAAGGGCAAAGGGATGTGGAATCAGTCAGATCTGGGTTCAAATCTAGGGCCCGCCGTCTATTTACTAGCTGTGTCACCTTAGGCAAGTGTCATATGCTCTCTGAACCTCAGTTTCCACACCCGTAAAATGGGATCACTGGTAAAACTCCTATTTTGAGGCTCTCTCAAGAGCCCTCTGCAAACAGCACCCTTGGTTGTTTCTTCTGTTCACTGGTTTTCTCTCCTTGAGTTTCCTTTTCTGGGTGGGCCTCTCTGGCTCCTCTCTGCTCCAGCGTCTCTGTATCTTAGTTTCTTCCCTAAGGTTTCCCCTTGGTTTCTTCTTGCTTCTGCCTCCCTCTCCCTATTTAATTATCTGTGTCTAATTCTTGCCTGCTGTGTCTTTTGGTCCCTTTCCTAACTCAGTGTGGAGCTCATCAGCTCTCACAAGAGAGGAGACCAAGAGCCCAGGAACTCTCAACCCAGCGATACCTCCTCCAGCCCCAGGGCAGCTTCAAGGTGTGTCCATCTCAGCATGAAGCCAGCTAGGAGGGGCAGGGCACAGGGAGGGCCTACATATACCTTGAACTCCTACGCTTTGTTCAGTGTCACTGCCCAGTGGTCAGACCCATCTGCCCATGGCTTTCCCTACTTCAGCAGTCTTTATAGCTGGAGCTGTAAAAAAAAAAAAACAAAAAAAAAAAAACCCAGAGATCAGAACTTATTACTCCTTATTACTCCTCTGCTTAATTACTCCACTTCAGTGGCCTCCCATTAATTACTCTTAGGGTTGAACCTCAAGCCCCTTCCTTGCTCATAGTTTCTTGCCTGACCTACAGACCCTGCTGACTTGTCTAGCTGCACCTGGCTCCCTTCTGCCCCTGACTCACTCCATGCCAGCTGCCCGGCTTCCTTGCAGCTGCTTGTACCCACCAGCTCCTGCCTTTGCACAGGCTGTCCCCTCTGACTGCAATGTTCCTCTCCACTGATTTGCATGAGGTTGGCTCCTTCTCATACTTCAGGTCTCAGTTCAAATGTCACCATGTCACTTCTATAGCAAAGCCCTCTTGGACCACTTATCTAAAGGAGATGCCCCTTCCCTATGTTCTTTATCATTATACTCCCTCGTTTCCTTTAGCTTGCATATCTTAGATGGTAATGATATATTTATGTACATGTTTGCTGTTGGGCTCTCCTAATAGAATGTAAGATTCATGAAGGCTAGGACCATTTCCCTTTCATTCATTCCATCCAGTCAGTATTTATTGAGCATCAATTACGTGCCAGAGGCCGGGCGCGGTGGCTCACGCCTGTAATCCCTGCACATTGGGAGACTGAGGCAGGTGGATCACCTGAGGTCAGGAGTTCCAGACCAGCCTGGCCAACATGGTGAAACCCTGTCTCTACTAAAAATACGAAAATTAGCCGGGCGTGGTGGTGGGCACCTGTAATCCCAGTTACTTGGGAGGCTGAGCCAGGAGAATTGTTGGAGCCTGGGAGGCAGAGGTTGCAATGAGCCAAGACTGCGCCATTGCACTCCAGCCTGGGCAACAAGAGTGAAACTCCATCTTGAAATAAAATAAAATAAAATAAAATAATAAAAACATGCCATATACTGGGCACGGAAATACAAGATGAGTCTTTTCCCAAGGGAGCTCATTTCTAGAGGTGGAGACAGATAATGAACTCATCATATAGCCCGCACTCTATTTGAAATTGCAACAATTCCCCTTCCCTTCCCTGTCCCCCCACCACCCCCAAATTTCCTGGTGTATGAGACAGTGATAAAGGACGTACACCAGAGGGTTTGCTTTTTTGTTTTTGTTTTTTTGGTTGTTTACTGTTCTTGTCTTCCCACTGGAATGTAAGGTCCATGAGAGTAGGGAATTTTTGTCTGTTTTATATCTCTACCCTGGCCTATAGTAATTGTTGAATAAATGAATAGACCCCAATAAATATTTGTTGAATGAATAGGTGTCCAGATGGGAGGAAGGTCTCAGCCCCTATTCAATTCAAACCAAACAACTTTGATTCAAATCTCGGTGCTGTCAAATACTGTTGCATAACAGTATTTATGCAGTATAATTATTGCATACCTAATATATGATGATTAAATGAGTCCATGTGGGTTAAACACATAGAAGGTACCTGGTCTTACATAGTAATGAGCAACGAGTTTGCAGATCATAGTGCGAGGGCTCGTTCTGGGTAGAGGCCCAAATACATTTAACCTGTGTAGCCAGAAGGTAGAGTAGGACCAGTGAGGGCTAGTGAGGGAGGTAGACTTGCACGTCATGAAATGAAAAACTTTCTAAAAGCCGGCGTTTCCAAAGCCCCAACAACCGCTCTTGGCCAGGTGATGAGCGCCCTGTTCCTGGAGGTATGTAGAACACGCATTTGAAGGCGCCAAGGTACAAGGGATTCAGGCATCGGATGGGACAGAGGCCGGGTGTCCCTGGGTCACCGTCCCTGAGAGCGCTGTACGGGAGCTAGGCGTGGGCCATGAGCGTGCTCGCCTGGCAGTGTTGGTGCCCGGTCCGTGGAGACGTCCGTGGGCGTCCAGACCCAGCCGCGGGGCCTCATGGCGGGGAGGATGCGGGAGCGGGGGAGGGGCGCGCCAGGGCTAGCGGGCGGCCGGACCCGCTGCAGCACCCGCCGTGGCCAGCAGGGAGCGCCGCGAGACCGCCGAACCCGCGGCCGGGCCTGACGTCAGCGCCCCGCTTGCTCCGGCTCGCGCTCTGGACTCGGCGCCAGTCCCGCTCCGCGCCGCGCCGCTCCGCTCCGGCTCGGGCTCCGGCTCGCCTCGGGCTGGGCTCGGGCTCCGGGGGCGGCGTCCCCCGCGCCGGGCCCCGGGACGGGCGGCGACGCTCCAACCATGGCCCGTGCCCAGGCGCTCGTGCTGGCACTCACCTTCCAGCTCTGCGCGCCGGAGACCGAGACTCCGGCAGGTAAGCGCGCGGCGGCCGGACCGAGCCTGCCCCGCCGAGCCTCGGGGCCCGTGGCGTAGCTCGGAAGAAAGTGTGAGTGTTGAGTGACCGGGCGTTACGAGCGTGCTCCCTGTGTGTGTCTGAGCGTAGGATGGGCGATTGTGTGCCCGGGGTGTTGCGTGACTGCGAATGTTGTGTGTCCGTGAGTTCTGTGCGCAAGAAAAGGTGATGTGTGTCGGCGAGTATGTTGGGGGTGAATGTTGTGTGCATCGAGGCATTGGGTGTGCGCTGAGTGTCTTGTGGGTCTGCCAGTGTGTAGTGTTTGTGTGGCCAAGTGGGTTGTGTGTGCATCTGAGTTTGGTTGTGTTGCGGGAGTTGTATCTGCTAATGTGTTGCATTTGTTTGCATTTTGTATGCCTGGCCGGGAGTGCTGTTTGTTTTGTGTCTGCGAGTGGGTTGTGTGTTTGTGTTATGCCTGTGGCCAAGGGTGCTCTCTGGATCCCGCCTGAGTGTGGATCCGGGAACGCGTGTGTGGCGTGTGTGCTTTTGAGATCCGTGTACATGTGTGAAGGCGTGGGAACGGGTCCGGAACGTGTGTGTCCGTGCGCTGTGTACGTGTGGGGAGTGTCTAGGGTATGTGGTGTGTGCTGCCGGGGGCCGCGTGGGTCCGAGTGAATGCCAAGTGTGCCGGGAATGCGTGTGTGGGAGCGAGTCTGGAACGGATGTGAGTGTGTGCGAATGTGTCCGTGTGTGCTGGCTGCGCGTCCAGGAATGTTGCGAGTGTGGAGCGCGCCTGGGCCGCGGCTGCGAGTGTGCCCTGGTCCCGGGGCCGCCCGAGGGGGCGGTGGCAGGACGTGTGTGCGCGCGTGTGCGTGTGCGCGTGTGTGGCGCGCTGGGCCGGAACAAGTTGTCGCGGCGGCGCCCCCTGGGCTGCCCGGGTCGGGCAGGGCCCGAGGCTCAGGGGAGGACCGGGCCCCGCGGCCGCCGCCTCGGGCATGTCGGACTGTTTGTTGTTTCGCAAGTTCCGCGCGGCGCTGGCGGGCGGCTGATCCGAGGCGGCGCCGGGGCTGCGGGGCGCCCGGGCCAGCGGGCCCCAGCGAGGGGCCGGCGGGCGGGCAGGGGAGGGCCGGACCGGCGGGCGCTCCTGCGGTGGCCGGGCCGCGGCTGCGCCCCGGGCGGCCGGGCGGGGGCTGTCCCCGGGCTGGGCTGCGACGTCCGGGCGCGGGCAGGGCCTGGCTCGCCGCCGGGGGACGGCGCCCCCTCCCTTGGCGCGCAGGACGCGCGGGGGACGCCCGGGCCTCCCGGGACACTCCCTTGGTGGAGCCTGCAACTTTGTGCGGCCTCCCGGCCGGCCGGGACCGCCAGGTGTGTGCTTGAGTGTGAGCGTGAGTGTGAGCGTGTGGCTCCGCGCTTGTCTGCTGTGTGGTCGCGTTCTCCGGGTGTGTTTCGGAGTCTGGTGTCTTTGGTGTGCGTGCGCGTGTGTGTGTGCGCGCAGCTGAATGTATGTATACGGAGCCTGTGTTTGTGTGTCCGTGTGCTCGTCGGAGTGTGGACGGTGTGTCGGATGTGTGTGCGTGCGCGTGTTCCACATCCCACCCTGAGGCCTGGGATCCTAGACCGCGGCCCCTTCCCGCGGAGTTTCGGGGCCCTGCTCCGGGTGACCTCCCCCGCCCTCGCCACCGGCGGGGCTGCTCCGCGGGCTCCGGGTAGCCGGGAGACGCCCGGGGCGGGATCCGAGCCGAGACACGTGCTGGAGCGGAGCCGCTTCCTCACGGTCGCCAGCCGCAGACAACTGACCTCCCCGGCATCGCGTTCGCGGCCCTGCTGCTGGCTCCGGTGTCTCGGGCCGGAACTCCTGTGGCTCCAGCGTTCGCGCCGGCCACTGGCCAGCGCTTGGGCCTCGCCCTGCAGCTCCGGGGCCATAGGGCACAGCTTTAGCTTTGACCTCCCCGTTCCCGAAAGGACGCCCAAGGCGACCTCCCACCCCATCCTCCCCAACTTCTCCCCCATGTCCTGCGGCAACTTTGCCTCCCTCTCCCACCGTGAAATCAAACCCGCGGGGTTCTGTATGCGCCCCATCCCCGCTCCTACCACCATCGCTTTGATTTCAAGAACACTCACAAGCCCCAAGCCCTGCCAGCAGGAGGACTGTCAGGAACTGAAGTTTGGGAGTGAGGCCTAGAGCAGGTTACTCCCATTCTTGATGCCTCAGTTTCCTCTTCTGCCTCATAGCCATCATGATAATGGTGTATGGCACTTTTGGTAGATACCAAGTACCTTGTAAAGTAAGGCTCTGTCTGTGAGTGCCAGGGAACAAAAAATGGATTTGAGAGTTGTTGCAAAGCCCCAGACAGAGGCTGTGATTTAAAGCTGGGGTATTAGGTGTCAAATTCTGCCTCTGCTACTTGCTATTCATGTGATGTCTGGCAAATCACCTCACTTGTAAAGTTCCTGGCCCCCTTTGTTATTCTTAGAGATGAACTCAGAAGCCCAAGTAGAATAGATGTGATACCCCTTGTCCCCAGTCTGGACAGAGTCAGCCCAGCTCCCTGAATGGCTCCGGAGCTTCCGGGTAGGGGCGGTGTGTGATGCCTTCTCAGCCTTGCAAACCTGGTAGTTATTTATTCTGCTGTGTTCTTGCTATTTTGTCCTTTTGGTCGCAGGAGTTGTGGACGGCAGGAATGAGGGAGTGGCTGCCCAGTGGTTTCAGGTTGGGCAATAAAGGCTTGTCTGGGCATCCCTCCCTTTTCCCTGGGGCTAGGGGAGGGGACTTAGCAGGAAGCAGTGACAGTGGCCGAGGTGGGGACGCTGAGCTCCTGGACAGCCTGCTGCCCAGCTCTGGTGTCAGAAAAAACCTAGGGCAAGCATCGTGCTTGATGGAGACAGGCCACCATCCTTCCATGATTTTCATCAGCTCAGCTGGGCATATGGGGTGGCCTTTCCATGCAGGACTGGGTTGGCCAGAGTTGCAGGGGGTACCTTGTGCTCCTCCTTCCTCCCCCTCCCCCCTTTTCCTAGTTGCCCTCCTGCATCCTGGAACGTCCTGTCTGCCCTCTCAGAGACTCTTTCATCTGTCTCCTTCTGTCCGTCCTCAGCTATCTTTCACCTGCAGGAAGACTCCAGCCTCCTCCTTCCCTCTTTCCCTCATGGTGCCAGGGATCTTTGTAAAGTACATTTTAACTCAAAGGGTTTAAAACCCTTTGAAGGCTCCCCATTGCCTTCAGGGTGAAGTCCTTATCCCTTGGCCCTGTTGCTGGCTCTAGCTCCTGCCTGCCTGTCCAGCTGCATCTTGTTTTGTGTCACTGCCCCTTGCATCCTATGATCTGGCCAGCCTGACCTTCTTACCAAAGACCCAAATGCCCACAGCCTGCTGTCTCCTCTCTGGGCCTTTGGGCAAGCCGTGCTTTCTCTGCAGAACTTTCTAACTCCAGCTTTTTGCTGGTGAACTCCTGCAACTTGATGGGCTCTCAGCTGTAAGCATCATCCAGTCCCTGAAGCCTTCCTCGGTGATGCCCTGTCCTAGCCTAGGAAGTCGGGGGGTGGGGGTCAATTGGATTTTTACATAGCATTGTAATTATTGTAATTACAGTTTATTAGTGCTGTCTCCCTTACCAGACTGAGAGCTGAGGACAGAGACTGGGTTTTTAGTTTACTTCTGAATCTTAGTGCCAGGTACAAGGCCTGGCCCACCGGGTCTGAATAAATATATATGGCCTGAAAGAATAAAGTTTAAGGGGGCCAGGTTCAGAGGTGGAGATGCCAGATGGGGGTGCACTGATTCCACTGAAGGTAGAGATTGAAGAACCAGGTTTCCCTCCAGGAATCTGGAAAATTCCTGGAGGGTGGGGGATGGTGTTATGTTGTGAAAAGGCCATGTTGAGAGTGTCATCTGGGAGCTTTGAGTTGGGGAGGTTGAGTCCCTGGCAAGAGACTGAAGGGAACGGGCCTCCTGCCTGCCAGCCCCTCCCCCAGGCTCTGGCCCCACCCCTAGCAGCTGGCAGGGCCCTTCCAGCCCCCAGTCTCAGGCTTTTGTGATGGGGCCTGGCAGTTGGTGAGACGTTGAGTCTCAACGGTCTGTGTGAGTGGCTGGGGAGGAGGGAGGGAGCCCGCAGGGCCCTGTGTTAGGAGAGGGAGGGAAGCTTCCTGGAAGACCCTCCCTTAGTCCTCAGTCCTAGATCCTAGGGTGGGCGGGTGGGGTCACAGCCTCTGTTCTCACCGCTTGTGCACCGGAGGGAAGGGAGGAGAACTGCATCCCGTGGTGGCCCTGGCAGATGGGGTTGGGGAGGCTGGCTGAGGTGTGTGCAGATGTGACTCTAGCATCTGGGCAGTCAGAGTGGGGGGTGTGTAGGGATTGTAACTAGGGGCATGGACACATGTGACCTGTTAGGGTGTCTAGCCATCTGGTTATCGTGTGGTGTGGCAGGATCTGAGTTTGGAGTAGGGAGGTAACCAGCTGCTTTGACCCCTGGGGAGCCTGGTGCTAAGGGTGTCTGGCTATCCAAGTATCACATTCCTGGAGTTGGGTGCAGAGCTATTTGGATGGGTGGTGTCTCGCTATCTAGGTGTGGACAACCCAGTACCAGCATGTGGGAGGATCAGGGTGTGCAGACAGAGGCTATCCCAGCATCCCTGGGGCTGGAGGTGGGTGTATCCATGTGTCTGGGAGTCCTCAGGTTAGTGGGTATTTATAAGTGGGGAGTGTCTCTGTGTTGTGTCCAGGTATGGGGCTGGCCAGGTGCCTGAGTGTCTGGTTGTAGGGGTCCCCAAGTGTCCGGGTATCTGAGGGTGGGGGTATCTGTGTATGAAACAACAGGGACCCAGTCATTGAAGTATCCAGTTGTTAGTGAGTCTGGGTGTGGGGTGCCATGTGTCTATTTTTTTTTTTTCTTCTTCTTCTTCTTCTTCTTCTTTTTTTTGAGATGGAGTCTCACTCTGTCACCCAGGCTGGAGTGCAGTGGCGTGATCTTGGCTCATTGCAACCTCCGCCTCCCGGGTTCAAGTGATTCTCCTGCCTCAGCCTCCTAAGTAGCTGGGATTACAGGCGCACGCCACCATGCCTGGCTAATTTTTGTATTTTTAGTAGAGACTGGGTTTCGTCATGTTGGTCAGGCTGGTCTTGAACTCCTGACATTGTGATCTGCCTGCCTTGGCCTTCCAAAGTGCTGAGATTACAGGCGTGAACCACAGCGCACGGCCTTTTCTTCTTTTTTATTCAGATGGAGTCTCGCTTTGTCACCCAGGCTGGAGTGCAATGGCATGATCTCGGCTCACTGCAACCTTTGCCTCCTGGGTTCAAGCGATTCTCCTGCCTCAGCCTCCCGAATAGCTGGGATTACAGGCACCCGCCACCATGCCTGGCTAATTTTTGTATTTTTAGTAGAGATGGGGTTTCACCATGTTGGCCAGGCTGGTCTTGAACTCCTGACCTCAGGTGATCCACCTGCTTCGGCCTCCCAAAGTGTTGGGATTACAGGTGTGAGCCACTGTGCCTGGCCTCATGTGTCTATTTGTATGTTTAGATGTGGAGGTGCCCTTGTGACCTATGGTGGTGTCCATGTATCCAGGATGTGTCCACAAGGGGTGTGGACGTGTTGGGTGGGAATGTCCTGGTGGCTGTACCCAACTCAACCTCTGGTAGCCCCTTCCCTGGGACTTGCCTCCTGATCGCTCTTCAGACTCCAAAGCCAGAAGCCTTGGAAGGGGCCCCGATAGTTCTGTTTTTCAACGGTCAGCCTAGAGCTGTGTTATCTAATAGAACCTTCTGTGGTGATGGAAATTGTCCTCTACCTGCATTCTCCAATACGGTGGCTCCTGAGTCATGTATGGGTATTACATTTAAATTAATTAAAATAAAAATTCAATCCCTCAGTTGCACTAGTCAGATTTCAAGTCCTCAAGAGTCATATGTTGCTAGTGGCTCTCATTGTACTGGTTAATGCAGGCAGAGAACATTTCCATCCTCTCAGAAAGTTCTGCAGACAGCACTGGTCTAGAGGCATGAGGCGGCCTGCAGCACCTTCAGTGAGTCCTGGGCATCTCTGGGAGGGGAATTGGTCTGGATGGACCATGACTCAGTGGCTCTTGACAAAAGGTTTTGTTCAATCCAGGCCCCTTCTCTGCAGCCTTATTAGATCTTGCCTGGACTATTGCAGTAGCCTGGTAGCCTTCTTGGCCTCTACTCTGCCTGCCATCACGCTCTCGGTTTCTTTTTTTTTTTTTGAGATGGAGTCTCACTCTGTCACCCAGGCTGGAGTGCAGGGGCACCATCTTGGCTCACTGCAACCTCTGCCTCCTGGGTTCAAGCAATTCTTCAGCCTCAGCCTCCCAAGTAGCTGGGACTACAGGCGCGTGCCACCACGCTCGGCTAATTTTTTGTATTTTTAATAAAGACGGGGTTTCACTGTGTTAGCCAGGATGGTCTCCATCTCCTGACCTCATGACCTGCCTGACTCGGCCTCCCAAAGTACTGGGATTAGAGGCATGAGCCCCCGGGCCCGGCCCAGGCTTTTGGTTTCTAATGCTTCCACCACCCTGTGGCTGGAATAAGCTTCTAAGGCAGACATAGGATGCTGCCACTCCTTTGTCCCAAGCTGAAGGCTCCCCAGAACTCAGGGGACAAAACCCAAACCCTAGCATAGCACATGAGGCCCTGCATGACCAGCCCTTTCTTTCTGAAGCAGCTTCACATGATGCCTTTCTTCCCTGATCCCACTCCTGCCTATCCGCTGTCTGCTCCAAATCACCAGGCAAATTGCTGATCCAGGAGCCTGCCATGCCAGTTCACACCTCTCTACCTTTGCACACACTGTGCCCCTCCCTACTTCTCACCTCGTGGTGGGGGTGGGGGATCTACCTACTTGTTCAGCCTTCACAGTTCAGCTCCATTGTCACTGATGCAGCGAAGCCTTCCCAGCCCTCTCCCGGTGCAGTTGGTGAAATTTCTCCCATAGTGGACGTCTGACAATGTGCTGCGGTTTTCCATCTCCTTTTTCCACTAGGCTGGGAGCCCCCAGGGGCTGAGCTGTGTCTTTGTCATCTGTGGTCCCCAGGGCCTATACGTGGGAGATGCCCACTAAGTGGCTGCATCTCGATGCCTCTGGGTGCACAGGGAAGGCTTGGAGGGGTGAATGCAGGAGCTGGGGTTCTGCAGCACAGTCATGGGTGGGCTGGCTATGCCTCCTCCTCTGGCTCTGGGTTGGGGGCTGCCATTTCCTGCAGAATGACTGTGGGAGGACCCCTGAGGGGGACAGCTCAGAAGATGCTGCTTCCAGATGACGCAGGAGGTCTTGGGCAGATTCCCAAGATGCAAACCACAAGACCTTGTGATGACTCAGAAGGGACAAGGAGAAAGGGGGCTTGGAGGGCCGCTGAGGCTTGGGAGTTTGAGGGCAGAAGCTGGGGAGAAAGATTGAGATGGGGCTGTTAGGAAGGGGAGATGCTGAGGATATTTGACAGGGCAAGATTAAAGCTAGGGGTGGGGTGACAGCTCAGCCCCCGGGGGCTCCCAGACTAGTGGAAAAAGGAGACGGAAAACCGCAGCACACTGTCAGATGTCCACTGTGGTGGGTGACAGCTGAGGCCTGGGGGACCACTGGCGGATAGAAGATAGCTGGTGGGAAAGATATACCTGGGGGATGGGACAGCTGACAGTGAAGGGACAGGCGGTATTGGGGGAACAACTGAGGGTTGGGGGACAGGTGGATGATAGAACAAGGAGATGTGGGTGATAAGATAAGAGGTGGAGATAAGAGGTGACAACTGGGAGCTATCAGAAACCTAGTGGATAGGACAGGTGAGTCTCAGCTGAGAGTGGGAAATACATTGCTTAGAATGTGTATGTATGTGTGTTTACAGGAGCGTGCATGTGGACTTGTGGCTGGGCATGCCTGTCAATATGTGTTTGTCTAGCGTGTGGTGGTTAAGAGCATGGGTTCAGGGCCCAGACCATCTGGGTTCTAATCCTAAGCCCACCACTTCTAGCTGTGTGATACTTTGGTAAGTTACTGACCTCTCTGGGCCCTTAGAGTTCTCATTTGTGGAATGGGGATAATAATAGGACACACTGCATGCGTTTGTCATGAGGATATGTTTTATGGTTATGATTATGTAGGTTAGAACAGGTCCTGCACATAGTAAGCACTGTGTAAGTGATCACTGTTATGATGTGTGTATTTGCATGCGTGCGGTCATCCTGTGTGCCCAGAAAAGTTTGTTCTTGGTTTCTGATGAAGTCCAGGCCTGGGAGGGAGTAATAGTGGTGGGGACGGGGGTGGTGGTTGGGGAGTGCCTAGCCAGGTTGATTGAGTCTGGCTCTTCTCTGACATCCTAACCTCTTGTTCATCCTACTTCCTGCTCACCCTGTCCCAGGGCCTTATCCAATAATAGGTCTTTCTCTCTATCTCTCCTCTGTCCTGCCCTGGGCTGGGGGCCAGGGGCTGTACTTTAATTGTCTGAGAGCTTTACCAGCAGAATTTGAATTCATTGTTTTCCTGCCAGCATGCTGGGATTCTGCTCAGTTATAATACCTGGACAATGTGCTCGATTCTAGATGGCCTATCCTGTGGGTGGCAGTGGCTTCAGCCTTTGCCCTTGGAGAGTCACTGGGGTGGAAGATGTTGGAGGGAGGGAGACAAGCCAGATGAGATTTCGGCCCCCAACTTGTGGGGTGAGCCAGCGTGGCCGGGCAGAGCTGTAGGTAGAGAGTTTTCCAGGGATCTGAGCTCCCCTCTCCTCCAGTGCATCACAGGGAGGCATCATGACCCTCCCAGCAACACTGTTGCAGCGTGCCAGGCTCTGGACTGCTCTGGATGTGCACTGTCTGGGATTCCTGGGTCCAGCCTCCTTGCACAGCCCTGTGTCTCAGCCCTCTACTTCACTGGGATTGCTGCATTGCATTGAGGGTGTGCGTTCTCCTGAGTTTCTGCATGCTCTGCCTCTGCATTGTCCCATTGGACCGTGCCTCCATCCTGCCATGATCCTGCCATGGTCCTGCCATGTGTGTGTCTTTGCTGCTCTCTTGTATACTGTGTCACTCTGCTGGATGTCAGTGTTGCATTGGGAAGGTGAATTCTCCTGGGTTTCTGGGCGGAGCTGCTCACACTGCACCACTGTCTGAGATCAACACATGGTTTTCTGTGGCCACATTGCATGTTTGTGTCATAGAGCATTTATATTCTGCACCCCATTGCCTCACCAGGCAGTCTACATTGCATTGGGCACATGGACTCTTTTGGGGTTTGGGCATAGCTCCTCGCATTGCAGCACTGCACCGTGCCAACAGATGGCATGCTACCACAACATTGCATCTTGGCATCACACAGCATCTCTGTACTGCACTGCACTATTGCATGGACGTCAGTATTGCATCAGGACTGTGAACTTTTCCTGAGTTTCTGGGCATGGCCCCTCTGCATTCCACAGTTGCATTGTACCAACAGTGCACTTTGCCCCATATAGCACTTCTGTGCATGTGCACTGCTTTGCTGCACTGGATATGTGCCTCATGGCCCAGCCCTTGCACTGCACCACTGCTGCTGAAACGCTGCCCCTATGGTGTCCTGGCCTTTCACGCTCCTACCACCATGGTATCTGTAGGCTGGCGTCCTTTTCCAGGTTTTTGTTGTCAGCCCTACGTGAACAACATCTTTGCATTGAGTGTCCTCACTGCCCCACGTTGCACATGACTCAGGGAGTCTATATCTATAGTACAGCTTGGGACCACTTTCTTGGGCTTCAGGACTGGCTTAGGTTTGCAAAGGCAGCACCACTGCACAGTATCTGACATTGCATTCGTGCACTGCACAGGATTACTGCCCAGGGCCTCTACCCTGCAACGAACCTGTTCACTGTTGGGTTGTGTGCACTCTACCGGATTGCGGGACCCAGAGCCCTTGCGTTGAATCCACTGGTTCCACACAGCATCTATTTTTTTTTTTTTAAGATGGAATCTCACTCTGTTGGCCAGGCTGGAGTGCAATGGAGCGGTCTGGGCTCACTGCCACCTCCGCCCCCTGGGTTCAAGTGATTCTCCTGCCTCCGCCTCCTGAGTAGCTGGGATTACAGGCATGTGCCACCAAACCCAGCTAATTTTTGTATTTTTACTGGAGACGAGGTTTCACCATGTTGGCCAGGCTGGTCTCAAACCTCTGACCTCAAATGATCCACCTGCCTCGGCCTCTCAAAGTGCTGGGATTACGGGCATGAGCTACTGCGCCCAGCTCCACACAGCATCTTAATTGTACTCCATTTTGTGCCACTTCCTACCCATGCCTCGAGTCTGCACATACTCTGTTCCTCAGGACTGTATTTATTGGGCTTATATGCTAGGCTGGGTTGCCGCACCCTGCAGTTTCTTCTTCACTCACTGCCCCTTTCCCATCCCCTTATCTCTCTGTTGTTCTGTGTGCCTGTGCTGCATGTCTATGCAGGGCACACACCCTTCCCCTGAGAATGCATGAAGCTTGAACTAGTAAGGCTTAAACTTACCATCTTGGCATTCCTCCATACACCTATCACGTAGCACTGGGTGCCAGCCCAGTGTACCACTAAATGCACTGCAGTGGCGCGGTGTGCCTTGTGCAGCTCTGGGTCATGCCCATGATGGATGTGGCACTTCCATGGTGCATCATGGCCCTGGCCAGTTCTGCCATGCTGTACCAGATGTCTGTAATGAGGCCTGTGCACACTGTGGGCTCTGCTCCCTGCATTGTATAACAGTATTCTGTCTCTACACTGCAAAGCTGCTGTACTGCACCCTCCACACACTGCACTGTGGCACAGCAGAGGCCTCTCTCCATGGACCTTTATGAAGTACAGATCGTCACACTGCTCGGGTTTGTGCACAGCCCCATGCCCCTCTACTCTATACTCTGTCTTCGTATGTCGCAGGGTGTCTGTGGGGCAGATCTGTGAACTCTTTGCACCACTGCACCACTGCACAACATAGTCCTCCATTCGGCCCTTTTCCTCTGTCTGGCATCCAGCCCTGGCCTGTGCCTTCCCCTCATACTGCCAGTGTGGCAGCTCTACTGCTAACTCTGGGATTTGCAGCACATATTGATCAGGGAGATGGGGAGTGGGCCTGGCATAAGGTCCCCTGCTGTACTTGGTTTCCTTCCATTCTCCGTGGAGATGGCAAGATGTTGGCATTGTCAGGCTGTGTGTTGGCTCTGTGGGTGGTGCTAGCTCAACTTTCCCTGTGGCCCAGCCCTGGGCGATCTTTCTGGTTGCAGCTATGGTGACTCCTGGGTGATTAGAAAATGGGCATACTGCTCCCAGCCCTGACTACAATTAATGACCCATCAGTTTGTCAGGGCTCTTCGGGCAGCTCTGGGAGCCTCAGCTTAGGTCTAGATGAGTTGACTTGGGCAAGGAGAGTAGCAAGGTGGGCTGGGCCGGGCCTCTGGGCTGGAGTCATGGTCCTAGAGCTGGGTGTGGTTGGTGAGGGTCAGACTAGCTGGGATCATGGGGTCAATAAGTCCAGGCACTGTTGGCTATACACAGGGCTTGGGATGGGGTTCAAATGCATGAGACGTGGTCCTTGACCTCAGGCAGGGAGGAGGTAGGGATTAGACAGGCCTGAGATGGAGCTGTAGCTGGGGTGGAGAACCCAGGATGGGGCTGGGTTAGGCAAGAAAGTCAGGGGTGAGTCCAGTGTTGGTTCCAGGCTTGGGCTGGGCTGCTGAGAATAGGGGTACAACCTTGGATGATGAAATAGTCCAGTATTGTTGTTGGGGTTGTATTTGAATTCCCCCACCCACAACTGGGCATGTACCTGGGCTTGGGTGAAATCCCAGCCCCTAAATGTGCAACCTGTTGGGAAAAGTTTTGCTTCTCCTGGGACCACTCTTGGGAATTGGATGTTCTATTGACAAACCAAAGGGCAGAAAAGTCTCATTGCAAACAGGCTCTGTTTGCCAGGTGTCTTCAGAAAATACTGGTTGCAGCTGCAGCCGCATTGGGCATGGAGTGCTGTTCCCTGTCTGGTGTGAGGAAAGTCTGGTGCACAGTGCTTGTGTTCACACTGACACATACACGTATGCACAACTCCCATCTACCTTACTGCACACACCCACCTCCCCCTTAGGTGCAGGCTTACCACTAAATATGCCCTGTACCTTTGCTTGTAAATGCACGTCTATACACCCACGGCTTCACAGCGCCTGCCCGGGAGACCTCCCCTTTCCGACACCCATGCCCACCCTCATGCACCTCTGCCCCAAGATGACTCTTGCTCACGTGCACACTCACGCAACTGCAACCGGTCATCTGACCTTAGCGGTCCCCACTCTCATTTTACAGGTGAGGAGGTAAGGATTCAGAGAGGGCAAGTCACCTGCCCAAAGTCACAAAGGGACTTAGAGGCTCAGTGGGAAAAAGATCCCGGTCTTCCGCCTCCCATTTGAATACTTGAAACTCAGTACCAGGCTGTCCTGTCATCTTAGAGCCATGAGTGCACGTGTGCACACACACACACGCACACCTGCACACACTCACACGCACACCTGCATGTGGACACATGCATGGGGAGGTGTGGAGCCCCTCCCACCAGGGAGACCCCTCCCACACTCCTCCAGAGGCAGCTCTGCCCCTTACATCACCCCATCCTGAGCCCAGCCGGATGTGGCTAAACCATCCCCCTGCCTTCCCAAATTGTGGCTGACGGTTGCTCAGGCAACCGCCTGCCAGACTGGGGAGATTAGCTGAGGAATGTAGCTGGGCCAGTTTGAACTGAGGCTGGGGGAGCCCTTGGGGGTCTTGGGTTGATTCAATTCACCCTCTCAGGGAGGCCTCTGTAGAGATGGGGTGCCCAAGGGCAGGCATTCTCCCTGTTCCCAGTCTGAGGCTGCATCCCCAGGCTTGGCCCAGGCTGCAGAAAGGGAGTGTGTGTGAACACTGAGCGCGGGGCTCAGGGCATATGTGTGTTGTGTGCTGTGCACCTCTCTGAGTGTGATTGGAGGGTGTGCCGTTTACATCCTGGAAGGGGACTTGAGGCCCCTGTCCTCACCAGTTTCTGACATCTGACTCTGGACCCCTTGGTGGCTTGGTCCCAAGATCCCTCTGGATCCTGCTGTGCTCTCTGGAGACACCACCTGCCCTACTCATGGCTTATAGGATATATCATTTATCTCATCTGAATCCAGGATGAGATAAACTTTCCTACTCAAACACCTACTGTGGCTTCTCAATTCAAAATGAGGCCCAGCTCCTCACCCTGGCGTTCAGGGTCCTCCATGATTGGCCTCAACCTCCCTTCCCTCCAGTCATAGCTCCCATGGCTTTAGCCAACCTGGGCTCCTTTCTGTGCCCTGGACAAACTGTGTTTATTGACCACCTTGCTTTGCTCCCCTGGGTCTTTTGCCACAAATCCTTCCACCCATCTCTACCTATCCTTCTTGGCTCTGCTTAGATGCCGCCTCTTCCAGGAGGCCTTTCCCCTCTACCTGGCCCCCTCCCCTGGACCCCCTCTTGTGGCCTTGACTCTTCCCTTATTCCCTCATTCCCTCTTCCTCACCCTCACTGGGACTAGGAGGTCCCTGAGGGCAGGGCAGAGTCTTCATCATCCTTGTACCTCTAATAGTGCCAGCCTGGGACCTGCTTTGTACTGGCAGGGAAAAATCCCCTGTGAATGAAGCTGAATTAACACTTATGGCCAGCAGAAGGGCAGGCTTTGTTTTGTTTGTGCCCAGTCTCCTGGAATAAAGATAGGAGGTTTAAGTCTGAGCTTCTGCACATTGTAGCTGCATGGCCTTGAGTAAGCAGCTGTATCTCTCTGAGCCTGTTTTAATCTGTAAATTAGGAATAATAATAGTACCTAATAAACTAACAATAAGACAAAAATAATACTACCTACCTTCTGAGTTGCTGAGGATTCACCGGCTCAGGTGGTCATGGTGGTAATTCACAGCCCCTTCATAGAGGTATTGATGTGTATATGTGCATGTCTGTGCCCATGTCTGTGTTGATGGAGTCAAGAAGGATTCCTTGCTACCATTCTTGCTCTGAACTCAAAGTCGGATTTAGTGGCCTCCAGCAGGAGTTGAGTCTCTAGCAGAGCTGGGACTTGGCTTTGGGGCTTTTGGCTCCTAGCTGACCATTCCCATCTCAAGGGACCAGGGGAAGGGGTGAGGGTGGGGCTCTCCTTAGGGAGCCTGTCCCCAGAGATGTTACCCACTATGAGCTGGAGCTAGAACTGGGTCTGGCCCAGAGACACAGGTCTAGAGACGGACATGGGTCAGGGAGAGGGAGTGAATCTGGTTAAGGAATCACTCTGAGGCTGGGTACAGTGGCTCATGCCTGTAATCCCAGCACTTTGGGAGGCCAAGGTGGAGGCACCACTTGAGGCCAGAAGTTTGAGACCAGCCTGGCCAGCATGGTGACATCCCCATCTCTACTAAAAATACAAAAACAAGCTGGGTATGGTGGCACGTGCCTATAATTCCAGCTACTTTGCAGGCTGAGGCACGAGAATAGCTTGAACCTGGGAGCTGGAGGTTGCAGTGAGCGAGATCATGCTACTGCACTTCAGCCTGGGCAACAGAATGAGACTCTATCTCAAAAGAAAAAAAAAAAAGGAATCACTCTGGATGCGGTCAGTCAGTCAGCCCATCCAGAGTGACTCCTTGGAGGTCACCTTGGCCGGGGTCAGTTGTAGGGGTCATTTGGCAGAGGTCAGGGGTCACTGTGGCTGGGGTGTGCAGGTCTGGGGTCAGTCAGTCTGATGGTTATTCTGGCCGAAGTGAGATAGTCTGGGGGTCATCTGTATGAGGCAGAGGCCACTTTCAACAGGGACAGTCAGCTGGGAGCCAGGCTGGCTGAGGTCGGCCTATTTGGGGGTCACCAACTTGGATCAGTCTGGCTGGGGATCATAGGACTGTTGTCAGTCTATCTGGGGGCTCCTGTGACTGAGGTCAGGTGGTCTGGGTGTCACTCTGACCAGGTTAGTCAGTCTGGGAGTCCTGGCCGTTCGTGTGGCCTGGCTCAGGATGAACAAGAGGAAGCCAAGGGGCTGGCACTCCCAGGCTCTCCCCAGGGTGGTGAGTGAGACATCAGGGCAGCGGCTTTGTTACTTGTGAAGGAACAGGAAAGGCCTGAACCCCATCCAGGGCTTTAGATCCTGGGCTTCCCTTTCTGGCAACCCCTCTACCTCAAGGAGGCCTTGGCTAAGAGCCTTAGGGCAGGCCCAGCTCAAGCTGAAGTCAGCTGGCCTCCTCCTCCAGGAAGTCCTCCCTGACCACCATGCTCTCTCTCTGTACTTGCCATGTTCTTTCTCTCTGCTGCACTGTGGGTCTTTTTCTACAGGGGAAGCTGAGGCCCTCCAGGTACAGATGGGGTTAATACCCACCTCCTACAGGCAATAGGGTATGATGCTGACCAGGGATTTTCAAACAAAGAGCCAAAGAGCTCAGCCAAGGTCCTGCCTCAGCTCTGGAAAGAGTCTTCTGTTACTTCATCCCAACTGCTTGGTGCCATCCTCACACCCACATCTCACCATTTCAGGAGAAGACCGGGAGCCCCCAGCAGTGAGGAGCCCCTTTGTGCCTGGCTCTTCTGGGTGTGTTTTTCTTTTTTCTTTCTTTTTTTTTTTTTTGAGACAGAGTCACACTCTGTCACCCTGGCTGGAGTGCAGGGGTACCATCTCAGCTCACTGCAACCTCTGCCTGCTGGGTTCAAGTGATTCTTCTATTTCTGCCTCCCAAGTAGCTGGGACTATAGGCATGCGCCACCACACCCAGCTAATTTTTTAATTTTTAGTAGAGATGGGGTTTCATCATGTTGGCCAGGCTGGTCTTGAACTCCTGACCTCAGGCGATCTGCCTGCCTCGGCCTCCCAAAGTGTTGGGATTACAGGTGTGAGCCACCGCGCCTGGCCTGGGTGTGTTTTTCATGTGCTACTTCACATCATCCGCATCACCGCCTAGAGGAGTTGCAGCTGCAGATGAAACAGTAGAGCCTCCTAAAAGTGAAGTCGCTTGCTGCGTGTGAAGATGCCTAGCACTGGGCCTGTGACATAGCACTCACTCCCCAGGTGCTGTTGTTTGGGAAAAGCTCTCTCAAACGGTGTTTTTCCTCTGCCCTCCCACCACCACAGCAGCAGTCATCAACACAGGAGGCCTCTGTGACCAAATGTGTGGGGGCTTCTCCCCACCACCAAGCAAGCAATTAATTCTGTAGCAGACACCAGGTGGGTGTCCTCCAATTCAGTTCTAGCACAAGAGTCAGATCCCATGGGTTGAGGGCTCAGTCCCCATGACTGCCTCCTCCTCCAGACACCAGTCGCAAGTCTGGGCCTCCAGAACTTCTGGCCGACCCGCTGCAGGTTGGGGTTCCCACGACCCCCTCTTTGAGTTTGATTAATTTGCTGGAGCAGCTCACAGAACTCAGGGAAACACATTAACTGGTTAATTATAAAGGATATTGCAAAGGATACAGATGAAGAGATGCATAGGGTGAGGTATGGGAGAAGGGACATGGAGCTTCCTTGCCCTTTCTGGACCCACCATCCTCCAAGAAGCTCCATGTGTTCAGCTGTCTGGAAGCTCTCCGAACCCTGTCCTTTTGGGTATTTACGGAGGTTTCCTTACATAAGCATGATGGACAAATGTGATTGCACATAAAACACCTGATCTAAACCCAGCAAGGCCTGTCTGCTTAGACTTTACTTGGCCTTTCCGTGGCATTCCTTCCTCTAGGGTATGGGGCAGGACCCTCTCTGGAATGACCCATGATTAGATTAGAGCCCTGCCTTGGACAGGTGAAAGGAGGACAGGAATAGGTCAGAGAGAAATTTTGTTTCCTGAGGCCTGTTTCTGAGGCCTAAAGTGTCCAACATTATAACATAAGACTGTACAAAGGGTTTTATATATATAAATAAATATGTATTATGTTGTGCAAAAGTAATTGCTGTTTTTGCCATTACTTTAAAAAAATGGCAAAAACTGCAATTACTTTTGCACTAACCAAATATATGTAAATATCACAACTATCTATACCTCTCCCTCTTCTTCTTGAGATTGGGAAGCAGCTCAGGTCTGCTCCTTCTGGTATCGAAACCTCTTTTGGTGGGAAGCTTGGACTTCATCATCTGACCCACATGGATTCAAATCCCACCTCTGTTCCCTAGTAGACTTGCATGGTACACATAAGAGCTGCTATTTCCTGAGTGCTTAAGTATGCTAGGCGTTGTGCTAAGTGGGCTACTACATCAAATCCTCAACAAGCCTATGTGCAGATAGGGAAACAGAGGCTCAGAAAGAGAAGCCACCTGCCCCTGGTCACAAGGTTTGGCAAATTGCAGTCAAGATTTGATCCCAAGTCTGTGATGCCAAAGCCCACTCATTGATCCACCACGTGGTGCTGTGGACAAATCCCTTCACTCCTCAGATCCTCAGTCACATCATCTGTCAAATCGGGAGGAGTACCAGTGGCTGGCAGGTACCCAGGACAGGGTCTGGCATGGTTTGCGCTTGCTTCCTCGCCACTTGCTTGGGCATTTTCCTGGGTTTCTGATGCCTCAGGCTCCTGATGGGGCTCCAAACACTAAGGTTTGGGAGTGAGTGCCAGGGAGAAGCTTGCAATTCCTTTCTGAACCAATAGTGTTCTCAGGTTTATCAGGCAACCAGCTCAGGCCTTTGATGAACTCACTAAGATATATGGACCTCATTACCAACCAAAGGACTCACATGTATTTCAATCCTCACTTCCTCCCCTCTTTCTCATTTCAACTGTTAGTACTGGTTGCAAATCATGGGAAGTTGCTTCATCTAGTCAGTCATACATGTGCCTAGTCCACACATGACTGTGCTTTTGCATGTCACATTCCTGCAGGCAGAGACCTAATTTGGCCGACTTTGGGCAATGACTGAATTCCATTGACATCTGTCAAGTAGGAAAAATAGTGGTGCCTGACTCAGAACGCGTGGCCTGAACGAGGCTCTGTACTTACGCCATTTAGCATTGTGCCCGGCTTGAGTGGATTGGCGGCAACTGTTGTTTTTAAAGGAGATCTCATTGGGCTGGATTATGGCATGCATGGTCCTGCCAGGCCCAGGGCCCACTGTCTGTCCTCTATGGGAAGATAGAGGGGCAGGTGACAGAACACTGAGTAACAATCCGGAGATCTCAGTTCAAACCCCACCTCCATCACCAGTGACCTGCGTGACCCTAATGAAGTCACTCAGCCTTTTGGGGTCTCAGTTTCCTTATCCACAAAGTGGAGATGATTCTATTCCTGATCTTATGGGTTGTTGTGAAGTTCCAATAATATAGCAATCCTGATAACTAGTTTTTGAGGAGGGTCTTTGATGGATGACTGAGCCAGTGGTGGTTGGGGGGTCCTGGGAAGTACTGGGGGAGTTGGCAGTGTAGGGACATCTTGGTATTGGGAGGGGACCTTGGTAGAGGGAGAGGGTGGAGGAGGGAGAATTTCACTAGAGGGAGGGAGCAGTGTGGGGAAGGGCCTGAAGAGAGGGAGGAGGGCAGGTGGGCCTGGGTAGAAGGGAGAGTGGGGCTACCCTCCAGGAGCCCTCCTGGCCAGCAGCCCTGCCTTAGCCTGGGCTAACCAGGCCCTGCTCTCACAGCTGGCTGCACCTTCGAGGAGGCAAGTGACCCAGCAGTGCCCTGCGAGTACAGCCAGGCCCAGTACGATGACTTCCAGTGGGAGCAAGTGCGAATCCACCCTGGCACCCGGGCACCTGCGGACCTGCCCCACGGTAAGTCTACTCTCCATCGCCATTACCCCTTCTTCTCCTTCCAGAGGCACTTCTACCCACCTGCTGTGTGACCTTGGGCACATTACTTAACCTCTCTGGGCCCCATCTACATTTGCATCTTTAATGACATACGTGACACTGAATGTGGCTTTCTCTGGACACTGTCTAATTGTGCATGTCAGCTAGTTTCGTGTGTAAAATGAGTGCAGGCCCTCATGGCTGTGAGCTAAAACTCACTTCCAATTACTCCCCTTGCTGCCTAGCTCAGGATCCAAACCACTCCCACTCTCAGTTCTTCCTAAATCCTCCATCTTTGAGAGGCTCTCTTCAGAGATTCTTTTCTCCCAAAGAGCCCCTGAATCCTGGTCTCTCCAGGACTTGAAGATGCTGAAAGAGCAGTAACACTGGGACTAGATGTGTATAAAACCTTCCTTCCTCTGCCCTCTTCCTCCTGGAAGTCCCAGATTCTTCTCGACTTCTACCTTGCTGTGTTCCTATTTCAAGATGGGGCACCTTTGTCATCCTGAGCTCTGGACTGGGAGTCAGGAGACTAATAATATGGATTCTAGTACTGACTTCCTGCTTTCATCATGGCCCCTAGAACACTCATTCCAGAGTCACGAAGACCTGGGCTCAAACCCTGTCTCCAGTCACTTTACCAGCAGTGTCACTTAACGTATCTGAGCCTCCATTGTCTTCACTGTAAAATGAGGCAAACAGGACTCCATTTCAGAGGGTCATGAGATGATGCATATAAAGTACAGAGCACAGGGGTGGCATGCAGGGGTCAGTTATTTAATTGCTATGGTTGAGGGTCTTTGGGGGCCCTGATTACTAGTACTGCTCTTCACTGGATGCAGGATCAACTGGGAATTAAAAAAGAATGAGACAAATAAAGGCCAAATTGTCAACTTTATTACTGATAAGGGCTGTGTCAGAGGACAAATCAAATGGGCTTTCCGAGTGAATCCTGAAATTCCACAGCCTGAAGCCCACTCCCTTTGCCCCATCACACTAGTGCCCAGGGTGTTTACTGCCTAGCTCACGTCATGGCTGAGATTGCATCTGTTGTCAGGGAGGGGCAGCAAAGATTCTCAGTGGTGGGGCCAGGACTTGAAGCCACTAGGAGAGAAGACCTTCATGACCTGGCACAGGCGCCTCCTGCGGACTCTCATGGCTTGCCCCGCCTCCCCTTCTGTGCATTTGCTCACACTGTGCCCTTCCTGGGGCACTTATCTCTGCCTCTGCAGGTGTTAGTGGGTATCACAGTTTGCCTTCTCTGAAAATAATCTGTAAAGGTACCCACCATGGCAGGGACCTCGTGTGGGCCTCTCCATATTCCCAGGGCCCAGCCTCAGTCTGATACATGGTTGGCAGTCAGGTACAAGGCAGCTGATTGGAATTCACCTCTTATAGTACTGACCACCCTGAGTGCACACTGCCTCTCTTGTCACGTGCAAGCAGAGACATACCCAGTGAGAAAGGGGAGAGGGGAATTTAGCAATTAGTGTGAGCCTTGTGCTAGGTCTTGAGGATGTGGTGGTGAGCCAGATGGACAGTCTTTGTCCTCCTGGTTCTCACATTCTAGGAATGGGAGCTGGTGGTGGAGGGAGAAGAAAGGAGGGAGATTCACACTCAGAGATGGAGAGAGGAGAAGGAAGAGCGACAGGGACAAAGGGAGTAAATGAAAGAGAAGGGGAGGGATGTAGTGAGCCGAGGAGGAGGCAGAGGGAGCAGGAGGAGGAGGAAAGAACAAAGTGTCAGATTGGAAGAGGGAGAAAGATGCACACAGCTGCTCGCAGGGAGAGGAGAGAGAAGTAGCATGAGTGGGCCAAGAGGGAGTGTGTTGGGGGTTGAGAAGTGCCCCTTCCTGGGTGGGGATGGGGACTTGAGTTTAGTTTACTACTGCCCTGCTGGGACTGATCCAGGAGCCGCCTCCATAGGGCTTCTAGCTTACAGAGATGAATGAGATCGCCTCCAGCAGAGTCCCTGGGGAGCCCTCCTGGAGCGGGGATCTGAGTGAGCTTGTGTTGGCTGGCAGCCAAGCCCGGGAGGAGGCAGCGCTGGGTGGTTTCGGGTGCCCTTTGGGAAGCCCAAATCCCCCCGCCAGGTCCTGAGCCAGCCTAGTCCACTTCTACTCCACCAGTACCCAGCCTGGGTCTCTGGGGAAGGGACAGGCTGCCTTTCTCCAGGTTGGAAGTCAAGGGGATTTGTATTCCAGGAATTTAGACTCAGGGATGGGGGCTGGAAGGGAAGTTGGAATCCTTTCATTCAATCTCTGTTCTACATATTCATTCAGCTTGCGTCCTGAGGCCTCACAGCCTGGTGGGAGACACACAGGCACTTTAGTAATGACCCAGGGGGCAGGAGAGAAGCCCAGGGTGGGAGGCAGAGGGAGGGCTTTGGAAGGGGTGGCCTTTGAGGGACTGTTGTGTGCCAAGCTCTTGACTCCAGGGATGAATGACCTAGTCCCTGTCTCCAGGGATAGCTCAGAACATGGGGAAAGCTGTGGTTAGGCTGGGCATGGGCATTGTGACCTGTAGATTGTAAGGAGCCATAATTTTTTTTTTCTTTTTGAGACCGAGTCTTGCTCTGTCACCCAGGCTGGAGTGCAGTGGCGTGATCTTGGCTCACTGCAACCTCTGCCTCCCAGGTTCAAGCAATTCTCCTGTTTCAGCCTCCCGAGTAGCTGGGACTACAGGCACATGCTACCACACCCTGCTAATTTTTGTTTTTTTAGTAGAGACAGGGTTTTACCATATTGGTCAGGCTGGTCTCGAACTGCTGACCTCAGGTGATTCACCCACCTCAGCCTCTCAAAGTGTTGGGATTATAGGCGTGAGCCACCGCGCCCAGCCTTTAAATGGTTTTGACAAAGTCAGGTTTGTGTGTTTTTTACTGCTCCAGGTCTCCTGTGGGAAACAGATGCTAGGAAGTGAAGGGACTCACCCAGGGAGGTGGAGCTGGGGCCAGAACTCAGAATCCCTGACTCCTGGTGGGTCCCGTTGCCTGGAGTCCTCCTCAGTGCTCCCCTTGCCCTGGCCCTGTCCCTCCCCTGAGGTCTCCTCATCTCCTGCCTCTTCCTCCTCTCTTTCCAGGCTCCTACTTGATGGTCAACACTTCCCAGCATGCCCCAGGCCAGCGAGCCCATGTCATCTTCCAGAGCCTGAGCGAGAATGATACCCACTGTGTGCAGTTCAGCTACTTCCTGTACAGCCGGGACGGGCACAGCCCGGGCACCCTGGGCGTCTACGTGCGCGTTAATGGGGGCCCCCTGGGCAGTGCTGTGTGGAATATGACTGGATCCCACGGCCGTCAGTGGCACCAGGCTGAGCTGGCTGTCAGCACTTTCTGGCCCAATGAATATCAGGTGGGCTGGGTTCAGTCAGCGGTCAGCCTGTGCCTGGAGGTGGGGCAGATGGATGTCAAATTGAGGTTGGAGTAGATGAGTGGCTGAAGTTAGAATGTGTCTGCATTCAGTATCAGAGGCAACCTGTGGTCAAGGCCAGGGGTCAGTCTGGGGCCAGTCTGGGTTCAGCATCTGAGGTCATTGTTCCTAGGAATAGCCTCTGGCCCAGGTCAAGGGTGAGTTGGAACAGTGCTGACCTGGAAACTCTGTCTGGCTGCTTGAGGGTAACTGTCCAGGATTTGGGTGGAAACTGGCCTCCACCTTGTTCACTATGGGCGCTGGGACCCCACCCCCAACTAGCTGGCTTGGGAGGGAGGGTCAGTGTGAGCTGGGCTGACCTCTGCTAGTTGAGGCAGAGGAGGCTGAGGCCGAGCTGAAAGTGGGCACCTCCCCAGGCAAGGCTGGAGGAATATCAGTATGATAGGGGCCCTCCCGCCTCCCCCAGGTGCTGTTTGAGGCCCTCATCTCCCCAGACCGCAGGGGCTACATGGGCCTAGATGACATCCTGCTTCTCAGCTACCCCTGCGGTGAGTCCCAGCCCACTGGGGGCGCAGGGGTAAGGGGTGTGGGCGGCCGCGGCTCCTGCCTGCAGGGGGTGCAGGCCCAGCTCACGATGCAGCTCTAACCCCGCAGCAAAGGCCCCACACTTCTCCCGCCTGGGCGACGTGGAGGTCAACGCGGGCCAGAACGCGTCGTTCCAGTGCATGGCCGCGGGCAGAGCGGCCGAGGCCGAACGCTTCCTCTTGCAAGTGAGCGGGAGCGGTGATCTTGGCTGGGGGCGGGGTGGGAGGGGGTTGGTGGCTGCTTCTGGCCCTGACTCCCCCCAGATTGCTGAGTCCCTGCTTCATACTCCAGCACTGCGCACAGCGTCCCGGCCCTCCCCTAGCTCTGCTCTGCGCTTTCTTGGGTCCCCCATTCCCCCAGGTTAGAGCGCGGCTCCAGGAACCTATGTCCGCGCGGTGTAGTAGGGACGGCTAAATGGGGCCCGGGTCAGAGCGAGATCGGGACCCCTCGCTCCGAGGCGCCCCTGACCCCCTCACTCTCTTCCCTGCAGCGGCAGAGCGGGGCGCTGGTGCCGGCGGCGGGCGTGCGGCACATCAGCCACCGGCGCTTCCTGGCCACTTTCCCGCTGGCTGCCGTGAGCCGCGCCGAGCAGGACCTGTACCGCTGTGTGTCCCAGGCCCCGCGCGGCGCGGGCGTCTCTAACTTCGCGGAGCTCATCGTCAAGGGTCAGCTGGTGGACGCCGGGGAGCGCCGGGACCTCACCCTCGAGGGGCGGGGCCGGCGACGGGGGCGGGCTCTGCCCGGGGGCGTGGCCGTGGGGGGTGGGGCCGGCAGGGTGTCGCTGGGGCGCTATCTGAAGATGGGCCTGTGGAAATGGCAGTGGCCCAGCCGGGATGAGATCTGATCTAGGGGTCGGGGCTGGCTTCGAGGGGGACGGACAGGGTCAAGGTGAGAGCCTAAAGAGGGGTGGGGTTCTGGCTGTGTGACTTCTGTGTTGATCCTAGCTGGCCTGCGGTCCGCTCCAGGAGGCGAGGATGTGGGGGATTAGGAGGGGCCTGAGAGAGGGGTTGTGGGCTGATGGGCGAGGGCGGGGTCAGCCTTTGGAGCCAGGTGCCCCTTAGGGCCCGGGATTTAGTGGGGGTAGGAGAGCGGGTCTGGTTGAGGGCTTGGTAGCAGCGTGAGAGGCCCTAGGAGGACGGAGAGGGATTTGGGTGTGGTGGAACTCAGAGTTGGGTGCTGGGGTCTCACAGCAGCATCGGTCCGCCTCGCCTCTCCCCCATCTCCTCGCAGAGCCCCCAACTCCCATCGCGCCCCCACAGCTGCTGCGTGCTGGCCCCACCTACCTCATCATCCAGCTCAACACCAACTCCATCATTGGCGACGGGCCGATCGTGCGCAAGGAGATTGAGTACCGCATGGCGCGCGGGCCCTGGGCTGAGGTGCACGCCGTCAGCCTGCAGACCTACAAGCTGTGGCACCTCGACCCCGACACAGAGTATGAGATCAGCGTGCTGCTCACGCGTCCCGGAGACGGCGGCACTGGCCGCCCTGGGCCACCCCTCATCAGCCGCACCAAATGCGCAGGTGGGTGCAGCAGCTACCCCTGGCCTCAGTCTCTGGTGGGCCCAGGGCTATGGAGGGGCGCATTCGAGAGGTAGCGTGGCCTGTGCTTGTAAACCTTTCTAAAACATTGTGATTTTTCCTCAACCCTTGTTATGGTAAAGATAATGATAGCTAATACTTTACTTTGTGTCAGGCACTTAAACATATCTGTGTGTAGACACACACACAAACCCATATTTATAGATTTAAAACTTACAACACTACCACGATGTAGGTGCTCTTGTCGTACCCATTTTAGATGTGACTGAGGTACAGAGATGTTAAGTGACTGGCCCAAGAGCACACAGCTAGTAAGTGGCAGAGATGGGATTGGAACTCTTGACTGGCTGACTCCAGAATCTGTGTTCTTAATTCTACATCTAGATAAAATAAGCAACTAAATACCATCAAATACAAGTATATTATACATTCTAGCTGGTTTCTCTTGTCTGGGTGTTGAGCCTGAGGTCTGCTCTTCCTTGTTAAAAAGGGCAAAGCAGCTGTTGGAGGATGGTACACCTGTGCCAGATGAGGGTCTTTTTTGTTTAATCAGAAGAGAAATTGAGAACACAATAGGTTTTTCTTTTTGTGACTTTAGTATTGTTGTTGTTATTATTTTTCCTTTTGAGACAGAGTTTTGCTCTGTCACCCAGGCTGGAGCACAGTGGCGCGATCTTGGTTCACTGCAACCTCCGCCTCCTGGGTTCAAGTGATTCTTCTCCTGCCTCAGCCTCCCGAGTAGCTGGGATTACAGGCATGCTCCACCATGCCTGGCTAATTTTTGTATTTTTACTGGAGACAGAGTTTCACCAGGTTGGCCAGGCTGGTCACAAACTCCTGACCTCAGGTGATCCACCCGCCTCGGCCTTCCAAAGTGCTAAGATTATAGGCGTGAGCCACCGTGCCTGGCTTAGTGTGTTTTTTTAATGGACTTACTAAGATAAATGTAGAGTCACATGCAGTTGTAAAAAAAATACAGAAAGATTCTCTGTGCAAGTCACCCTATTTTCTGCAGTGGTAACATGTTGCAAAACTATAGCATAATATCACAGTCAAGATATTCACATTGATACAAACCACAGATCTTATTCAGACTTTTCTGGTTTTGCTTGTACTTGTTTGTGTGTGTGTATATGTGTATGTAGTTCTGCACAATTTATCACATGTGTAGGTTTGTGTATTCACCACTACAGTCAAAATACTGAATAGTTCAATCCCCTTAAGGACTCTTTTATAACCACATTCACCTCCCTTTCTTCCTCTACTCCCCAACTTTTGGTAGTCACTGATCTGTCCTTTCTAAAATTTTGTTGTTTCAAAAATATTATATGAATGAAATCAGAGTATATAACCTCTAGAATTGGCTTTTTTTGGATAACAGCTTTATTGCAATATAATCCACATCTCATACAATTCAATCCTTAAAATGTACAGTTCAGTGGTTTTTAGTATACGGTAGTCCCCGTGTATCTGAAGTTTCTCCTTCTATGGTTTTAGTTACCTGTGGTCAACTTGAGGCTTGAAAAGGTGAGTACAATACAATAAGATATTTTGAGAGAGAGAGACAGACCACATTTGTATAACTTTTATTATAGTGTGGTGTTGTAATTGTTCTATTTTATTATTAGTTATTGTTGTGAGCCTCTTACTGTGCCTAATGTAGAAATTAAACTTTATCATAGGTGTGTATGTATAGGAAAAACATAGTTTATCTAGGGTTCGGAACTCTCTGTGGTTTAAGGCATCCACTAGGGGTCTTGGAATGTGTCCCCTGCAGATATGGGGGGACTACTGTATTGACAGAGTTACACAACCATTAACTCAATTAATTAATTGAGTCAACCATTAACCATTAATCAATTTTGGAACATTTTCATCACCTCAGAAGGAAATTTTGTACTCTTTAGCAGTCATCCCCATTTCACTCGCACACCTCTAGCCCTAGGCAACCACTAATTTCCTTTCTGTCCCTATGGATTTGCCTCTCTGTGGACATTTCACATAAATGGAATCATATAATATATAATCTTTTGTGACTGGCTTCTTCCATTTATTTTATTATTTATTTATTTATTTATTATTAAGACGGAGTTTCACTCTGTCGCCAGGCTGGAGTGCAGTGGCGTGATCTCGGCTCACTGCAACCTCCACCTCCTGGGATCAAGGGATTCTCCTGCCTCAGCCTCCTGAGTAGCTGAGACTACAGGCACCCACCACCATGCCTGGCTAATTTTCGTATTTTTAGTAGAGATGGGGTTTGGCCATGTTGGCCAGGCTGGTCTCGAATTCCTGACATGAGGTGATCCGCCTGCCTTAGCCTCCCAAAGTGCTGGGATTACAGGCGTGAGCCACTGCACCTGACCCTTCTTCCATTTAACATGATGTTTTCAAGGTTTATCCTCATTGTAGCATGTATCAATACTCCATTCTTTTTTATTGCTTAATAATATTCCATTATACAAATATATCACATTTTATTTGTCATTCATCAGTTGATGGAAATTGGGGTTGTTTACACTTTTCAGCTATTATGAACAGTATTGCTATATTTGTGTACAGGTTTTTATATTGATATATGTTTTCATTTTTCTTATGTACCATATATATCATAAGATATCTCTGTGTTTATTCATTGAGGAACTGCTGGACTGTTTTCCAAAGCAGCTGTACCACTTTAAATTTCCACTACTTGTCTATGAGGGTTCTAGTTTCTCTGCATCCTTGTCACCACTTGTTATTATCTGTCTTCTTATAAGCACTCTAGTATATATGAAATGGTATCTCATTGTGATTTTGATTTGCATTACCCTGATGGCTAATGATATATCGAGCATTTTTTCATGTGCTTATTGACCATTTCTATATCTTCTTTGTAGAAATGTCTTCAGAGTGTTAAAAATGACCAATTTTTAAGTTGGGTTATTTGTCTTTTTATTATTGAGTTGTAAGATTATTTATATATTCTGAGTAGGCCGGGCATGGTGGTGGCTCATGCCTGTAATCCCAGCACTTTGGGGGGCCGAGGAGGGCAGATCATTTGAGGCCAGGAGTTTGAGACCAGCCTAGCTAACATGATGAAACCCAGCCTCTACCAAAAATACAAAAATTAGCCAGGTGTGGTGGTGGGCTGTTGTCCCAGCTACTCAGGAGGCTGAGGCACAAGAATCGCTTGAACCCGGGAGGTGGAGGTTGCAGTGAGCTGAGATGGTGCCACTGCACTCCAGCCTGGGTGACAGACTGAGATTCTGTCTCAAAAAAAAAAAAGGAGTATTTATATATTCTGGACACTAGATGCTTATCAGATGTTTATGTTTGCAAATACTTTCTCCCATTCTGTGGATTATATTTTCTTTTTCTTGATAGTTTTTTTTTGAAGCACGAAAGTTTTCAATTTATCTATTTTTTTCTTTTGTTGTTTGTGCTTTTGATGTCATCCCTAAGAAACCATTGCCTAATCCACAGTCATGAAGATTTACTCCTGTGTTTTTTTCTAATAGTTTTATAGTGTCAGCTATTACATTCAGGTCTTTGATCCACTTTGAGTTAATTTTTCAAATGTGGTGTGAGGTAGGGATCCAACCTCATTCTTTTTTTTTTTTTTGAGACAGAGTTTCACCCTTGTCGCCCAGGCTGGAGTGCAATGGCGCAATCTCGGCTCACTGCAACCTCCGCCTCCCAGGTTCAAGCGATTCTCATGCCTCAGCCTCCTGAGTAGCTGGGATTACAGGCGCGTGCCACCATGCCCAGCTAATTTTTATATTTTTGGTAGAGACAGGGTTTCACCATGTTGGCCGGGCTGGTCTCAAACTCCTGATGTCAGGTGATCCACCTGGCTCAGCCTCCCAAAGTGCTAGGATTATAGGCATGCGTGGCCAACTTCGTTCTTTTGTATGTAGATCTTTATTACCATTTGTTGAAAAGTCTATTCTTATTGAATTATCTTGGCACTGGAATTGGTTTCTTTCATTCAGCATAGTTTCCTTCATCCAAGTTGTGTATATCAGTAGTTTATTCCTTTTTATTACTTTTTATTACTTTTTATTCCATGCTGTGGAAATGCCAGTTTGTTTAAACATTCACCTGTTGAATGACATCTGGGCTGGTTCCACTTTTTCATTATTACAAGTAAAGCTTCTGTGAGCATTCATACAGAGGTTTTTGCATGAACATAACTTTTCATTTTTCTGGGATAAATGCTCAAGAGTACAATCAATGAGTCATATGGTGATTGCATGTTTAGTTTTATCAGAAACTGCCAGAGTGGCTGTGTTGTTTTATACTCTCACCAACAACGTATGAGTGATCCAGTTTTCTGCATCCTTGCCAGCATTTAGTGTTGTCACTATTTTTTATTTTGGACTTCCTGAGAGGTGTGTAGTGATATCTCATCATGGTCTTAATTTGCATTTCTTCAGTGTCTAGTGATGTCGAACATCTTTTCTTTTCCTCTTTTTTTTTTGAGATGGAATCTCACTCTGTTGCCCAGGCTGGAGTGCAGCAGCATGATCTCAGCTCACTGCAACCTCCACCTCCCAGGTACAAGCAATTCTTGTGCCTCAGCCTCCCGAGTAGCTGGGATTACAGGCACACACCACCACGCCTGGCTAATTTTTGTATTTTTAGGACAGATGGGGTTTCAGCATGTTGGCCAGGCTGGTCTTGAACTCCTGACCTCAAGTGTTCTGCCCGCCTCAGCCTCCCAAAATGCTGGGATTACAAACATGAGCCACGGCACCTGGACAAACATCTTTTCATGTGCTGTTTGCCATCTGTATATCCTCTTTGGTGCATCATCTGTTCATGTCTTTGAACATTTTCTAATTGGATTATTCTTTTTGTTGTTGTTGTTGTTGTTAAGTATTGAGAGTTTTTTGTACATTCTAGGTACCAGTCCTTTGTTAAATGTGGAGTTTGTAAATATTTCCTCCCAGTAGCTTGTCCTTTCACCCTCTTTATATGGACTTTCACAGAACTATTTTCAATTTTGATGAGGTTCAATTTGTAAAATTTCCCTTTTATGAATTGTGGTTTTGGTATCAAGTCTAAGAACTCCTTGCCTATCCCTGTCTCCCAAAGATTTTCTCCTGGGTTTTTTTTTTTTTTTTTTTTTTTTTTTGATACGGAGTTTCACTCTTGTTGCCCAGGCTGGAGTGCAATGGCATGATCTCAGCTTACCACAATCTCTGCCTCCTGGGCTCAAGTGATTCTCCTGCTTCAGCCTCCTGAGTAGCTGGGATTACAGGCATATACCACCATGCCTGGCTAATTTTGTATTTTTAGTAGAGGTGGTTGGTCAGGCTGGTCTTGAACTCCTGACCTTAGGTGATCCGGCCTCCCAAAGTGCTGGGATTACAGGCATGAGCCACCGCGCCTGGCCTCCTGTTTTTTTTCTAAAAGTGTTATAGTTTTACATTTTACATTTAAGTTTATGATCTATTTTGGGTAAAGTGTGAGGTTTAGGTCAATGTTATTTGTTGCTAATCAATATTCGTAAGTGTTTTAAAAAGCCAATCTGTGAATTATCTAAAATCCAGTTTAAAGCCACACTTTGGGAACTCCTTGGATGGTAGGTCTAAAATCTGGTTTAATGTCACACTTTGGGAGACCCTTGAGTGGTGGGTCAGAATGTTCCAGTGGGAATTGCTTTCTAGTGAAGGGGTCTGGGTCAGGTTACTTAACCTTTCTGAGCTTCAGTCCCCCTGTTTTACAACATGGGAATAATAACATTTACCATATAGGGTTAGTTTGAAGATTTATTCAACGAATGCTTATTGAGTGTCTATTACGTGCGAGGTGCTATTGTGGTTGGTAGGGATATATGACTATAACCAGGACAGACAAAGGCCACCAACATGTGAGTTCTTCCTGGAACTCACATTTTGGCAAGAGGAGATAGATAATAGATGAGTAAACAAGTGAAGTATACAGTTGGCCTTTGAACATCACAGGTTTGAATTGGGCAGATCCACTTACATAGATTTTTTTTTCACTCACACGTGCATCAAAAATACGGTATTTGCGGGCTGGGCATGGTGGGTTATACCTTTTATCCCAGTGCTTTGGGAGGCTGAGATGGGAGGAATGCTTGAGGCAAGGAGTTTGAGACCAGCCTGGACAACATAGCAAAACCCTGTCTCTACAACACAACAGCAACAATAATTAGCTGAATGTGGTGGCATGTGCCTGTAGTCACAGCTATTCAGGAGGCTGAGGCAGGAGGATTGCTGGAGCCCAGGAGATCAAGGCTGCAGTGAGCTAAGATTTCACACTGCACTCCAGCCTGGATGACAGATCAAGATCTTATCTAGAGACAAACAAACCAGCAATACAAAAAACTCCAGTGTTTCTAGGGCCTGTATATATGAAGGGCCAACTATGGGACTTGAATATGTGTGAATTCGGTTATATGTAGGGGTCCTAGAACCAATCCCTGGCATATACCGAGGGAGGACTTTATGGCCTGTCAGATGGTGATAAGTGCCGTGAAGAAGAAAAGCAGGGAGTGGGGCCTGGAGGGTTGTTATTTTTAAAAGTCTCAAGGGAAGGTGACATTTGAGCAGAGATCTGAAGGAGGTGAGGGACTGAGCCGTGCAGAGAGCTGGGGGCTTGCTGGGGGAAGCAAGCACCAGCCCGACTGAGCAGCCAGCACAAAGGCCTGGAGGCTGGAGAATGCTTGGCACGTGCAAGGGGCATCCAGGAGACCAGTGTCACTGTGTTAGTGACTGAGTGGGAGATGGCAGGAGAAGAGGCTGAAGTTGAGCTGCAGATGTGGGACTTAGAGCCGTTGTACACAGAGAGAGCTGGGGAGCCACTGAAGAGTTTAGAGAGCAGGAGTGAGCATCATCTACTTTTGTTTAAAAGGATCACTCTGGCCCTTTTGTGGAGAATGTTCTCCAGGAGGGCAAAGGTGCCGCAGAGACCAGGGAGGAGGCTACTGCAATGATCTGCTTAAGAGGTGGTGATGGCTGGGAGCCGAGTGGAAGTGGTGGTGGTGGGGAGAAGTGGTCAGATTCTGGGTTTATTTTAAAGGCAGAGCTAACTGCATTTGCTGATGGATTGAATATGGGATGAGAGAAAGGGAAATAGAAGTCAAGGATGGCTCCAAGGTGTTTTGCTAGAGCAGCAGGAATGATGGAGCTGTCATTTCCTGGAGCGGACTGTGGTGGCAGCTGATTTGACGTGGGTGTCATAGATCAGGAGTTCTGTGTTGGAAATGTTGACTTCGAGATCCCTATTAGACATTCAAGTGGAGATATTCATCAGCAGATGGATACATGAGTGTGGAGTTCAGGGAAGGGGTTCGGGCTGCAGATAGAAATTTGAAAGTCATCAGTGTGGAGATGGTATAGATGGCATTTAAAGCCCTGAGGTTGGATGAGATCTTTTACGCTAATGGTTCTCAACTAGGGGCAATTTTGTCTCCTAGGAGACATTTGACAGTGACTGAGGACATAACCGTTGTCACAACTGGGTGGCGGCAATGGGGTGTTACTGGCATCTAAAGGGATAGAGGCCAGGGAAGCTGCTAAACATCCTACAATGCACAGACAGCCACATAAGAAAGAATTATCTAGTCTAAAATGTTCATAGTGCTGAGGTTGAGAATCCCCGATTCAGTCCTTAGATTTTTAGGGAATAAATGTAGATGGAAGAAAGAGGAGTTGGAAAGCCTGAACCTTGGAGCCTCCAGTGTTTTGGGTTAAATGCAGACAATTGCAGGGAAATGCATTAAATGCATGTGAAGTATAGCGCTTAACACACAGTAAGCACCCAGTAAATGATGGTGTTTTTAATCTTTCAAAGGCAGTTCTGGTTTGCCACTTAGGATAAAAGGAATCATAGCACAGGGTTCCGCAGAGGATCTCTATTGCACTCCCCTTAGTGTACAGATGGGGAAGCTGAAACCCAGAGAGGGGAAGAGACTTGGCTGTGATCAGACAGTGGGTCAAGAACCCAGGTTTCATGATGACGGCTGTTGATTATTCCCATTTTACAGATGAATAAACTCAGATTTAGAGATTTAGCCACTTGTACAAATCTACACAGTGAGTCCATGGCAGAGCTTGAATCAAAATTTGAATCTCTTGATTTCTCATCCAGTGTTTTGTTTTAGTTTTTTGTTTTATTTTGTTTTTAGAGACAGGGTCTCACTCTGTCACCTGGGCTGGAGTGCAGTGGCACGATCATAGCTCACTGCGTGCAGCCTTGAACTCCTGGGCTCAAGTGATCCTCTTGCTTCAGCCTCCTAAGCAGCTGGGGCTACAGGCTTGCACCACCATGCCCAGCTAATTTATATACATATATATATATATATATATATATATATTTTTTTTTTTTTTTTTTTTTTTTTTTTTGTAGAGACAGGGTTTCACTCTGTTGCTCAGGCTGATCTTAAACTCCTGGCTTCAAGGGATCCTCCTGTTTCAGCCTCCCAAAGTGCTGGGATTACAGACAGGAGCCAGTGCATCCAGCCTAATCCAGTGTTTTTAACAGCAGCAGCAGCAGCTGCTGCTGCCACCATCATGGGCTGAATGCCCACTTTGTGCTGGGCACTGTGAAACAGTTTTCATAGGCTGGCCAGGACGGAAGCTGGGGCAGGGGCCTGGCAGACAGGGTGCAAACACCTCCCCCTGCCCTTCTGAATTACACGGTTCTCTTTGTTGACATCATGGCCCCTCCCTGCTTAGGCGCGTTGGCCGGCAGTTGTTTTGCTGTTGGCCAGCTGTGTTGTCATCTCCTCCATCCCCATGAAACTCCCCTCGCACTATATTATTTACTGTAAAAACAATAATATAGCATCAGGCGAAGGCATTTTTTAAAATAAGCACTCCGAAGCTCATCATCCTAGCCCAACAGCTGTTTTAATTTTTCTGACTTCTTCACATCTCTGCCCATATGCCTGCAGTAGACATTTTTACACCCTTGCATTGGGATGTAGAAAGCATTTCGTATGCTGCTTCATTTGCTTGGTGTTGTTACGTGTGTTATGTTGTTTATAATTATGTTTACTGACTCTAGAAGTCCATTGAATGTCCCCATTTAGCTGGACTGTTTGCCTCCAGACTTCTATAATGATAAATAATACTATATTGAGAAACCTAGCGCTTGTAGTTCTTCCCTTCTCCCCCCACCCTGAGTTATTTCTTTAGGATAAAGTGTCAGGAGTGGTTGAAGAAAGGGCTTTTAAATATATTGCTTTAAAAAATGGTTGTGCCAATTTATACTGCTACTGGCATCTCATGTTAATGCACACATGTTTATTAATTACTATAGACTGGTAATGACTGTAGGCTGGTAATGACTGTAGGCTGGGCAATTTGACTCATATTATCTCATGTAACTCTCACATTTGCTCTTTAAAGTAGGCATCATAATCTCCATTTGTTTGTTTTTGTTTCTTTTTTTGACAGAGCCTCACTCTGTCACCCAGGCTGGAGTGCAGTGGCATGATCTTGGCTCACCGCTTCCTCTACCTCCCGGGCTGAAGCTATTCACCCACCTCAGCCTCCCAAGTAGCTGGGACTACAGGCGCGCACCACCATGCCTGGCTAATTTTTATATTTTTGTAGAGATGAGGTCTCACTACTATGTTGCCCATGAAGGTCTCGAACCCCTGAGCGATCCTGCCTTGGCTTCCCAAAATGCTGAGATTACAGGCATGAGCTACTGCACCCAGCCATAATCTCCATTTTTTAGTGGAGGAACCTGACATCAACATTCAAAGGGGGTTAAGTAACTTGCCTGAAGCCACAGAACTATGGCCAGGTGCAGTGGCTCATGCCTGTAATCCCAGAACTTTGGGAGGCTGAGGCAGGTGGATCACTTCAGCTCAGGAGATTGAGACCAGACTGGGGCAACATGGTGAAACCCTGTCTCTACAAAAAACACAAAACAAATTAACCAGGTGCATGGTGGCACATGCCTGTGGTCCCAGCTACTCAGGAAGGTGAGGTGGGAGGATTGAGACTGCAGTGAGCCAATGATAGCACCACTGCACTCCAGCCTGGGTGACAGTGAGACTGTGTCTCAAAAAAACAAACACAAACAAACAAAGAAAAAAAAGAACTAATGAGAGGTGGAGATAGGATGTGAACTTGGGTGTACCAGATCCCAGTCCAAAGCTCCTCCCATGAGAAAAAGTTGAACATTTCAGGGTTATTGCATCTTGTTTAGCCTTACTAAAGTCAACACATGGTGGCCTAATTCAACAGCTGTTAAATGTTATCCTCATTGTTTTAATGTGCATTTTGACCTCTGATCTCGGAGTGACCTGTAGCCCTGTGTAATTTAGAGGGATGGGGCTTTGAGGTCCCCAAGTTCTGTTTTGTCAGCGTGTGTTGACAGTTGAAGAGAGTGTGTCTGGGTGCCAGATGGTTTTTAGAAACGTGGAGAAACTCATGGATTCACACCCCTCAATCAACATATCAGTCTGTAGTCAACAAACTATTTGAGCTCCCTGGATCTGTCCAGATATGATCAGGGTAGGCAGGAAGAAAAAAGAAAAGTGGACCTTCTTTTCAAAGAGCTCTCAGTCTACCTGGGTGGATGGGAGGTGGCACAGTTGTCAAAGAATGAGATGCCTAAGTCTGAAGTTGGGAGTTTCATCCTCCAAAGTTGCTATCTTGGGCCCTGTAAGGTGATTTGAAGAAGCTTGAGTAGGTTGCCAGTATTTAAAAATCTGGAGATTTCACATAAAAATTGGAATTTCTGGCTCCTCTTGAAAAATGGGAGGATCTGGCAACTCTGAACCTGTAGTCCTGCCTGGCAACAGTCATCTAGAGGTGAGCAGTAGCTGCCCCTTTTGGATGGGACACTACTGTCCTGTTTGCCGTGGTCTTTACCCAGCATACGTCCCCCGTTTACATGGAACTTCTCCTGCCCTTCTGTAAATGCTGCAGGAGGACTAGGAAGCAGAATGCTTCTGCCAAGCCCTAGAGGCTGGAAAGGAATGCAGGGCAGCATTCCAGGGGGTGGGGATGGTGTGAGCTGAGCTGCAGGGAACAGAGAGCCACTCCCAGTAGTGCAAATAAAGCAGTGGTACCTCGGCTCTTGTAGACTCCCAGGACAGTGCACACAGGGCAGCCACCTCGGCTCTTGTAGACTCCCAGGACAGTGCACACAGGGCAGCCAGGACCACAGCCAGAGAGTTGAAGAATAACGCGAGGACCTCTGGGAAAGATGGCAAGTGAGCACACCCCAGATCTGCCTCCTCTGGCGCAAACATAGAAGAATGATGGCTTAAAACAAAACTACATTAAAAAAATTAGAAAAATCTCTATGGGCCAGGAATGGGAGAGAAAACCTAAGTGTGGTGAATGGGCTTGCAGCCCACAGTACCCAGGATACAGGGAGCAGTGGCAGCCAGCCCCTCAGTGTCCATATGGGATGGGATTTGGGTGGTCCCTGCTTGTGGGGAGAAGGGAGCCAGTCAGGAGGCAGGCTTTGTTCCTAGTGAGTGCTGAAATCTCTCTTCGATGGCTCCATGTATAACTGGAGACATGCTGCTTGCCTGCATTCCAGGGAAGAAAGGAAACCTTCTGGGTGGAAACAGAATCTTGTATTGTGCTGTACATGGGGCCAGTGTTGAAAACTGTGTTACTGGTGCACTCCCAAGATAGGAGCAGCCTGGGCGAATGCTTTCCTTTGCATCTTCTTCATAAGGGGAATTCTGAACAAATTAATCACATAAAAAATGCCACTAGGGGCTGGGTGCGGTGGCTCAAGCCTGTAATCCCAGTACTTTGGGAGGTAGAGGCAGGAGGATCAGTTGAGCCCAGGAGTTTGAGATGAGCCTGGGCAACACAGCAAGACCCTGTCTCTACAAAAAATACAAAAATTAGCTGGGCTTGGTGGTACGCACCTGTAGTGCCAGCTACTTGGGGGACTGAGGCAGGAGGATCACTTGAGCCGGGGAGATCAAGGCTGCAGTGAGCCGAGATCCTGCCACTGCACTCCAGCTTGGATGACAGAGCAAGACCTTGTCTCAAAAAAAAAAAAAAAAAAAAAGAAAAAAAAATGCTCCTAGGGGTTGTACTTAATCTTCTTAAGAGATTGTATAGCGGTGCTTTCTCACCTGTTCATTAAGGGATGCTGAGGTCCCTCTAGCTGGGGACACTTTGCAGGCGATCACAGAACTTGAGAGTAATGAAACTATACTTCATGGAATCAGAGTGTAAGAGAGAAAAGGATCAGTTGATGCAGTCTTGGTGTCTTCCCTCATTTTACTGATCCAGAAATTGAGGCCCAGAGATTTGCCCAAGATCACACAGCTGGTCAATGCAGATGCAGGACTAAGGGCTGAGTCCTGGGCTCCATCTTGCCTTTGCTTCAGAAGCCTTGACTTTTCTTTTCTATTCTTTTTTTTCGAGACAGCGTCTCACTGTGTCGCCCAGGCTGGAGTGCAGTGGTGCGATCATGGCTCACTGCAGCCTCAACCTCCCAGGTTTAAGCAATACTCCTGCTTCAGCTCCCTGAGTAGCTGGGACCACAGGCATGTGCCACCATGCCCGGCTTATTTTTGCGCTTTTAGTAGAGATGGGTCTTCTCCATGTTGGCCAGGCTGGTCTCAAACTCCTGACCTCAGGTGATCCACCTGCCTTGGCTTTCCAAAGTGCTGGGATTACAGGTGTGAGCCACCACGCCTGGCCAACTTTTTATTTTTTGTAGAGATTGTGTCTTGTTGTGTTGCCCAGGCTGGTCTCAAACTCCTGGGCTCCAGCGATTCTCCTGCCTGGGCCTCCCAAAGTGTTGGGATTACAGGCATGAGCCACTGTGCCCAGCCCAGTTTCTTTATTTATAAGATGGGGATAGCATTCTGGTCCATAGAGTCATCAAGAAACCGTAAAACATAACATGCACCTCCCTTCTGCTGGGGTAGCTCGCTCTCTCCTGAGGCATCAGTGAATTCCTATTGGGGAGGTGGGGAGTGGTGGTTAAGAGCATGGATTTCGGAGCCAGCCTGACCAGGTTTGGATCCCAGCTTCACCACTTACCATCTCTGTGACTGTGGGCAAGTTACTGAATTTCTCTGTGCCATTGTTTTCATATCTGTATGATAGGGCTAATAATAGCACTTGTCTCACTAGATTACAAGGATTAAATGAGATAAAGCATTTTTTGTTTTTTTTGGGACGGAGTCTCGCTCTGTTGCCCAGGCTAGAGTGCAGTGGCACAATCTCAGCTTACCGCAACCTCTGCCTCCCAGGTTCAAGAGACTCCTCTGCCTCAGCCTCCCAAGCAGCTGGGACCACAGGCTTGCGCCACCACGCCTGGCTAATTTTTTTGTATTTTTCTTTTTTTAATAGAGACGGGGCTTCACCATATTGGCCAGGCTGGGCTTGAACTCCTGACCTTGTGATCCGCCTGCCTCGGCCTCCCAAAGTGCTGGGATTATAGGCATGAGCCACCACGCCTGGTCGAGATAAAGCATTTTAAAGACTCGAGAACAATGCCCAGCCTATCCAAAACCCCCAATACATGTTAACTGCCTTTATTATCATTATCATTATATAATAGATTGTGTTTCCCTTTTTGCTTTGACAGCCAGGGAACCCACCACTGAATTTGAACCTTATCTTTAGACCTCCACATAGGACCTAATGTCATGTATTTCTGTTTCTGTTTCCCTGTCATTCTCTGGCTTTATTTAACTATTTGGCTCTCATTTCCCTCATTACCCTGATTTCTGTATGTTATTATATTATATGTATTACTATACATTGTTTCAGAACAAGTTTGGAATTAATACCTTAAGAAAAATATATCAACAGTTTGATTCAGACTGGCCTGTTGTAGTCCAGGGTGATCTTGAATTAGGAGGTGAACTGTGCTATTAAAAATAAATTATTGGCCGGGTGCGGTGGCTCACACCTGTAACCCAAGCACTTTGGGAGGCTGAGGTGGGTGGATCACTTGAGGTCAGGAGTTCAAGACCAGCCTGGCCAACATGTGAAACGCTATCTCTACCAAAAATACAAAAATTAGCCAGGCGTGGTGGTGTACGCCTGTAATCCCAGCTACTTGGGAGTCTGAGGTGGAAGGATTGCTTGAACCTGGGAGGCAGAGGTTGCAGTGAGCCTAGATCATGCCATTGCACTCCCTCCTGGGTGACAGAGTGAGCCTCTGTCAAAAAAAAAAAAAAAAAAGCTAATATTTTTGAGGGCTTATTGTATATTAGCCATTGTCATGCATCCTTTGTGTGTATTTCCTTAAACCTTACAATGATCCTATGAGGCAGGGCCTATTATCTTTTCATTTTGCAGTTGAGGAATCTAAGGATCAGAGGGGTGAAGTGATTCAGCCAGCAGTTGCCAGCTGCAAGTGGCAGAGCCAGGATTCAAATGTAGTCCGCCTGACTCCAAAGCACATACTTTTACTCCCTGTTTGATGTTCTAGGGGTCCCCTGAGCTCTTGGGGGCAATGGAGGGATGATTTCAGGCAGCTGACTGATGCTTTCTCTCCCTGTTCTTCTTCCTCTTCTCTTCCCATTTCTTCTAACTTCTTCTCTCTGCTTCCTGCATTCTCCAGAGCCCATGAGGGCCCCCAAAGGCCTGGCTTTTGCTGAGATCCAGGCCCGTCAGCTGACCCTGCAGTGGGAACCACTGGGCTACAACGTGACGCGTTGCCACACCTATACTGTGTCGCTGTGCTATCACTACACCCTGGGCAGCAGCCACAACCAGACCATCCGAGAGTGTGTGAAGACAGAGCAAGGTGTCAGCCGCTACACCATCAAGAACCTGCTGCCCTATCGGAACGTTCACGTGAGGCTTGTCCTCACTAACCCTGAGGGGCGCAAAGAGGGCAAGGAGGTCACTTTCCAGACGGATGAGGATGGTAAGAGTCTCAGTCCCAATTCCCGGGGCCCTGTGTACCTCCCACAGATACGCCATGTCTGAGACTGAAATTTACTGAGGGTATTTTTTTCTTTTTTTTGCTTAGGATTAAACCAACTGTATAACACCAAAGTAGTGATAGCTCCTATTTTTTCTCTGGAAGACTTTGGGTTAGATTGGTCTAATTTCTTTCCTTAAGTGTTTGAAAGAATTCAGCAGTGAAGCCATTTGGGCATAGAGTTTTCTTTGTGGCAAGGTTTTTAGTAAATTTTAGTTTTTAAAATAGATATTGGGATATTCAGATTTTTTTATTCTTGTATCAGTTTAGATGGACTGTATTTTTTAAGGAATTTGTTCATTACACCTAAATTGTCAAATTTCTTGAGATAATGTTGTTTATAATTTTTTTTATTTATTTAGAGACAGAGTCTTGCTCTGTTGCCCAGGCTGGAGTACAGTGGCACCATCTCAGTTTGCTGCAGCCTCCTCCTCCCAGGCTCAAGCGATCCTCCCACCTCAGCCTCCTGAGCTGGGACTACAGGCATGCACCACCACGCCAAGCTAGTTTATTTATTTTTGAGGCAGGGACTCACACTTTTGTCCAGGTGGGAGTGCAGTGTCATGATTATGGCTCACTGCAGCCTCGACCTCCCAGGCTCAAATGATCACTCTACCTCAGCCTCCCAAGTAGCTGGGACTATAGACGTGCACTGCCATGCCTGGCTAATTTTTTTGTATTTTTTGTAGAGACGGGGTTTTGCCATGTTGCCCAGGCTGGTCTCGAACTCCTGGGCTCAAGTGATCCACCCACCTTGGCCTCCAAAAGTGCTGGGATTACAGGCATGAGCCACTTCATTTGCCAATATTCTTTTATTATATTTATTTAATGTCCATAGGCTCTATAGTGATATCATCTTTTTCATTTCTGATATTGGTAATTTCTGTTTTCTTTTTTCTTGTTTACCCTTGTGAAGACTGTATAAATTAATCTTTCCAAAGAACCAACTGTTGGCTTACTTGATTTTCTTTATTTTCTATTTTTTATTTCCTTTGTTATACTTTCTTTGGAGTTGATTTGCTGTTCTGTTTGCCTTTTGAGATAGAAGTTTCTTAGATCATTAATACTGAGCCCTTCTTCATTTCTAATATACGTGTTTAAAGCTACACATTTTCCTCTAAGTCCTGCTTTAGCTGTGTCCCACAAGTTTTGATATTTCCTATCTTCATTATCATTCAGTTCAATTTGTTGTCTATACAATTGAACTGTTATTTCTGTTATAATTTCTGCTTTGACCTAAGAGTTACTTAGAATTATGTTGCTTAATTTCTAAGCAATTGGGACTTTTCTTTTTTGTTTGTTTTTGAGACACAGTTTCACTCTGTCACCCAGGCTGGAGTGCAGTGGCACAATCTCGGCTCACTGCAAACTCCGCCTTCTGGGTTCAAGTGATTCTCATGCCTCAGCCTCCTGAGTAGCTGGGATTTCAGGTGCCCGCCACCACGCCTGGCTAATTTTTGTATTTTTAGTAGAGACAGGGTTTCATCATGTTGGCCAGGCTGGTCTCGAACTCCTGACCTCAGGTGATCTGCCCACCTTGGCCCTGCAAAGTGCGGAGATTATAGGCATGAGCCACTGCACCTGGCCAGCAATTGGGACTTTTCTAATTGTCTTTTTATTATTGATTTCTAGGTTAATTCCACTGTAGTCAGAGTATATACTCTAAATTTTATTTTGTGAAATTTCATCTTTACTTTATGGCCCAACATATTGTTAAATTTTGGTAAATGTTCCAGTGTATTTGAAAAGAACATGTATTCTGTTGCTGTTGAATGCAGTGTTCTACATATGTCAAACTAATATTTAGCCCTTAGCACATTCAAGCACCATTCTGAATGGTTTTGATATATTACTGCATTTAATACCCATGACAACCCTATGTGGTAGGTTACTATTTCTATTCCCATTTTATTTCTATTCCCATTTTACAGAAGAAGTCACAGAAAGCCTGGCTTTCTAACCTGACCATCTGGCTTCACAGTTGTCATTCTTTTTTTTTTTTTTTTTTTTTTTTTTTTTTTTTGAGATGGAGTCTTGTTCTGTTGCCCAGGCTGGAGAGCAGTGGTGCAATCTCAACTCACTGCAACCTCTGCCTTCCTGGTTCCAGCGATTCTCCCACCTCAGCCTGTCGAGTAACTGGGATTATAGGCACCTACCACTACGCCGGCTAATTTTTTGTATTTTTGGTAGAGATGGGGGTTTCACCATGTTGGCCAGGCTGGTCTCGAACTCCTGACCTCAAGTGATCCGCCTGCCTCGGCCTCCCAAAGGTGCTGGGATTACATGCGTGAGCCACCGTGCCCAGCCAGTTGTCCTTCTTAAGAGCTACACTCGAATGCTATCACAGGTCCAAAGCCTTTCCCTGGGTTCCTACAGATTCCAGTTACCACTAAGCTCCTTGGTTTATGGCTTTGTCTTGCTGCCGCACGTGCACAGTTTTCTGTTCTGCACAGCATTGGCCTAGATTCAAAATTCAGCTCCTTCTTTACTTTCTGCTTTTCTCTGCCTTAGGACTTCAGCTTCCCCATAGTGGTTTATCAAGGTATTTTCCCAAGCAAAGATCATTCTCTTCCTAAATGACACTCCTGTGCCTGCCATTAACAGTATACATTTACACAAGAAAAACAAAACAAAGCCATGCCTGCAAGTGTTAATGCTAAAATGTTAACAGTATCTCTGGGTGATACAATTGTAGATGCCATTAATTTTCTTTAAGCTCATTTTGATTTTCTACATTGAACATGTCATTTATGTAATTAGAAATTTTTAGACGAGAAAATATCGCCACCCATAATCCCAATACCGCAATGCAATTGCTGTTTTCATTTCTCTGGCCCATGTGCATATTTTCTGAAAACTACCCAACTGGAACAAAATTGGAGCCTTCAAACGTATTTCTCTCCTGAATGCAACCTACACAGTAATGAAAATGCCAGCTATCCATTTTGAGTACTTAGTAATAGGTTGAACCATATGCAATTGCTGATGTTTGCCTTGGGGCTTTATGTACATCACATCATTTGAGTCCTGGCTTGAGAGGGGTTATATCATTCCCACTTCACAGCTGAGTTAAGTAAGGTGCAGAGAGGCTGAATAGTCCATGAGAACCAGGTAGGAAGCGGCAAGGCTGGAATTTAAACCCAGGTGTCTGGCACCAAAGCCCACTTTCCCCTGGCCCCTGCTGCCTTTCCCTTGCAGTGCCCAGTGGGATTGCAGCCGAGTCCCTGACCTTCACTCCACTGGAGGACATGATCTTCCTCAAGTGGGAGGAGCCCCAGGAGCCCAATGGTCTCATCACCCAGTATGAGGTGGGTTTGGGACCCTATTACAGTGGGGGACCCTGGTGGAAGGTGAGAGGTGGCCCTCTTTCTCTCTGCTGCTACAGTAGGAGGTGCATGGGAGGACAGATGTGATTGTCATAGTTTCTTCAACTATGGCCAGGTCTGTGCCCTGTGTATTCTAGAGGAGGGTCCTGAAGGCAGGAGGGAGAGCCGAAGATGACTAGAAGCCTGGCTTGATGGCATCCATAGTCTCCTTTGCTTAGCCTTATCTCTCACTTCCCTGGGACATGGTGGGTGGAGGCTGCTGGTCAGGGATGCTCTGACCATCCAGTGCCCACCTGCCTGCCAATCCTGCCCCCAGATCAGCTACCAGAGCATCGAGTCATCAGACCCGGCAGTGAACGTGCCAGGCCCACGACGTACCATCTCCAAGCTCCGCAATGAGACCTACCATGTCTTCTCCAACCTGCACCCAGGCACCACCTACCTGTTCTCCGTGCGGGCCCGCACAGGCAAAGGCTTCGGCCAGGCGGCACTCACTGAGATAACCACTAACATCTCTGGTGAGCCCCACCTGACCCGGCCCAGCCTCTTCGGAGGTGGCCCAGAATCCCAGGGTTCCATGGGCAGAAGGGAAATGGGGGGCATCCTGGGGGTAGTTACAGAGGGCCCCTGCTGAGATAAATATGCCATTTAGGAGTTAAAGTCAGGCTCAGGGAGGATGAAGTCAGAGGAGTCAGGAGACTGGTCAGTGGAATCAGAAGATTGAGGTTGGGGCTGGTGCCTGAGGTCAGGGGCCAGGGTAGCTCAGGTCATGTCAGCAGGAACAAAGAGGCTAAGGCTGAAGTAGGGGAGATCTGAGGACTGTGGTCAAGGAGGCTGGAAGCCTGGTCTTCCTGGTCCAGTGGCCAAGCTCCAGCTTGTGACCCTGTCCCCTTCTCCAGCTCCCAGCTTTGATTATGCCGACATGCCGTCACCCCTGGGCGAGTCTGAGAACACCATCACCGTGCTGCTGAGGCCGGCACAGGGCCGCGGTGCGCCCATCAGGTGGGAAAGCGGGGACGGAGGGGTGGGAGTCCAGGGCCTTAGGAAAGAGGCCCCTCCTCTGACCCAGAGCCCCATCCCAGGCCAGCTCACCCTTTTCCTCCCTCAGTCTCCCACGCAGGGCTTGGAGTGTCTGGAGGAGATTGTTCTGTGATGCTTGGCAGGCAAGAAGCCTGCAGTCCCTCCCCTCTGAGGCCATGGGTCTCAGATGGTGACTGTCAGGAGGACCCTGGATAGGTCCAGCCTGGAGAGGGGACTGTCCAGGCCTGTCCAGGGGGCCTTTCCTCAGACACCTTGGAGAAGTGAAACTCTGGGGGCCTTATATCATCCCAGCCTTTTCCTGGAAGCACAGAGATGGGCTTTCTAGAAGGCTGGGGCAGCCAGCCAGATAGGGCCATCTCTCTGGAATGGCTAGGAGCTTGGCTTCTCCACCTCCTCTCCCCAGAGGAAGCTGGGCTTGCTGGTGCCGTGGTGGCTGCCTCTGCTGGGGAGAGGGTGCTGGAGACAAGACTGTGTGTGTGTGTGTGTGTGTGTGTGTGTGTATGTGGGATGTGAAACTGGGTGTGTCTTTGTGATAAAGACATGGGATGTGTGGTGTGAGTGTGTGTGAGAGGCGTATATGGGAGACATAAGTGTGCATGTGTGTGAGAGTGTGAGGGTGTTTGTGCAACTGTGTGCACGTACTGTTAGCCAGACCCCGTGCTAGGGGCTTTATCTGCATGAAGCCATTTATCCTCATGGCAGCCCTGTGGCATGGGTATTATTACCTTCATTTTACATATCGGGAAACTGACTCAGAGCCTGAATCACTTGCCCTCAAGGCCACACAGCTAGTAAGTGGTGGAGCTGGGATTTGGAAGCCAGGTCTATCTGCTGTGCCTGTACCTTTTCTAGAAGTTATAGAGCCTCCCTGCCCTTCTGGTCCACCCCTTCCTTCCACGAAGGTACATGCTCTGGGAGAGGGTGACAGCCTTTAGGTGGGGGGGGTGTGAGGGTCCTAGTCAGTTCCCTAGGAAGAGAGTGGGCTGCCTGGGTGACCATGGCAGTCCCTCACCTCCTCACTCCCCACTGTATCCTCTCCTCTTCTGCTTTGTCTTCCCTGTATTTGCCACTGCAAATCCTGCCCTGGGCTGATTCCCAGACCCTCAGGGAAGACCCAGGAAAAAGTCACGGGGTCTGCAGGGCCTTTTGCCTGTTGCTAGAGCCTCAGGGCCCTTATGCCACTGAGTCTGGGATGGGTTGGGAACCCTTTCTTTCTTGTCCTCTTGAGGGATCCTGTGAGCAGCACTGGTCAGGGTCCCTCAGGATGATGATTGCAAGGCTAGGTGGGGGCAGGCTTGGTGGGAGGGGAGCGGCAAGATGGCTGCATGACCCTGGGCATGTCCCGTTACCTTCCTGAGCCTCCGTTTCTTTATCTGCACAATGGGGATTATTCTAGATTAAGATGCACTTTGTTCATGGCTAATGTTAATGATTACCTCCTGGTGGGATTTAGGGCTAGGAGAGGCCTGACCTTAGCCTGGGGCAATGGAGGCTGAAAGGGGCTTGGACTGGTGTTTATAATGGGCTAGTGACAAGCCATGGGCTGGTGTCCAACACTCTGGGATGATTCCCCACAACTTGGATGCTCCAAAGAAACATCTGGTGAGCAAGGAAAAGGCATTTCTGCTTCCCCAAGGAGAGGCTGTCAGTATGGGATGTCACACGCCAAGACGTGACCGAGACTGTAACTGGAAATATTTAAATTTGTCAGGATTCACTTATTTACTCTCCACTTTGTTCTGCAGAGGATTTGGAGGAGCTCATAGCAGAAACCTATTTAGTAAAGAGATAAAATAGAAACACAGCTGGGACCAGGGAGCACGAACCAGAGTGGGCAGTCAGGATCCTGAAACAGCAGGGCTCCGATTTGCTGATCAGAGGCTGCCTTGGCATTGGGAGGGTGCTAGAGACATAGTGTTGGGTGTCCTTGTTTGCTAAATCACTGTCTCTCACTAGAGGTCAGTTTTAGGAAGCCCAGTTGCCTAGTGTATAGCACAGGGCTCATAGTCTGAGCTCAGTCATCTCTTTCTGAATGAATGAATGAATGAATGAATGAATCTGGCTAACCCTGTCATTTACTGAGTCCCAGAAGGGAGCTTTCAGTAGCTTTGGTTTCCCAGGTCTTGTGTCACACACACAGGAGGACTCATGGAGGAAGCAGGCTGGGGCCTTATGGCTTGGTTATATTGAGCAGGGTCCACGATCCTCTTAGCCTGGATTAGTAACAGGAATAACCGCTGACAGGTGCTGGCTGCTTGCTTAACTTGCCTGTTCTTCCCATCTATCTTCTGAACAGTCTTGCAATTACTCCCATTTTATGGAGGAAGAAACCGAGGCCCAGGGAGGTTAGGGGACTTGCCCAGCTAGTAAGGAGCAGTGTGTGGAAGTTAGTCCCCAGGAGGGCTTGACCACAAAGCCCATGCCTTTAACTGCCAGCTGGCTCTCCCAGTCCTCTGGCCGCCTGTGATCCCCTGTACGCTCTCCTCCCTGTCCAGTGTGTACCAGGTGATTGTGGAGGAGGAGCGGGCGCGGAGGCTGCGGCGGGAGCCAGGTGGACAGGACTGCTTCCCAGTGCCATTGACCTTCGAGGCGGCGCTGGCCCGAGGCCTGGTGCACTACTTCGGGGCCGAACTGGCGGCCAGCAGTCTACCTGAGGCCATGCCCTTTACCGTGGGTGACAACCAGACCTACCGAGGCTTCTGGAACCCACCACTTGAGCCTAGGAAGGCCTATCTCATCTACTTCCAGGCAGCAAGCCACCTGAAGGGGGTGAGGGACCGGCCAGGGTCATGGTGGGCGTGGTTGGGTGTGGGGGGATGGCAGACAGGAGATACCTTGGAGCAGGCCCAGCGCAGACTCCAGGCCCGGCACTTCCCATAGCCCCACCTCCCATAGCCCCACCTCCCATAGCTCCTCCTCCTACAGCCCACCCCCATAGCCCTACCTCCTGTAGCCCCACCTCCCATAGCCCTGGCCCCACAGTTCCTCCCCCATAACCTTGCCCCTCCCATAGCCCTGCCTCCTTTTGCCCACCTCCCATTGCCCCACCTCCAATAGCCTTACCTCCCATAGAGCCACCCCCACGGCCCCGCCTCCCACAGCCCCACCTCCCAGAGTCCGTCCCATAGTCCCTTCTCCCATAGCCCCTCCCCCATGGTCCCACCCCTCCCATAGCCAGCCCTCCTGACCCCAGGCTCCTTCCCACAGAGCACTACCCCCTTCCTGAGCCTTCTTTCTCAGGCTCCTCCTTTCTATCCAGGTCCCCAGTCTAGTCTCTGCCCCTTCCTGAGGCCCTGCCTTCTATCTTAGATGCTTCTCTTCCCAGAGGAGTCCATCTCAGATTCCAGCGTTCCTGTGTTAAGGCCTAGGACCCGCCTCCTCCCTGAAGCCCCACCTTATCCTCCAGGCTCCTCCCTCCTCTGCTTCTTGCCTGGTTTCTTGCCTGGTTTCTGACTTCCTAGCTGGACCTCTGGCCCTAGGCCTCGCCCCGATGCCCGAGGCCCCGCCCATTTCCCCAAGACGTTTGTTTCTCTTTTGCCTCCGATCTCATCCCCCTTTCCTAAGGCACTGCAGGTGCCTCCCCTCTAGGCCCCGCTCTCAAGGGTCCCCCCAGGCCTGCCTTCGGGTGGGGTGTCCCTTGATGCCATCAGCACAAGACAAAGCCCTGAACAGGCCCAAGAAACGCTGTCTGAGGTTCCCACCCTGGGGAGGGAGAGGTCGGGGCTTCAGCAACGCTGAGACCCCCATCTGTGCCTCCAGGAGACCCGGCTGAATTGCATCCGCATTGCCAGGAAAGGTAAGTCCGCTGAGTTCCTGCAGCCTTTCAGCGGCAGGTTTCTCACCTGCCCAGCGCTGGGGAGGTGGATCCTGAGGACCTACGGCTGTGGGAGTAGAGGAGGGTGGTTGGGCAGTCCTGGGGCCAGGAGGGGCTTCCTGCTGGGTTTCCATGTGCCCTACCTCAAGGGCGCCTTCTCCCAGGGTGACAGCAGGGGCCTGGAGCAGGCTTGTGGAGAGGAGCCATTATAGTTGGGCCTTGGGGGTGATGGGTACAGGGTGCTGGTTCTGGGTTACGTATCTGTCCGGCTTTCCTGTGGTGGGGGAGAAGGTGAGGTCAGCATGGGCCCTGTGCTATAGGTATCTTTCCTGCTTCCAGACAGGGAATGTGGTTGGTTTCCCATCCTGAGATGGACTAACCATGCCCTAGGTACACAATTCCTAATCCCTGTTACCTCCCAGGAGGGCAAGAGGGTGGGGCTGAAGCCCAGGTGTCTGCTCTCCCCTATCCACTGAGAGCTGGGAGGATCTGAGAAAGTGGGAAGCGAGGGAAGCTATTCCTGGCAAAGGAGCCATATCAGTGAGGACTGTGGCGTGGAAGTGCAGAAGGTATCAGGGATGGTGAGGAGGTAGATTTGCTCAAAAGGCAGGACACACATTGAGGATGTAGGGCGGTTTGTGCAGCCCAGTTTGTTCCTTGGGCACAGCCACCTACAGGAGGGGCTCGATGGTCCCTGTCTTTCCTCTGATCCCTTGTTCTGCTTTGTTCTCCCCAGCTGCCTGCAAGGAAAGCAAGCGGCCCCTGGAGGTGTCCCAGAGATCGGAGGAGATGGGGCTTATCCTGGGCATCTGTGCAGGGGGGCTTGCTGTCCTCATCCTTCTCCTGGGTGCCATCATTGTCATCATCCGCAAAGGGTGAGTGAGGCCGGTGCCCTGTCCCACCAGTGGCTTCTACCCCTTAGAGGCCTGGTGGCACAGAGGAATAGTGGCTAAGAGCTGGTAGGGCAGCTGTCCTGCAGGTGTGTGGAGGGCTGCCAGCCTGGGCATCGCCTCTACAGATGGATCTGAGCTGGGTGGTGGGAAGCCAGAGACTGGGAAGATGGGGCTGCCCTGGAGTGGCATGGCTGGAGTACAGTTCTGGCTGGTGCCAGGTGCTGCCATCCAGGGAGGGGTGCTCAGTGCCTGGTGCCAAGGAGCTATGCCTGCTGGGACTGTTTCAATAGGGAGGGCATAGAGGTGACCTGGCTTTGAACCCCTACCCTCCTGCAGACCTTCAGCCAAGGTGTCTGCCCTGCTTATGGGATTGTGCAGTTGACCTGAGCAGAGGATGGAGCTCACTCCTCTTTAAACCAAGGGCCCTGAGCCATGGCTCTTCCCGGGATCCACCTTCTCTCAGGCTCAACTTGCCCTGGACCCTGTTCCTGTGGATCCTTGAGGAGCCCTCCTGGGCCTGTGACTGATAAACCCCTCCCCCTGCCGCCCCTACTATCCCTCGTGTCTCAAAGGTCCAGCCTGTGTTTGCATGAAATGTGTTTCCTAGCGGATTTGCAGAGGGCAGCATATATCCCAGGACATTGTGGAATCCAGAACCTAGAATCTTGCAGTTTCAGAAATGTAGGATTTAGGACTCTAGGAATCTTAGGCTTTAGAATTGTAGAGGCTCAGAGCCCCAGAACGTAAGAGCTGCCAGGTAGTTCAAGGCCATCTAGTCTAGTGGTTTTCAAATCTTTTTAAAGAAACAGAACCTGCCTTCAAAACACCAGAAAACCCTTCCCTGGGAGCCTAGTAAAATGGAGCAGATGAAGGCTGAGCAGCAGTGCTGGTCGGAAGCTGAGTGGGGGCTTCTGGGACTTTTCTGTTTGCCAGCTCTGCCCCACCATGTTCCCCACCAGGCAGCCGTGGGACACTGTGGTCCAAGCGCCTTAAATGAGGGATGGGGATGTTGAGGCCTAGAGGGCACGCAGGGCTGCCCAAGGCTACCCGGAGAGCCAGAGGCAGAGCCAGCTCCACCCTTCCCCACCTGGGCTCTGGCTTCTATAGCCCCTACTGCTGCCAGGCTGGGCATACATGGATGAGTTGGTTGTATCTCTGGGCTGCCAGGAGCGGATAATAGGATCCAGGAAGATGAGAGAGAGAGCTGGCTGGGGCCACCTTGCCTGAGGCCAGACACCAGCAAGAGAGAGAGAGTCTAGGGGTGGAGTGTGCAGCGGAGTGGAGGAGATGGGGGGGATGGCCCAGCCAGGGCGATACACTCTGATTTTTCCCCTCGTTGTTCCTGCACAGCTTTAAGAGAGACTATTTTAAAGTATCATTTAATGAGGGATTACTATGTGCCAGGAGCTTCACACACATCATCCATGAGTACATTAGTTATTGGACATCTACTGTGTACCAGGCACTGTTCTGCACTCAGCATGCGTCAGAGAACATTTCCTTCTTGGATCTTGACTGACTCCCTTTTTTTTGGATGAAGAAACTGTAATGAAAGCACCTTGCCCAGGCCACTTGGCTGATGAGCAGTAGGGCCTGACTTCAACTCAGGCTCGCCTACAAATGTGAAGGCCTCACTGAGTCTGGTGCATAGGCAGTGCCCCCAGAATGGCAAGCCCCTGACTTTCCCCCAGCAGGGGGCCTGAGAAGTGACTTTAAGTAGGGCTGGGGCTGGAGAGGGCTATAGTGGAGGGGGCAGATTTCAGTTTCAGGTGGTATTTGAGGTCCTAGAAATCTACCCTCAAGGAGAAGAGGATTGGCAGAGTGAGGGGTGTCAAAGAGAGCCCTGCAAAGAGAGCACTGGGCCCAGGACAGGCTGGATCAGAAATGTTGTCAGGGCCTCACTGGGAAACCTTCCATTATGTATTTGCTACCCCATAAACCCAAGTTATCCCAGATGCCTCCAGGAACCCCTCATCCCCCATCACTCTGGACCTCCTTACTTCCTCTAAAAGCCATTCAGTCTCACTGTGTAGTACCCACTGCATGCCCCTGGATCTGAGCCTGGCCTTCAGGGCCTTCCGTGCTCCTCAGGGCTTTTGCAGTCTGCATTGTGGGTATCATGGGATGCAGCAGCCCTGGCAGGGATGGGGGTGTTCAGATCAACGTGGGGTGCCAACATAACTAACAAGAGTAGGAAGTTGCTGAGGAGGGCAGTTACCACGCCCCCAGGAGGGAGTCCCAGGGGGATTATGGGTAATAGAGGCCAGCTGGAAGAAGATTTCAGATTCTCCATCCTGCCCTGCCTCTGTGGACCATCAGACTGGATGCATCTGCTGTAGGGGAATTCCAGGGCCTGGAAGGGAGGCTGGTGACCCCAGGCCAGGTCAGATCCCCTGGCTGTGCTTCCAGAAGTCCCCATACCCCACCCTTCTCCATGGCAGCACTTTCTTCTCCCTGCACTTTGTCATTTACTTACTTGTAGTGTTTTGCTCAATGCTTGCCTCCCCTCCTGGGTTAAGAGCTCCATGAAGGGCAGAGAAAGCCCTGTCTTGTCTATATCTCCACAGTCTAGCCCAGGGGAGTCGGGTCTCCCCACTCTGAGGTGTAGGGAGGAGTGGTTTGTGGGCACTGCTGGGTGCTTCCCGGTGCTGAGGCCTCACAGCAGTCCCTGTGGGAGATTATTATTAACCTCACTGTGTATGTATGTTTTTTTTTTTTTTTTTTTTAAATGGACTCAAGCTCTGTCATCCAGGCTAGAGTGCGGTGGCGCGATCTCAGCTCACTGCAAGCTCTGCCTCCCAGGTTCACGCCATTCTCCTGCCTCAGCCTTCCAAGTAGCTGGGACTACAGGCGCCCACCACCACGCCCAGCTAATTTTTTTTTTATTTTTAGTAGAGACGGGGTTTCACCTTGTTAGCCAGGATGGGTATGTATGTATTTTTTGAGACAGAGTTTTGCTCTTGTTGTCCAGGCTGGAGTGCAGTGATGCAGTCTTGGCTCACTGCAACCTCTGCCTCCTGGGTTCAAGTGATTCTCCTGCCTCAGCCTCCTGAGTAGCTGGGATTACAGGCGCCCACCACCATACTCGGCTAATTTTTTGTATTTTTAGTAGAGACAGGGCATCATCATGTTGGCCAGGCTGGTCTCAAACTCCCGACCTCAGGTGATCCACCCGCCTCGGCCTCCCAAAATGCAGGGATTATAGGCCTACCTGAGCCACCATGCCCAGGCTTAACCTCACTTTTTAAAGAAGAAAGTGGAAGCGCATGGAGGTGAAGTTCTTTTATTTATTTTTCCTCATTTATTGATTACTCCATTCAACAAAATATTTATTGTGGGATTACAATGTGTGGGGCCCTGGGGAAACTGAGGGAGACAAAAAGACAAGGATTCTGTCCTCCTGTACTTTGTAGCCAGTGGAGAGCCTGGCATGAAATTAGAAAAAGCACAAATGGAAGAGATAATTGCAAATTGTGAAAAGAACAGGGTGCTGGGTGTTGGGGGCAAAGAGAATACAAGAGACATCATGTAGCTGGCACTCGTGGGAGAGTGGTCCGGGAAGGCCCTTTTGAAGGCACAATGTGTCAACTGAGGCCAGAAGAATGCCATTTCTTCAGCCGTGTCCTCCCTCGTGGGGCCTCTGCAACAGCCCCAGCGCCCTAGACTCTCCCCTCTCTCCCTGGGATGGAGGAGATGTGCTCTGTGACCTGGGGCCAAGCTCCTGCCTTTGCTGGTCCGTCTTCCGCTCTCCTCCCCTTCATCTGCAGGATTTCCTGTGGAAGGCCATTCTTTGGGGTCCCTGCTGACAGGGTGATGTGGGGGCAAGTGAATGGAGGCCTCTGGAGAGCCTGGGAGGGGAGCACAGAGGAAGTTCCAGGACCAGGGTCCTGGGGCAGGTGTTTGCTCTGGACTCTGCCACTGACCCCCAGAGAGGCCCAGGTAGCCCATGCTCCCTGACTCAGCTTCCCCGCCTATGAAATGGGAATCCAACCTGCTTTACACTGTGGGTGCTTTGCGGTAAGGTAGGGCTCTTGATGGAAGCTGTGCCCCAGGTGCTCCCAGAGGGGATGACCTGGCTCCTTTAGTGGATCCCACACCCAGGGGCAGGCAGGGTAGGTAAGGGTGGGCCCTAGTTGTGTCCTGGGCATACATCTGGAGTCCTCTCCATCCTGCCCCCTTTCTGTCCCCACCCAGGTGGAGGTGCAGGCAAAGGGCTGACCCCTTATGGGCAGAGGGCCGTGCAGGGTGGGAGGGTGGGGGATGAGAACAGCCCTGGTAAGCACAGTTAGCCTAGAGAGTATGAGTCTGTGTGTGTCAGGGGATGTCTAATGTGTGTGTGTGTGTGTTTGTGAATATATGTCTAAGTGAGTGTGTGTCAAGTGTGTCTGAATACATGTGTATGCATGTCTGCACCTGTGTGTCTGCATTTGTGGGTGTTGATATGTGTTTCTCCATGTATGAGTGTGTATGTGAGCATATATCTACATGTGTGTCTGTGTGAGTGTGCATATGTGTATGACTGTGTGAAAGCTCTGCGGCCCCCTAGGTCCTTTTCCCACCTCCTCCTCACTCCTGCAGTAGGCTTGGGGAAGGTTTCAGAAGGGCCTTGGGTCCTGGTCATTAATATCTGAGCCTGACCAGGGAGGTCCTCCTGACCTGTTCAGTCCCTGGCCAGCCCCCTCCCCAGCCCGGGAGGTACCCAGGCCCCACCCTGCTGCCTGGGCATTGCCTCAGCCCGGCCTTGGTGGACGGACCTCGGACACAACTGTGCTGTTCTCTCTTTGCACGCTGCCAGGAGAGACCACTATGCCTACTCCTACTACCCGTAAGTAGCTCTACCTTGCCTGGGAGTCCCCGGCCCTGCCTAGGGGGAGATCCCCTGTCCCCGCCTTCTCTGGTTGGGCTTAGTCTCGCTGCACCCAGCCTGGCCTGGTGTCCACCCGGTTCTCTCTGGTCACCTCGGCCTCTGACTTTCTTTCCTCTGCTCTGTCCTTCCCCTCTGCATCTTCCTCCTCAAGTCGTGGTCATGAGTGCTGGTTCTGCCCCTAAGAGGCATGGGTTCAGAGCTGGCCCTGCTGAGTCACCCCCAGCAAGTCCCTGAGCCTCAATGTCCCCTTCACCACCAGAGCAGCCCCTTACGTCTACTGTTCCTCGTGGTTAGAAGTATGTCCTGACCTCCAACCAAATCCACGTTCAGGACACGCTCTGGAGCCCACGTCCATGTGCATGTGTGTGCTTGTGTGCATGTGGGTGGGGCCTACCTGTTCTGAGACTGGCAGCTTCTCCCACAGCACAGGCAACTCTCAGGCCCCTACAAGTCCCTTCTCCAGCCAGGCAGCCCCAGCTCTGCAGACCCACCATTTCCTGGGAGCCTCCTCTGGGCCAAGCCCTGTGCTCAGTTCTTGACAGAGTCCTCACAACAGCTCTGAGAAATAGGAGCTTTTATCACTCCCACTTTACTGATGAGGAAACTGAGGCTCAGAGAGACCAAGGGAGTTGTGGGAGGTTGCAAAATGCACTGGAACTGGGATACAACCCAGGCCCCTGCTGACTCCACAGCCTGCCGATGCTACTCTGTCTTCTCTCTCTGTCTTCTACTCTGCAAGCCTTCTGGAACATTCCTCCTGCCCCTGTGCTGGTTTTCCCTCCCTCGAAGTGCAGGCCCAGAGGGCGCCAGGCCAGCCCTGAGGACAGTGGGTCTCTCACCTCCTCCTCCCTGGACAGCTCCTTACCTTAGTGTTTCCTGACACGAGCTTTTCCAACAACTCAACACCCAGCGACTCGCGCTGAGCCCCCAGCTCGGCTCCTGCAGGGGCTGTGGACAGGCAGCTCTCCCTGCTGCTTGCGCAGTTAGTTTTCAAAACCAGATGCAGAACTTCTCAAAGAATCTGTATTAAATTCCATCTGCTTAATCTCACATTGAGCTCAGCTGGATGCCAACAGCATTAGGTGTCCCTCCCGGGTTCCATCTTCTGGGGATCGGGTTGGTTTGTTTCTGTAGCTCTTCTTCCAGGTAGGCCAGGAATCCTGGGCTGGGAACAGAGCCTGTGGCACACCCCTGGAGACCACCCTCTAGGCCAGCATCTGCTCAGTGACGGGTCCTCTCTGGGCTCCATGTTCAGCCAGGCTGGCTGGCTGTCCTCTGTCCATGGCCCTATCTCCCCACCTCCTTTTCTCCCTCCCACTTTCCTCCAAGTTCCTTCGAAGTCACAAACTGCCATCCTCATCCGTGAAGCTGGGCCTGGAGGGAGAGGAGGTCTCTCTTTCTCTTCCCTGCTGCTCTGAGCAGCAGGACGGACTGGTGGGCAGTGGTGGGAATCTGGACCTTCTGTGGGTCTCTTTACAAGTCTGTGGTGGTCTATGCTGGGACCATCCTAGGTGCTACTGGGAGTAGGGAGAAGCCAAGGGTGGAGTTCATTCTGTGCGTGGGGGAAGCCCCCGAGCTCTGGCTGAGCACAAGCTAGACTCTCTGCGGGGAAGGAGGGGTGTAGTCCCTCCTTCCTGCAGGAGAAGGAGGAGTCTGGAGAGTGGTCCCTGTTTAACACGGGGAGGAGAGAGGTGGGGACATGCTGGGCCTGGAGCTGGGCCAGCCATTTTCCTAGTTTGGGGTGCAGTGGGGGTGAGGGGGCTGTCTGCTGTGACACCAAATTAGCCCTGGAGTGACTTTCTTTCCCATTTCCTAAGCCCAGGGGGCCAGTGAAACTTAGGAGTGAGATCCCAGCCTGAAGCCACTGCTGCTCCACCCCTTTCCCTTAGCAAAGGTCCCTAGGACGGGCTCTGCCAAGCCCTTTTCAGGGAAGAAGCAGCTCTGGGTCTAATGAGTGAAGGATGGGGGCAGAGCCCTCAGCATCCAGAGATGCTTCTAGGACAGCTGCTGGCTCCTGGCCTTGAGGTCCCCTTACTCCAGGGCCTCCCCAGCCACCTCTGGGTGCTGTCCAGCCCCACACAATGCCTGTGTCTCCCCTCAACCCCCCTCTCCAGGAAGCCGGTGAACATGACCAAGGCCACCGTCAACTACCGCCAGGAGAAGACACACATGATGAGCGCCGTGGACCGCAGCTTCACAGACCAGAGCACCCTGCAGGAGGACGAGCGGCTGGGCCTGTCCTTCATGGACACCCATGGCTACAGCACCCGGGGTGAGTGCCCGGCCCTCCTACCCCTTCTTCATGGCTCTGGGGCTCCCAACCTGAGACAATAGGGTCCCCACATCAGGTGAGTTCTGTAACACCTGCAACCAAAAGTGAAGCATCTGTGGTGCTCCTGCTGGATACCTTCTGGATATAGAGCCAGCACAGGTGGCGTTTTTGCATTGTGTACTAGAGGAGCTTGCAAGGAATTCTGCTAGCAAAAGAGGAATGCAAGGTCCATTGTGACAGTCGTCAAGGAGGAGGTGCTGCTGTAGGATCAGAGGGATCAGAGTGGCCTCACCCCTTATTGAGCACCTGTTATGTGAGAGGTGGGGATACAGTGGCTGAGAGAGACCGATATAGAGTCAGACCTGGGCTTACCTCTCCCTTTCTTAGCTGTGTGACCTGGGGCAAGTCACTTAAGCCCTCTGGATGTCTGTTTCCTTGTGTATAAAATGGGAATGCAGATTGCCTCTGCTAGTAGGGCCGATGTGAAGACTAAATGAGATAATGTGTGCAAAATCACTTAGGGCTGTGCTTGTATTCACAGAATATAGTGAGTCAGCCGTTATGTACTAGGTCTGTGTCATAACTTGCTTCATCCCACATCTTTTTATTCTGTTTAGTGTTGATTTGTACAGAAGAGAATATGTAATGTTTATGAAAGTCATAAAATCATAACAATACAACAAACAGCAATGAACCTCATTGGTGAATTAGAACATTATCTTGGTACACCTCCCTGGCTATATCCCCTACCTCTTTCTTAGATGTAAATATTCCCTTGAAATTGTTGTGTTTTTTTTTTTTTTTTGTGAGATGGAGTCTCACTCTATCACCCAGGCTGGAGTGCAGTGGCATGATCTCGGCTCACTGTAACCTCTGCCTCCCAGGTTCAAACAATTTTCCTGCCTTAACCTCCCAAGTAGCTGGGATTACAGGCACCTGCCACCATACCCGGCTAATTTTTTTGTTTTTTTGAGATGGAGTCTCACTCTGTTGCCCAGGCTGGAGTGCAGTGGTGTGATCTTGGCTCACTGTAACCTCTGCCTCCAGGGTTGGAGCAATTCTCCTGGCTCAGCCTCCTGAGTAGCTGGGATTACAGGTGTGCGCCACCACACCCAGATAATTTTTGTATTTTTAGTAGATGGGGTTTCACCATGTTGGCCAGGCTGGTCTTGAACTCCTGACCTTAGGTGATCCACCCACCTTGGCCTCCCAGAGTCTTGGGATTACAGGCGTGAGCCACCGCACCTGGCCAGTTTTTGTATTTTTAGTAGAGACAGGGTTTCACCATGTTAGCCACGCTGTTAGCCACGCTGGTCTCGAACTCCTGACCTCAATTGATCTGTCCGCCTCAGCCTCCCAAAGTGTTGGGATTACTGGCGTGAGTCACTGTGCCCAGCCTCCCTTGAAATTTGTGTTTATAATTTTCCTACCTTTTTCGGGGGTAGTTTTTTGTTTTTTTTTTTTTTGAGACGGAGTCTCCCTCTGTCACCCAGGCTGGAGTGCAGTGGCGCAATCTCCGCTCACTGCAAGCTCCGCCTCCCGCATTCATGCCATTCTTCTGCCTCAGTCTCCCTAGTAGCTGGGACTACAGGCGCCCGCCACTGCGCCCGGCTAATTTTTTGTATTTTTAATAGAGACGGGATTTCACCGTGTTAGCCAGGATGGTCTCGATCTCCTGACCTCGTGATCCACCTGCCTCGACCTCCCAAAGTGCTGGGATTACAGGCGTGAGCCACTGCGCCCGGACTTTTGGGGGTAGTTTTACCATGTGTACATATATCCCCAAACAACGCATTGTATAGTTTTGCTCATTTTCATCCTTTATAAAAATGAAATCACACACTACTTAACTCCACATCATATTTAAATTTACCCATGTGGATGTTTTGCTGCAGTTCATTTACTTTCTCTGATGCGTAGTTTCCCATTGTATGGCTGTATCACAATTGACTTCTCCATTCTGCCATCCATGGGCATTCGATTGGTTTTTAGTTTTCTTGTTATCACAAATGAGACTGCTGTGAATATTCTGATGTGGATGTCTAGATGCACCTGCACACAAGGTTCTAGAAATAGAATTGCTGGATTATGGAGTACGTGCATCTTCAGCTTAATAAGAGTGCCAAGTTGCTTTCCAAAGCAACTCTGCCTGTTTTCTTTCCTAGCAGCAGTGTGTAAGACTTTCTGTTGCTCTACATCAAGATCAAAATTTGCCAGCCTTTTTCACTTCTGCCACATTAGTTTGTATAAAATGGTAATTCTCTATAGTCTTAATTTGCATTTCACTGATGACTAATGAAGTTGAACGTATTTTCAAGTCATCAATGGCCATTCAGGTCTCTTTTTCCATGAAATGCCTGTTCATGTCTTTCACCTAATTTTCTATTGGGTTTTCTGTTGCTTTCTTAGTGGTTTTTAGGAGTTCTTTATATATTTAGGATAATAATCATTTGTCACTTGTGAATTGCAAATATCTCCTCCCAATTTGTGGCTTATCTTCCTAGGTTATTTATAGTGTCTTTGGATGAACAGAAGATTTTTATTTTTGTGTATTTAAATTCATCAGTCTTTTTCTTTGTGATTTCTACTTTTTGTGTTTTTTAAAGAAGTTTTCCCTATCCAAAGTTATAAAATATTTTTTGCTTTTTTTCTAGAACTTATAACATTTTACATTTTATATTTAAATCTTTATCCATCTGGAATTGATTTTTGTGTGTGGTGGTATAAGTTAAGGATTTTATTTTTTCCATGGTGATAAGCCACTGTCCCAGCATCATTTATTATAGTTCACGCTTTCCCTGCTGATTTGCAGTGCCATCTTTCTCGCACACCCCATTTCTACAGATAAGTAGATCATTTTTCAGTTCCCTGTTTCTTTCATTGGTTGGTTTGGTTGATTCCTAACCACACGGTCTAATTATCGAGGCTATTTAAGTCTTGATATCTGAAACATGAAGCTGTGCCAACTTTGTGCTTCATCAAGGATGTCTTGGCTATTTTTGTTTTCATTCTCTCTCTCTGTCTTAATGAGATAGGATCTAGCTCTGTCACCCAGGCTGGAGTGCAGTGGCACAATCTGGGCTCACTGCAACCTTCGTCTTCCGGGCTCAAGCGATCTCCCACCTCAGCCTCCCGAGGAGCTGGGACTACAGGGGCGCACCACCATGCCTGGCTAATCTTTGCATTTTTTTTTTTTTGGTAGAGACGGGGTTTCACTATGTTACTCCAGGCTGGTCTCAAACTCCTGGGCTCCAGTGATCTGCCCGCCTCAGCCTCCCAAAGTGTTGGGATTACAGGCATGAGCCATCACGCTCGGCTAATTCTCTTTGTTATAAATTTTAGAGTCATCTCTTTAAGTTTCTTGAAAAACTTTGTTGGATGGTTTTGTATTGAATTTATAGATCAATTTGGAAGAATCGCCATCTTATGAAATTGTCTTTCCACCCATGAAAGTGATTTATATTGCCCCATTTATTTAGGTCTTGAATGTCTTTCAATAATTCTCTCCATAAAATCTTGTACATCTTTTTTTAGATAGATGTCCCTAGGTTCTTTATTTTTGACTTCTATTGCAAATGGTACACTTTTCAAATATTACATTTCCATTTCTTATATAGAGAAATGCAGTTTATTTTTGATTGCATATTGATCTTACATTCATACTTCTTTTTTTTTTGTGAGACGGAGTCTCACTCTGTCACCCAGGCTGGAGTGCAGTGGCGCAATCTCAGCTCACTCCAACCTCTGCCTCCCTGGTTCAAGTGATTCTCCTGCTTCAGCCTCCCAAGTAGCTGGGACTACAGACGTGCGCCACCATGCCCAGCTAATTTTTGTATTTTTTTTTAGTAGAGATGGGGTTTCACCATGTTGACCAGGCCAGTCTCGCACTCCTGACCTCAGGTGATCCACCCACCTTGGCCTCTCGAAGTGCTGAGATTACAGGCATGAGCCACCGTGCCTAGCCTTATATACATACTTCTCGATATGCTTTCTTATTCTCATTTCTCTGTAGAATGTTTCAGGCTTTCTGAGCAGTTAAAGGATCTGTGAATATCCTTTGCAGAAGAAATAGTTGTTTTTTCTTTCCCACTTCTTATTCTTTTTCCCCATGTTTTTTTGGCTGGGACCTCCGGTACTGTGTTGAATAGACTGGTTGTAGCTGGAATCCTTGTCTTCTTTTCCTGACTTTAACAGGAATGTTTCTAACATTTAAACACAGAATGAAGATTGCTTTGGGGTTTTGGTAGAAATGTTTTTATCAGGCTAACCAAATTCCTTTTAGTTTTTAGTTTGCTGAGAGGTTTTAAGTGGGCATTAAACTTACCAAATACTTTTTTCTGCAATTATTGTGATAATTATTTTTTCCCCTTTTGTCTGCTAATGGGATGAGTGACATTTTTAGATTTTTAAAAAATTACCTTAAATTCCTGGGATAAATTCAACTTGGTCATGATGATTATGATGTTTCCTTTCCTTTCTTTTTTTTTTTTTTTTCTTTTTGAGATAGGGTTTCACCCTGTTGCCCAGGCTGGACTATAGTGGTGTGATCATGGTTCACTGCAACCTCGACCTCCTGGGCTCAAGTGATCCTCCTACCTCAGCCTCCTGAATAGCTGGGATGACAGGTGCCCACTGTCATGCCTTGCTACTTTGTTTTTTTTTTTTTTGTATTTTTTGTAGAGACAGGGTTTTGTCATGTTGTCCAGGTTGGTCTTGAACCCCTGGGCCCAAGCGATTTACTTGTCTTTGCCTCTCAAAGTGCTGGGATTACAGGTGTGAGCCACCGTGTCTGGCCAGATTTTAAAGTTCTAATTTGGTATATTTAAAGGACTAAACAACTATTCAGGCTTTCTATTTTTTTAAAAATAGAAAGTTATATTTTTGATAAGTTATATTTGTCTAGGTATTTGGCCATTTTATTTATGTTTTTAAACTCAGTGTTATGCACTTATTAATCATATTCTCCTTGTAATCTCTCTTATTAAATTTTCACCATTTTATACCATTTTACCCTGCTTAGTAGCTGTTTTTTTTTTTTTTTTTTTGAAACAGGGTCTCACTGTGTCGCCCAGGCTGGAGTGCAGTGGTGCAATCCTGGCTCACTGCAACCCTCTGCCTCCCGGGTTCAAGTGATTCTCCTGCCTCAGCCTCCCTAGTAGCTGGGACTACAGGCACCTGCCATCATGCCTGGCTAATTTTTGTATTTTTTGTAGAGACGGGGTTTCACTATGTTGGCCAGGCTGGTCTCGAACTCCTGACCTCAAGTGATCCACCCGTCTTGGCCTCCCAAAGTGCTGAGATTACAGGTGTGAGCCACCGCACCTGCCTGCTTAGTAGCTGTTATTAACCCTTCAGCTTACAAATCAGGAAACAGAGGCTTGGAGAGGGGAAGTCACTTGTCCAGGTTAAATAGCCAGAAAGTGGCAGAGTCAGGACTTAAATGCAAGTCTTTCTGAATTGCAAATTTGTTTCTACTGCATCATGCTGCACCTCGAGGGATGGGTAGGATTCAGACCGCAGAGATGGGAAGGAAAGGGCATGTGTAGAGGAGGCACTGTATGTGCAAATGTGTGGTGATAGGCATGGGAGGAGACAGGGAGAGGTGTGACTGCACTAAATCCTCCAGTGGGTGCTAGAGAGAGCGGGAGATCAGGGTGGTGTGGGCTCATGCCTAACCGCTGAGTCTTGCTGAGAGACAGAGAGAGGCAGGAAACATGGGCTCTGCTCCTGGGATTCACTGATGAGTTGGGGAGTCAGGACTGACCCAGGGAAGTCGGGACCAGGCTAATTGCTATGTGGATAGTGGGGACAATCAGTGCTGTTAGTTTTGAGAAAATATGCCCTTGGGCAGGAGTGGTCAGCATTTTGGTGAGATGGGTATGGTTGACTGATGGTGAGGAGGAAGGGGCACTGAGCCTGGGCAGAGGTGATGGTTGGAAACTCAAAAGGTGCTAGGCGCGGTGGCTCACACCTGTAATCCCAGCACTTGAGGAGGCAGAGGCAGGCAGATTGCTTGAGGTTAGGAGTTCAAGACCAGCCTGGCTAACGTGGTGAAACCCCGTCTCTACTAAAAATACAAAAATTAGCCAGGGATGGTGGCAGGCACCTGTAATCCCAGCTACTTGGGAGGCTGAGGCACAAGAATTGCTTGAACCTGGGAGGCAGAGGTTGCAGTGAGCCGAGATCACTCCACTGCACTGCACTCCAGCCTGGCAGACAGAGCAAGACTCTGTCTCAAAAAAAAAAAGACAAAAAAAAAAAAACCAAAACGTGTCCAGGAGATGAGCTGAGCTGTGCCTCAGCACATTCTCTCTCTTTATTCTTCTCTGCCCTCCACTTGCTGGTCTGCCTTCCACTTCCTTCTTTTCCAAACAGTGGAGGCCAGGTTTTTGTGGTTTAGAATGGAAAGCCATGTTGATTTTGGTGGATCCTTCTATGCAAATTTTAAATGAAGGACTTATCACTGTGGGTAACTGGTGGCGGGGCTGGTGTGAAAAAGCCAGCTGGAACCTTCCCAAGGTGTTGGAATGAGCCCTGTTGTCTCTGAAATCCTGCCTGCGAAAACCCTCAGATCCTCCTGGGCCTTGTACGTCTGGAGCTATTGACTCCTGTGGGTGCCAGTCGGTGTTGGCCAAATTGTTTGTCAAATAAGTGCCAGGTTTTTTCATGCCCATCAATGCCCCTTAATCAGGGAAGCAGAGAGAGCAGTGGGGACAGCAGGGTCTCAGAGTCAGGTGGATTCAAGCCTGGGTTTGAATCCTAGTGCTTCCATTTAATGAGCAAGTAGCTTAACTCTTCTGGGCCTCAGTTTTCTCGTTTGCACAAGAGGAACAATGGTAGTGCCCCTGCCATACGGATATTCTAAGGAATAAATGACTTAAGAATTGTGCTGGGCACTCAATATGTTAGATATGGCTAGCTCTTATTACAGGCTGTGCTTCTGTAGGAAAGAAACTTACTTGCTAATTGCAAACAGTGGAGGAAAAGTTTGGGGTGCTACCACATTGAATAACTGGGGGCCTCTCCTCATCTGAGGGTGGTGGGAATCAGGGAAAGTGCCACCACTGAGGGAGGGCTGAGGATTTTCATTTCCAGAAGAAGAAACTGAGACCCAGAGAGGTCAAGGAACTTGAGCCAGAATTTGAATTCAGGTCTCTCTGACTCCAAACCTAGTGTTCTTTTTTCTGGGCCTCAGCCCTCCCCATAAAGCATCAGCTGTCCAGTGGTTACTCACAGAAGATGTTCCACAGTCACGATGGTGCTAGGAAGAGCCTGGGAGAGTCCCAAAGTGGAGACTTTGAAGGTGGGCCTATGGGCAAACTGGTCCTTAGGGGTAGGGGATGGGGTGGGGTAGGAAGTGTGTCTCAAGTCCCACAGGGGAACTCATAGGCAAGGAGAGTAGGGACCTGTCCTCTCTGGGCCCAGGAATTGGAGGGTCCTTTTGGGAACATCATCATCCCTTCCTTTCCTGGTGGTCTTATTTGTAGAACATCTTGTGTTATTCTTAGGCTCAGCTGTCAGCTGCCCAGATGTGGCTCTGGCTTTCCAGGCGGGACTTTTTGCTTGTCCTCAGCCACTGTGCACTGATTGCATGCCTCCTTGTGGGGCTGTGCCAGGGCTGCCAGCCTTTCAGGATCTCTGGGATAAACTCTTTGATTCTCTGCCACCCTCATTTGCTCCTTTCTCTGCCAGGAGAGCTCTCTGTGGAGCTGTCGGCCCACTTTCCACAAAGAGCACGAGGGCTTCTCCATCTCGCCAGTTTCTTCTCTGAGTTCTTTGAGCCAACAGAAGTCCCTCTTCTTGAAACTGTTGCACTTGCCTGGTGGTGCGTTACGGACACTCCTTGGAATCATCTTTTCAAGCTGCCTTTTAGGTCCCAGACCCAAGATCTTACAGCAGAGAAGCACCAAGACTCTTGTCAGCCAGCTGCCATGGCTTTCTGGCACTCAGGGGCTTCCTTCCTTTCCTGGAAATGACTAGTAATGTCAACAGTTGCCCTTGCAGGTGCTCGCTGTGTGCCAGGCACGGGGCTGGGTGCTTTATATACATTATTATATTTAATATTTACATCATCATATTGGATTGTAACAATTTTTACCTTCACTTGACATGTGAGAATGGAAGTTTGGAGAGAGTAGGTAACATCCCCACGGTCACATACAGAGCTGGGAATTGATCTGAAGTCTTTCCAGAGCCCATCTCTCAGTGTCTACATTGCACAGTGTTCTCCTGAGGATGTTTCATGAAACAAACAAGAAAAGCCCTCCGTGGCAAAAGATGTTTATGAAACATTGCTGTTTCCACTCCTCTCTTGAAGATTTAAAATGCAAACAAACATGCCGAAAGCCCCGAGAGGTCTTGCAGGGAAGAAACCTGTTTGTTTTTGTTTAAACCAGAATTTCACAGACTCCTTTAAAACACAGAATTCCTCTTCCTCCTCTTGCTCTTCTTTTTAATGGGACACCACTTAATCATCTTGCATACCTACGATTTTCTGAAACACTTTGGCAACCACCAAATTAGGCCAGTCTTTTCTCTTTGGACCTCAGTTTCCCCATCTGTAAAATTAAGGGTTTGGGCATCCCACCACAATGGCATAACTGGTACTTGATTTGCCATCCAGCTGTAAGCAACCAGTAATCCAGCTAAAATATAGGAATCAATTGCTTTCAGACATTGAACTATAGGCAGCTGAAGACCGTGGTTCCTGAGAGCAGAGAAGCAAATGAGGTGAAGTCATCTTCAAACCATGGCACAGGAAGGTGGAACCCAAGCACAATGGGGCAGCCTCCCTGCCCTGGTTGGAGTTTGAGGAAGTTGAGCTCATCAGGGGGTCTCCTGGTGATCCTGCATTCATTCTACCAGTTAGTTGCTGAGTAGGAATTCTAGGCCAGGCACCGGAGAGGGTTCTTGCCGGGAGGGTCATTTCAGTTGAGAGTTGAAGGATGAGTATGAGTTCATCAGGCAAGAAAAGTAGGGGGAGGAGGAGTTTTGGAGGGAGAAGGACAGCATATGTGAAGGCACAGGGAGTGGGGGCAGGTTATCTAGGCCCCACTGACAGTCCCCCACTGGACCCTGCCAGCTTAGATCTGGGCAGAGATTGGCTTGAAAATGTGGGGAGGGCTGGAGTTGAATAAGCCCCTCACAGCCTCACCCAGAGCAGGAGGAGGGACATGCGTACAATCATGCACTGCATAATGAAGTTTTGGTCAACAATGGACCACGTATACCATGGTGGTCCTATAAGATTATAATGGAGTTGAAAAACTCCTATGACCTAGTGACATTGTAGCCATCATAATGTCATCGTGCAATGCATTATTCACTTGTTTGTGGTGAAGCTGGAATAAACCTACTGCATTGTCAGTTGTAAAAAAGTCTAGCACATACAATTATGTGCAGTACATAATAGTTAATGATGACTGTGTTACTGGTTTATGTATTTAATATACTATTAATCATTATTTTAGAGTGTACTTATTTTTTAAAAAGTTAACTGTAAAACAGCCTCTGGCAGGTCCTTCAGGAAGTGTCCCAGAAGAAGGCACCATTTTCTTTCTTTCTTTTTTTATTGTACTTTAAGTTCTAGGGTACATGTGCACAATGTGCAGGTTTGTTACATATGTATACATGTGCCATGTTGGTGTGCTACACCCATTAACTTGTCATTTACATTAGGTATATCTCCTAATGCTATCCTTCCCCCCTCCCCTCATCCCATGACAGGCCCCGGTGTGTGATGTTCCCCGCCCTGTGTCCAAGTGTTCTCATTGTTCAATTCCCACCTATGAGTGAGAACATGTGATGTTTGGTTTTCTGTCCTTGCAACAGTTTGCTCAGAATGATAGTTTCCAGCTTCATCCATGTCCCTACAAAGGACATGGACTCATCCTTTTTTATGGCTGCATAGTATTCCATAGTGTGTATGTGCCACATTTTCTTAATCCAGTCTATCACTGATGGACATTTGGGTTGGTTCCAAGTCTTAGAAGGCAACGTTTTCATAGGTGATGACGGCTACGTGTGTGTTATTGCCCCTAAAGACCTCCCAGTGGGACAAGATGTGGAGGTGGAAGACAGCGATACTGATGATCCTGACCCTGTGCAGGCCTAGGCTAATGTGTATGTGTGTGTGTGTGTGTGTGTGTGTGTGTGTGTCTTAGTTTTTAACAAAAAAAATTTAAAAAACGAAAAAAAATTTTAAATAGAAAAAAGTATAGAATAAAGATAGAAAATATTTTTGTATAGCTGTACTATGTGCATGTCATTACAAAAGTCAAAAAATTCAAATTAAAACATTTCAGTAAGCTAAGGTTAATTTATTATTCAAGAAGGAAAACTATTTTTAAATAAGTGTATTGTAGCCTAAGCATACAGTGTTTATAAAGCTCACAGTAGCGTACAGGAATGTCCTAGGCCTTCATATTCACTTACCAGTCACTCAGTGACTCACCCAGGACAGCTTCCAGTCCTGCAGCTTCATTCATGGTAAATGCCTTATACAGGTGTATCATTTATTATGATTTTTTTTTCTTTTTTTTGAGACAGAGTCTCGCACTGTCACCTGGGCTGGAGTGCAGTGGCGCGATCTTGGCTCACTGCAACCTCTGCCTCCCAGGTTCAAGTGATTCTCCTGCCTCAGCCTCCCAAGTAGCTGGGATTACAGGCTCGTGCCATCATACCCAGCTAATTTTTTGTATTTTTAGTAGAGACGGGGTTTCACCATGTTGGCCAGGTTGGTCTTGAACTCCTGACCTCATGATTCACCCACCTCGGCCTCCCAAATTTCTGGGATTACAGGTTTGAGCCACCACACCCGGCCCATTTATTATTTTTATAGCGTATTTTTAGTGTGCATTTTCTATGTTAAGATACATAAATACTTACCATTGTGTTATAATTGCCTACAGTATTCAGTACAGGTTTGTAGCGTAGGAGCAATAGGCTATGCCGTGCAGCCCAGGTCCATGGAGTAGGCTCTACTATCTGAGTTTGTGTAAATACACTCTGTGGTGTTCGCACAAAGACCAAATCACCTAACAATGCATTTTTCGGAATGCATCCCTGTTGTTAAGCGATGCATAAGTATTAAATGAGTGAGTGGGCGTGCGTGTCCCAAGGCGGGTGTGGCTATTTTCTCAGTCCCAGGACCTGATCTCCAAGACCAGAGTGGGACGTCCTTGGGAATGCTGAACAGAACAGCCGGGGACGGGGTGGTCCTGGGGGCTCGGGGGAGGATGGTTTCCCAGGGTGTGTGAGGAGCTGTGGACCTCTCCACCCACTCCCCCACTGGCTGCGGCCCCGCACAGGCTGACGGTGGAACTGCCTGCGCAGGAGAAAGGCGCCTATTCGGGTGCCTGGTGTTAATCTGCAGAGGGGTTGGCAGCAGCTGCTAATTTCTGATTTGCCTGTCTTTGAATGGGGGTAATTGCTGGGAGTTGCCAGTGTTCCAGGTTGTTCTCTGGAAGAGGGGGAGGAAGAAGCAGCTGTCATGGGCTCTGCGGAGTGCTGCCTTCTGCAGGTAGCATGGTGAAGCCTCGCTGGATAGAGTGAGGGGATAATGAAATCTAGCCAGGCAGGGCCGCAAGGGCCCTCGGAGGCCACCTGATCTGACCGGCTCATTCTACAGGTGGAACCGAGATTTGGAGGGAGGGAATGTGTTCAGGACCACACAGGGTGGGCCTGGCTAGGCTGCTTGGCTCCAGCCAACAACCCAGCTATGCTTGGCATTGGCTGTGCCTCCCCACCCCCATAGACCCCAGTCTCTCCAGGACCCCCGAGGCTGGGGCATGTGTGTCAAGAACCCTTTTGTCTTTCTCTGACTGCAGGAGACCAGCGCAGCGGTGGGGTCACTGAGGCCAGCAGCCTCCTGGGGGGCTCCCCGAGGCGTCCCTGTGGCCGGAAGGGCTCCCCATACCACACGGGGCAGCTGCACCCTGCGGTGCGTGTCGCAGACCTTCTGCAGCACATCAACCAGATGAAGACGGCCGAGGGTTACGGCTTCAAGCAGGAGTATGAGGTGCACGCCGGCCCCGGGCCAGCAGGATCCCTGCAGAGGCCTCACCTGGCTCTTACTCTCTGTGGACTCTGACCCTGGCAACCCTCAGCCTAGTCCTGGTTGGACGCCTGCTCTGACAGTTTCCAACTCAACCTTTTTGACCTCGACTCTGACCCTCATCCTAATTTTAGACTGATTTGGTTTTTCACTCTCATGCTAACCCTGATTTGAAATCTGACCTTGAATCTCGTCTCCATCTCTATGTGGACTGTGATCGGGATCCTTATTCTGTCCCTAAACTGAATCTGCCCACTGACACTGACCTTGACCTAATCCCAGCCTGACATTGATCCTGACTGTCATCCTAAGCTCCATTTGAACTCTGGATCTCATCCCACCTCTGTCTGGACTCTGACATCACCCTTATCCTAATCTAAATCTGACCTCACCTTTACCTTCTTTCTAACCGTTATTCTAAGCCTGACCCTTATTCCAAAATGTCTTTGAACCCTGGCCCTCTTTTCCTCTTTTCTCATTTCCCTTCCCCCCACATGCCTTGGTTTTGACCCTGGTCCCTGGCTGATAAAAGGACCCACAGTGACACAGTGACTTTATCTCAGGCCCAAGTTCAGCTTGAATCTGGCCCTTATCATCCCACCCCCATCCTGCCTACATCATCCCCACTGAGGGGAAGGGGCCCTCAGTGAGGGTCCCTCTCTCCCACTGACCACCACTTTTCTTTCTGGTAGAGCTTCTTTGAAGGCTGGGACGCCACAAAGAAGAAAGACAAGGTCAAGGGCAGCCGGCAGGAGCCAATGCCTGCCTGTGAGTCCTGGGGAAGGGCCTGGGGTCCAGGGCAGTGGGTGGGAGGGCATCAGGAGGGGGAACACAGCCAGGGTGAGCTGGGGCAGCCTCAGAGATGATAGTAGCATTGGCCACCTTTTATTGAGGGCCTACCACACGTCACGCCCTGTGCTTGTTTCATTTATTCCCTTCAATTTCCCTGTGAAACGGGAAATACTATAATCCCTGTTTTACAAATAAGGAAACTGAGGCTTGGGAGATTAAGATTCCTGCTTAAGGTCTCAGAGCCAGTAATTGCCTGAGCAGCATACACTCTTAGGCCTCCTTGACTCCATAGCCCAGGCTCTACCCCCTGGTGTGTCCTGCCTCCCATGGTGCCCAGAGACTACTGGTAAGCCCTGAGACTCTAGGTTCCCTGGCTGCCCTGCCTGTGCCCTATCCCCTAGCCTCCAGGAATCCCTCCCTGACTGCCTAGCTCTGGGCTCCCCAGTTCAGCCCCTGCCCACCTGCTCTGTGTTTACAGATGATCGGCACCGAGTGAAACTGCACCCGATGCTGGGAGACCCCAATGCCGACTACATTAATGCCAACTACATAGATGTGAGTGCCTTGCCCTGTCATTTCTGCAGACCTGGCCCTGCCCGCTCCAGGCTTACTATCCAGGCAGGGCAGAAACCTGTCGGGATAAATGGGGGTTCAAATGGCTGAGTTCGGAGTGCCCCTATCTCTGCAGTCAGTGCCAGGGAGCTCAGAGGAGGGAGGACAGTGAGCAGCAGCTTCTGGAAGGCTTTCTGTAGGTGGGAGTTGGCCTGAGAGATGAGGTGCTTTAGAGAAGCAAAGCAAAGGGAAGAGGCAGACAGCTAGGCCAAGAGGTGAGGAAGGCGGGAGGCATGGAGAATGGGATTCTCATCGTGCACCATGAGGCTGAAGAGGTAGGCAGGGGCTGGATTGTGAAGACCTCAAATGGCAGGCTCAGGAGTGGGGGCTTTTTCCTAGGGGCACCAGGGAGTTGTTAAAGTGTTTTGACCATGATCAGAGTGGTCCTTTAAGAATAATAACGCACATTTATCCAGCACGTACTGAGTGCCAAGCACTGTGCTAAGCACTTTACACCCAAGATCTCCTTTTCTGTAATCCCTCCACCCACCCTTTGAGGCAGTTAGCACCATGACCTCACTTTACAGGTGAGGAAACCGGGGCTCAGAGACGTGGAGCGACTTGTCCCAGGTTGCACAGCTAGTGAGTGGTAAAGAAAGGACGCAAATCTCAGCCTGTCTGTGTCTCTAAAGCCTTTGCTGCTGTGAGGCTGTCCTGCCCCCTGCTGCAGCAGCAGCAGGACTTGGATGGATTGGAGGGAGGGGCCAGAGACAGAGCAGGCAGCCAGGAGGCCTGGGCTTGGGTGTCAAAGAGAGGTGATGAGTCTACTTCCTAGGTGTGGAAGAGGGGCGAGGCGGGACAGGGCCCCTAATCCCTACAGCAAACCAAGTTTGGGAGAGCATCATTTAATCACGTATGAAATATATTTTGAGCACTTCCTTTGTGCCATGCATTGTGCTGGGCACCAGGGATACAGATGTGAACAAGACAGTCATGGCCTCTGCTTTCCTTGAACATATCTATTTGAGTGGGTGAGACAGATAGACATGTTTACAAATCAAAATAACTTCAGATTAGATGAGCAAGTGCAGGCCAGGAGAGAGATCACACAGCTTGAGTGTTACACAGCAGGCTAGTGGCAGAGCCAGGGCTGGTGTGGCGGGCTTTGTGGAGGAAGCAGGGCTTGAGCTGCCTCTGGGTGGCTGGAGAGGAGAGGGAAGAGTGTCCCGGGTGAGGAGCTGCCTAAGCAAAGGCCTGGGGGGCCAGGCAGAGCAAGGCACAGGTCTGGGAGCCGAGGTAGTCAGGGTCTCTGGAGGTGGCCTCTCCTCTCCCTCTTCTTCTCCTCCTCCTGGGGCCAGATGTGCCATGCCATGTTTCCCAGAATCCCTTGCTGCCTCCCCCACTCATCCTGTCCCTTGGTTGGAGTCAGGGCCAGGCCCAGCCTGGAAGACTTGGGCAGCTTTGGTGACAGCGGGCCTCTCCTTGGTCTTGCCAAGGTCCCAGTTGGCTCCTCTTGGGCCCTGGCAGGGACATGCCACTCCCCACTCTGTGGCTCAGCCCAGCCCGGCCTGCCCGTCTCCGCTCTGCCTGCCCTGCTCACATCGCCCATTCTGGCCACTCCTGTGCTCCGTCCACCTCCATCTGCCCCTGGCCTAATATCTGTCTCTTTTGCTTTGTACTGTTTCCTCACTGGAATCATTAAGATTCGGATAAACCGAGAAGTAAGTATCTCTCTCCCCTTCTCCTCCTCCTCCTCTTCCTCCTGTCTGTCTGACTGGCTGTATCTCAGACTCTCTCACGGTCTCTGGCTGTCTGTCTCTCTGTCTCTGTCCTTCCTTTCTACTTATGTGCCCAGCACCAACCGTCCATTTCAGCAGCCTGGCCAGGGGCTGCCCAGGGCTGAAGATTCGAGAGTGTTCCTATTGTAAGCAGTTCCCTCCCATCCTCCACTGCCTTGAGCAGGGGCAGCAGTGTTGGGGGTGCTTCCCCTGCCCATTCTGCACTGGTCACAACAGTCTGTCACCTTCCTTCCCTGGCTCCGCCATTCCCAAGGAGTCCTCCCTAGCCTCCCTAGCTGCACCTTCTACAGGACCCTTTGGAGGGTGCAGGGGAAGCTGCCCTGGAGGGCCCTGTTTCTGCTGCTTAAGGGTCAAGATCTTGGACAGCCCCAGGTCAGCCTCCTAAAACTACTTTCCCTAGTGTTCAAATACCTTCATGATCAGTTTGCCTGAAACTCAACCCCGACCATTTTACCCTCAATTTAGCCTTAATTTGAATGTTTTTTGGTGGAAGCAGTTTGGATAGTCTGTTTTTAAATATTATGCTTTTTTTTTTTTTTTTTTTTTTTTTTTTGAGGTGGAGTTTCGCTCTTGTTGCCCAGGCTGGAGCGCAGTGGCACGATCTCGGCTCACTGCAACCTCTGCCTCCTGGGTTCAAGTGATTCTCCTGCCTCAGCCTCCCAAGTAGCTGGAATTACAGGCATGCACCACCACGCCCAGCTAATTTTTGTATTTTTAGTAGAGATGGGGTTTCACCATGTTAGGCTGGTCTCAAACTCCTGACCTTAGGTGATCCACCTGCCTTGGCCTCCCAAAGTGCTGGGATTACAGGCATGAGCCACCACACCTGGCCCATTTTTTAGCCTTTTAAAATTAAAAAAACTACCCTAATTCATCTAGCTATTCTCTAATTTGATTTCTTTTTTCTTTTTTTTTGAGACAGGTTCTTGCTCTGGAGTGCAGGGGTGTGATCATGGCTCACTGCAGCCTTGAAGTCCTATGCACAAGCAATCCTTCTACCTCAGCCTCCTGAGTAGCTGGGACTACAGGCGTGTGCTGCCATGCCCGGCTAATTTTTTCCTTTTTTTTTTTTTTTTAAGAGATGGGGTCTTCTCAGCACTTTGGGAGGCCAAGGCAGGCAGATTGCTTGAGTCCAGGAGTTCGAGATCAGCGTGGGCAACATAGTGAGATTGCCTCTACAAAAAATACAAAAATTAGCTGGGCGTGGTGGCTCATGCCTGTAGTCCCAGCTACTAGGGAGGCTGAAGTGGGAGGGTTGCTTAAGCCTGGGAGGCAGAAGTTGCAGTGAGTCGAGATCGTGCCATTGCACTCCAGACTGACCAACAGAGCCAGTCCCTGTCTCAAAAAAAAAAAAAAAAAAAAGAGAGAGAGAGATGGGGTCTCACTATGTTGCCTAGGCTGGGGATTTTTAATACATATATACTGTTTTCATAATATTTAATGACTGGTGATTATTTGCTATTTTGTGGGTGCTTTTTCCATTTTGTCTCCTTTTTCTTTTAAAAAATATATTTCTTGGCTGGGTGCAGTGGCTCACACCTGTAATCTCAGTACTTTGGGAGGCTGAGGCGGGAGGATTGCTTGAGCCCAGGAGTTAGACCAGCCTGGGTAACATAGTGAGACCCCATTTCTACAAACAAACCAACAAACAAAAATTAGTTGGATGTAGTGGCCTGTGCCTGTAGTCCCAGCTACTTGGGAGGTTGAGGTGGGAGGATTGCTTGAGCACTGGAGGTCGAGGCTGCAGTGGAGACAGTGGCATGGAGCGACAGCAGGAGGGAATTGGGCTAGACGTGGAGAAGTTCCAGTGCTGAGGGCTGAGAGTCACTGGGAGGCTTTTCGTCATTAGTCACTTTGACTATGTTTTGGTCATTTTCGTGGGAACAGTGAGCAGGTATCCAGCAGAATCTCTGAGTGTTTGTCTTGCTATTATCCTCATATTGCAGAGGAGAACAAAGGCTTAGAGAGGCCAAGAGCCTGGCTACTCAGGATGTTTTGAGGCCAGCAATATGGACACCACCTGGGAGCTGGTGATGCATAATCCCGGGCCCCACCCCAGACCTTTGAATCTGAATCTGCCTTTTAACAAGATCCCCCGGGAGATTTATGTCTCAAGAAAGACTGAGAAGCACCTTCTCAGCGCTCAGAGTTACACAGCTACTGCTCGGCATAGCTGTGGCAGGGACCCAGGTCCATTCAACTCCAAGACTCAGATTCTTCACCCCATAGTCAATCGCCTTCTGCCCCAGCAATTCTTGACTTCCATTTGATACACTTGATTCATTTGTATCTTCAAGGATACTGCTTCAGCTTTAAAATAGTAGTAGTAATAATAATGGCTATTACTGAATAAGTACTGACTTTGTGCTAGACACAGTGGCAGACATTTAACATACTACTTTATTTGCTTCTCACAACAGCCCTCAGAGGTAAATGCTGTAATTATTCCATTTTATAGACATGAAAATGGAGGCATAGAGAAATGAAGGAGTTTTTGCTCAAAGGCACACAGCTAGTGAGAGGTAGAGCTGGGATTTGAACCTTGGCAGTCTGGCCCCTGGGCTCCTCAGGCCTGGGAAGTTCACGAGACCGGAGGAGTTGCTGGGAGCTGTGTTGAGGGTGTAAACTTGAGGTAGGGGGCTGGGCTAGTTTTCTCAGCGCCAGCCCTGCAGTACTAATTCCCCTTTCCGCATTGCCCGCATTGATGCCCTTGGTATCTGGTGAATTCTTTTGCTCAGAAAGATGAGGCCTTGTGGCAGGACCTCATGGGTGGCTGTGGCCCTGGGGTGGCTTGTCGGAGGGCAGGTTTCTCTCCTCAGCTTGGGGGCTCTGGGGATGGAGGATGAAGTAGCTCTTGGCCTCTCTCTCGTGGGAGGTGGTACTGGTAAAGTGCTTAGCACAGTACGTGACCATAACAGGGTCATTATTATTGATCTTAAAGATTTTAACATTTTATCCAAGGGCCATGAGTAATGTCTGTGCCCATATACTTCCATCCTGAAGCCCTCATCTAGGCCCCCCACGCTCTGAGTGACTGAGGAGTAAGGGGGAGGGGTACTGTCCATTCTGGTTATCCCAAGTGTGGGGGCTAAGATAACTGACAAGCTCTGGTTATCCCACGTGTGGGATCTGGGTTGATTAGAGCTTCTGGAACCCTGGGAACAGGGCAGGGCCATTGGGGACTCTGTCTCCGAACAACAGCCTGGCTGAAAGCAGATGCCTCTCTCCACTTTATGGGTGGGGGGTCCCTCTAGGCACATAAAGGAGTCATGTCCTCCCTGGGGTTGCACAGCCCAGGTTGGATTAAGCCCACGACTCTGGTGTCCCAGCTGTACTTCTCCACTTCCTTGGGGACCTGGGGGGATGCAAAGTCATCCTGCTTAGGAGGTCCTAGGGATGTGAGGGAGCAGTTCCCTGGTGGGGTAGGGGTTCTGCTGCTGGGAGGGGAGGGTAGAGGAGGTGTGGGGGAGTGAGGGGCTACTCCCTGGGGTCTAACCGTGCCCTCTCCTCCTGTTCCAGGGTTACCACAGGTCAAACCACTTCATAGCCACTCAAGGTACCTGGCACTTCTGCCCACATGCGCCTTCCCATGTGCCTCCCAGCGTGCTGGAATGCCCTCAGCTTGCCTTTCTGCCTCCCCTGCTGATCCGCTTGATTCCTGAATGTCTCCCCACCGTCGCCATATTCTGGCTCCCTGCTTGTTCATCTGCTCCCGATTCTGCTGGATCTCTTGGAATCTGGCCAACTGCCTTTGTCCCCTCTTTGTGTTTGTGTCTCCCTGATGTGCTCAGTCCATCTGTTGCTCCTGGTCTACCTGCCTGTCTCCAAAGTGGTGTCTGTAAAAGGGCCAGCTGGGCTCAGGCCTCATGGGTGTGGGTTGGGCCTCTCGGTCTGGTGGCTGCCTGGATTCTTCTGTTTGCATCCCTTTCCACGACTGTCCATCTGTCTGTCCCTCCTGGACACTCATGCCATTGCCCAACCATCTGGTCCTCCTCCAGGGTCCCATTCAGGATGAGCGGGCTCTTTAGCCAGGCCCTCTCCTGATGCTACCCAACCTCAGGGCCCTACAGGCATGCGTCAGCTGCAAGCTGGGTGTTGTGGGCAGCATGAAGCCCCCGTTGGGGCTCAGGAGGCCTCCTGGCCTGGGGTGTGGTGCTGGATGGTGCTGGATGTGCTGACCTGGGGTGGAGACCTTGTCTCAGGGACAGGCACCCTCTGCCTGCATCCCCAGGGCCGAAGCCTGAGATGGTCTATGACTTCTGGCGTATGGTGTGGCAGGAGCACTGTTCCAGCATCGTCATGATCACCAAGCTGGTCGAGGTGGGCAGGGTAAGCCGGGCTGTGGGGCGAGCTGGGGCGCATGGCAGGCCAAGGGGGCAGCAAAGAGCCCACTGAGTCCCGTCCTGTGGGGCCTCTAGGTGAAATGCTCACGGTACTGGCCGGAGGACTCAGACACCTACGGGGACATCAAGATTATGCTGGTGAAGACAGAGACCCTGGCTGAGTATGTCGTGCGCACTTTTGCCCTGGAGCGGGTGAGTCTCCCCACCGCCTGTTCCCTGCAGAGGGTGCCTGAGCAGGGATTAGAGCCCACTCCCACTTCCCCCAGCCCTGGGAGCAGGAGGGTGAGGAGCGCACCACTGCCCATCCCAGCAAGGAAGCTACTTGGTCACTGTTGGCTGGGAGCACTCTAGAAGGGCAGGAAGGTCACTGCCTTTGTTGGTGCCCATAGGAGGAAGCTGAGACAATGAAGGGGGTGACAGTATCTGCCAGGTGCTGGCTCCTACTCTGTGCTGAGCCTGTTATAAATATTGTTTCAGTCCTGGAAAGCTCCGTGTGATTAGCCCAGATACAGAAAGTGAGGCTCAGAGGGCTTATGCCAGGCAGGAGAGGCCACATAGTCAGTGGCTGGCCAGCGAGTCCTGTCCACGATCCCATTTGATCTGCTCTGTAAAGTCCTCAGAGGAAAGATAGTTTTTTTTCCTTTAAATTAAGACCCTGGGAGTCAAAATGATATATGTTTACACAACAACCTGGTGGCAGAGGTGAGTATTTCACAGCCCAGGTTTAGGCATCAGGCAGACCATTGTCCAAATCCTGCATGTTGTTGGTTTCTCTAACCTTGGGAAAGTGGTTTCTCCTCTTTGAGCCTTAGTTTTCTTGTTTGTACAATGGGACATTAATACCTACTTCATCAGTAAATTGATCATTGGGATTAGTTGAGATTATACAATGAGATGCTTACTGCAGTGCCTGGCACACAGCAGGTGTCTAATGGTGACAGATGCTGCCAGGGACTCTGATTATTATTCCCATTGTCTCCCCAGAGAGGCTACTCTGCCCGGCACGAGGTCCGCCAGTTCCACTTCACAGCGTGGCCAGAGCATGGCGTCCCCTACCATGCCACGGGGCTGCTGGCTTTCATCCGGCGCGTGAAGGCCTCCACCCCACCTGATGCCGGGCCCATTGTCATCCACTGCAGGTGGGGGCACCGGGAATCCCAAGGAGAAAAGGGGCCCTTCTCCCTGGGAATTTGGGCTTGGGGTCAGGTTGGTTCAGGATCTGTAGTGGGGACCAGGCCTGGGTTCTCCTGCTTAGAGATGGAGTGCAGGAGGGAACGACCCCCAAAGGCCCTGTCCCCTTTGGCCTTTGGCTCTGAGGTTGGCATCTTCATGTGCCCCCCAAGACCTGTGAAGCCCCTTGACCCAGGTGCTGAGGAGGCACTGGAGATAGGGAGGGGCCTCCGGGCCGCTGAGGCGCCAGGCACGATTGAGTTCTGCCTGCTTTCAGTAAGCAGCTTTTTGTTGCACACCTGCCGCGTGCTAGGCCTGGCCTGGGGGTGGGAAGGACTTCACTTCTCTCCACCAAACCCAGTGGGCCTTGCCTACCCCTTGGCCTTCACACCTTCTGCAGACCCTGACTGGCTCCCGTGACCCCAGCTGCCCCTCCTCTCTCTGCTTTCTCCCTGGCTCCACATCTTTCTCTTGCTTCTTAAATGGGGACCCAGTACGCTGTCCTGGCCTGCCCTCTGTCTCCCCCTGGAGAGCGTAACCCCCAACCTTTGTGGCTTTGTCCATGGCCTCTGTGTCTCATTGCGGTTCCTCTACTGTGTTCTTATCAGCTCCCCAAATGCCGCATGGTAGAGTCGTCCTCCCTGCCCTGCCACCTAAACCAGCTTCTCTTTGATTTCTTTAGGCCTCTTTAAGATGCCATCTTTTAAAAACAAAACTTTATTGATATATAATACACTTAAAGCAAAGTGCAGAAATATGTTTAAAAATATGAATTTTCATAAACTGAGCACACTTGTGAAAAAACCAGCTCTACTGAGATTAAGAAACAGAACATTGGCTGGGCACAGGGGCTCATGCCTGTAATCTCAGCACTTTGGGAAGCCAAGGTGGGAGGATCATTTGAGGCCCAAAGTTCGAGACCAGCCTGGGCAACATAGTGAGACCTCATTGCTACAAAAATAAAAAAATTAGTGGGTTGTGGTGGCACAAGCCTGTAGTCCCAGCTACCTGTGAGGCTGAGGTGGGAAGTTTGTTTGAGTATGGGAGTTCCAGGTTACAGTAAACTGTAATTGCACCACTGTACTCCAGCCTGGGCAACAGAGCGAGACTCTGCCTCTAAAAAAAAATTTTTTTTTAAAGTTAAGAAAGGAGCAGAACATGAACAGTTCCCAGAAGCCCCCTTGAACCCGTTTCTGGCCTGAATTCCCCCATCCCCAGTCCCAGAGAAATCACTATTCTGACTTCTAAAGCGCAGTTAGTTGCACATGTTTTTGGACTTGTCATAAATGGAATCATACAGCATGTGCTCTTTGCTGTTTGTCTTCTTTCCCTGAGCCTTAGGTTTGTGAGGCTCGTCCACAGTGGATCATCGTCCATCAAGTGAATAAATGACAGTGTGTTTGTCCATTCTGCCATGATAGGCATTTGGGTTGTTTCCAGTCTTAAGCTATTATGAGTAGTGCTGCTAAGGACATTCGATCGTATGTCTTTTGGCCAAGAAATGTATTTCTTTCTGTGTGGTATGTACGTAGGAGTAGAACTGTTATCTGTGTGAACGTTCAGCTTTAGGAGATATTGCTGAGCAGTTTTACAAGGGGGTTGTGCTAAGTTAAGCCCCACCAGGGGTATTTGGGGTATTCAGTTGCTGTATGTCCTCGCTAGCACGTGGATGCCACTGTTTTCAAACCTGAAATCTTGCTGTCATCTTTGTCCACTCTCCTTCCCCCTCAGCTCTGCACAACCTTGCGTGAGGACAATGATCTTGATGTGCCCCCAGTCAAGTTAGGGAGACAGCCACATAAACAATGACCATGTAGCAGGAAGAGTGTTTTATTGAATTAATTAATTTTTTTTTTTTGAGACAGGATCTTGTTCTGTCATCCAGGCTGGAGTGCAGTGGTGTGGTCTTGGTTCACTGCAACCTCCATCTCCCGGGTTCAAGCGATTCTTCTGCCTCAGCCTCCTGAGTAGCTGGAATTACAGGCACGTGCCACCACACCCGGCTATTTTTTGTATTTTTTGGTAGAGACAGGGTTTCACTATGTTGGCCAGGCTGGTCTCGAACTCCTGACCTCAAGTGATCCACCCACTTCGGCCTCCCAGAGTGCTGGGATTACAGGCCTGAGCCACCGTGCCTGGCCACGAAGAGTGTTTTAATAAAAACCTGCCCACGTTGCTTTGGGAACTCAAAAGAATGACATCATCCTGGAAGGGTCAGGGATGCTCCAGTGGGTATGTGAATGGGTATGAGTGTGTGGGCTTTTCAAGGATGTGTAGGAGATTTGGTGGTTTTCAGGAGGAAAGAACATTCTTGAATTAGCTCGGAGGATCATCATTCCTGTTCTCTCCTAATCTTAAGTTGCTAGGTTGAGCCAGTGTCACCTTTGCATTCTCCCCACCCTCTCTCCTCTCCTTCCCTGAGGCCCATCCCATCTCTGTCCTCTAGCACATTTCACTAGAGCTCTTCCATCCAGCAGCCTGCGTCCTGGCTCCTTACTCGGGGAGGGGCAGTCATCTCTGTGTCCGTGTCCCCTGTATGGTGTAGACATGGCCAGTGCCCTCCTCTCTTCTTCTCCTTAGTCCCGGGCTTCCTCCCCAAAGCTCTGACCTGGTCTGGGGCTGCTCTCTCTCCAGCGCGGGCACCGGCCGCACAGGTTGCTATATCGTCCTGGATGTGATGCTGGACATGGCAGAGTGTGAGGGCGTCGTGGACATTTACAACTGTGTGAAGACTCTCTGCTCCCGGCGTGTCAACATGATCCAGACTGAGGTGCGGGGACCTGGCCCTGTCCCCACCATTATTACTTCTAGGACTGGAGTTTCTCGTGAAGGATCCTGGAGCCGGCAGAGCATGCCCAAAGGGTGTCCTGAGGCTCTTGCCTTCCCTCAGATCATCCCTGACCTTGGGCCGCCAACTGCATAGGGTCATCCTGAACTGCTCCCCTGTGTTCTGTTGGGTGGGGTCAGACAACCGGTCCTGTAGCTGACATACCTGGGATTGCATCCTCAGTGGATGTGTGACCGTGAGCTGTCCCCCACCTCTCAGAGCACTCACAGAGTTGTTATAGGGGGTAGGGATGAAATAGGAGATAAAGGGGCATGTCCATGGAGGTTGTTTCAGGTAGGCTTGGTCCAGCCTGTAGTAACATGGTTGGCCTCCACCTCAGGACACCCTGCTTCAACCTTGAGCTTGCTTAAGCCCCATCACCACAGATCTCCAGCTTCTAGGCCCCTCCTCGGCCTCATTCTCATCTCCTGTTCCAGGAGCAGTACATCTTCATTCATGATGCAATCCTGGAGGCCTGCCTGTGTGGGGAGACCACCATCCCTGTCAGTGAGTTCAAGGCCACCTACAAGGAGATGATCCGCATTGATCCTCAGAGTAATTCCTCCCAGCTGCGGGAAGAGTTCCAGGTGGGGGATGAGTGCGTGTGTATAGGTGTGTGTGTGTGTGTCTGTGTGTGTGTTGGGGCATCCTTAATACTGCAGGAGTCATTGAGGGCCAAGAAGCAGGGACCAGCCTGAGGCCACAGCTGGAGGGACAGAGCTGAGCTACCAGGAAGGACTTTGGGACAGCGGAAGATGGGGTGCATCAAAGCAGTTAAGAGCCCAGGCTTTGAAGTCAGATAAACCCAGGTTCAAATCCTGGCTTACCTAGTTAAGAGCTGTGAGTATCCTTGAACAGTTCCCTTTACCTCTCTGAGCCTCAGTTTTGTTACCCAGAGAAGAGAAGTAGTTAATATGTCCCTTGGGGTGTTTGTATTCATTGGGATTCTTTTGGTTGTGAGTGATGAAAATCCAGCTTTTATAACTGAAAAGTCTGAGGATCGTGCAGCTTCAGTTGTAGCTGGATCCAGGGGCTCAGATGATGATGCCAACAGGTGGTTTCTGTCTGCCTTGGTTCTGCTCTCCTATTTTTGGCTTCATTCTCAGACCTGCACCTGGCCGCCAGCAGTGCTGGGCTCCCATCATCTCTATTGTCTGGTGACTTAGGAAAAAGGCGCTTGCTGCTCCCAGCATCCCCCCAACAGTCCTAGATCAGACTTTCATGTTCCCATCCCTGGACCAGTCACAGGTTGGAGAGGTGGAGCTCACTGATTGCCCCTGGCTCTGGTCACATGCCCAAGGCCTGGCTCTTGGGGCAGGACCAGCCTCACCATATCACATGGCTGAGATGGGAAAAGGCTGGTTCTCCAGAGAAGCCTGAGAGCGATCACTGGGTGGCAGAGACCTCAGAAGTCCCCTCCACTCCAGGGTTCCTGCAGTGGCTCAGCAGGATGGCACGTGCTGGGGACCTGGCACTTCTCACAGGAGGTGCAGGGTTCCCGGAGGAGGGTGTCAGGCTTTGGGGATCATGATAGACTGTGGTTCCCTGTGAGGGATCTCCAAGAACAAGAGAAAGAAACTGAGAGCCCCTGGGTCTGGATGCGTGAGGTGTGAAGGCATGCGGGCGGAGGAGATGCCCCGGAGATCCAGGTGTGATTCAGTGCCCGGTGCTTAGGACTTCATTCTGTTCAGACAGGGCCGTGACCAAGGAACGTGACCCCCTCTCCACGTGCCTGGAGTCCGCTTCTTGGAGGGTGTGGGGTTTCAGGGGTTGCCTCAGTGAAGGCACTGGTCAGCTAGTAAAGTTCCTCACTGTGCCCGTGTGTGCCGAGCTCAGCCCAGTGCTTGTCATGATCTCACTTTGGCCTCCCAGCAGCCCCATGAAGTAGGCATATTACTTCCCTATTTCACAGTCGAGGAAACTGAGGCTGAGAGATGCAGTAGCTTGTCTGAGGTTATGTGGGTGGCAAGGAGGTAGACTCTGGTCTCTAGAGCTCTATCCAGGCCCTATAATGGCCTAGAGACAGGGAGTCTGGCTCCGTGCCCTGTACCCTTCTCTCTGGACCTCAGTTTCTCCATCCATAAAATGGGATTAGTAACTCAGTCCAGCCTCCTTCATGGGGATGTGAGGAGGCCCAGCAAGCCCTGGACGTAACTCTCTGTCCCCACCCCCGCTCCCTGTAGACGCTGAACTCGGTCACCCCGCCGCTGGACGTGGAGGAGTGCAGCATCGCCCTGTTGCCCCGGAACCGCGACAAGAACCGCAGCATGGACGTCCTGCCGCCCGACCGCTGCCTGCCCTTCCTCATCTCCACTGATGGGGACTCCAACAACTACATTAATGCAGCCCTGACTGACGTGAGAGCTTGGGGTGGAGTGGGCTCTGGGGCTCCCCTTCCCAGCAGCATCAGGGAAGGTCCAGGGGCCACGGGAACAAAGCTGAAGGCTCTGTTGGGGGGACCCCTGCCCATTCTGGGGAACAGGCCTGTGTGTGACCCTCCTACTCCTAGGGAGCTTCCATTCAGGGCATTCAAGCCAGTGCCCCCCACACTCTGCCTCAGTGGGGTCTGGTTGTGGAGTTCAGGCAGGGCTGTCTCCAAGATTAGGCCCAGCAGAGCCTGGGGTAGGATGAGTGATTCAGGGGACTTTGGCTGGGGAGACCTCGAGGGTTTGGGGATGGAACTCGAGACCTGATGTCTGGAAGCAGGGGAGCTTGTCCTGGGGAGAATGAGCTGGAGTCTGCTCCAGGACCAGGCCTGGGACAGTGATCTCTGGCCCCATTCTTCCCTGGGTGGGCATGGGCCCTCTGAGGGCTCAGGAGCCTTTTAGAAGTCTCTTTCCCTGCTTCAAGCTCAGGGGCTCTGCCTCCTTTACTGAGGGTTGCAAGCAGCTCAGGAGATGGGTGCTGGCATTTTAGTCCCCTGCTAAATGGCTCCAAGATGCTGCTGTCTGAGGCGGGAAGGGTCTAGGATTATTATCCCTATTCCTCTGCCACACTGGAACCAGTTCAGATATAGACACAGGAGACACACGGGTGGAGATCATATGTTATAGATAAAACTGGAGATGGAGTTTGAGATGTGTGGCCAGTTGGTGGGCCGCTCCTTCACCCCTCCCCGATATAGCCGTGCAACCGCAGGCCACCCCTCCCCGTCAGGGACTGGCCTTTACTGGCAGGGAGCAGGAGCAATTGAGTGCACACTTTCCAAGGGTAGGCTGGCCTGGAAAAAGAGGAAGGAGTGGAGCCAAGCAGCCTCGCTCATGGGAGGAGTGAGTGAAGGATGGGCCAGGGCCAGGTGTGTCACTGCTGCGTCTCTCCACGCGGAAATGAGGGATGCCGATGGGGAAGGTTCTCCCACAGCGGTTAAGAGGGAGATGGGCTTTTTGCGGCCTGATGCCTGGCCAGGAACTCCTTGGCAGGACAGTGCGGGGGACAGCGGGGTTTCTTTAAAGAGGGTAACCACCCAGGGGGCTTCCGGGTGTCAGCTGAAGGGGAGGGGAAGAGCTGCCCTAGCCACTGATGAGAGATGTGAGGGGCCCATCAGTCACTGTCACTCAGCTTGGTGGATGGAATGTGTGTGCCCACATGCTCGCCGGGGGACATCTGGCCTGCTGAGGGGTCAGGGGTCCTGGAGGGGTGGCATGTAGTACCGGGAAGATCTTTGAACTAAACTTAGGAAGCTGTGCCCTCCCGCCCAGCCCCCTCCTTGGCCTTGGTGTGCCCATCTGCACATTGGGGGCCTGGAAAGGAGACTGTCTGAGGGTCCTGAGCTGGGGCTCCCTGGCCCTGATGGGTGGGTTATCACGTGGAAAAGTTCTGAGACAGCCCTGTCCCCTCCTGAGGTCCTTGATGCCTCTGACGTCTGACCCCAGCCATGCAGGTCCTATTGGCTTGGAGCCAGGAGGCCCCATTTCTCAGACAGGCCCTGAACTCGTCAGTGAGGGGCCAGCTGGAGTCTTTGTGGTGGTCAAGTCTGCAAGGAGCCCTGTTGGGCACCCAGGCCTGAGTTTTGGAATCTGGCTGGGCCTGGCCTTGAGGAGTTGTTAATCAGGAGCCTTCAGAGAGTCCTGGAGAGAGATCGCTGGGGGACCAGGGGGGCTCTTTGTTTCTCTGCACTGCACCTTGCAGGATTACAAAGGGCAGATCAATATTTGGTTAGGGCCCAAGTCAGGGTCAAGGCCAGAAGAAGCCAGACAAAGACCAGGGTCATGGGAGCTTGTGCCAGCCCCTAGGTCAGGAGGAAGACTGGGGGACAGGAGAAGAGCTCGGGGAAGGGAGGGGGGACATGGCACAGGGTGGGGCAGGGCAGGTCACCAGGGGAGGCTGGGAGCTAGATCTTTAATGGGAGAAGGCCGGGTGCCAGCCCCCCTGGCAGGACGAGGGAGCAGTGAGCAGCGTCGGGGCCTGTCACTGCCTGGAGAGCCTGGGGCCCCAGACCCTTCACTTATGGAGTTGGAAGGGACCTAGAGATTTATTCAAAATATTTATTGAGCCCCTACAGGGTTCTGGGTGGAGACCATACCCTAGAAGCTCTGCTCTCCTGAACCTTGCTTTTAGCAGGTGGAGTGGGATAGTCAGGAAATATACAATGAAATGTCATCAACTGGAAATTTCTACAAAAACAGCCAGGCAGTGTTTAATGTGGATTTGGGGTGTGTGTGGGGCTATTTTTGATGAGGTGGTGGGGGAGGGCTTCTTTGAGGAGGTGATAAGTAAAGACCAGAAGGAAGTGAGGGAGACAGCCATATAGACATTTGGGAAATTTGGCCTAGGCAGCCAAAATAGCAGATGCCGAAGCGCGGAGGCAGGGAGTAAGCTCGGCCAGCCTCTGCCTTGAGCTCAGCCTCATGCCCAAGCTCCCCTCGCCATACCTTTGGAAACTTTTGCTGTTTAGTTCTGGGGGGTCATGGGCTTGGTCCCCAGAGGCCTGGGCCCACCCTGTCAACCCAGGCCTCAGTGTGCCAACCAACATCAGAAATGGCCCACTGGAGGCAGCCTGGTCCTGTGGGGCACAACCGTCCAACTCAGGGTGGGCAGTGCGGGAAGACAGCCTGGGGCAGAGGCTCAGCCCAGGCCAGGGGCCGGGAACAGGGCCCTGCTGAGTTCCGGTTTCCCTGCAGAGCTACACACGGAGTGCGGCCTTCATCGTGACCCTGCACCCGCTGCAGAGCACCACGCCCGACTTCTGGCGGCTGGTCTACGATTACGGGTGCACCTCCATCGTCATGCTCAACCAGCTGAACCAGTCCAACTCCGCCTGGGTGAGGCCTCCACTGGCCAGGCCAATGGGCCGCCTGCTCCCAGGTCCTCTGTGTATTCAGGGCCATGGTCCCCAAAGCCAAAAGTTGGGTCCCAGCTCTGCCATCTATTTATTGTGTGATGAATCATACACCTTCCCAGAGCCTCAGTTTCTTCATCTGTAAAACAAGGGTGTCAGATGGGAGATCACTAGTTGCTCTTTTTCTTTTCTTTTTTTTGAGACAAGGTCTCACTCTTTTGCCCAGGCTGGAGTGCAGTGGCGCGATCACAGCTCACTAAGTTGTGCAGCCTCGACCTCTTGGGCCCAAGCCATCCTTCCACCTCAGCCTATCGAGTAGCTGGGACTACAGGCTGCATCACCACAGCTGTCTGATTTTTTTTTTTTTTTTTTTTTTTCAGTAGAGACAAGGTCTCACTGTGTTGCCTGGACTGGTCTCGAACACCTGGCCTCAAGTGATCCTCCCACCTTGGTCTCCCAAAGAACTGGGATTATAGGCATGAGCCACTGCCTCTGGCCACAGTTGCTCTTTATTGGCCCCCTGCTAAGCCAGGGACTGCTTTGCACTCATGGTCTTATTTAGAATCTATAATGACCTTGGAGGGAAGGCTTCAGTGAGAAAATTAAGACCCAAAGAGGTTCAGTGCCTTCTCCAGGGCCACATGGCTGGGGAGGGGCAGAGCTGTGCTCCCCAGCCTCAGCTGCCTCATTCCAGAGCTTCTGCTCTTTTAGTCACTCCACTAAAGCGCCCATCATGGGGGCCTCCGAGGTAGAGTACAATTCAAGCCTCCTACTTTCTGACTGTTTGATCTAGGGTAAGTTGATTGACCTCTTTTGAGTTTTACTTTCCTTCTCTGTAAAATGGGGGCCATCATAGGACCTGTTCTTGTGGGGTTATTGTGAGGACCAGGTCAGGTGTGCATAGGATATGTGGCACTGCTGTGTCTGCTGCACAGTAGGCATGTGGTATGTGGCAGGGACAAAGATGATGAGGGTGACAGTTGTATCTGAGATTGGCCCAGACACTGGTTCAGTGACCTCAGCCTGGGGGCAGCCCCTCTGACTCCCCTGTTTCCCTTTGGAGCTCCCAAGAAGTACAGATACCCAGCCTTCCAGCCCTGCCTGACCATGTGCTTTAGGTCTCTGGACCCCTTCCCACCCCAGCTTTCTGCTGGGCCCAGGGGGCTAGGAAGATTTGCTGTAAAATGAGTACAACAGCTTCTTAATGGCCTCCTTGAGAAGATTGCATTAACTGGGCTCTTTATGAGTCAGGCACTTTGTGAAAATGACCCAGGACTACAGGATAATGGGCCTCAGCCCTGGTGCAGCAGGAACCATCCTTGCTAGGGTAGAGGGGAGAGGCCCAGAGGGAGGCTCACAGAGATGTAGTTCACTGGGCACTGATTTGCTCATCTGCTCAACCAACTTTGCCCATGAACAGCTCCCTGCAGTGGGCAGGGAGGAGACAGAGGGAGAAGAGACACAGCCCCTCCCAGATCTCATGGTCCAGGAGGAAACAGGTAGAAAAACTGATAGTGACAGCACAGAGGGAAAAGAGCTATGAAAGAGCTGGCACAGGGACAGAGAAGTCCGGGGGATCATGTATCGGCGATGGCTTCCTGGAGGAGGTAGTGTCTGAGCTGAGATGTGTGGGAAGGGCAGAATTAACTAGGTGAGGAGGTGGAGGAAGAGAGACCCGTGGAGAGGGAGCAGCCTGTGCAGGGTTCTGAACGCACAGGGTTGCCAGGACCTGAGGCAAAATGAGGAAGGTGGTGTCCTCCTGTCCTGGGCTGTGGTCAGAGGGGATTGATGAGCACGGTGTCTTTTTGGGAGAGGATGGGAGTCATTTTACCGACGGAGAAACTGAGGCCAAGAGAAAGGAAGAGCCTTTCCTGGGCTTCAGGCAGAGCTGAGACTAGAAACTGAGGCTCAGGATACTTAGCCTGGAGGATGTGTGTGTGTATTTGTACGTGTGTTTGTGTGTGTTAGGTCATAGGGCTGTACCTCCTCTGTCCCTCCACAGTCTGGAGTCTGGGAGGGGGTTGTATTTAGGACCCTGACTCCATGGAGGGGTCCTGGGGCAGAAGTGGGGGTACTGAACTGTGTTGCAGCATCAGGGACACCCCACCTCTGTGAGCTGGTGCTGAAGGGCAGAGGCAGTGAGAGAGAAGGCTGGGGGGAGGTTCTGGGGTGGGTGGGAGTGATCCAGGCCTATTCCTGGAAGCAGGCAGCCTCATGTAGGAGCGTGTGAACCGGTTAAGGTGTAGCTTTCTAGCTGCACAGCAGTAGGCATCAGTGCAGTTTGCAAAGGGTTCATCTTGGCTGATCTGAACGTGTCAGTGCAGAACGCATTGGGGCAGGTGGGCCTTGCAGCCTGTGGGCAACTGGTGGTGATTGGGGGAGCTGCTGAAGGTGAGTCTGGAGTGAGTGGGTGGGCCAGGGTTCGTGGGAGCCACAGGGCAAGTGTGGAGCCCTTGGGGTGGGCATGGCTGTGGGGTGAGCCCCGGCCAGGCTCTACTCAGCTCTCCCCTCTCCGTGCTTATGCCCAGCCCTGCCTGCAGTACTGGCCAGAGCCAGGCCGGCAGCAATATGGCCTCATGGAGGTGGAGTTTATGTCGGGCACAGCTGATGAAGACTTAGTGGCTCGAGTCTTCCGGGTGCAGAACATCTCTCGGGTGAGTGGTCTGAGGAGCCCCAGGGAAGGACCCTGGGTGGTGGCTGGGGCAGCTTTTAATGACCCTCTGTGTCATCAGGGGCCCCTGGGACCCTGGTGCTCATGTCCTCCCTGGCTGGCTGCCCCTGTCCCCAGTTGCAGGAGGGGCACCTGCTGGTGCGGCACTTCCAGTTCCTGCGCTGGTCTGCATACCGGGACACACCTGACTCCAAGAAGGCCTTCTTGCACCTGCTGGCTGAGGTGGACAAGTGGCAGGCCGAGAGTGGGGATGGGCGCACCATCGTGCACTGCCTGTGAGTACCTGCCCTGTGGGAGGGCGGGTGGAGGGGTTGGGGAGCCAGGGGCAGAGGTCCAGTCTGAAAGGGTGCCAGCTTTGGCTGGACTGCAAAGCTGGCACCGAAACCCCTGGGCTCTTAGATGGCTGTGGCCAGGATGCTGCCCAACCAGCCAAGGCTGGCCCTGGAGGAATCCAGTGAGTTTCCAGGCTATAGACTCAGCCCTGAACAACTGCCCAGTATCCTCTGTGTGATGTCTGACTTTGCCAATTTAATTAGAGTCCTTGGTCAGAATTTTTTACCCCATGAGATTGTGGCACACTTTTATGCCAATAGAATTCCAGTCTTTGTTCATGCATGCACACATGTGACTTTTTCCATCCATCCATCCATCCACCCATCCATCCATCCATCCATCTGCATGCCCCATTCATAAGTTCATGTATTCACTCATGTCTGGGTGCAGTCACTCCTTTGCTCCCCACTTTTTCATGCTTTCAGCATTTACTGAGCCTTTCGAGTGGCAGGCTGGGCCTACTGGAAGCTGGTGCGGAGCTGAGTCAGTCCGGGTCTGGCCCCCAGGGGTTTTGGTTCTGGTGGGAAAGACCCCTGAGAAGGGGAGTGAGGGCCGCATCAGTCTGCCATTCCCCAGGAGGCACCCCACACGTGGAGTCACAGGGAAGGAGGGAGAGGCACGGAGGGGATGGAGCTCTGTGGGAGGCTGTGGGTTTGACTTGGGGTTTGGGTACGTTTGTGCCTGTGTGCCCACGATGCCAGGTGGTGACCAGTCTTCTCAGCATTCCTGTTCCACCTTGCTCTCTGGGTACGCGCTTGCTGCTCCTCCGCCCTTCTTTGTCACTGTCTTTGTCTCTCCGGGTGTTTCTCTTGGAGTGTGTCTGGCCTCCTTTCTCTCAGAATCCGCAGTCTGTTTCGCCTTGAGAATATGTCTTCTGAGATGTCTTAGCCTCTGATCCTTCTTAACCTGGTCCTGCTCCTCCCTCTGGGTTCCCTAGCCCCGCCCCTTACCTCTGGGTCCTCTGCCCCGCCCTTCTGAGTTCCCTAGTTCTGCCCCTCACCTTGGGCTCTTTGGCCCTCCTTAGTTTCCTAGCCCCGCCCCTCACCTCTGGACTCTTTGGCCCCTCCTTTCTGGGTTTCCTAGCTCTGCCCCTCATCTCTGGGCTCTTTGGCCTCTTCCTTCTGGGTTCCCTAGCTCCGCCCCTCTCCTCTAGGCTCTCGGGCCCCTCCTTTCTGTGTTCTCTAACTCCGCCCCTCACCTCTGGGCTCTCTGCCCCACCCTTCTAGATTCCCTAGCTCCGTCCCTCTCCTCTAGGCTCTCTGCCCCTCCCTCGTGGTTCCCTGGCCCTTTTCTTACCTTCAGGTTCCAAGGCCCCGCCCCTCAGCTTTTGCATCTCTCATTCAGAAACGGGGGAGGACGCAGCGGCACCTTCTGCGCCTGCGCCACGGTCCTGGAGATGATCCGCTGCCACAACTTGGTGGACGTTTTCTTTGCTGCCAAAACCCTCCGGAACTACAAACCCAACATGGTGGAGACCATGGTGAGGGGCTGTGTCCCGTGCCCAGCCACTTCCACCTTCCTGGTCCATGCCAGGCCAGGTTCCTTAGCACCCACTCTCCCATATCTGGGCCCCACCACTGGGCCTTGGTTCTAGCCCTGTGGTCCTAAAACATTACCCCCATTTCTCCCTTCTCCCCGAGGGCGGGCCTGGGCTCGGGCTCGTGCTTGCCCTCTCACTCCCCGTTCCCCTCCCCCCACAATACTGGAGTTGGGGTCAGGCTCATGATTCCCTCCCTCTCTTCCTCTCCCCAGGATCAGTACCACTTTTGCTACGATGTGGCCCTGGAGTACTTGGAGGGGCTGGAGTCAAGATAGCGGGGCCCTGGCCTGGGGCACCCACTGCACACTCAGGGCCAGACCCACCATCCTGGACTGGCGAGGAAGATCAGTGCCTCCTGCTCTGCCCAAACACACTCCCATGGGGCAAGCACTGGAGTGGATGCTGGGCTATCTTGCTCCCCCTTCCACTGTGGGCAGGGCCTTTCGCTTGTCCCATGGGCGGGTGGTGGGCCAAGGAGGAGCTTAGCAAGTCTGCAGCCCAGCCCCACCTCCATAGGGTCCTGCAGGCCTGTGCTGAGAGGCCTGGTGCTGCCTGGCAGAGTGACAAAGGCTCAGGACGGCTGGCTCTGGGGGACTCAGGCCAAGCCCCTTGGCACCATCCTGGCTTTTGGCAGGGATGAGTGAGGCCCTGCAGAGAGCATCCCAGGCCAAGGTTCCCACTCAGCCTGCCCCCTCTGCATGTGGGTAGAGGATGTACTGGGACTTGGCATTTAGGATTCCATCTGGCCCAGCCCCTGAAGGTCCTGGGGAAGCAGGTCTCAATTCTGAATAGCCAGTGGGGCACACTGACTGTCCTCCCCAGGGGAACTGCAGCGCCCTCCTCCCCACTGCCCCCTGCAGCCCCTGAGATATTTTGCTCACTATCCCTCCCCACTTGCTTCCCTGATATGTGCTCTGAGCTTCCCTGAACCAGGATCTGCCTATTACTGCTGTGCCCCATGGGGGGCTCCTTCCCTGCCTGACCCACTGTTGCAGAATGAAGTCACCTCGCCCCCCTCTTCCTTTAATCTTCAGGCCTCACTGGCCTGTCCTGCTCAGCTTGGGCCAGTGACAATCTGCAAGGCTGAACAACAGCCCCTGGGGTTGAGGCCCCTGTGGCTCCTGGTCAGGCTGCCCGTTGTGGGGAGGGGCAGTGTTAGAGCAGGGCTGGTCATACCCTCTGGAGTTCAGAGGAAGAGGTAGGACCAGTGCTTTTTTGTTTCTTTTGTTATTTTTGGTTGGGTGGGTGGGAAGGTCTCTTTAAAATGGGGCAGGCCACACCCCCATTCCGTGCCTCAATTTCCCCATCTGTAAACTGTAGATATGACTACTGACCTACCTCGCAGGGGGCTGTGGGGAGGCATAAGCTGATGTTTGTAAAGCGCTTTGTAAATAAACGTGCTCTCTGAATGCCACAGAGCAGCCCTGTGTGTGTCTCACCAGCCTGACGGGGCCTGCTCACCTGCCCCCAGCCTCCAGTGCAGTGGGAGGGCCCTGGAGAAGCCTGGGTTCTGATCTGGTCCTGGTTTTTCCATTCGTAAAATGGTGGGAGTGTGGACCAGGACATCACTCAGGGTCCTTCCACTTTCAGAGTTGGTTCCAAGGGACCCTGGCCATTGCTGTCCCCATCCAGGCCTCTGAAGCAGTTCCTCAGGTAGGGTATATCAACTCGAGATCCCTGAGGGCCACAGAGCTGCCTCTCACTCCACTGGGGGCCCTGGATCAGGTTCAGCTCTTTCTGGGGCAGCATGGGAGGCTCAGGCTTTGGTGTCAGGCAGATGGGCCCAGCAGCTGCGAGACCCTGGGCAAGTTAGTGCCCTCTCTGGGGCCTACTTTATCATCTGTAAAGTGGGGACAGTCCTGTTTGGATCAGATGAGGTAATGATTAAGTGCCTTATGTAGTGCCAAGCGTGTTGAAAGGGCTTACTTTACAAACATCGCAGAGATGGGGGCAGAGGAGACACAGCCCTGCTGGGGATGACCGTCCCATTGCCCCAGCCCAGCCCATTCCCAGCCCCAGCCGCCTCCATGGGGTAGAGAGGGAGGAGGAGCAGGCTGGCTGGTAGGGACCTGGGTCACTCCTGACTCTGTCACAGGCTTGCTGCCTGACCTTGGACAAGACAATTCCTGTTTCTGGAACTCAGTTTCTTCATATGAAGGCTGACTCTATGATGTACTCATTCTGTTTGCACACTGGCTGACCCTCTGTGCCTCAGTTTCTCCATTGGTCAGAGGATACAACCCATTCTAATGACCTCACAATTCAGCATACTTTAATCTGAGTTAAAAATTAATTGGCCAGTTAGGATCACACTTGGATAGGGCACAGACTGACCCCCTCATCCTCATTCTGAGCTGACCTCTGAGCCTTACGCGATGCATCACAAATGTGTGTCACGGGTACTGGCCAAGCGATAGAATATGACTTGCTTTGGCCAATAGCATGGGCAGAAGTGATGGCGTGTGAGTTCTGGATCCCAGGTCTCATGAGGCCTTGCAGTTTTTGCTTTTGCTCTTCTGGAACTCTGCTATACAAGGGAAGCTGTCTCACCTACCGGATGATTTGAGGGCACACAGAGGAGAACCAGCGCGTGCCATGAACAGTCAGTAGCAACTCCCAGGCTGTGAGTGAGGCTGTCTTGAACCTTCCAGTCTAGCTGACCTGTCAGGTAAGTGTAGCCACATGGCTAAGCTTAGAAGACACTGCCCAACCAACCCCTAGAACTGGGAGAGATGATAAATGGTTTTTTTTTTTGAAGACAGTCTGTTGAAATCACTTGTTACATACACAGTTAGTTTTTGCTAACTGATACACACGCGTGCGGAGCAGTCTGGATGCGGCTCGGCCCTTTGCTCTGTTCGGTGCTGGCTCCTCAAGGGCAGGGAGTATTTCTGTGCCATCTTGTGTCCATTGCCCAGTAAGGGGCTTGTCATGGAGCTAGTGCCCTGGAAATGTTGGCACGAGGGAGGGAAGGAAGGAGAGGTTGGACTTGCCTGCCCGACTGACCAGGGGCCTTGTGTGGCCTCTCAGAGAAGCTGGGGAGGTGGGCTCTGTATTAGGAGGAGCACCAGCTCCAGAACCCATAGTCCCGCCCCCAGCTCCACAACCCACAGTCGGGTGACCTTGCACAATCCCCTAACAACCCTGCAATAAACATAACAGGACCTACCTGCAGGATTGGTTGTGAGGTCTAGGGACAAAATATTTAAAAGGAACCAGCATACTCCCTGGTGACATAATTGACCCTCAATAAAGGGCATCTCACGCCATAATACTGAAGCCCCTGGATAATGAAAATGGTGACGATCACCTTTCATCTAGTGCCTATTCCTGTGTTATGTGTCCTACACCCTTTGGCTCTTCCTTACTCCATACAGCAGCTCTTTAAAGGGGGGATTCCTACCCCTCCATTTTAGAGACAAGACATGGAGGCTCAGGGAAGTGAGTTTACTCACCCAAGGTCACCTGGCCACTATATGGCAGAGCAGGGACTTGAACCCATGTTTAGGCTGACTCCAACACCTGGGCCTTTAACTGCTCTGCTCTGTGGCCTCCCTGGCCCAAAAGCCTAAGGATCCCCTCGGTGTAATACCAGATGGGGAATTTGTGGCCTAAGCACTGCTTTTCAAATGCTGTGAAATGTGTCAGAGGTGGCGGCCTCTCAGACAAGGTGGCGGCCTCTCAGACAAGGTGGCCAGGAGCACAGGAAGATGAATGGTCCAGCCGGGTTCTGTCCAGGGCCTCTGGCTGAGCAAGTGTGGGTAGAAACCTCCACCCACCCAGGCCCCAGCAAATAAGATTTCTACAAGTGCAGCTAGGCCAGCTGCCTGTTACTGCCAGAAGCTAAGTTGTTTCTTTATACCATAATAAATCTGGCTGTAGGAGTCAGCGAAAGCAATGATTACTTCACACAACCTCTCTCAGCCCCTGATTGAGATGCATTATATATCCCAGGCACCCAGGAGATGGAGCCGTGACATTGATGGATGCCAAGGCCACTTGCAAGGCCCTCATTGGGAGCAGGGCCTGGCCAATCTCTCTCCCTGGGCTCCATGGACCTCCCCCTGCCCCGGTGACCTCTGATGGACAGGAGCTTAATGAGCTTTGGCCTCAACATCCCCATGGCTAAGGGCAGTGCAGAAATAATGGAGTCATTGCATAGGCAGGATCAACAGGTTCAAGTCAGGCAATGAATGGCCAGCAGGTAGAGGATGAGGGCTTTGGACGTGGGGATGTAAGAAAGCAAAGCTTTATTCGGCACTGAAATGCACATTGCTCAGTGCTCTCTGTAGACTGTCATATGTCAGTCTCCAGTTCCACCTGTGAGGTAGGTACTATGATCATCGCCATTTTACAGATGAGGAGACTGAGGCTTAGAGAGCTTAAGCAACTTGCCCCAGGTCAGAGAGCCAACAAGGTCACACAAACAACAGCAACCAGTGTGATCGTTTGAAAAAACAGGCCAGATCCCATCACTCACCTGCTCAAACCCTCCAGTGCCTCCTGCTGCTGTGTGCATGAGCACTGTGCTCCTGACCATGACCTCTGAGGCCCACCTGTCCTGGCTCTACCCTGTCTGTCCACGTCCCTCCTGCACGCTCCTGCGCACTCCAGGCTCTTCTTCCCCCATCATTCTGAGCTCTTTGCATGGACACCCTTCTCCGGTCCTGCATACCTGGCTCTTGCCTGGTGTCCAGTTCCCAGATCAGATGTCCCCTTCCTGAGATGCCCTCCCTGAATGCCCTGAGTGGCCCTCCAGCACCCACTGTCCCTGTGTCTTTCAGGGCCCATCCTGTGTCTGTGCCTTGCTGCTTTCTCACAGTGGGTGATGAGCTTGTTCATTCACTGGGTATTTCTTCTCACCAGACTGAGCAGCGAGAGGCCAGGGCCATGTAGGTCTTGTCCTCCTGTGTCTGTTGCACTGGGCATGGTGCCTGGCACATGACAAGAACTCAACGAGTATTTGTTGAATGAATGAAAGTTGCAGAGCTGGGACTGGAGCTCAGGTCTGTCTGGCTCCAAAGCCTATACTCTTAAGCACATAATTTTTAGTCCTTGGATGACCACATGGCTTGAAGTCATGAGGCTGGGTTCCAATGCTGGCTCAGCTACCACCATGCTGTGTGGCATTGAGCAAACATCTGGGGCTCAGTCTCCTGATTTGTCCATGAGGAGGCAGAGCTAGGTGCTTTCTAGGAGCTCATTCTAAGTAGGACAGCATCAGGTTCAACATCCCTCAGACAATGGGGCTGACATTGCTCAGTGGGGTCCAGGCCATTGGCCTAAGCATCGGGTGTCTGAGGCTGGTGGCTTTACACTGACTTTAGTCTGATGGGCCTGCACCCCCACCCTGGCTGGTCCTGGTGATCACAATAGTGACTGCTGTGCATTGTCCCTAATACAGACTGTTCCTAATCTCCCCAGCATCCTGAGAGGTGGGTATCACCAAGCCCATTTAGCAGGCAAGAAAGCTGAAGCTCAGAGAAATGAGGGCAGAGCTCTCAATGTCACAGCTAGAAAAGATTCAGTCTCTGGACTAGAACTTGGGACTGACTCCAAAGCCGGTGCTCATGCAAACAACAGCCAGTCTATGCCTGCACCACACCAGCTGCTTGAGGCTGCTCTCAACCCTCAGCCAGGCTGCTCTCCCAACCCTGCCCTAGCTGGGCTCATCTCCACTGTGCCTCACCATCAACAGCCTCTCCAGGTCCAGGGCCGGCTTGAAACACTGCCTGATCATCCTAGTCTGCTGCATTCTCACCGTGAGGGTGGCCTGAGTCAGCGGGAGCGCAGGAGCTGAGAACGCCTTTCAAGAAAAAGGAAACTCGTCTAAGCTCACCTCCTACTCTCTCCCTGGGATGGGAAGAGGGACCCTGACCAGAAATGTCATTTTCTGCTCATTTCAAAGTGAATAATGTGGCTGTCTTGGGCTGTGTTTAATCTCTTAATGCATCCCTGTTTGAAGAGCAATGGGCTCAACATCCCTCAGAGACAATGGGGCTGGCATTGCTCATTAGTGCCCAGGCCACTGGCCTAAGCATCTGCTTTCTGAGCCTGATGAAATCTTGGGTGTAGTCTGAGCTTTGGTCTGATGGACCTCTGTACCTACTTTGGCAGGTCCTTGCATTATACCTAATGTGGACATTGTCCCTAATCTTCCCAGAAATCCTGAGAGACAGATGTTACCAAAACAATTTGATATATGAGGAAAGAGGCTCAGAGAGCTGAGGTGAATTGCTTAAGGCTACACAGCTAGAAAAGAGCCAAGACAGAATTAAAAGCCATGTCACTTGACTCCAAACCATTGCTCTTATAATCATTGGAGAAATACTGGCAGATCTAAACCTGAACCACATTAACTGCTGGAAGTTTCTCTTGTCCGTGAACCAGTCTGCCCTTTCAACACTCACTCAAGCTAGGCTCAGCCACAGCCACAAACAGGCTTAGCTGAGGCCCACAGTCAAACAGGGCTCAGGGCTGGGCATCTAGTAGGCCTGCAGCAAAAGCCAGTGACTGGACAATTGAATGTCTTGAATCTGCAGAGGGTGGAGGTGGCCTGAGTCAGCAGGAGCTGAGAAAGCCTTTTGAAGAAAAATGAAATGTATCTCAACCCACTCCCTACTTACTCCCAGAAGTGGGAAGAGGGAACCTGTCCAGGAATTTTATTTTCTATTCTTTTGAAAGTGGAACAATGTGGCTTTCTTGAGCTGTGTTTATTCTGTGACTGCATTCTCTCTTTGAAGAGGGCTGGGATTGCTCCCCAGGGCTCCAGCCCATGCATGCTCCTTTCCCTACAAAAGGCATAGCAACTCTTCCCCTTCTAGCCTCTTCCCCAATCAACCCTTTGCTCCCTTCCATGTCTGCCTCTCTCGCCCATGACAGTTCTTAATTTATTGTCTCTGAGCTCCAAATACATCCTTCGTTGCCCTGCTTTGTAATACTGGAGCTGGACCCTGTGAACAGTTCTCTTGTGCCAGCTAGAGCAATGTTAGGCTTTGTCAGGAGAGGGCGCTAGAGGGACACTGTAAGGTCCCTCTGCAGCGGGAAGGCACTTCCCTTCCAGGTTCTGGTCCTCCTTCCATCTTTTTGTTTCCAGCACAGGAGCCAAGGCCCAGTGCTATCATCTCAGTGGCCTGTGTGGACCAGCTCCAAACGTCTTTTCTGTATAACAGGAAAGAACCATCAGGCTTCACTCTCTCCACCTGGACATCGATTCTATAGACCAGCCCTACTCACACTTGACACCAGCCTGAACCCATGTGGGATCAGGTTCCCACAAAGACGGCCATGTCCACAGACTGAGCCAGCTTACTTTCCCTGGCAGGTTTCTTAGCCACTGGAGGCTGCATGTTCTCATGGTCATCACTCACTCATAGAGGAGGTCTGAGTCAGGGGGAACACCTTCTCCTGAGGCCCTATTTCCTTCATTATTCACTTTCCCTCAGCCTAGAAACAGTAGCTACTTTTTTGCACGTGCTGCTTCTGGGTCTCATAGAGTGTTCTTTTACCCTTTTTAGTAATTAACTATCCTTTGTTAGATAATAATTCTTTATATTAAAATTTCCACGTTCAGATTATGGGTGTGAGCTCTGTCTCCTGACTGGATCCTAATTGATAAGGAATTGAGAGCAGGAATGGTCCCAGGTGACAGACCCGCAAAGATGAGATTTTGATAGGTTTCATTGTGCCTTTGGGCTGGAGCACAATGCTGAGTTCCTTGCCAGTGGGAATGGGATGCTTGTAATCTACAGCATAATGGCACCATAATGTTGCTATCACCTGTAATGGATTTTGGTGCAATGCCAACTGGAGCAAGTGTCTTGGGAACTCAGGTGACTCCTGCACCTGACCATGATTACACCAGTAATGATGCCCGCAAGGACTGTGGTGTGGGATGAATCTTGCATGCACTGGAGCACTTACTAGAAAAGAAAAGACAAGTTGAGGTTATTTAATTCTCAGCTCAAATCATAGTTTGAGGACCACAGAGCTTCCATGTCATCCGTAAAAGAATCTCATATTTCATGTAGCCACAGGGCTGATATTGCTCAAAACCAAACACAAAATTTAATTGTGTGGGTGGCAGAATTTAAATGTCAGTTAAATTTATAGCATCACAAGTTTTTCATGTGAAAGTTTGGGTATAAATCAGGGAAGAATGTGATCTTGAAACTTGGAATAGGGACATCTGGTTGGACTCAGATAAAATGGAGAATCCTGATTCCCTGAGGCCCTCTGAGCCTCCCTTGCCAATGGAAATATCTTCCCCTCTTGTATCTGAGGAGGTTAGTTTTCCTTTGTTTGAAAATGCGGAGATAACCTCATATGGGGCAGATGCCTTGAGATAGCATGACCATTATCCTCAGGAGATGCCACAAGCACGCTTTGTTACCACTAGATCCATAACAAGGGTCAAATCTCAGCATGCTCCAAGGGGACAGGTACTCACTGTGATGCAGAACGAGGCAACACAACAGAAGAAAGGCAAGATTTTGCTAATGGCAAGATTTTACATAATTCAGGGAATATTTATGGGAGCTGATTCTAAGGGTGGAAGGTAATAATTCTGAATTCATGGATGTGGATTTGGTATTTAATGTGTTAAGTTGTGCAACTGAAGTTCGCTCTAACAGTTTACTCAGTTGGTTGACTGAAACTTGGACTTGAAGGTGGCTTACATTTAATGAAATTGAAATGCCAGAGGTTCCATGGCATAATGTGGAAGAGGGAGTCCAAAGGCTTAAGGAGATAGGATGTTGGAGTGAATTTATCATGTGTGACCTGCACAACCACCCCTGCAAACTATGTTCCATGAAAATTCTCGGAAGACACCTTCTTAACTAAGGCACTGAGAAATATATTATTGAGAGGAGAACCTTCATCCTTAAGAAACTCTGTGGATGTTCACCTTCATAGTCCAGTTATTACCATAGATTATGCTATCATTCCTGTGAACTTCTTGATTTCATGGGGACGATAGCATCCTGGAGCTGCAGAGGCTAAGTGGAATTGCTTAATAACCAAAGACAATATGGATGATGCGCCATAAAGGGCAGCAGGGATGTGCCTGTAATTAGAATGCCTTGGCCCATAGGGATCTTTGGTGGTGACTAATTGACCACTTTGTCCCTAGAAAGGAAATAGACAGATAGCCTACTAAAGCACTGCTTGATCTGTATCACAGAAAAACAAATGAACAAACACAACTCTAGCACTGGTGCCCAAAACCCGACTGGAATGACTGTTGCAGTTACGGCTTCTCATCCAGTTTCTAGACCTAAAGCAATTCACAGATCAGACCATCTTGATTTAGGAGGATGCCAGACCCTTTGAAGAAGATTCTTGCAGTAGTGCTATAAGTATATACCATAAGTCTTCCTCCATGCCTGCCTTATTCTAAGTGAAGTAACTCAGGAATGGAAAACCAAATATTGTATGTTCTCACTTATAAGTGGGAGCTAAGCTATGAGGATACAAAGGTGTAAGAATGATATAATGGACTTTGGGGACTCAGTGGGGAAGGTTTGGGGGGTGCGAGGGACAAAAGACTACATATTGGGTGTGTGTACACTACTTGGGTGATGGGTGCACTAAAATCTCAGAAATCACCACTAAGGAATTTATCCATGTAACCAAAAACGACTTGTGCCCCCAAAACATTTGAAATAAAAATAATTAAAAAAAACCAAACTTCCTCCAAGCCTTCTCCAAGGGGACCTGTGGCCACTTACTAGAATGACTGCATTTGGGGAAAGAAAGTACCCAGTCCTTTGGGGGATTACTAGACATTGACTCTGAATTTATGATAATTCCTGGGGTTGCAAAATGCCACTGTGGTCCACCATTCAAAGTCTTGACTTAGATCATCAGGTGATAGATATTTAGCCCAAATGTGTTCAGTTGGACATTCCCCCAGTTTCTGAATGTATAAGTGAAATTGGCATACTCTCACTGGGAAGAGACCCCATTTTGGGTCTTTGTCTTATGGAATGAGATCCATCATGGAAGAAAGGGCCTAAATAGAAGTTTCTGGAACTTCCTCTCTTTGCCATGATAGCAAATTGGAAGCACTTCCATATCCGCGGGGAAATTTCAGAGATTCATGAAGCCTTGAAATATGCAGGGGTGGTGATTCCTATCCCATCCCCATTTAACTTGCCTATTTGACCTATGCAGAGGTTGGAAGGGTTTTGGAGAATGACTATATTATTGTATATTTCATTAGGTGGTAACACCAATTGCAGCTGCTGCCCCAGATAGAGCATCTTTACTGGAGCAACTCAGTATACCACTTTGGTATGCAGCTGTTCACCCATCTACTGCATTTTTCTCTGTACCAATTAGTGAGGACTATCAAAAACAGTTTGCTTTTACCTGGAAGGGCCAACAGTACACATTCACAGTCTTGCCTCAGAACCAAGTCAATTTCTCTTGCTTTCTCCTATTATATAGTCTACAGATAATATGATCATTTTGACATTCTACAAAGCATTGCACTGGTGTACTACATTGATGATGAGCTGATTATGCCTGATGAACAGGCAGTAGCAAGTACAACATATGTGAATGTCAGGGTGGTAAATAAATCCCACAAAATTTCAGAGGTCTGCTGTCTCGGTAGTTTCTGAGGTTCAGTGGTCTGGAACATGTTGATATGTCTCTCCAAGGTGAAAGTCAAGTTGCTGCACATTACATACTGCTAAAAAAGAGGCACAGCACTTGGTAAGCATTTTGGATTTTAGAGGCAACATATGTCACATTTGCGTGTGTAACTTTGACTCATGAGCAAAAATCTCCATAAGGCTTCCAGTCTTGAGTCAAGGAGGTTCTGCAGCAAATTAAGGCTTCAGAAAAAGTTTCTCTACCACTTGAATGATCCAGTAGATCCAGTGATTCTCAAATTGTCCACAGCAGGTAGGGATGCTGTATGGAGTCACAGCTAAGCCCCTAAAGGGGAATCACAATGCAAACTTTTAGGATTCTAAAGTAAATCTATTCCTGTTTATTCAGACACTACTTTTTTCCCCCCTGAGAAATAGCTTCTAGCTTGCTATTGGACTGTGGTAGAGACTGGGTGCCTAACTGGGACATCAAGTGACCATGCAGCCTAAGATTCCTAATTGAGATTCTATTGACGCAACTAGTTATAAGGTTAGCTTTGTGTGGCAGCAATCTATCATCAAATGAGAATGCTATTAAAGAGACCTCACTTGGGCAAGCCTGGAAGGTATGAGTAAGTTGTATGAATTAGTAGTTCAAACTCCTTTCTCATCAACTTCTGCCGCATTGCCTTGTCCCCCTCAAATCATGCCTATGGCCTCGTGGGGAGCTCCTTATGACCAGTTGCTGAACAATGAAAACTCAAGCCTGGTTTACAGATGGTGCTGTCCGATATACCAACCAAAACAGAAGACTGAGGTATCACAGCCCCATTAGGGTGACCTTGAAATACAGTGGTGAGGGAAAATCTTATAAGCAGTATATTTGGTTGTCCATTCTGGAATAAGAGATAGCCAGAGTATGGCTCTACACTGATTTATGAGCAGTTGTTAATGGTATGGTTTGGCTGGTTGGTCAGAGACTTGGAAGAAACAGGACTGGAAGATGGAAGAGGGGGAATTCTGCAGAAGAGTCATGTGGATGGGCTTCTCAGAATGGGCATAGACTGTGAAGATTTGTGTCCCATGTGAATGTTTGCTAAAGGGCATCCACTGCAGAGGAGGCTTTCAATAAGTAGGTGAGCAATATAACATGCTTTGTGATGATCAGTTAACCTCTTTATTCCTCTGTCCCTATGCTTGTCCAATGGGCCCATGAGTAAAGTGGCTGTAGTGGCAGGGATGGAAGATATGCCTGGGCTTAAAAACATGAACATCCCTTTCCTAAGGACTTCTTTGGATACTGCCACTGCTGGGTGCTCAATCTTCTGACGGAAGAGACCAACATGAGCCCACAGTATGCCACCATTCCCTGGATAGACTGGTCATCTACCAGGTTTCATCTTGATTTCATTGTACATCTCCCATCATGTAGGGGGCATAGATTCTTCCTTATTGAAATAGAATCATTATCTGGAGATATATTTGATGTCCCTGCCTGTGATTCTTTTGTCCCTGCCACCATCTATGTACTCATAGAATGTCTCACCCACTATCATGGTATAGTACACAGAATTGCCTCTTCCCAAGGAATTCATTTCACAACAAAGGAAATGTAAAAGTGGGCTGATTCCCATGGAATTAACTGGTCTTACCACATCACTCATCACCTGGAAGTGAACGGTCTAATTAAAAGATGGAATGGCTTACTGAAGGCTCAGGTATGGCACCACTTGGGAGACATTCCCTGAAAGGATGCAATATATGCTTTGAATCAGGCACCATTGTATAGTGCTACCTTCCTTGTTGTTAGAATACCTGGGTCCATTAATCAGGGGTGGAAGTGGGAGTGGTTCTATGTCAGTCAATTTTCAATCAAGATACAGAAAACATATGAGATTAACTAAGGGGGAATAAAAGAGAACTCTAAAGAATACCACTAAAGTGAAGGAGAATGTACAAGGCCCAAAACTTAGAAGGAAGAGAGGATCCTCTCCACAGCTGGGATTCAGACCCTTGAGGAGGGTGTAGTTGCAGCCTATTGGATGGTAGAAAATTTCACTGGATTGTCAGCCCAGAGATGGTCTCATGGTGGGCTGAAGGGGTGGGTTGCCCCTCCACACCTGTGGGTGTTTCTCGTTAGGTGGGACGAGAGACTTGGAAAAGAAAAAGAAACAGAGACAAAGTATAGAGAAAGAAATAAGGGGACCCGGGGAACCAGCGTTCAGCATATGGAGGATCCCGCCAGCCTCTGAGTTCCCTTAGTATTTATTCATTCGTCGGTGTTTCTCCGAGAGGGGGATGTGTCAGGGTCACAAGACAATAGTGGGGAGAGGGTCAGCAGGCAAACACGTGAACAAAGGTCTTTGCGTCATAGACAAGGTAAAGAATCAAGTGCTGTGCTTTTAGATATGCATACACATAAACATCTCAATGCTTTACAAAGCAGTATTGCTGCCCGCCTGTCCCACCTCCAGCCCTAAGGCGGTTTTTCCCTATCTCAGTAGATGGAACGTACAATCGGGTTTTATACCGAGACATTCCATTGCCCAGGGACGGGCAGGAGAGAGATGCCTTCCTCTTGTCTCAACTGCAAGAGGCATGCCTTCCTCTTATACTAATCCTCCTCAGCACAGACCCTTTACGGGTGTCGGGCTGGGGGATGGTCAGGTCTTTCCCTTCCCACGAGGCCATATTTCAGACTATCACATGGGGAGAAACCTTGGACAATACCTGGCTTTCCTAGGCAGAGTTCCCTGCGGCCTTCCGCAGTTTTTGTGTCCCTGGGTACTTGAGATTAGGGAGTGGTGATGACTCTTAAGGGGCATGCTGCCTTCAAGCATCTGTTTAACAAAGCACATCTTGCACAGCCCTTAATCCATTTAACCCTGAGTTTGACACAGCACATGTTTCAGAGAGCACGGGGTTGGGGGTAAGGTCATAGATTAACAGAATCTCAAGGCAGAAGAATTTGTCTTAGTACAGAACAAAATGGAGTCTCCTATGCCTACTTCTTTCTACACAGACACAGTAACAATCTGATCTCTCTTGCTTTTCCCCACAGTGGGCTAAGGTTAGTGGGCATGCCTGCTGAGATGCTGATGAAATTCAGAAGCTGCCTGTGAGGGTTTCTGTTGAACTTGCTGGGAAGCCAGCTGGAGCACTGGCTGCCAAGAAGTTTCTCAGAGTATTTGGGGTGGGAGGATAGGAAGCCATTTTTGGGAAGATGAGTGGAAGTGAGCTGGGGCTTCTATAGATCCTGCCTTTGAGAAGCCAGATATGGGAGGGCTGCTGCTATCACCAGCGGTGTGCTCTACTGAGTGTCCTGCACACCACCGAATGCAAGAAGAAGCCAAGTACTCTGGAATCAGAGTGTCCAACATCCTGCCAGTGCCATCTATTGACAAAATCAACACCATGCCAACTTGCAAGAGAAAACGTTCTAGTTTCACAAGCAGGCCATGAGGGGTGGATTTGGAACTCAGAAGCAATAAATGGCAACTGGTACAGGCTCCTCTCATTATTATTCTTAATCACCCACTTGGAGAATGTTTGCTTCTTGTCTTTGCAAATTTGAACTCTGCTGGCTTGGATATCTTTGTTCCTAAGGCAAGGATGGGGGGAATCCTAGAGGACACAACGTTGGTTCCAATGAATGGAAGGATGAGACTGCCTCTAGCCATTTGGGGTTCTTACGTCACCTATCAAACAGGCCGATAAAAGGGTTACTCTTTTGGATGGAATGATTGATCCTGGTTTCCACGGAAAAATTGGATTGCTTCTACACGATGGGGACAGGAGGGCTATGTCTGGAACTAAGGGGATTCTGCGGGTGTGCCTCTTAGTACTTCCAAGCCCAACTGTACAGGTTAATGGAGAACTTCATCAATCCAAAAAAGGCAGGATAATTGAGGGCTCCTATCATTCAAGAATGAAGTTTTGACTTTCTCTTCCTGGTAAAAAAAAAACCCCAACTAGCTGAGGTTCTGGTTGAGGGTAGGGAAGATTCGGAATGGGTAGTGGAAGAAGGAAATCATAGATATAAATTATGGCCTTGTGGTCAGTTACAGAAATGAGGACTAGAGTAGCTTTGCATATTTTCTCATTTATTGTTATGTGTATATATTTATGACTATGTTAATTGTTTCCTTCTCCTTCTTCCCGTTGGTATTATTCTTTTTCTTTTTTTTTTTTTTTGAGACAGAGTCTTGCTCTGTCACCCAGGCTGGAGTGCAGTGGCGCGATCTAGGCTCACTGCAACCTCCGCCTCCTGGGTTCAAGTGATTCTCCTGCCTCAGCCTCCCAAGTAGCTGGGACTACAGGAGTGTGCCACCACGCCGGGCTAATTTTTTGTATTTTTAGTAGAGACGGGGTTTCACTGTGTTAGCCAGGATGGTCTCGATCTCCTGACCTCGTGATCCACCCGCCTTGGCCTCCCAAAGTGCTGGGATTACAGGTGTGAGACACTGTGCCTGGCCTATTTTTCTTTCCAACTATTATTTCAGGTTCAGGGGTTACATGTGCAGGTTTGTTACATGGGTAAATTATGCGTCGCAGGGATTTGGTATACAGATTATTTTGTCACCCAGGTAATAAGCATGGTACCCAATAGGTAGTTTTTTGATCCTTACCCTCCTCCCAGCCTCCACCCTCAAGCAGGCCTGGGTGTCTGTTGTTCCCTTCTTTGTGTTCATGTGTTCTCCCCATTGTTATTTATATACCAGTTATTGGAGGTTAACTTTACCATATGGCCTTTAGGAAACAGAATATTCAGTGTGACTGTGCTGATTTTGAGGAGTTGTTCATATAGCCAGCAAGGGGTGAATGATGTTGGAACTACGTGTCTCCTTATTTTGAGGCAAGGGTGGGAACTTCCTTATGTGTACAAGGGATAACTGCATCTCCTTAGGTGGAAACACAGAGTTGCCTTGTTGTGAAGGGAAGTTTAAAAGTGTGTAGTAGATATATATGGAAGCTGATTCGTCAAAGGCAAGGACTGTGATGGTTCCACCAATTGTTTCTCAAGTCCACCCTTCTGTGTCCTGCTTTGTGTTACTGGAGCTGGACCCTATAAACATTTGTTTGCAGGCTGGTGCAATGTTAATCTCTGTCAATAGAGGGCAGTGGAGGGGTATTGAAAGGCTATAGAGATGGATGGCATTTCTTTGTTTTTTTTTTTTTTGTTTTGTTTTGTTTTTTGAGATGGAGTCTCTCTCTGTTGCCCAGGCTGGAGTGCAGTGGCGTGATCTTGGCTTACTGTAACCTCTGCCTCTCAGGTTCAAGCAATTCTCCTGTCTCAGCCTCCCCAGTAGCTGGGACCACAGGCACACACCACCATGCCCAGCTAAGTTTGGTATTTTTAGTAGAGATGGGGTTTCACCATATTGGTCAGGCTGGTCTTGAGCTCCTGACCTCAGGTGATCCACCCACCTCGGCCTCCCAAAGTGCTGGGATTACAGGTGTGAGCCACCGCGCCCAGCCTCATGAACAGTTCTTTACATTACATTTTCCATGTTTAGGTTACTGGTGTGGTCTCTGTCTTCTGAATGGTCTCTATTCACATACTCTCCACCCTGGCATCTGGCCTCCTTGCTGTCTCCATCTTAATCAGATTTGAGATGAAGATTTGGCCTCCCCCTTGCTCTCCTCTTGGCCTTTCTCTTCACCTCTGCCTCCTTCAGATCCGTCTTGGAAAGTCCCAGTTTCTGTGTGAACATGGTGAAGATGAGGATGTGGCATCTTCCCAGCATGCCTTGCAGAAAGGCCAAAGCCTAGAGCTGGGAATCAGGATGCCTGGGTTCTAGGCCCAGCTCAGCTTCTAACCTATGTCCTTTACAGGTGGGGAAAGTGAGGAGAAGTTGTGTCAGATGCCTACTTCCATCCAAGCTGCTCTAATGACCTGCAAAGGCTTTCTCCTCACCTCAATTTCCATGATGTTCTGTGATCCTCATGACAACCCTTCTTCTTACGGCTTGGCTGGATAGATCTTGTCATTATTATTCCACTTACATTATTATTCCAGTTGTATTATCGTTATTCTGATTAATACAGTGCTTCTTAACTGGGGGCAATTTTGCTTCCCAGGGACCATTTGGTTATCACAATGTGGTTTTGCTACTGACATCTAGTGGGTAGAGGCCAGCGATGCTGCTAAATATCCTACAATACATGGGACAGCCCCCGCCTTGGCCCCTCAACAAGAAATTATCTGGCCTGCAATGTCAGTAGTGCTGAGGATGAGAAGTCCTGAATTAATAGGTATAGAAAGAGGGGTCTTACAAGGGGAGGTGGCTTGCCCAGGGTCACACAGAAAGTGAGCAGCAGAGCTTGGATGAGAGCCTAGGCACTGAAACCCCTAGCCCTGGTCTTTTCAACCCTTCCCCATTCTTCTCCCAGGTCCAAGGGTAGGAAGGCAATGGAAAGCCAGTGAAACCTTCCCCGAGGAATTCTGTGCCTGCAGGTGGCTGACATTCTCCTCTCGCCTCCCTGCCTTACCAATCCCCAGCCACTTGCCAAGGCAGCCATCTGCTTTCTCAACTCCTGTTCTGAGCTGCTGAGAAGCTGCTGAGAAAACTGCACTTAGTGAGTACTGGCAACATCGCCAAGGGGTGATTGCCAACGTCAGCGGGCTCCAGCATCACCCATCGTTTCTGCCACCTCCCTGTCATCTGCTCCAACCGCCCTTCCCTTCAAGGACTATTCAGATCCTCCACCTTTCTTAAGTTCTCCCCTAGTCCCACCATCAGCTTTTTCACTCCCAGTAGTGACCTGACTTTCTCAAATACTCCCTTCTCTCCTGAACCTGTTCTCAGCCCGCTTGGGAAGAGGACTCTTAACTATCTCAGGACAGACTCTCTCCTCTGGTTGAGGGCCAGTCCGTTTCCACCTTCCGGACTGATTCCTTTCTGCCTTTGCGGGACATTGTCCCTATAGCGTTCTCTCTCTCTGTCCCCACTTCCCCCGGCATTTGTCAGCACCCCTGACTTCCCTGCATAAAGCCTGCTCAATCTCCCCCATACTTAATTTTAAAATAAATTCCTTTCTTGAAATCTTCTGGCCCCTCGAGCCACTTTCATTTCTTCCCCTCCCATCCACATACTGTTTGTACTGCCCAGATGAGCCACTCACCCTGCTTGCTCCAGCTGCAAACCTCCTACTCACCTTCAAACCCAGCTCAGATGTCAGCTTTCCTAAGATGCTGTAACAGATGTGGTTGGTGTCCCCCTCCCCTTGGCACTCTGAGTTCTGCAGTTACAGACAGTTCTGAGCATGCTGACAGCTTCCCACCTCAAATGCCTGCATCTCTTTCTCTCTCTGGCACCTGGAGAACTTGCTTGTCTGTGTGGCAGGTGTCAGCTAGGAGTACAGGGGACAGGAGGAGTTAATGCCTCGAGAGGTGGTGAACAGTGCCCACTACCCCTTGAGTCATGAGAGTGGGCTCTGGGGGCATCTTCCACGCAGGCCTCAGAGGCTCCCCAGCAGGACTGAGCCCCGAAGCTGCCGTCGCTGTAACCCACTGCCTAGTGCTTAGTTCATGCTTCACTGACTTTTCTCTTTTCCCCACTTAGTCGTTCCATTTCCACACTTTATCTGAGAGGGTTCCCCTCTCAGATAAACTATCAGCACTGGGGCCCTTGACTCAGGGCAAGCTGTTGAAATGACCATTTCCTGGGGTTGCTCACATTGGAAGCAACAGGTGGTTCATCCATGTGCTTCAAAAAGAGCACCCTTTGGGGCAGCCACCCTGAGACACACCCCTGTCCCCCTAACCCTGGAGGGAGTTAACTGCTCCCTCCTCCTGTTCCCTGATGCCTGTTATTGTTTCTTGACACAGAGTTTCTGTCTCTTGTTCCAGACTGTGAGTCCCTGAGATAAAAGCAAGCTCTTCCCTACCTCTGTGTCCCCTTAACCTGGCATGTCACCCTGGCACATCAGTGGCCAAGAAATGTTTACTGAGTGAGTGAGAAAAGGAATGGATGAAGGGGATAGGAGTCTCCAGGGCCACCCATGGTGGGTGACCAGCCCCGCGGAGAGAACTGTCCCATGGATGTGGTCCTCTCAACCCCGCCTTCTCCTCTCCGCCAAGGGGGCCTATCTCTGCCCACCCCTGCCTGGCCCAGAACCCCTCACCCTGACCCCCGTCCTACCTGCTATGATGCAGTCTGCCTGGTGCAGGCCAGGAAAAGTCCCCAGACAGGGGAGCGGGCCCCTCGGTAGGAGATTCCGGCTCTGGCTAAATAAAGGTCACAGGAACCCAGTGAAATGCTGTTATAATGCGACATAATTCAGTGCTGCCTTCCAGCAGATGTCGCTTTGGAGGGATGGATTTGTCCCAGCTGGACTCTGGGGTGCTTTCTGAAGCACACGGAAGAACCACCTGCTGCTTCTGATGTGAGCAGCCCCAGGAAATGGTAATTTTGACAAATCAACGTATTCAAGCCAAACGCATGGACCCAGTTTCCAGCAGGAGGAATTACAATCCTCGCTGAGGAAGTGAAACAGCTGCTGTGGAGCCAAGCGGCTGTACAGGCTACGTCCAGCCCCGAAGCCCCAGGGGAACAGGATGCTCCTAGCACAGATCGCCAGGGAGTCAAACTCAGCACCCTGGTCCCATAAAGGACCATTTTACAGATGAGAAAACAGGCCTGTGGCAAACTGAGGCAAAGGAGCGCTTGCCCAAGGTCACACACACTGAGCCAGTGGCAGACCTGGGGCCCTGAGCTGAATCCAGACAGCTCTGGCCCCACCCTCTCCCACGGCTCTGAGGAGCTGGCAGGTGAGACTCGTGCTGAAATAAAAACTAAAACAACCGACATCGTGACCAACTCACAGGTTGGGCCTGCCCTTTTGTTACAGATGCTGATCTGGGAATGAGAGACTCTGGGATCTGATGCTGGTTCTGCCCCTACCTTCCTGTGTGACCTGAGTTTCCCCATTCAAGGGGCATAATGCTCCACTTCCCAGGATGATGTGAGGATCACGTGAGGTCCAGGAGAAACTCCTTGGCACACTGTGTGAAAGTAAACCTGGGAACAGTGTTATCGTCACCCACACACCTGCAGTGATGGGATGCTGAGGACAGGGATGGTCCTTCCTTGAGCTGCTAGAAGTGAAGGAGAAACCAACGTGTCTTTTCCCAGGCACACAGCTCTGAGCTAGGGGAGGGGCCTCAGGGTGGGTTGTAAGTCTGGAGGCCTTGGCCATCCTTCCTCCCATAATGTAGGGGTGTCTCTGAAGCCATATTCCCCTTTCTGTCCCAGCAGGTGACATGGAATCTCAGCTCTTAAACATCCTGGCTACAAAGGTTTGGCAGTGCTGGGTTGGGGGCAAATATCTGGGGAAGGGAAAGAGAGAAAGAAGAGGCTTACAGAGAAATGGGGAGGAAGAAGAGGAGGGTGAGAAGAAAAGGAGGAGGTGGGAGAGGATGAGGAGGAAAAGAAAGACAGAAGGAGACAGTGGAACATTTGGAGGAGGACTGTTTCCATTCTATGGTACAAAATGCAAGCAGAAATTGTGGGCTCTAGAATCAGAAAAATCTAAAATCAAAGGCTGGCTCCACCGCTCAGTATTTGGGGGACTTTGGGCTAATCATTCAACTGTTCTAAACTTCAGTTTTCACATCTGTAAAATGGGGATAAGAACGGTGCCCATTTCTTAGAGATAATCTTGGCAAAGCATTCAGTACTATGCCTGGCCAGGAGCAAGTCCTCAATATGCAGTAGCTAGAGTGGCAGCAGAAGTGGGAAAAGGAGCTGTAAATCTACAAATGTGTGTGTTCTGGGAGAGTCTGGAAAACCCATCCCACTGGAAGGTAAGACGGCTTGTTCATGCAGAGGAGCAGATGGATTTGTCCAAGTTGAGAGAAGTCTGAAGAGGCACAGAAGCCCAAATCACACATGCAAAGGAATGCAGTTAACAAATTTTACTGTGAGGACAACAGTTTATGTATTAACGGTGGCTAAACTGATAAATATATAAGAAGCTGAGGCCGGGTGCAGTGGCTCACACCTGTAATCCCAGCACTTTGGGAGGCCGAGGTGGGTGGATCACCTGAGATCAGGAGTTCAAGACCAGCCTGGCCAACATGGTGAAACCCCATCTCTACTAAAAATACAAAAATTAGCCAGGCGTGGTGGTGGGCACCTGTAATTCCAGCTACTCAGGAGGCTGAGGCAGGAGAATCACTTGAACCTGGGAAGCAGAGGTTGCAGTGAACCGAGATCACACCATTGGACTCCAGCCTGAGGGATAGAGCGAGACTCTGTCTCAAAAAAAAAAAAAAAAAAAAAAAGCTGAAGGCCAATTTCATGTCAATAGATCACTCAGGAAGAAATGTACATGGAGAACCCATGAACAAATGACTGTCATGTCTCCTGTTAGGGAGACAGAGAGGGCGATCCACAGTGAGGGATCACTGACTGTGGGGCAGCCACACTGGGGCACGCACTGGGGTCCACAGCAAATGAGGTGCAGCAGCTGAAACAACACGCCCTCAGTCCCACAATGGGTGAGTAGTGGAGCTTGGACTCCAACCCACCTCTGTCTGCAGCCAAAGCTCTGAATTGGCTAACACCATGTCTGAAGGCTGGATGCTCCCAGGCCTGTAAGGCCCAGCAAGACTGGGGAACAGAGCAGCCCTAGACGGATGGGTATAGACACTTGGGGTGCGGGCCCCTTCCCTTTAGTCATGATGGGCCAGACAAGAAGTTTGGCTAGAGACCATGTCTGCAAGCCCAGGTTGGCTGTGCTGAGCTGCAGGCTTTCCATCTCCCTGGAACTGTGAAATCCTTGCAGGCTTTCCCCTCAGCCCCCACCAAGATAGGCACCCCCATCCCTGCACTTGGAGACTGGAGCTTTCTCTTCTTAGCAGATGCTACCTGGGTGGTTGTGACTACAGGGCTGTGGGTGGAGATGAGACAACTCAGGATGTACACATTTTTGAATTGGGATAAAATACCAGCTAAATATTTGTCCTAGATTTTTCCTTCTGAGGAATTGAATTATGAGATGCCAGTTGTTTTAATATGAGCTATGCATTATCACACACAGAGTCTATTACATGCATAGTAAGCCATACACATGCATACAGAAGCAACTACACACACAGATACACACCCACACACACAAAGAGGAGGACCTAGCAACTATTTTCCTAAGGGACCATTTTCAGGGCTCACTTCCAGAACATTGAATGGTTCTTAGGAAGCAGAGATAGTCTCCAAACTCAAGAAAATATTTTTCCTAGGACCTGTAAATGCTACACATGATAATTGTCCTAATCTTGTTCCTCTAGGTCCTCTACTATCCAGCCCTCCCTTGCCCTGAGGATTATTACTTCCCTAGCCCTTGGAGTACTCAGCTTCCTGGGGTCTCCCCGAGCCACCCTCCTTCATCTAGCTTCCAGAAGGTGAAGACAGAATAGAAACTTTAAGGTCAGAGCTCATCTGTGGAAATGGGTTAATCCAGTTTTAGCATCATGGACAGCCCCCTATCCCCGCCCCCAATTTCTTCCCTCCCAGTAATGGAGGAGGCTGAGGTTCCATTTTGATAAGTTTGGGAAAGAGAAACTGGGAGCTTCCTGCTAATAGCATTAGGACATGGGGACACCCAGGTTACTGAGAGGTCTGCATCCAGACAGGGCTTCGTCTACTCCAGCCACAGGCTCATAGGTTCTTTAAATTCTCCAATCTAATATTTCAAAGCCATGCATATTTTGCCCTCTGTGATATATCCATGATTGTTTTAATATAAAATATAAAATAATGGGCATTTTCCACACAGAGGGAGGATGTCCTATACCCATCTTATGGCTTCATGTATCTCTGGGCACACTGCCAAAATTCTTCTGGGGTGTGTGGTGTGAGGTACACTGCCCATGGAGTGAAGGCCAAGATCCTTAACTTGGAATTCAACATTTTATGTTCTGGCTCCTAACTTTTCCCAATCATCATCCACCACTTCCTCATTTTCCTCCTCTATTTTCATCCCTGCCCACCCTCACATGTCACACAAGATTTACTCTCCCCTCTCAAACTCCCTACACATAACAACAGGGTTGCTTTGAGCCCCTGACCCACCTCCAGTTCTCTTTAGACTGAACCCTCTCCCCATGGGAGAAAGTGGGTCTTTCCACCCCTGCCTTCTCTGCTCCTGCCTATGAATACAGACACACAGGTCCTCATCCTCTGAACAATCTGAGGTTCAGCCCACGCCACCCAATACGGCAGAGGAGTGGTTCTGCTGTTGTTAAGGAATAAACATTAGCCGAACACCATGGATTTGTTTCTTTTCTTTTTTTGAGATAGAGTCTCGCCCTGTCACCCAGGCTGTAGTACAATGGCGCAATCTCGGCTCACTGCAACCTCTGCCTCCCAGGTTCAAACGATTCTCCTGCCTCAGCCTCCTGAGTAGCTGGGATTACAGGCACCTGCCACCACGTCTAGCTAATTTTTGTATTTTTAGTAGAGATGTAGTTTCACCATGTTGGCCAGGCTGGTCTCGAACCCCTGACCTCATGATCCGCCTGCCTTGGCCTCCCAAAGTGCTGGGATTACAGGCATGAGCCACCTTGCCCGGCCCATTTCTTTTCTTTTTCTTCTCTCTTTCTTTTTCTTTTTTCTTTCTCTCTCCTTCCTTCCTTCCTTTTTTTCTCTCCTTTCTTTCTCTCTTTTTTCTTTTTCCTTTTCTCTCTCTCTCCCCTTCCTTCCTTCCTCTCTCTTTCTCCTTCCTTCCTTCCTTCTTCTCTCTCTCTCTTTCTTTCTTTTTTTTGACAGGGTCTCCCTCTGTCTTCCAGGCTGGAGTGCAGTGGCATGATCTCGGCTCACTGCAACTTTTGCCTCCTAGGTTCAAGTGATTCGCCTGCCTTAGCCTCCAGAGTAGCTGGGACTACAAGTGAGCACCACCATGTCTGACTAATTTTTGTATTTTTAATAGAGACAGGGTTTTGCCATGTTGGCCAGGCTGGTCTCAAACTCCTGACCTCAAGTGATCCACCCGCCTCGGCCTCCCAAAGTGCTGGGACTACAGGCGTGAGCCACCGTGCCCAGCCTTGTTTCTCTTTTTGATTCTTGTCTTATAACATGGGCTCCTCATCATTGCTCTTCCTCCCTCACCCCTGCCACAGACACCAATGAACTAAGGAGTTTCAAATCTTGCCCAGGACAGCTGCAGCTGGAGAGTAAAGAAAGGGTCGAGGCTTTGGGGGATTTTCCTCACCCTATAGTCTAATTGTGGCTCAGTGAACCTTCAACAGAGATAGAGGCTGTGTGCGAACTGAGGCCTCTGCCTCAAAGCCTCCGTGTGAAATCTCTTCCGGTGAGATTTCCTGCTGCTCTAGCATCGGGCTGGGGCCTCCAGGAGGCTGTTGGGGTGGACAGAAGGAATTGCAGCTGTCCCTGTCAGCATCATGAATGGCCCTGATCCTGGGAGGTTAGAGCAGGAAGGTGCCACTCCCACACTGGTCAACAGCTCCATGGACACCTGCTGTATGCCAGGCCTGTCCTGGGCTTGGGGGCCACATGGATGGGTTGGACATCGCCCTTTTCCTCGGGGAGTTCACAGTCTATGGGCTGGTGGATGAATCACAAATTTAGCCCAGAGAGTGGGCATAAATCAGCCCAGGTCCCACAGCCAGACAGCAGACAGGGTTGGGACAGAGCCCAGGGTTCCTGACACTCGGGCTGCCCGACCAGGACTTACTGTGCAGGTGCCAGGCCAGCAAGAGGGGTCGGGAGATGTTTTCCAGGGCAAGACCCTGATTTGTGATACGAAGTGTACACGGAGACAGAATCAGAAGGAAAGGGACTGGATCCACAGAAGTGCTTGCACCTGCTGGCTGCTCCCTGTCTCCAACGCTTATCCAATTCTGTACTTGAAAAATGGCACCGCATCAGTTAGGACCTGCAAACACCAACAAACGGGCTTAGGCAAATTTGGCAAGTCAGCGGCGCAGCCGACCGAGAACTCCAGAGCGAGTGCTACTCAGTTGCCCTTTGATCCTGGGTTCAGGTTTGGGCTCCATCTCTCTGGCATTCTCTCCTTTCTCCTCGACTGTTGCTGTCCTTGCTGGCCCGTCACACCCTCACTCTGCAGCGACCAGAAAAAAAGAGCCAGTCGCTTCCGGGACGTCCCTCTGAAGAGAGGGACAACTCCTCTTTCCCAGAAACCCCAGCGAACATCTCCTCGCCTTTCATTGGTCTGAACTGGGTCATGTGCCATTTCCTGAACCAATCACTTTATCCAGCAAGATAGGCTAGCCCCACGGCTTAGGCCAATCAGAACCCGGCCCTGGAGCTGAGGGTGGGTCGTTCAGGGCACGTGTTGAGAGGACAGGGTAGTTCCCTGAGGGAGGGTCTGTCGATTTGGTGGGAAGTGCTGACATGGAGGCTGGGGAGGCAAACAAAGCCCTGAGATAGTCGCCATCGCCATTGCCTGAGATCATTAATATGATCCAGTCAATCAGAACTCCCCCCGCTGCTCCAGCCCTGTCTTCGTGTCCTGCCTTATGGCCAAGCCCTCTGCTTAGTGGAATGGAGCCCCCCTCATCCATACTGGCTCATGACTCCATTCATTTGCCCTTGCTGTGCCCTCCATCCGGGATTCTCAGCCCCTAATCTCTACCCTCCTTATCTTTTAGATCCCAGGTCAAGCTTCACCTTTTGCAATTTTGAAATGAATAATCTCTGCCGGGGATTCCCACAGCACCTCGCTCCCACCATCATTTCCAACACCATTATGGTCAGCTTTCCTTATGGCATCCCTGCCCCTACTTTCTACCTGCTATCGGCGCAGAGCTTGCCAGTTCCTTGAAGGTTTGGCTCTGGATAGGACTTAATTAATTTCTCTGTTCTCAGACTCTGGGTACTGCCTGGTTTAAAGAAAGAACTCAATATTTGTTGAATTAATGAAAATAAGTTTCTGTTGAAGACATGACTTCTTTGAAGTTGTTTGCATTTTAACAAATGGCAAAGCCTCAAGCCATAGAAATGGAGCTCCAGTGGTAGAATTTCAAGCACCAATAAGCTGGATACAGAAGCTCCCTTTAATGCTTGGGGGAGGAGATGACTGTCTTGGAAAGTGGAATTTTCTATTCCTGCCTTTTCAGTGCAAAAAACAATCACGTTGTCTCCTGAAAACAAATGTGTTTCCCTTTGGCTGTCTGGTGGGAGGAAACTTCTCTAGTCTTGTCAGCTTTCCTGCCCTGGTTCTGGTTGACAGAATGTTCCTCCTGATCCCTGTGAGTTGTGTGGGTGATGCCCTGGTTGACCTTCTCAGCTCTCTGACCCCCCAGCCCCCAAGCTTGCCTGCCAGTCTATCTCTGCCTAGGTGGGGAGGCCCCAACGTTAGTTGGGAGTTTGAAGAAGCCTTGTTCTGCAGCTCAGGCATTTCCACATCAAGCCCATTGTCTTGACTGCTTCTCTCCAGCTGACCTGAGGCACATCCTGACCATTTGTGCCCTCCTTGGTCCTCCAGTCAAGCCCACCTCATGCCCCAGCTCCACATGCTATGCATGCTCTCTGCCCTCAAGCTTGTCCCCTCCAGTCTAACCCAGAATGCCCGTCAGCAGCACAAAGCTGGCTGGGTCCCTCCCAGCTGGAAACCCTTCCCAGGCTCCCAGTGCCCTCAGCTCACAGCCCATGCAGAGGCACAGACATCAGCCAGACACAAACCATAAAGCATGTGTCCCTACTTTTGCACCTGCCTTTCTCCCTGTCTAGATGCCCTCCCCTCTCTGTTGATCTGGTGAGCTGTTACTCATGCCTCAAGATCCAGCTCCAATATACCCTTCTTAGTGAAGCCCTCCCTGCTTGGCCTATTTCTGTCTTGGCACATGTCCCCTCGTCTGTCTCCTCCACTAAACTGTGAGCATACCTAGGTCAGAAGCCAGAGTGATTTTTCTGTCTCCAGCATCAGACAGCAGAAGAGGTGTCAATGTGTGTTTGTAGAGGGTTAAATGAAGGATCGAACTTGCTACTGTTGCAATAACAGCAACAATTATATCTTTTATTTTGGAGAATATGCTGCACACCAGGCACTGTGCTAGGCAGTTTGCCTGCATTTGTCTGCTATGGCTTCACAAGCCTTTCTGAGTTTGGTGTGATCATTAGGTGCATTTTACAGATGAGACACAGTGTGCTCAGAGAGGTTAAGGGGCAGTCCAAGGTCACACCATGAAGGAGTGAAAGGGCTAGAACTTGAAATCAGGGATGTCTGGCTCCACTTTCTTCATTTACTGGGGACGTACTATGTTCCAGGTGCTGTTCTGTGGTCTGGGGATACAGAATAAGCCAAGTCCCTGCCTTTGTGGAGCTCACATTCTAGTGTATGGTGTAGGGAGGGGACAAACAACAAATGAATATATGACAAATGCCAGGGGCTGATCAGTACTATGTAGTGGGGACATATTAGTTTGCTAGGGCTGCCATAACAACACTACAGACTAAGTGGCTTAAACAACAGAAATGTATTTTCTCATAGTTCTGGAGGCTGGAAGTCCAAGATCAAGGTGCTTGCGGGGTTAGTTTCTTTGGAGTCTCTCTCCTTGGCTAGCCACCTTTGTGCTATGTCCTCAAGTGGTCTTTCCTTTGTGTCCACTTTGATATCTGTGTGTCCTAATCTCTTAGGGCCTCATTTTTGACTTAATCACCTTCTAGAGGCCCTATCTCTAAATACAGTCACATTCTGAGGTACTAGAGGTTATGACTTCAACACGAGTATTTTGAGGGGACAAAAGCAATTTAGGGAGTCAAAGAGTGATAGATGGGGGTTGGTGACACTTTAGGGGACATCTGAGCAGGGATGGGAATGAACTGAAGGTCAAACCCTGCTTACAGCTGAGGGAAGCATACTCCTGGGCAGGAGAAACAGCCTGTGAAAAGGCCCTGGGGAATAGCAGAAGGTCACTGTGGGCAGAGCTTTGTGCTGGGGAAAGGAGAGGGGATGAGGTCAGGGGGGGAGTGGGAGTTGAGGGGGCAGATGCATGCACGTTCCCAGAACATCTTTACAGAACTTAATGGCTCAAATGGACTGACTCTTCCTACCCCTAGGAGTATGTAGTTCAACACCTGTGTTGTGCAGAAGGGGAAATTGAGGGCCAGAATGGGAAAGGACCTGTCCAGAGTCACACAGTGTGTTGGTGTTGGACGTCCTGCCCAAAGACTCTGCCTTTAGCAGCCCTCTCTTGGGGGAGGTGGGGACGGAGCGACAGCTGGTGCAGGCAAAGCTCTGCTGAGAGGACAGATTTGAGGATTGGGATTATCATTATTGTTATTGTTATCCCTGTGCAGAAGTGACAGTGGATCCCACCAAGAGCCAAGGGGAGAAGAGGAGCCCAAGTGTGAGGGGCTCAGGGCAGCTGCTCCCTGAGTGGGGAGAGTGATTTCTACCCAGGCATTGTCCTCCTGCCTTCTCCTGATGTGCTTCCTTAATGCCAGCTTATTAAGCAGTTTCCACCCTAACAAACATGGGTGCAGCCTCGGCCACTGTGAACCCTCTGCCAGGCTGGGGGAAGTCCCAGGTCCTGTCACCAAAATTACCATTGAACGAGCATTGAAGAGAAGGTGCCAGGAGTGGTGCAGCCCCTCACTAGCACCATCTTGTCCATCCTCACCTCATGGAACAGGAGGGCATAAAGCCCATTTTAAAGATGAGGTGACTGGCCGGGTGTGGTGGCTCACGCCTGTAAGCCCAGCACTTTGGGAGGCTGAAGCGGGTGGATCACTTGAGGTCAGGAGTTTGAGACCAGCCTGGCCAACATGGTGAAACCCCGTCTCTACCAAAAATACAAAAATTAGCTGGGTGTAGTGGCGCACAGCTGTAGTTCCAGCTACTTGGGAAGCTGAGGCAGGGGGATTGCTTGAAGGTAGAGGTAGAAGTTGCAGTGAGCCAAGAACATGCTACTGCACTTCAGCCTGGGTGACAGAGGGAGACTCCATCTCAAAAAAAAAAAATAAATAAAAAAATAAAAAATGGTGAGGTGACTGAGTTCCAGAGAGGTCAGGCCACCGACCCAGGCACCAGCTGGTGAGTGGCAGGGATGAGATTTGGAATGTATGTCCATGGGGCTCCAGAGAGGGCCAGTTCTAACCACTCCACCATCCTACACCTCATGATCTCCTGGGCACTGCCCACCACCTGCCACCCTTGGGAGAGCCACTCCCCCTCTCTGGACCTCAGTTTTCTCATCTGGAAAATAAAAGGGACAACTCCTGACCCTTCTGCTTCCTGGAATGTTGTGGTGGCTCCTTGTCTACAAGGTAAATGGACACATAATGACATGGACGATAGCACTGACCCCCACGCCACACATCTGAGCTCCTCAGGCCCGCTCTAAAGCCTATGGAGTAGGGAGCCTCAGCCTCATTTCTTGAGGAGAGAGCTGAGGCTCAGAGAGGTTCGGGAGCCCACTCGAGGCCACACAGGTAGAAAGGTTAGTGCTGGGACCGTTTTCTGTTGGATCCCTTCCCCCATCCTATAGGAGCTGAGCCTCCTTGCACTGTGATCACTGGTGGCTTTTGGACAAAGTAAGAATGAGTTTAAAGGGAACTTAAAAAATGGATCATGTCTTCTCTCACCATTTAATAGTCATACTCTGAACCAGCAGCTATGAAGCCTGCATGGCCCTGTCCAAATCCCCGTCCAAATCCCCACCCTTGCCTTCCCCTCCCTCACGGCTCCCAGCTACCTGCTCCTGCAGTTGCTGGAACATGTCCGCCCACGCCTTCTGCCTGACCTGCCTGTGAGCTGCTTCCTCTTCCTGGAATACTCTTCTCCCTTCCTGCCCCCTCCTCCAACCCACTCTGCACACTGCTGACAGAGGATCTTTAAACACAGGATCCCAGTGGCATCACAACCTAGCTTCAACCTCTCCCATGGCCCATTACTGCCCTTGTTAAGCTGCTAGACCTTGGCACAGCCCTCGTGGTCCCGCCTGACCCAGTCCTGGTGGTGTTTCCAGCCTTGCTGCAACCTCGCTGGGGTCTCTGTTCCCTGGATGCCCCAAGCTCCTTCTTGCCTCAGGCCCTTTGCATAGACCGCTCTGGCCACTAGAAAATCTCTTCTCCTCCTATTTACCTGACTGACTCATTCTGACCCTCCTGGTCTCAGTTCAAATGTTTCCTCAGTGGGGCCTTCCCTGGACTCCCCAGATCAATCCCTCTTTTTGTTCTCCCTCACATTGTTTTATTCTCTCACTTCACAATAAGCACCCACATTTTAAATTATATTTATTTATGTCTCATTCCTCTCCTAGACTATTTGCTGTCTCCAGATGGGAAACATCCTGTGATGTTCATGATGTCTAGCACAAAATAGGTGCTAGGTAAATAGATGGAGTGAGTGAATGAGTAAACAAAGTTGAACATCCTCAGTCTCTTGATGAGACAGAGATTCTGGGGGCAGTGTCCCCAGGAGGGCCTGACAGGTGCCTTTTCCCCCCAAGTGCCTGTATCCCCTTTGGTGAGTGAAGTCAGCAGGGATGCTGTCACCATGACTACACGCTCAGGAGCCCACATCCTGTTTCAGGACTATATTTAATTCCACTGTGCTCCATTCATCACTTCTCCCAGCAAGATCATAACATTTTGACATCAACAGGGGCCTGGAGATGCGAGCGTATCAATGCACCACTGAAATGTCAGGCGGGAGTCCCCCACACTCCCTCATGCCTGGAAAGGATGAACGGCTTCCACCCATAGGAGGCCATTTATCCTTTGCTTGTTTGGTGAGACCTGCTCCCTGGTGGGGGAGGTGGAAGCCGCCTGGAGGCCCAAGGCTGTTGGGAACCAGCAGGCACCACCGAGCCCACCTGTCTCCTAATAGGAGCTCACCGCAGCTGCTCAACACATGATTGGTTGAATAAAGGAATTAATCGGATTGATCCATCTGACTGGCGGTTTCTGCTGATTGGTTCCTCCTGTGATTTGCTTGTGTGATAAATACTTTCCTCTTCAGTCCTGGGTTATATAAGGCACTCGCCTTCCTATTGTGTGTCCATTCTGCTAGCAGCTGAAGGGGGCAGTCTAGCTGAGGCCCAGAGCTCAAAAGAACACCTAGGACATTACCTCTTCCAAGGACTATGGGGACGGTGGTGGGGGTTGAGTCCAGACCTCCACTCCCTCCAGCATTCCCTTCTCTTCCTACTTCCACAGAGAGCCCTATGAGCAGATTTCTGCTTTCCCAAATTTTCCACTAATTCAGTCTTCTGAGCCCTTGGATCCAGCCCCACCCTACTTTTGCTTACTCCATGGAACTCATTCTCAGCTTTAAGCTTGGCCCCCTTCCCCCCCAGTCACCTCAGGGAGACCCTTGTTCTCCTAGGATCATCAGGCGCAAAGGCAAAAAGCACATCAGCTCATCTAGAGGACCTCAGGCGTTTGTCCAGGAACCTGCCCTTCTATTAACAGGGTCCTCTGGTCTGACATGTGGACACTTGGAGAGAGGCAGCCCCACTTTCTCTAGAATCACAACCTGTAAACACCATCTGAGCCTGGAGTTGTTGGAGGCCACCTTCCCTGCAGTGAGGAGAAAGACTGCCTGAGAAAGGTATCAACACAGAGGGAAGCAGAGCTAAGAGAAGGAAGGAGGGAGCCAGGGCCTGGTGACACGGTTCGAGCCTCTGCCTCCACCCATCCCTGAAGCCATGGTTCCATGCTGCGAATTTTCCAGGAACATTCTAGCTTTCCTTAGCTATGTGTGTTCTGCCCCTTGCAATAAAAGTTCTGCCTAAAACCAGCCTCAATCAAGGGTCAGAGTCAAACTCCAGAAGGGAAGCAAGACCTGGAAAGGAGAAGCGAAGCAGCAGAGCTGAGGTGCCGGGAATCCTGGGCAGGTGCGCAGGGCGAGGGTGGGCGGGGCCGTGGGCGGTGCTAGAGGCGGGCCCGACTATGCCAATCTGGGGCGCCGGCCAATGGGAGCCCCTGTGTGTCCTGTCTTAGGATGGACCAGGTATCTTCTGGGGCCTGTGAGGTGAGACGAAGGTAGGAGTTATCGCCATCTTACAGATCAGGAAACTGAGGCCTAAAGAGGGACGCACAGCTAGAAAGGGGCAGAATCAGGATTCAGACTCTGTCAGACTCAAGCCCGAGGTCTGAAGGAGTTCCCTTAAACTGCTGGAGTCAGAGACTGCTAAAATAATGGAATCTCAGAATTCGTACTGAATCTGATAAAAAACAGGGCCATCAGGTGTCAAAGTCTAGTACGTCCCCCCACTCACCACACTGTGTCCAGGGCATGCACTCTCTGGGTCTTCCTCTGACCTCTCGGGCTGGCCCTTCTTAGTCTCTTAGCTGGGTCCTTCTCTTGTTCCTGCTCTCTCAAAATGGGAGAGCCCAGGGCTCAGTCCTCCACCTTCTCCTCCTCTCCATCGACATTCTCCCCCAGATGAGACCACCCAGTCCCATAGCAATACCATCTACACACTCGCCGCCCCCAAATTGACACTGCTCACCTGGGCTTTGACTCTGTCAGCTCCTGCCACATTTCTCCACTTGGACGTCTAACGGGCCTCTCAATGTGTCCGCCTGGAACTACCTCCACCCCCAGCCCAGCCAAGCCTGCTCTTCTCAGCTTCTGCCCTGTGTCCCCCCTAGCCCCAGTCTTCGGGGGTGGCCCCACCTTCCCCAGCCTGACTGGGAAGTGGGAGTGTCTGAGCTGCTCAAGGACACGGGCACTGGCTGTGCACCTAGTGTTTACCGCTGATGAGAACAGAGTTTGCAAACAGCTGTCCATGGGGCTGATTCGGCTCACAGATCCATTTCCTTTGGCTGGCCCTCATGGTGTTTTTTTGTTGTTGTTTAGTAAAATTTTAAATTTTAGAGTAGGTTTAGATTTGCAGAAAAGTTAAAGATAGACCAGAGAATTTCCATAAACCCAGCACTCAATTTCCCTCATTATCTCATTATTATATTTTTCAAAACATGCCTCTCTTTTTTTTTTTTTTTTTGAGACGGAATCTTGCTCTGTCACCCAGGCTGGAGTGCAGTGGTGCCATCTCGCCTCACTGCAAACTCCGCCTCCTGGGTTCACGCCATTCTCCTGCCTCAGCCTCCCGAGTAGCTGGGACTACAGGTGCCTGCCACCATGCCCCGCTATTTTTTTGTATTTTTAGTAGAGACGGGGTTTCACCACGTTATCCAGGATGGTCTCGATCTCCTGACCTCGTGATCCGCCCGCCTCAGCCTCCCAAAGTGCTGAGATTATAGGCGTGAACTACCACACCCGACCGCCACTCTTTAAAAGTGAGCAAAAATGAGGACATTCTACCAAAAAAAAAGACAGAAAAAGAAAAAAAAAACCATATATCTGCCATGTCCTGAAAAATCGGATGATCTACCCACGCTAGGCTCAGAATGGGCCACAGCCATGATGGGGAGCGGAGTCCCTCCCAGCCTGCCCTGTTTGCACAGTGTGTATTTGCTCTTATGTCTGGCTCATTTCACTGCTACATGTTCCCTGCCTGGCCCCCTTTGGCACTGGTTAAAATAATAGTAGTTTAAGATTCTCAAATCACAGTCATAGAATTGTAGACACCTAGACTTACAGAATCTTAGAATTTGTTAATTCATTCAATAAATATTTTCTTAATGTCCACTCTGTGCCAGGCTCTGTGCTGGGTACTGGGACAATTCTGCAGCTGTCAGGTGGAGAACAGATTGTCTTAAAGCAGGAGTGGAGGCTTGGAGCTGAAGAGGAGGTGGCCATAGCTGGGCAGGCCCCTCAGGCAGAGTGAAACCTCCCTGCCCACTGGTTTCATTCACACTCCTCCTAGTGCCAGCAAAGAGGGTCCCATGTCCAGACATGCCAGGAGCTTGGGCCTGCAATCATTAGGAACTACAGAATGTCCAGGAACTATAGAATGTCCAGGACATAGAATGTCCAGGGAGTCCCCACCTCCCTTCTCCTTGCTGGAAGAAAAGTGTGTGTGTGTGTTGCCTCCCAGCAGGGAAGTCTTAATTCTCTGTAGTCACTTAAAGTTCATGAGACATCTCAGTGTTCTATTTTTGGTTGGTTTCATCTCTGCAGTTCTCCCCAGCATGGGCAACTGGGATGGCACAGGGGAAAGGAATGATGTAGAAGCAATGTTTGAACAATAATGACAATATGAATGACCATGACCACCACTTGTGAATCATTACTACGTGCCAGACACTGACCTGCTTGCTCGCAGACTCCTCAAAAGAGCCCAGCAAAGTTGTCACTCCTCATTTTACAGATGAGGAAACTGAGGCTTTGAGAGGCTAAATAACTTGCTTAAATTCTCACAATGGCCAAGTGTGAGAGGTGGAAATCAAACCCATTGTCGGTCTAGAGCCTTCTCTCTGCCACTATCTGACCCTCTTGTAATTCTGTAATGTGGGGAAAAGCAAGAGAGATCAGATTGTCACTGTGTCTGTGTAGAAAGAAGTAGACATGGGAGACTCCATTTTGTTATGTCCTAAGAAAAATTCTTCTGCCTTGAGATTCTGTGACCTTACCCCCAACCCCATGCTCTCTGAAACATGTGCTGTGTCAAACTCAGGGTCAAATGGATTAAGGGTTGTGCAAGATGTGCTTTGTTAAACAGATGCTTGAAGGCAGCACGCTCCTTAAGAGTCACCACCACTCCCTAATCTCAAGTACCCAGGGACACAAAAACTGCGGAAGGCCGCAGGGACCTCTGCCTAGGAAAGCCAGGTATTGTCCAAGGTTTCTCCCCATGTGATAGTCTGAAATATGGCCTCGTGGGAAGGGAAAGACCTGACCGTCCCCCAGCCCGACACCCGTAAAGGGTCTGTGCTGAGGAGGATTAGTATAAGAGGAAGGCATGCCTCTTGCAGTTGAGATAAGAGGAAGGCATCTGTCTCCTGCCCGTCCCTGGGCAATGGAATGTCTCGGTATAAAACCCGATTGTACGTTCCATCTACTGAGATAGGGAAAAACCGCCTTAGGGCTGGAGGTGGGACAGGCGGGCAGCAATACTGCTTTGTAAAGCATTGAGATGTTTATGTGTATGCATATCTAAAAGCACAGCACTTAATCCTTTACCTTGTCTATGATGCAAAGACCTTTGTTCACGTGTTTGTCTGCTGACCCTCTCCCCACTATTGTCTTGTGACCCTGACACATCCCCCTCTCGGAGAAACACCGACGAATGAATAAATACTAAGGGAACTCAGAGGCTGGCGGGATCCTCCATATGCTGAACGCTGGTCCCCCGGGTCCCCTTATTTCTTTCTCTATACTTTGTCTCTGTGTCTTTTTCTTTCCTAAGTCTCTCGTTCCACCTTACGAGAAACACCCACAGGTGTGGAGGGGCAACCCACCCCTTCACTGTAACATGAAGCTATTTATAATGCTCACCTCACTGTCTTCTTGAGAGATGGAAATAAGATGATGCATGTATGTTCTCACTTACTTGTGGTATTTAAAAATCCAAACAATTGAACTCATGGAGATAGAGAATAGACGGATGGTCACCAGAGGCTGGGAAGGGCAATGGGGCTGCGGGGGAGAGGTGGGGATGGTTCATGGGTACAAAAAAGCAATAGAAAGAATGAATAAGACCTAGTATTTGATAGCACAACAGGGGGACTATCGTCAATAATAATTTAATTGTACATTTAAAAATAATTAAAAGTGTGTATATGGATTGTTTGTAACACAAAGGATAAATGCTTGAGGGGATGGATAACCAATTTTCCAGGATGTGATTTTTACACATTGCATGCCTGTACCAAACTATCTCATGTACCCCATAAATATATTAAATATATACCTACTATGTGCCCACAAACAATTAAAAATAAAAACAATTAAAAAAAAGACGATGCAGTAAAATACTTACCATGGTGTCGGGTGCAAAGTAGGTACTCAACAAACAGTAGCTGTTAGTATTAGGATTGTAGCTGATCCCAGAAGGAAAGTTGGCTTTGGCTCCCTATTCTAGCCCTACCACCCTCATAGGGGATGTCTGCACTGAGGCTGGTGTCTCTCTCTCTCTCTTCTGTGTGTGTGTATGTGTGTGGGAGGAAGTTGCTGTTTATTCCTCACTCCACTCTCTGCTAGAGGGAGGGAAAGATTTGGAGATCAATTCAGTGAAGGCAGGTAAGCTTCAAATACCTCTGAATGACTTGCAATTTATTCATCAGTTTCCTCGAAAACATCATGTCCTGTTCCTCTCAACCCCATTCTTGAATTTTTCACATTCAACCAGGCAGTGTCCCTTGACTGGGGTAATTTCAAGCAATCCTCTCTGTTCCAGCACCTTTGAGAGACAGATCTTATTGTGTCCACTTCACAGGTTGAGGAATCTATGCTTGTGTAACCCCTGCTCCCCTCTACCTCTCTCCAATGGGCAAGGCTGTGTCCCCAGGCCCTGCTCCACATCTGCCCTGCCCTAATCTGGGGCATAGTTGTGTGTAGAGACCCCATATGGGTGGGTCTCAGAGGAGCGCTATCAAAAGGGTGGCCACCTGGAAGGTAGAGAGAGAGCCCTCGACTTGGCATTGGAATCCCCTGCCTAATCCCAGCTCTGAGTCCCTGAGAGACCTCCTGGGATTCTATTTCCCCACCTGACAATAAGGGAATTGTACCAGATGATCTCTAGTATAAATGCTGTTCCAGACTGAAAAACAAGTAGAAAAGAATGAACTTTGGGTTGAAAAATGGGGACTAAACCTTGTTTAGGAGAACACAGGGTCCAGAGAGAGAGGATCATGAGAGCAGGGACCAGCTCCCTGAGGAAGAGCTCCCAAGGTCCGGGAGAAACTGCAGCAGACATGGTGGGGAAAAAGTAACAAGATCAATAGCAAACCCCAAACCTGGGGTGGCAGAGTGTTGGGGGTTTATGGGGGAGCTTGGGCATCGGAATCCCTTCAACAAGCTCGAGAGGTAAGGACAACGACCCCATTGTACAGATGAGTCAGGTGTGCCCTGAGGGGGAAGCAGCTCCCTGGAGATGCGGGCCAGGACTTGAACCTGAGTCTCTGCTTGGTGCCCTGTCCTCCCTGTGTGCAGGGTAGGAACTCAGAGGGCCTGTTCTGGGGCCAGGAGAATTGGTGGTGGTGGTGGTGGTTGTTGGTGGGGTGCGTTGATTTGTTCCCATCCATACAGAGCCACTGAGATGTGGGTTTGCATGGCTAGGTAGTGAGCATCCCATCTGTGAAGCGGGCAGGACCAACATCACTGCACCCACAGCACTCCTTGCCAGTCGGGGTTTGGAGCGCCAGGGCCTCCGGGAGGAGGCTGGTTTGCACCCAGGGCTGGGGCTGCATGGTGTCTTCAGGCCTCACTACCACCCCTGTGGGGTGCACAGTGGGGCTCCACTTTTCGCAGTGGAGGCTCTCAAAGGTGAAGGCGGACCCAGGCTCACTCAGCTGGGGAAGTGCAGATTCAGGGCAGGCCCAGAGCCCCAACCCAGCCCCTCTGAGCTCTCATCCTGAGCAAGGCAGTGAGGTGGATGCACATGTCTGCCGCCACGCCTGCTGCTCCCCGCTCTCCAGCACCCGGATGGTTCAGCAGTGATTGTTTTATTACTTAAGTCACATCCAATAATTTTTACTCCTTTGGCTGGACGTTGAGAAATGGTCTCAGCCACCGGGGTGGAAGGTGAATGAGGTATTGCTGGAGAAGAGGGAAAAAGGATCAGTTCGATAGAGGCTGAAGTGGTCCAGGATGCAGAGAAAGACCAGAGGCCAAAGAGGCCGGCCAGGGGTCAGGACAGTGGGCTTCCAGCTCAGCAACCTCATCACCAAATCCTTTGTGACTTGGGCAGGCCCATGACCCTCCCTGAGCCTCAGCTCCCTCCTGGATAAAATAACTGATTCCCTCATCCTTGTTCTGCTCCACGACCTGTTGTCCCCAGTACCAGGGTGTTGCATTTTTAAAAAGTTTTTCTGTTTTGTAGAGACAAGTTCTTGCCATGTTGCCCAGGTTGGTCTCGAACTCCTGGGTTCAAGTGATCCTCCCACCTTGGCCTCCCAAAGTTCTAGGATTACAGGCGTAAGCCACTGGGCTTGGCCCAGGGTGCTGAATTAGTCCTGCTCAGTGCTGCCTCCCCTCCCTTGGACATAGTGCTGAGGAAATGGATATTTATTCATCCAACAAGTATGTATTGAGCACTGACTGCATACCAGGGCTTATCCTGTGGGGATCCTGTGGAAAAGGGGGAACGGGACTCCTGGTCTCAGAGAACTTCCCTTCCCAAGGTGGAGAAGGAGGATAGGAAACAAGTGGAAACATCACTGGACAAGACACCTGATAGTGGCCGTGGAGACGAACCCACGTGACGGGTGACAGACCAGGAGGGGAAACATGCCTGTTTGGGTGGTGGGTCAGGGCTAGCTTCTGTGAGGAGGCGACACAGAGCTGGGCCCAAATGGACAAACCTGGAGGGTGCAAAGATGGAGACTATGATGACCAACCCTCCTGGTTTGTCCAGGACTGAGAGGTTTCCTGGGATGCAGGGCATTTGGTGATAAGACCAGGACAGTCCTAGGAAAAAGTGGGATGTGTTCATCACCCTAATAGAGACACGCATGGCCCTTGAGGAGCTTGTGGTTGGGTGAGGCTGACAGGCCCCCAGACAGCTACTCTTAATAGGGTAGGGAGGGCCCGGCTGGAGGTGAGCAGAGGAGGGGCTGTGTGCCCAGACCTGTGCCAAGTGCTTTACACATATTAACTCATTTAATCAACAACGCTGTGGTGAGGGCACCGTCACCATCCCCATTTTACAGATGCAGAAGCTGAGGCACAGCAAGATTAAGTAGCTTGCCCAAATGACACACTGGGAAGTGGTAGAGCCTAGATTTCAACCAGCCAGGCTGACTCTGGAGGCTGAACCCTTCACTACTTCACGCCGCTGCTGCTGCCGTGATAGTAGCAGCCAACCTGTATGGAGCTCCTCCTGTCTGCCAGGTGCTGGGCTAAGCACTTACAGGCCTCCTCTCCTCCACTCCTCTCCTTCACCCTTGGAGGTGGCTGTTTTTTGCCTTGTCTTTTCAGTCTCATATTTTTGTCCCAAGGACAGATGCAAGGTTGGGGTCCAGAGTGGTCAAGGAAGGGGCTCCAGGTCACATGATGTCAGCACCTGACCCCCAGTGACAGAGGCCTGGGGATCCAGGGCTTAGCATTCCCAGATGATTGGGAAGAAAACTGGAGAACAGAAGAAACATGACATATTTCCTTTCACAGAGAATACGCCTGTCTGAAGAGGCTCCTGTAAGACCCACTGTGCTCGTGGTGGAAACCCAGGTATCTGGCAGGTGGTGCTGCCAGCCAGCCAGAACCCTCCTTCTCCTCCCAGAGCTATTGAGTGTGGCCCCTGAACTGGTGGACACAGTCTCCCTGACTTGGGCACAGATTGAGATAGAGAGTCCTGTGCTGGGCTCCCAGAGAGTGAGTGATGGCTGCGCCCAATGGATATTCTACAGGAAAACATGAGGCCTGATTCCCAGAAGAAAGCCCAGGCCACAGACAAATGACAGAGACATGCAGGGGTGTGGCTGGGAGTGAGCAGATGATGAGTGGTCAGACAGGCCACTGTTTGCAGCCTCATCTTGTGCTCAATGGCAGGGCTGGTGGGTGGCTTACAAGTGTAGGTCACACCTGGACAGCCCCGAGGTTAGTTTCCTCAACGGTGAGAACAACAGGACAATCATAGTGGTGGTGGGAGGTGGGGGAACATGGGTGGCATTAGTGGCTCCAGATTTGGTGGGCCGTAAACAGGGCAGTGAGTTGGTCTGGTGGGCGCTTTAGGAAAATGTGGCTTTAATGTGGACAACGGGCAAGACAGTACCCCGAGACATGTTTGCAGAGCTGCTCTCTCTCGAGCTCCTATTTTCGTTGCCTCCTCCCATCTTTGTTACATGGAAAGATCAACTTATTCTTATTCCTCAAAATAGCTACTCTTGTCACTGACCCCAGCTGTTGAGTTGGCTAAGAACTGTCCAAGGGGCGAAACCTGAGGAGGCTGCGTGGGTGACTGGCTCAGGGGCAGGCAGATGGAGTCTGAGGGGCCTGTTGAGTCTGGATGCACAGATTTGGGCTGCCCTTAGCCTAGTGCTCAGGGCCCCAGGGCAGGGCTGGGAGTCAGCTATAGATAGAGCACAAGTAACAAGAGTTTGAGGGGCTGAAGACAGGTCTAAACTGAGTCCATGCGCTTGACTTTCATTGGCTGGGGGAGCTGTGCAAAGCCACGCCCTTGGAGAGGCTCCTTTCCTTCCCTCCCTCCCTCCTTGTTTCCTTCCTTCTTTCCTTCCTTCCTTCCTTCTTTCCATCCTTCCCTCTTTCCCTTCCTCCATCCCTTCTTTCTTTTGTCTTCTTTCTTTCCTTCCTTCCTTCTTTCCCTCCTTCCCTCTTTCCCTTCCTCCATTCCTTCTTTCTTTTGTCTTCTTTCCTTCCTTCCTTCTTTTTCTTTTTCTTTCTCTTCTTTCTTTCTTTCTCTCTCTCTCTCTCTCTCTCTCTCTCTCTCTCTCTCTCTCTCCCTCTCTCTCTCTCTCTCTTCTCTGAAGGCCCCATTACTTACCACCAAGAACTGCAGACCCTTTCATGAGCTGAAGCTCCAGCAGCTCCCCAGGCAAGCTTGCAGAGCTGTTCTCTCTGTCTCCTATTTCTGTCACTTCCTCTCATCTTCATTATATGGAAAGATCAGCTTATTCTTTCTGGTTCCTCCTTTCTTCCCCTCTCCATAGCCCATTCTCCTGACTTGGCATCATGTGCACACATGCACACATACATCAGAAACCATCTTGCAAAGATAATATTCTCATTTAGAAGGCAGGGGAAGGGGAGAAGCTGAGTGGGGAAAGATAACATTCTTGTGTATGTGTGTATGTGTAAATGGTTGAAATATGCACAGGATAATAAATCAATTCCTGCCACGGTAGGTTATCAACAAGTGCCTAGGAAAGTCCCTGCAGCCCTGAAATGCTGTGATTCTATGAATTTTAAGATGTCAGACCTCAAGGAGATGGGATGAGTAAAAAGCCATCACTCCACCAACGCTTCCTAGATACTACCAACTCTGCAGGCCTCAGGCCACTGGAGAACAGTCTCAGGTGTGCCAGTGTTGCTTCTTATCAGAGGAGAGAGGGACTGGGAGGAGGGCCATCAGCCTCACCAAGACTCTTATCCTAATGGCTCTCCTCCTCGCCCCTCAGTTACTGGGCACCATCTTGTTTCTCGAATCTCCCCCAGGACCTCGGCTGCAGCCGAATCTGTGGCACAGACTCACTGGTGAATTTGCAGCCAGTGGAGGAGGGATGTGCTGAAGAAATCACTGCCCATATCATTAATTCATCACAATTGGAGTGAGTGCCAGGCAAGAGGGGGCTCTGATGCTTTGAAAGAGGCCGAATAATACAGAGACTTGACTTGCCCCAAGGAGGTAAGAAGAGCCACAGGGACCAGGAGAGGAATCCAGGCAGAGAAGGGCATGTGTAAAGGCCCTGTGGTGGGCGGGAGCCCGGTGCATTCTGGGAGACTGAGAGAGAAGGCCCCAGTTGCTGAAGGCAGAGGCTGAAGAATGAGGAGGGGTCAGGATGAAGGGTCCTGGGGATCTTCCTACCCTGGCCCCGCAGCTGTGTTATCCCTTCACCAACCACGTGCTTCGAGGGCTCTCTCTGTGCCTAGTCCTGTGCTGGACATTAAAACTCCTGAGGATGGGGGCAGGAGTGACAAAGACCTCTCCAGGCTGACCAAGCTCCCCAACCACAGCCTCTGAGTCTGCTCTTGGCCCATGCTCCTGATGTTCTGCTGACTCTGAAGAGGACTGGTCTCTTCAGACAAAGAGGTTGGAGGTGCCCTCACCTGGAAGCAGGAAGGATGATTGCCACCTTCTCCAGCCACACCTCCTTAAAGGGCCCTGGAGCACATTAGTCAACTCTCACTTAGGCAGAGCGTGCCCCTCTCACACGGTGCCATCAAATGCCTCCCCATGAGCAGGAGAGGTACCTTGGCAGGTACCACAGGGGGAGTGCTGTGCAAGTGAGGACTCCACCTCACTCTCTGCCTCTCAATCAGACCAGACTGGAAAGGCCACCTTGACTCCCCCACTCCTAATCATGCAACGGGGAGGTGTCTGATGTTGCCTGTGGGTCTGACCCCCAGGCAAGCACATTGTCTGTGCACAGTGGATGCTCTGGCTGTCCCTGACATTTGGGGGGCCCAGGGCAAGAGCACAAATGGATGCCCACATTTCCAAATATTTAAAACGATAAACCAAATCAACAAACTGGTGAATAAAGGATGTCCTACCCTCCTCCTTTAACAAATGCAATTTTATAACAACGTAGGAGGCCAGTTTTGAGTTTAAAGTCTTCAGGCCCCTGAGTTCCCACCCTAGATGTGGAGATGCAGGGAGAACCGGACTTAGCCCCTCCTTGGTCCGCCACCTTCTCTTCTTACCTCAGGTCCCTCCCACACCTCAAGGGCCTCTCATGCATGTGGACACCAGTGCATGCATTCAAACTCTTTTCACACCCCCACCCCCACCCAGGCCTGTGTGCCCACCCGCAGCACACGCCACCCTCAGGAGGATGGACCCAGTGACAAGGCCCACTTGGGCTTGGGAAGTCGGCTTTGGGATATCTGGGCAGGGAGTGCTGCAGTCTCAGGTACCCAAACTATTGTCTAAATTGGGGGTTAGTTTCCAAAGGTCATGTCCTTTTGGCCACACAGATTCCTCATCTTATGAGGAGAGGCATGGCCAGAGGAGGAGCAGAGCAGAATTTGAGGAACAGTCATCAAATTCTGAGACCCAGGGCAAGGATCCATCTTGGCCAGGTCTGAGGATGGTGTGAAATCAGCCCTGATCCACTTGCCAGGCTGTCTGCCTGGCTTTGCAGTGGGATAAACCCAAGAGGCTGGACCAAGCCACTAGCAAGAGTAAGACTCACAGACCCCATGCCAAGACCGTGGACCAGAGATAGGACCCGAGTTAGGGCATGGAGGCCCAAGGGTAGAGTTGGATAGAGAAGGGGACTGGGCTCCAGAGAGTTGGACAGGTAAGATACAGGTAGGGTTTTACCTGCCTGCCTTATGGGGCTTGACGGACCCAGCCAGACTTCAACCATTTCACTCACGAAGCCATGAACACCAGTCAGGAGCAGGTAATTAATTGCAGACAGAACTCCAGGAAAACAATTCAACCTCCACCATGATGGCCCCGTGCCCTTGCCTGGATTTACCCACTCACACTCAACCCTATTCCACACCACAATGAATGCTTTTTCCAAGCGTCATCTTTTCAGGAGTTTGTGATTTTTCCTGAATTCATCTCCCCTAGCAAATCTTTTACAAGAAGGAATGTCAGTCAGCTTGGGCTGCTAGAACAAAGTACCATGGACTGGATGGCTGAAGCAACAGAAACTAATTTTCTCACAGCTCTGGAGGCTGCAAATCCCAGATCGGGGTACCAGCAGGGTTGGGTTCTAGTGAGGGCTCTCTTCCTGGCTTGCAGATGGCCGCCTTCTTGCTATGTCCTCACATGGCAGAGACTGAGAAAGAGGGAGTGCAAGAGAGAGAAGGAGAGCACACACAAGCTCCCTGGAGTCTCTTCTTATAAGGGCACTAACCCCATCATGAGGCCCCACCCTCATGACCTCATCTAAATCTAATTACCTTCCAAAGCCTCATCTCCAAATACCATCGCATTGAGGGTTATGGCTGCAACGTAGGAATTTTTGGGGGCACACAATTGAGTCCATAGCAATGAACACAGGCTGCTCTCATTCAGAAGAAGAGAAAGGAAACAGGTAACAGATGGTGGAGTGGACACTGCTTTGAACATAATGTGGCTTGAAAGGAGGAGCCACGTTTTCTCAGGTAGTTGTTGTTAATAATCCCCCCATACATGGGGACAGAGTGTTTGTTTATAAAGAAGATATTGTGACAGAGTGAGACTCTGTCTCAAAAAAAAAAAAAGGAGAAGAAGAAGATATTGTCTTCCATGAGATTTTCATGTGAACAGAAAAATCCATTTTCACATAGAGCCAGACCTGCCCTGTCAAAGCTGGATGGGGAGGGAGAGAGAGGTGTTTGGGGGCTGGAGAAGAATAGCTGTGGACCGGTGAATCCTGGAAGGGGCAGCCACAGCAAATGAGCTGTGGGAATAACAACCCCTTCTGTGGGTCCAGACGTCACTGTCTAAAGTCCCCTTCAGACCCCCCAGCTTGGGGCGACACCTACTGCCTTTGATGGAGCAAGTTTTCTGTGCCAGGTCCTGTGCAAGGCACTTTATGAGGATTATCTCCCAGTGTCCTCACCATAACTCGGAGGGAGGTGCTATTATTATCCCCATTTTGCAGAAGAAGAAACTGAGGCTCAGGGAAAGAGAGGAACCTGCCCCGCATCACACGGCCAGAGGCAGTGAAGCAGGACACGAGTCCCAGATGTGTGACTGGGGAGCCCACAATCCTGACCCCTGGGGTGTCCTGACCGGGGGTTGGGGAGGGAGCCCGTCTATCAGGAGCTGGGCTGAGCATGTTACCTGTTAAAGGTTATCTCACTCCCCACTGCAGTCCTTGGAGGGGACATTCTTATCCCCATCCCTGGCTCAGAGCAGTGAGGTCACTGGCCACCCGGGGCCATGGAGCCCTGTGCTTGGAAGAGGGTCAAATTCCCTCCACTCACTCCATACCCAGGGGCTCTTCCCTGCAGAGAGTGGCCCCCGGGACACGGCGTTTCTCGAGCACCCTGCCCCTCTCTCCTTCCTGTGCCTGCCAGCACTCAGCCTCCCACCCCTCACCCTGGTGCTGCTGTCCAGCCCCCTCCTGGGCTTGCTCTGCTTCCAGGCCCCCTGCTGGGCTCACCTACCATTACTGCAGCATCTCTGCCTGGTCTGAGAGGAGTCCCTGCTGCTGGGCTAATGGGAGAGAGGCTGGTTCACCCCTTCCAGGCAGTGTGAGCTTTAACAGGTGCTCGCAGAGACAGCGCACTCCACTGCAGTGGCCACATACCGCTTCTTAAGAGTTGGACCTGGGCTATCATGTTATCCAGAGGCACGATGGCCTGTTCAGGGGACAGAGTTGGTGGGAGAGAATGAGTCCTTTATTCTTCCTGGGCTGCTTGGGGTGTGTCCAGCTTAGTCCCTGACTTGCTATGTGGCTGCTATTGCTATTGTAATGCTGTCTAACACCACCTCCAGGACAGTAGCTGACTGCAGTAGGCATTTATTTTTCCTGCTCTCAGGTGTGGGGATTGACCAGGGCAGCTCCATTCCAGGTTCAAGTTGGGGTAGGGGCTGGCTCTAGGCTGGGCCAGGCTTTGGTCTGCCCCATGTGTCGCTCATCTTCTGTGGGTTGTGGCTCCCGAGGTCGTGTTCTTCTCATCAAAAATGGCACCAGGCCAAGAGAGTGAGCAGATGCTTCTTCAGGACCTGGTTCAGAATTGGCAACTGTCACCTCCACTCACATTCTCTTGGCCCAAACAAGTCACATAGCCAAGCTCTTCTACACCAGTAGGGCAGAGAAATATACTCTGCCTCAAGAGGGAGGACAGTGAATATTTGCTGAAAGAAATCTAAACTATTGCAGAGACTTTGGTCAGGTCACTGCCCATCTCTAGCCTTTGGAATTTCCTGTGTATGGTTATGGGTTGGGTCATTTCTAAGACTTTTCTCATCTCCAATACTCTATGATTCTCCAAACTGGAGTAGTGGAGTTTTATTACATTTCTTCCATCTGGGACTTCCTGGGCTCCCAAGGGGTCCCAGAAACCCACGGTGAGCTGGGGTTGGGGTCGGGGTACTGCCATCCAGGCTCCTGTTCTTTTAAGTTGCTAGGCTCCTCACAAACCTGGAGCCACGTCCCATCCTCCCCTTTCACAGTCCTGAGCTTTTTGCTGGGAATCACCTGCTGTCCTCAGTCTTACCTACTCCCTGAAACTCCTGCTCACAGCCAGCATCTACTCTAGAGCTGATGCCTTTCCAGCTCCAAACCCCCTTCATCTTTGACTGTGACTCTACTTTTTCCCTCAGTTAAGAAAAAATCCCAGTCCCTATCTGAGTCCAGTCCCAGGCCCCGACACCAGCTATTCTCATTTTGGACTCCATGAAAAAGGAAATGAAAGCCCAGCCCACTGAGGCTTGGCCCCTGTGGGGATTTCCTTCCCCTGCTCCATCAGCTAGACAAGGCACCTGCATCATGGGTCCTTCATTCCATGTGAATGGAAACCCCAGTCCTTGGCAGATGTGTTCATGCTTTGTTTGCATTTTAAACTGCTCTTCTCCGGGCCAGTTTCATCCCCTTCTTTTCCAGCCTCCAGCCTCCCCATTGCAGGGGCTCCCGGCCCTCCCTCTCTAATGCACCCTTTTGTGTTGCTGCAAATTGCCTTCAATTTCAGCAAAACAGACTGCCAGCTTTCCATAAAGTCCAAATTTCCTGGCCCTGAAGGAGCGGCTGGCTCTCCACCTTCTTATCCGAGTCACAAAGGAGGATCACAAAAGAGCATTTCGGATGTGACAGAAAGGTTTCCCCTATGGCCATAAATACAGCTCTCCATGAAGTGCATGAACTAGCCCAGAGGGCCCACCCTTCACGTGCACTCAGAAAGGAGAAGCCATGTGATCATCATGATACTATAACATGGATCATAACTCATGATTAGAGCCCTTCCCATGGGCTGGGTGCTGAGCTGGGCTCTTTCAGGCACTCTCTCTTGGTCCTCATCAAAACTCTTTAAAGCGGGTGCTATGACTATCCCTACTCTACAAAGTCACTGAGGCTTACAGAAGCAGTTTCACCAGGGTCATGCAATGAGTTAGCAGTGGGCCAGGGACCCTCAGGGCTGTCTGAATACAGGTGCTTCTAATTATATCATACTCATGTGTATGGGGCTGAACCAGTGTCCAAGCATACCCATGTGCTCTTCTAGCAATGAGGACCCCAGTATGCACCATGAAGCTACTCTTTTTTCTCTCTGATGAGCAACACCCCTGTGTGCATGGATGAAAAGCCTTTTTGCACACATGGATGCCTGCCTAGGTCATAGTGATGCCGTCCCTGTGAACACCATTCTGTGTTCTGGACCCAGCCTGGCAAGACTGCCTAGTGTTGGGCTTAATGATGAACCCACTTTCACATACACCCATATGCATCTTCCAGGAGTACTGGACTCCAGAGACCAGGATTGATTGGTGAAACTTTAGCTAATGAGCATGTTATCTAAGTGCCACCTCCCTCCGCCGTAAGGGAGATCTGTGAGCCCCTAGGGGATCCACAAGCCCCTGTTCCTTCTTTTAATCTGATTTACCCTTTTACAAACCCCCTCATGCCCACTGCCTGGCCGGGGAAGCCAGCCTTCCCCAGCCACAGAGGAAAATAATTAACTGCCATCATTCTGGCTTAATTAGCTCCAGCATGGGGAAGGCAGTTGTGATGGAAGGAGACTGGATTTCGGGGATGTGAATTATGTGTTCCCAGTGCTTCATCACCCTCTGTTACTGTCTTATCTTTATTCATTCTGGCAAATTAAATTAGCACTGCCTTTCCAATCTTATTCTCCAGGAGAAATTAAACAACAGCAGCAAAGAGAGAATTGGCCATAATGGGGCCGTTTGATGTACTTTGATTATCCTGCGTCTTAAAGCCCCACTGCCCTGGAAAATACCAGGTAATCAGATCTCCTGGGGATGCAGTTCGGAACATTCAGGGTTAGACATTTGCCTCTTCCTTTGCCTTTTTCTCTGCTCAAAATGTCTGAATTATACTCTTTTAGCTATTTGGAAATATACAATAAATTATCATAAACTATAGTCACCCTACTGATCTACCAAACACCAGGTCTTACTTCTATCAAACTGTATTTGTACCCACTAATCAACCTTTCTTCATTCCCCCTCTCCTTTCCACCCTCTGGTAACCACCAGTCTATTCTCTCTTTTTATAAGATGCACCTTGTTAGCTCCCACATATGAGTGGGAACATGTGATATTTGTCTTTCTGTGCTTGGCTTATTTCACTTAATATAATGACCTCCAGTTCTGTCCATGTTACTGCAAATGACAGGATTTCATTCTTTTTTTATAGCTGAATACTATTCCATTGTGTATATGTACCACTTTTTTTTTAAATTAGATCACCCATGGATGGGCATGTAGGTTGATTTCATATTTTGGCTATTGTGAATAGTGCTGCAGTAAACATGGGTGTGCTTATTCTCTTCATTATGTTAATTTCCTTTCTTTTGCATATACCCAGTAGCAGAATTTCTGGATCACATGGTAGTTTTATTTTTAGTTTTCTGAGGAAAAAACAGTTTCTCACAGTGCATGTACTAATTTACGTTCCCATCAACAGTGTGTGAGGGTTCCCCTTCCTCCACATCTCACCAGCATACATTATTCCCTGGCTTTATTTTTTTTGAGACAGAATCTCTCTGCGTTGCCCAGGCTGGAGTGCAGTGGCGCGATCTCAGCTCACTGCAACCTCTGTCTCCCGGGTTCAGGCAATTCTCTTGCCTCAGCCTCCTGAGTAGCTGGGATTACAGGCATGTGCCCCCATGCCCAGCTAATTTTTGTATTTTTAGTAGAAACAGGTTTCACCATGTTGGCCAGGCTGGTCTCAAGCCTGTCTTTTTGATAATAGTCATTTGATCAGGTGTGAGGTGATATCTCATTGTGGTTTTGATTTGCATTTCTCTAAAGTTTAGTGATGTTGAGCATTTTTTCATATACCTACTGGCCATTTGTATGTCTTCTTTTTTTTTTTTTTTTTTTTTTTTGGAGACGGAGTCTCGCTCTGTCGCCTATGTTGGAGTGGAGTGCAGTGGTATGATCTCGGCTCACTGCAAGCTCCCGGGTATGTCTTCTTTTAAGACAAAAAGAAGACTCTGATTCTTTTAAAATTAAAATCAGATTATTTATTTGTTTAGCTATTGAGTTGTTTGAGCTCCTTATATATTCTGTTATTAATCCCTTGTCAAATGAATAGTTTGCACGTGTTTTCTCTTATTCTGTGGGTTATCTCTTCATTTTGTTGATTGTTTTCTTTGCTGCGCAGAAGCTTTTTAGCTTGATGTAATCCATTTGTCTATTTTTGCTTTGGTTGCCTGTGTGTTTGAGATCTTACACAAAAATTCTTTGCTCAGACCAATGTCCTAGAGTGTTTTCTTCTGGTGGTTTCATAGTTTCAGGTCTTAGATTTAAGTCTTTAATCCATTTTGATTTGATTTTTGGGAATGGTGAGAAATAGGGGTATAGCTTCATCCTTCTGCATATGGTTATCCCGTTTTATTGAAGAGACTCCTTTCCCCACTGAATGTTCTTGGCACCTTTGTTGAAAATGAGTCAGCTATAAGTGTGTGGGTTTATATCTGGCTTCTTAATTTTGTTCTGTTGGTCTATGTGCCTGTTTTTATGCCAGTACCATGCTTATTTTGTTACAATAGCTTTGCAGTATATTTTGAAGTCAGGTAGTGTGATGTCTCCAGCTTTGGTATTTTTGCTTAAGATTGCTTTGGCTATTCAGGGTCTTTTGTGGTTCCATACAAATTTTAGGATTTTTTTTATTTCTGTGAAGAATGTCCTTGGTATTTTGATAGGGATTGCACTGAATCTACAAATTGCTTTAGGTAGTTTTGTCATTTTAACAATATTAATTTTTCTAATCCATGAGCATGCAATATCTTTCCATTTTTTGGTGTCCTCTTCAGTTTCTTTCATCCGTGTCTTATAGTTTTTCTTGTATAGACCCTTCACTTCTTTGGTTACATTGATTCCTAGGTTATCTTATATTCTTTGTAGCTATTGTAAATGGAGTTACTTTCTTGATTTCTTTTTCAGGTTGTTCACTGTTAGCATATATAAATCCTACTGATTTTTGTATGTCCATTTTGTATCCTGCAGCTTTACTGAATTTATCAGTTCTAACAGTTTTTTAGGGGGAGTCATTAGGTTTTTCTAAGTATAAGCCACACTGTCTGTGAACAAGGTGAATTTGACTTCTTCCTTTCCAATTTGAATGCCCTTTATTTCTTTTCCTTTTTTTTTCCCCCATAGGTGGTTTTCAGTGGCTTATGGATGGCCTTTATTTCTTTTCCCTAATTGCTCTGGCCAGGACTTTCAGTGTTATGTTGAATAAAAGTGGTGAAAGTGGGCATCTTGTTCCAGATCTTTGTGGAAATGCTGTCAGTTTTTCCCATTCAGTATGATTTAGCTGTGGGTTTGTGACATATGGCCCTTATTATTTTGAGGTATGTTCCTGCTATACCCATTTTGTTGACAGTTTTCATCACAAAGATGTTGAATTCTATCAAATGCTTTTTCGGCATCTATTAAATGATCATATGGTTTTTGTTCTTGTTTCTGTTGATGTGATGTATTACATTTACTGATTTGTGTATGTCAAACCATCCTTGCATCCCTGGGATGTATCCCACTTGATCATGGTGAATGATCTTTTTAATATGTTGTTGAATTCAGCTTGCTAGTACTTTGTTGAGAATTTTTATATCTCTATTCATCTGTGATATTGGCCTCTCATTTTCTTTTCTTGTTGTGTCTGTCTGGTTTTGGTATCAGGGTAATGCTGGACGTGTCAAATGAGTTTGGAAGTATTCCCTCCTCTTCAAATTTTTTGAAGAGTTTGAGTAGAATTGGTATGAGTTCTCCTTTAAATGTTTGGTAGAATTCAGCAAGCAGTGAAATCATCAGGCTCTGGGCTTTTCTTGGATGGGAGACTTATGGCTTTGATTTTGTTACTCATTATTGGTTTGTTTAGGTTCTCTATTTCTTCATTGGTAGGGTGTACATGTCCTGGAATTTATCTGTTTCTTTTAGGTTTTCCAATTTATTGGCATATAGTTGTTTGTAGCAGTCTTTGTACTGTTACAAATGATTCTTTGTATTTCTGTGGTATCAGTTGTTATGCTTCCTTTTACAGTTCTGATTTTATTTATTGGGGTCTTCTATCTTTTTTCTTAGTTATTCTAGCTAAAGCTTTGCCTATTTTTTATCTTTTTTAAAAAACCCAAACTTTTTGTTTCATTGATCTTCTGTATTGTTTTTTTAGTTTCAATTTCGTTTATTCCTGTTTATCTTTATTGTTTCTTTCCTTCTACTAATTTCGGGTTTGGTTTGTTCTTGCTTTTCTAGTTCCTTGACATGCATGATTAGGTTTATGTATTAGTCAAGGTTCTCTAGAGGGATAGAACTAATAGAATAGATATATATATATAAAGGGGAGTTTATTAAGCATTAACTCACAGGATCACAAAGTCCCATAATAGGCTGTCTGCAGGCTGAGGAGCAAGGAGAGCCAGTCCAAGTTCCAAAACGGAAGAACTTGGAGTCTGATGTTTGAGGGCAGGAAGCATCAGCATGGGAGAAAGATGTAGGCTGGGAGGCTAGGCCAGTCCCTCTTTTCACATTTTTCTGCCTGCTTATATTCTAGCCACACTGGCAGCTGATTAGATTGTGTCCACCCAGATTATGGGTGGGTCTGCCTTTCCCATCCCACTGAATCAAATGTGAATCTCCTTTGGCAACACCCTCACAGACACACCCAGGATCAGTACTTGGTATCCTTCAATCCAATCAAGTTGACACTCAGTATTAACCATCACAAGTTGTTTATTTCTACTTTTTAAATATAAGTGTTTATTGCTGTAAACTTCTCTCTTAGTGCTGCTTTTGCCGTATCCCACAGATTTTGGTATGTTATATTTCCATTTTCATTTATTTCAAGAAGTTTAAAATTTTTCTTCCTAATTTCTTCACTGACCCACCAGTTGTTCAAGAGCATGTTGTTCAATTTTCATGTGTTTGTGTCTTTTCCAAGATTCTTCTTGTTATTGATATCTAGTTTTATTCCACTGTGGTCAGAAATGATACTTGATATGATTTTAATTTTTAAACATTTGTTGAGATTTGTTTTGTGGCCTAAGATATAATCTATTCTGGAAAATGTTCCATGTGATGATGGAAAGAATATGTATTCTGCAGCAATTGGGTGAGATGTTCTGTAAAGGTCAGTAAGGTCTTTTTGGTCTAGTGTGTAACTCCAATATTTCTTTGTTGATTTTCTGTCTGGATGATCTGTCTTTACTGGGGGTGGGGTGTTGAAGTCTCCCACTATTATTGTATTGCAGTCTGTCTCTCTCTTTAGAACTATCAATGTTTAATTTATATACTTGGGAGCTCTAGGATAGGGTGCATAGACAATTATAATTGTTATATCATCTTGCTGAATTGACCCCTTTACCATTTTATAGTAACCTTCTTTGCCTTTTTTTTCTTTTTTTTTTTGACAGAGTCTCGCTGTTGGAGTGCAGTGGTGTGATCTCTGCTCACTGCAACCTGCAACCTCCACCTCCCCAGTTCAAGCAATTCTCCTGCCTCAGCCTCCTGAGTAGCTGGGATTACAGGTGCCTGCCACCACACTCGGCTAATTTTTGTATTTTTAGTAGAGACGGAGTTTCACCATCTTGGCCAGGCTGGTCATGAACTCTTGACCTCATGATCCACCCGCCTCAGGCTCCCAAAGTGCTGGGATTACAGGCGTGAGCCACCATACCTGGCCCTTTGCCTCTTTTTACAGTCTTTGATTTGTAGTCTATTTTATGCAATATAATATAGTTACTCCTGCTCTTTTTTGGTTTCCAGTGGGATGGAATATCTTTTTCCACCCTTTCATTTTCAGTCTATGTGTGTCCTTATAGGTGAAGTCGATTTTTTAATTTATTTTTTTCTGAGAGAGAGTCTCACTCTGTCACCCAGGCTGGAGTGCAGTGGTGTGATCTCGGCTCACTGCAACCTTCACCTCCCTGGTTCAAGCAATTCTCTTGCCTCAGCCTCCCGAGTAGGTGGGATTACAAGTGTGTGCCACCACGCCTGGCTAATTTTTTGTATTTTTAGTGGAAACGGGGTTTCACCATGTTGGCCAGGCTGATCTCAAACTCCTGACCTCAGGTGATCCACCCACCTTGGCCTCCCAAAGTGCTGGGATTACAGGCATGAGCCACTGTGCCCAGTCTGAAGTGGATGTTTTTTAAGGCAGCACAAACTTAGGTCTTTTTTCTTTATCCATTCAGCCACCGTATGCCTTTTAATTAGAGAATTGAATTCATTTACATTCAGTATTATTGATAAGTAAGGACTTACTGCTGCCATCTTGTTGCTTGTTTTTTTTTCGGTTGTTTTATATATCTTTTTCTTTCTTGTTGACTCACATTGTGATGAAATTATTTCTTTGGTAGTATGTTTTAATTTATTTTTTGCTTTGTGGTTACCATGAGGCTTATAAAAACATCTAATAGATATGACAAATTATTTTGAAGAGATGACAACTTATCTTAGATCACAAAGGAAAGGACAGAAAAAAAAGAACAAATGGGAAAAAACCTCTACATTTCAACTCCACCCCGAATTTTGATGTTATGTTGTCCAAATTTACATACTTTTATATTGTGAATATCTCAACAGGTTGCTGTAGCTATTATTATTTTTGATAGGATTTATCTTTTGGGATTCACAGTAGAGTTAGGAGTGGATTTCACAATTCATTTCCACCACAATTACAGTATTAGAGTATTTTGGGTTTCTGTGGAGTTAATTTTACCAGTTGGTTTTATATTTCAAGTGTTTTCTATTTGAATGTTATTTTTATTTCTTTCAGATTGAAGAACTCCTGTTAGCAATTCTTGTAAAATGGGTCTGGTGGTGGTGAATTCCTTCAGCTTTTGTTTGTCTGGAATAATCTTTATCTCTCCTTCATATTTGAAAGATAACTTTGCTGGATACTGTATTCTTAGATGGCAGTTTTTTTTTTTTTTCTTTCAGAACTTTGAAAATGTCACCCCATTCCCTCCTGGCCTGTATGGTTTCCATTGAGAAGTCTGTTGTCAGACAAATTGGAGCTCCTTTATATGTTATTTGCTTCTTTTCTCTTGCTGCTTTTAGGACCCTCTCTTTGTCCTTGACCTTTGAGAATTTGATTAATATGTCTTGAGGTAGTCTTATTTGGGTTGAATCTACATAGTGTTCTCTGACTTTCCTGGAGCTGGATATTTATATATTTCTCAAGTTTTGGAAAGTTTTCTGTTATTGTTTATTTGAATAAGCTTTATACTTCTTGCTCTTGCTCAACTCCCTTCCTTGAACACCAATCATTTTTAGATTTGGTCTTTTGAGGTAATTTTCCATGTCTTGTAGATGATCTTCATTCCTTTTCATTCTTTTTTTCCCCTCTGACTGTGGATTATTTTTAAACAGCATGTCTTCAAGCTAACTGATTTTTTTTCCTCTCCTTAATCCATTCTGCTGTTGAGAACGTCTAATGAGTTTTTCAGTTGAGTACATGTATTTCTCAGTTCCAAGGTTTCTGTTTGATTTTTAAAAAATTTCAATCTTTTTGTTAAATTCCTGTGATAAATTTTAGAATTGCTTTTCTGTGTTATGTTGGAGATCACTGAGTTTTTAAAAAACTGCTATTTTGAATTCTTGGTCAGAGTGTTCACATATCACTGTCTTATTAGGGTTAGTTACTGGTTCCTTGCTTTTTGTGTTTGAATAGGTCATGGTTCCCTGTTTTGCTTTTGTTTATTGCGGATATATGTCTATGTCTTTTCGTTGAAGGATTAGTTATTTTTTGTAGTCTTTTCTGGCTGGCTTGTTTTGGTTTTTATTAGATACTCTTGCTCAGAGAGTTTGTAATTTACCTGTTGATTTTCTTTGTTTTTTCCCCATTCTGTTGCTGCCTCTTTTTGACACTAGATGGCGCCTTAAGCACATGCTTGCCTTGGTTCTAAATAAGCAACTAGAGCGCTGCGTTTACTGACTGGGGAAAGGTCCCAAAGGGGAATACCCGAGTAGTGCAGGAAGCCTGGCTAGGGGTTCATGCCCTGGGAATCTGTGGAATGAACCTCCTACAGCATGGTGCTGCTTAATGGCCACTCTGATTTGGTGTTTCCTTTGGCCGAGTTACTAAGCAGAGTTTCCAGAATTGGGGATGGTAGTCCTGCCTCCCCTCTTTGTCTCTGACTGTTTGCAGGGATATTTCTCCCTTCAGGCATTCCTGAGACTTCTCATGGATTGAGGCAGGGACACATCTTCTGCCAGGAAACCAAAGATGGTGGGGAAGTTGGTTGTTTACTTCAATCTCACTTTTTCTGGTGTAGAAAATGTGAGTCTTGGGGAAATTTTCCATGCACTTGGTGCTGGGCAGTTTGGGAGAGGGGTGTTATGGATATGGAAGTCCAATTCTCTTAGCATCTACTCAGAGTTTTTTTGCTTCTCATGGCCCTGGGAACTGTCTCCTCTTTATATGTGAATTCTGGGATATTGCTGGCGATCATCTCAGTGCTGTCTAGTTCTTTCTGGTTTTCTATGGAGGGGGAGTGAAGCCAGCTTGCTACGACACCACCATTTTGGAACCAGAAGCCTGGAAGTTTTTTTAAAAGATTCCAACCCAGGATGCTCTCTGAGGCAACTCCTAGCCCTGTGACCAGAGGACCTTCTACTCTACGGGTTGCCAAACTTGTTCTGCACACTTGTCTGTGAGACTTGTCAAAAACACAGATTCCTGGACCACAGAATATAACTCTCCAAGCTGGTGGCCTGGGAGTGTGCCTTTCCCCAAAGCTTTCAGAATAATGTAGATTAAGGTAGTCTATGATTCAGACTTTGGGACTCACTACTCTAACCTTAGTGTTCCTAACTTATTTTTTTAAGGAGAGGAGGTCCCAGTCATATCCAGTGTTCATCAATATCCAGCTCTCCTCTCCTTCCTGGGTACATGGCAGCCTATACTTTCCAGCTTCCCTTGTGGTTAGGCAGACATTATGACTAGTTCTGACTAATGGACAGTGAGTAGACTTGACATGTGAAACTTCTGAGCTGAAGCAGTGAAAAGCCCCTGCAGGATCTTCCAGCTTTCCCTTATTCTTTGTTAGAGATCATGGAGGCAGCATGTTGACACAGTTGGGACATAAGATCAAAGCAACCCGGATAACTGGGTTAACACATGGAAGACAGCAGCGTTGGAGAATCACCTGATTTTCAGTGCAGTTTGTGAGAGATAAAGAAATAGAGAGAAACTCCTAGCCAGTGAGATTTGGGGCTGTTTGTTACTATAGCATAACACTAGCCTACCCTGATTAATACTGATCTCTCTGAGAATCTGGTGAAAACTATGGATCTTCTCCTTAGGAAAATGTGCACTTCCATATAATCATAAAATTTAGGCTACCTTCAGCTGGGCATGGTCGCTCACGCCTGTAATCCCAGCTACTAGAAAGGGTGAGGCAGGAGAATTGCTTGAGCCTGGGAGGTGGAATTTGCAGTGAGTTGAGATTGTGCCATTGCTCTCTAGCCTGGGCAACAAGAATGAGACTCCATCTCAAAAAAAAAAAAATTTAGGCTACCTTCTTGGGGTTTCTTTTCCTACCTCAGCTCTAGGAATTATTATTATTATTATTTTTTAGATGGGGTCTTGCCCTATCACCCAGGCTGGAGTGCAGTGGCATGATCATGGTTCACTGCAACCTCGACCTCCCGGGCTCAAGCAATCTTACCACCTCAGCTTCCTGAGTAACTGGGGCCACAGGTGCACGACACTACACCTGGCTCGTTTTTTTTTTTTTTTTTTTTAACATTTTTGTAGAGACGGGGTCTCACTGTGTTGTCCAGTCTGGTCTCAAATTCCTGGACTCAAGCAATCCTCCCACCTTGGCCTCCCAATGTACTGGAATTACAGGCATAAGCCACTGCACCTGGCCCAGATCTAGGATTATTGACTCATGTCACTGCCAATTCACACTCTGTGACTTGATTTATAATAATGGTGGTATTCTCCCCCATCACTGCTCTTTGTCCCTGCTCTCCTTCATTGGTGGCCTTTGGGAGCTCCAGCTCTCTGCTCCGACTCCTCGAGTGTGTGTCCAAGTGGCCGGAAGAATGAAGGGCCTCATTTATGAGCACCTACCCTCCTTCGAAGGTATATGGGAATATAATTAGAGTTATATAATTAGGAATTATATATAATATATTCGTAATATTAAATTTGATTAAATTTCAGGGGTTTTGACCTCCCTGAATCGTACCCTCTCATTCATAAATCATGGATTAATAACCCCAACTCTTACCCGAGGCCAGAAAACTCCCAGAGGCTCATGGGACATTTTCCGGGACCTCACACATGTCTACTGAAGGATTTCCTACTCAGAAGTGGAGCCCCACCTTTGAACCCCCAGGCCTGATAGGGTTTCCTTGCCCTACCTCAGTGGCATCTACAGTCAAAGCTTAGGCTTGGCAGACATTGACATTTGCAGTCAGGATCTGCCACTTATGTTCCCGCCTGAGGCTTAGTTTCTGGGACTTCAGCTGTTAGAAAAACACCAAACTTCTGAAGACCCAAGATGCCTTCAGTCTGGGTCTCCGCTTTCGCCTGCAAGGGGCTGACTTCCAGCTTGGCAAAGGGGAGAATCCCTGAGTCACTGAGTTCTGGATTCAAGAGATGGATCAGACACTTGCTAGATGTGTAGGTTTGAACAAGTCACTTAACATTTCTAGGCCTCAGTTTCTCCATCCATGAAATGTGAATATTGTATTAGATGATCCCTCCCATGTCCACACATCTTCCACTCTAACTAAACCAGGCAGGTCTCTACTCTGGAGACCATCCCTACCTCCCCGCCTTTGCGCATGCCAATTCGTCTGCCAAGAGAGCTCCCCCCTTTCCCATCTCCATCTCTCACTTTTAAATATTCCCTACATTCTAAGGCCTGGTTCAAAAGCCATCAAAGTCTCCCGTGACTCAACTAGAAGGACTGAATAGTCTTGTGGCTACCCTTCATTTTCTGCTGTTATCTCTGTATTTCCCAGGCTCTCCCAATTAGAGAAAGCCAATGTTTATTGAACACCTACTATATGCCAGATTTTGTGTAATGTGCTTCACCAGGATCCACTTTTGATTTTTCCCAGCAACCTGTGAGGTAGACATGATGATACCATTTCACAGAGGTGGACGTGGAGGCTTAGGGAGATCAGGTGAGTCATCACAGGTAGGGACCAGTAAGGGACATTTGGACCTAGGACTGTCTGCCTCCCACGTGGGGGGTCCCTAGTGCAGGGGCTGCATCTTGTCCCTGGTGGGCACCCTATGGGTGCTTGTTGAGGGGCTGGTGGGTTGTACCCGCCTCCAGCTGCCTGTGGCTCAGAAATTAGCAGGTATAACCATGCGGCTCTGGGCATGGGTTTGATGATCAAATGCTGGGCAGGTCTCTCTCCTTTCAGCAGTTCCAAAGCTCAGACAAGAGGAGAAGAAACCTGTGCTAGGTGCAGATGCATCCCCCTCCGCCTCTGTGTCGCTAAGGGCATGCGGGTGGACTGCAGAGTGCGTCTTGGCGGCTGGACTTGGGAGAATTAACTTCTCCACTCAGGGCTTACATTTCAGGCTGCTGTGAGCAGAGGCAGGAGGTGGTGGAGTGGAGCGGAGCGGGAGGTGGGGAGGGGAAGGTGCGAACTCCCAGCCCTGATGCTCCGGCATCTGTGGCTTCTCTGCTGCCTCTCCCCATCGCTCTTTCTCTGTGCTTATTATTCTCTCCCCCATCTCTTCAGTCTCACTGTGGCCTTTTCCATCTTCCCCAGCTCGTTCCTCCATTCCTCTGCCTGCGTCTGTTGTGACATGTTTCTCTCTCTTGTCTCCCTCCGCCTCTGCCTGAGAGTGTGTCCTGTGAGCGTCCCCCTCTCTCTCTGAGATTGTGCCTCTTTCTCATTTATATCCTCTCACAACGGCTCTCTCTTCGTGGATTTGTCTGTAACTGCCTTTGTATATTCGTGTATCTGATTTTTCTATCTTTATCTCCCGCTAGGCATTTCTTATTCTGTGTTTTTACTTCCTAGTGTGAATCTGTTTTTTCTCTTCCTTTCCCCCTCTCCTACCTCTTCATATGTATGATCTCATCTCCATGCCCCCACCTCGCACTGTGTGTGTTTCTCTCTTTCCTTCCTTGTGAGTGTGTGTGGAGGGTGCACTTGGTGTCTTTGTGTGCTAAAGGCTTTCTTGATGTCTCTTCTCTGTTTCTCAATGAATCGATGGAATCTCTCTCCCTCTCTTACTCGCTTGCTCCTCCCACCCCATATTTGCTGCTGGTACCAACATGGAAATCTGGGAGACTCAGATGGGAGGGCCTTGAGTTCCAAGGAAGGGGGAATCAGCTTTCGGGCAGGCAGGCAGCTCTCAGCTGGGCATCAGGAAGGAAGGAACATGTTGCAAATCCAAGGGGGACTCTGAGTCATCTCATCCGGGGCAGCGGGAAAAACACTGGACTCTGAGCCAGAGAAACAGAGTGGGAGCCTGGAGCCTGCTTCTTCCACTTCCTGTGTGACCTTGGGCAAGTCACCTAACCTGTCTGACCTCAGTTTCCTCATTAGTAAGATGGAGCTGTTGTAAAGATTAAATGAGTTCATTGCTATAGAACTGGAAGCCCAGTGCATGATGCAGGGAGTGCAATGAAGAGATGGATGAGCCAGGGTTCAAAAGCTTCCCCCAAGTGGACAAAGGCCCACAGGAGGATGCTGGATGGAGGAATTGCTGGAGGTCAAGGAAGGAGCCAAGGAGGTGTCCTGGAGGCAGGTGCAGAGGACAGGCTGCGGGAACATCAGACAGTGGGTTGGGGTCATGGGGGCAGCAGGAGGTTGATGCTGGTGCCTCCCTCTTTAGCCCAGACCCCCTTTCCCACACCCCAGGTATTCCCAGTCCCTCTCTCCAGGGGGGGCCACCACAGGGGCTCCTCAGAGGTAGAAAGCTGGAGACAACGCCTGCCAGGGCTGGCAGAGTGACCAAGGCCCTGGACTCCAACCTGTAGTTCGGAGGGAATCAGAGCTTGTGCTGTAGATGCCTAGCTGGGGTTGCCTTTCTGCCCCTGCCCAGTGCCTAGGGCTGGGACAGACGTGCTCACTCACGTAGCAATTACTCACTGAGCCCTCGTTTGTGCCAAGGGTGGCAGTGCAGCAGAGGGTTCAGTCTAGTAGGGGAGACAGAGACAATTCAAGTACCCGCAAGACATGCAGATGACCACACGTGGTAATGAAGCGTATGGGGTGTGATGAGCACATAGGATCCAGGGTCTGACCTCACCTGGAGGTCAAGGTGGGCTTCCTGGAGGAGGTGATTTGGAGCCAAGAACCCAAAGGCTGGGAAGGAGCTGACCCCTGCTTGAGTAAATAGGGTGGGGAAGATAATTCTGTTGTAGTTATTTATTGCTGCATAACAAACTACTGTAAAATTCAGTGGCTTAAAACAACCATTTTATTTTGTTCATCATGTTGTGGGCCAGGAATTTGAGAAGGGCTCAGCTGGGCCACTTGGTGTCAGCCAGGAGCAATATTGGGGCTGGAGGGTCCCTTCCAAGATGACATCTTCACTGTTTGGCATTTTAGTGCTTCTTGGCTCTTTCTTCAGATGGCATCTCCTCCAGAACCTTCTGCATGCCTTTAGCTTCCTCACCAGATGATAGCATCGTGATAGATGGAGCTCTTACATGGAGGCACAGGGCTGCAAGAGACTGTAAACTAAAAATAAAATCCCAAGCCCACAATCAACTAAAGGGACCCCCTCTTGGCCCAGGGACCCCAGAAAAACCTTAAAAATGGAGTTCCCAGCCTTGACAGGGTAGGAAGTCCAATGTGCCTAGTTACACTGGCTTCCTTTTACAGTTCAGACATAACAGCTGACCTGCATTAATGTTTTTTTTTTTTTTTTGAGACGGAGTCTTGCTCTGTCACCCAGGCCGGAGTGCAGTGGCGCCATCTCGGCTCACTGCCAGCTCCACCTCCTGGGTTCACACCATTCTCCTGCCTCAGCTTCCTGAGTAGCTGGGACTCCAGGTGCCTGCCACCATGCCCAGCTACTTTTTTTTGTATTTTTAGTAGAGACGGGGTTTCACTGTGTTAGCCAGGATGGTCTCGATCTCCTGACCTCGTGATCTGCCCATCTCGGCCTCCCAACGTGCTGGGATTACAGGCATGAACCATCGCGCCCAGCCCCAGCGTTAATGTTAAAATAAAATAGAGATCATAAGGCTGACAGAACGAATTCTTTGTGGCAGTAAGATACCAAATTATAAACAGGACCTAACGCCATGCCAGGCAAGGGTTGAGTCACACAACCCTACACTTCAAGAATAATCCATGTTCTAATTGCCACAGGTTTTCTTTTTTCTCTATCAGCCAAACAAGCACTGACCTTGAGATAAGCAATGTTAGAGCAGTTACAGCTCACCAACCACCAGACACCGACTAACTGACTCCCAGTTCCACAAGCCATAACTACAGCTTTGATTGGACAAGGGACTGATTTCCGTAACTTTCTCCTGATAAGAAGACTACCTACCATGGTCAGTTTACAGAGACTGCACATTTAAATGCCTTCGTGACCACCTTCATGAATATTCATAGCTGCTCCTATAAACTGTTGAATATGTATGTTTGGCTAACCTATTCAGCTTAAATTTCTGTCTTATCCTGCCCTCCTTTGAAAGGCCTGGTAATGCCTTTGGTAGGAGGCGATGCTTCCTAGCTTGTGAAATGGCCACCTTGCAGGCTGTAATCATTTATAAGAAACAAAGTCTCCTGTCCAATTTATAAACTGTGTGATTTTTTTTTTAAATTTAGAGACAGGGTCTTGCTGTGTTGCCCAGCCTGGAGTTCAGTGGCACAATCATGGCTCACTGCAACCTTGAATGCCTCAGCTCAAGGAATCCTCCCCTCAGCCTCCTGAGTAGCTGGGAGTACAGGCACACACCACCATGCCTGGCTAATTTTAAATTTTTTTGTAGAGATGGGGTCTCACTATGTTGCCCAGGCTAGTCTCAAACTCCTGGCCTCAAGCAATCCTCCCTCACTGGCCTCCCAAAGCACTGGGATTACAAGCATGAGCCATCATGCCCACCCTAAACTGTGTGATTTTTAAGTCCAGTGTAATTTTTAAGTTAACAACACCAAGGCAGAAGCTGCCAGACCCCTTGAAGTCTAGACTCAGACCTGGAATAATGTCACCTCTACCATACTCAGTTGGTCAAAGCAGTCACAGGCCACCTCACATGCAGCGGGAAGGGACCTAGTGCCCACTTCTTGACTGAAGGAATAGCAAAGAATTCCATCTTTAACTTACCATACTTTCAAAGCAGAGGATATACTATGTATGTACACCGAACATTTGAATAGACTATGGTAAGTGCTATAGACAAAGAAAGTCCAGAGAACTGTTCTGGAAGTCAGGACGAGGAAACAGAGGGAGAACTCTTACCCAGTGAGAATGCAGCAGGGCCAAAAGTAAGGTGGGAAATCAGAGCAGACTTCCTGTAGGAGCAGGCACTCAAGCTAGGTCTGCAAGTTTAGCTGGGACATGGAGATGTGGAGATAAGTGCAAGGATATTCTCAGCCTAGGAAACAGTCTGAGCAAAGGGTTGACAGAGGTAAACCTCCGCCAAGGATCCTGGGGCCATGGGGGAGCTTGGATTGTCTGGAGCACTGGTCACCCTTTGGAAAGGAAGTTACGGGAGCCATGGCTGCAAGGGCAGGTTGTGGTTGATGGAGGAAAGGGGAAGACCCTTGAATTCCACGCTAAGTCCTTTTAGTGAGAGACCCTGGCAGATGCTGGGGAAGAAAGTCTTGGAGCTGAGAAAGGTTGGGGTCAGTGGCTAGAAGTGTGCAAGAAGGATAAGAATGGGGAGGGAAATATCTCAGCAGGGGGTCTGGGGAGGAGCAGGAGGTCATTTCATTAAGCAAGGACAGAGACGAGATGGAAGCCTGAACTAGAGTGGGGGCTGCTGAAGTGTGGAGGAGTGGCAGAGAATAATAATACTAACAGCTATCATTGACTGAGAATTTCTACCACTCAGGCACTTTATACATGATCATATTTAAGTCTTACGGCCACTCTGTAAGGTAGGTACTATTGTTATCCACAATTTGCAGGCATATTGTTAAGGCTCAGAGAGGTAAAGAAACTTGTCCAAGATCACACAGTGAGTGGTAGAGTTGAGATTCCCAAGACTAAGTCTGCTCTTCTCCAGAGCCTATGCTTCTGATCTCTGTTCTGTTAGAGGAAAGAATTGGCTCAGTAATTGTTCCTATAGGACTGAAGGTGGGGAGAACAAGAGAGAAAAAGGTAGACCTGAGATGATATCATGATGTCTGCTCTGATTACCAGAGGGGCGGCTGGACACCTCAGAAGACTTGAGGACCCACAAGTGGTGACTTTGGGTGCGTGGTTTCCTGGGCTAGGGGTTGGGGGGAGTGTCTGGGGAGTTGGTTTGGATGGGTGGGTTCAAGGGGCATGTGGGCTATAGGTGGGTGTACAGGAGGGAGGAGGCTCCAGAAGGCATCTACAAAGGGAGAAGGCATGGCAATTGGAAGGAGTGGAATGGACTCTGAGGGCTGGCAGGGATCAGAGAGGGTGAGCAGCTTGCCCAAGGTCACACAGTGACTGAGGAGCAGACAGAGAAGGGCTCCTGACTCCATCCTGTGCCTTCTAAAGACACTAAAAGCACAGGCTTTGGACAGAGCTATGTCCAAATCCCAGTTCCATCACTGAGCCTTTGGGCCGGTTACTCCACGTATTAGAGCATTCTCATGGTACTATAAAGAACTGCCTGAGATTGGGTAATTTATAAAGGAAAGAGGTTTAATTGACTCACAGTTCCACAGGGCTGAGGAGGCCTCAGGAAACTTACGATCCTGGCAGAAGGGGTAGCAAACACGTCTTTTTCACATGGCGGCAGGAAGGAGAAGTGCCGAGCAAAGGGGAAAAGCTCCTTATAAAACCATCAGATCTTGTGAGAACTCACTCACTATCCTGAGAACAGCATCAGGGTAACAGCCCCCATGATTCAATTACCTCCCAGCGGGTCCCTCCCACGACACATGGGGATTATGGGAACTACAATTCAAGATGAGATTAGGGTGGGGACAGAGCGAGATCGTATCACTTCACTCTCTGAGTCTCAGTTTCCCATCTGTAAAATGGGGGGAAGTATTGCCTTCTTCATAGGAACGCAGTGAAAATTAAATGAGGTAATGTGAAGTGCTTAAACAGCCAGGCACTCTGTCAACAGTTGATAACGGTTGGCTGCTGTCGTCATTTGTGTCCATTACTTCACTGTCATAGTTCTGTGGCTAGAAATGTAGACTCTGGACCCATCGATCTGAATTCTAACATTGTCACTTACCAACTGTGTGACCTTGGGCAGGTTGCTGAAGCTCTCTGTGCCTCAGTTTTCTCACCTACAAAATGGGGATGATATTGATACCAACTTTTTAGAGTTGTTGGGAAGAGTAAATGCATTAACGTGTGAAACGTACTTAAATGACTGACACACAGTAGCTACCTGATATAATCTTCCTCACCATAATATTACCATCCACCTCCTCACCACCATCTTCGATCAGCGAGGGGTAGAGTCTCTTTCTTCCTGGTGACTCTTACCCACCCCCCCGTCTCCTCTGAATGACTATTGCACCCACCCCCACCCACTGCCGCCTGGCCTGGCCCTCAGAGCAAGCCATTGTTGATCTGTAAGGATGCACAGAGAAAATGTGGCCTGCTGGACCCTGAGCTGCTGTGCCAGGGAGGAGGGTGGAAGCCTTGAGGCCAGTTCCCTCAGAGGATCATCCCTCAGGGGTCATCCAGGTCATCAGGCTAGTCAGGGCTGAGGGGAAGAGCACTAGAGCTCCTACTGTGTGCCAGGCACCCCATATAAATTATTATGTTTATTCCTCATAGCCCTCCATACAGTAGATATTGTATTTCCATTTCACAGATGAGAAAACTGAGGCTCAGAGAGGTAAAGAACTTGCCCAGGCCCACAGCATGTCAGCAGCAGGGCTGGATCTGAGCACAGTATTGCCAGGCTTACTGTCTGGCATCGTTCCCAGCAGGCAGCATGTGCTAAATGGGTATCTAGGTCTCTGCAAAGCCACTGCTGGGCTCTGGGTCTCCAGGCTGTCTCCCAGACCCCTACCCATTACAGGAACCCCTTTAGGGGACTGGCAGACTCTGGATCGGATACCAGAGACTATGAGTGTTTCCTCTTATAGAAAATGACCTCTTGAAAGTGGGAATTATCAGGCTTCTCTGAGGACTCCTGGAAGATCCCAGTGGGGCTGAGACCCACCAAGATTGGGGTTGCAGGCTCAGGAGACCTGGGATCTCCTTCAGGCTCCCCTGCTCACAGTTTTGAGGCCTGCTGTCTCTGGGCCTCAGTTTCCTTCTCTGTACAATTAGGGAGCTTGGACCAGATGGTTATTATTTTAACAATAACAGTAGCAGCTGGGACTTACTGGGTCTTGCTGTAGGCTTGCCCAGCAATGAGAATTCTACATGTGTTATTATCACACTTCCTTCCAAGGCATGATCTATTACCCCATTTTATAGATGAGAAAACTGATCCCAGAAAGGTTAGGTGACTCGATCCCAAAATATAGCCCAAAGCTTGTACCCTTTGTTTCTACCAGTTCCTTCGCATCAGGAGAGGGAACCCTCTGTGGCCCCCAAACAGTGATCATCTCCTCTCCGTCCATATTCACAGTGCAAGCAGATCTGTTCTTGAGTGCAGATGTAACAGTGTGAGGGGGGAGAAGAACAGGGACGTTGAGTTGCCAAGAGCAAGGGGCAGCCAGTGCAGGAGGGGACTGGATAAGCATCCTCCACCTCTCATGCTGACTCCCTACCCCGCCCCTCCTCCAACCTGGCTGGCCTCTCCCTGACCCCCGTCTTGCAGGAATCTTAGCAAACGCCAAGCTCACCTTCTGTCCTGGGGCTTGCTCAGCTCAAAAGATCAAACAGTGGGAGATGGTGTCCTGGGCAGATCTGTCCTGGACAGTCAATCAGGGGGCAGCAGCCAGATGTGGAGCCTCCTTCCTGCTGAGGAACTGGGTCTCCTGGAGAGGAAGCAGAGGACTCAGTTCTCTCAGCCTTCCTTCTGGGACTGTCACCTCTGGTCATTCATCACTGTTATTTCTGCAGGGAGGGTGGGTGGCTGAGAGAGTGGGTTGTCGATGGGGCTGGTGGCTGGGTTCCAATTGGGACTCACTGTTTGCCACCCGTGGGGCCTCGGGCTAGTCACTGTGCACCTCTGACCTGCTCACCTGCAAAGTGGTGGCATCATGTCCCTGCCTTGTTGGGGCTGTGGGGAGACTCAGTGGGATAATAGCGGTGTAAATGGCTTTGCTCATCACCTGCACGTGACAAATGCCTGCTCATGGGATTACCAGCCGTCCAGTGCACCAAATGCCTTCCAACCTTGCATAGAGGAGAAGCATCCCAGGCTCCCCACGGAGACTCAGGGAAAGGAAGCCCGTCGCAGTGGTGACAGGGGCAAGCTCGGTGGGAAAGTAGGGGACCGTATCCCCGGGCCCTGTCTGCTGCTAGTCACTGGGGTGGGGCTTTCAGGGTCTCAGCTTTATCCTCAGCGCAGCTCTGTGACATGGATGTCACCAGCCCTGTCTTATAGATAAGGAATCAAAGGCTCAGGGAGGATCATATGGCAGGGAGGGATTCATTCATCACCCAAGGGCTCCTTCCACTGACGACATTCTCAGGGCTGCCCGGGAACCAAGAGGTGGAGATAAGTATCTGGTCTGCCATTGGTGGGGCACTTACAGTGCTGAATGCTCTGCTACACCCACCCCATGGTTACTGACCCCTCACAAGCAGCTGATGACAGGGGCTGTTATCACCCCATTTTACAGATGTGGACACTGAGGCTCAAGAGCTTACGTGGCATTCCTAGGGCATGGCTGCTCAGTGTCGGAACCAAGACTTGGACTCTGCATCTGACAGCAGAGTCCACCCTCCTATCCACCCCTCTAGGCCCCCAGCTACTGTCCCTCTGATCCCTGGAGTCCATGGCCTGGTGGGGGAGCAGCCAGTGAGTACTGTGGCAGGACTTAAACCTGGGTCTGTTTGACCCAGACCTGAGCCCTTAGCCCCAGTGATCCTGGTCTTTAGGAAGCGAGCCCTGGGCAGAGCTGAGCAGCCCCAGAGCCTGAGCCCAAGGCAAGGGCCTTTCCTTGAACTAGACTATCCAGTCACTACAGTCCAGCCTCCCTGACCACCACTCCAGTGGAGTCCTGAACATAGGCTAAGCTTGGGTTGGAGTCCTGTGTGAGCTAGGAAAAGTCTCCAAGCCCCGAAGAGAACGAATGACCTCCTCCCTACAGGATTGCTGTGGGAATGACAGGAGATGAAATGTGAGGGAGCATCCCTCAGCTCACCTGTCAGGTGGATTAATGAGCTGTGTCCTGTAGGACTGTAGTGAGGACCAGATTGGATGCTGCACATGGGGGAACCTGGCACAGGACCTGGAACTCCTACAGGGCTCAACATAGGTCCCTTTGTCCTCCTGCCTTGGCCTGGCCCCCCAGCTCTGGCCTAGACTCCCGAGTCCCTTGCAGGCTTTTCTCTACTTTGCTCCTGGCTCTGAGGTCCCTTGGGTCTCACATCTACCTCTGAACACCAAGGTCATGTAGGGCCCTGGCCTCCTGGGCTGTCCAGGATGCAGAGGAGATCCAGGTGGGGTACAGAGCTGCAGGGTCATGTGGGAAGGATGGCCTCCAGGGCCCTGCATAGTCTGATTTCACCCATCCTTCCACCCCATCCCCCTGCCCAGCTTCAGGCTGCTCCCTCCCGTTTTCAGTTCCCAGGATGTGGAGGAGTCTCTCTCCAACTTCAGACCCTAAGACATTCCTTGCTTCCTCTGCCCTTCATGCCTCCCTACCCCTGTGGCCTTCTCCGGGCTCCCCCAACTATTTGCACCCCCCATCATAGCACTTAAATATTTTGTGCGATTGTGGGTTTATTCGTGGTCTCCCCCACCCTGCTGGGGGCATTTTGCAGGTGGAGACTGTGGCTTGTTGACAGCTGTATGCACAGAAGGCAGCCCAGGGCCTGGCACTCAGTCAGATGAATGAATGAATGAATGAATGAATGAATGAATGAATGAATGGATGGGTGGGTGAATGGATGGAGGAATGAAAAAAACTGCGATGTTGCCTTCAAGTAAACGTTTCATGAATGAGTAAGTGACAAGCATCATTCTTTCAAATACTTAAAGAGCTGCCTTAGGGCAAAGGGAGAAAGGACAAAGTGATCCTGTGTAGCCCCGGGAATTGTATTTAGGACAGAATAAATGTCACAGAGGCAGATTTCAGCTGAAGGCTAAGGAAAGGCTTTCTAACAGGGCTCTCTCAATATGGTGGGTGACTTGCAGGGAGTAAGCTCTCCATCACAGGAGGTATGTAAGCAGAGGCCTGGCAGTGAGGTCTGGTGTCAGTGGCCTAAGAGGTATTTCAGTACTGCACTTGTCAGTCTGGAGTCCTGGCATCAGGGGGTTGTGTGGCCCACTTCTGGGATGATGTGGAACATTTGTTGAGTGTCCTTGTTCCCCTGGCCTTTGATGGGGACAGGACATAGAAGGAGAACATCTTATTGGGGTCTATAAAGGGCTGGAGGCACCTCATATCTCCATTTGCCTGGAAAGTGCCAGACATCTGGTCTCCCAAGACTGTGGACAGGGTAGGGCTGGGACAGAGGCTGTTGCAGGCTTTGGGGTGGGAGGAGAAGGAGGAAGGGGGTACAGAGTAGCCTAGAGGAAAGAGGCAGCTTGGGTGCAGGAGCTGAGCCTGTCCTGGGTCATAGAAGTGCTGGGTGCAGGTCCTGGCAACTCTGGCATCACACTGGCTCGTGCCTTTGGGCTCATCACTTCCCTTCCCTGAGTGTGAGCTCCACTGTCTGTCAAAGGAGAGGCAGACTCAGCGCTCCCCAGCAGTCAGGAGTACCTGTTGATGCTGTGTGTCCTTGGGCAGGTCACTTAATCTCTCTGAGCCTTTGCTTCCACATCTAGAAGTAGAGCTAACAGCAGCCACCCCCACAATCCACAGGGTCATTCTGGAAACCAAGACATATCTGTGATGGAATGTCCCTTTTTTCTTCTCCCTCCCCCCTCCCCACTTCCTTCCTCCCTTCCTCCCTCCCTCCCCTCCTCCCCTCCTTCTCCCTTCCTCCCTTCCTCCCTTCCTTCCTTAATCTTTGTTGTGCACCTACTATGTTCTTCGAAAAGCCTGAACTGAGGCTGGGCGCTGTTGCTCACGCCTATAATCCCGGCACTTTGGGAGGATGAGGAAGGTGGATCATCGAGGTCAGGAGTTCGAGACCAGCCTGGCCAATATGGTGAAACCCCATTTCTACTAAAAATTGTCTGGGCGTGGTGGTGTGCATCTGTAGTCCCAGCTACTCAGGAGGCTGAGACAGGAGAATCGCTTGAACCTGGGAGACAGAGGTTGCAGTGAGCTGAGATTGCACCACTGCACTCCAGCCTGGACGACAGAGCCAGACTCCATCTCAAAAAAAAAAAAAAAAAAAAAGCAAAAAGAAAAGCCTGAACTGTTATCCCCATCCATCGACTGTGTGTGTTTGTATATATTGAGATGACTCCACTTCACCTCCCTGTGCAGCACATCCCTCCTGCTCTGTGACCTGTGGGATGGGGATGGGGACTCCTGCTCTGAGTGCAGACACGGCCTCCTGGGAGCCATGTGCTTGGAGCTGTTCAGGGACCACAGGCCCAGCTCTCATTAAATTCTTCACTCCAGTCTGTACTGCAGGAGACCTCAGAAAAGGCAGGTTTCATGAATGAAACATCAAAATGTTTACCAAGCAGTAAACACCTGACAGCAGTCCTGGTTTCCTGGACGAGGTGACACAGGTGCCCGGTGGACCTGGTTCCTCTGGATGCTCCCTTGGGAACCTCTGGGCATAGCCTCATGGCTGGTGCCACCCCCCATCCCTGAGCATGGGGACCCGTGGGAACCCTGTATTGAGCACCCCTGTGCGGGGACTCACCGAGCGTGGGACAGGGCTGTGGTCACCCCAGGTACAGAGGAGCCACCGGGTCACAGGGGCCAAGCCACAGCCCAGGGCCCCAGCGAAAAGGCAGTGGGGCCAGGAGGGGATTGAGGCAGGCTGGTTTGGAGCCCACCACAGGCCTCAGCTCTGCTGGTGGATGAGGGTCAGGGAAGTTTGCAGGTGGACAGAGGCAGGAAGGCTAAATTGCCCTCTTAGGCTGGGCACCAAGCAGACCCTTGACACCCCTCATCTCTAGCCTCCCACCTTCCCTGTGAGATGGGCATCATGCTGTTTCCCAGCCAAGGAAACCAAGGTTCTGAGGTCACCCAAGGCCACATGGAAGTGGGAGAGGACAAGGACAGGCGGAAGGGTGGACAGGCCAGGCCAATCTCTTGTGTGTGTTTCTCTGTTGCTCTCTTTCTGTACCTACCCATTCTCTCTCTCCCTTTCTTTCTCTCTCTCTCTCTCTAACACACACACACACACACACACACACACACACACACCACACACACTCTTCCCCAGTGGCTTCTGGCCCCTCTCCTAGCACCTTCCCACTGCCTGGGTGCCCGGCCCTTCTCTGGGCAGAAACCCAGGGGCTGGCCGGGCTCCAGGTGTCTATTTTGCTCTGGCCCAGACACAGAAGCAGAGCAGGAGCCCCTGAGTGTGGGGAGCAGGGGCAGAGCCAGAACTCAGCGGGAGCGTCCTGGCCTGGACCTGAACCTGCGAGGAAGGTTTGGATTTTCAAAGCTAAGGCATGCTGCATGTTTTACTTTAAGTGTTTTCTTGTTCCTTCTCACTGGCTGGTGCCTCCCTCCCTCCCAGGTCACGAAAAGATGTTCCATCAAAAGCAAAGAGGTGATCGCACAGTTTTAAGTGTCAAAGTCAAAGCTCCATCAACGTGATCACATTGAATTCTCTGAGCCCGGTAAGGTCAGGTCATTGCTCCCATTTACAACCAAGAAAACCAAGGCCAAGGTGGGAAGTGAATTGCTGGAGGCCACAAGTTCATTCCATTACTAAGTCACCCAGACCTCTGCCCTGACCTCTAGCCCTTCCTCTTCCCCACTGTCCCATGACAGCTCTGAAATCAGCTCTGGTTTTTTTTTTTTTGGTCTTTAAGACAATAATAATCTGTGAAGTATGTTGGGAAGGTCCTAGGGGACCAGCCAGGCACAAATAAGGAAGCTGGTCCTTGCCAGTGGTCACTTCCTGAATGTGGTGGTGGCCAGTACTGGGGTGACTCTCTGAGGGGCAAGATGAGGTGTTGATATATGACTTCCTTGGGCTCAGCCAGAGCTGTCTCCAGCCTCCAGAAGGGTGACCAGACTCCAGAACTTTTTCTTACCCAGAAAGCCCCGGTGCTCCCTTCACTAAGAGCATTCAGGCTCCGTGACTTTCTTCTCAGGGTCATGGGGTCTTCAGGCTGCCCTGGGTCCAGCCCCACCCAATGCAGTTCTGCCTGCACACCCGGGGGTGAGCCCAACCCCCGCCTCTCCTTTCTGGGCAGTACTGGGGACTCCTGGAGGCCGGGCTGAGTGTGCTTCACTCTCTGTAGGGAAAGTATCCCTGGGAGGCTCTGGGGCCCTCAGGGAAGGGGCTGATGGGGGCCAGTCCTTGCCCTCCTATGGAGCCAGCATCCCTTTGAGCTTGCCTCTGGGGTCTTCTGGGACAAAGTCCAGGAAATTGGAGCTAATAAGGCCGGTCTTATGGGTCATGATCAGGATTCAAGAGTCAGAGTGTCTAGTCCTGTCCATGCTTGGCTATTATTAGTCCTCTGACCTTCTTTGTGCCTCAGTTTCTGCCTCTGTAAAATGGGGATAATCATTGCTTTCTGGTAGGCTTGTTGTGAGCAGTAAATGGATGAATTCGTGTGAATCCTGAAGGCAGTGCCCGGTGCCTCGATAGTCAGCGTTCAGTGAGTCGCAGTGTTGTTGTTATTGTTCTTATTTGGCACCACGTTTCCAGGCACAGTTTGCAGGATGACAGCTTGGGGAAGTAGCTAGAGCTTCTGATTTTCATGTTTAATGCATCTAAGTTTAGGGCTTGGAGCAGGAGAGGACATCGCCATCTGGAGGCAGAGACTCAGTTCTCTGCATCCAACTGAGATGCACTGAAATGCTTCCATTGGCAACTGGGGAGCAGGCATGAAGACAGGGCCAGATGGGACCCCCAGGGATAAGGAAATGAGGTGGAGGGACACAGACGGGCAGCAGCGGGGCAGCTGGCCAGAGAGGCTCCCTTCAGCCCCCACACCTTCCCTCCACTGAGTGAGTCAACCTGGGCAGGCCCCAGAAACTGGAACATTGAAAAGAACATTAGTGTCCAGCATGTCCCCCATTTTACAGATGAGGCCCCAAGAGTGGAAGATCCTTGCCCAAGGTTATACAGCAAATCATTGTCCAGGCTAGGCTGAGGCCCCAGGTTTCCTGACTCCCTGTCTAGTGCCCTTTCTCCTTAGAGAGTCAGGAGAGATGAAACTGAGAGGGGCAGGGCTGACCCCCAGGGCTCCTTAACCTAGGGGTCTCTGAGAGAGGCAGGGCTGACCTCTGGGGCTACTTAGAAGCCATCAACCCAGGGTTCTCTGGGTGGAGCTTGTGACCTGGACCTCATTATCAGGGTAGGTGAATGACTCCTGTCAGTCAGATGGGGATGCTGAGGCTGAGAGAGGGCCAGGCTGGCTCAGGTGGCTTGGCAGGTAAGCAACAGGCAGGGTCTTAGGTTAAGAGCTCTTATCTCTAAGCACAGCCAGCATCCCCGAGCTGATACCTTTCATTTAAAATCTCACCTAGAGCTTTGGAGACAAAGCCGATTTTATTACAGCTTTCATGTCTTGCACAAACCATGCCCACACGCCTGTCGTCTTGTAATTATTCTTGTACCTCTCTCTGTCTCTGGGGTCTCGAGGCTCCTCCAGGCTTGTGCAGCCTCTCCTCCCACTGCCAGGCTCCCAGGGCTAACCCTCAGTGTGGCATAAAGTGCTGCATTATTTATTTCCTAATAAAAAGACAGCTTGGGTGACCCGATGGGAGATTAAAATGGATTTACTATGAGATGATTGACCATAAAACTGCAGGTTAAATCAACATGAGACGAGGTGGGGGACAAGGAGATAGAAAGTAAAGGACAGGAGCTGCTGGTGACATTAGTCAAGGGGGTTCACATTCGCACAGGTGACCAGGATTACTGTTGCCTTCAAGCTTCCTTCCAGAGAAGGCTGTGGGGGTGGCCTGGAACGAATTCTCCCACTGTGTGGCTCCAGGTGCGTCCCTTATAGTCTCAGAACCTCAGCTTCCCTATTTACTGAATACAGAGACCGAAGTAGAGGCTTCTTGCTTGGTATGAGTGGAAAGAGCATGGTCTCTGACACCAGATAGGCTGGGGCCTGGGTTCCAGCGTGCTGGGTCCCGGGAGTGGCACTAGGCAGACAACTTCTCGAAAGTTCTCTTTTCTTTCCATGGAGATGGCAGTAATAATGGTGATGTTCGTGATAATGATGATGATTATTATTCTAGTAATAATAATAATAATAGTGATAGCATAGCTAACATTCATCAACGGCTTAACTACACTTTAATACACTTAGAAAAACATCACGTGTTCTTAGTCTTTCACATACATAGAATCATACAGCCCTCACAACCACCCTGTGGGTACTATTGTTATTTCCATCTTGCAGAGGAGGTGGATTTCCCCACAAGGTACGGTAGCACCCCAGAGAGCAGATTGCTGGCAAGCCTGTTTGGCACCACAGTGGGTTTCCTGCTTGCCAACCTCAGCTTGTGGAATCTCAGAAACTTCCTTACCATTCAGTGGCTACAGCCACACCCTCTCCAGTGAGGTCTGAATCATAGCACGGGAGTGGGAGTTCTTTCAAATTTGTTTATCCCTTGAGTACTCTGCCTCAACTCCACATATTGGCTATGTCTGCCTAGCATTCTCTTTACTCCTTAGTAATTAATGCCATCATTAGGCAATCATTCTTCTCTCTCTTTTTTTTTTAGAGGGGCGTCACATTCTGTTGCCAAGGCTGGAGTGTAGTGGTGCAATCATGGCTCACTGCAGCTTTGAACTCCTGGGCTAGGCAATTCTCCCACCTCAGCTTCCCGAGTAGCTGGGATTACAAGCTTGAGCCACTGCTCCCAGCTCTAGGCAATAATTCTTTATATCAGGCTTTTCCTGATAAAATTACTGTGTGATCCTGCCTTCTGACTAGATCCCAACTGACATAGAATTGGTACTAAGACTGGTGCTGGGATATAGACTAGCAACGATGGTATTTATAATTTTTAACTAAACTTTAAAATGATAAAAAACCATTCTTAGCTCATGAGCCATGCAAAAATAAACCGTGGGTTAGATTAGTTTGTCAACCCCTGGCTTGGAGATACAGTCTGATGTGGTTTGGATCTGTGTCCTCACCAAATCTCATGTCAAATTGTAATCGCCTGTGTTGGAGGTGGGGCCTGGTGGGAGGTGATTGGATCATGGGGTCAAAGTTTTCATGAATAGGCTAGCACCATCCCTTAGGTGCCGTTCTTGTGATAGTGAGGGAGTGAGTTATCATGAGATCTGGTTGTTTAAAAGTATGTATCACCTCCCTCCTCTCTCTTCCTTTTGCTCCAGCCATGCAAGATGTACCAGCTTCCCCTTTGCCTTCCACCATGATTGTAAGTTTCCTGAAGCCTCCCCAGAAGCTGATGCTGCCAGACTTCCTGTACAGCCTGCAAACTGGGTAATTTATAAAGAAAAGAAGTTTAATTGAATTAAAAAGTTAATTAACTTTTCCTTATAAATTACCAAGTCTCAGGTATTTCTTTATATAATTTTTTGTGAGAATTGGTACCAGGAGTGGGATATTGCTATAAGGATACCTGAAAATGTGGAAGCGGCTTTGGAACTGGGTAACAGACAGAGGTTCTAAGAATTTAGAGGGCTCAGAAGAAGATAGAAAGATGAGGGAAAATGTGGAACTTCCTAGAGACTTGTTAAATTGTTGTGACCAAAATGCTGATAGTGATATGGACAACAAAGTCCAGGCTTAAGAGGTCTCAGATGGAGATGATGAAATTACTGGGAACTGGAGTAAAGGTCACTTTTGCTATGCTTTAGCAACGAGCTTGGCTGTATTGTGCCCCTGCTCTAGGGATCTGTGGAACTTTGAACTTGAGAGTGGTTATTTAGGGTATCTGGTGGAAGAAATTTCCAAGCCATAAAACATTCAAGATGTGGCCTGGCTGCTTCTTTTATATATATATTTATTATACTTTCAGTTCTAGGCTACATGTGCACAATGTGCAGGTTTGTTACATATGTATATATGTGCCATGTTGGTGTGCTGCACCCACTAACTTGTCATTTAACATCAGGTATATCTCCTAATGCTATCCCTCCCCCCTCCCCCCACCCCACAACAGGCCCTGGTGTGTGATGTTCCCCTTCCTGTGTCCAAGTGTTCTCATTGTTCAATTCCCACCTATGAGTGAGAACATGCAGTGTTTGATTTTTTGTCCTTGTGATAGTTTGCTGAGAATGATGGTTTCCAGCTTCATCTATGTCCCTACAAGAGACATGAACTCATCCTTTTTCATGGCTGCATAGTATTCCATGGTGTATATGTGCCACATTTTCTTAATCCAGTCTATCATTGTTGGACATTTGGGTTGGTTCCAAGTCTTTGCTATTGTGATAGTGCTGCAGTAAACATACATGTGCATGTGTCTTTATAGCAGCATGATTTATAATCCTTTGGGTATATACCCAGTAATGGGATGGCTGGGTCAAATGATATTTCTAGTTCTAGATCCCTGAGGAATCACCACACTGTCTTCCACAATGGTTGAACTAGTTTACAGTCCCACCAACAGTGTAAAAGTGTTCCTATTTCTCCACATCCTCTCCAGCACCTGTTGTTTCCTGACTTTTTAATGATCGCCATTCTAACTGGTGTGAGATGATACCTCATTGTGGTTTTGACTTGCATTTCTCTGATGGCCAGTGATGATGAACATTTTTTCATGTGTCTGTTGGCTGCATAAATGTCTTCTTTTGAGAAGTGTCTGTTCATATCCTTTGCCCAATTTTTGATGGGGTTGTTTGTTTTTTTCTTGTAAATTTGTTTGAGTTCTTTGTAGATTCTGGATATTAGCCCTTTGTCAGATGAGTAGATTGCAAAAATTTTCTCCCATTCTGTAGGTTGCCTGTTCACTCTGATGGTAGTTTCTTTAGCTGTGCAGAAGCTCTTTAGTTTAATTAGATCCCATTTGTCAATTTTGGCTTTTGTTGCCATTGCTTTTGGTGTTTTAGACATGAAGTCCTTGCCCATGCCTATGTCCTGAATGGTATTGCCTAGGCTTTCTTCTAGGGTTTTTATGGTTTTAGATCTAACATTTAAGTCTTTAATCCATCTTGAATTAATTTTTGTATAAGGTGTAAGGAAGGGATCCACTTTCAGCTTTCTACATATGGCTAGCCAGTTTTCCCAGCACTGTTTATTAAATAGGGAATCCTTTCCCCATTTCTTGTTTTTGTCAGGTTTGTCAAAGATCAGATAGTTGTAGATGTGTGGTATTATTTCTGAGGGCTCTGTTCTGTTCCATTGGTCTATATCTCTGTTTTGGTACCAGTACCATGCTGTTTTGGTTACTGTAGCCTTGTAGTATAGTTTGAAGTCAGGTAGCGTGAAGTCAGGTATGTTCTTTTCGCTTAGGATTGACTTGGCAATGCGGGCTCTTTTTTGGTTCCATATGAACTTTAAAGTAGTTTTTTCCAATTCTGTGAAGAAAGTCATTGGTAGCTTGATGGGGATGGCATTGAATCTATAAATTACCTTGGGCAGTATGGTCATTTTCATGATATTGATTCTTCCTGTCCACGAGCATGGAATGTTCTTCCATTTGTTTGTGTTCTCTTTTAATTCACTGAGCAGTGGTTTGTAGTTCTCCTTGAAGAGGTCTTTCACATCCCTTGCATGTTGGATTCCTAGATATTTTGTTCTCTTTGAAGCAATCGTGAATGGGAGTTCACTCATGCTTTGGCTCTCTGTTTGTCTGTTATTGGTGTATAAGAATGCTTGTGATTTTTGCACATTGATTTTGTATCCTGAGACTTTGCTGAAGTTGCTTATCAGCTTAAGGAGATTTTGGGCTGAGACGATGGGGTTTTCTAGATATACAATCATGTCATCTGCAAACAGGGACAATTTGACTTCCTCTTTTCCTAATTGAATACCCTTTATTTCTTTCTCCTGCCTGATTGCCCTGGCCAGAACTTCCAACACTATGTTGAATAGGAGTGGTGAGAGAGGGTATCCCTGTCTTGTGCTGGTTTTCAAAGGGAATGCTTCCAGTTTTTGCCCATTCAGTATGATATTGGCTGTGGGTTTGTCATAAATAGCTCTTATTATTTTTAGATAAGTCCCATCAATACCTAATTTATTGAGAGTTTTTAGCATGAAGCGCTGTTGAATTTTGTCAAAGGCCTTTTCTGCATCTGTTGAGATAATCATGTGGTTTTTGTCTTTGGTTCTGATTATATGCTCGATTACATTTATTGATTTTCGTATGTTGAACCAGCCTTGCATCCCAGGGATGAAGCCCACTTGATCATGGTGGATAAGCTTTTTGATGTGCTGCTGGATTCGGTTTGCCAGTATTTTATTGAGGATTTTTGCATGGATGTTCATCATGGATATTGGTCTAAAATTATCTTTTTTTGTTGTGTCTCTGCAAGGCTTTGGTATCAGGACGATGCTGGCCTCATAAAATGAGTTAGGGAGGATTCCCTCTTTTTCTATTGATTGGAATAGTTTCAGAAGGAAAGGTACCAGCTCCTCCTTGTACCTCTGGTAGAATTCGGCTGTGAATCCGTCTGGTCCTGGACTTTTTGGTTGGTAAGCTATTATTGCCTCAGTTTCAGAGCCTGTTATTGGTCATTAAGAGATTCAACTGCTTCCTGGTTTAGTCTTGGGAGGGTGTATGTGTCGAGGAATTTATCCATTTTTTCTAGATTTTCTAGTTTATTTGCGTAGAGGTGTTTATACTATTCTCTGATGGTAGTTTGTATTTCTGTGGGATTGGTGGTGATATCCCCTTTGTCATTTTTTATTGCACCTATTTGATTCTTCTCTCTTTTCTTCTTTATTAGTCTTGCTAGTGGTCTGTCAATTTTGTTGATATTTTCAAAAAACCAGCTCCTGGGTTCATTGTTTTTTTTGAAGGGTTTTTTGTGTCTCTATCTCCTTCAGTTCTGCTCTGATCTTAGTTATTTCTTGCCTTCTGCTAGCTTTTGAATGTGTTTGCTCTTGCTTCTCTAATTCTTTTAATTGTGAAATTAGGGTCTCAATTTTAGTTCTTTCCTGCTTTCTCTTGTGGGCATTTAGTGCTATAAATTTCCCTCTACACACTTCTTTAAATGTATCCCAGAGATTCTGGTATGTTGTGTCTTTGTTCTTGTTGGTTTCAAAGAACGTCTTTACTTCTGCCTTCATTTCATTATGTACCCAGTAGTCATTCAGGAGCAGGTTGTTCAGTTTCCATGTAGTTGAGCGGTTTTGAGTGAGTTTCTTAATCCTGAGTTCTAGTTTGATTGCACTGTGGTCTGAGAGACAGTTTGTTATAATTTCTGTTCTTTTACATTTGCTGAGGAGTGCTTTACTTCCAATTATGTGGTCAATTTTGGAATAGGTGCAGTGTGATGCTGGGAACAATGCATATTCTGTTGATTTGGGGTGGAGAGTTCTGTAGATGTCTATTAGGTCTGCTTGGTGCAGAGCTGAATTCAATTCCTGGATATCCTTGTTAACTGTCTGTCTCATTGATCTGTCTAATGTTGACAGTGGGGAGTTAAAGTCTCCCATTATTATTGTGTGGGAGTCTAAGTCTCTTTGTATGTCTCTAAGGACTTGCTTTATGAATCTGGGTGCTCCTGTATTAGGTGCATATATATTAGGATAGTTAGCTCTTCTTGTTGAATTGATCCCTTTACCATTATGTAATGGCCTTCTTTGTCTCTTTTGATCTTTGTTGGTTTAAAGTCAGTTTTATCAGAGACTAGGATTGCAACCCCTGCTTTTTTTGTTTTCCATTTGCTTGGTAGATATTCCTTCATCCCTTTATTTTGAGCCTATGTGTGTCTCTGCAAGTGAGATGGGTTTCCTGAATACAGCACATTGGTGGGTCTTGACTCTTTATCCAATTTGCCAGTCTGTGTCTTTTACTTGGAACATTTAGCCCATTTCCATTTAAGGTCAATACTGTTATGTGTGAATTTGATCCTGTCATTATGTTAGCTGGTTATTTTGCTCGTTAGTTGATGCAGATTCTTCCTAGCATCGATGGTCTTTACAATTTGGCATGTTTTTGCAGTGGCTGGTACCAGTTGTTCCTTTCCATGTCTAGTGCTTCCTTCAGGAGCTCTTGTAGGGCAGGCCTGGTGTGACAAACTCTCTCAGCATTTGCCTGTCTGTAAAGTATTTTATTTCTCCTTCACTTTTGAAGCTTAGTTTGGCTGGATATGAAATTCTGTCCGTTCTCAGATCTCAAACTCCATGCTGGGAGAACCACTACTCTCTTCAAAGCTGTCAGACAGGGACATTTAAGTCTGCAGAGGTTTCTGCTGCCTTTTGTTTGGCTATGCCCTGCCCCCAGAGGTGGAGTCTACAGAGGCAGGCAGGCCTCCTTGAGCTCCAGTGGGCTCCACCTAGTTTGAGCTTCCCGGCCACTTTGTTTACCTACTCAAGCCTCAGCAATGGCGGATTCTCCTCCCCGAGCCTCACTGCCACCTTGCAGTTCGATCTCAGACTGCTGTGCTAGCAATGAGCAAGGCTCCGTGGGCATGGGACCCTCCGAGCCATGCGTGGGATATAATCTCCTGGTGTGCCATTTGCTAACACCATTGGAAAAGCGCAGTATTAGGGAGGGAGTGACCCGAATTTCCAGGTGCCATCTGTCACAGCTTTGCTTGGCTATGAAAGGGAATTCCCTGACCCCTTGCGCTTCCTGGGTGAGGCGATGCCTCACCTTGCTTTGGCTCACACTTGGTGGGCTGCACTCACTGTCCTGCACCCACTGTCCAACAAGCCCAGTGAGATGAACCCGGTACCTCAGCTGGAAATGCAGAAATCACCTGTCTTCTGCATCGCTCACGCTGGAAGCTGTAGACTGGAGCTGTTCCTATTCGGCCATCTTGGAACTGCTCCCCCAGCCTGGCTGCTTCTAACAACCTATGCTCACATGATTGATCAGAGAAATGACCTGAAACTGGAACTTATATTTAAAAGGGAAGCAGAGTGTAAAAGTTTGGAAAATTTGCAGCCTGGCTATGTGGTAGAAAAGAAAAACCCATTTTCAGGGGAGGAGTTCAAGCAGGCTACAGAAATTTGCATAGGTAAAGAGGAGCCAATTGCTAATAGCCAAGACAATGGGGAAAGGGCCTCAAAGGCATTTCAGAGACCTTTGAGGCAGCCCCTCCTATCACAGTCCCAGAGGCCTAGGAAGACAGAATGGTTTAATGGGCTAGGCCCAGGGCTCCCGCTGCCCTGCACAGCCTCAGGATACTACTCCCTGCATTCCAGTCACTCCAGCTCCCGCTGTGGCTCAAGGGAGCCCAGGTGCAGCTTGGGTTGCTGCTTCAGAGGTTGTAAGCCATAAGCCTTGGTGGCTTCCAAGTGGTATTAAGCCTGTATGTGTGTAGAGTGCAAGAGTTGAGGCTTGGGAGCCTCTGCCTAAATTTCAGAGGAGGTATGGAAAAGCCTGGATGTCCAGGCAAAAGGCTGCTGCAGGCAGTGTGGAGGGGAAATGTGGGGTTGGGGTCCCTTGAGCACTAATACACTGCCCATTGGAGAAAAGGAAATACCCAGAGCTTTTAGGGATTACTGGATACTGGCTATGAATTGATGACAAATCCTGAGGACCCAACATACCACTGTGGTCCATGAATCAAAATGTGGATTACAATGGCCAGCAGATGGATGGAGCCTTATTTCAAATTCATCTCACAAAAGGTCAAGTCAGTTATTTCCTTTGTTTCTGAAAGCCCAATTGGAATAGACATACAGAGAAGCTGGTGGAATTCCCACTTAGGCTCTCTGACCCATGAGGTGATGATACTATGGTAGGAAGGGCTAGGTAGATGGCCCTGGAACTTTCCCTCCCTAGAAAGATAGTAAACTTGAAGTGATTATACTTCCCTGGGGGGAAGAGGGATTGTGAAGATTAATACCACTGCAAACTGGAAAGAAGCAGGGATGCTTCTCAATAGAGGCATTATTAATCCAATTGACTTGCTCAGAAGTTAGATGGGTCTTAGAGAATGACTGTGGAAGGTTGTAAACTTAATCAGGTGGTTACTCCAATTGCAGCTACTTTTCTAGATATATTCTTTTTGCTGAAGCAAATATGTATGGCCTCTGGCAGTTGGAATGCAACTACTGACCTGCTTAATGCCTTTTCTCTATACCAATTTTGTAAGAACCACTAGAAGTGTTTCTTTTTTTTTTTTTTTAACCTGGCAAGACCAATAGTGCACTGTCAGAATCTTGCCTAAGGACTAAGGGGAGAATTCCTCCCTAAGTGGGGCTGACAGCTCTCCTGCTATCTCTCATTGCATAGTCTGATGAGATCTTGGCTGTTTTGACATTCCACAAAACATCACTACATTGGTCTACTACATTGATGACATTATGCTGATTTGATCTGATGAGAAGGATAACTAAGGATAAGAAGTAAATCCTACCAAAATCCAGTAGTTGGCTACCTCAGTGAAGTTTCTGGGGCTTTAATGGTCTGAAGTATGTTGAGATATCTCCTTCTGGCAGAAAGACAAGTCCCTGCACCTTACATTACCTGTCACGAAAAAAGAGGCACAATGCTTCCTAGGCCTTTTGGATCTTGGAGGCAACATATACCATATTCGAATGTGCAACTTTGATCCAACAACAGGGTCAATCACCAATTCTAAGTGGAAAATATAGGAAGGGAAGTCTCTGTAGCAATTCTAGGCTGCAGTGCAAACTGTTTTACCCCTTTGGCCTTATGAGATAACAGTTCCAACAACACTCAAAGCATCTGTGGCCAAAAAGGATGCTGTTTGGAGCCTCTGGCCAGCACCAGTTGGAGAATCACACTGCAGATTTCCAGGATTTTGTGGCAAATCTACGCCCAGTGCCTGAGGTGGCCTCTCCTGACTCCCTGCTGTGTGGCACTACCCTGCAGGTGTAGGTGCAAAGGGCAGGGCCAGGGAACTTGTGCTGTTGGGGCAGAGCAGCCTACTGGTTAGGACTACTGAGTTTCAGATGGCTGGTGGAGAGTTCGAGTTCCAACTCTGTCACTCACTAGCTGTGTGTCCTTATACAAGTTACTTTACCTGTCTGTGCCATGTTTTTCCATCTGTAGAGTAGGGGCTAGGAGCTTCACACTGTAGGGCTATTGCAGAGATTGTCCTTGTAGAGCCACACTTTAAGCAGGCTTTGTTCTAGGTGCTCTGTTTAATCAACTCAATATTCCTCAAGGGCCATTATGAAGGAGGCACTATTATTCTTCTTCTCAGTTTTAGATAGGTACACTGGGCACAGAGCTGTTAGGTAACTCCCCCTGGATCCAAAGGTGTGAGTGGAGGAGCTGGTCCTGGAACCCAGACCAGATGGATCCAGAATCTTTGATCTCAAATACTGGGCTATAAAATGCACATAGGGACTTCATATGGGGCCTGGACCACCCTAAGCCAATTTCTTCAAGAATGGTCTGCCAGAATTACCTAGGTTGACGAGGGTATTTTCTGTTTAAAATACAAATTCCTTGCCCCCACTGCATACTAAGTCAGAATCTCTGGGTGGAGCCTGGGAGCCTGCATTTTGATCCCCCTCACCCCACAGCAGGTGATTTTTCAGCAAACTAAAGACAGAGAACCAAGGACCAAGGGTGCAATGAAATAGATTATGTTTTCATCTCATGCATTTCCAGCTACAAAGCTGAAGCTCTGGGCTCTAGAATAAGCCCTGCTGCAAACAACCTGCAGTATTGACTTAGATGGGTTACCTGCATTGCCTTGTCTCAGTTTTCCTATCTGTGCAGTGTGGATCTTGGTCCCCACTCTGCCCACCTTGCAGGAGGTGATGATGGATGAATGGAGAGTTTGAGTCCCAGCTTTGTTACTCACTAGCTATGTGTCTTTTCTTTTTTATTTTTTTTGAGATGGAGTCTCACTCTGTCGCCCAGGCTGGGGTGCAGTGGCACGATCTCCGCTCACTGCAAGCTCCGCCGCCCAGGTTTATGCCATTCTCCTGCCTCAGCCTCCTGAGTAGCTGGGACTACAGATGCCCGCCACCACGCCCGGCTAATTTTTTGTATTTTTAGTAGAGATGGGGTTTCACCATTTTAACCAGGATGGTCTCGATCTCCTGACCTCATGATCTGGCCGCCTCGGCCTCCCAAAGTGCTGGGATTACAGGCATGAGCTACTGTGCCTGGCCAACTCACTAGCTATGTGTCTTTATGCAGTCACTTTACTTTTCTGTGACACATTTCCTCATCTGAAGAGTGGGGCTAGGAGCTCTACATTGTAGGGCTGTTGCAAAGCTTGTCATTACAAAGCCACATTTTGTGCAGGCGTTATTGTCAGATGTCCTTGGGTAACAGGGCAGGCACCAGAGTCACTCTGACTGGAGACTGGATGCCAGTGCTGTTGTAGCTGACGCCACTGACCATGTCACGTGCCCTCTGAGCCTCAGTTTCCTCATCCATAAGATGGATATCATAATCCCTACCCTACATTGGTTATGATGATATTTAATAAGGCAGCAGATATGAGAGCCCAGGGAACACAAATCCCTGTCCCTCCATAAAATATAATTTATTATGTATTTTATCTGTTCTAGTTTCCAAAACTTCCAAGGACATCCAACACCCACAGGTAACTCTCATTCCAGAGTTTTGCTGAGGCTAAGATTGAATCAGAAAGGTATCTTTCTCCCTCTCTTTTCCCAACTCAGTGAGAGCAGGATGAGGAGCTGAAATAACCGCCCAGGCACTGCTGGGATAGAAACCACAGCTGAACAGAAACAGCAGCCTTAGATTTTCTTAAAGTTGAGTGGTGTCTGATGAGCTGCAATTAGCCTCATTTTCCAGGTGTGTCCTACAATAACCTAAAGGCATAAACTCTGTCCCTTCCCTCTACTTCACCCCTCCCAAGCCTGACCCTGGCCCTGGGCCCTGAGGGCCAGCAAGCCCAGTGATCTGCCTCCTCCCACATTTTCTGCTCGCTCGGTCATGGAGGAGGGAGGGACAGAGTTCACTAGAAGTGGCAGGACCCCAGCTCTGCTCTCTGGGTTTGTTACAAAAGAGGTGACCGAGGGTCATCCCAAAATGCCTCAGTTTCCCCAAGTTTGTCTTTGGAAGGGCAAAGAGGGAACAGCTTAGAGATGCCTTGGCTGGAAAGGCAGTCTAGGCTTACTGACTGACCAGCTGTCCTCAGAGATGTCCCCATCCCAGCCCTGCCTCCTTTGGCCCCTGGAGTCATTGGCACAGCCAGGAGCACAGTGTCCTTACCCTCTCTATACCCCTCTTTCACATAAGCCGGGAGGAGTCTTGGTCGGCCGGATTCTGGGCTCTCCGCCTGCAAAGGCCGAGTCTGAGTGGTCACCTGGAGAGGAGGGAGGGGCCAGGCTTTGGAGCAGGGCCCCTGAGATCTAACCCTGGGCAGCTCCAGGATTCCAGCACAGGAGATCCTGGGGGATGCCTGGGGGAAGCCAGAGCTCTTGTCTTGAAGCTATGTTTTACCTTAGGCAATGAATTTATTTAAGAAGGCTTGTGGGGGGAGAATGATGAAGGTTATTGGGGTGTTCTGAGGCTTATATCAGGCCTTGGGGCCCACTGGTTGGCATCCTGACTCTACCATGTCCCAGCTGCGTAACCTCAGTTCTGTAACTCCACCTGTCTGATATTTGACTTCTTCTGTCAAATGGGACTGGCAATGGCCACTGCACAGGACTGGGGTAGATGCAATGAGATGTCTGCCAAAGGCCAGGTAAAGAGCCAGGCCCATGGTGGTCACCAGAGGGTGGCCGGTCACAGTCATCATGGTCTGTGGCTGCAGTGACTCCTGGACCCCAACCAGAGTTCTCTGGACAGAAAAAGTGGAGTTTATGTGCAAAATTTATGTGCAAAGGGGCTGACAGGCTGTGAAGATGCAGGTAACATCTGCCTTTCTGGAAAATTCCTGACCTGGGCAACAATCTCAATACTGACCAGTCCTGACATCTCCACAGTGAGGAGGGCACACCTGTTCGCAGTTACCTGGCTGGGGTGGGGCTGGGGCGGTCGGTCAGGGGGAGAGCATGTGACTCAGCGGAGGAAAACACAAACCACAGAGCAGCCTTTTAGCTCGTACTGTTTGCTTTGAGATGATTCTGAAAGTAATGCATAAAGAGGAAAGTATCAGTTGCCCGAAATCCTACTCCTTAGAGATGACCATTGTTTATATTATGGCCATTGTGAATATATTTTAAGTTTTCTTCTATGCACATGACTATAAATCAAGTTCCTGTTTGTCTGTGATCCCAGCAGGTGAAAATGGCTCTGTAGGTTTTCATCAAATTTGGAGGCTTCATTTGGATGATCTGACTTGAAAGCAGTGAGGCCTCCTCAAAATTCACTGGTGTGGGGCATGGGGCATCACAAAGAATTAACAGCCACCAAGAAGTGCAACTGAAACTAGGGACCAGAGAAGCCTGTGAGGCTGGTCTCGACCTGCCATCCATATCAGATGCAATGGATGGAGAGAACAGATGGAAAGATGGAAGCTTCACCTGCCACCTGCCATGAGTCACAGGGGCAGGTGCACTGACTTATGATCAAGCGGCTTCTTGCCCAGGCAACTCCACGCAAATAGGCAGCAGCAGGGAGATATTTATCCAGGCACAGTTGATTAAGCTCCTGAGCAATGCAGGGGCAGCCACCTGCTGCCAATGTGTGTGCGTGAGTGTGCACATACCCGTGTAAGTACGATTTTTAATTGGGGTCATCCTGCACATACAACTTTAAGTCCTTTCCCCCTTCTCCTTTTGTCATAAGTGTTTGCTCCACATTATTCAATGTGGGCAGGAATTGAGTTTTGCATCCTAGGCACTGGCCGCAAGTAGGAGGTTGGGAACCTGGTGTCTGCTGAGTGCCACACCATCATCAATGACAGTGAGCACATGTCACACGCACTGTATACCAGGCCCTGTCTCAGATGCTTTACATTGGTGTATCAGCCTCATCCCTATTCTACAGCTGAGGAAATTCAGGCCCAGGGGGTTAAATAGCTTCCCCAGGGCCACACAGCCAGGGAGTAGCAGAGCCAGGATCTGAATCCAGCTGTCTGGCTGCAGGGCTCCTATAGACTGCACACCTGCTGCACGCTGGAATCTTTCGATAAACAGCATCCTCTTAGTCTTTACAGACTTACTGCAAAGTAGATGGCAGGTGAAAAAACATAAAAATCTTAACACTTCCAGTATTTTTTTTTTTTTTTACAAATCAAGAGGGAATAGGGAAAGATTATGACATAAGAACCCCGGGAAGCACGTGCTAGTGCTATTATGATCTACTCAGCATGGTGGCTCCTCTGGGTCCAGCTCTCTTTGGCTTCCTCCTGTGAGCCTGAAGCTGGAATTGTCCTTTAAAACCCAATCTGGTGGTTGGGAGGAGAAATCAGCACAGCCTTTGGAGGGTGATTTGACCTCATGAATTAAGAAACTTAAAAACACGTGCACTCTGTGGCCAGAAACTCAGCCCCCTTGATAGGTTTATCCCATGGGAACAAATTAAGAAGCGCACTAATTAGGGCCAGGCATGGTGGCTCACACCTGTAATCCCAGCATTTTGGGAGGCCGAGGCGGGCGGATCACGAGGTCAGGAGATCGAGACCATCCTGGCTAACAAGTATCTACTAAAAAAAAATTTAAAAAAATTAGCTGGGCTTGGTGGCGGGCGCCTGTAGTCCCAGCTACTCAGGAGGCTGAGGCAGGAGAATGGCGTGACTCTGGGAGGCAGAGGTTGCAGTGAGCCGAGATCGTGCCTCTGCACTCCAGCCTGGGCAACACAGCAAGACTCCGTCTCAAAAAAAAAAAAAAAAAAAAAAAAGAAAAAGGCACAAATTAAGGTGGTCACACATGGATTTCCTCCCAGTGTGCTTTATAAACACTTAACAGTTTAGACAACAAAGGCCCAACAGACAGGACCATGAACACCTGAGGGCAGAGCTGACACCTGCCCCACTCTCTGTTCTGCTCTCACCTAGTGGAGGGTACAGCACACAGCAGGTCTTCAGTTAGAATTGCAGAAGAATAAACAAAGATATGTGTAAATCTATATATTGTGATATGGAAAATACAGGGTTCAAAACAATATATATAGCATGGTCCCTTATTTTTGTTAAAAAAGGAGATAGTAGGTATGTTGATATGCACAGAAAAAGACAGGCAGGATATGGCCCCAAATGTGGGTGTAACAGTAGCCATCTCTAGACGGTAGTGAGAGAATTTTACTTTCTTTTCTTTATTCTGTTCTGTAGAGACAAAATTATTTTCACCACTTATAATCAATATTTCTTGGATATTCTAAGCATATTAATTCATTTAATCCTCGCAACAACCCTGTAACATAGGTACTATTATTATCGTATCATTTTATAGATAAGCAAACTGTGGGCTGAAGAATGCGTGACAGTAATTGGTGGTGCCAGGATTTGGACCCAGGCAGCAGTCCCTGAGCTGCTCCATTTCCGGGTGCACAAGCTGGGGAGGCAGGTCCTGAGTGTTCATCCCTTCCTCCAGGACCCCTCTGACAGCGTTGAGAGTTTGGTTTTATGTCAAGTGGGTGTGGCTGGTGTAATGAGAATGGTAACAGTGGGGGATTTCCATTTTGAGAAAAGACCAGGAGAGAGAGAGCCCTGGCACCCGGTGGGTGGGCTCTGTGCCAGGGGCAGCTTTGGAGAGGTCAGGCAGTGGGGACGTGCTTCCCAGCTCAGCCCCAAAGGCTGCTGCCCTCACCAGGCCTGTGGAGCTGTTGGCTATTGCTACGTTAGGGGAGATTCTGTCCTCTAGACTCTCCTCTTCATCAAAACCTCCTTCATCAGGTCTCTTTACCGACTGCTGCCTCCAGCGCTCACCTAGGCTTACCTGTGGCCAATACCTGGCATAGCAGCTCTTACCTTGGAGGCTCCAGGCCCAGCATCTCCCAGGAGGACTGGCTGTGCCTTAGGGCTGTAGAGAAGGCACCACTGTGGAGGGAACTGTGGGTAGCCTGGGCATCTGTGGGGACCAGCGTGGTGCTCTGGGCCCTATTCCTCAAAGGGGAGAGTGAACATTAAGGACAGAGAGTCACCCATCTGAGCCTGTGAGTGGCAGAGCTGGGTTCTCTACAGACATGTCCCCTGGGCAGAGCGAAACAACCATAGGAGGTTCTGAGCAGCCAAGTGGGCGCTCCTTGGGCAAATTTCCCTGCAAACGCACTCCCTGGGAGGTCTGCTTCATCCCGGGCCCGCCATGCTCACTACCATTGGTGTGCTGGGCACAGGTTCTCATAAATTCTCCCAGGAATCTTTGGAGGTGAGGACCATGACCTCCAATGACAGAGGAGGAAACTGAGGCCCAAAGAGGGGAGGTGACTCCTCCAAGAAGGCACAGCAAGTAGAAAGGGAGCCAGGATTTGACCCTGGGCCTGCTGGATTATAGGGACTGTGTCCTCCCTTGAGCCCTGGCTGGGATGCACTGGGCAGGTGGTCCAGCTGGCATTGGTCATTTGCAGGACAAATGGGGGTGGGGAGAGGAGGGAACTCACAGCATCTGAGCACCCACCAGGTCTTCGCTCAGCTGTCACCTCCTCAGGGAAGCCCTGGTGACCTTGGCTATAATGCCATGCCTCGGCATCACTCTTTTGTTCAACCCTCCTTCGTGTGCCTTCATAGCACACACATCCCCATGTCACAGCCCCGGCACTGCATGGCGTTGTCTGTCTCCCTCTACTCTGAGATCCACGAGGCTCATTTTGCTCAGGGTTGTGTCCCCAGGTTCGTGTCCCCAGGGCCTGGAACCGTGCCTGGCTCAGAATAGATGCTCAATGAATTTGAATGAATAAAGAACCAGAAACATTCCTCGCCATCTCTCCTTGGATCCTGTCACCAACCCTGCCGGGTAATCCCCATGTTACAGATGAGGAAAGAGAGACCAGGGAAGTAACCTGACTTGCCCAAGGCTACCGTTTGCATTGTGTGCTGGAGCCAGGATTCAAACTCCCAAACCAGGGCTCCTTCCCCTCCTTCTGGAAATCAGGACCACCACATGAGGGGATACCCTGGGCAGGAGGGCAGAATGAAGCATCTGGGGCTGGTAGGACTCCTGAGAACCTAGCCCCGGGCAGAAGCAGGAGCTCCAGAGCCGCTTCCCAGGCTGCTGAGAAGTCCCTCCTGCCCTAGTGTTTTCAAAATAGAAGGTTCCTTGGCAGCACTGTTCAAAGGGGATGGGGGAGTTCAAAGCAAACAGATCCCAGATTGCAGAGTCCTGAGCTCTGTTTGCAAAGACACTGCACACCTTGGGGACTCAGTCAGAGGGAGGGAGTGATCAGCACAGCCAGCGGCCGAGTCAGCCTGCCAAGCAGGGCCAGGCTGAGCATGACAGGAGATGTTAGACTCCTGCAGGGCAGGGATAGAGTTAGGGTTGGAGGACACTGAGGCTGTGGGTGCAGAATGAACAGTAGGGCTGATCTCATGTGGAGCTGGGTTTAAATCCCCATTCTGCCACCCACCAGGTTTGTGTTGCTGGGTAGGTTTCTTCATATCTCCAAGCCTCAGTTTCTCTATCTGTAAAATGGGGAATCTTCCTGAGACTGTCATAAGAAGTAAGGGAATGTAGGTTAAAGAGCCTGGTATGTAGGAGTCTCTCAGTAAATCTGAGTTACCCTCCCCTCCAGCAAAGGAGAAATAGGAGGTACGTTCTGTTCAGTTCAAAACAGTGCAAGCAGAAGCTGGAGGATGTGGCTTTGTACGGGTGCACAGGAAGCAAGATGAGTCCTCTTGGACTCAATTTACAGATGGGGAAATTGAGGCTGGCATAATGACTTGCCCAATGGCACAGGGGCAGGGACACAGGGCAGGATGAGAGTCTAGACCTCCTGACCTCCCGTCCAGGCTCATCCACTCTTCAGAGGCAGGAAAGGCAGAGGGAGAAAAACAAACTATTGTGTGGCCTGGGGTTTCCCTTGCCCTTTCTGGGCCTCCCCTTGCCCTTTCTGGGCCTCAATTTCCTTACAGGTACCATGGTGGGCACACAAGGGTTTCCCAAAGGCCTGGCTGGCCTGGACAGTCTGGAAGTCTGAAGAGGGTGATGTGCTCAGTGCCCCTGGCCCACTCTCATGCCCAGACCAGTGCCAGGTGAGGGAGATGTCAGGAAGGGGAGGAGGTTGGGAGAAGGCTAGAGCCTGAGTCTCCTGTGCAGGTTGACGGCAGCCCTTCACCCCATATCCTGGCACAGGGCGGGTTGAAGACCCAGCAGGGGAGCAGAATGTTTCCTGCGGGCTAACGCGGCCCCATCCGTGACCTGGCCTGGCTCCAGGCCCTGCTCTTCAGCCTCTTTCTTACTCTGGGCATTACTTAGACTTAGTACCTCCCTGAACCCCCCAGCTCCATCAGCTATGCAGCTGTTCTCAGCTTGGCCACACACTCCCCTTCCTCTCCCTTGGGTGCATTCCTTTGACACTCATTCTCCTCCACCCAATTGTGTCCCTGGTCCTAAAACCGCCTACTTGGCTGTCCCCTCCCACCTGGAGCTGCAAACACCTTCTACCACTGACCCCCAGTGGCAATGAGGAAGGTGACATCCACTCCCTGAGCTCCAGCACGGGTCCGAAGAGGACCTCACATTTCTGGTGGGTGATGATGATGATAGTGACCACCAGCCAATGGTCATTCATTCAATAAATATTTATTGAGCACCTACTATGTGCAGGCACCATTTTAGGTGCTAGGGATGCACCAGAGGACAAATAATCACAACAATGTCTTCACTGACCTGGAGTTTACATTCCTCTGTCTTGTGTTTATTATGTACACACAATACACAAGTAAATTGTATTGCATGTTTGAAGGGGATAAGAGCAAGATAAGGGGGATTGGAGGAGCTGGGGGAGCCACTGCAGCTTTAAGAGGGGTGGCCAGGAGGGGCCGTACCTAGGGGGGCTTTTGAGGGAAGACAGGAAGGGACAGAGGGAGTGCTTTTCACATGCAGTGGCTGTTCACTGCCCTGTGCTGATCGCCTCTGGGTGGTGCGTGCATCTTTGTGCTGGGAATTTTACATACTTGAATTCAGGCTGCCATCACCTCTCACCTGAAGGATGCAGATGCTCCAGTCTGTCCTCTCCATGTCCTGTGCTGCTCTCCACCAAACCATTCTCCCCATAGCAGCTACAGTGAAGATTTGACACAAATCTAATCATGTCACTCTACCAACTAAAGCCATCCAGTGATTCTCCATTGCCCTCAGAACAAAGTCCAAAATCCTGACAACTTGCTCCTCGAGGCCTCCATTAGCTGGCCCAGACTTGGCCAGGCTCACTGGTCTTCAAAGTGCTGAGCTCAGCCTCCTCCAGGAAGTCCTCCTGTCTTCTCCCGTCCTTTTGGACTATTCCTCCAGGGCCCTGTGCTTCCCCCAGCACAGCACTTTATCCTGAGTGGTAACTGCTCATTCCTGCCAGTTGGTGGATCCCAGAGGAAGGGCTGGCGTTTGTTCTGTTCATTCTTAGATTCTTAGCACCAAGCGCAGAGCTGGACACACAGTAGGACCACAGTGAATCTCTGCTGACTGCAGAGATGCACGGATGATCAGAGTGACCAGTGAGTGAACAAACACACAGTAAGCTCGTTCATCGTCCCTTCCCTAGGGACAGGCGGAAGGCATCCATGGAGGGGGGAGAAACTACTCAGCATCCAGAAACTCATTTGATTTAATTTCACGATTGTTTAGGTCTTTTTTCTTCCTTGACAGCTATGGATTGGGACATAATCTGAAAATCAATCTTTCTCTCTCTCTCCAAGTTCACCCAGGCCTCCTGCTTGGCTCCAGTAACAGTCTATGGGAGCTAGCGGACTGTTCACACCATCCTGTTGGTGGTGACAGACAGATGTTTTTCTGGATAGTGAAGCAGGGGCTCCTTTTCCTCCCCTGGCCTGGAGCTCCTGGTGAGAGCTCAGAGGCGGCCTGGACACAACACAGGGGGAGCAGCAGGGAGCTTCGAGATGCCCTGGGTGCCAGGAGGTAGGAGATGTCATGCCTGTCCTTATGGTCACGGTGATATCACCCCAGGATATAGGTGGGTACTCCCAGGGCCTCTGCTCCTTTGAGACCCTTCGGAGAAGGGCCACCTGTGAACAGGCACGTATGGGTTGGTGAGAACACCCCAGATGCAGGCGGGCAGTCTCTGACACACAGACTGAAGGCAGAATCTAGGTTGGAACTCATGTTGGGAACATTCTGGCCTGGATACTTCTGACTCATAGATGTGTCTTGCCAAAATCTTTCTCCTGTTGGGCTGGGAAGTAGCCCTGGAAGTGCAGGGGTCACAAACTAGTGGCTGGCGGGTGGGGGTGGGCAGGTCATCTAAATGAGTGAGGGGTGAAGGCAGTGCGGATAACACGCAGAGGAGGGGACCGCGGCCAGTGGGAGAGGGCAGGTCCCATCGGAGGAGGACAGGAGGGAGTCCAGGGACGCTCTTGCTGTGAGCTGCCTCACTCTAAGGACTTCCCCTGTGTTAAACCCATTTATTGCTCAGGACACCCCTGTGTGGTAGGAGCTGGTGATATACCCATCATACAGATGACGCCACTGGGGCCCAGGGGTTGTCACTTGCCCAAGGTCACCCAGGCGTTTGGCTCCGAAGCCTGAGATGCTCTTGAAGATGAGCTTGGCTCTTGGTAATTGTTGCCATGTGGGACTGTTAGAATGCAGGGCCCCAATTTCCTGATTTTCAAGAGAGAAATTGGAGATCTTGATTTTTTGAAATTTCTAGGTGTTTATTACATGGTGGGCGTCAAACGAGTTTCATCTTGGGAGCAGTATTCTGCTCAAGGCTGCCAATTGACAATTTCTGTAAGAATGGAAAGATCCTTAGACTTCTTATCAAAGGGCTGTGACTTAGAGACAATCAGACCTGAGTTCAGATTTCAAACCTGGACTTCCTTTATCTGAGCCTCAGTTTCCCCACGTGTGACCCTTGCTTCATGGGGCTGCTGTGAGCAGCGGATGAGGTCACGGTCTACACATGACAAGTGCTGGACCCACACTGGGCCATGTTGATATCTTCATTGATTCCTTGGCTGCTCCTAGCCCCTCCCTGCCGAGCTCAAGAGAAATGCTTTTCCTGCCTGCTGGGCCCCTCTGCCCATAGTACCAAGAAGTTTTTATTCCCTGCCCAGTGTGCTTCGGGGCCTGGCTCAGATTCAGCTTCCTCCATGAAGCTTTCCTGAACCCCAGCCAGAGGAGCCCTCACACCCACCTGCCTCATCTCACTCTGTTCTCACCATACACAATTGTCCCAGTTTCAGAGCTGGTGAGACCGAGGCTCAGAGAGGTTGATAGAGACCTATTCAAGGTCACACAGCAAAAAGATGGCCAAGGAAGGGCCTGAGGAGCCAGCCTTTCTCCCCTCCCCTACCTCCCAGTTCTGATCCCTGAATTCCTGGAGAATAGAGCCCCTAACTGCCCACCTTTGGTCAGCATCACCAAGGCCACCAAGGCCCAGGACTTGGCCTGGGAGTTGAGGGAAGCAGCCAGCCTCCATGCACTGGGCTCATGGAGAAAAGATTCCTGGACTGCACACAAGGAGAACCGATTCTGGCCTGGAGTCAGCTACCACTTCTCTGGGAGAATAAGCTGCCCAGAACAGCAGGTTCCAAGGAATGCTGCATTCTGAGAGATGCTAACAGGTGTTTTCCAGAAGATGATTCTATGGTCAAGTCAGTTTGCATAACTTTATTAGTTTTTTCCTCCATAATTAGCCTTCTCAAAATCCAATGGATTCAATAGCCAACGTGTATTTTTCTTGCTCATGGTTGGTTCCCCAGGGCGGGTGAAGCAGCTTTGCTCCAGGGTACAGGAGGTTCTAGGTCTGTCCTCAGTTCTCTCCTTGAATCAGCAGCTCTTCATACACAACGAATGACAGGAGCACCAGAGGGGTGAAGAGGAACATTCAATGACTCCTTTTCAAACATTATTTTGTCTTTAAAAACATTTTAAATTTACATACAAAATCCACCTTTTTCAGCGTGCATGTCTATGAGGTTTTTTGTTTTTTTTTTTTTAATTTTACTTTAAGTTCCAGGATACAAGTGCAGAATGTGTAGGTTTTTTACATAGGTATACATGTGCCATGGTGGTTTGCTACACCTATCAACCCGTAATCTAGGTTTTAAGCCCTGCATGCATTAACTGTTTGTCCTAATGCTCCTCCTCCCCTAGCTCCCTACCTGCTGGTCTATGAGTTTTAACACATGCATGCATTCCTGTAACTGCCACTAGAATCAGGACACAGAACGGTGCTATCACCCCCCAGGTTTCCCATGCTGCCCCTTTCTGGTTACACTGTTTCCCTGCCGCTAAGCCTTGTCAATCACTGATCTGTTCTCTATGCCTATAGTTTTGCCTTTTCCGGAATGTCATAAAAGTGGAATCATATAGTATGGGGTGTTATGAGTCTAGCTTCTTTCACTCAGCACATTTATTTATTTATTTATATTGATTGATACAAAATATTTTACATTTTTATAGTATACCTGTGAGTATTTGTTACATGCATAGAATGTGTAATGATCAAGTCAGGGTATTTGCTGTATCCATTATCTTGAGTATTTATCATTTCTATGTGTTGGTAACATTTCAAATCCTTTCTTCCAGCTCCTTTGAAATATACAATACATTGTTGCTAACTGTAGCCACCCTATTCTGCTTTTGAATGTTGGGGATTATTTCTTCTATAATTATATGTTTGTACTCACCAATCAACCTCTCGTTATCGCCCCCTCCCACCCACACACACCTTCCATTCTCGTATCTATCATTCTACTCTCTATATCCATGAGAACAACTTTTTTTAGCTCCCACATATGAGTGAGAACATGTGGTATCTGCCTTTCTGTGCCTGGCTTATTTCACTTAACATAATGACCTCCAGTTCCATCCATGTTGCTGCAAATGATAGGATTTCATTCTTTTTTATGGTTGACTAGTATTCCATTCTGTTATCTATACCACATTTTCTTTATTCAACTGTCTGTCAATGGACACTTAGGTTGAGTCCATATCTTTGCTACTGTGAATAATGCTGCCATAAACATGCAAGTGCAGGTATCCCTTTGACATACAGATTTCTTTCCCTTTGGATAAATATCCAGTAGTGGCATTGCTGGATTATGTAGTAGTTCTATTTTTAGCTTTTTGAGAAATATCCATGTTGTTTTCCATAGTGGTTGTACTAATTAACACTTCCACCAATGCTGTACAAGAGTTCCCTTTTCTCCACATCCTCATCAACATCTGTTATTTTTTGTCTTTTGGTAGTTGCCATTCTAACTGGGATAAGATGATATCTCATTGTGGTTTTGATTTGCATTTCCCTGATGACTAGTGCTGTTGAGCATTTTTAAATATTCACGTTGGCCATTTGTATGTCTTATTTTGAGAAATATCTGCTCATGTCCTTCACCCACTTTTTAATGGAATTATTTGCTTTTTTTTTATTGTTGAGTTGTTCGAGTTCTTTGTAAATTCTAGATATTAGTCTTTTGTTGGGTGAATAATTTGCAAATATTTTCTTCAACGGGTTAGCTCTTCAGTCTGTCAATTGTTTCCTTTGCTGTGAAGAAGCTTTTTAGTTTAATATAGTCTCATTTGTTTATTTTTGTTATAGTTGTCTGTGCTTTTGAGGTCTTAATAAGAAATCTTTGACTAAAACAATGTCTTGAAGTGTTTTCCACATGTTTTCTTTTCTAGCAGTTGAATAGCTTCGGGTCTTACATTTAAGTCTTTAATCTATCTTAAGTTGACTTTTGTATATGGGGAGAGATAGGGAATCTAGTCTCATTCTTTTGCATATGGATATCCAATTTCCCTGTAACATTTATTAAAGAGGGCGTCCTTTCCCCAGTGTATGTTCTTGGCACCTTTATTAAAAATCAGTTGCCTGCAAATATGTGGATTTATTTCTGAACTATTTTGTTCCATTGGTCTGTGTGTCTATTTTCATACCAATACCATGCTGTTTTGGTTACTATAGCCTTGTAATGTGTTTTGAAGTCAGGTAGTGTGGTAGCTCCAGATTTTTCCCCTTTTGCTCAGGATTGCTTTGGCTAGTGGGCTCTTTTTTTGGTTCCATTTGAATTTCAAGATTATTTCTTCTAATTCTGTGAAAAATGACCTTGATATTTTGATAGGGATTGCATTGAATCTGTAGATTGCTTTGAACAGTATGGCTTTTTTTTTTTTTTTTAGGTGGAGTCTCGCTCTGTTGCCAGGCTGGAGTGCAGTGGCATGATCTTGGCTCACTGCAACCTCTGACTCCCTGGTTCAAGTGATTCTCCTGCCTCAGCCTCCCGAGTAGCTGGGATTACAGGCATGCGCCACCACACCTGGCTAATTTTTGTAGTTTTAGTAGAGATGGGGTTTCACCATGTTGGCCAGGATGGCCTCAATCTCCTGACATCATGATCTGCCCGCCACAGCCTCCCAAAGTGCTGGGATTATAGGCATGAGCCACCACACCTGGCCTGTGTGGCCTTTTTAATGATATTAATTCTTCTGATTCCTAAGCGTGAGATATCTTTCCGTTTGTTTGTGTCTTCTTTAATTTCTTGCATCAGTGTTTTGTAGTTTTCCTTGTAGAAATCTTTTACCTCTTTGGTAAAGTTTATTTCTAGGTATTTTATTTTTTTGGTAGCTATTGTAAATGGGATTGCATTCTAGATTTCTCTCCTATCTAGTTCATCATTGGTATATAGAAACACTACTGATTTTTGTATGTTGATTTTGTATCCTACAGCTTTACTGAATTTATTGATCAAATGTAGGATGTCTTTTAGTGGAGTTTAGGTTTTTCTCAACATAAGATCATATTATCAGCAAAAGGGAACAATTTGACTTCTTCTTTTCCAACTTGGATGCCTTTTATTTCTTTCTCTTGCCTGATTGCTCTGGCTAGGACTTCCAGTATTATGTTGAATAGGAATGGCGAAAGCAGGCATCCTTTTCTTGTTCCAGATCCCAGAGGAAAGGCTTTCAGCTTTTCCCCTTTCAATATCATACTCTGTTCATAGTTCATTGAGAGTTTTTATATGAAGAGATGTTAAATTTCATCAAATGCTTTTTCTGCATCTATTGAGATGATCATATGATTTTTGTCCTTCGTTCTGTTGATGTGATATATTATGTTTATTGATTTGTGTACGTTGAATAATCCTTGCATTCCTGGGATAAATCCCACTTGATCATGTTCTATTATCTTTTTGATGTGCTGTTGGATTTGACTTGCTGGTATTTTATTGAGGAGTTTGTTTCTATGTTCATCAAAGATATTGGCCTGTCATTTTCTTTTGTTGTGTTCTTGTCTGGTTTTGGTATCAGGGTAATGCTGGCCTTGTAGAATGAGTTAGGAAGAGTTATCTCCAATTCAACTTTTTTGTAATAGTTTCCAGAGGATTGGTATTTGTTCTGCTTTATATGTTTGGTACAATTTGACTTTAAATTAGTCTAATCATGGGCATTTCTTTGTTGAGAGGCTTTTATTACTGATTCAACCTCACTACTCATAATTGGTCTCTTTAGGTTTTCTATTTCTTCTGGGTTTAATCCTGGTAGGTTGTATATTCCATGAATTTATTTATTTCCTCTAGGTTCCAGTTTGCCAATGTATAGTTTTTTGTAATACTCTCTGGTGGTCTTTTGAATTTCATGGTATCAGTTGCAATGTCTCCTTTTTCATTCTTGATTTTGTTTATTTGGTTCTTTTTTGATTAGTCTAGCTAGCGGTTTATCAATTTTGTTTATCTTTTTGAATAACCAGTTTTTTGTTTTGCTGATCCTTTGTATTGTTTCTTAGTCTCTATTTTATTTAGCTCTACTCTGATCTTTATTATTCATTTCCTTCTGCTAATTTTGGGTTTGATTTGTTCTTGCTTTTCTAGTTCCTTGAGGAGCATTGTTAGGTTGTTTATTTGAAATATTTCTACTTTTTTGATGTTGGTGTTGCCTGCTATGAACAGGCAGCAGTCTCTCTTAGTACTGCTTTTGCTGAATCCCACAGGTTTTGGCATGTTGTGTTCCCATTTCTATTTGTTTCAAGAATTTTTTTGATTTCCATCTTAATTTCTTCATTGACCCAATGGAGCATGTTGTTTAATTTCCATGTATTTGTATAGTTTCCAAAGTTCCTATTTACATTGATTTTGATATTCTGTAGTTGGATCAAATGTTCTGTAAATATCTGTTAGGTCTATTTGGTCTGAATTCCAGTATAAATCCAGTGATTCTCTGTTGATTTTTTTGTTTCAATGGTCTGTCTAATGCTGAGCGTGGGATATTGAAGTCCCCCACTGTGATTGTATTGGAGTGTATCTCTCGCTTTAGATCTAGGAATATTTGCTTTATGAATCAGAGTGCTTTTTCATGTTTCCCATATCCTTACATTAATACACATATCTGTTCATCTGGTGGAACAGTTGCTTTTTCCAATTTTTTGAATTTACTTTTGTAGGGGAGGACTTTTTCCTGAAGCTGTATATATGTTGTATATGTTGTTGGTTGGATAGGGCACTTTGGCATTTTTTTAAAGCATACTGTCAACCTTATAAGGCCCAGGGCACAAGGACTGATCTACTTTAGTGGGCTGTGGTTTCAACTTCAGTTTAGTTTTTAAAGACTTTTCAATACTATTGGGATATTCCCTGTTTGTGTCTCCCAGGACACACTACATTCTAGTTCAGTTCTCAGAGCCTTTATTTAGTGAGCTGTTTTGGGTCAGTTCCATACGTGCATAACTTGCGGGTGGATCCAGTCTTCATGCACAACTTTATTGGATGGTTTTCTCAAGCTCCCCCTTCCCTGTGCTTTTCTCCAACATTCTTGACTCCCAAGGGCCCCCTTACTTCTTAAGGTCTCAGTTTGGAGCCGTAACTGCCACTTCTATCAGTGTTACACTGAGCAAAGCAAGTCCAAGATCAGGGACAGGCAACCGTACCTTGCCTGTTCCAGTGCTCTGCAAGGGCATATGGGAGAGGCAGGAAGGGAATGAAGAGTTGGGAACAAAAACCCAGCCTACCATTGTAACACTGCAGACGCACAACCAAATTACAGAACACCAAGGCCTCAGATGTCTCCAGCTGAGGTGTCCCAAGTCCTCTGGATTCCTGGTGTCACTGTCTTTTTCATGTCTTATAAACTGGCTTGAGCCCCATCTCAGGCACTGTGCAATGTCCAGGGGACTCTCTATGGGGTCTACAAATTCCCTAGGGCTGGGTCTCCTGATCACTCTTACCCTGGTTTTCTTTTCCTGCTAAATTTTTCCATCTCCTTCCTGTGACTGTACTTCCCTCCCCACCTCCATACACCTCACACTAAGCTCTGAGCCAAAAACCCCGCCTTGCTTGACTGAGCAAAAAACCATCTATTTTGAGCTTCTACTCTTTAGATGCTTGTGTGTGGGCTCCCCTCTCCCCAGCTAACTCAATTACATTCTGAGGCGGGTAAACTACTTGTCTGGGTAAGAAAATAAATGAAAGGGAAATAGTATGAAGATTTATTCCCCAATGAACTCCTTCTTTCTGGAGTTGTGGTATCAGGGGAGTATCTTTTCTTTATTCTTGTTGCTCGTACTAACATTTTAAGGCATGGAGAAAGTCTGTAGCAAGGAAACCAGTTTGCCAGTTAATTGTTGTTTAATCCAATCTTTCCAAAATGTACTTGGCCATGGCATGTCTTTGTCATGGAGCATCCATTAACACCTGAAAGCCCAGGGCGTGGGAAAAAACACCTAAGACGAGGGTTGTTGTGAGGATCAAATGGAAGAAGGTGAGCTTTAGGTATTTTCTGCTGACAAGTTAGTGGAGCTTCCCCTTCCACTCCAGAGACCACTCCTGCCCACCCCAAACCCCCTGTTATCCTGGAAAAATTGTCCAAATGAGGCCACTTTTGAGAGCAAAAGGAGTACAATTAATGCCTACACTAGGATAATAGTAGGCATAAACTAGACTGTCCTGGGCAAAGTGGATCATATGGTCACCCTACACACTTTCTTTACAGCTGGTGGTGGCTGTTGCAAAATCCAGACTACAAATGAACTGAGTTTTCTGTTGACCTCTGTTTCCCCACCTGTGAAGTGAGGTCTTCTCAATTTTTTTTTCATTTATTCAATCATCAAAAACCACGTAACATGCCTCTCCTAGTTGCCAGCACTGTGTAGGCCTTGAGGAGCCACAGTGAATGAGATATTTCCCACCTTCAATGTCTTCAATGAGACATTTCTGGATCATGTAGAAGGAGAGACAGATGATAGGATCATTAGGGATCATGGCCTCTGCTTCACCTTGACCTTTTTACCCTCAATCCATGTGCAAAGATCAATCTAGAAGGGCCTTTTGGTGGTGGATCCTGGCTGTCATCACAGGAGGATCTCCTAGTACCTGGAGGCCTCCCCACATCTGCACTAGTTCGAACAATTTCCAGGTCAGAGTCCTAACTAGGGAGTTGGTGGAGACTTCTTCCCCAGGCCACTTCTTCTCCAGCTGGCAGCGCTAATCACGACTCACCTGCTGCTTTGGAGCAGGATTACCTGTCAAGGTTCATTTGAGCTGCGGGCTTCCCAGAGAATCCCCGCTCCCCACCAAACAGCTCTGATGGCAGCTGAGGGGCTGCTCCCCAGGAAGTGAGAGGGAGGAAAATTACCTTTCATATGTTGTTGCCTGTTTGGCCAGGCAGTTGCAGCAACAGCTTGTGTCCTGCCAAGCCTGATAACAGGAGTGTCATGGTCTGGGGACAGACTGGCCCTGGGAGGTGAGCAATGAGGATTCCAGGAAACTGTGGAGATTGCCTGCAATTTGGACCTCTCAAATTAGATGGCCTCAGTGAGTCATTTCAGACTATACAAATTGCACCTTGGGCAGGGTCTGTTATATGGCTTCCTTGAGCCCTATTAGCTCTTAGAGTTTTCCTCAAAGACCATCACCATTAGAGACAGCAGAATTTGAGCTTACGTGCCTGTGTGTGACCAGGTATGTGACGATCAATATGTTACTTCATGGAAACCATAATTTATGGGGATAATAACTGTATCAATTAGGACCCTTTTTATTATAAGGGAAAGAAATGCAGAAGCAGAACTATAGGCTTATTAAGTAAAAAGTCCAGAGGAATTTCAGGTATGGCTGAATCCAGGTGCTCAAATGAGGCCTTCAGGAATCCACCTGTCTCTGTAACTTGTCTCTGCTTTTCTCCTCACTTGTCTACCGGCAGGCCTGCTCTTCCTGGTGGCCTCTAGGAATTGCAGGAGAAGGTAGAGCTTCACTAGCCCAGTAATTCCAAAAGTCTTAGAATAGAATTTCACTGGTTAGTGCTAAGTCATGTACCCATGCCTAAGCTAAGTACTAAGGCCAGAGGAATAGGATGCTCTAATTGGCCAGGCTGAGGCCTTCAGCCCACCTCTTGGAACTCAAACCACAAGGACCTAGGAGGGGGTGACGTTCCCCAAATGGAGGAGCCATAACTCCAGAGAAAGGAGAAGTGGGTGTCAAGTCGACAAAAATAGCCTTTTTAGTAGGCATGAGATTTAACATTTTTATCAAGCAGTAGATCAAATGCACTAACCAGTCAGAAGGGAGGCTGCCAGAGCAGGGTGGGAAATAAATTCTCTGGGTGCTGGACTGTGAGGAGCTGGGGAGGGCACCAGGAGAGGGGCTGGGGCAGTATGGGAGCATCTGGAGCTCAGGGTGGCAACCACTACTAGCCCATATGGACATTTTTGCCCTGGCCGTTCCAGTGAGTCCTGGTGAACATGCCCTGACGGCTGCTGCTTTGCCTAGACCAGCCCTCGTTTTCTTGGGTCCTCACTTGCACTCCACTTTGGGAGGTTGCTCAGGCTTGTCTGTGCACACTTTGTCTCCAGACCTCTTGTTAACAGGTGTGTGTCATTGTTCAGAACAGCCTGGCCACCCCAGGCCACCAGCCTGGGAGATAGGCATTAGCAGATGGCATGGCGCCAGTCTCCTGAAGTGTCTGTGCTGCTGCTGCGTTTAAGAGTCTCGGGCCTCAGGCTTATCTGTATCAACCTCAAAATAGTGACATTTACATGGCACTCAGTGGTATTAGTTCCTGCCTGGGCATCTAAGGGAGTCATTCTGAAAGATGGAGGATGGAAGACATGGTCAGGAATAGCTAGAGAGCCACTTGGGCGCAATTGTGAAACAAATGTCATGGGGACTCGAACCCAGCAGCCATCCTGCACTGAGCGTTTGGTGTGCTGGCCCCTGTGCTGAGTGTTTCCCATGCTCTTCCTCAACTGAACATCACATGAAGCAGGTGCAATGTCACCCCAGAGGATGAGGAAACTGAGGCACAGAGGGTGGAAATCACTTGTTCACCTCACTCCTTATTCACCCTTCTGGGTCACCTCACCCTTCCAGGTCACCTCACTACAGATGAGATCTAAGGCCTCTCCTGGGGCCTTTCCAAGGCCTTGGCCTGATCTGATCCCCATCTCTCTGACCTCCTGTCTAACTATGTCCTCCTCACTCTGCTCCAGCCTCACAGGCCTCCTGGCCATCCTGGGCCAGGCTCCACACATTCCCACCCCAGGGACTTGGCACATACTCTTCCCTCTGCCTGGGATGCTTGTCCATCTCAGACCCACATGACTCATCCATAAATTCTACTCAGATGCTTCCTCCTCAGGGGCTGCCCTCCCTCTGCACCCTGCAGCCTCCCATGGCTCCCTCATTCCCTCTGCCTCATTCCTGTCCTGGCACATGTCCTGCTCCAGGATTGTGTCATATATGCGTTTGTTGATCTGGTTTTTATCCACACCCTGCACTAACTAAAGTGTAAGCTCAATAAGAACAAGGCTTTGGTTAGTTTTGCTCATTGCTATTTCCCTGGCATCTAGGGCACAGCTTGGCACACAATAGATGATCCATAACTATTTGTGTGCAAATCAATTTGTAAAATGGGGGACCACCTGCCCCATAAATTTCTTGTGATGTTTAAATTAGACAAGGTGGGTATGCTTTGTATATATGCACATTACTTATGTATATGTAAAATTCTGCATGGATACTTGGCTGCATGTTACGTATGCATATGTAGGGCCCACAGGCAGCAATTTTTCAATACGGGGCATTATCTCTCTCTATCCCTTCAACTGTGCTTCTCCTCCATGGTTCTGGGACTTGCCCAAAGGTGCCATCATCCTCTCCATCACCTGTGCTGGAAAGCTGGATGGGGAGGCCTTTAGCATCACTTGCCCACTGCTCCAGCTCACACTTCTTCCTGGCACAAGGCAGGATCGACTTCCCGGTCCCTGTGGTTGTGGGGAGAGAAGTGGAACAAATAATTCTGGCCTATTTGTTGTGAGTGAAAGTGATGCCTGCCGGTTCCGAGCTGGATATTGTTGTGACTGAGACCACTCAGAGTTCTCATTCATCTGCCACAGTGACTGGCAAGGCACCAGACAGTGGCCACTCATTGGCCAAGTCCCTGAGTGAGGACCACATGGACAGAGCCTCATCTGGGCTTCAATGGACAGGAAGCCTGAGTAACAGACCTTTGTTGATTTGGGGCTGTTTGTTACGTGGCAGAGCCAGCCTGTTCTGACTGATGCAGTTACAGGGGGCTGGTAAGGCTACCCTTTAATCACATAGCAGAACAATATCTGGTAAGGACAGAGCAGGGCTTGCTGACACTGACTGACTTCAGTCCACTTGTCATTTCTCCTCTGTTCCTGGAGAGGGATGGCAATGTGAAAGCTAGCAGAGACCACACTCACTGCTCCATGCACCAGTTGTGTGACCTTAGACCAGGCAGTACACTCCCTGTAGCTCAGTTTTCTCTCCTGACACTTGGGGTTAACAAGAATGTTCTCTCCTCTTCTCCAACACACACACAGGTCCCTGGGGTAATTAAGACAGGTAATGAATGTGAGAGCTTTGCAGGAGCATGGGCCATTTTTAAGTTGTGGAAACTGCTCTGGGGTCCTGTCCAGGCCCATGGCTTTGTGCCCTTCAGTTTCCTGGTTGCTGAAGCCTCCTGGGGAGGTGGCCCTGGTCACTCAGAGATGTTAACACCCCTCAGGTGAGGAGATGTGATGGGCTGGCCATGTCTCCTCGTTTGCTTGCTGTCACATTTAATGCAGGCTCCAAGCCTGGCCACTTAGTCACTCATCCAACACCTCACTCAAACCTAACACCCGCTTCTTCCCACTAATGAGGTTTTGCTTGGAGATGCCGGCTCTCACCCCAAACTTGTTTCTCTTTTCTGTTCCTGTCACATCGAGGGGAAAGGTGGTGTTCAAATTATCTGTCCCCCAGGGCAATAGTTAATACTTTTGAGGTGAAATTCTTTAAGGGGTTGTCTTTCTGGCTGGACCCTTTCTGGGCTCCAGAATCCTGACTGTGGCCCTGAGGGACTATCCCTCTCCATTTGGCTTCATGTTGTGTGACCTGTAAGAGTTCTTGGACCCAGAGCTTTAGGCACTGACTGAATGGCTTCTTGAGAAAGGTGGAATCAACCTGTGAGAAGAGGGCAGTTGACAATTCACCATACAGGAAATTGCAGACTAATTAAATACAACTTTGAAAGATAGTCAGTGGAGCCTTTGGCCAAGACATTATTTGCCAAATAGTCCACATGCTGCCCTGCAGTTCCCAGTCTGTTTTGCACTTATGTTCATGCCATGTGACTAGTTCTGACCAATGGACTGTGAGCAGAAGCAATATGCGTGTGTTAGTTCATTTGCATTGCTATAAAGGAATACCCAAGGCTGGGAAACTTATAAAGAAAAGAGGTTTATTTGGCTCACAGTTCTGCAGGCTGTATATCAAGTATAGTGCTGACATCTAGTAAGGACTTCACAATTATGGCAGAAGGCGAAGGGGAGCCCACATGTCACATGGTGAGAGAGGGAGTGAGAAAGAGAGGGAGGAGATGCCAGCCTCTTTTAAACAACCATAGAATGGGTGAACTCACAGAATGAGAACTCACTCATTACTGTAAGGACAGCAGCAAGTGGTTCATGAAGGATCCACTCCCATGACCCAAACACCTCCCAATGGACCCACTTTCAACATTGGCGGTCACATTTCAACATAAAATTTGGAAGCAACAAGACATTCAAAACATATCAGTATGTCATTTCCAGGCTGAGGTGGCCAAGAGCTAATGTGACTCCTCCATCCCTGTCTTCCCATAAAGAGGTGACCCAGGCGACTGCCTGTTCCAGACAGCATAGCTACAAGACAGAGAAGAGATAAATGTTTATTGTGTTAAGCCATTGAGGTTTGAGGGTTTGTTTACAGTGGTGGCCAACATTAATAATCCTGACTGATACAGGGTGCTGTGAGAATGTAATTTCCATGTGGACAGGGACCATGTCTGTTTTGTCCACCACTGAGGCACCAATACATAACAAAGCATGTAGAAGCTGCTAAATAAATATACATGAATGATGGAATGAAGTTTGTGTACAAATTTTCAAAGTTTCCTCTCCAGGCAACCAGTGAAAACTCCTCCATTGAAGTGTCACAGGGATGGTGGTTTCTGTTCTCTTCTTTCTTGCCTGGTCCCATGGTCCTCAGGTTCCATGGGTCCTTGCTTCTGAGGGTCTCTACTCCTCCTGCTCCTGCTGCTCTGTCTCCTGATGTCACTTCCTTGTGACATAGGCCTTTTCTAGCATTTGCCCGAAGTCTGAGTCTTCATCAACAGCACTCCTGAGACGCACATTTGTCCTCTGGGAAGTATCGGCCCCTAATCACTTGCTTGGGGGCTTCCTACGCTACTTTCCCCAGTAGTTTTGATCTAAGTCAACACAGGAATTTGACACATTGCTATTTGAATCAAGAGAGGTTGCCATACTAATGTTGTGCAGCTAAGCATGACCTGGTAGATGTGGTCAAGGCTACCGCATCATTCTTCACTGGACTCTAGTCACTTGCTTCTAAACCTATCACCTATCACCTATCACCAGGCTCAAGTTTTATGTTCCAAATCGACTTTCTGGACTGGTGTTGTGGTTTGAATAAGGTTTGTCCCCTCTGAAACTCATGCTGAAATTTGATTGCATTGTGGTGGTGTTGGAAGGTGGGCCCTAATGGGAGGTGCTTGTGTCATAGGAGCAGATCCTCCATGAATAGATTAATGCTGTCTTGTGGGAGTGAGTTCTCACCATCACAGGACTGAATTAGTTACGGTGAGAGGAGGTTGTTATAAAGTGAGATTCCTCCTCATGTTTGCTTTTTCTTTGCACATGCCTTTCTGTTTCTCCACCACGTCTTGACATAGCACTTGGCCCTCACCAGAAGCTGAGCAGATGCCAGTGCCATGCTCTTGGACTTTCCAGCCACTAGAATCACGAGCTGAATAAAGCTTTTTTCTTTATAAATTGACCCACTCTCAGGTATTCTGTTATAGCCACACAAAATGGACCAAGACAGCTGTCATGAGAGGACTCTTTCTAAAATAAAATCTGACTTTATCCCTCCCTTGCTGAAGAACAGTGTAGTAGCTAGGAACATGGGTTTCAGACCCTCAGCACCCTGGTTCGACTCCCTTCTCTGTCACTTACGCTGTGTGGTTTTTGGTAATTTCCCTAAATTCCCTCTGCCTCAGTTTCCACAACTGTTAATGGAGATGATAATGAACATCCCCAGGATTCTTGTAGGATTCAATCAGTTAATACACATCAAGTGATTAGGTTCAGGAAAAAAATAGCTCAAGAATCTCAGGCTAAAGTCTTTCAGGCCTGGAATTTGAGGCTGTTTACCATGGGGCTTCTGTTGATCTCTGATCTCTTCTCCCGTCACTCCCTGACTTGAGCCTCCAGCTCAGGCTGCCTAGCTGGTTTCTGACACACATGGTCTTGCTATTACCTCTGCCTGGACTCTCTTCTCTCTGTCTCATTTTGAAGATTCAGCTCAGAGCCATCTCTCCCAGGAAGCCCTTTGTATTAAACAGCTTGGGCTTCCATAACAAAATACCACAGGCTGGGAAGCTTATACATAGAAACTTATTTTCTCATAGTTCTGGAAGCTGGAAGTCCACAATCAAGGTGTCAGCAGATTTGGTGTCTTCTGAGGTCTTTCTCCTTGACTTGCAGACCGCTGCCTTCATGCAGTGTCCTCATCTGGCGTTTCCTCTGTGCTGTGTGTGTCTGTTTAAATTTCTTCTTCTTATAAGGAAGAGTTTCCTGGTTACCCTAAAGACCTCCTTTTAACTTAATTACCTCTTTAAGGAACTTATCTTCAAATACAGTTACATTATGAGGTACTGGGAGTTAGACTTCAATACATACATTTTGTGGGTGACACAATTCAGCTCATAGACCCCTCTATGACTCTTACACTTCACACTCTGCCTCCCACCTCCACTGGGACCCCACAGCCCTCTGTGCATATCCCTGTCATGGCCCTTAACACTGTATGGCAGCAAAATTCATTCAGCAATCTTTATTGAGCACCTGCTATGTGCCAGGCACTGTGCTGGGAACTGGGGCAAGACAGTGGAGAAGAAGGGCGCCCTGCTCCCTGCAGTGTTGGAGCAGATGTCCTGGAGGTGGAGGTAGACATGGAGCAAGGTAATGAGCCTTAGAAAAGAGGCAGAAGACAGCTCTATAAACATACAGGACAAGAGGACCTGAACTAGGTCAAGAGGTCAGAGAGGACTCTGTCAAATTGCCATGGTAGGTGACTACTGATGTCCACTCACTAATGAATAAAAGTAGCAGCCAACGTTTATGGAGCTGCTGCTGTGTGTTGGGCTCTGGGATTTGCATGTGCCACCTTATTTACTACTCCCTAAGCCCTGTTTTCTCTATTTTCCAGTCAAGGAAAGTGGAGTTTAGGAAGGCTAAATGATGTACTGATGGCTGCATGGCTAGGAAGGGGGAGGCCAGGACTTCATTCAGGTCTCCGTGATGGTAAAGTTGTGGCCTTATTATATCCAGGCCCCCATCCCACCCCTTCAGCTTCACATTTGCCCCTCAACCCTTCTCCTCTGCTGATCTTGATCCTCAAACTCACATACCCAGTTGTGTGGTTGCTCAGTCTGCCAATGCCACCCTCTCTGGGTGCATGCCTGGCCCCCAGGCCAACAGCAGGGATTGGTGCAGCCTGTCCATCCTTCTCCTCATGTCTTTCCATGGGCTTGGACTTCTCTCCTCTGAACATAGGTGAGATGTTGGCCGAGCTTTCAGCCCTTGTGGCAATAACATTGAGGTTTGGGGGCTCATTAAAGGCACTGGTTTCCCTTCCTCAGTCCAATTGACAGGGTCAAGGGCATGTTGAATAGAAATGAACCCTCTTTATCACCCATAAGGCTGATGCTGGAGGACGGTGCTTACCCCTGAGGGAATGTGGCCCCCGCCCTCGACCCCACAGACCTCAGGACCAGACAGGGAGGAGCCACCCATCAGAGGTGCATTGACCCCTCTCATCAGGGTTCAGACTCCTGCATGGTTGGGTGTGAGGTGGGCCAGCACAGCTGTCACCATCTTACTCAAGGGGGAACCAAGGCTTACAAAAGCGAGCTCTTGCCTGAATCCCCAGGAAAGTGGGCAGTGAGGAAATGAACCCAGGTCTGACCCAAAGCCATTGCACTTCATTGGCCCCCACATTGACCACCCCAGGCCTGGGCCCTGCCAGCCTCACCCCAGTCTCTTGGGATGGCTCACTCCATGCTGAGCAGCTCTGACTGTCAGAAAATGCTTCTTCCCTTTGAATTCCAAGCTGCTTTCTGGTGGATTCTATGAACCAGTCCTTGCTTTGCCCTCTGGAGTTGTACAGTGAGTTTCATCTCCTCAGTAACTGCAAAATAAATTTAATAAACGCCACTAAAGTGTGTAATCTCATAGGCAGGATGCAGAATTTCTGTGCTTCAGCCTTTTCCCTGTAATTACTAGCACCATGGAAATTGCAGGGATTAGAAACTCAACTGGAAATGAGGATGGATTGCGTCACCAAGAAAGTTGAAATGAACAGAAACTCCAGCACAATAAGGCAGGCTTGGATTTGCATTAAATTAGGAGGCAAGTCCAGGCCCATTGATTTTATGGGGACAGTGACCTTCTAGGATTTGTTTAGGAAACTTGGAGGGGTAAGAGAAAGTTGGGATGGGGTGTGTCAGGTGATGTGAGTTGGTGGCAGCCTCTCTTCGAAAAATTAATTCATCGTATACCTCAGAGTTCATGTGGACTAACCTCACTTTCAAGGTTGGATGGCATTCCTCTTCCATCACCTCTTTCCTTCCACCCCCCCATTCCCAGGAAGTGAGAGACTTGTCTAAGGTCACACAGCTGGTCCATGGGGACCTAGGACTAGAATATAGGCCTTCTCATGCTATGTTCACTGACCTTCACAATGCACGTGTTAATCCTAATCCCCATCAGTTTTGGTGAAAAAATGTGGGCCACTAGACTGTCATCAGGTTGTAAGAAAATGTAAGATCCTTCTTCCCCTATACCTCTGTGGTCCACCAGAAACAGCGGGGAGTGTGTGAGGGAGCAGAACCTGGCTCTTCTAAGCTCTGACCTCATTGCCCACTCCTTCCCCAGCAATGCACTTATTGCCTCCTCGCATTGCATACCCAGGGCAGACAGTGTCAATTGGCTTCGGCACCATTCCCGATCAGCGTGGATCTCACAATCTTAACCTGGAGTTAACTCACAAGATGAAGCCTATTTGCATACTCCGTCTTCATCAACCAAGAGAACGCCATCAACCAAGAGAAAAACTAGACAATTTGGGATTTAAAAATTTTTCTAAAACCTACTATTGAGTTTCAATCATGGCCATTAGTGTGAAATACTATGTTAGACTCACTGCAAAAGTGGCTACAATTCTCCACCTGCTGTGATTTGGATGTGGTTTGTTTCCCACCCTCAAAACTCATGTTAAAATTTGATCCCCAGGCTGGGTGTGGTGGCTCACGCCTGTAATCCCAGCACTTTGGGAGGCTGAGGTGGGCAGATCACGAGGTCAGTAGATGGAGACCATCTTGGCCAACATGATGAAACCCCATCTCTACTAAAAATACAAAAAAATTAGCCAGGCCTGGTGGTGGGCGCCTGTAGTCCCAGCTACTTGGGAGGCTGAGGCAGAAGAATGGTGTGAACCCGGGAGGCAGAGCTTGCAGTGAGCCGAGATTGCACCACTGTGCTCCAGCCTGGGCAACAGAGGGAAACTTGGTCTCAAAAAAAAAAAAAAAAAAAAAAAAGATTCCCAGTGTGGCAGTGTTGGGAGGTGGGGCCTAGCAGGAGGTATTTGGGTTATGGGGGTACATTCCTTATGAAGAGATTAATTCTCACCCACCTGGGTGAGTGAGTTCTCCCTCTTTTGGGAGCGAGCTGTTAAAAAGAATCTGGCTTCCTCAGTTTCTCTCTCTTGCTTCCTCTTTGCCATGCGATTTCATTTATTTATTTATTTGTTTTTGAGGTGGAGTCTTGCTCTGTCACCCAGGTTGGAGTGTAGTGGTGCGATCTTGGCTCACTGCAACCTCCATCTCCTGGGTTCAAGCGATCCTCCTGCCTCAGCCTCTCAAGTAGCTGGGATTACAGGTGTGTGCCACCACACCCGGCTAATTTTGTATTTTTAGTAGAGATGGTGTTTCACCACATTGGTCAGGCTGGTCTCAAACTCCTGACCTCAGGTGATCCATCCACCTTGGTCTCTCAAAGTGCTGGGATTATAGGCGTGAGCCACCTCACCTGGCCTGCCATGTGACTTCTTTGCACATGCTGGCTCCCCTTCCACTTTCTGCCATGAGTAGAAGCAGAAAGGAGACCCTGACCAGATGCAGTTGTTCAGTCTTGGAATTTTCAGCCACCGGAATTGTGAGCCAAATGAACTTCTTTTCTTTATAAATTACACAGCCTCAGGTATTCTGTTATGGCAATACAGAATGGACTATTGGTACCAGGTGTTGCTGTGCAGGTACTTGAAAATGTGGAAGCAGCTTTGGAACTGCATAATGAGTAGAGGTTGGAAGAAGAATAGGCTAGAAAAAGACTGTATTGCTGGGAATGGAGCATTAAGAGTGATGTTGGCAGAGGCTTAGAAGATGAGCCGGAACTTCTTAAAGATTGGTTAAGTGGTTGTGGCCAAAATGTTGATTAAAAATATGGACAGTAAAGGCCATACTGATGAAGTTTCAGATGGGAATGAGGAATATCTTATTGGAAATTGGAGTAAAGGCCGTCCTTATTACACTGTAACAAAGAACTTGGATGCATTGTGTCCTGCCCTAGGGCCTTGGAAGGACATATTTAAGAGTGATGAATATTTGGCAGAAGAAATTTCTCAGCAGCAAAGCATTCAGGCAGCTGTGTGGTTATGTCTAACTGCTTATGGTGAACTGCCAGGGAAAAGGGAAGCAGGGTGAAAAGATTTGGAAACTTTGCAGCCCCGCCATGTGGTAAAGAATGAAAGCATTTTCAGGAGGAATCCAAGGGTGTAGCCAAGAGACCCTTTGCTAAATAGATAAGCGAGGTTAAAAGGGAGCCAGGTGCTAACAGCCAGAACAATGGGAAAAGGGCCCCAAAGGCATCTGAAAGATCTTCAAAGCCATGCCTTCCATCACCAGCCCAGAGGCTTGGACAAACTGATTTCTGGGGACGGGCCCAGAGCACTGCTACCCTGTGCTGCCCCATATCCTGGCTGCTCTGGCTGGAGCAGCCATGGCTCAAGAAGCCCCAGGTGCAACTTATGTCACAGTTCTGGAGATCCTAAGTGGTAAGCCTTGGTGGTATCTGCATCCACGTGGTACTAATTTTGCAGGCATGCAGAATGCAAGGGTGATGGAGGCATGGCAGCTTCCACCTGGATTTCAGGGGATGTATCGACCTGGAGGCAGAAACCTGCTACAGGGCAGAGACCCTGCAGAGAGCCTCTACTGAAAGCCTCTACTCAGGCAGTGCCATGGGGAAATGTGAGGTTAGAGCCCTCACATGGAATCCCCACCCAGGCTCTGACTACTGGAGCTGTGGGACCAGGGCCACTACTCTCCAGACTCCAGCATGTTAGAGCCACTGGCAGCTTGCACCCCGAGCCTGGAAAAGCCACAGGCACTCAGCTCCAACCCATGAGAGCAGCCACATAGGCTGCACCCAGAAAAGCCATAGAAGTGTGGCTGTAGAGGCTTTGGGAGCCCACCGCTCACACAAATGTGCCCGGGATGCAGGACCTGGAGTCAAGAGAGATTATTTTGGCACTGTAAGATTTAATATCTGCCCTGCCGGGTTTCAGACTTGTGTGAGGCCTTTTGCCCCTTTCTTTTGGCCAATTTTTCTTTTTTGGAATGGAAATGTTTACCCAATGCCTGTACCACCATTATATCTTGGAAGTGAATAACTTATTTTTGATCTTACAGGCTCATAAATGGGAAGGAGCTTGCCTTGAGTCTCAGGCAAGAGACTTTGAGCTTTTAAATTGATGCCAGGACAAGTTAAGACTTTTGGGACTATTGGGATCAGGAATGATTATATTTTGCATGTGACAAAGACATAAGTTTTGGTGGGGGGGCAGGGGTGGAATGCTATAGTTTGAATGTAGTTTGTCCTCGCTAAAACTCATGTTGAAATTTGATCCGTAATGTGGCAGTGTTAAAAAGAGTCTGGCTTCCTCAGTCTCTCCCTTGCTTCCTCTCTTGCCATCTGATCTCTTTGAACATGCCGGGTCCTTTTCCAATATCCACCATGAGTTGAAGCAGCCCAAGGCCCTCACCAGATGCAGCTGCCCAATCTTGGACTTTTCAGCCACCAGAAGCATGAGCCAAATAAAACATTTTTCTTTATAAATTACTCATTCTCAGGTGTTCTGTTATAGTAACACAAAATGGACTAATCAAACCCTTCACAATGTGACTTTGCAGCACCTCCCATCTCGTGGCAGAGTCTCTTTCTCCACCCCTTGTACCTGGGTCAGCCTGTGACTTGCTTTGTGCAATCGAATGGGATGGAAATGACAGAGTGTCATTTCAGAGCCTGGACTCCAAGAGGCCTTGCATTCTTCCACCCAGTCTCTTGGAATTCTACTGCTGCCGTGGAAACAAGCCTGGGAGAGCCTGCTAGAGGACAAGAGACCCAAGGGCCTAATCACCCCCATTGCCCCAGATGAAAGCCAACTAACCACCCATCCATTTGAGTAGGGCCATCTGAGACTGCCAGCTCAAGCTGACTTGCCCGCTGACCACAGACAGAAGAGCAAGTCCAGCTGAGATGAGATGAGTCTGTCCAGAGCAAAGAAACCTCCTGCTGTGCTGTAGACTCATGAGCTAAATAAGGCTTATTGTTTTGTTTTGTTTTGTTTCGTTTTGTTTTGTTTTGAGACACAGTTTCCCTCTGTCGCCCAGGCTGGAGTCTGGATGCAGTGATGTGATCTCAGCTCACTGCAACCTCTGTTTCTTGGGTTCAAGTGATTCTCCTTCCTCAGCCTCCAGAGTAGCTGGAACTACAGGCATGTGCTACCACACCCAGCTAATTTTTATCTTTTTAGTAGAGACGGGGTTTCGCCATGTCGGCCAGGCTGATCTCGGACTCCTGACCTCAGGTGATCCGCCCGCCTCAGCCTCCCAAAGTGCTGGGGTTACAGGTGTGAGCTACTGCCCCTTGCCCAGGTTTATTGTTTTAAGCCCCTAGGTTTTGAAGTAGTTTTTATGTAGTCATGACTCATGCATTATCTCATGTATTCCCTCTAATAACTTTATGTGATGACATGATTCCCATTTTACAAATAGTAAAGTTGAGGCTTAGAGAAAAAAAGACTTGCCTGGATCATTCTGGTAATCACAGAACTAAAATTCAACCCAGGTCTTTCTGACTCCTCTGTCAATGCTCGATGTAGCTAAAGAATCTCTGATACTGGAGTGGCACATAGGTTGCATTTCAATTGCCAATGTCAGTTAGTTGGTAATGTCCTCCTGTAATGTAGTCTTGAAAAGATGCAGCGGGATAAGTAAGAGTACTGTGATTGATTAGCGATGTCTGCCATTGCCTGGTGCCCACAGAGGCAACAGTGTGAGTGCTATGTACTTGCCACACAAGTCTCAAATATACCCAAACCCAAAGCGTGAGAGAATTTTGGCTGATGTATCAGGATTTTTCCCTGCGGCGGGGCAGGGTGCCTGTGAGGACACCTGCTCTTATCTAAGGCAACCATGCAGTTTTGCTCCATGCTCAGGCCGTGGGTCTTCCAGTTGTCAGCCCTGCTGTCATCCAGCCCAGGGTGACACTGTCTTGCTCGCTTACCAGGGTTGGTGTTAGGATTAAAAGAGACGTGGATGAGAAAGCATTTAATTTCCAGGTGAAAATGATGGCGTCGAACATTTAAACTCCACTCGTCTCTCGAAATCAACCAAAGACAATAAAACAAAAATCTGATTATAGGGGAAATATGTTTCCTTAATTTTTATTGAAACCAGAAATCACCACAGCTCCAAACCACAAACCCTGGAGCCTTTCTTCCAAATACTGCGAAATCTAGACCAGAACACAGAGGAAACTGACAATCCATGTGGACCCCCTAGTATGTTGTAGATAGGAAAGCCACATCCCAGACCCAAAAACTTCATCCAAGAGTCCTTGGCTTAAAGCACTGAGACCCAGACACAGAACCCTAGCGGCTTGGCTGGGGCCACCCTGACTGCTGGGATGTCAAACACGGAATTCTGCTCCCACGGCAGAAGAAACAACTGATGTAGTGAGAGACAGTTCAGACCATGAGCCCAAATGGGAGCTGCAGACCGCCTGAGGCCATCCTGCCCACACCTTCCCACGCTATCCTCCCACAAAGACTGGTCCTATCCAGAGTGAGGTAAAAAGTAACCAACACAGGAACTATGCCTAGCTGCTGCAAAAAGAGAGATGGAACGTAAACAAAGGCAGATGAAGAAAATAGCCCGCAAGAGGAATTGCCCAAAGAAACAGGGGAAAACAATTGTTCTTCAGAGTCTCAATCAGTCTCAGATGACACGATGTCTCTTTAAAAAGACTTGAGAAATATGAGGATTGAAAAAAGCGATTATAAAATAACAGCATGAGATGTAAATCAAGCTGGCTGTTCTTAGGCATAAAATTAAGTCTATCTATCTCTATATCTAAATTTATGGATATATTTATAGGCACAGATATAGATAGAGAGATAGTGAGAGAGGTGGGGAACAAAAGAGATAAAAACCACATTAGAAGCACTTACAAATAAAGTGAGGATGATTACACTATAGTAGGGAATATTGTGGATAAGCTATAGAAAGTCACACAGCATTAAATAGAAAATAACTTTGTTTCGTTTCGGTGAAAGATTAGAGAGATGAGAGGCATAAAAGACAGGCAAACATTATCCAATGAATACACATTCTGTGGGACAAGAGGTATAAAAATACTCAAAGATACACTAAAAATGAAAATCTTGAAATAAAGACATGAATCTGCAGGCCCAAAGTATATACAATCTTCCAGGAAATATTGCTGAAGAACTATCAGTTCCAAGACAAATCTGCATAAAATAATTGAGCTTCAAAAATAAAGTTACTACATCTGGTCATCAAGGTAGAGAAGTCAAATCACAACGCAGCGGGGAAATTAGGTTGATAGAAACATCTCCTTCCCAACGCTGGAAGGCAGTGGAATGATGCCTATAGAGTTCCAAGGGAAAGAAAAGGCAGCCCCCAAGTTTTACACCCAACCAGTATGTCTTTCAAGTAAAAGGCGTTGGAGACATTTCGAAGTATGAGGAGCTCATGAAATACAACATTCATGAGTTTTCCCAGAAAAAAAAATCTATTAACAAAAATGTGAAATTAAGAAAGAACAAAGGAAAGGTAAAGATATACTCAAAAATTAAAGAGGAAGAAAGAAAGAAGGATGGAAACAAGGAAGAAAGGAAGCAAGAAGGGAATGTTTTGGGCTGAGAATTAGTCCTATTTAAATGCAGAATCCTGCCAGGTGCGGTGGCTCACACACCTGTAATCCCAGCACTTTGGGAGGCTGAGGCGGGAGGATCGCTTGTAGCCAGGAGTTCAAGATCAGCCTAGGCAACATAGTGAAACCCCAACTTTACAAAAAATAAAAATTAAAAAAATCAGCCAGGTGTGGCGGTGTGTGCCTGTAGTCCTAGCTACTTGGGAAGCTGAGGATTGCTTGAGTCCAGGAGTTCGAGGCTACAGCGAGCTGTGATTGTGTCATGGCACTCCAGCCTGGGTGACAGAGTGAAGCCCTGTCTCAAAAAAAAAGAAAAAAAAAAAGAACCCACCCTAAATTGCCATGAGATTTGTTTGTGCCTCCCAAATATCATGAAATGTTATAAACCCTGGCAAGGTAATAATAATGTTATAAGAAACAATATAAGTGTGCTAACTTCCTAACTTTCATTCCCAAGGGGTCAATACAATCAGTTTAAAATCAAAACATAAAGTTATTTTTTAAAAAGCATGACCACAGTATCTTAATATTTTACAAGTTTTTCTCCTTTATTGTAAAAGTATTTTTAGGAAAAAAAAATTCTTGTGAAGCAACATTTATCTGAAGTTAATATTTATTTCAGTTTTACCCCAATTTCCAATTCTCCTGGTAAATTAAGTAAAATTATACCTAATATTCTTTTATTAAAGATAGCATATATAATATAATTTCATTTTTCCTTGTCTATCTGTGTCTCCTATTCTATGTAGGTACACAGAGAAGTGCCTGGGACGAGATTCACCAAATAGAAAACATTTTTTGGGGGGTGATATTTATTTACTATTGCTTGAATGTTTTACTGTACGCATTTGTCATTTTTATAACATCAAATTTGTTTCTCGTTTATTATTTTGGTTAGATTGTGTTTTGCACAATGGAACCAAAGCTGGTGTTTTGACAAAAATGGAGTTTTGGGAGAGATCTTTGCACAAAATACAAGAAGATATCAGGGGGCTGCAGGAAGGAGGCAGCCAGATGAAACCTCCTATGTGAGCAGCACATGTTTGATTTTGTGGAGAGGATGGCGAGGGCAGTTTGCAGTGCTGCCTGACTCATGCAGCATCCACCTCCGCTTTGCCATCCTGGCTTGGGACGAGGAGGGATGGGACCAACAGACTCTGGCTCAGCTGATGCTCCTGCAGACCCTCTCTGTAAGAGCCTACTAGGGTCTGGACTATTGCTGCAGATGGCAACTGGGTTTCTCACACCCAACCTGGCTCCTTCCAATCCCTTCCCCTGCAAACTCAGTTATATCACCCGGTTCCTACCTGCTGAAACTTCTCCAGGTTCCTCTACCCCTCAGCCCAACAGAGAGACTGAGTCACTTGCCCAAGGTTGCACAGCTTGTAACTGGAAGGGGAATTGGAACCCAGTTCAGTCTGGCTCCAGAGCCTGCGGGCTTGGCTGTAGCAACCCAGCTCCCTAGCATGCCCCCTCCCTGTCTGTCTGGCAGCCCTCGCCTCGCCTCTTACACCAGAGAAGCCTGGGCTGAGGGGGCTGTCGCTTAGGGAGGGATAAATAGATTTGGTGTTGGCCAGGCATGGTGGCTCACGCCTGTAATCCCAGTACTTTGGGAGGGCGAGGCAGGTGGATCACTTGAGGTCAGGAGTTTGAGATGAGCCTGGCCAACATGGTTAAATCCTGTCTCTACTAAAATACAAAAATTAGCTGGGCATGGTTGTGTGCACCTGTAATCCCAGCTGCCCGGGAGGCTGAGGCAGGAGAATTGCTTGAACCCAGGAGTAGGAGGTTGCAGTGAGCCGAGATCATGCCACTGCACTCCAGCCTGGGCAACAGAGCGAGACTCTGTCTCAAAAAAAAAAAAAAAAAAATGGATCTAGTGTTTCTGCTTTGGCTCCTCCTCTCCTCTCTTCCCAGACACTCCCCACCACCCTACCCTCAGCTTTCACAGTGAAATTAGGAGCAGTGTGTGGTAAGAGGAACGTCTGAGTCCCAGTCCCAGTCCTGAGATCTCCGGTAAGTCCCTCTCTGTAAAATATGATTGCTCTAGTGCATCAGTTAGTTAATTCATTCCTTCACTCACAGGCTAAATATTTATCCAACACCTACTAGGCTGTGTTGCGGGCACTGGATATTCAGAGCTGAATATTCAGGCAGTGTCCCTGTCCTCCCAGGGTGCTGCTCCAGCCGGGGAGGTGCAGAACTGGCGGAAGGATGCAGAGCACATGGGGGCTGACCCCATGTTTCAGCTGAGAATTTCGATTTGAGGAAGTCCACTGGGCAGAGAGTGGGGGAACTGCATTCCAGAGAGGGGAACCAGAGAGTGCGCAGGGCGGGGTGGCTGGGGGAGGGGGTCAAAGATAGGGCGTGGAGGAGAGCCCTACAGGAAGCTAGTCATACAGGGACGTGGACAGAAGTTTGGATTTTGTTCCAAGGGCATTGGGAAGCCACTGGAGGGTTTTAAGCTAGGGAAGGACATGATCTAACTTATTTTTAAGATTTTGCCCTGGTTGCCTAGTGGAAGAAGGAGGTGGGAGGTGGGAGGGGAACCTGGAGCCCAGGCAGGAGGTGGTTGTCGAGGTGGGGGTGTTTTAACACACCCCGATGTCTCCTTTCTGCTTGCAGGCAGCCTGGGGTCCTGGTCTCTTTTCCAACCCAGGCATTTGTGGGTGGAAACTGGGGCTGCCTTGCACTGGGAAGCAGGGGTTGGGGGAACCCAAGAAACGCAATGCCTAGTTTTCACCCAGCCTCACAGGATCACCGCCTCAATAGCCAAGTGACGTTTGCACAGACACAGGGGTGCTAGATGGCAAGTTGCATGAAAATCTTTGGTATTTGCAAATTCTCTTGACTTCAGCTTTGCCTCCCCTGCTCTAGAGGGAGGGATAGGACTAAATGTGGTAGGAAGCCCCCCAGGCCCCACATTTCATGCTCCATCTTCCGGTGCCTTATCCTGGCATTCAGGGCTCTGCAAACCTGACTTCAGCTTCCCTCTGGCGCTGCTGCTCTTCCTGCCGCTTTGGTTACATCCAGAATCCTCAAATCCTCCTTCTCAGCTTTGCGCATGCTGCTCTACCCCATGCCCTTCCCTGTCTCACCATCTCTCTAGTCCACCCCCTCAAGTGTGTTTGATCTGTTTCCTCGCATCTAACCCCCAGAGTCCCATGAGAGGCAGATAATGTGGCTTTCCCTATTGCACAGGTGAGGACTGCATCTCCTAGAGGCCATGTGACTTGCCCAAGGTGTCACAGCTCCTGACCATGGAGCACGCCTGCCCCCGGGACACAAGGGCCAGAACCCTCAGCCACACAGGGTTGAAGCAGCCACAGTCTCCACGTGGCTCTCACATTTTCCCATTCAACCATGTACTTGTTTGATCTGCATCACAATCCTGGGAGCTCCTCAGGCAGGATGGTCACGCCCACTTGTTGGATGAAGAAATTGAGGTCCCGGGAGAAGAAGCAACTTCACTGGATCCAAACAGGGGTTGGGGGTTACTAGTAGAGGCAGGACTAGGGGCCTGGCTGCAGTGCTCATGAGCACTGGAGAGAAGCTGAAGGCAGGGATGCAGGCTGGGGGGCGAATCAGGGAGGGCTGCCTGAAAGAGGTGGGCTGAAAGGCTGGCTTGGGAGGACTGAAATAATGAGGCCTGCTGAGAAAGGAGCTCAGAACTGAAGGGCAAGGTGAGTTCAGATACAAATGCCAAGAGGAAAGAAGGCTGCTTTCCGTGTGGATGATGCAGATAATCTGAGATCCTCCAGGGGCCTGAGTCAGGGCCAAGGTTTAGATGACAGCTGAGACCCTCGAGGTACTTATCTATCCTGGAGTGTGTCCTGTCTGCAAATAGGTTATTCAGACACCCTCACATAGCACTCGCTGTGTGCCTGGCACCCCCGAACAGCTCTGTAGCACCTCAGGCTGTGAGATAGGGATTCTTGTTAGTGTCTGCCTTACAGGTGAGCTTAGGTCACTGGCCCCAGGACCCACAGCCCTGAATGTTGCAGCTAGGGTCTGTGTGGCCACAATGCTACCTTGCTGCTGCGTGCAACGGCCACTCCCCTGCCCTTCCCCTCCCCTCCCCTCCTGGGAGGTCACATAGTGACAGCTGACAGCAGGAAGATTCCACCCAGGCAGCCATGTGTGGTCATCCAGAAGTGTCCAACATCAGCTCAGCCACCACACCTGACCACACTTGAGTCAGGGGTACAGGGCTGTCTGGGGACATTGGAGATCGAGCATGTGGAGATGGGTTCAAGCCCTGGGTTAGCCCTGTAATGGCTGTGTGACCTCAGGTGAGCCACTTAATTTCTCTGGGCTGCCCTTTCCTCCTGGGTCCTGTTTCCTGCCTGGGGCCATGGGATGTTTAAGTGGATAAGGATGCATTTTACAAAACCAAGATAGATTATTGTGAACCCGTGGGCATCACTCTCACCACAAGGGCCTCCTGATCTCGAGCAATCCCCGGCGCAGCAAGAAGCTCTTCTTCCCTCCCCTGGCACAATTTTTCGTGAACTAAATCTCCCAGCAGACAAGTAAGTGAGAGCTATGATTGACTCATCGTTGTCAATATTCCTCCCACTGTTTGCTGTCTCAGCATCCCTGGGGAACCTGGGGAATCGGCAAGAAAAATTCCTGCCTGACTCTGAGAGCCCCAAGCCTTGCCAGGGTCTCAGGGTGCTTAGAATCCTAGTATGTCAGAGCTGGATTCTTGATGCCATAAGGTTCAATCCTTTTACTGGACAGATGGGGAAGCTGAGGCCTGAAGGTACATAATGATGACAATAATAATAATGACAGCAACACAACAACGTTTGTGTCAATGCTTTCAGCTGCAGATGGTGAGAAGAAAATCCACATCAGACTGGCTTCAGCACAAAGGTGGGAGGCATTAGCATAGGTGACAGAAAAATCAGAGTAGGACTTCAGGAATGGCTTGATCAAGAGCTCAAAAAATGTCACCTGGTCCCACTTTTACTCTGTCCCAGAGTCTGCTGTGGTTCTGCCCCATTGGCTTCATCCTCAGGCACAGTGTGGTGGCAAATGGCCGCGGCAGCCTGTCTGTCCCCCGAGGTTCAATATCAGAGACAAAGAGCTTGTGCCTCAGTCCCAGCATTCCCAACCAGTGTTTTGTTGCACTCCGTTGGCTCTTATGGGCCATGTGATCATCCTTGAGCCAATTTAGTATAATACCCTGACTAGCTGGGGCCTGGGGTGAAGCCCCACTCAGAACCACAGACTGAATGTGGAAAGGGAGGATCTCCCCCAAATCAAGGGCTGTTGCTGAAATAAGAGGACATGGTTACTGGGGAGACAAAAAGCTGGCGCCCATTAGCACACACTCCTGGAAGGAGCACACACCATACCCAGGTGCTGTGCTAGGCACTTGGCATTTGTTTCCACAACTCTCCCCAGCAAGCAGCCAGGTGGGCATCCTTACCAAGGAGGAAACTGAAGTCAGAAAGTGAGAGACCCACCCAACACACAGTGAGAAAGGTTCAGGGTCATCACTCAGAGCACATGACAGAACAGGTACTCCTGGGGGCAACGGGGGATGAGTCCACTGGGAACTCTAAGAGTTATAGAGCTTGCCTCTGAGCCACCCACCTGTGGAGTGGGGCCCTGGGGTGCATGTCCTCCAAGTCCTCACCCACCCTTGGCTGAAGACTATCTGCCCGGCACGCAGGCTCAGGGAAGCCCTCAGATGGAGTCACAGGCACTTGTCTGTATATTCCAGTGGTTTGGTCCAGGGTGGGGAGTGTTGAGGGATGCAGATGGGACGCGGACAGCATCGCTAAGGTCTATGTCCAACAGGGGGTGGTGATCTGCCCCCTCCTTTCCAGTCATGCCCACCCCACCATAGAGCTGCTAATCTGATTCATCGGGGTCCATGTGCTAATTGGGCCCAGGTAATGGAAGGGCAGGGCCACTGTGCTGCAAGGCCAGGGCCCCACAGAGCTTTCTCTTCCACTTTCGGCACTGCCACATGGCGGGCAGATAAAGGCCAGACCCTACTCTTCTTTCCCACCTTGTCCAAAAAAGCACTGAGTGGTTAAGTTAGGCCAGAGGCTGCACGCTCAGCCCTGGGGTCTCCTCTTCCTGAACTTCCTTTCTCTTTGTGGTCAGCCAGAGATGAACCTATCTCAAAACTCATATAGGGGCCAGGCACAGTGGCTCACACCTGTAATCTCAGCACTTTGGGAGGCTGAGGTGGGTGGATCACCTGAGGTCAGGAGTTCGAGACCAGCCTGGCCAACATGGTGAAACCCCGTCTCTACTAAAAATACAAAAATTAGCCGAGTGTGGTCGCGGGTGCCTGTAATCCCAGCTACTCGGGAGGCTGAGGCAGGCGAATCACTTGAACCCAGGAGGCGGAAGTTGCAGTGAGCCGAGATCGCACCACTGTACTCCAGCCTGGGTGATAGAGCAAGACTCTGTCTCAAAACAAACAAACAAAAAAACAAACTCATATAAGAATGAGGTAGGAGGCCCCATCTAAACTTTGAGCCTCAGCTAGAAACTTCTGTATCTGAGTATGGAGACAGAAGTGACTTTATCTTGGATGTGAATCTGCCATGTTGATTTCTGATTAGCCCCAGGACTGTGAATGTCTCCTGATTCCTTTTTTTTTTTTTTTTACTATCCCTGGGGCAAGAGCATGTCTATCTTGATGTCATTGCACAAATCATAGGCTATGCTGCACGTAGTGCTCTGGCCTATTCTGGAGGGCTGCCTTTGACTGTCTTGCTAGAACACTTAGCCTTTCCCTATGGTTTACAAGCTTTGGGTCTTGGGGGTAAAAGTGTGGAGGTCTGCTGTCTAGTCATAGATAAGCTTTGGGTGTTGGGGGTAACAGTGTGGCGGTCTGCCTGTCTGGTGGCTGTTCAAGACCATGCTTCTGTCTGTAAATTTGCTAATAAAACACTCTTTACTGACAAACCGGATTTGTCTGACAAGGATTTGACTGTCTCCTTCTGTGGTTTCTCAGCTCCTTCAGCATTTGGGGGCCACTTTTTATATAAAACCCGTTCACGGAACAATGAGTATATAGAAGAGGGCACGGGGTGGGGTGGGGGTGGGAGTGGGGATGGTGGGGAGACTCCCAGAGAGAAGAGGGCAAGGAAATAGTGAGGACCTGTGGACACTGCAAATGCTGTGGTGCTGTGAACACAATCCTGCCATCACCGTGGCTGTGTCGTTGTGGCTGGAGTGTTTTGTGTCATATTGAATCTTTTTTTTTTTTTTTTTTTGAGACAGAGTCTCACTCATTATCTCAGCTCACTGCAACCTCCACCTCCCAGGTTCAAGCGATTCTCCTGCTTAGCCATCTGAGTACCTGGGACTACAAGCGCACCACCATGCCTAGCTAATTTTTTTTTAAGTAGAGATGGGGTTTTGCCATGTTGGCCAGCCTGGTCTTGAACTCCTGACTTCAGGTGATCCACCTGCTTTGGCCTCCCAAAGTGCTGGGATTACAGGTGTGAGCCACCGTGCCCAGTCCATGTTGAATCTTTGAATACCTTCCAGTGTGTTGCCAAAAATTCCAGGGTGCTGTGAACCCCAAAATATTGAGAACCACTATGACTTTGGCAGGGTTGGCAGCCACTTCAGCTCCTGCACTCCAGGCTGCAGCACCCAGGGCTGGAGGCAGCAGGGGGTCAGCAAGGGTTAGGCGGCCTTGTGTGTGCCCTGAGCTGTGCACCCTCCCCGGCCCCCGCCCAGCCTCCCCCTTCTCTGCCTCTCAGGTCAGGGCTCTGGGTGGCGCAAGGTTAATGGAAACCTGGAGGAGGTGAGCGGGAAGGGAAATTGCTGTTAAGTGTTTCTCTTTCTTTTCCTTTCTGCTGCCTCAGTCATCTCATTCTCATCCATGGATCAGGCCAGGGCTTGAGACTCATAATTTCAAAGTCCTTTTAACTTTTCTAAGGCAGAATTGTATTGCTTTTGGCCAAAGGCCACTCTGGGATTTACAGAGCAAAGAGCAGTCACAACTCTCTCTTTAGTTTAAGACACAGGGCTCAAAACAGGACACGCGGGGCTGATTTGGTGGCTCCACCTGGGATGACCCCCCTGAGCCTCACAGAGCCAGGACCCACGTGGCAGACACGGCCGCATGGGCTGCTGGACTGATTTCTCTTCTAGGTTTGCTCTTGGTGCAGTCTCGGCCGTGATCACTGCCAAGGAGCCCCGAGGTGGCTGCAGGGCCTTGGCAGAGCGTGAGGTGCCCCAGGGCAGTGCCGCAGGGTGGGGGGGCTCAGAGCCCACCACCCGCCTTGCAGGCCAAGAGCCAAATCTCTCCCTGCCTCAGTTTCCTCACTGACAACATGGGGAGAGAGTAACATACCCTGTGTGACTGCTTCGAGGGTGAAATGAGGTGACGCAGGTGAAGTGTATGCCTGGCACAGTCAGCTTTCAATAAACATGATTGTTATTCAGGTTCCTTGAACTCAGGGGTTCCAGAACTTTCCATCAGACTCCAATCTCCTAGGAGTGGAAGGTTATAAAGTAAATATTGGGAGTTAATTTTCTGTCTCCCACTGAATCACAAACAGGAGGACTTGGGGCCCAAAGGTGAGGTCCAGGCAACTGTAATGAAAGAAAAATGGAGTCACCTGCCTGAGCCTGAGTGACCGGGGCTCCCCCAGGTCAGCTGGTCCTGTGGCTGGATCGGAGCCTGGTGAGAATGGAGTGAGGGGCTGTGGATGGGGCGGTGAATCCCTGTTGGGGTCAGAGAGTTACAAACAGTGGGAGGGCTTCTGGCTCTCTTCCTGCCACTGCAGAACCTCAAAGCTCAAGGCTTGAGGCTGGGGGCTCTAAGGCCAGTGCCTCAGCCTTCCTGGGCAGCTGGTGTAAGAAATTCAGCAGGCTCCCCCCAACCAGGACCCCTCCAGAGTCTGTGCTCATTGTGGCCTCAGGGTCCCTGGGGTGGGGGAGGGACAGGCAGTGACAGGCCAGGAGCCCAGCGCAGAGCCTGACACATCCATTCTGCTGGGAGCCTCGCTGGACCTCCCCATAGACTGGTGGTGGCAGTGGCTCAGGGCTGCAGTGTGGCCATTGCAGGGGCAGTGGAGGTGGAGGTCAGCCCTGGCCTGGCACAGACAGGCAAGGTTTGGGAGAGGAGGGAATTAACAGTGGTGCCCAGATATTGAGCAGGTCAGACTCACCCAGGGGAGTGGCCCCCTCCAGAGGTTCTGGTTTCTGGGAATGGAGAGGTCCTGGGAGTCGGCCTGCTAACAAGCCCCTCCTCCATCTGGGGCATGTGGTGCTTACAGCCTTACAAAACTGGTGGCTTCCCTTTCTTGTCCCTTGGAATGCTCCCTCTGGGGGAGCCCAGCCCAGGGTCAGACATCCAAGTGGGTGGATGTGGCCCAGGAGCCACCGGGTGAGTGGGGAAGGCATCTTGGACATTATGGCCTGGCAGAGTGATGGGGAGAAGAGCCAAGGAGCCAGCCAACATCCAGAACTGAGGCCCAGACATACGGCCCCAGCCCAGACACTGCAGCCACCCACAGCCCTGCAAGCCACCTGGCTGAGACCGATCACCGCACAGCAGACACAGCTGTGCTCCAGGTGCCAAATTCCTGACCCAGAAAATTGTAAGCAAAATATAATGGTGGCTGTTCTAAGCTGCCAAGTTTTGGAGAGGTTTGCGTCACAGTGAAAGAAAACCAGTATGCCCCATCTGAGCCTCAGTTTCCATGTATAAAATCCAGATGGAAACGCAGTGTGGTGAGGCTGAGGCAGACTCTAGAGTGTCCAGGGGGTGCTGCCGGGTTCTGGCTCGGCTCTGCCACTCTGCGGCCCTGTGGTCCTTGTCAAGAGGCATGAGTCATTTGTGAAATGGGAGTTAATGATGGTGCCCGCCTCACAGGCTCCGTGAGGGTCAAGCAAGGCAAGCCATTTGAAGCACTCAGAACATTGCTGGCGCACAGCTAGGACTAATGGACACCAGCGAGGACTTTTACCTCATTAGCACCCACAGGACTGGTGTGAAGGTTAGATGAGAGCCGTGGAAGGCTCATGCTGGTACCGAGGAAGCAGTGGATGCTATCATTAAGAGCAGGCTCATTTTAAAGCCCCCTACTGTGTGCCTGGCACTGTTTCAGGAGCTTGGGTCACATCAGGGACAAAAGAGACCAAGATCCATGTGTGATGGGCACAGGGGGCCGGAGGAATGGGAGTGTGTGGGATTGCAAGCTGATGAAGTCCCTTACCCAGTTATGTGACTTCACAGATGCTGAGAAAAACAGGCCAGAGGTTAGTTGCCAAGGTGAATTGCCCTGAGGTCTGGGAGAACTAGGTCCTCAGTAGATGCTCTCTGAGCTCTGGGTGAGACAGACCTGGTTCCCAGCCATCTCTTAGCTCTGGCACCATCAAGACCCTCCAGGAGGGAGTACGGGTGGGGCCAAGCGCCCACCAGCCCACCCCAGACAGTGTCTTCGAAGATAAACCGTTTTCCCAGTGGCCCAAATGAAAACCGTATTGCCTGGAAAGTGCAGTTCAAACAGAATTACCGGAATCCTTTGTCACCAGAGTGGGCGTCACATGGCCAGCATCTGCGAAGGTGTCAATAATCATAATTAATGAGACCTTCCCCAGACTCCTGACGCGATGATATGTCAGCTGCGCCTTCGAGTCTGCAAGGATGAGAGGAGGGGGAGGGATTGTCCCACACCCCCTCGTCTGGCACCTTCCCCCTCCCCACCCCCAGTGGGGGCTCAGGGTGCTCCGTCCCTCTCAACAGCCCAGGTGGGGCAGCTCCATTAGTGGAGGTGGTGCTCACCCTGCACACTCCACGGTGAAGCTTCTGAGACTTGGAAGCAGGAGGTGAGTGGGAACACGTGTGCATTCAGGATCATCATCATCATGTGGAATAATAAGGATAATAAAATAGTAATGACAATAGCAGCTCTCACATACTGAGCACCTACTGTATGCCAGGCCCTGAGTTAAGATGTTATGCCCATGAGCTCATTTGACCCCATTATCCATGGTGACCACAGAATTCATCCTCCGACTGGGATGCTTGGGAGACTGGAAGATGGCACTGGGAGTAATGACACCCACCCCGGCCCCTGGACAGCCTGGCTCCCCTACTTCAGGTCTCAGCTCAGACGTCCTCATCTGCGCGCTCCTCCTGACTGCGTCTCACGTGTCACTGTCCCACTCCCTCCCATCATGCGCTGCCCCTTCACCTGTCCTGTGTCCCTGACCTCATCGCCACCCACATGCCCCACAGCTGGTCAGTCCTTTATGTGTCTGTCATCTCTCCCCATTACCATGTGGGCTCCCCGAGGGGAGGGATGGGGCCTCTTCTGTCCACTGTGGTGTCCCAGGGCCTCAGCCAGTGCCTGGGCCACGGTAGCTACTCAGCCAATGATGGGTGGGTGGAGGGATAGACAGGTGGGTGGGTGAATGAATTAATAAAAAGTCCCAGAATAGAGAGAACTGAGATGTGAGTTCATTTCTCCTTTCTAAAGGCTTCGCTGGGATGACAGATGTCCTGGGGAATCTTCTGTCATCCTCAGCCACTTTGAAGGATGGGGAGCAGGGAATCTGGGTCTGGGCCTGAGCCGCAGTCTGAGAGGCAGACTGGCGTTGAGGTGGAGCTCCTGCAAGGGTTGCAGGGAGGGTGGAAAACACTCACGGACTGTGGAAGCCGAAGCTGTGTCCAACCACCTGACAGAGCTCAGTCTAGCTCCACCACCAACAGCTGTGTGGCCTTGAGCCCTCTCCTCCCGGGGCCTCTTCTTCATGTGGGAGACAGCAGCCTGCTCCAGGGCTGCTTTCAAGAAGAAGAGAGGTGAGGGATGTGGCGGTGCTTTGAATCAGAGCACGGGGATGCAGGAGGGGAAGGGTGTCCTTTTGACTCTCCCCAGAGTGCACAGGCCTCCTGAGAGGGTCCCTGAGACGGTCCCCACCCCTGCTTACCCTTACAGGGCTCAGTCAACCAGGTAGGTCCTGCAGAGGTCTTGGGCTGCAACTTGGGCTGTTAACTCCTTCTGAGCCAGGCAGCCAGTCACTTAGCAGGGGCAGATATGTGTGCATGGGGATGGGGAGGCAGTGCCAGCAGGAGCTGGGAATCGGGGCTTGCCCTGCTGCTGGGGCTGGGGCCAGGGTCAGTGCTTTTTGGAAGACTCACTCTTTCTAAGGACTTCTTTATCTATTTGCCTCATCTTCTGCCCTACTTACGCCACCAGCACTTACTGAGCACCTCCTCTGTTCCAGGCACTGTGCTGGGTGCTGTGTTCCCACGGGCAGTGAAACAGACATGACCACCACACTCCTGGAGGTCGGAGTCCAGCAGGGGATAGACATTAATAAAATAATCACTCCAGTAGACATTCACCCATCTGGGCAAGTGCTATGAGACAGAATTAGAGGGGCTGGGATGGGAGTGGATTACCAAAGGAGGGAGGGAGTGATCAGGAAAGATTTCCCTGGGAAAGTTTTCCCTGGGAAAGTGACATCTGACCTGGGCTCTGACAGACAAAGGCGTTAGTGAGACAGAAAGGAGGGAGGAGGGCACTCTGGGGAGACGGAACTGTAGGTGCAAAGGCCCTGGGTGGGACAGAGTGTGCCTGAGGGACCAAACACACTTGTTAGACGCTCCTGCTAGTGATTGTTGTTGTTACTGTTAATCTGGGCCCAGGGGAAGATTGGCTCTGCCCCTGGAGAGGGGAGGGGCTCTTAAAACACCACTTGCTTCCAAGTTTACTCCCCCTTCCGGCGGTTAGCATTAAATACAAGTGTATTGTTGTCATACTTGCTCTCCTCCCCGGCTTCCTCCTCCTCCTATTCATCTCCTCCTCCTCCTCCTCCCCCCCTCCTTCTCCTCCTCCTCCTCCTCCTTCTTCTCTTCTCAGTTACACCTGTAGTCAGGGACAGTTGAGGTCAACTTTAGCTGTGGTTGGACTGATCAATGAATGGCCTTGGCAGGGAGGGGCAATGCCTTGGTTGTGGTACAGGGGTGGGAAGTTTCCCCCAGGTCCCTCCAAGACCCCTGTGGGCCCAGACCCTGTGATCATCAGATGCCCCCACCCTCACACCTGCAGGAGCCCCATCCCATATGTGGCCTGGACAATGCCAAACCCTGGGTAGTCTCATCTTATGTTCTGGATGTGGATGAGCCCCCTGTCCTGATGGGGCACATGACCTTGAACAAGACTCTTCCTCGGAACAAGGCTCTTCCTCCGAACGCCCACAGGAGGGAGGCTGCAAAGGGTGAGGGGGTCTGGGATTAGGTGACCCCAATGATGGCTGAGTGGCGTCTTCTGGGAGGCCTGGAGCCTCTGTCCTGCTGATGGGTGCCTGGGTGAGGATGGAAGTGTTAATGCTGGGATGTTCTGCCCAGGCTCCTGGAGCCTGTGTGTGCCCCTCCTTGCCGTGATTAATTCAGTTTGGTAACGTGGTATTTTTGCTGGAAATCTAATCGTCATTTCTGATGGTAGAGGAATTGAAAAATAAATTGAAAGTGTCAGACGATGCATCAGGGTGGGCGATGGAGTGGAAGCGGGGGCTGCCCACCCAGTCTCCCCACTGGGCAATTTGCAGGCCCAAGAAATTAGCCAAGTTTCTGTTTCTACAATTATAGGATCAAGAACACAGGTGATAGGGTGAAGCAGGGGGAAGCAGGTGTGAGGTGAAGAGAGCAGAGAGATCCCAGCCTGGAGGCAGCATCAGAGCCACAGATGAGGAGATGGTCTCAGAGTGGACAGGGACCCGTCCATGATACCACAGGAGGCTGTGGGCACCGCGAGGCTGGGATCCGGGCTCCCTCCTTCCACCACCAGTCCAGGGAGCACACTGACAGGGTCTGGGCCTCCGTGGAGATGGATGCTCTTGGCAGTTCAGCCCCAGGGTCCACCATCTGGGAGCCCCACCTCCCCAAGCTGCCCCTCTGCCTCAGGGAGGGGGCTGGCCACCTGGGAGTTGGGGCCACCTTGCGTGCCTGTTTCTGAATAATGTAAGTGCAGGTCTCTGAGTCTACAGGGACTGGAGTCTACAGGGACTGGGGTCTCCCTGGCAGTGTCTGGCCTCCCGCAAGGGCTCCTGCCCCTGGTGAGGTCTAGGTCTCCCCAGCAGACTGGACTCTCTACTGGCAAGGCTGCCTCCCCCCGCTAGTCAGAGCGGCCTCCTTGGGCAGGTGTCTGACTTCACCCCCTAGAGGCTCCTGAGAGCAGGCGCGTGTCTTCTCCAGACTGAGGGCTCCTGAAGTCAGGACTGTCCCCCCGACCTGAGGCCTCCTTGAAGGTGGTGGACTAGCTTCCCACTGGACCTCAGCTCTTCAGACCTCCTCGAGGGCCTGGGCAGCTGGTGTCTGTTGAGGTTCTGGTGGTCAGGCTGGCTCTGTCCAGACCTGGCACATGGAAGGGAGAGGGGAAGGTGTAAGCAGAGAGCTGGAAAGAAGGGGAGGTGCATGCTAACTTCACACCCCTTGGATATGGGGGACAGTCCTTGTCAGGAGGACTAGGGGACCAGGGATCCTGGGGACAGGCCCTACTGTGTCCTGCAGCCACTGACCGTCCTGAAAACCCCTCCTTCCCAATGACTGTGGAACTGGGAGAGCCCAGCACTGGAGGGAGGAGGTCTGGGGTCCTGCCCACCTCATTCATTCATTCATTCATTCAACAAGTGTCTCTCAGCTCCCTACTTTGTGCTTGGCACCATGCAAGGCACTGGAGATGCAGCAGGGCACAAAATGGACGAGGTCCTGCCCCTACGGAGCTTGCATGCTTGTAGGGCGGAGACTGATAATAAACACACCAATGAATGAATGAACAAGATCATTTCAGAATGTGTTGAGTGCCATGAAGGAAATAAAGCAGGATGTTGTGGAAAAGAGTGGCTGGAGCAGAGGTCCTTTTGGGAAGGCTTCTAGGAGGAGGTGACTTTAGGCTTAGGTCTGTGCATGAGCAGGTGCCGCCTTGCCTGGAGCTGAGGGAAGGGTATCCTGAGATCAGGGCCAGAATACGAAGACATAGCAGTGGCACCATCTAGCAGTGTTGTGAAGGTCAGGGTGGCCAAGCGGCAGTGCATGAGGGCTGTGGGAGGAGATGGGGCTGTAAGGGCCAGCTGGAGATGGTCGATGGCTCAGGCACAATGCCATGGCCATCACGAGGACTCTGAAGTTTGTTCTGGGAGCAGCTGAAGTCCCTGGAGGGTTTTAAGCAGGAGAGAGTGACACAGTTGTGAATTTTCAAAACATCACGCTCACATTGTGGATAATGGAGTGTGGAGGGGCAAGAAGGAACAGGGGACCTGGCTGGAGCTGCTGCAGGTGTCCAGGTGAGAGCTGGGGCAGCCTGGACCAGGGCAGGAACAGCCTGAACCAAAGGTAGAAGAAGCCCATGGAACTCAGATACATCATGGAGGCTGAATCAACAGGACTGAATAATGGATTTGATGTGGGTGGTGGGAAAAGGGGAGAGTCGAGGATGACTCTGAGGTTCCCAGTTTGACTAACTGGGTGAGTGAAGGTGCCATCTGCAGGGACAGAGAAGGCTTGAGGCAGGTAGGTTTGAGGGAGAAGAAGTTCTCTTTTGAATTTGCTAAGTTTGAGCTGCCTCCTGAATGGACAACTGAGGATACACCCCATGCTGTTGATGCACCAAATTTTCCTCTTCTCCCAGCCACATGGTGGGATTGCACTTTTCTGCCAACTTGAACTTGAATAAGGTCATGTGACTTGCTTAATGAAATGTGAGTGGAAGCAGCATGTACAGATGGGAGCTTAAGAGGCATGATTCCCCTTGCTCCTGTTTTCATCTAGGCCTGAATGACTGGCAGGCCCTGTTCTGACCTATCAGCCTGTCCTGGGGAGAGGATAAGGGGGGTCGGAGGCCCCAGCCAACCAATAAGCACAGGTAGCACGAATGAGGAAGAAGCCTTTGTGGATTTAAGCCACTGAGATGTGGGGGATGTTTGTTACCACAGCACAATCTAGTCCAAGCTGACTGATACAAACCTCACACTTCTACATAATTGTGGGAGTTATTAGTGATTGATCAAAACCATTTCTTTTTTTTCCAGATTAGGAGAGCCTGAGAGTGAGAGTAGGGAGAGAAACGCTCATTGCTTTCACCACCTCATATTACACATCTATGCAATGGGCTCACTTTCTTCTTCCCAAGTCTAGGCTCCATCCCAATCTCCGGTCCAAAGCTCAAACTCCCCAGGCTGATTCTGCCACTCTCATTCAACTGTGTCACCTCCCTCCCCTGTCAGTTTGTCCTCTCAGATCTCTGGAGAAGTATCCCTCCTCCCCACCCTTACTGCTGGAGTCCCAGACCTGTCAGTCCTGTGTGGAGCAGGCAGTGCTTGGTTCAAACCTGAAGTCTGCCACTTAATAGAGGTATGACTCTCAGTGAGTAACTTCATCTCTCTGAACTTCAGTTTCCTGATAAAAAAGAGACTATTAATAGGACAGTTTTGAAGATTAAATAAGATGAAGCACATGAGCCCATGTTCAATGTAAGGTCACTGGTATTACATGATGATTATGGTCATGTCTCATCACTGCCTCCCTGGATCAATGTCCCAGCCTCCTCACCAGTTGCCTTGTCTCCAGCCTCATCATCTCCAGTTATGCCCCCATGCTGCTTCCAGATACAGCTCTTTAAAGCAAGCTCTGATCCTGTCACTATCCTGCTCAAGAACCATCCATGGCTCCCTCTTGCCCATAGAATAAATTCCAACCTCCTCACCCTGGAATTAGGGGCCTCCCTTCTCAGCCCTGTCTTCCACACAGCAGCAAACTGATCAGTGTGTTCTGCCTTAAACAAGTCTTTTAATCCTCTTATCAGAGTGGTTTAAAGAGTCCTGGCTTGAGAGACAGGTGGCCTGAGTACTAGTCCCTGCTTTGCCACTGATTTATAGTATAACCTTGGGGACGTTTCTTGCCCTCAGAGCCTCAGTTTCCCAATCTGAAAAATGGAGAGGAGACCGAGGGCTAAATTCATTAATCTAAATGCTTCATTCTGAGGCAAACATCCTGGGTTTCTTGGAGCCAAGCTGCTACCTCATTCCCAGCATGGCCTGGCCTGTCCCACCTCCTTCCCCTCCCATTCTCCCTCTCTTGCTACCCCTCTCCTGACTGGGTACTGCGACGGGCCCAGGGCAAGAAGCTGCACAGCTGCTGGGCTGGCGGGCTCAGCGATGCTGCAGACACAGGCAGCAGGGACCCAACAGCCTGTGAGCAAAACCCTTAGGGAGGTGGGATGTGATCAGTGCCAGGGCTGGACTGCACGTTAGACTGAAAGCTGCTCCATATTTCCATGATTCTGAGTGGGGTTTTGAGAGGAGATGGGCAGAGTCTGAGCACTGGGGCTGGATGGGGGCTGTGAAAGGAGGTTACTTAGTGGGCAGCACCAAGGCCAAGCGGGAGTGATGGGGACAGTGACATTCACCGAGCTTTCCTGAATGAAACACTCAACAACGTATCTTTCTTATTTTTCAAATTGCCATGTGTCAGTTATTATTATACTCAAAATTTGTAACTACTCATCATCATAATAAAGCAGCTCTCATTCATTGAATGTAACCTAGCACCAGGTCCTGCGGTAACTTCTCTAAGTCTCCTAACTTATCTAATCTTTGTGACGTCTGTACGAGACACCTAGTATTTTACTATGATTCTCTCGCTTTCGGGATGAGAAAATTGCGTGGTTAAATAATTCACTCGAGGTGATGCAGCCGGAAGGTGCTGAAGACAGGATCTGAGCCCAGGCCATTGGGATTCAGTGCCCTGTGCTTAACCACTGCACTGGTCTCTGTGTGGACCCCAGTTGGCCCCCAGGATGGGGACAACTGTACTCACATGACAGGTGAGGACACTGAGACTAAGGGGGTAGTGACCCACCAAGATCACACTGGAAAGCCCCACAATGAAATCTGCTCTCTGGATGGGGGAGGTGCTGCCTGCTCCAATCGCACTTTCTCCACTGCCCTGCCCTTTAGAGGGAGAGCGGGGCTCCAGGGCTCCCCCCAGGGCCCTGAGTGATCAGCAGAGGGACCCTGGGAAGGGAGCAGGCTCTGTTCTCTGACAGACCCAGGTCCATGTCCTGGCCCTGCCACTCAGCAGCATATAACTATGAATCAGTCACTTAGTTGCTCTGAGCCACAGTTTCCTCTTTTGCAAAGTGGGGCAGTAGCAGCATGTTGGGCGGATGGGAGCAGGGACAGGCACAGGTGCCTGGCACACAGTAGGTGCTCAGTAACTACTGTGCTTTCCTGTCCCCCTTGAGGCTGAGGCTCCTGAAGATGTGACTCTGGCACTGGGGCCTGATGGTCCCCTCCGTGGGGTCTAAAACTCTCCCTGGGGGCCGCTGAGAGTGGGAGAAGAGGCTGGGCCGACCACAGCCCACAGACCACCTCTTGGGAGGATGATGTCCCTTCAGAGGACAGCTGGGTTCCTGGCCAAGACAAACCTAATGCCTGGGCTCTGCTGCCTGGACCCCAGGACCCGACTCTGTCACTCATGGTCATGCCCTGTCACCTGTGTGGTCACCACATTGCCAAATATATTAACAACCATCCCTACTTGGGCACTCACATGGGTGCACTGTCCCGTCTCATTTAATTCTCACAACAGTCCTATGCTGGAGGGACAGTCACTATAGCCAGGAGGAGATGAGGAAAAAGGCTTAGAGAGGAGAAATGAACAGCCGGGAAGTAGGCACATTGGCTTGGCTGCCCCTGGGGCCCTGGCTGTTACCTTCACCCTGTCACCACCCCCTGAGTACCCTCCCCATCACACTATCATCTGTCACTGACTCCACCTCCCAGCCAAGGTGCTGCCTGCCCCCTGCCACCCCCAGTCACTGCACACACAAGCACCCGCCCCACAGACACACGCTCTTGGGGGGCACAGTACGCACATTATGCACGCATGAGGGATCCCACCCCCAGATGTGTCTCTGCGTCCCCATTCACACCCACTAACTCAGACTCCTCCCTGTATAAAGTCCCCCTCAGGGCCTCATCTTACCAACTCTTCTTTCTCACATGTCTTAAAACTCACCCTCAGATTTAAAGCTGAAGAGAGAGAGAGGTGAAGGGAGTCAAATCTCATTTTATTTATTAGTGGCAGTAAAGCAACGTTTCAAGGGATAATTATAATAATTAAAAATCCTGTTGTCACCTGTGGGGAGGAAGGTGCTGCCTGCACAGCCAGCTGTGGCTGGTGAGTGGCCAGAGGGTTCTGATAACAAGATCAGCTCCAACTACTCCCAGGTCCCAAGGTAAGTCTGCTGGGCATTTTAATGCTAGAGGACAGAGTTCAGGAAGGGGAGGCTGAGGGTGTATGACCAGGTGACCCTCACTCATACGGCCCAAGAGCCCTTGGCTTGGCCTGAGGAGACAAGAGGAACCAGGTGGGCTCAGCCTCACCCATGAGCTCGTGCTGAGTGTGGGTGCCCCATGTCCCTGTGGGAGGGGGTGACCTCACTGGGCTGTGGGTCCTCTCCCAGGCTGTGGGCAGTGTCTGCTCTGGGGACAGCCTGGCTTGGGCTCTGCACTGAACCACTGTGTGACCTTGGGTGTGTCACCCACCCACTCTGCCCTGGTATAGCTCTTGGCCACCGACAAAGCCAAGCTCCCTGCTGTAGCCACCTGACACCCAGCCCAAGGGAGCCCCATGAAAGCAGGGCCCTGTCTCCACTGCCCACCTCCACACCTGTTCCCAGTGCCCAGACCAGGGCCTGGCACACAGCAGCCTCCCTGGAAATATTCAATATTTGTTGGAGGATTCCAAGAATGTGTAAATAAACAGGACAAATCCAGGAGGTAGGCTGTCTTATCCCCATCTAATGCAGGAGACTGAGGCTCAGAGGTGAAGGGACCCACCTGAAGTCACATAACTGGTCAGAAAGAGGAAGCTGAGGGCTGCTCTTCCAAGGGGGACAAGGTCCAAGACAGGGCTGGGGAGCAGCATGGATCCTGGGAGAGACAGCTGAGCTGCTGTGCCTGCAGATGAGAAGTCAAATGCTTTACAAGACTCAGCCCCCACCTGGGAAACTCAAGCCATCTGGGAGGCCCCAGTGATGGTGGCCTTGGGGAAAAGGGGGAGAAGAGATGGGGGGCAGCCTCATTTGCATAAAGGCCTCACCTCTGCCCATAAACTGAGCTTTCAGGGGCAGGGACACCAGGGCCTGGCCAGTCACCAGGAGGCTGGGGGCAGAGGAGGGTGGAGCAGGGCCAGGCCCTGAGCAGGTCAGCAGCCAAGTCCCATCCCTGTGCTCCTGGCTCCTCTTCCCATCTGGCTCTTCCCTCCCTGACCTCAGTAGGTCCTCCCAACAGCTCTGCATCAAGGGCAGGAATAATCATCTCTGCTTTGCTGATGAGGCAGCTGAGGCCCAGCGAGACCAAGTGTCTTGCTCAAGGTCACACAGCAAGTCTGCAGCAGACCCAGAACTGACCAGGCCCTGACTCGCAGCCCAGGGTGCTGAGTTCTGCCCCTCTGGCTTCCTTCTGGCTGCCCTGGCCCGGGGCCTGTGCTGGGCTCCCCGACACTGTCCTGTCCTCTGCTACCACCAGCCCCCTCTGCTCCACCAAACGCCGCAGCCAGGGCTTAGTTCAGAGCTGCTGGAGACTCCAAGCCCCCTCTCCAGCCTCCACCCCTGAGCCTAGCCCCTTTTCCCCAGCTGTTCCCAGACACTGGGTCAGGGAGACACAGAATGCTGGGGCTGGCAGGGACCCCAGGAAGCCTCTGGCCCAATCCTCTGGAGCGGCAGGTGGGAGCAGTGGGCTTTCAGTGGCCACCCTGTGCCCCTCACCTCCATCCCAGAAGCCCTCCAGGGCCTGGCTTGGGGAGCTGCTCTTCTCCCTGCATGTCCCCCCTGCTTCCGGCCTTATTTATTCCCCAGCAGATTCTGAGTCAAGGTGTAAGGTTTGATTTACAAACTTTCAGGGGAAGGAGGGTGGCTGGCTGCACCTGCAGCTGAGAGGCCGAGGTGATTTACTCTGCCAGGAAATGTCTGTCTCTCAGGAGGGATCAACCAGGCCCTCCTCCTTGAAGCTGGGATTTACTGAGGCTTCTGTTTCCCAGGGAGCTGCATGGTGGCTTTGTGGGTGCTGGGGTGAGGGTGAGGGTACAACCAAGGTGGAAGGAGCCATGGGGATTCACATGCAGTAAAGAGCAAACCTAGACGGTGTGGTCGGGATGAAGAGGTTAAACTTAAGTGTCACTGGAGGCCTAGGACTGATTCCTGCCCCACCACGGCCAGGCTTGTGTGACCCTGGGAGCTTGACACATAGTAGGGGCTCAGGAAAGTTGAGTTCTCCCCCAGCTCATCTGAGGTCTCCCTTTCCCTGCCCTGGCCACTTCTTCCAGGTCCCCCCCCAACTCCTTGCCCTAGGCTTTCCTCCAAGCCCCCTGCCTGCATACGTCTGTCTGTCCTCAGGGAGAGCAGAAGCCTGCCCGTCTCAGGTTCCGTCTTCACTGCAATTCAGGAGAGAGAGCACTGGGGGCCCATGAGCAGGACTGGCCTGGCCACTGCATGCCAGGACACCAGGAACGGGTGCTTCATATGTCCAGGGATAGTTAAAGGGGCAGCTACTTCCCTCCTGATGAGTTTGGAAAGGGCTCTTGGCAGAGTAAAGGGACTCTGGGGCCTGAATTTCTATTATGATCTAAGGGATCAGCAAAATTCTTGAGCCTATCTGATTTCTAATAAGGAATGAGGGAGCCTGGTCTCATTAGGGCAGGTGACCCAGGGTCTTACTGGGCAGGGGCAAGGGCTGGGGTTGGATCCTTGTGAGTAGTGGGTAGGAGGCAGCTCCCCTCCCTCTGAAGGGAACTCCAGGCTACCTGGGCCTCTCAGGTTGGGACCCCAAGACAACCTCGTCCATTCTCAGAGTTGCTATTGCATCCTGTAGGGTGCATGTCGAGAGGAGGGGGACTCGAGTCAGATCTCCCAGAACCCAGTGGGGACATCAGAGACCTTGGCTGGTCCTGGCAAATCCCGGTAGCCTCTCTGTCTCCTGAGCCTGAGTGCTCTTACCTGTAAAGTGGGAGTGGTGATCTCTCCTTCACTTGGCTATTTTCTGAGATAAGTAATGTGAGGAAAGCCCTTGTACAGTGTGTGACACATATTAGGTCTTCCACAGAGGATCGCTGTGATCATGTGGAAACATATTGCAGCTCCATGAGGGGTAAAGTTAGGCAAAGTGTGGATTTGAGAGCTGGCTGCTGGATTTAGTCTCTGCCTAGCCTGTACCAGCATTGTGACCTGAGGAAGCAACCTAACCGTTCTGTGCCTTGGTTTGCTTATCTATAAAATGGGGGTAATAATAGTGCTTCCCTCATAGGGTCATTGTGAAGATTAAATGGCATAATACTTATAAAATGCTTAGAACAGAGCCAGGCACAAAACTAGCCAGATGTTAGTTTTTTTTTTAACTGCTGTTTTGACAATGGTTCTTGTCCAGCCTTTACTCATACTGACCCCTGTAGACCTCTGCAGACTGCCTTTGTATCTCTGTGGCCTGTTAAAGACCTCCATGGTTTCCTCTGAGGTCTGCCCTGCCCTCCTCCCACTCCAGCCACAGCCCCTACCCCCTGCCCACCACACACACAGTAGCTTGTCTTTTTATTTTCTTATCGGTGTCTTTTGAAGAGCAGAAGTTTTTAATTCTGATGAAATCTAATTTATCAATTAGTTTTTAATGAATTTTTCTTTAGATATGGCATCTAAAAATATTTGCCTAATTCAAGATCACAAAAGTTTTTCCTTTGTTTTCTTATAAAAGTTTCATAGTTTTAGGTTTTCATTTAGATCCATGAGCCATTTTGAGTTAATTTTTATGTATGGCATGAGGTAGGGATTGAAGTTCATTTTTTTACGGATGGATATTCTGATGTTCCAGCACCACTTGATAAAAAGACTATTCTCCACTGAATTGCTTTTGCTCCTTTGTCAAAAATCAATTATTCATATATGTGAGGAACTATTTCTGGACACTTTATTCTGTTCCACTGAGAGATTTGTTTCTTTTTATGCCAACACCACACTGTCTTAATTACCATAGTTTTATAATGTCTTGAAATAGTCCTCTTTAAGGGTTTTTTTTGGCTGTTATAGGTTCTTTGTGTTTCCATATGAATTTTAGAATCAATTTGTCAATTTCTACAAAAAAGTTGTAGTTTTTCTTATGTGCTTGGGCTTTGTTGAGCTCCTTTGATCTCTGGGATTACAGTTTTCTTCAAATTTGGAAATTTTTCTGCCATTAGTTTTTCAAATGTTTTTTCTTCCCTGCCTCCTTCAGAGACTCCAATTATACAGTTTGAATTTGTCCCATAATTTGCTGCTGCTCTGTTCATTTAAAAAATTCATTTTTTTCTCTCTGTTTCAGTTTGAATAGTTTCTATTATTATGGTGTCAAGTTCATTAATCTTTTCTTTTGAAATTACTAAAGTGCTGTCAACTTCCTCTAGTGTATGTTTATCTCATACATTGTAGTTTTCACTTACTAGTGTTCTATTTGATTTTGCTTATAGCTTCTATGTCTCAACTTTTTAAATATATGGAATACAATTATAATAAGCTTTGAAGTCTTTGTCTGCTAATTTTATTTATCTGTATCAGTTCTGAGTTGGTTTTGATGGATTCATTCATCTCCTTATTATGGGTTACATTTTCTTTGTGTACCTGCTAATTTTTGATTGAATGTTAGGCATTGTGAATTCTACCTTGTTGGATGCTGGATGTTTTTGTATTTCCATAAAATTTCTTGAGCTATATTCTTGGGTGCAGTTAACTTACTTGTTAGCAATTTGATCCTTTCAGGTCTTGCTTTTAAGAGTTGTTAGGCAGAAATAAGATAATGCTTAATCTAGGGCTATTTGCTTTCCACTCTCTAGGCAAGACCCTTCTGTGTACTTTATTCAATTTCATGTGAACCATGAGATTTTCTGGCCTGGCTAATGGGGAACAGGCACTATGTCCAACCCTGTGTGAGTTCTGGGTACTGTTACCTTCAATTCTTTTGAGTGGTTCTTTCTCCAGAGTTTAATGGTTTCCTCAAATGCATGCACTTGTCAGTACTTGGCAGGATTCTTGAGAAAGACCCTCTGTGTACATTCAGTTTTCTATTTTTTTTTTTGAGACAGGGTCTTGCTCAGTTGCCCAGGCTGGAGCACAGTGGCACGATCATGGCTCACTGCAGACTCAATCTCCTGGGCTCAAGCAATTCTCCCTCTTCAGCCTCCCAGAGTAAGCCACCACACCTGGCCCAGTTTCTCTCTATTTTTATATCTCTCCTCATGGTACTTTGTCTTATGAATTCTAAATGTCTTGTTCTTCCTAGTTTCTCAGCCTTGTCTCTTTAACTCATCGCTTCCTGTATTTTTTCTCCCTACACCATGGCCTGGAAATTCTCTCAAGACAATAAGCTGGGGGATCTTGTCTCACCTTTTTGTGTCCCATCTTTCAGGGATCACTGTCCTTCATTGTCTAATGTTCAGTGTCTTGGTCTTGGCACGTTATTCTTGAACCTCAATTTCCTTATCCATAAAAGGAGAATAATAGCAATAACTATCTGACCCCACCAGAATTGTTGTGAGATTGAATGAGATAATCTAAGTCAATAATTGGGACAATTATTGGGACAACAATGCTCAGTCTACAATAAGTGCTAAATATATATTATTATATCACTACTAAAACAGCTATTATTCAATAACAATGACTGAGGAAATACATAATGAACAAAGACTGCCATGAAGGAGTCATTTGACAGATAAGACTCAGCCACAGCATAGAGAGGTTAAGAAACTTGTCCAAGACTATATAACTATTAAATAGTAAGCAGTGGAACAAGGATTTGAATTCAGATCATCTCGTTCCAGAGTCAGTTTTCTCGTTCCTGGTCACAATGTATGATTGCAAGAGCAAATTTCCTTTATCATCCAGATAATTCCATTTAGAAGACAGGGAACCGAGTGATCCCAGGAGTCTGAAGAGAAAAGCCATCTAGCAGCTCTGGTAGCTGTCCATGGTGCTAAACCCATATGGATCCTCTAGCCCAGTGGTCCCTAATCTCTTTGGCACCAGGGACTGGTTTTGTGGAGGACAATTTTTTCCACAGATGGGTAGGTGGGTGGCAGTGGGGTTGGGGTGGGGTGGCGGTAGGGGATGGTTTTGGGATAATTCAAATGCAGTACATTTATTGTGCACTTTATTTCTATTATTATTACATTATAATATACAATGAAATAATTATACAACTCCCCATAATGTAGAATCAGTGGGAACCCTGAGCTTGTTTTCCTGCAACTAGACAGTTCCATCTGGGGGTGATGGGGGACAGGGACAGATCATCAGGCATTAGATTCTCATAAGGAGCATGCAACCTAGACCCCTTGCATGTGCAGTTCACAATAAGGTTAATGCTTCTATGAGAATCTAATGCCATTGCTGATCTGACAAGAGGTGGAGATCTGGTGGTAATGTGAGCAATGGGGAGCAGCTGTAAATACCGATGAAGCTTCATTCACCCTGTTGCTCACCTCCTGCTGTGCAGACCAGTTCCAAACAGGTCACGGACCAGTACCAGTCAATGGCCTGGGGGTTGGGGACCCCTGCTCTAGTCACCACAGAAACCTGTGGCTTCTGGCCACTCTCCTGACCTCCACTCACCTTCTTCCTCTCTCGCCCCACTCCTTGCTCAGAGGTTCAGGACACTGTTGACAACACCCCCTTGGTCTGATTTAACATTCACTCACAAGTATAGCCTTGGACAAGCAATACTGTTGCCAGGTCCCATCTCCCTTTGCTTTTTCTCCCAATCAAATCTGTGTTTATCCTTGGGTTTTTGGAGAAAACCATAGTTCCTGTCCTCAAGGAGCTATAGGCAATCCAGGGACATAATACATACATTAGGTAAGAACTAAACATCCTAGGATGGCATACAAAATACTGCAAGTTCTCCTCTAACATTACCTTTTTTTCTCCATGGCTATCTTCCACTTGTAGTCACCGATCATAGGATGTATCTCCTACCTCTTTGCCTATCTCTAACTGGAATAGATTCCCACATGCCCAATGAGCTCAGATGTCACTTCTTCCAGGAAGCCTACCGTCATCCTTATCATCATCACCATTACTCCCAGACTGAGCAGTTTCTCCTAAACTTTTGAAGCTTTTAAGGGTGAAACTAACAACAATGGCAAGAAGATATGGTGGCATTCCATGTTAACACTGGAGTCCTTCAGAGACATTCTGGGGCAGGGAAGCAGCCCTAGGCTTGGCAGAAGGAGAATTGAAATCTTGTTTGGAACTTCTCAAATATACTGTGTGGCCATGGGAAAAATGTGCTGTTTCCTTGGGCTTCAGGCACTCCTTTGGGAACATGATGGGGTTCAGGGCAGATGATTCAAAAGCCATTCCACAAACATGACTTGAGTGCCCACCATGAGCAGGGAACTGGGTCAGGTCCAATTCAGGGACAGGATGTGGCACAGAGGGGAGTCAGACCTGTGTGGAAGGAGGGAACAGGCAGGAACAGCACCACAGAATCTAGGGGAGACCTGAGCAGAGAAGGGAGGGCCCTACAAGATCTGAGGGTGTCAGGAGCTTCCTGTGGGAAATAGCATGCCACTCAAACGCTCTGGAGGCTTTATCATAGGAGAGGGAGGACATTTCAGACAGCACAAACGTCCTGGGTTCTAGTGTCCTAGGGCACATGATTCTGAGCTCTGGGCTCTGTAATTATGGGTTCAGTGTCTTATTCTCTGTTCTAGATTCCCTGTTTCTGAATTCGGTGACTCTGGGTTTTGCATTTCTGGGTTTGGAATTTTGTGATTCTGAGGTCTGTACCTCTAGATTCTGTAGTTCTAGGTTTTATTATCTATAGCTCTGGGGCCCAGGATTATACATTCTGGATTCTGGCATATATCATTTTGGATTCTGGCTTCTGGATTTTATGGTCTGAGTACTGTGCCCTATTTATTCCTCTTCAAATACAAAGGCAGGTGTGGGAGAAGAGAAGATCCCTATGATCTCCCAGCTCCTCTGAAGAATGTGGCCTCCCTACCCACCTCCTCCCATCCTTTCCCACTCTGCCATGCACTCCTCCCCCTCCCAGTTGTCTTGGCCTTAAGAAAGGGCCCCACACAGGTTGGGGGATAAGCTAAGAAAGGGTGTGGATTGAAGGGCCATTATGCCTGACTCAGCAGGGCTGAAAGTAACTGTCTCTAGACTCCACCCAGCCCCAGGGAATGGATGGTCTGGACTGGGACCTGCCCTCTGCAAACAGGTGCTATGTTCTGAAATAGCCCAAGGGCTTACTTCTCAGTGAAGGAGAAGGAAAGAGTGAGATTTCAGGGACCCTTAAAGACACTGTGCATGCTCAAGGACTCACCTGAGAGTGACTTCACCCCTTTGGGTGCAGTATGGCCCTACCGCAGTTGCATCCCTCTGTCTGCTTCTCCAGACTTCTGACAATGATGGTCCCACCTACCCACTCCATTCCACTTGAGCCAAATCGACAGAGACAGCAAGCAGGGAAGTCACTGCAACTCCTCCCCAACCCACACCCACATGCGCATGCACACGCATACACACACACGTCTTGGGCTCCTGAGAATTCTGGGTCTCTTGGGGGAGAGTCTGTTGTTCAGGATATAAGAATACTTTGAGCCCAAGGACAGACGTGCACATTTGTTTCAGGGTGTGGGTGTGCATGAGTGTGACTTTGTGTGTGTGCCAGAGGTCTGAGGCTGAGGCCGTGGCTATCCCTGAGGGTGAGGGTGGTGGTCTCGAGAGAGTGCTTTCCTTCCAGAGCATGTAGGCCCCTGTCTCGGCAGGTCTGCTGTACCCCCTGCCAGTCCTGCTTGTGGTTGGACGCTCTCTCTGAGCTGCTGCCCCCACCTCTTGAAACTCTGGGCCACAGGGGTGGGGACAGAAAGCCAACTCTTCTCTATTTGTTTTTTCAATGATGGAACCAAACACATTTAAATTTAAACTCTTCACAGGAGATAATTTTTCCTAATCACTCAGCTTTCTGCACAGATCTCCACGACTTGATTACTTCTAATTAGGTTAATAAAATGGAGAGTGATTTCTTTTCTCTGAATATATGAATGGTCTCCGAGACAGCCCCAGTGTTGCAGAGCCCAGAGTGGGGCCTGCCCAGATGAGACCTCTGTCCTCCGAGTGGCAGAGGGACTTGCCCAGGGTCACACCACAAGCCAGTTGAACTCAGGTTTGTCTGCTTCAGAAACCCAAACTCTTAATCATCACATGATTGGCAGGAGAGCATCCCCCCCACTTCCCACCTAGGAGAGCATGGGATCAATGGTTGCATCCTCCCCAGGGTCACGGCAGTGGGGCTGGGACCCAGGGAGGCCTAGAGAACTGGCGTCAGGGTGTGGGTCTCTCCTGGACAAAACCTCCCTCAGGTCCCTTTCTAACTGCAGACCCTGTCTGTGACCTGAATCACAGAGTCCCTTTCACCATAAATAGGGTTGGGGAAATGATTCCAGGAAACCAGAATTGCCAAAATACCAGGGTGCTTGGAAGAACATTGTAGAGTTGCTGGCCAAGGAGTTCAGAGAGACCCAGGGAGGCACCTGGCCCTCTGCCCTGACTCATCCTGGACATCTGTGGTCTATGTCTATGGAAGTAGGTCACCGTCAGAGCCCTGCCAGACATTGCCCCATACAACCTCAGAGGGCTGACCCCACCCCTCATGGCTGAGGCCACTTGGCCCTGCTCCCAGGCTCACTGCCCGAGCCCTGGATTGGTCCTGACCTATAGCGGTTTTACTCCATGGGGTTCATCACCAAGGCCTGGACTCTGGGCTTCGGCCCCAGTGCTGGGCACTTTACATACACTGTCATCATCTCCTCCTTCCAGCCCTCTCTGTGCTCTGCAACTATTCATTGAATCCTCACCCTGTGTGACCCTGCTGAGAGCTTCTCAGAGCCTCAGTTTCCCCATCTATAAAAGAGATTTAGACTCAGTTTTTTGGAGGACTTTCTGATTATGGCATCTTAGGATTAACTTTTCCTCCTTTTCTCTTTCTCTTCTCTGCTTTTCACTTTCTCTTTCAACTTGAAGTTGATCCGGGGTAGCCCAAATGGGGTCACACGGTGACACTTATTATTAGCCTCTATCAGCAAAGTGGACACTCACTCTAGCAGCCCCAGGATGGACACAGAGATAAAATCCACGTCTGGGAAAACAAAGGGACTCCTTGTTCCCGCAAGTACACAGACACACTTGCACACCCTACTTTGTGCTGAGACTCATCTGCAGGAAAAGCCACCACCAGCTCAAAGAGATGGGATTTATCAACCAGCGCCAGCCCCAGGGCCGGGCCTGCACCCTCCCATGGCCCAGAACCAGCTGCCACCATCTGGTCCATCCATATTTCTCTGAGGACAGAGCTGGCGAGGGACCAGCCCAGGAAGGCAGGAGACAGAGCGTCTGGAGCCAGAAGCCTAAAGACAGGTTAATCCACATCCTGTGGCTACAGACAGGCCCAGGGGATAATTTGGAGAAAGGGGACAGGCAAGTATACAGCCAAGGGGCCTGGACTCCCCATGTGGAGCCACAGACTGGAGGGTAAATAGAGGGCTGAGAGCTTCCACTAAGCAGAGTCGGCACCTGCCCGGCCCTGTGGGTGAGCATCCCCTCAGAACTTTGCACCCTGGGTGCCTCAGTCTATCCTCCCAAGGGGTGACATAAGGCCCTGCCAGTTCCGTCCCTCCTTGCATGGCTGTGGCTGCTGAGCCCCCACTGGGCAACAAGAGGCTCCAGAGCAAAGGGCCAGTCCTGCCCCAGCAGAGGGAGCTTAAAGGGTACCAGGGCTGGGAATGTGGGGAAGGGCAGGTGTGGATTTTGGGACTGGCCTGGTGTTGAATCGCCGCCACTGGTTCACCCTGAGCAGCTTCCTCTCCCTCTCTGAGCCTCAGTTTCCTCGTCTGCTAAATGGGGCAAGAAGCCTGCCTGGGAGGACACGTGGGCTCCCCTGGGCACGGGAGGGGCATCCGCAAGGACTCAGTGCATATTTATTCCCATCCTCTCTGCAGACCCATGGCACCTGGCTTCAAGTCAACGCCAAGCAAATACCTATGAACCTGGTGAGAGAATGAAACGAGCTCATGCTTGCGTCTGCACTCACGGCAGCACAGTCTAAAGCCATGTTGGGAAATTGAACAACCAGAGTCCTCACTGGATAGCACCCTTGGGGTTTGGCTCTCAGACATCAGGGAGGCTTGCCTTAGGCTGGGCAAGAATTGGATAGAAGAGGGGAAGACAGGCAAGGAGGGGAGACAGCATGTGCAAAAGGGAGAGGGGCCAAGGTGAGGCCACACCCTCTTTCATACTCCCTACCAAAGGCTGATGGGGAAGAGTTTGGGTTTGGAATGGGGCAGATTTGGGTTCAACCTGGGCAGGTCCCTCTGAACTCAGAGGACCCATGTTGTCAGCTATGAAATGGGGGGAATGGCACCCCCTCCTCACAGGGTGGTCATGAGGCTGGCACAGGCATTTTGTGTGTGTACAGCCCCAGCACAGTGCCAGGCACCCAGGGACGCTCTGTGCCCGGGTTTCCTGCCCCTCTGCCAGCTCATCCAGGTCAGCTGCTCCCCTCTGCCCCACATGTGGCCTCCCCACCTGGTCACGTGTGGTCTGAGCAGGGAGTGGGCTTTGGTGCAGGGACCTGGGGGTTTGAGGACATGCCACCCATCTTGGAGAAGACCACTGTGTTCTACCTGGAGGGATGGAGCCCATCCAGCCCCCACCCAGCAGGAACCTGGCAAACAGAGAGGTCAAGGGAGTGGCCCAAAGTCACCAGCCCCAACCCGGCCTCTAAGTGCTCTGCTCTGTAACCAGCCCTGGAGTGGATGGGGCCCCTGTCTACAAACACCTGAACTGAGAGCCTCAAGGATTCTTCTCTGCCCTCTGTCATCCCTCTTTCCTCATATGTTCTTGCTCACCAGTCTGAGAAGAGCCTGGAAACAGGAGCCAGGGTCCCTGGGGGCCCAGGTCAGTGATCTGCAGAGCCATCTGGCTGATGCCTTGGCCTGTGCTGGGAAGGGGAGGGTTAAGGCTTGAGCAGCCCTTCCTGGTTAGTGTTTAACTTGCAGTTTCTGAAGGCCATCAGGAGCCCCATGGAGTTAATGTTTTCTCTCTTAATGACACTGCAGCACATTAAAGAGGGACCCATCTTCCAGCTGACATTGAAGAGAGGCCATTCATTACCCAGGATGGCCTGGGTTGGCAGCTGGAATAACTTTCCCAGAGACCTGCCTGGGTGGGGGAAGGGTCTTTTTATCCCTGCCATCAGCAAATCCTGCCTGGTTCCTCCGACATTAGCTCCAGGAGAGGACAGTCTGAGAAGACATTGAGACAGGCTAGTGCTTTGCTTAGCACAAGAGAGAGCTCACAGTCCCAGTGGACCACAAGTCGGCAGCTACCTGCCTGAATGTGCCACACTACCTTTCCTCTTTTTCCACACTTTCTTCTTCCCCTTTTTCTCCAGGCAATCACTGGTCTGCTTTCTGTCACTATAGATTAGTTTGCATTTTTTAGAATTTTATATAACTCAATTATAAGGCATGTACTTTTGCCTGTTTGTTTCCCACTCAGCCTAATTACCTTCAGTTTTACCCAGCTGTTGCATGTATCAAAGTTTGCTCCTTTTTATTGCCAAGTAGTAATCGATTGTATGGCTATACTGTCATTTGTGAATCCATTCCCCTGGTCATGGACATTGAGGTTGTTTTCAGTTTTCTGATATTGCAAACAAAGCTGCTACGAAAATTTGTGTGCAAGTCTTTGCACAAACTTTTATATTCACTTTTCTTGGGAAAATATCTAGTTGTGGAATGGGCTGGTCATATGCTTGGTTGCATGTTTAACTTGCAAACTGTTTTGCAAAGGGCTCTTGCCATTTTCCACTTCCACCTGCAATGCAGAGGGGTTGCCGTTGCTCCTTATCCTCCCATCATTTGATAATGTCAGTTTTTTTTTAAATTTTAACCATTCTAATAGGCATGTGGTAGTATCTCACTGTGGTTTTCATTCATGTTTTTCTAATAACTAAAGATGTCGAGTGCCTTTTCATGTACTTATTTGTCACCCACATGTATTTAAGTCTCTTGCTCATTAAAAAAATTGGATTATTTTCTTTTTATTGAGCTTAAGAGTTCTGTATAGATTCTCGAAATAAGTCCTTTGTCAGATATAAGATTTGCAGATATTTTCTTCTAGTCTGCGGCTTGTCTTTTTCAATCTTTTACCAGTGCTTTTTGAAGCTTAAAAGTTTTCAGATTTAATGAGGCTACACTTCCGACCTTGCTGCCCATTATGATAATTATGCTGCTCATTTCTGATGGTTAAGTGCCGTCTGCTGTTGGGATCTTATCTTTCCCCACAGCTGCCAGGGAACACTGTTCTAGAACAGTCTCCTAACACCAGCTCTCGCTCACAGAGCTAAGCCACCACTAAGCTTCTCAGTGTTGCTGGTGCCCCTATTACCAGAACTTTCCAGGGCCCCTGAGGAACAGAACCCACTAGCTTTCTGGTTTGCATAATATAACTTTTCTCTCATGCCTGTGCCTCTGAGCCTCCTGACCCCTTCCTCCACAGTCGGCCAAAGCGATTCTGGCATTGTCACTTCATTTAATGTTGGGCCTGGCTTTTTCCAAGATTCTGAGAGCTATTCCAGCGGCATTCTAAGCCCATCTGCAGGCCCTTCCTGGGGGGCTCAATCCAGGTCACAGGACAGCCCCCATGTCTGTGCATCCCCTAGGCCAGCTTCATATTCATCCACCTTCATCCCACACCCCAGGATCCACTGCCGACCTGCTTTCCTGGTTCCCACTGGTCCACGTGGCCAGCTCCTGCAGCTGCTTGGATATACACTCTGTCTCTTCCTCGGGAATACCTGATACTTTGGCAGTTGGTTTATGATTAGATTGGAGCCTAGTTATGAGTCTGGTGGTGAAAAGGGGACATCGGGGCAGATGTTGAAAAAGCATTATTTTGTAAGGCCCCCTCCTAATCTGAGGCCTCTGTATAGTCTTCTAGCAAGGAGGCTCTTATCTTCCAACAAGGGGGGAGTGTGCCACTTCTGCAGGTCTAGAGGGTCCAGGGGAATCTGGACTCTCATGTCCACCCATCCAGATGGACTTGAAAAAAGTTTCAGGGTCATATTCTTTTCCTATAGAGCCCTGACTTTGGCACAGGAGACTCGCCAAGCAGATAATTCTCCCTTCTTCGGAGCTCTGGCACTGCTACCCTGTGGTCCTGTGTCTGGTCTGTGGCTATAGGAGATGGATGTCTCTCTTCTGCTGCCAAGTAGGCTCTCTGATGAACATTTCGCTTCAAACTGCTGATTAAGAGATCTGAGTCTATAATTTTCAGTCCTCAATGTGTCAGTGACACTTAACAATGGACCCCAATGCCAATTTCTCTATAATTGCCTTCTCCCAGTACTTTCTAGTGCTGGAGAACTTGCACCAGCCAGAGCACATGCCTCCGCCCCCGTGTGCCTTCCCCATTCACTGTGGGTGACTGTCTGAACCATTACACTGCTATCTTGCATCAGGGACTACCACAACCTCCTATAGCTGGTGACGGCAGATCCATTTCTACAATTCCATCTGAGAGTCTGCCTCCCAGGGCCATTCCCATTATCAGTTAGCATAGGTTGGGCTTCCCAGAGCAAAGTCTGATAAGGATCCTTATCTGGGAGGAGGGGAGAAAGGGTAGCAGGACGGGACAGGGAATGACCTGAGCAAAGATGTGGTTTCCAGCTCCCAGAGAGCAGGCTTTGGGAGGCCACCTGCTGATGATCAGAACAGCCCCAAGGACTTTGGGATCTTGGTCTGGGAAGGTGTAATAGTCAGGGCTCTCCAGAGGGACACAGCAAACAGGATGTGTGCATATAGATATAAACGAGGTCTATTCTAAGGAACAGGCTCACACAATTATGGAGGTTGGTGAGGCTAAAATCTGCAGTGTGGATTTTCAGGCAGAGAGACCAGGAAAGCCAGTGGTATGGAGGTCTGAAGGCGGGCTACAGGAGAAGATTCCTCTTGCTCGGGGGTGCCTGTCTTCTGTTCTATTCAGGTCTTCAACTGATTGGATGAGACCCACCATATTATGGAGGGTGATCTGCTTACTTAAAGTTCACGGATTTAAATGTTAATCTCATCCAAAACACCCTTCAAACTGACACATAAAATTAACCACAACAGCAGGATATGCAGGGCTGAGCCTTAAAAGCAGGGGAGGGAAACATCAGCCCAGGGCAGGGGGTAGAGAGATGCCCAGGTGGGCCTGGCACCTGGCAGTGGAATGGGCAAGGTAGGGGGCCACTGTTCATGCAGAGAGGCTGGCTGCCAGGCTGGCAGGTGATATCAGGCAGACCTCTGAGCAGGCTCTGGGCTCCAGATGGAGGCCTAGGGGGAAGGGGAACTGGGGTTATGGGGACCAAGAGAGGCCTCGGACACTCTTGGTCAGGAGGGATCACATGAACTCAGGAGAGGACAAATACTGAGTGCCTGGAGCGGGAGCAAGGTCGCAGGGAGACACAGACCCACAGCCACATCTGGTTCACTCCTGGCTCCTCTGAGGGTGTCCTGGGGCAGCAAAGCCAGTCCTAGTTACCGGGTGTTCATCCACTCTGGGCCAAGCCCTGTGTTGGGAGAGGCGGCCTCGTGCAGTGGGCTCAGCACAGGATGTGGGCTCCAACACGGCTGGGTTCAAATTGTGGCTCTGCACTTAACTAGTCAAGGGGCTTTGGGAAGTCGCTTCGCCTGTTCCATTTCAGTTTCCCACCTGACAAATGGAGTTCACTGTGCCTGACACACGGGGTTTTCGTGGTGATGAAATCAAACACCATCTGTAAAGTTTCTGCTTCAGAGATAATCATTATGAATTATGGTATTTGTCAGGAACCTTTGGGTTACGAGTGGAAGAAGCCAAAACTGGCTTAAGATAAAAACAGGCAAGAAAACAAAGAAGAATTCACTGGCTCACATAACTAAAAAACTAGGTCAGGACTGGCTGGATCCACGTTCCCAAATCTTGTCTGCAGGAGTATCCTGCTGCCCTCTTTGGGCTCAACTTTCTCTAACAGGCTTTTCCCGAGCAGTGATGAGATGTTCCCCAACTCCAGGCTTACACCCTATCAGTAGCAATCAAGCACAGAGAGATGCCATCAAATTCACCCATGTTAAGAGTACATTTCAGTGATTTTTAGTAAATTTACAGAATGGACAACCATCACTACAATCAGTTTTAGAATATTTCAATCCCTCCAAAGAGTTGTCTTGTGCCTATTTGGGGTCACTCCCTCTTTCCACCCCCATCTCCAGGTAGCCACTAAGCTACTTTCTGTCTCTATAGATTGGCCTTTTCTGGTCATTTCATATTTGGAATCATGTAATATGCGAGGTTTCCTGTCTGGTTTTCTAAAAACCTAGCATAGTGTTTTTAAGGTTCATCCATGTTGCGGCATGTATTAGTACTGTGTTCATTTTTATGGCTGTTCGACAGTCCATTGGATGGATATACCATATTCTACACATTCATTCATCAGTCAATGGACTCTTGGTTGTTTTCAGTTTTGAGCTATTATGAATAATGCTGCTATCAACCTTCATACACAAGTTTTTGTGTGGACATATGTTTTCATTTCTCTTGAGTATATAGTTAGGAGTAAAATTGTTGGGCTGTAGGGTAAGTTTATGTTTATGTTTAATAATTTAAGAATTTGCCAAACTGTTTTCTGAAGTGGCTGTGCCATTTTATATTCCCACAAGGAATGTATGAGGTCTTAAGTTTCTCCACATCCTCACATCCTTGCTAACGCTCGCTATTGACTGTTGTTTTGGTTATAGCCATTGTAATGGGTGCAAAGAAGTGTCTCATTGTGATTTGAACTTCTGTTTCCCCGATGACTAAGAATGTTGAGCATCTTTTCATGCGCTTACTGGCCATTTGACCAACATCTTCTTTAATATCTTTGTCCTATATCTTCTTTGGTGAACTGTCTATTCAAATCTTTTGCCCATTTTAAATTGGGGTACATGTTTTCTTATTATTGAATTGTAAGAGTTCTTTGTATAGTCTGGTACAAGTCCCTTATGAGATATATGATTTACAAACATTGTCTCTCAGTCTGTGGGTCATCTTTTGAGTTTCTTAATGGTATCTTTTGGAGCCCAAAAGTTTTAAATTTTGATGAAATTGAAGTTTTTTTAAATAAATCATGCTTTTGGTGTCATATTTGTAAAATATTTACCAAACCCAAGGTCACATAAAAGCTTTATAGTTTTAGCTCTTCTATTTAGGCCTATGATCCATTTTGAGTTAATTGTTGTGCATGGTGTGAGATAGGGGTCTCCTGAACCCACCAGATCAAACTTTCTCCTCTGCCTTTCCATTAAAACTGTTCTTCCTTGGTGTATTAGTTTTTCATTGCTGAAAAAAAAAATAACACAAATGAAGTGTCTTACTACAACACACATTTATCATCTCCCAGTTTCCATGGGTCAGGAGTCTGGCATAGGGTGCTGGGTCCTCTGAGGTCTCAGAAGGCTGCATTCTCATCAGAGGCTTGAATGAGGAAGTTCTGCTTTCAAGCACCTTCAGTTTGTTGGCAGAATTCACCTCCTTGCAGCCGCATAACTGAGGTCCATGTTTTCTTGCTGGCCACCCATCAGCGGCTGCTCTCAGTTTGTCGGCAGCTGCTTGCCATGTGGCCCTCTGAACCAGGCTCTCATGAAACAGCAGCTTCCTGGTAGCCAACAAAGGAGAGAGTCTCATGTGTGCTTCCATGATGGCTATGTCTTTTTACATACAGATAGATAGATACATATGTAGATCTACATGTGTGCATGCATACATGTTATGTGATACACATATAACACATAACACATACATATCTCATAAGCCAGTCATGGCAGTGACATCCCATCACCTTTGCCATATTTTGTTCAGAAGATCAAGTCCCAGGTCCCGCTGGTGCTCAGCGGGAGGGGATTATACAAGGCATGAGCATCGCTATGCTGCTTTGATCAAAAAGGGCTGTGGTATCACTCCACCACACTCCAGCCTGGGCGACAGAGCCAGACCTTGTTTCAAAACAACAACAACAACAACAACAACCACCACCACCCAGCTGTGAGAAGGATTACCAAGAACCCTTACCGATGAAAAACAACACAGTGTGTAAGGAAATGAGGGAAGGAACCACGATTCACTAGATGCCAGAGCAGGCAGCTGGGCCTCAGCGCTGACCTCTCCCCTCCCCCTCCGCTGTGTCCATCGCAGTCCGCCGGCCCCCTCCCAGCGTCTCTCGACCCCTTCCCCCCTTCCCTGTACTCCAGCCGCGGCTGATTCCTGCTGTCTGGGTGGGGTCCCTGTAAGGCTCAGGCGGCTGACTGGGGAGGCGATCCCAGGAGGCACAGTGGGGAGGGGATAGCAGGGCGGAAAGAGGCTGAATCACAAGGAGGCGGGGGCGGCGGCTCGGTCCCAGGGCCATCTCAGGGACCGTGTCGGGGGGTGCTGACTCTGCCCATCAAGGGGAGCCGGACATTTATCCGCCAAAGCCCGTCCCTCGCGGTGAGGGTCGCTCCTGGGTGTGGGACCCCTGGCTTCCCGCGCTGCCCTGCCCGGGGCTGGTCTCGTCCCAGGACCCTGGAGAGCGGCCCCAGGAGGCGTGGAGGAGGGGAGAGAGCCGAGGGAAGTGGTCATGGAGCAGGTGAACGCACAGGGGCTTCGGCTGGAGCGCCCTCCTGGGAAGAGCCCCTCCTCTGCAAGGACCTGCCGCAGCTTAACCAGCCTGCGCTGCTGTCGCCAGCGCCAGTTTTAAATAGCCAAACCCTACTCACTTCATCCAGCAACGCACCCCCAACTTCACGCTAAATGCATAATTTGCTGCAAATTAAACTTAATGGGACTAGAGTAATTATGTTGACTTTTTCAAGTAGTTAGAGATAAATACATGATTAGATATTTCAGAATATAAACTTTTTCATTGTTTTCCCCAAGGGAGCCAGGGGAAGGAGGCGGAGGCCTGAGTTAGAGAAGACGCTGAAAAAGTGGGAGGGAGGACTCAGAAACCCGTTTGAAGAGGCTCTTAGACCCCACCGCCGGTGGAATCCAGGCCAGCCACCTGGAAGGGCCACTTGGGCAAAATATAGGCAAAGCTTTAAAAATACCCATACCTGCTAACCTGAGAAGACCACAGATCTATCCCAAGGAATAATCAGAGATGGAGACCAAAATCTATGGGTAGGGCCGGCCATCCCAGTATAATTTATAACGGTCAAACTTACATGGGAGCCATCAAAATGCCTAACAACCTGAGGATTAGCTACCTCAGTTACAGAACAACCATAAGGTGGAAAGTCGTGCAGCCATTAGAAAGGACACAGTCAGAAAGTAATTCACACTGAGAAAATACTGATAAAATAAGAGCGAGAGAAAAAAGCAACATATAGGCCTGGATATACATTCTAAATCTACCAAGAAAAAGAAATCCCAGAAGAAAGTAAGCAAAAAATACTAGCAATTATTAATCTCTGCTTGATGAGATGAAGAGGGATTTGGATTTTCTCTTCTCTTTTTTTATGTTTTAAGAAAATTCTGCAAGAAGCAGAATATTAAAGTATGTTTAACTATTTTTAAAGCAGATTAAGTACAAAGGGAACCCCCACCCTTAGGGGACTTATTGGAGGGAGTTCTGTGGGTGGAGCGCCAATGTCAGGCTCTCTCTGCCCACATTTAAGTCTCCTAGTTGCTGGTTGTAGGAGAGCCTGTCGGTGGTCTGCACAGAATCTAGTCACCCCTTCTTTAGTAATAAGGGGCCAGTGCTGTTGGGGATGGCTTTGTGTCCAAAGCTTTCCTTGCAGATGGGGATGGACAATGAAATGTGAGTGGAGATGGTGGTTGCAGCTTCCGGGAAAATTCATTGATGGGAATTTATTCAATTGACAGAAGTCCCCTTTTCCTTTCCTTTCCCTCCCTTTTTCCTGCCTGGAATGCAGCTCTAGTGGGCTGAAACTCCAGTAGCCATCATGTAACCAAGAGGTAACCTTTAGGATAAAGTCATGCACCACTGAGGATGGTGGAGCAGAAACAAAGAAGGAATCTGGGAATTTGACAGCTTTGTGTGTGTAGCTATCACAGCAGTCCTGGGCTTCCTATATCCAGACTTAACTCATATGAGGGAAGAGTGAACCTTTAACTGGCTTAAGACCTTATTGTCTGGATTCCTGTTTCTAGCAGATGAATGCATTTCCTAAGAGATACATTAGGCTATTCTGAAGGATGGCTGAGAAAAAGCAAAACCCCAGATAATCCACAGGGACTTTAATAAAATTGGTACAGGCCGGGCGCGGTGGCTCACGCCTGTAATCCCAGCACTTTGGGAGGCCGAGGAGGGTGGATCATGAGGTCAGGAGATCGAGACAATCCTGGCTAACACAGTGAAACCCTGTCTCTACTAAAAATACAAAAAATTAGCCAGGCCTGGGGGCACGCACCTGTAGTCCCAGCTACTCGGGAGGCTGAGGCAGGAGAATCACTTGAACCTGGGAGGCAGAGGTTGCAGTGAGCCGAGATTGTGCCATTGCACTCCAGCCTGGGAGACAGAGTCTCACTCTGTCTCAAAAATAAATAAATAAATAAATAAATAAATAAATAAATAAATAAATAAAATAGGTACAAAAATAGCAACTTCTCTTAGTGCAAGGGAGAGTAGGACAGGTACAAGGTTAACTGACTTCTAAATAAAACATCTCTATAAAATAAGTGTTAGTTAGATGGAGCTGACCTATGTAATTAGGCTGTGTACCTATAAATGTGGATCAGTCTCACATAGCATGGTGTGTGTGGGGTGGGCTTGATTGTCAGGACAATCAAGCCAAGATAGTTGCTGTGGATTAATTACTAGAACACAGATGCCAATAGTGTATTAGCTTGGGTCTAATCATGAGACACGAACCACACAGTGATTTAAATGGGGGCAAATGTACTATAAACCTTTATTAAACTATGATAAAACAGTAACTATAAGATAAAGGAAACTTTATATAGCACCCAAGGAAGGACAGCCTTGGAAAGGGGTTCCTTTGCCAAGGATGGTTCAGACCTTGTTGAAGAGGTGGAGTTATAGCCCACTGGACGGCAGAGACATTCAGTGGTTTGCCTGGGCCAGTGCTGGTCTGCAGTCACTGGACAAGCAGAAAACAATCCTCTAGTGTAGCAAGCTGTAGCCTGTTCCTGGGCATGTGGGTGGGCACGCAGATGGAATCTGAGTGCTGGTGTGGGTGGGGCATGGGTGTCCATGTCAAGAGGGCCACAGGAAGGTTATCACCTGGCTAGAGCAAGGCTGCAAGGTTGCAAGGGACCGCGTGTTCCCAGAGCATGGCTGGGGCAGAGCATCAGTGGATGTCCTCAGATGCGCACTGTTGACTGACTGTGAAGCACTGGAACCAGCAGGAGAAGCCCCTTCCTCCTGCAATGTTCATTCAGAGCCCTCTACTGAAGAAGCTTAATGTGTTCACTGCACAGGAGAGGTGCTAAAAGGAATTCAGTCCACTATTACAGATCAGGCATTGAAAGCTCAGCTTGGAGCTAAGGGGCAGTACATTGATAACTGGCACAAGTAGATGCACTTTGTTGAAGTGGAAAGAGAGTGAAATGATAAGTCAGGACACCTGGACTTTGCCTGTGATCTTGAGCAAGTGGTCTCTGCTTCTAGGCCTTGGTTTCCCATGTGTTAAATGGGAGGAGTTAGTTGGATAAAAAGATGTCTAAGTTTCTTTCTGACCTATGAATCTCTGACTATAACTGGATGAGCAGGTATGGCATATGGGAGACTATGAAATGGTGGTGGAAAAAATAAAACCTCCCCCAAGCTGGCCATGGCCTCCTTGGCTCCCATGGCTACACAGAACAGGGGATGCACTGTGTCAATCACCAGCTGGGTCAGAGCTTCCCTGTCCAGAGGCTAAGTCTGGTGGTACAAGAGACTCTGATCCACTGTCTATAGCACTCTCAGAGTGAACAGAGGGGATGATGATGTCAACAGATAAAGTGAGCCAGCTCACAGAGCATTTTCTCATTAAATCTTAGCATTTGAACAGAGGCTTAGTGATCTTCTAGTTATATTCTGTTTGGTGCTAGGATTCCTTCCACAACAACCACTGTCAATCATAAAAATAATTTCGCCATTGTTAACATCCTCATCACTCTTGTCTTCATCCTCATCAGTCTTCATCATCATCACCAGCGCCATTCTCATCTTCCTTCTTTTCACCATCACCATAATTGCCATCATCATCATCATCATCACCATCATCATCTCCATCATCACTGCCACTTTTTGAGCACCTTTTATGTGCCAGGTACAGTGTTGGATACTTTACATACTCTATTGAACAGTCCAATGTGATAGGTATTGGTTCTAATTTACAGATGAGGAAACTGAGGTCCAGAAAGTGGCCCAAGGCAGCACATATAATAGGCTGAAAAAGAAGGCTATGAATTTAGATTTGCCTGATTCTAAAAGCTCAACTCTGTCCACTACACCTTACAACCCTGTAAGTTAACCTCTGCAGTGCATCTCCGGTGGTGAGGAGGTTACTACCTCACCCCTTAGTCTTAGATCTGACCTTTTGTGGACTGCAGAATGGGCCCAACTTCTGGTCCACTTGACAGCCCTTCCAAAGTTGAAGATCAGCTCTTGTGTCCACTTGAGCCTCTATGTTTTTAGAACAAGTACTACATCCTTCAATAACTCCACGTGTGAGCAACCACTTCTCCCGCCCTCCTTGGCCCCCACCCTGGTGCTCCTGGATTTCTGCGATCCTTCCTCCCTGGTCTTCTTGCTTCCATTTTCACCAGCAGCCTCTTTTCCACCCAGCAGCCACAGAAGTCTTTTTACAACACAGATCAGATTATGTCACTCTCCTGCTCAAAACCCTGCAATGAATTCTGTCAACACTAAAAAGAAAATTCAAACTCTGCCATGGCCTGTAGACCTGAAATGATCTTCTCCCACTAACTCCTCACATCTCATCTTCTACCCTCATCTCCAGACACGCTGGCCTCTCCCCTGTCCTTGAGCATATCGTGCTCATTCCGACCTCAGGGTGTTTGCACCTGCTGCTCCCAACTGAGCATCTTTTGACAACTATCAGCAAGCTTCACTCCTCCACGGGGAGGCAGGCTCCTTGGGTTTGCAGATGACAGGCTCTTGGAAGAAAAACAAGTGTTTTGGACCAGGGCAAGATAGAAAATCCCCAGAGGCCAGAGTTCCAGACTGAGACTCGCACGATGGGATTTAAAATGCAACCCTGAATTAAACATGCAGTGCAAAATAAATCAACAGTTCAGGTACAGAGGAGGGAGCCAGGCCTTGAGAGGGGCTGACAGGGAGCTCAGTGTGAGCCCACGGAGCTGCATGTGTCTCTCACATCACATGTCCCTGGGTTGCTCTCCCCATTCCCAGCCATCCCATTCCCAGCCAAGGCTCTTCCTGTAGGATGGAGGGGCTCCAAACCTGGCTAGCTTAATAACAACAGCAACAACAATGATAGGAACAGCCACCCGTTCCCAAGTGCATCCTGCTCACAATCTCTCTCCCTGCAAATTTGCACGGTGAATATTATTGATACCATTTTACACAAGAGAAAACTGAAACTCAGAAAAGCTAAGGAATAGAGAGCTAGTAAGTGGCAGAGCTGAGAATTTACACCTCATCCTCACTCCAAAGCTCAAACACTTCCATGCCCATCCTGGTGTTTTTCAGACCATGTAAATAGTGCTATGGAGTCTAGAAAAAGGTAGGTGAGAGTCCTGTTCAACTGGGAGGCCCAAATCCTTGTGCCATCTGAGAATCAGACCTCAAGAGAGTCATGAATAAGCTAAACCTTGCCTAAAGGCAGGGTCTCCAGCCTGAGAAGAGCATGGGTGAGATCACATTGTTTAATTAATTCACAAAGTACCTATTAGTATCCTGTTAAGTATTAAGCCACCTTCGAAGCCTCCCCATGGAGTAGCCTCTAATGATGCTGTGGTCTCTCCTTCCCCTGGTGGGCTGGGGCTTCTTGGGGGCACTGTCGCTGCTGCTCCTTCTCTAAACACTTTCCCAGAATGCCCAGAGCCCTGTTCAGAGGTGCACATCAGAATCATTGGCTGGTAGGAAGAGATGACATCAATCTCTAGAAGGTCGTACTGTTTCATCAACTTTTATTTTTTTGAGACAGGGTCTCACTTTGTCACCCAGGCTGGAGTGCAGTGGCATGATCTCGGCTCACTGCAGCCTCAGCCTCCCAGTTTCAAGTGATCCCCCAAGTAGCTGGGACTATAGGTGCGAGCCACCACGCCCAGCTAATTTTTTTGTAGAGATGGGGTTTCACCATGTTGCCCAGGCTCTTGGCTCATAAACTTTAAATTCAGATGAAAGGATGTTGGCTCCTGAGGTCATTAGCATAGGTGGTATCTTCTGAAGAATCAGTGGAGAAACTGAGGGACAGAGCGTCTACCAGTGTGCAAATAGAATGAGTGCCTCATAGAGCCAGCTGTCATAGAAAGAAATTGACACTCAGAAATAGGAAGTCTCTTGCCCAAAGTCACACAGCATGTTTGTGACAGAGCCAGGAGTGACCTGGGTTCCTACCAGTTAGCCTGCTCCTCCTCCCTCTCTACCCCATGAGGAGGCTGGGGCTGGGAATAGGCTGGGCTGGGGCAGCAGGACAGTCATCCCTAGCAGGGCTGTGTCTTCTCTGCCCCTGTCTCTGCCCTGTGTTTGTAAACTGAGCTGTTTCAGCATGCCTGGCACCATGTAAGGCACTTAATCACTATCCCATCTCATCCAAAGAGGATGGTCCTCGGTTTACAGAGGAACAAATTGAGGCCTGGAGAGGGCATCTGATGCCCAGGGTCTCGCAGCTGGCAGGTAGGAGACCTTCCCCCATCTAGGACTTTCTGAAGGCTAACGATCGAACCACTTCTCTTGCCCACTGGCTCTTCATGGTGCTGCCCAGCTCCCGATAGTCCACCCCATTCTTATCTGTTTATTGCCTTTCCCATGTAAGCTCTGGAAAAGCAGAGGTTTCTGAACATCTTGTCCACTTCAGCATCCCCAGGACCTAGCAAATGGCAGGGGCCCAATAAATATACTTAAATTAATGAATGAATCTCTTGGGTTCCTTCCACGTTCAATTCCATGACCAAGAGGATCTGACATCCCAACCCAAGCTCCAGGCTGTGACAGGCCCTGACCCTGCTCTCTGCTCCCAACCTCATCCTGCCAGGCAAGCTGGCACCCGACCTTCTCCCATTAGAGCTCCAGCCACCAAGCTCCCCTGGTGACCTGCCATGCCCTACCCTGTGTCATGTCCCCCCTCCTCCCCTGAGCTCTTCTAAACCCTGCCCTCCTGACCTAGGGGGTGGCACAGGCTCCCACCACCTTGATCCGTGTCTGGCTTCTTCTGCCCTTGACCCTGACTTGGGCCCTGACCAAACTTTGACCTATCCTCTGTAATCCTGCAAGAGGCAGTGTGGAGAAACAAGGGGCTCTCCCCAATCCAGGACTTTCTGAAGGCTTACGATTGGTAGCTTCTCAAGGCCAGGCCCAGCCAGACTCCAAAACTCAGGCCTGGGTGCCCATTGGGGCCCTTTGCAGACTTGACCATCCCCAAAAGACTCAACGACAGGTTCAGGGCCATCTGAGACTCAAGGCCTCCTGGCTTCTGAGCCAACAGGACCCTCCTGGCTGGGGTCAGGCATCAGGGGCCTCAAGGACTGCAGCAGAAGGCAGGGCTGTTCCAGAGCTTCTCCACCTGTTGGGCCCATTCCCATCAGGGCCAGGGAGCCTGATTGAGACCCTCACAAATTCAGACCTTTAGGACTGGAAGGACCTTGAGCAAGCCTTCTCTCCAGGCCCCCAGGGTACAGATGGACACACTGAGGAGGGAGCACTGGCTTTGATGTCCTGAGTGGAGGAGTCTTCAAGGGGAGAGGAATCTCCCCGCAGGCCTGGTTCCAAGGGAGATGCACAGGGGCACACAGGGGACCCCTCTAGTGTTTCAGCCCTGCTCCCCCAGTCTAGATGGGGTTGGATCGTCCCTAGGTTTGCTTTGTCCCTGAGTCCTCACAGATGCAGTTACTGGGGTCCCTGTTGGTGGAGATGAGGAAGGGCAGGCAGTGGTTGGGTGGCAGGATATCCATGCTGTGGCTCTTGTCACGGTTCCAGGACAGCAGGGCAATGCTCCTCCGTGTCCAGTGCCAGGTGACCAAGTTCAGTGCCCACGAGAAATGAGGCTGGTGAGCCTCTAAAAGCCTCATGAGGGAGGCCTGGCTGGGGCTCTTAGCTTTGTTTTATGGATGGAGAAATCAAGGGCTAGAAAGAGAGGCCCTGGTCAAGGTGACACTGCAAAAGAGCAACCAACATAGGCATTAACTCACTCTGTCCAACTCTACCCCACCCGCCTGATTCCTGACCCCCCACCACTCCTCACTCTCCCCAAATCACAGTCTCTGGGACCCTAGAGATTATCTTGTCTGATGACCCCTTCACAACTGGGTGGAGTTCAATGCCTTCTCCCTGTGCAAAGTTGCATAGCCTGGACAGAGCTCAGGACAGAGCTCCTGACTCAACTGTGTAAACTTAGGTGTGTTACTGTATCTCTCAGCCCCAGTTTTCCCTATACAATGGGATAATGATATGTCTATGTGTATACGGTTATTGTGAGGAAAGATGCCACTATGTTTATTTTATAGGTATGAAAACTGAGGCTTGGGGAAGTCGTGTGAATTGCTGAAGGCCTCCCAAGGCAAACCAGGGAGTGGTCCATGGTATATCTGACTTCAAAGCCTATACTTTTAACTGCTTTGTGGTGCCACCTTCTTTACTGTCTGGAAGTCTGATATGGTTAGGCTTTGTGTCTCCTTCCAAACCTCATCTTGAATTGTAATCCCCATAATCCCCAGGTATTGAGGGAGGAACTTGGTGGGAGGTGATTGGATCATGGGGGCGGTTTCCCTCATGCTGTTCTCATGATAGTGAGTTCTCAAGAGAGCTTATGGTTTTGTAAGTGTTTGACAAGTTCCTCCTTCGCTCATGCTTCTCTCTCCTGCCACCATGTTTAGAAGGTCCTTGCTTCCCTTTCTGTCATGACTGTAAATTCCCTGAGGCCTTCCCAGCCATGTGGAACTGTGAGTCAGTTAAACTTCTTTCCTTTATAAATTACCTAGTCTTGGGCAGTATCTTTATAGCAGTGTGAGAACAGACTAATTCAAATCCTTCCTATTACCATAACTTGATCCCTCCAGCTGTGATCTCAGATAGGGTCTTCCTGTGTGGCACACAAGCGTGCCCATAGCACCTTTCAGAGCACTGAGAATTCCCCTAATGCACACATATACACACACAACACATACACAGAGAACACATGCCTCCTCCACACACATGCACACATGCACCATGCACACACCCTCTCACAGACACATACATACGCACACTCACATGATACACACATGTACATATGCATGTATACATGCAAATGTGACCCTCACACAGGCACACACATGCATGACACAAACGCACAAACACAGATGCCTGCACACACACACACACGCCCTGCTGTGCTCCTTCTGAGTGCCTCCGACCCACTCCACTGGGCCCCAGGCCCTTCCCCAAGACTCACAGGCGGGCATAGGTTCCTGAGCTTGTTTCTTTGTCAAGTATCCAGGCTCCAATGTAGCTCTGCAAGGAAGAAAAGTGATGGTCAACTTCTTGGCAGGAATAAAATGGGCAGGCTGGGGGCTTAGCCACAGTGAAGGCTGGGGTAGGGACCATTGTTCAAAACCAAGATGTGGGTAGAGGAAACTGATGGAAGAAGGTCAAAATTCAGAGAAAGTACAGAAGGAGGATCAGGTGATGATAACGGTCAAAATTCAGATAAATGTTAGGATAAGGTTCAAGGTCAAAATCCAGAAGGTAAGGTCAGGGTCAGTTAAGGATTAGAACAAGGGTTTATATTCTTAATGGAGACTGGAATGAGATTCAGGGTCAGAGTTGTGGTCAGTGTGGGATTAGATTGAGGGTCAGGGTCAAGGTAAAAAATGAATTAGGTTGATGATCAGAGTCAGGTTAAGGTCAGACCAGGGTCAGCGTCCACAGAAAGGAGGAGCCAGACGAGGCTTGTGCAGGGGTCCTGCTGGCCCGGGGCCAGCGTGCACCTCGTACTCCTGCTTGAAGCCGTAACCCTCGGCCGTCTTCATCTGGTTGATGTGCTGCAGAAGGTCTGCCACACGCACTGCAGGGTGCAGCTGCCCCATGTGGTGCGGGGAGCCCTTCTGGCCACAGGGATGCTTCAGGGAGTCCCTCAGGAGGCTGCTGGCCTCAGTGACCCCACCGCTGCGCTGGTCTCCCGCAGTCAGAGAAAGACAAAGGGGTTCCTGACACACATGCCCCAGCTTGGGGAGCCCGAGAGACTGAGGCGCTGTGGGGGTGGGGAGGCACAGCTAATGCCAAGGACAGCTGGGTTGTTGGCTGGAGCCAAGCAGCCTAGCCAGGCCCACCCTGTGTGGCCCTGGGCATGTCCCCTCCCTCCGAATCTTGGTTCCACCTGTAGAATGAGCCGGTCAGATCAGGTGGCCTCCGAGGGCCCTTGCGGCCCTGCTGGGCTATGATTCCATTTTCCCCTCACTCCACCCCGCGAGGCTTCACTGCACTACCTGCAGAAGGCAGCACTCCGCAGAGCCCATGACAGCCATTTCTTCTTCCCCCTCTTCCAGGGAACAACCTGGAACACTGGCAGCTCCCAGCAATTACCCCCATTCAAAGACAAGCAAATCAGAAATAAGCAGCTGCTGCCAACCCCTCTGCAGGTTAACGCGAGGCACCTGAATGGGAGCCTTTCTCCTGCACAGGCAGTTCCACTGTCAGCCCGTGTGGGGCCGTAACCACTGGCGGAGTCAGTCAAGAGGTGCAGAGTGGCCCCCACACCTGGGGAAACCACCCTCTCCCCAGCCCCCAGGACCACACTCTCCCCGGCTGTTCTGCTCAGCATTCTCAAGGACGTCCCACTCTGGTCCTGGAGATCAGGTCCTGGGACTGAAAGAACAGCCACACCTGCCTTGGGACATGCATGTGGGCAGTCATGTGACTCGCCTTGTTCTGTTTTTCTTCTCAAGGATCGCAGTCCTGAGTCTCTGGTTGCCCAATATCTGAAAACAGTCTTTCCATATATTCTATCTTGTTTTCCGGTTGCTCCTGGTGGGAGGGAAGTCCGCCACTGCTCTATCATGGCCAGAAGCTCCAGCAGAGGCTGGGAAAGTTGTGACTTAGCAATGCAGTGTTTCCCAAAGCGTGTTCCAGAGAACACTAGCTGAAAAAGATGACAAAGTGGTTCATTTACAAGTAAACAAGAAAAACAAATGTTCATTTTTAAGAATGAATTTGAAAAATTTTGGTTTAAACAAGATTAAACAGGTCTGATCGCTGCAGAACATCTCAGGCCTTCCAACACACTAATGCCTATGGTGAACATCCATGAAGAGAATGAAAAGGACGACGTTCCCCAAATTTCTTTCATCATGGAGATCATTTTTTGTTTGTTTCACAAAACATCTTTAGGGAAAGAGTATGACATGGTGCTTAAGAGCAAGCGCTCTGGATGAAGACAAGTTTGGGCTGGGCGTGGTGGCACATGCCTGTAGTTCCAGCTACTTGGGAGGCTGAGATGGGAGGATCACTTGAGCCCAGGAGCTGGAGGCTACAGTGAGCTAGGATTGTGCCTGTGAATGCCCACTGCACTCCAGCCTAGGCAACATAGAGAGACCCATCTCTAAGAAAAAGAAAAAAAAAAAAAGACCTGTTTGAGTTCGAATCCCAGTTCTGCCACTTACTGGCTGTGTGTCCTTGGAAGGTTACTAGCCCTTTATAAGCCTCAGTTTTCCTAAATGCTAAGTGAGGATAAAGTTATTACTATCCAATAGAGGTATCGTGATTACTGAGAGCATTTACGAGATGATGCATGAAAAGTACCCAGTCCACTGTTGACACGTGGTGAATGCCCACAGATAGTAGCTGTTGTGTTGGGATTATTATTACTAGAATTGACCGTAAAGTTGGAAAGACTAATAATATTCTCTGTCATTCCGGACAGAGGAAAGCTGGAGCTGAGCAGAGTAGAGCATGATCTGTCTTTAATCTCCTTTAGTTTGAGAATTTGGCCCAGGACTTGGAAGGTGGCACTGGGAGATGATTCTGGGGAGACAGCTGCAGCCAGCGCACAAAACGTGTGCTTCTATTTCCAGACGGAAAATTTTCTCCTGCTCAAAGAACTCTTAGGAGTTCAGAAAGAGGGGATTGGGAGACAAAGAGTTTGTCATGCTCTTCATGGAAGCTGTGCAGAGAGCTCAGCAGAGAGCCCTCTAGGGGAAGGAGGAGGTGGGAGAGGGCTCCAGGAAGGGCTGGTGCCCTTGGGGGATCAGAAAGTGGCACAAGGTAAGCTCCCAGTGTCTGAGGATGAGCAAATAGTGCCACCTGGTCAGGATAATGTCAGGAGGATGGAGCCAAAGCCAGGCAGCTTCCTGGCTAAGTCCAAGGACAATACAAGAGGCTCTGCAAACGCAGCTGGCAGTGTAGGACAAGTGACACTGCTGCCCTTGGCCCCGGGTGCCCTGAGCCTGGGAGTATGGCCTTTCTCTGATCACACAGCAAGAAAGAGGTGGCCTCAGGATTCATGCCAAGCCCCGCCTGACACTGGGACCCCGTTCTCCCCCAGGCTCCCGTGTTTCCCCTGATAAAGGAGTATTTGCGTTGATGAAAGAAACCGGCACTTATTTGGCAAACCACTTGGATGGAATTCACTGGCACCCGCCAGGGTCAAGAGCTCAGGATGGATGGGGCTGGGGGATCTGGGGGTTTTCCAGACTGTGCTTTGGAGCCAGTGGGGACTGAATTCAAATAGCTTGTGAAATTCCCAGCAAGCTCCTCACACCAGCCTGCCACTGTTTGCCTGACATGACAATTTGATTTCTTTTAAAATAAGTACACTGTTTATTTATGATAGGTTTATATTTATAGAAAAGTTGCAAAGATAGTACAGAGTCAGTCCCCATATTCCCCCAAACCCGGTTTCCTCTATTATCCTCTTACCCAAGTGTGGTAAATTTGTCACAAATAATGAACCAGTAGGGATACCTTATGGATACTTTATTGTTAACTAAAGTCTGCACTTGATTCAGATTTCCTTAGTTGTAGCCTAATATTTCTTTTCTGTTCTAAAATCCCATGGAAGATATCACATTTACACTGAATCGTCTTGTCTCCTCTTGGCTGTGTCAGTTTCTCAGACTTTCCTTATTTTATTGAACTTGACAGTTTTGAGGATTACTGGTCAGATACTTTGCATAAATATTCCTCAGTTGGGATTTTAAAAAATTGAGATATACTTCACACACTGTAAAAGTCACCATGTTAACGTGTACAATTCAGTGGTTTTTATTTTTATGTATTTTATTTTATTTTTTTGAGACGGAGTCTCACTTTGTCACCCAGGCTGGAGTGCAATGGTACAATCTCGGCTCACTGCAACACCTGCCTCCCAGGTTCAAGGGATTCTCCTGCCTCAGGCTCCCGAGCAGCTGGGATTACAGGCATGCACTACCATGTGCCACTAATTTTTGTATTTTTAGTGGAGACGGGGTTTCACCATGTTGGCCAGGCTGGTCTCGACCTCCTGACCTCAGGTGATCCACCCAATTCTGCCTCCCAAAGTGCTGGGATTACAGGTGTGAGCCACCGTGCCCGGCCTATTCAGTGGTTTTTAGAATATTCACAAGGTTGTGCAACTGTCACCACTATCTAATTCCCAGAACAGCTTTATCACACTGGAAAGAAATCCAGTTCTCTTTAGCAGTCACTCCCCTTTCCCTCCCCCAGCTCCCCTAGACCCTGGCAACCATGAGTCTACTTTCTATTTCTGTGGATTTGCTTATCCTGGACGTTCATATGAAAAGGATCATACAATACATGGCCTTTGTGACTGGCTTCTTTCACTTAATGTAATGCTGAGTGAATTGTTGATTGGAGCAGGATCAAGGTCAAAAGTGAATTAGGTTGATGATCAGAGTCAGGTTAAGGTCAGACCAGGGTCAGAGTCCGCAGAAAGGAGGAGCCAGGTAAGACCCCTGCAGGGGTCCTGCTGGACTGGAGCCAATGTGCACCTCATACGCCTGCTTGAAGCTGTAGTCCTCGAGTCTTCAGCTGTCTTCATCTGGCTGATGTACTGCATGTATCCTTATTTCATTCATTTTTTTTTTTTTAATATTGCTCACCCCTGTAATCCCAGCACTTTGGGAGGCTGAGGCAGGCTGATGATGAGGTCAAGAGATTGAGACCATCCTGGCCAACATGGTGAAACCCTGTCTCTACTAAAAATACAAAACTTAGCTGGGTGTGGTGGCACACGCCTGTAGTCCCTGCTATTTGGGAGGCTGAGGCAGGAGAATCGCTTGAACCTGGGATGCGGAGGTTGCAGTGAGCTGAGATCATGCCACTACACTCCAGCCTGGTGACAGAGCGAGACTCCGTCTCAAAAAATTAAAAAAAAAATTAGGCCAGGCTCAGTGGCTCATGCTTGTAATCCTAGTACTTTGGGAGGCCGATGCAGACAAATCACCTGAAGTCAGGAGTTTGAGATCACCCTGGCCAATGTGGCGAAACCCCACCTCTAATAAAAATACAAAAATTAGCTGGTGTGGTGCATGCATGTAATTCCAGCTACTACGGTGGCTGAGACAGGAGAATCGCTTGAACCCAGGAGGTGGAGGTTGCAGTGAGCCGAGATTGCACCACTGCACTCCAGCCTGGGCAACAGAGCAAGACTCCATCTCAAAAAAAATTTATGGTAAAATACATATAACATAAAATTTATTATCTTAACCATTTTGAAGTATACGGTTCAGTAGTGTTAAGTGCATTCACATTGTTTTACAGCCAGTTTCCAGAACATTCTCATCTTGCAAAACTGAAACTCTATACCTATTAAATAACTCCCCATTTCCCCCTCCCTCCAGCCCCTGGCAACCACCATTCTACTTTCTGCTTCCATGAATTTGGCTACTCTAGATACTTCATATAAGTGGAATCATATAGTATTTGTCTTTTTGTGACTGGTTTATTTCATTTAGCATAATGTCCTCAGGGTTCCTTCATGTTGTAGCATGTCTCAGAATTTCCTTCATTTTTAAGGCTGAATAATATTCTATCATGTGTTAATATGGTTTGGCTCTGTGTCCCCACCCAAATCTCATGTTGAATTATAATTCCCAATGTTGGAGGTGGGGCCTGACGGGAGGTGATTGGATCATGGGGTAGTTTCTAACCGTTTAGCGCTATCCCCCTCGTGCTGTCTCGTGATTGAGTTCTCATGAGATCTGGTTGCTTAAAAGTGTGTAGCATCTTCCCCTTCACTCTCTTTCTTCCTCCTGCTCCAGCCATGTAGAATGTGCTGGCTTCCCCTTCGCCTTCTGCCATGATTGTAAGTTTCCTGAGGTTTCCCCAACCATGCTTTCTGTACAGCCTGTGGAACTGTGGGCCAATCAAACCTCTTTTCTTTATAATTACCCAGTCTCAAGTAGTTGTTTATAGCAATGTGAGAAAAGGCTAATACCTGTACGTATACCACATTTTGTTTATTCATTTACCTGTTGATGATCACTTGGGTTGCTTCCACCTCTTGGCTATTGTGAATAATGCTGGTATGAATATGGATGTACAAATATCTCTTTGAGACCCTGCCTTCAATTCTTTCAGATATATACCTATACATGGAATTCCTGGATCATATGGCAGTTCTATTTTTAATTATTTGAAGAACCACCGTACTGCTTTTCATAGCAGCTGCACTATTTTACATTCCCACCAACAGTGCATAAAGGTTCTAATTTCTCTGCAATGTAGTACTTGTCATTTTCTTAAAAAAAATTAAAAAATGATAGTAGCCATCCTAATGGATGTGAGGTCTTCATTAATTTTTATGGGTGAATAATATTGCAATTGTATGGATATACCACATTTGGTTTATTTATTCATCACTTGGCAGACATTTGAGCTGGTTTTTCTTTTAGACTAGTATGAATAATACTAATATGAACACTTGTGTACAAGTTTTTGTTTGAATATATGTTTTCAGTTCTCTTGGGTATATATGTATGAATGGAATTTCTGGGTCATGTGGTAACTCTATGTTTAACTTTTTGAGATGCTGTCAAACTTTACTAAAGTGGCTTTAATTATTTTATATTCCTATAGCAATATATAAGGATTTCCATTTATCCACATCTAATATTTGTTTTTTGTTAATATATTTGTTATTGTTTAATTATAACAATCCCAGTGGATGGGAGGTGATATTTTATTGTGGTTTTTGATTTGCATTTCCCCCGTGGCTAATGCTGAACATTTTTTCATGTGCTTATTGGCCACTTGCATATCTTCTTTGGAGAAATGTCTACACACATCCTTTGTCCATTTAAAAATCTGTCTTTTTTTGTTGTTTAGTTGTAAGAGTTCTTTATATATTCTGTGTACTAGGCCCTTGTCAGATATATGACTTACAAATATTCTCTCCCATTCTGTGGGTTGTCCTTTCACTTTCTTGAGAGTGTCCTTTGAATCACAAAAGCTTTTAATTGTGATGGAGTCAAATTTATCTATTTTTCTTTGGTCACTTGTGTTTTACATGTCTTACCTAAGAATCCATTGCCTAATCCAATGACACAAAGATTTACATTCATGTTTTCATCTAAGAATTCTATAGTTTTAGCTCTTACCTTTAAAACTTAGATCCATTTTGAGTTAGTTTTGTAGATGGTGTGAGGTAGGGGTCTGGATTCATTCTTTTGCCTCTGTTAGAATAGTTGTCCCAGTATCACTTGTTAAGCCTCAATTGGGGTTTGTCTGATTTTTTTCTTGTAATTATACTGGGGTTATATTTTTTAGGCAGGAAGACTACAGAGTCACCATTCTTACTATGTCACATTAAGACTATGTGATATTGACAAGACTTATCACTGATGATGTTAACCTTAATCATCTGGCTAAGGTCACGTTCATCAGGTTTCTCCACCATAAGGTTACTCTTTCTCTCTCTTCTCATACTGCACACTTTAGAAGGAAGTCATTATATGCAGCCACCCTTAAGAAGGAGTTAAGCTCTACCCATGTGAGTGCTGAGCATCTAACTAAATTATTTGGAATTCTGCATGGGAGGTTTGTCTCTTCTCCCATATTAACTTATTAGATAATTTATTTAAATCAGTATGAAGGCATGGATATTTATTTTATACTTTGGTTTATAATATGATATTACTTTATTTAGTTTTTGCTATTTTTTTCTGACTTTTGCCATTGGGAGATTTTTCAGTTGGCACCTGTATTCCTTTGACACTTTGTCATTATTGTGTGTGTATGTGTTAAGCACTTTCTACTTATTTTCTGGCACTACAAGATACTCCAGGCCCATTTTGTACAATTTCTAACCTAATCTTAGAATCAGCCAGATTTCTCCAAGGACCCCAGATTCCTTTTATTGGAAAATTGTATTAAAATACAAATCGGGGTGTGAAGTGTGTCTGATAAGTCCATTTTTAAAAACTTTCATATTGAGGAACTGTCAAAATAACATGGCTTTCAGACTTAGGCCAGAGGAGTTGGGTCTCTACATCTTGATGAAGAAAGGGTAGAGGGGTGTCTTAGGTAGTTTTCTGTTGCTATAACAGAATACCACAAACTTGGTGTTTCATAAAGAAAATAAAATTATTTCTCACAGTTCTGGAGGCTGGGAAGTCCAAGGCAAGGAGCTACATCTGGTGAGGGCCTCCTTGTTTGTCTCCTCTGCAGAGTCTTGAAGTGGTGCAGGGCATCACATGGTAAGGGGACTAGATCATGCCTGCTCAGACCTCTCTTCCTCTTCTTATAAAGCCACCAGTCCCATCATAGGGATTTCACCCTGATGAGCTTATCTTATCCTAATAACCTCTCAAAGACTACATCTTAACACTGTTACAATGGGGATTAAGGGTCAACATAGTTTTGGAGGGGGCATTCAAACCATAGCAAGGTGAAATTCTGGACCAGTCAGGGGTAAGAGGTGAAAGGAGATAGAAGATGCTGAGACTCCCTTCTAGTCTCTTGAACACGGCTTCCCAGCCACCCCTGCTTTGACCATGCTCTGCATGCTGAATCAGTTTCAATTGAATTATTTTTCTCTTCATTATTAGTCATATTTTTATGCTTCTTTGCATGTCTGGTAATTTTTGATTGGATGTTAGACATTGCAAATTTTTGTGGGAAGCCATATATTTTTGTATTCCTATAAGTATTCTTGAGCTTTGTCTGGCATATAGTTAAGTTACTTGGAAACAGTTTGATTATACTTGGTCTTGCTTTTAATATTTGTTAGGTGGAACCAGAGCAGTGCCCAAAAGAGGGCTAATTATTTCCCCACTCTTTTCATATCTTAGTATGAGTCTGTGTCTAAGTCCTCAATGATTTAAAAGCTCCTCCTGTACAAGATACCCCATGTGCCTTCTCTGTATTTCTAGTACAGTGTCAGTACCCAGAAGGGGCAGAATAGATGCTTCAATTTTGATTCATGGTGTTACAGAACTCACCCAATGTGGGGAGTGCCCCAGAGGGGCTTGATCCTTTTGGCTTGGGTCAGGAGCCCCAGAACAATAAGGAAGGGACAGGAGGGCCGGGTACTCACACTGGGAGCTATAGCCGTGAGTGTCTATGAAGGACAGGCCCAGCCACTCCTCCTCCTGCAGGGGGCTCTGGTCTGTGAAGCTCTGGTCCATGGTGCTCATCATGTGGGTCCTCTCCTGGCAGTAGTTGACAGTGGCCTTGGTCTCGTTCATCGGCTTCCTGCGGGGTGGGGGTCGGGGGTTGATGGGAGACATAGGTGCTGTGTGGGGCCGGACAGTGCTCAGAGGTGGGTGGAGAGGCCCCAAAGTCAAGGGTCTTGAGGCCTGGAGCCAGCAGCTGTCCTGGAAGCATCTCTGGATGCTGAAGGGCTCCGCCTCCAACCTTCACTCATCAAACCCAGAGAGCTGCTGCCTCCCCAAAATGGGGCTGGCAGGGTGCCTGTCCTGGGGACCTTTGCTGAGGGCAAGGCATGGAGCAGCAGTGACCTCAGGCTGGGATCCTGCTTCTAGGTCTCACTGGCCCCATGGGCTCAGAAAATGGGAAGGAAAGCCTCTCCAGGCCTACTTTGGTGTCACAGCAGACAATTCCTCTGCCTCCACTGCATCCCAAACTGGGAAGGTAGCTGGCCTGGCTCCAGCCACAGTGTGTCCCCACCTCCATCCCCTTCCCCGTCATCCATTCCAAAGACCTACAGTCAAGTTGATTTTCTCTAGCTGTGGGAATGGGCTGTGTGAAGCCATCCTCCCTCCTTCTTAGTGACCGAGGTCTGGCAATAGCCCGGTTGGTGGGGAGTTTCTTGTAGGCGGAGGCTGAGCTCCAACCTGGGCCTTTCAGTTCTGTGCGCATTTCTCCAAGAAGCCACCAGGCCTGGGCCCATCGCCAGCTACAAAGGATATGGAACAGAAATCCACCCAGGGTCCATCTTCCCGCCAGCCCCAATCAGCCCATCCAGCCCCCATCCCCAGTTAAGACCAAGTAGCAGGGGAAGAAGGTGAGAGGCCCCAGTCCCTCCACTGGAGGGACAGAGCTTCTGGAGTGGCTTCTAGGCAAGGGCCCTGCATGGCCCAGGCTTCCAGGCCCAGTTTCATGCATGAGGACAGCAGTTTGTGATCCTGGAAAAACTTGGAGGAAACTGGGAGGGAGAGAAGGAGGTGGAGAGGTAGGAGACAGCTCCATGATCAAGGGTCCAAGAAACAGGCACAGGGGAAACAACTTGGGACTCTTGTCAAGGCTGGAGATGAGCCCGAGCGGCCCAGTCACAGGGGAGGCTCCAGAGGAGAGAGCTGTTCACCTGTTCGGCCCTAGAGCATGCAGGATGCAGGGTAGACCTGAGAAAGGACTTCCAGGTTATGCGGGCTCAGGGACACTTACCATCCATGGGGACAGGGAGGCCAATGAAAGAATCTTCCTAGACAAACTTTAGCCAGCCTGTCCTGGGGCAAGGGAAGGACAGGATGACCTCTGGATGCCTCTCCTGCTAGGACCAGGTTGTCCTTCCTGCGATAAGGAGATGGCTCTGTGTCCCCACTGGGACCACTGCTGTTGGGCACTGAGGAGGGCACAGCCTTCCCAGCCTGGATGGGAGAGGGCTCGCCAGGCCCAGGCCTCTTACCTTTGGTCCCTGCCAGGCTCTGGGCATCGCCCTCACTGTGGCCCAGGGCGGAGCCAAAGCACCCTTTGGGGGCAGATGAGGAGCAGCCTCTGTGGCTGTGACCTTGACCACCTTGAGTGGGGAAAGGATCAGGGGCAGACAGAGAAGGAGAAGGGGAGGAGAAGAGAGAAAAGGACAATAACAAGGAGAGAGAGAGAGATGGGGAAGGGGACAGAGAGAGAGGGAGGGACAGGCCAGACACAAAAAGCTGTAGGGAGGACAGACAGGGCCATGGACAGAGGACAGCCAGCCAGGCTGTCTGAACATGGAGGCAAGAGAGGACCCGTCAGTGAGCAGATGCTGGCCTAGAGGGCGTTCTCCAGGGGTGTGCCACAGGTTCTGTTCCCAGCCCAGGACTCCTGGCCTACCTGGAAGAAGAGCTACAGAAACAAACCAACCCGATCCCCAGAAGATGGAACCTGGGAGGGACACCTAACGCTGTTGGCGTCGGGCTGAGCTCAATGCGAGATTAAGCAGATGGAATTTAATACAGGTTCTTTGAAAAGTTCTGCATCTGGTTTTGAAAACTAACCGCACAAGCAGCAGGGAGGGAGAGCTGCCTGTCCACAGCCCCTGCAGGAGCTGAGCTGGAGGCTCAGTGTGAGTCACTGGGTGTTGAGTTGCTGCAAAAGCTCATGTCGGGAAACAGCAAGGTAAGGAGCAGTCCAGGGAGGAGGAGGTGAGAGACCTGCCATCCTTGGGGGCTAGCCCAGTTCCATCTGGGCCTGCTCTGCGAAGTAGGGAAAACCAGCACTGATGTGGGAGGAATGTTCTGGAAGGCTTGCAGATTAGGAGAAGACAGAGACAGAAGACAGAGTAGCATCGGCAGGCTGTGGAGTCAGCAGGGGCCTGGGATGTGTCCCAGCTCTGGCACATTCTGCGACCTCCCACAAGTCCCTTGGCCTCTCTGAGCCTCAGTTTCCTCATCAGTAAAGTGGGAGTGATAAGAGCTCCTATTGTCAGGGCTGTCATGAGGATTCTGGGTCCAGAACTGAGCACAGGGCTTGGCCCAGAGGAGGTGCCCAGGAAGTGGTGGGTCTGCAGAGCTGGGGCTGCCTGGCTGGAGAAGGGGCTCATGGGGGATCTGAGAGTCGTCTGTGTTGTGAACAGAGCTGCCAGTGTCGGGACAGGTCCACCCTGCCCTCGTGCATGCAAGCACACACGTGCACACAGGCATGGACTCTAGAGTGGGACCTGTGTAAGGATGGTCCTGGATGTGGATTTGGTAGGTGGTGAGAACGTCCTTCGTTTTTCATTTTTTTTGAGACGGTCTTGCTGTGTTGCCCAGGATGGAGTGCAGTGGCCAGAACACAGCTCATTACAGCCTCAACCTTCTGAGCTCAGGTGATCCTCCCACCTCAGCCTCCTGAGTAGCTGGGACTACAGGCATGCACCATCACGCCTGGCTAATTTTTCTATTTTTTTGTATATACGGGGTTTTGCCATGTTACCCAGGCTGGTCTCAAACTCCTGGGCTCAAGCAATCTGCCTGCCTTGGCCTCCCAAAGTGCTGGGATTACAGGCTTGAGCCACTGTGCTCTGCAGGACGTCCTCCTGACCACAGGGAATGGTTCAAGGACATAAGGGACTGCCCCTGTGGTGGAAAGGACATTGAGACTGAGGGAGGAGAGGTGAGTTGCCCAGGGCTACTCAGCAGAGTCAGCTCCAGCACTGATGACCATGACTTGAGGAGGAAGAGGCAGAGGGGAGGGACAGAGCAGAGGAGAGAAAGTCAGAGGCTGAGGTGGCCATGGAGAACAGGGCAGACACCAGGCCAGGTGCAGCGAGCCCAAGCCCAGCCAGAGAGAGCGGGGGTGGGAGATCTCCCCCTAGGTGGGGCTGTGGACTCCCAGGCCAGGTGGAACTACTTACGGGTAGTAGGAGTAGGCATAGTGGTCTCTCCCAGCAGTGTGCAAAGAGAGAACAGCACAGTCGTGTCCGAGGTCCGTCCACCAAGGCCGGGCTGAGGCAATGCCCACGCAGGAGGGTGGGGCCTGGGTGCTTCCTGTGCTGGGGTGGGGGCTGACCGGGGACTGGACAGGTCAGAAAGACCTTCCTGATCTCCCAAGGACTAGCTGGGCTCAGACATTAAGGACCAGCACCCAAGGCCCTTCTGGAACCTTCTGCAAGCCTACTGTAGGAGTGAGGAGGAGGTGCGGGAAAGGGCCTGGGGGGTCACAGAGCTTCCACACAGAGTCATATACACATGTATACACAGAAATAAATACTTACATAAACAGACACACATGTAGATATACACTCAGATGCACTCATACACAGAAAAGCACACACTGACACACACTCATATGCACTGACAAATGCAGACACGCACAGGTGCAGACATGCATACACATGTATTCAAACACACTGACACACATGCAGACATACATTCACAAACACACACACACTTAACACCCCCCGACCCACACACTCACACTCGAGGGTAACTGTGCTCACCTAGGGCTGCTGTCACCCCTGCAGACAGCCTTCCGCTTTCCCTCCCTGCAGGCCTCTCTGCCCCTGAGAGGTCAGCCCTTTGCCTGCACCTCCACCTGGGTGGGGACAGAGAGTGGGCAGAGTGGAGATGACTCCACTTGGACACCCAGGATAAACCTCGGGCCTGCCCTCACCCACCCTGACTGCCCCTGGCTGTGGGATCCACTAAAGGAGCCATGCCATCCCTTCCAGGGGCTCCTGGAACACAACTTGGGTCAGAAGCCCTATGCTACCAGAAAGCACTGTCAATGAAAATAGTCAACCTCTGTAAAATATTTTTAAAGAGGTTTATTCTGAGCCAAATTTGAATGACCATGGCCTGAAGCACAGTCTGGAAAGGTCTTGAGAACATGTGCCCAAGGTGGTTGGGTTATACCTTGGTTTTATGTTTTAGGGAGACTTAAGACATCAATACATGTGAGGTATACATTGGTTCAGTCTGGAAAGGTGGGACAACTCAAAGGCGGGGAGGTCATAGGTGGATTCGCAGATTTTCTGATTTGCAATTGGGCAATTGGTTGAATGAGTTAAGTTATTATCTAAAGAACTGGAATCAATAGAAAGGAGTGTCTGGCTTAAGATAAGGAGTTGTGGAGACCAAGGTTCTTATTATGTAGATGAAGTCTCTTAGGTGGCCACCCTTAGAGGCAGTAGATGGCAAATGTTTTCTATTCAGACCTTTAAAAGGAGTTAGACTCGAAGCTAATCTCTTCGGGATCAGAAAAAGACCTGGAAAGGGAAAGGAATTCTCTACAGAATGTAAATTTCCCTCACAAGAGAAGCATTGCAGGGCCATTTAAAAATATGTCAAAGAAATATATTTTGGGGTAAAATATTTTGATTTCTTTCAGTGTCTGTTATCTGTCATGTGATGCTACACTAGAGTCCGTTTGGAATTCGATATTTTATTGCTACAAAGAGTCTGTTTTGTAAGCCTTAAGATCTCTATTTTAATGTTAATGCTGGCCAGCTGTGCTGAATTCCGAAGGGAGGTGGGAATAATGAGGCATGTCTGACCCTCCCGTTCCATCATGGCATTAACTAGTTTTTTAGGTTTCTTTGAAATCCCCTTGGCTGAGAGGAGGGTCCATTTAGTAGGTTGGGGGGCTTAGAATTTTATTTTACTTTATTTTTATTTTGAGACACAGTCTTGCTCTGTCACCCAGGCTGGAGAGCAGTGGCATGATCACAGATCACTGCAGCCTCCTGGCTCAAGCTGTCTTTCCACCTCAGCATCCCAAGTAACTGGGACTTCAAGTGTGCACCACTATGCTTAGAAAACTTCTTAATTTTTATTTTATTTTATTTTTTGAAACAGGGTCTCATTCTGTCACCCAGGCTGGAATGCAGTGGCGTAATCATGGCTTACTGCAGCCTTGACCTCCCAGGCTCAGGTGATCCTCCTGCCTCAGCCTCTTGAGTAGCTGGGACTACAGGTGTGTGTCAGCATGCCCAGCTAACTTTTTGTATTTTTTGTAGAGATGAGGTTTTGACATGTTGCCCAGGCTGGTCTCGAACTCCTAGGCTCAAGTGATCCCCTCCTTCAGCCTCCCAAAGTGCTGGGATTACTGATGTGGTTTATTTTTGGTTTACGTCACCCACAGTGTACAGCAAGCTGATTCCCATTTCGCAGATGGGGAAGCTGAGTCATGGGGAGTCATGGGCTGCCCCAGGCCTCTCTGGAGGTCAGTGGCAGAGGCCCTAGGCCTCTGGATGCCTGTCCCAAGACTCTGGCCCCTGAACCTCCTCTGTGCCCCCTCCTGAGGCCCTGCCTAGGCTTGTTTCAGGGTCCTTCATTCACTTGCCCCCCACATCATGCCATCAGCAGGAATTCCAGAGCATGGCCTTTCACAGGAAACTCTATAGATTGAGGGGATGAGAGTGGAAGACTGAGGCCAGCAAGGGCAGGAGATTGGCCCCAGGTCACTCAGCACATCTCCAACCCAGGGAGAGAAGGAGAGGATCCAGGGTGCTGGAGCTGGTGGCAGAGGTTTGGGTGGGGGTGGGGTGGATGAATGACATAGCATGATGTGGTGGGCTGGACAGATGTATGGAGATTTGGCAGACCTGAGTCAGTCCTAGCTCTGCCTTGAACAATATAGAAGTTATTTTTATAAAAGATAAACTCAGATCCTACTTTTCTTCCCTTGCCTAAAACCCTTCACTGGATTCCTGGCGCTCTTTGAATGCAGTCCACAGGCTTTCCTCTGGCTCGGGTGGCCCCAACATGGTCCAGCCCCTGTACCTCGCTGCTCCTCTCTGCTCCAGCCACACAGCACTTGTGTTTCCCCATCTTGGGGCCGTTGCACACGGAGTCGTCTATACCTGCATTTTCTCTCTCTTCTCTTTGTGCCTTCAGTCTCAGCAGAACCTTTCTTGATTCCCCCCTTCCACCCACCAAATGAATCTCCCTCTGTTGTCCTCACTTCTGGCCTCCTGCTCTTTTCCTTTCCAGCACTTACCTCAATTGGTAATCATCCATTCATCTGTGTTCTTTCTTGTTTAATACCGCTCTCCTCTCCAGCCTATGAGCTATGCAAGAGCAGAATGCCTGCCTGTTTTCCCAGCCCGGATCCTCGGTACCCAGGACAGTGCCTGGACCATTGTACAGACTCTATAAATATTTGTTGAGTTAGCTGATAAATGAATGAAAGAATTTTGCTCCTCTGAACCCAGCGTTTCCTCCTCTGAAAAACATGGCTATTTATTATTCTGCCCATCAGGGGCTGCTGTGAAACATGAATAATGGTAAGCATGCCCACAGCAGGTGCACTATGAACACTAGTTCATTCCCCCTCCTCCCTCTCCTGAACTTGCCCTCTCCAGTGAAACAGGACTCCAGGCCCAGGCTGTGAATTGCTCTATCCCAGGTGGCTCAGAGCAGCTGTCTAATCAAAGTGTGTTGAATTGAACCGAAGTCATCGGCTCCTGCCCATCCATTGACTTGTGTTGACTGAGCAGCTGTCAGACACTGGGTCCACACAGCCTATAATCCAGAACCTTTCCTACTTCACAGAGCTCTCAGCCTGGGGAAGAGAAACAATGCGAAGTGTTAAAATTACCCAATCACCTACTGCAGGGTGTGAGGAGGCTGCAGGGAACTCAGCACAGGTGACAAGAGATGGGCTGGGGTTCCGTCCCTCACCTGGAATTATCTCCGGGGGCAAAGGGTTGAGGGTGCCTAATACTACCTCGCCCCTGACTCTGCATGTGGGAGCTCCCACAACCAGGGCTCCTTCAGAAGCCGAAACAACTCAGAAGCTGCAACCTTTGCTTTGAGCTAAAAAAAAAATAGCAGAAAGGCTTAGAAAATTCTGGAAGGGTTGACCTTGTGCCCTTCCCTCCAGGTCACCAGGAATGCGTGGAGTTCCCTCCTGCCTCTGGGCAGCCAACTGGAGCCCTGTTGTCTCTGGGTCTCCATGCCCACTCTGATTTGTGTTCCTCGGTTCTGATGTCTGTGTTTCTGTTTATTTTTTCTCTTTATTGAATGGCCTTTTGCTGCATGCTCTTCCAAATCCTCTGTGGAACAAAGCCCAGAGTAAATAATTGAATGCTTACACATTTAAATATTTCCAGTGTTGGCCTTGGTCACGTCTCTGCATGTGACATCCCATACTGACAGCCTCTGCTCTGGGAAGCAGAAATGCCTTTGCTTTCCTCTTGAGCTGTTTCTTTCGAGCTTACAAGTTGCAGGGAGTCACCCCAGTGTCCCGGGATTTGGGCCACATGGGCTCATTCCTGTCTCTAGCCCAGGCCCTTTTCAGTCTTCCTTTCTCCAGGCTGAGGTCAGGCTGTCCTCAGACCCAGCTACCACCCAGAAGCAATAATAATGAAAATTAGCTAGCTATGAATAAAGTGCATCTTAATTTGGAATGATCCCCATTTTGCAGGTAGGGAAAGAAAGGCTCAGAGAGGTGACGGGAGATGCCCAAGGTCACACAGCAAGGGTCTCCTCTCTTCTTGAGGCTGTGCTGCTTTCCCCCAGAAAGCCCTTACTATACTCCTGACTCTTGCCCACAGGACCCCCGGGTGGTCAGTGGAAATTGGTGTGTGGGAGGTGGCAGAGCTGGGATGCAAACCTGGTCTTAGAAAAGCAACCCACATTTGTTGAGCGTACAAAGGGTGTGTGGGATGTGAGCATGTGGGGTGTGTGCATGTGAGCAAGTGTGTGTGATTGTGTGGGGTCAGTGTATATCTTGGTCAGTTCAGGCTGCTATAACAAATACCATTGACTGGGGGGTTTAAACTACAGACATTTACTTCTCACGGTTCAGGAGGCCGGGAACCTCAAAATCAAGGTGTCAGCCAACTCTGTATCTGAGGAGGCTCTCTTCCTGGTTGGCGGATGGCCGCCTTCTTGCTGTATGTATCATCACATGGCAGAGACAAAGATCATCCCAGCTCTGCCATCTCCCAGCTGTCTGACCTTGAGAAAGTCATTTTCCCTCTCTGTGCCCATATCCATGGCCTAAAATGGGGTCAGTGCTAATACAGTGCCACAGGTTGTTGTCAAGATCAAATGGGACCATGGGTGAGTAAACACAATGAAAAATGCTTGCTAAGCTGTATACTGACCTGCTGCGCCAAACTCAGGACACAGTAGAGTGCCATGAAGACAGTGGTGTTGTCTAGGCTCTGCCGCTCCACCCACCCCGCCCCTGTCCAGTGTCTCTCCTGAGTGCTCCCCCAGCCCAGCCCCCTGAAGCTGGAGCTGTCAGGAATGAGGGTGCTTCATCATGTACTGTGCTACTGTGTGGGAACATCTTCAGGGAGAGAGGGGATGGGGTAGGGAGAAGCGGGAGGAGGTCGGGGGTGCCAGCATCTGCCCATAGAATTGCTCTTTCCAATCTAGAGCACGCCATAAGAGGGAGGTGAGGGGGGCCCCCTACTGTCCTTATGAAAGCCCCCCAAGCCCATGGAGTGTAAGGAAGTGAGGACCTGGATGTGAGCTCAGCCCCAACCCTGGCAGCTGCCCACCAGCCTCTGACTCCGGGCTCCGCCCTCTCCCCATCTAATCCCTGTCCTGCTCTACAGCGACCCTGAAAAACTCCTTCACCACTCACTGTGTCCCTTCCTAGACCTCTGGGACCTACAGTGGCTCCTGCTGCTCCTCTCTGGGTCCCCGGGCCTGCCTCACCTTTGTACGTGCTGTTTCCTCTTCTGTCACCTCCACTTCCCCTCCCCGAGCTCCTGTGCCTCCCTGAACTTCTCCAGTCCCAGCTCTGCTGTCTGCACTGTAAGTGACAATTCACTCCTCTGTCCTTCCCATGGGATCGGAAGCCCCTTGAGAGCTGACTCTGCATCTGGCCACTCTGTTTCCCTAGAGTGCAGGGTGGCACCTGACACCTTAGTCAACATTTATTGAGTGCTGACTGTGTGCCAAGACTGTGCTCAGCCCTTTACAGACATATATTAATTAACGTAAGATGACCTTCAAGGACATATTGGAGACAGGGTGGGGTTGGGCTGGGAAGAAAGACTTGAAGGCCAGGTGGATTTGGATCTGGCTCTGCATTTATTGGCTGGGTGATCTTTATCAAGTTACCTAAGCTCTGGGTGCCTTACTTTCCCATGTAAAATGGAGGTAATGATATTATCCATCTCATGGAGCTGTTTTGAGAATTTAAAGAGTGAATATACATAAAGGGCTTAAAATAATGTCAGACACAGTTTAAGGGTTGGCTATTACTATTGTCCACATTTTATAGATGAGGAAACTGAGAGTGGGAAAGTCACTTACCTGAGCTCTCAGCAATGAGGTGGTAGAGTTAGAACGTGAATCCAAGATCTACCTGACCCCGAAGCACTCCCCTTAATGATTGCAGCAGGGCCTCAGGGCCTTCGACCTCTTTAGCCTCAGCGTCCCCATCTGTAAGGTGCAGGGGCTGGAGGGGAGGATGCCTAGAGTTCCAGTGCTAACACTCTTGCCTTTGTGAGATTCTCGGTGGGGATTCGAGACTTGGAACGCGTCTTGAAAGCAATGGGCTCCCCTTGTGCTTTCAGGACAGGATCCCGTATACAGCCCCTGGATGCATGGCAGATTTCTGGTAGGCAGGTTGGCTTGAAGTGAAATGGTCCGGATTTAGCAGGTGAGGCTTTGGAGGAGATGCTTCCATAGGGGCCCCCAGTGCGTGCTGAGACAGGCTCCAATAAACCTGTGGTGAGAAGTCACAGGCAAAACATGCAGGAACGTCTGCTTCTGCAAGAGGCCAGCTGACACTGTCCCCTTCAGAGCTGGAGCAGCTGGTGCAGACCCTGTTTTCTGCAGAGGACCCTGGGGCAGGGTGAAAGCCCTGAGCTGAGATGGGAGAAATCAGATTCTACTTGGGCGGGGTGGAGGGGCCGCTACTGTGTGCCTGGGGCTTTCCGAACCCTGCCCCATTATTACCCCTCACCCTCTGCAGGTGGTGACTTCCCAAATCCAACTACCCCTTAACATCTTCCCTAACCTGACTCAGGGTCCCCACTCCATCTCTCCTCAGCATTTCAGCAGCCTCCTCCCTGGGTGCCTGTTGCAGCCCATGCAGATCACACAGATCACATCAGACAGAAGCTCTTCCCCAAACCCAAGTCAGGCCATGTCACCTCCTGGCTTCCCATCGCCCTCCTACGCTGGCAGACGTTGACCCTTGTGGTCTGCTGCCTTGCCTCTCTCTACACCTGCTGACCTCCTTGCTCCTCTGGAAATGCACCAAACTCATCTCCACTGTGGGTCTTGGTCACTTGACGTCCCCTCTGTCAGGGAGGCTCTGAGTGTCACCTGCCTGGCTCTGTTGTTTTGTCTTTCTAATATCAGCCTAAATGTCACCACCTCAGTAAGGCCCTCTGGGATCTAAAGGAGCTCTGCCTCCCAGCGCTGGTGCTTTTAGTCCATCTCACAGTTTCCTTTTTAGGCTCTGTGCTGTGCACAGAGGATACAGCAGCGAGCAGGACATGTCCCTGTTCTTGGGTCCTTGTGGGTCCTGTTGATGAGTAATGATGAGAACTTTAGTTTCCATTGATTAGAAGGATGAAAAGAAAAAACGAGAAAAAAATAAAAAGAAAAGGGATCATGAGGACCAATATTAGCCAGGAAACACACACACACACACACACACACACACACACACACACACACACACACACACACATAACTATGAAAAAAACAACTGGTTGTGCCACACAGGAAGCACATGGGTTGCCATGGAAACAGGTAATGGGGCCCTCACCTATTGTGGGGGTTAGGGAGGGCATCCCTATTTCTGTCTAAGAGTAGCATTAAAATATTGAAAGGATGGGGCTTTCATTTCCTCCAAGATAGAGTCTCCATAGTCCTTTCAGGTCTTCCCCATGACAACTAAAAAGCCATGGACATAACCCAGCAGTAGGCACAGGAAGGCTGAAGGACAGAGGAAAGCAGACTGTCTAGATGCTCAGAATGTGAGGAATGGCACGGTGGCAAGCTCTCTGCCTTTCCCTATTGCTTCCCTTATATCCTAGGACAGAGTGCTGCATAAGCCCCCAACCCAGAATGGCCAACAGACACAGACCTAAAAAGCACCAAGAAAAACCTGTTGCTCTACGCAGAGGACTGGGAAAAGGGAAGCCAAAGGAGGAAATATTTTTGTCAAATCCTGCCCTACTCCAATACCAACAGAAAAGCTGCTCTTCTCCCACTCCTTCTGCCCTGCAATTTGAGCAGGATCGAGCAGGAAGCTGATGTTCCATCCATCCCCACTTCCGCTGCATGTAGCAGACATAGATGCTCTGACTCCCCTGCCAGGGTGGTGTCAGCAGGACCAGCCATGAGCTGAACCTCCACTTCCACCTGGCAGCAGTGAGACTTAAGGGGGTAATGCACTGTGGGGCTATTTACACTTGACACTTTCAACCTCATCCAACTGGCAATCATCAGTGTGTCCAGAGAGAAACTGCCTGCACCCTAATCTGGCATCCATAAAGCAGAACAAGGTGATAGGAAGTAGGGCTGGTTGGCACTCTGCTTCCTTCCCGTCCCTCTCCTGGTGTCAGTAGGGCCCAGTGGGAAGCTGAGTTTCTGCTTCTACCCTGCAGCAATAAAGTGATGTGAGTCAGCCCTCACCTCCCTCCACCCCTGGTGTCAGTAGGGCATGGTGGGAAGCTGAGCTTAACACCTCCATTCAGAGGCAACAGGGGAGTAGAGCTGACCCCATCTTTGCAGGCAGGCCCAAGGGGAGCAGAACACACATATCCATCTGGCCCTCTCATTAAAACTGTGGGAAAAAAAAAAGAATCTAGAGTCTTACAATATTCAAAATGCTCAGAATACAATAGAAAAATAATCACTTATCATACCAAGAATAGGAAAATCACAACTTGAATGAGAAAAGATAATCAACAGATGCCAACATTGAGATGAATCACATGTTGAAATGATCTAACAAGGACTCTAAAGCAGCCATCATAAAAATGATTCAATAAGCAATTATGGATGATCTTGAAACAAGTGAAAAATAAAACATTTCAGCAAAGAAATAGAAGTAATAAAAAAGAACAAAATGGAAATGATGGTTCTGAAATATACAATGACCAAATAAAAAACTCAATGAATGGCTCAACAGTGGAGATGATGGAGGATGGAACCAGTGAACTTGAGGAAAGATCAATAGAATTTACCCAGCCTGAAGAACAGAGAGAAAATAGACCTAAAAATAAAACAGAAAGTCTCAGAGACCTGTGGACATCAGCACAATAGCTCTCAGTCTTATTATTGGAGTCTCAGAAGGCGAGGAGAGTGGGACTGAAAAAGTATTTGAAGAAATAATGGCTAATACTCCCCCAATTTAGAGAAGGACATATACCTAACGATTCAAGAAGCTGAATAAACCGTTAAGTAGTATAAATCCAAAGAAATTCATGTCGGCCCGGTGTGGTGGCTAATGCTTGTAATTCCAGCACTTTTGGAGGCTGAGGCAGGTGAACTGCTTGACTGCAGGAGTTTGAGACCAGCCTGGACAACATGCTGAAACCCCATCTCTTTAAAAAAACACAAAAATTAGCCAAGCATGGTGGCACCAGCTTGTAGTCCCATGTACAGCCATGCCTGTAGTCTCAGCTTTTTGGGAGACTGAGGTGGGAGGATTGCTTGAGTCTGGGAGATCGAGGCTACAGTGAGCTGTGTGTGTGCCACTGCACTCCAGCCCAGGTGACAGAGTGAGACCCTGTCTGAAAAATAAAGAAATTCATGTGAAGCCACATCATAATTAAACACCTGAAAACTAAAGACAATGAAACATCTTAAACACAGTCAGAAAGAAACTACATGTTACTTCTAAGTTACACCAATTTGAATGACAGCCGATGTCTCTTTTGATACCAAGGAGGCTCAAATTAAGTGGCACAACAGTTTTCAGGTACAGAGAGAAAAGAACTGTCAATAGCACATTCTATATCTGGTGAAAATATTAAGGGGAAAATAAAGGCATTCTCAGATGAAGAAAAACTAAGAGAATTTGTTGCTAGCAGATATACCCTTAAAGAATAGCTAAAGGAAGTTCTGTGAACATAAAGGACATGATAATGGAGGAAAGCTAGGAATTTCAGAAAGAATGAAGACTCTAAGAATGGGTGGGGATAAACAGAGTAGACTATCCTTTTTCTTAGGAGTTTCTTAAATCCTATTTGCTGGTTGAAGCAAAAATTAAAAACCATCTAATGTGGTGTATAATGGATGTAAAGGAAGTAGTTTATGATTATCCTCATAAAGTGTGTAAAGAGATCTGAACAGGAGTAAGGGGCCTATGCTTTGTTCCCAGTGTTAAAACATCAACACCAGTAGAACAGGATGAGTTATGTATATATTTTGTGATATTTAGAGAAAACACTAAGAAAATTATAGAAAGTGATATTCTTGTATTCTCAAAAACACTATAAAAAATCAATACAGAATCCTAAAAAATGTTTAGGTAACCCACAAGAAGATACCAAGAGAGATCCAGAGGAATAAGAAACAAAGAAAACAAATAGAAAACAAAAAATAAAACAGCAGACTTAAGCTCTAACATATCAACAATTAAATGCAAATTGTCTCAATGCATCAATTAAAAGACAGAGATTGGCAGAGTGGATTAAAACAAGCAAAAAAAAACAAAAAAAAACCCACAGCAACAATAACTACAACAGAACCTCATACAATCCAACAACATGCTGCATTCAAGTAATTCACTGCAAATACAACAACATAGGTAGGTTGAAATGGAAAGAATGGAAAGAGATACACCATAAAAATGTTGATAAGAAAAGAAAGAGTGGCTATATTAATATCAGATAAAGCAGACTTCAGAACAAAGAAAATTGCTAGAGAGAAAGAGGAACATTACCTAATGATAAAAGGATTCATTTACCAAGAAGACATAACAATCCTAAGTGTGTATGCATTAAATACTAGCGTCTCAAAATACATGAAGCAAAACTGATAAAGCTGAACAGAGTAACAGACAAATCAAAAAATGTAGCTGGAGATTTCAATATGCTATTCTCAGCAATTGATAAAACTAATAGATCATCAGTAAAGCTTTAGATCGGAACAACACGATCAAGAGCAGTGGTTCCTAACCATTCTGGCACCAGGGACTGGTTTCGTGGAAGACAATTTTTCCACGGACATGGGGTAGTGGGGAGAATAGTTTGGGGATGAAACTGTTTCATCTCAGATCATCAGGTGTTAGTTAGATTTTCATAAGGAGCAGGCAACCTAGATCCGTCGCATGCACAGTTTACAATAGAGTTTGCACTTCTAGGAGAATCTAATGTTGCTGCTGATCTGGCAAGAGGTGGGGCTCAGGCAGTAATTCCTGCCCACCTAATGCTCACCTCCTGCTGTGCAGCCTGGTTCCTAATAGGCCACAGACCGACACCGGTCTGCAGCCCAGGGGTTGGGGATCCCTGATCAAGAGGGTCTAATTGACATATACAGAACACTTTACCCCAAACAGAAGAACACACATCTATTTTCAAGTGCCCACGGAACAGTCACTAAGGTAAGACTATACCCTGTGCCATAAATAACAAAAATGAAAACAACGAAAGTTAACGAATGGGTTCAATAGTCAAATGGAGGAGACAGAGGAAAGAGTCAGTAATCTTGGATACAGAACAATATAAATTACTCAATCTGAACCACAGAAAGAAAATATACTGGGAGAAAAAAAGAACAGAGCACCAGGGACCTATGGGACTATAACTAGAGATCTAACACTTATGTCATCAGAATCCCAGGAAGAGAAAAAAAAGGAGGTGGGGGCTGAAAAAAGACTCAGAGAAATAATGGCTGAAAACTTCCTAAATTTGGCAAAAGACACAAACCTACGGATTCAAGAAGCTGAGTGAACTCCAAACAGGATAATCTCAAAAGATATTCACACCAAGACACATCATAGTCAAAATTTTTAAAATTAAAGACAAAGAAAATATCTTGAAAGCAGTGAGGGAGAAATGACAACCTCTCTGCAGGGGAAAAATATTAGAACAAAAAAGGATTTCTCATCAGAAACCATGGAGGCTAGAGGGAAGTGGCTCAACATTTTTTTCAAGTGCTGAAAGAAAAGAACTGTCAACCCAGAATCCTATATTCAGGGAAAATACCCTTCATAAATGAAGGGGAAATTGACATTTTCAGATGAAGAAAAACTAAGATAATTTGTTGCTAACAGAAACGTACCCTAAAAGAATGGCTAAAACACTCTCTAAATGGAGAAGAAACAGTAAAAGAAGGAATCATAGAACACCAGGAAGAAGAAAGAACACAGTAAGCAAAAGTATGGGTAAATATAATGAACTTTTACTCTCCTCTTAAGTTTTCTAAATTGTATTTGATGGTTGAAAAAAATTATAGCACTTTCTGATGTGGTTCTAAATGTATATAGAAGAAATAGTTAAGAAATTTATATTATTAACGAGGAGGGTAAAGGGAGGCAAGCTTTCTATACTTCCCTCAAACTGGCAAAATGATGACACTAGTAGACTGTGATAAATTATCTATATATTAATGTAATGTAACTGACAGTAACCACTATAGACACTATACAAAGAGATATACTCAAAACCAGTATAGATAAGTCAAAATTGAAGTCTAAAAAAACTATTCACATAACCCACAGGAAGGCAGAAGAAAGAAACAAGGGATATTGGTCTGTAGTTTTCTTTTTGTGTGCTGTCTTTGGCTTTTTTGGTATCAGGGTAGAGGAATGGCTGGTTGAAAGTAACACAAGTTTTTTCAACTGAAAAATGAGGAAATCATAGGCCTCACGTCACAGGAAGGGTTGTGGTTGTGAGGTTTAAGGTAATGCATATAAAACAAATGCATTAATGCCTGGCACTTACAGTATGTAATTCACCTTTAATAAATGATTGCTATAATTTTGTTTAATAACGTAGTGTCACTTCCTAATTCAAGATCGCCCTGGACTGCAGTCTGAATCAACCTATTTTTTTGTAGTATTTAAATTTATAAGTTCCAAAATTGATCTGAAACAGTTTAGTTATACATTGGATGAAATATATTTATAGAAATCAGGATGATGGGGGAAATGAAAGCCTTATGGTTAACTAAATGATATCATCAGGTCTCCATTCTTGGCTCTGGTCTCCACCATGCCAGCCTCACACACAGACAGGCTCTCTCCTCTAGATGGCTCCATGGTTCCACGCTCACACCCTGTGGTCTCTGATTCCACGGACAGGGCCGGAATTCAGCCTGATTGGCTCAGATTGGGTCATGTGCTCATGCCTGAACCAGTCACTGTGGCTGGGGAAGCAAGGCTCTGATTGGCTAGACCTGGGGTTCTGGCTACCCCTCCATCTGGGGTGGGGTGATTTCTGCAGGACCCCTTAGGACCGAGAGGGTTTCTCCAGGGAAATAAGGAGGCTATTATCAGAGGCGAGCCTTCTGGTGGGGTGGGCAGAATCAGCAGATGTTGGTGGTGGCTGGAGTCACAGATGGGCTTTTAGTTTGCTAAAGCTGCCATAACGATGTGTCACAAACCGAGGGGCTTCAAGGACAGAATGTATTGTGTTCCCTCATAGTTCTGGAGGCTAGAAGTCCCCATTTAAGGTGCCAGCAATGTGAGTTCCTTCTGAGGGCTGTGAGGAAGAATACGTTCCATGTCTTCCCCTAGCTTCTCGGGGATGGATGGCTGGCAATCTTCGGCGTCCCTTGGCTTGTAGAAGCGTTACCCAATTGCTGCTCCCATCTTCATATGGCATTCTCTTGGTATGTGTGTCTCTACGTCCAGGTTTCCCCTTTTTACAAGGACACTAGTTATATTGAATTGGGGCCCACCCCAATGACCTCATTTTAAATTGATTGCCTTTCTTTGTAAAGGCCCTATTTCCAAATGAGGCCACATTCTGAGGTGCTAGGGATTAGGCTTTCGACATATAAATATTTGGAGGACACAACCCAAGCCATAACAGGCGTGACAGCTGGTACCCACCCAGATCCTCTTGACTGACCAGGGCACCAATTCTTTCTGGCTGCAGTGAGTATTAACCTCAGCTCAAGAGCGCTGACTGCAGACTCACCTTGCAAAGGCTAAGAGGTTAAACTCTCCCCACACGGTGACCTTCAGCTAATGACACAGGGTTCAAAAAAATCTATCTCACTGCCCAGGGCAGGAGAGCCGTGTGGTGCCACAGATGACGTTCCAGAGCTCCCCGTGGGCTCAGGCTGGGGGTGAACTCGCGTTGAGCCCATGCCCTGGTCTGGCTTCTTGCCTGCCCTCTGCTGCTTCCGTCACTCCCGTTCTCCTGAGGGTATGCCCTCCACAATCCCACACATCCCCACACATCTCCGTCTCAGGCTCTGCTTCTAGGGAGACCGACCTATATGGAATCTTCTGGAACAGCCATCCTCGGGCACCTGCCATCCTGTAGATCACGTTCTCTCTGTGAGGGGCTGATTCAGAAAGGGCTCTGTTGCCAAGCTCCCAGCAAGGCAGGGCTGGCATCGTGGGGTCTTGCAACCCAAGTTCCCGCTGCTCGTTTGTCGCAATTCTTCCCATGTCTGCTCAAGGTCCTCATGAAATCCGTCGTCTCCATATAATTTCCACATATCTCTCTGCTCTAGGTTTGATTAACAGCAAGTTATAAACAAATTTCAGGAAAAAGGAAACCAGCATCTCCCCAGGGCAGCCAGAGTCTATTGGCAGATGGCAAATTGCTTTGCAGCCAATATTTTTGTTTGCTTGATTTTTATACAGATAAAGAACTAAGCTAATTAATATACATTTCTTATCATCTTTAGGTCTTGGGAACCTCTTTGCTCCATAGTGAATTGATTACCAGGTTTCAATAAAGGGTCTGTCTTTGCAATTACAGTTCATTAATAGATTTAAAAGGGAGGGAGGATGGTTAAGTCTCACTAAGAGGATTATTTTGCATTTCTCTTCTTTTAATTACATGGCTTATGTCCTGGTTCAGAGTTCTGTGAAAGATGGGGGGAAAGTCCCAGCACCCCATCTGTTCCAGATGCCAATGCAATTAATAGGGGAGGAGACAGGAGCTTCTCAGGGGCTTCCTGCTAACTGAGGCTGCACCTGCCTCCTCTTCAGAGCTACCTTGTGGCTCGGAAGCTCAGCCACCAGAGCTCAGTTGGCAGCAGGTATGCTGGTGTAGGCAGGGGCTGTTCTGCCCACGGAGATGCAATATCTGGGGATTTGGGTCAGGACAGCCTTGGTCCTCTATTGAGCTCTCAGAATGTAAGCCCCTAACACATAGTAGGTACCCAAGAAGCACCTATTGCTTTTTGGGGAGATGGGGAGAATGATTCTCTTCGCTTGGGGGAGACTGTGAAATGAGGGGATGTGTGCAAAGTGCAGAGTACGGGCCGGGTGCCCTCGCTGTTCAAGACGAAGCTGCATGCTAAACACTTCTCCCTCCTCCTCCTCCTGCTCCTCCTCCCATCCTCCTCCACTTCCTCCCCTCCTCCTCCTTCTCCTCCTCCTCCTCCTCCTTCTTCTTCTTCTTCCTCTTCTTCTTTTTCCTCCTCTTCCTCTTCTTTCTTCCTTTTTTTTTTTTGAAAAGGTCTCACCTATTGCTTCTTGGGTACCTACTATGTGCTAGGGGCTTTACATGGATTTTCTAATTTAAACTTTGCTGTGATCCATTTTTACAGACCATTTTGCAGGTAGAGGAACTAAGGCAAACAAATGTGTGCAGGACCCTGGGCTAGATGCAGAGAGGTGGGAGATGAACATTTTCCAGACGTTAAAGGAGACCCCGCCTTGGGCACTGAAGTGGGAGCTGGAATTTGAAGTCAGGCCTGTTGTCTCAGAAATTTCTGTTATGTTCACTCTCTCTTTGCTGCTGTCTGGTGGCACTTTCTGTGCTTCAGTTTTCCTACCTGTGAAATGGGCCCCAGAGACTGGATGGAGTGAGTGTGAAGGCTCCTTCGGCTTTGGGGTGCTGTGTTTTGAAGAGGCTGGGCCTGGAATGGCAGGCGTGGGGCTGGTATGGGAGAGTCTGGTGTCGGGGACTCTGAGTCTCCAGAAATGAGGAGCCTTCAGTCCTCAGCACTAGGGTTGGCTCAGACCTGATCAGAGAGAGCTGGTTTTACCCCTGTCACTTGAGGGATATCAGTAGCATCTCACTCTTTAATCTCCTTTTCCCAAAAACTCCCAAGGTAGGCAATGACCTTGCTCATAGGACAAACCATGGGTCTGTGGTGTCAGAGAAGGCTACACCCCTTTCTCCAGCTGGGCCATCCTCCACATATGACTCTGGAGTGTCTGTGTGAGGGTCACCTCCACTTTCCCTGGCCTTTGTATGTGTAGAGTCTTTGTAATTCGGGGGGCAGCAGCCAAGACCTGTGTGTTGGGAGTGAAGTGGGGGCTGAGAAGGGGCACGCCCAGGAGACACCTTCCTGTGCCTTATCCTCTCTTGTTCCTATTTGCAAATGGCTAAGTCCTTTGTCCTCAAATCAGAATATAATTGTTTGTGAGCCCCAGTCACTGCAGCCTGGTGGGGGCAGGGGGATACTAGAGACACTGAGCAGAGGTGTTGGAGGAACCCCAACACAGACACCTTGGAGAGACCATGGACTCTTCCTCTTCCTCTTCCTCCTCCTCCTCTTCCTCCTCCTCCTCCTTCTCCTTCTTCCTCCTTCTTCCTTCTCCTTCTCCTCCTTCCTCCTTCCTGGTGTGGTGGGCCTTGTCCCTGGCATGGCCTGTGGCTGTGGTCATGTGACTGCAGCTCTGGGGCTCAGTTTGCTCCCCTGGGAGATGGCAAGAATAATTCTCCTTGCTTAGGGGAGACTGTGAAATAAGGGGATGTGTGCAAAGTGCAGAGTACGGGCTGGGCACCCTCACTGTTGAAGATGAACATGCTAAACACTGCTGTTCTTCACAACAGCTTCAGGACGCAGGTACTATTTGATCCCATCTTCCAGATGGGGGAAAATGAGGCTCAGAGAGCAAGCCCTTGCAGTGGTAAAGGGAAGGGCTGGGACTTGAACCTGGGCCTGTCTGCCCCATGAGGCCCCTGATGCTTCTCTTCCCCAGTGGAAAACCTCTCATTCCCCCATGTACTCTTCAGGGGACTTGGATTGGTGTCCCTGCCTGGATTGGTACCATGTCTGGACTCCCCATGCCCTTCCCCATAGCCCCTACTACTTCCCAGAAGCTTCTCTGCCTGTTCCCTACCCTGCCATTGTTGCCAGGGCTCGTTTGGATGTGGCTGCCTTTCTGGAAGGTTCTGTTCCCTTTTCTTATTGTCAGATTTTCACTTGCAGTTTCCTCTTTGTTTGCGGTAGGACCCTTGGCACCTGAACAGAAGCCACCTTTTGGGTTCTCTCCCTGGGGTGGTGCAGAGCCTGGAATCCTGCCCCTCAGTGCCTGGGGCTTCCTCTGGGAAGAAGGAGGAGCACGTGGTGAGTACCCCAGTGTGCGTCCCATTCTCGGGTCCCTTGGGGTCATCACAGCCTTGGATCCCCCTGATGGGCTTTCCCATACAAGGCCCATGCTCAGCCGGCCCCTTCCAGCTGCCGTGGAGTTTCCTTTGCCCAGACCCTGCCTGGGAGCAGCAGGTGTGGATGGGGCCTCTCCAGGAAGGAGAGGAACTGGCCTTGCCCTGGGCTGGGTTGGGCTGGGCTGGGCTGGTAGGGGCCAGGCCATGTCCACCCAGGGTGCCGCCTTCTCTTGGATCCTGCCACTTCTCCAATAGCAACTGGAGCTGCCCAGGGAGTGGGGTGTACTCACTGGGATATGCATGGGTTGTGCATGCACAAACATTTTATATTTCATAGTTTCCCAGTCATGTATGTATTTTAATAGTATCAGGAAAAAGCCCACAAGCAATTAGTGGATTGAAGCCTTGATTTCATGGATATTGTTGCTCAGAGTGAGACAAATGGAAAACAGGGGCCCCATTTCAAATCAGTTTAAAGGGACGTGTGAGTCAACATTGTATAAGGGGAGGGTGGGGACAGCGAAACGCCTGAAAGTATCAGAGAAGCTTCTCCAGTGTGGGAGATGCAGAGGAGGCCTCTGAGCTCCAGAGTTAGACACCCGGGGCCAGTCTGGCTCTGTCTGGGGCTGAGGGGCCTTGGGCAGGTTGCTGCACCTCTGTGAGCTTAAGTTTCCTCATCTGTGACGTGGGGTGAGCCATAGCAGCTCACAGGGTTGTAGTGAGGGTTGATGAGATGAAGAGGGTGGTGTGCTGGAAGGAGCTTGGCACAGGGTCGGCCCAGTCAGAGTAGTGGGGATTGGTGTGATCATTATTATTGTTATTAGTAGTGTCACTGTTATCCTTAGGGTGGATGACTTCTTCTTCTTCTTCTTCTCCTTCTTCTTCTTCCTCTTCCTCTTCTTCTTCTTCCTCCTCCTCCTCTTCCTCCTCTTCCTCTTCTTCTTCTTCCTCCTCCTCTTCCTCCTCTTCCTCTTCTTCTTCTTCTACTTCTTCTTCTCCTCTTCCTCCTTCTTCCTTCTCCTTCTCCTCCTTCCTGCTTCCTCCTTCCTCCTTCTCCTTTTCTCCTCCTTCTTCCTTCTCCTTCTCCTCCTCCTGCTTCTTCCTTCTCCTCCTTCCTCCTTCCTCATTCTCCTTCTCCTTCTCCTCCTTCCTTCTTCCTTCTTCCTTCTCCTTCTTCTTCTTCTTCTTCTTTTTTTTTTTTGAAAAGGTCTCACTGTTGACCAGCTTGTAGTGCGTTGATGTGATCATGGCTCACTGCATCCTCAAAGTCCTGGGCTCAAACAATCCTCCCACCTCAGCCTCCCAAAGTGCCAGGATTATAAGCATGAGCCACTCTGTGCCTGGCTCCTCAGGGAAGTTATTCTGGGTGAAGTGACCCATGGCTTTCAGTAGGGAAGAGACTGAGAGCTCGACACCCCAATCCTCGCAAAGCATCCTGTGGGCAGTCCCCACTAGGGTGTCCTCCTCGAACCTTGAGCAGGACAGCTGGCCATGTGGGAGAGGGCCTGGCTTGGGGCTAGGCAGGCTGGGTGTAAGTCCAGCTTGGCCGCCCACTGGGGAGCTGAACAGCCTCTCAGAGCTGCCCTGTCCTTGACTATAGGCTGAGACCACAAGATCCACCTCTCAGGGTGTGAGAGGGGAGTGGCTTGTGCCCTCCCCACGGCCAAGTCTACTGGGCTCTGGGCTCTGGTTTCCTCTCTGCGACAGGCCACCCCTGGACCCCAACCTTCCTGCTGGAGAGCAGCTGAGATTGGGATGGGTGGGCAGGGGGCTGCCCTGGGATGTCCCGGGGGACTCAGTACTGATCCCGTCTCTTCCAGAGTTCCAGCCCCTCCATGCCTATTCTCTCATTTCTCTCCTTCCCAGAAATCAAATTTCTTCCCAGAGAAGCCTGAACTAACCCTGGCAGGACAGCTGCTGCTCAGAGCCCACTGAGAATTCAGCCAATTAAATGGGGAAATATGGGAGAAGACCTCCATGGTGGGGCAGGGCGAGTCCACCAGAAGAATAAACAGACATGAAAGACAAGGGGCTCCTGGCTCCTGCTGCCCAAGCTGCTCATGCCAAGGGAGAGTCACGAGAAAACTCCACTCAGCAAAGGTCCTGTCTCGCTCCTCATAGTTAATATGCTGGGAAAACAGCAACCCCGGCAGCAGCCGTGTGTTCAGCCGGGATGCATCTGCCAAGGGCTGAGCTCATAGCTTCGCCACCTGGGGCTTCAGGGCCCGTTTAACCCACTCAGACATGGAGGTGCTGGGAGGGGGAGACTGGGGTGAGCCATGGGAGGGGGGAATCTGGAGTCAGTGACCAGGACCCTGCATTTTGATGCAGAGAGGAGCTTAGAGATCTTTGGCTCAACGTCCTCCTGCAGATTCTGAAACAGGAGGAGAGGGTCCTGGAACCTTCCTTCTCACACTCGGGTGGAGGATTTTCAGATCTTGCAGTCCCCTCCATGGCAGCTGTCACACATGGGATCTCAGAGTCAGAGCTTCTTTCATGAGCTCCAAGACACTTTCATAAAAGCTTTGAATCACAGAATCTGAGCATCTGCTCCCTGTCACAGAATCCTAGAATCCCAGGATCACAGAATCATTTGTGGACTCACAGACTCAAGACTCTCAGAATGAAAGGATCTCTGGGGAAGACTTGGAGACTCACCCACGCAGCTCAGACCCCTGGAATCACAGAACAATCGGGAGAAGTGATATTAGAAGATATCTAATATCGTGGAATCAGCATCTTAGCACAGGACGTGACCTTAGCCCAGTTCCCCCTGGTCATGCGGGAAGTCCTCTCTTCACTGTCCTGGGTAATGGTTTGAACTCTGGTAGAGACGGTGAGGTCACCATCTGACAGGGTCACCTGTTCCATTCTTGGGCAGATCAGGCTGCTGGTGCTGAGACTAAATTTGCCTCCACATGACCCACCTACCAATCTGGCTCCTGGCTCCTCCTCCCACGAAGAACTGAATATGTAAGGTGATCTGGACACCCACACAGAGGCTTAACACAGCCAAGCACAGCTTGGTCCTTGGCCAGAGGTGTCTGCCTCCCTCTAGGGCAGAGTTGGGCACCAGGACGCAGGAACCGATGGGGCTGCTTGGCTCACTTCAGTTCAATTCAGTTCACCCAAACAAGCAAGAGGTGTCCAGTCTGCTCCTCTTCTGGAGGAGGGGCCGGTCAGGGACAGGGGTGGGCAGGTAGGAACGCCCACCAGGAAGGAAGCTCAGTGGTGCTCTGGGAGAAGGAATGATCCTGTTCTCAGGGGTAGAGAGGATGCCTGGGGCCAGAGGTGACAAATAAGGCTGGTCAGAGTTATCCCAGCCCTGCCGCTGACCATGAGGTAACTTTGGGAAATCACTCAATGCCTCAGAGCCTCAGTTTCTCCATCTGAGAAATGGGATCATGAAGCCCCCTCTGTGTGATTGGTGCAGGGCTGTGTTGGGATTCACGCAGGGCACTCACCTCCCAGCACGGCTCTTGGCACAGCCAAGGCAAAATATATTAATTCCCTCCTGTCCCTCCATCCTTGGGCCTGGGGGATGAGCAGGATTCTCCAGATGGAGAAGATCTGGGAAAGGCATTCCAGGCGCAGGGAACAGCCTGTGCCAAGCCCTGGGAGCTGGGAGCATTTGAAGACTCGGAGTGTCAGGATGTGGGGGCAAAGTGCAGGCCTGGTCTGGGGGCAGTGGGCCCTGGATGCCACCATCCAGGATGGTGGGGTGAGGGCGCTGGGAGCCATAACAGGCACAGGTAGCCTCCTGCAGAGACCCTCCACCCTCCTTTGGTGCCCAGTATCAGCCTGGGGAGAGAGTGTAGCTGCCCAGCCTCCTGGGACCCCACCAGCCAGGCAGCAGCAGAAAAGTGGAACCAATGAAAACACACCAGAAACAATCATCACACAGACGAGGTCCGTGCCCAGCCAAACCCCAGCCCTGAGCACATGGAATGATTTGATGCTGAAACCCAGCACCGGAACATTAGGGCAGTTTAGAAGGGTCTGGCACGGTTTTATTCTGACATAAAGGGCTGGATCTCATTAAGTTCACTTCAAATGCCAACTGGGGAATAAATGAGGCCAAGTCCCCTGATGAGCCTGGGCCCTGGTACCAGCCCAGGGTAGATGTCAGGGAGCAGCCGGAGGCACGTTGTGGGGACACAGGAAGCTGGGATCTCAGCTCTCTCCCCATGAGCTGTGTGACGTGGGGCATGTTGCCTAACCTCTCTGTGCCCACGCTCCTCCTACAGGGCAGGGTTGACGCTGGTGGCTCTTGTGCAGGGCAGCAGTGTAGACTGAAGGAGGCAGCCCCAGCTCCCTCACACCTGGGCTTCACTCTGTCTCCTGTTCCCCGGGCGGTCATTCATTCTTCTCTCCCATTCCCCCGCCCGCCCACTCAGGACCTGCACCCTCATTCACCAGGCGTGGGTTTATTCCCCATCAGCCCCGAGCTCCCCTTCCCCAGTGCATTTACTCACCGCCCAGCCCTCCCTCAGCCCCCAACCCGTGCATGACTCTGGCCTCTGCTGTGAGAAACCAGGATCCCTCCTGTGCCTGTGAAGGGGGCTGGGCAGTTTAAAGAACGCAGTGTGACTTCATTTAGGCCTCAAGTCCCCCAGGTCCCCACCCAGCTTCCTCCTCCTAGGTCACTCAGGGGCAGGGCATTAATGGGTGGTCCCTTGGGGGGAGTCCAGAGCTGCCCATTGGAGGGGAGCCTGCCACCTCTTAGTGCTGTCTGTGTGACCTGGGCCAGATCACCTTTCCTCACTCTGCCTAGGAAGTCCTTTCACCTCTGGGTGTGGGGAGTTGTCTGAGCCTCCTTGTGGCTCTGGGCTGGGAGAAGGCTCTGCCTCTGGCCAGTTTGCAGAGAACAGAGGTCGTTATCCATCCTGCTTCTCACGGCCCTTTTTGTATCTATATCTATGTCTGTGTCTAGGTCTATGTCTGTGTCTATATCTATCTATGCCATCTCTCTCTGTCTCTATCTATCTATCTATCTATCTATCTATCTATCTATCTATCTATCTATCTATCTTTTTTGAGACAGAGTCTCACTGTCGCCTAGGCTGCTGTGCGATCTCGGCTTACTGCAATCTTCACCTCCTGGGTTCAAGCAATTCTCCTGCCCAAGCCTCCCCAGTAGGAGAGATTACAGGTGCCTGCCACCATGCATGGCTAATTTTTTTGCTATTCTTAGTAGAAAAGGGGTTTCACCATGCTGGCCAGGCTGGTCTCGAACTCCTGACCTCAGGTGATCCGCCCGCCTCGGCCTCCCAAAGTGCTGGGATTACAGGCATCAGCCACTGCGCCCGGCCTATGCCATCTATATTTGTATCTAATTTGTTCTCCCAGAAAACTGAGCTTGGGAGGTCTTTCCCCTTGAGCCTCTCTCTTATGACTAGAAGGTGCTGATGGTGGTGGGGACTGAGCCTGGTTTAGGGTCAACTCTACTGAACTGGGAGGTGACGAAGCAGATCATTTTCAGAATCTGTTCCATTTTTTACCTTGATGAAGTGTATCCTGCAGCTAAGTGCCCACTGGTCGGTTGCAGTAATTAATCAACTTTATTGCCTATACTTGAGGTCTCTGGAGCCTTGGCATGCAAATATATGTAAATGAGCAGAGGAGTGGGTTGAACCTAAAGCCTGGGGAGTGTCTGCCTGGATTGGGCTGATTTCTCTGTTCACGTTTCCTGCCGTAATCTTCCCGTGTTCCCTGGGAGCAGGAGAATGGGGGGCAAGGAGAAGGAGCCTTAGAGTCAGAGACACCTGGGTTCAAAGTCCAGCCCACCTCTTCCTGCTGTGTGTGATCCTGGGCAAGTCCCTGCACCTCTCAGCCTGCGTGTCTCCATCCCCTACAGTGGCAGTAATGATCCTCTTCTCACCGTGCAGGGCTCTGGTGGGCCCAAGGAAGCAGCGCTCAGAAAACACAACTTGCCTTAAGAAGCAGCGCCTCTCAGAGCTCCTAAATTACGCATTTCTGAGGTGGCGGGGAGGAGAGTGCAGTCATCTGGGCTTCGCAGCCCTGGCAGAGCAAGTGCTCCTTGAAAGGAGATGCTACAATTTCCCCTAATGAATGGCAACTGCTGCTTAATCCAGTCCTTGCCTCCTTTCCCGTCCAGTTCGGTGTGTTTTATGTGCGACCTTTGCTGAGTGCAGCCATTCCTCTGGGGGAGAATTTTTTATTTGAAATTTGAACAGCCTGGAAGACTTATTCTAAATAATGGATGTAAAGTGTGTCTGTGCAAAAACCACACGAATTATGTTAGGAAACCTAGGCTGAGTTGGGCTCCAAGTCCTGCTGGGACCTCTGAAGAGTGGGGCTGGGGACCCAAGGCTGCTCTGATCAAGGATTCATACAGGAGCTTCTTTCATCGTTGATTTTGCATTGGACGCAACTTATAGAGTTTGCAGGTCTTTTTCAGGAGAGGTGGACATTGAGGTTTACTGAGCACCCACTGTGTGTGAGGGCCGCGGATGTGCTACTCCCAGCAACCCAGGTACTCATTAAATGTCAGGAGGAGGATTTATGTCTATGTTTATATCTATCTATGCTCCTGCTCTCCTGCAGGCCCCGATGTAGACAGCACCTCCTTAGGGAGCTCCCTGACCCCCCAGGTTGGGCTAGGGGCCCCTGTGGCTCCCACGTTGTCTGTGTGTCCCCCATCAGATCGCACGGTGCTGCCACCATCTGTCTCCCCCGGACTGAGGGTCTGGAGGGCAGCGATGACATCTCTGTCCCCGTGTGGTGACCACATAGCTCTGCCCTCCCTGACTATGGGGCCTGGACCAGTCTCCTCACCACTCAGGCCCTAGTGTCCTCATCTGTCAGACGGGTGACAGTCCACATCCCCCAGGCTTGCGACACGTGTGAGGGCTCAGGCACGGTGATGGTAGAGGCAAGGGCGCGAGCTGGGTGACCTCAGCCTCCCCTCCTCCCTCCGTACTTCCCTCCATCCTCAACTCCACCTCTGAGGGGCCTGGGCTCCGCTCTCCTGCAGGATTGCCACCCCCACCCCCGCACCTTCTCCCAACCTTCAGAGGAGAGGTAATTAAAACTTCCTCCAGCACCATGTCCTGAAGTTCCCTGCTTAATTAGCACAACCTGCTACTCAGGAGTTACATAACATGGACGCGGCCTCCCTGCCCTGGAGAAGTGTGTTGACGTCTCCCTGCAGGACCAGTTACATAATTTGTAGGGCCCAGTGAAACACGGATATGTGATGCCCTTGTTTAAAAAGCGGAGAACAAGAAATGCCATGACATATACTTTAATATAAAGTTTTTTCTTTTCCGCCGAAGTCTCTCCCTTGTCATGTTATTTTTTATTTGCTATTTAATGTTCTAAGTAAAAATTTAGAACTTTAGATTATTAGCATGAACTTTATCATTCATTTTTATGTTATGCAATGCCAGTTTTAAATACAAATTATAGGAGCATTCAACGACAAACAGAATCACTGAAATGATACAATTTGTATCTCATGGGTCATTCATGCGCAGGTATTTCATTCTTATCAGAAGAGTGGAAATTCAGCACAAAATTAAGTGCTTTTATTTCACTTCTTGATATGCACATTCTGCCAACAAGCTCTACCTTTGGATCATGACTGAGTAAAGAAAGATTGGAAGGAAAAGAAACCATGAGTTGCCTTGTCTTTTCCTTTCTCTCCATCATCATTTGCAGTGCAAATAGTTGGTTAGTGCAGGGCAGTAAGGCAGGTAAGAAAGGACATGATAAGGTTCTTGGTCATTTATATTTCTTAGAACACCATTGCCTCTTTCTGCATTTGAAGACCGTTCTGGTTCAAACAGGAAGGGTGGTCTTTCAGGGGCTGTCAGCATCCCCACTCACTTGGTCACAGACATAACACTCCTGTCTTGTGCTCACTTTGCATCTCGCTGACCTCGTACACACCTAGAACTCTCAGTTCACAGGATATTGTGAGTGTTCTATGCAGATGGGGCAGCAAGAAACAGCAGACACATAGAGCGTGGATCTCCTCTGCTCACTTGCGTATACTCCACTGGACTTCACTTACAAAACACAAGTTCAGAGATAAAGTTGTTAAGAATTTCAAGACAGCAACAGCAGAGCATTAAACCAAACCTAAGGTCTTCTGAGGGCAGGGCCCTGCGTGGCTGCGCAGGTCACATGTGCAGGAAGCTGGGCCTATGTTCTTTTTTTTTTTTTATTTTTTGAGATGGAGTTTCACTTTTTTCACCCAGGCTGGAGTGCAGTGGCGTGATCTCAGCTCACTGCAACTTCTGCCTTCTGGGTTCAAGCGATTCTGCTGCCTCAGTCTTCCGTGTAGCTGGGATTACAGGTGTGAGCCACTGCACCCAGCCGGCCTATGTTCTTGATGGTTTTTTAAAAATATTTCTGTCCTTCTGCTGAACTCCAAGTTCAGTTTTCTTCCAAGTGGCTGGGGAGGGATGGGTCGGCCATTAGGACACTGGGCGAATCACATCAGGGTCGGAAAGGCCCTGGACAGAATGTACAGGAGGAGAGTGGGATGTAAAATTCTGACATCTTCTTTCCTCTTCTGCTCCCAGCCCTCTCCATGTCTGCACTGTCCCTGAGGACTGTCAATTCTGCCTCAGAAACATCAGCTTTGGAACCCAGTTCATGTTTAGATGTGGACCTTGCCACATACGTATTTCTCATGAGTCTTATTCCACATGGCCATGGCCACCAAGTCTTGCTGATTCCACCTGCTGCCTTGTAACAGATCTGTCTCCTTCTCCCCTCCAGGCCACCACCATCACTCACCCGAGGACTATAACAGCTTCTTACTGGGTCTGCCCAGCCCCGCCCTTATTTCCTGATTCTTCCCCAGAGTGTGCTCCACTCTGGTCACTGGGTATCCTCCCTCATCACTTTCTAATTTTCTGGGATTCAGAAGATTATTTTCACTAACACGGCATGATGGAATTGGGTATGGACAGGAGATTAGGAAAGGTTTGAAACTACGAACAGTTTTGCAAACTTGGCAGAATTGATCCAGGCACCACCTTCCCTCTCTCCTTTCCTTTGATGCCCAGAACATCCTGTTGTCCTGGTAGAGGGAATCCAGGGCTCCTGCCGCTGTCACGAGGTCCCCTCAATCCTGCCTCAAGGCTCATCCTCTCATCTCTCAGCTTGGCATCCCTCCTTTCCTCTGAATTCTTGCTGTTCCTCCTGGGGTATCTGCTAATCCATGGCTGGCCTCCCAGTGTCTCTTATGTTGAAGCTTCTTAAAAAGAAACCCACACCCTGGAATAATTCCTGTTTTCCACAAAGCAGACAAATGTTAATTACGGTCAGTATCTTTCTTATCTGTCTCCTTTGGAAATCTCCATCTCTGAGCTCTGTGACAAAGGAATTAGCCTCTGATTAGAGGAAGGCAATACCATTCTGAGATTGTGTTTTTCTGTTCTCAGAGACTACAGGCAGCAAGGGAGGACGAAGGAAATAGGAAGAGAAAGAGGGGAAAAAACAAAGAAAATAAAAGAAAACACTGTTCCTTTGTTTGCGCAGGGGATTGAAGCACAGGGCTTTGTGCATGGCCAGTCCCTGGTGACCCTGGAGGAGAAGGGCAGCAGGTGACCATGGGTGAGACAAATAGAACCTGCAGAATCCGAAGTTGGTTTTTATGCCTCTGACACCTGCACACATTGTACTTTTCACACTGCTTGGTTCCAGCAAAAACACACTGATTTCTTAGAAGAAAAAGATCAAGTGAGCTGAACTCTTCATGTCCCTGGCACAGATCTGAGTGGGTGGGGTGCAGCATGTTTCTGTGCAAACAGCCCTGGACCCAGCTGCCGTTGTGCTCATCACAGACTCTGATAGCTCCAGAGTTGGAGATGTGATAGGGACCAAAATGGGCCAGGTTTTCTTTCTGAGTTAGACCCTGACTCTGGGCTGCAGAGACCTTAAGGGAGGAGCGCACAGGGGAACATGTGCACCCAGCTGGGGGTCTGCTGTAGCTAGCGATCTCACGCTAGCTAGCACGGAAATGCAGCAGGTCATCACAGGAAGGCTGGTCTGCACAGCCTTAAGATCTTCCTGTACTCAAGGGAACAGCCATCCCTTGCAAAGCACCTCGCTGGGAGTCCCTGGGGTGGTTCACGTGGGTTCACAAACCAACCTACCAACTACAGTCACCAGGTGGAGGCTGTGCTGTCCTCCCCCTGGCTGTTTCAGTGATCTCTACTCAAGGAGCCTCCAGAGGTGCCTGGAGGTGCCCTATTGGTGGTGTCCCAGCAGAGATGGGGATGGCAGTGTCCTTGCCAAGGGGTCTGGTCCTCATGCTCTCTGAGGTGTCCATCATCTAATTACCAGAGTAGGGGTGAGTTTCACACAGAAGCAGAGAAAATTTCCCCTTCCTGGCTCCATAATACACTTCACCTCCTGGTTCCTGAACACCTGCTAAATGCCAAACTCTGCTGGCAGTGACACTACTGAGACAAAGAAGATGAGGTTCTAGTCTCTGTCCTTGGGAAGTTCTGCATCTCAAAGGGGTATAAACTTCAAGCCAGGGGAGTGATTGGGCACATGCTTGGCTGCTTCCCCAGTCCCCCCATTTACTAGAGTTGGAAGCGAGAGTGTTTCAGTGTTAGCTAATGGCTCAAGCCTTGGACAAGGTCTGTACTGGCCTCCTTACAGCATTCTGTACCTGTGCATGGGAGAGAGATTTATTCAAATAAATAAATTACAATCTAGTTGATAATGACTCCTGTATAAGAAGTTACATAGGCCAGGCGCGGTGGCTTACGCCTGTAATCCCAGCACTTTAGGAGGCTGAGGCAGGCGGATCACAGGGTCAGGAGATTGAGACCATGGTGAAACCCTGTGTCTACTAAAAATACGAAAAATTAGCTGGGTGTGGTGGCAGGCACCTGTAGTCCCAGCTAGTCGGGAGGCTGAGGCAGGAGAATGGCGTGAACCCGGGAGGCGGAGCTTGCAGTGAGCCGAGATGGCGCCACTGCACTCCAGCCTGGGTGACAGAGCGAGACTCCGTCTCAAAAAAAAAAGAAAAAAAAAAAGAAGAAGTTACATAGTCAGAAGCAGTAGAAAGAAGAAGATTTACTCTACAGGGATTGGGAGAGGGCAGGGGGTATTTTTCAGAGATTGTGGCCTCTACTTGGGCTTTTGATGGATGAATAGGAGTTTGCTCATTGGATGAGCTGGGGAAAGACATGTTTAGGAGAACAAAACACAATGTATGCCAAAGGATGGAGGCAGAAAACAGCAGAGACTTTCTAGGGATAGTAAGCATATGAGAAGTGGGTTGAGGAATGGTCACAATCAGCTCTAGAAGGACCTTGAATACTAGACGAAAGAGTGTCTGGCTAGTGGCTCTGTGGTATTTATACACTGTTTCCCCACACGGTTGACAGGAAATGTTGGTTCACTTTGATTTTTTGGAGGGCATAATTCCTGGGAAATTGTGGTGTTGGGTGTCTGGGTGAAAAAGCCTGGAATAACAGATTCTTGGCAAATTCATTCTACACTATGAGAAATGTTAAAGAGAATCCTTCAGGCAGAAGGAAATAATACCAGATGAAAATATTGATTTACACAAAGAATGAAAATCACAGGAAATAGTAACTACATGGGTAAATAGTAACTACATGGGTAAATAGTAAAAGGTTTTTTATCTGATTATTTAGAAGACCTTTAGAAGATAATTACCTGGTTATAAATTAAAAGCAATGACAATGGATTGTGGGATTTATAACAAATGTAGAAGTAAAACGTATCAGAAAATATAGCACAGAGGCCAGGAAGGGAGAAAAGAATGTATACGTTGTAAAATTCTCATACTGTATGATACTATGTCATATTATAATAGTAGGATATAGTATGAAGTAGTATGATGTCACTTGAAGGTAGGCTGTGATAGTTTGAAAATGTATACTATAAACCATAAAGCCAGCTACTAATATAACAAAACAAGGAGATGGTGCTAATAAGTTAATAAAGAAGATAGAATGGAATCACATGCACACACAAAACTCAATCTGAAAAATGGCAGAAAAAGAAAAAAGGGAACAAAGAACAGTTGAGAAGCATAGAAAACAAATGACAAGAGACTTTAACTATACTAATAATTACATTAAACATAAATGGTCTAATTACCTGAATTAAAAGGCAGAGATTGTCATATTGGATAAACAGGCAAGATCCAACTGTATGTTGTCTATAAAATGCACTTTGAATATAAAGAAACAAATAGCTTAAAAGTAGAAGGCATTGAAAAAGATATGCGATGTTAATATCAAAACAAAGCTGGAGTGGTCATATTAACATCAGAAGAAATAGATCTCAGAGCATACAACATAACCAGGGATAAAGAAGGACATTTCCTAATGATAAAGTGATTAATTCATCAAGAAGACATAAGAATCCTAAGCTTTTATGCCCCCAATTGCAGAGTTTCAAAATACATGCAACAAAACTAATGAAACTGTAAGGAGAAATAGACAAATCCATAAGTATAGTCAGAGATTTTGATATTCTTCTGTCAATAACTGATTTTTAAAAGTGAACAGAAAATTGGTAAGGCTCAGAAAACTTGCATAACACTGTTAAACAACTCCACCTAATTGATATTCATAGACCACTGTTTCCAACAACAGAAAAATATACATTATTTTCAAATGCACATTAAACATTTATCAAAACAAACCTCATTCTTGGCCATAAAATAATCTCAATAAATTTAAAAGGATTTAAGTTGTCAAACTATGTTCTGGCAGTAATAGAATTAAATTAGAAATGAAAATAAGAACTTTCCCTATAAACCCCACCAAGTTTGGAAGTTAAAAACACATTTGTAGGCCAGGCACAGGGGCTCACACCTGTAATCCCAGCACTTTGGGAGGCCGAGGTGGGCAGATCATGAGGTCAAGAGATTGAGACCATCCTGGCTAACACGGTGAAACCCCGTCTCTACTAAAAATACAAAAAAACTAGCTGGGCATGGTGGATGTGCCTGTAGTCCCAGCTACTTGGGAGGCTGAGGCAGGAGAATGGCATGAACCCAGGAGGCGGAGCTTGCAGTGAGCTGAGATCTCCCTGCTGCACTCCAGCCTGGGCGACAGAGCGAGACTCCATCTCAAAACAAAACAAAAACAAACAAACAAACAAACAAACAAACAAACAAAAAACACATTTGTAAAGTTACCTGTGGATCAAAGAAAAACAAAAGGGAAATTAGAAAGTATATTGAACTGAATGTAAATGAAAGAACAGCATGTCAACATTTGTGGGATGTCCCTAAGGCAGTACTTTGAGGAAAATTTATGGCACCAAAAATTTATATTAGAAAAGAAGAAATATCTCAAATTAATGACTGTAGCTGCTGCCTTAGGAAACTAGAAAAAGAAGAGCAAATTAAATTCAAAGTAAGCTGAAGAAAGAAAATAATAAAAAACAGGGAGGAAATCAAAGTGACTTCTAGGACTTATGCTGAGCCTGCCAGGGAAACTTTTTGACCTCTGGAGCAGGTGTATTGTTGCGGCAGACATCTCATCTTTATCAATGGAGAGCAGGTCTGAAGATGTAGCCAGATAAGAAAAATTGGAAAAGAGAGATAGGGAGAGAGAAACCAAGTTGTGGGGAGATCATGGGCTCACCCTAGATGAAGCCAGGTCAGAAACTGAACTCCTCATAATCCTTTCAGTTACTGCGTTTGATATATTCAATTTTTCTTAAGTTCAGATTGGGTTTTCTATCATCTGCCTGTAAAAATTCCAAATGGTTCATGTTGTTTTATCTTTGCTGGGAGAGGCTGTGGATGGGGCTCCATGTTTCTTCCCACATTATCATGTCACTCCCCACTACTAAATAAACTATTTGAACTTATTATTTGCATTTTACAGATAAGGACACTGAGGCCTAAGGCTCCCAAACTGGGAGATGGTTAAGCCTCTCTCTCACTCAGTTTCCTTCCCCAATCCCACCATTCTAGCTCAGTGCTTTGCCTCGCAGGTGTCAGCCAACAAAGCCTAGAGAACTCTCTCCAGCCATCACCACTTGCCCCCAGTTGGTCCCTCCCCTCACCTATGGACCTGTGCAGGAGACTCCAGAGCCTTCATGCCTGGCTGCTTAGGTCAGGAGTCAGAAGGAAGGTCAGTGACGTGGGGGCAGAAATCTGAACACTGGAGAAGGCCAGGTTTAGGGACACATAGGATTTTGGGAAATAATTATTAGGAACCCTTGTCTTGAGTTGAAGAGCTGTTAGAAATCACACAAGTATGTACCCAGGGGAGGGGTTATTTAGCCAATTGTACAAGGTTTAACAACTCACCCAGTGCCACACAGCGCAGTTCTAGAGAATGAGAGATGCTGAAGCCTGCAATGCTTCAGGTTTGGCTCTGGAGACAGAGGAGATCTGGGTTCAAACTCTAATGCTGCCTCTTAGAAAGTATTCTAAATTTTAAAATTTAAAAAAATATAAAACATGCTGCCTCTAGTGGGGAGCATGCTTAATTCCTCTAAGCCTCAGTTTCCTTTTCTGTAAAATTCTACCTCAGAGGGTGTTTGAGAGAATTAATTGAAAAAAATGCGTGTAAAGCACTTAGCAGAGAACTGCAGCCATAGCAACCAAGGAATATATGACTTATGGTGAAGGTGACGACCACTGTCCATGGGGGAGAGGCCTCGCCTGTCTTGTTTGCTGCAGCGTCTTTGGGGCCTGTCCTGGCTTGGCACATAGTAGGTGTTCAATGCATGGCATTGGAGCCCCCAACTCCATCACACAGCTGAATGGACTGATGTTTTCTGTTTCACAAAACTGATCTGTGCCCTGCAGGTCGAAGGCCAACAGAGCAGCTGTCTGCGCTTCTGTGGGTCCATGTGGAACTGACATCCTCTTGATGGGGCTAGTGTTGTCTCTTCTGCCACAATGGGATGGAGTCCCCCAGAACCTGCCTGATGCTCCCTCTGCCAAAAGTGACAGCAACACAACAACGTGGCTCTCAAGCAGGAGCCCATTTTGCGGTCCTCCCACTTTTCTCCCTCTTTTTATTTCAGCCCTTAGAGTATCTCATTATGAACTCTAGTCATTTAATGTACCTGTTGGGCTGTGGCGGAGCTGGTGGCAAAATGTCAGAGAGGCAAGTTCTCAGTACTCTTTGCTTAAGGGTTTATCTGTATAATGTCATGTGGCTGGAGCCCCTCCCACCAACAGCTGGAGACATTTCAAAACTATGTGAGCTCACAGGGCATGTGTGCACAATGGGAGAACACTGGGCAGACACAGCCAAGCCCTTGCCAGGAAGTGACCATCTTGGCCTGTCTTGCTATGCTCTGAGGACCTGGCTCAACTCATATGCACTTCCCCATAACTACATAGAATTGAAAGCAATTTTCTTGAGATAAGAGTGGAGATGGCCTGGCACACTCTACCAGAAGCTGTAGCCAGCAGGGCCAGCATCATGGCCCCAGGACCTTCACTTCAGGGTAGCACAAGGGTGTAGAACCCAGAAGAAAGAATGTATCACAGGCAGCTGCTGGGTTGGAGTTATTCACCTCTCCCTGCATCTTAATATACATATTTTTAAATTGAACTTTTATTTTAGGTTCAGGTGTACATGTGTAGGTTTGTTATACAGGTAAACTTGAGTCATGCGGGTTTGTTATACAGATTATTTTGTCACCCAGGTATTAAGCCTAGTGCCCCTTAGTTACTTTTCCTGATCCTCTTCCTCCTCCCACTCTCCACCCTTCAATAGATCCCAGTGTGTGTTGTTCCCCTCTACGTGTTCATGTGATCTCATCCTTTAGCTCCCACTTATAAGTGAGAACATGTGGTATTTGGTTTTCTGTTCCTGCATTAGTTTGCTAAGCATAATGGCCTCCAGCTCTATCCATGTTCCTGCAAAGGACATAATCTCATTGTTTTTTATGGCTGCATAGTATTCCATGTTTTATATATATATATATCTCACATTTTCTTTATCCAGTCTACCACTGATGGGCATTTATGTTGATCCCATGTCTTTGCTATTGTGAATAGCGCTTTAATGAACATACACCTTCCTGCACCTTAATCTTAATTAGAGTATCTTTCTTCTTTAATTTAGAAAGTAATACAAGTGCGTTGTAAACATACATTTTAATTTAGAAATGTATTACAAGTGAGTTATACACTTTTACATCACACAATGTAAAAGTATATAAGAATAAAATGAGGGGATTTGCTTCTGGACAAGATGGAGTTACAGGGACTGAATTTTTCCTGCCACAAATTGAGCACAATATATACAATTAAAAAAATATAAAACAACAGTACACAAGATACTGGACAACAGGCGATGAATGGTGGTCTCTGAGAGATGGAAAACAAATGATGTGAGCCCTGTGATGTCACCGGCTTACTGCTCTGAGAGAGCTTTCAGTGGTATGTTGTGCAGGGAGGGGGAATCCAAACAGAACACAGTGGACTCCTTGAGTAGAGGAGACGGTGCTGAGAGTCTAGGAAGACCAATGTGCTTAGAGTTCACAGGACAGAGTCCTGGAAAGGAGAGAGCGATGCAGAGAGAGAGATCTGCAGAATGTCCTTTCAAGTATTCACCTGAGTTCTAACCAGGGCATACATAGGATGAATATTCCTGTGGCTGGGGGAAAATACCACCCAGAGAACAGTGCCACATACTCACATAGGGCTGGGAATAGTGTCTGTTCCCGCCAGCCAGATGGGAATGCCTCCTGACTCACATGACACTGAGTAGAATTCATATAAGGGTCTTGCCTCAGGAATGGGGAATGGTTATTCCAAGACTGAACACTCCTTTGGGCTTAAGCAAGACCTGAAAGGATCAAACTGTGTGAATGTAAAAACTGCATCCCAGAACAAAAGCACAAGAACATGTATAGGAACATGAAAATATCTACCACCCAGGAAGATACAGCTCACAATGTCTGGCACCCAGTCAAAAATTACCTGGCATGCAAACTAGCAGAAAAATATGACCCATAATGCGGAGGAAAACCAATCAATTGAAACTAATCCATAATTGTTCAAGATTTGAACAATATTATCAACCAGGTTAACCTAATAGATATTTATATAACACTCCACCCAACAATAGCAGAATTCATGTTTTTCTCAAGTACACATGGAACTTTCACCAAGATAGGCCATACCTGGGGTTACAAAACAAACCTTAAAAAATTTAAAAGAACAGAAATTATGCAAAGTATGTTTTCTAACTTTAATGGAATCAAACTAGACATTAATAACAGAAATATACCTGGAAAATTCCCAAACATTTGGAAATTAAGTAACATGCTTCTAAATAAACCATGGATTGAAATGAAAGTCTTAAGAAAAATAAAAAATTATCTTGAGCTAAATGAAAATGAAAATACAACATACCAAAATTTGTAGGATGCAGCTAAAGTGGCACTTAGAGAGAAATTTATAGCACTGAATGCATGTATTAGAAAAGAAGATCTCAAAATCAATAACTTGTTTTAAAAAGTAGAGAAAGAAGAACAAATTAAACCTAAATCAAGCAGAAGGAAAGAAATAACACAAATTGGGGTACAAATCTCTGAAATTGAAAACAGATCATTAATAGAATCAATAAAATAAAAAGCTGGTTCTTGGAAAAGAGAAATAAAATTGGTACATCCTCATTAGTAGAGAGAGAGAGAGAGAAAGAGGGAACAAATCCACCAATGTCGGTATCAAGCCCACAGACATTACAACTATAATGAGGGATTACTATGAATAACCCTATGCACATAAATTTGATAACTTCCATGGAATGGCCCAATGTCTTGAAAGACACTTTAAAGACACTGAGTATCCAAACTCATTGAAGAACAAACAGATAAACTGAATAACCACACATATATCTATATATATGTATATGTGGTTATATATATGTACACACACACACACATATGTGTGTGTGTATAGCCTATGCATGTATGTATATCCTATATATGTATATATGTATATCCTATATGTGTAAGAAATATCAATGTAGTTCACCATAACACATTTTTAAAAAGATAATCTCAATAGCAATAATAAATCAGAAATTTGAATTAAAAAAATCCCATTGAGAATGGCACAAAATGTGAAATACTCAGAAATACATCTAACAAAAGATTTATATAAATCTGACAATGGAATACTACTCAGCAATAAAAATGAATGAACTCTTGATACATTTATCAACATGGCTAAATCATCAAATAATTACACTGAGTGGAAGGAGCTGGATGAAAAAGCACACATACTGTGTGAGTTCATATATATTAAAATCTAGAACTGTAACCAATCTATAGTGACAGAAACAGATTAGTGCTTGTTTGGGGATGAAGAACAGGAGGGAGGAATTACAAAGGGACAGGAGGAAGCTATTGGTGATGGATGCCTTCTTTATGTTGATTGTGGTGATGGTTTCACAGGTGTGTACCTATGTAAACACTTATCCAATTTTATACCTTAAATGTGTTCAGTTTATTGCGTTACAATTACACTTCAATACAGCTTTTTAAAGAAAGAGTAAAAGCAACATTCCTCCTCCACTCCAAATCCACTTCTCAGATGAAACACTGGAAATAAGAACAAAAATAATGATCATGAGTTCACTCTCTTGCATCCCCTGTGATAAGCATTTTGGATATATTAGATCAATCGATTCCCCATGAACCTCATGATGTGGATGCTGTTATTATTGCCATTTCAAGATGGGCAAACTGAGGCTCAGAGATATGGAGTGACCCACCCAAGGCCACCCCATTAGTAACTGTCACCGCAGAGGTTCAAACCCAATTCTGTGTAATTCCAAAGGCCCTACTCTCTATAATATGGCATTCATTTTAATGTATATTCTACTTTTTCTTTTTCTTTTTCTTTCTCCCCTCCCTCCCTCCCTCCCTCCCTCCCTCCCTCCCTCCCTCCCTCCTTCCCTCCCTCCCTCCCTCCTTCCCTCCCTTCCTGCCTGCCTTCCTGTCTTCCTTCTTTCCTCCCTTCCTTTCTCTCTTCCCTTCTCTCTTTCTTTGCTTTTATAAAATGGCATCATGGCCTGGTGCGGTGGCTCACACCTGTAATCCCAGCACTCTGAGAGGCCGAGGCAGGTGGATCACCTGAGGTTAGGAGTTCAAGACCAGCCTGATCAATATAGTGAAACCCTGTCTCTACTGAAAATTAGCCAGGCGTGGTGGTGTGTGCCTGTAGTCCCAGCTACTCGGGAGGCTGAGACAGGAGAATTGCTTGAACCTGGGAGGCAGAGATTGCAGTGAGCTGAGATAGCACCACTGCGCTCCAGCCTGGGTGCAGAGAGAGATTCGAGCTCAAAAAAAAAAAAAAGGCATCATATAATATGCATTTTTTTCAAGTTGCTTTTCACTTCATCTTCCCACATGGATCTTCTCCATTCTCTCACTGGCTGCCTAGAATTCTGTTGCCATAGGCACCACCATGTATTTAGTTAGCTCCCTATAGATGAATTTTTAGGTTGTTTTGGATTTTCTGCTATGACAGCAATGTTACAATAAACGTATCCAGTCATTTTCCCCATTCATTTAAAATTATTTTTAATGACACAAGTGTTGCATGCAGACATTCTCATTGTTTTATATTCATGAATTCAGATAAAGGGAAACTCCTCCACTCTAGCCACCTTTGCAGTCACTTCCAACTTTCAATATCCTCCCCACAGTACACTGTTATCAGAGTGGTATGTGAGCCCTACAGATGCTTTTAATATGCATCTCTGTACATACATGTATGCTTAGCTATGTATGTTTGCTCTGTGTGTTTTTAAAAACACAAAAGGTATTGTATTATATGGATTGTTTTGTATTTGGCTTTTTATCATTTAAAATCACAAACATCTTTCAGTGTATACAGAGCTACCTCATTTTTTTTCAGAAGGCGTGTTCAATTGCTTGCATCTCTCTCCCTCCCTCCCTGTCTCTCACCTTCCCTCCCTCTGTCTTTTCTCCCTTTCTTCATCATTCCCCTACTACTAATAGAAATTTAGGTTGTTTCCATTTTTCTCTCTATAAAAATATTGCAATAAACATTCTGTGCATGCCTCATTGTGTTCACATGAGAGTTTTTCTATAGTATTGGTAACTAGAAGTGTAATTGCAGAGTGGAAGGGTTTGCCAGGGTGGGCCTTGTTTGTGGCCATAGGAGGTTGTGGAAGACGTGGGTTACAGGTCCCAGGTGGCTGTTTGCAAGATGGGAGAGGATCTTCCATTTATTCAATAGTTTACTTGCTGTGGCCATATATATTCAAATCTAGAAAATGTAACCAATCTACAGTGACAGAAACAGATCAGTGCTTGCTTGGGGATGGAGAACAGGAGAGAGGAATTACAAAGGGACAGGAGGAGCTTGGACAGTTCCTGGTGACACTGAGCCCCTGGCCAGGTAGCCCTTTGGGCAGAATGATCAGAACAACCCTTCGGGTCACCTACGGGCCCAGCTGCACACACTGTTGGGTCCCCTCTCTCTTCCCTGTCCCACTGGTGATGACTGATTCCGACTACCAATGAACCCTAGGAAAGGTCAGGGGAGGTGTGCAACGAAGTGTTCAACAAACCACTGGTGCTGAAATCTTCTCTATGCCAGGCGCATGTGCACCAGGCAGGGCCGGGAGTTGCAGCCCGGTGGGAGGGACACACTTGCACCAGCTGCCCAGGGCTGTGATGGTGGTAATGTGGGATGCTACTGTGACACAAAAAAGGGGCTTCTGATAGAGTCTAAGGGTGGCCGGGGAGGGGGTTCCTGGCAGAGGTGGAGGCTGAGCTGAGTCTTAAGGGATGAGTAGGAATTAACCAGGTGAAACAGACTTTAAGCGTGTGAGTGTGTGTGGGTGTGTAAAATGTCTACTTCTTGATCTCCCCTCCCCTTTTCTAGTAACAGCACCTTCTTTCCCTTCGTGAGAACTTCTCAATGGCTCCACGTAATTCTGGGAACTCTCAATTCCTTAACCTCTTCTCACCGGAGCCAGTCCAGGATAGGCACATGACCCAGGCTTGGCCAGTCAGATTTGCACTCTGGGCCACAGGGATTGGCTCAGAGATGGGCCAGTCAGAGCCCTCCCTGGGACTTCCACTGCAGATAATGGGAGAAACTCTTGGCTTTGGGGTCACACAGCTGGAAGAAGCTGCTGCTTGGGACCCCCTTCCTTGTCCTCATGGGATGTGGTGAGAGAAACAGAGGCTGCTTTGCAGAATGAGGCAGAGACAGATGAAAGACAGGCAGAGAAAGAATCCTTGAGGGCCAATGAGAGTTCCATTCCTGTAGCTTCTGTTTGGAGAGCTCCCCTGTGTCTTCTCCAGCCCTGAAGTGGGGGCTGTCATGGAAAAACTCCAACCTTACAGACGATGGCAAGGAGCAACCCTGCTACATGCCACAGATGCCCAAAGCAGACTTGACTTAGTAGACCAGAGCACAGCAGTTTCTTACCTATGTGCAGCAGGCAGCGGGCCCATTAGTGCAGTTGCATGGATTCCCTGCCCCAAATCCCATGGGGCAAAGGGATGGACTCTGGTGGATGCTGCACACACAGTGAGTCCTGCTGGAGCTGAGGAATCCGGGGCTAAGGGTCTGGTACTTTTAGAGCATGCAGTAAACATTGTAACAAGTACTAAACAAGTGAGTTCCCTTCCTGTAAGGAACGGGAAGTTGCCACTGAAGGTACCACAGCCCCCCCTTGGCAGGCAGATGGAGACCATGTTTTGAGCCCACTGGGTTATGGTGGCCGAATTGCTGTGCCCATGCCAATGACGGATCCTAGTAGTGATGTCGGCTACCTCTTCCACCCAGTCGCCTGTGAGTATGACATCCACACGGATTTATAAATGTCCCGACGGGCTGCTGCCATGGCTTTTCAGAGCTCACAGCTCCACAGAAATGTGTCCTTAATATACCAGTCAGCCATCACCCATGTACTTGACCAGATACCTGGATTACAGGCCATTGTCCCAGAGTTGATGAAAATATAACATGTCTGGTCCTTAGGAGTACCATCCAAGGCAAGGACAATGACTTTCAATTGGGCCCACTGTGCTCATTGACCCTTCCTGAAGTGGGACTTTCTGAGTTGTTCCAGCTAGACAGCTGCCCAGTGGACACCATCAGTTTATAGTTTGGCTGCGCTGCCAGTAAACCAAGCCCGAGCACTCTCAGGAACTCCCTGGAATCGGGACCAATATTTCAGGTAGTGAAAAATTACCCCTGTGAGTAATTGAGGGGAGGTAACAGGACCCCTAAAGGTATGGTTGCATCCTTTTTGCATTAGGGGGACTCGCTTGTGGGGCTAGAGTTGCTTTCCCCTCGAACACTGTTTCCATTTACTAAGAGAATACTGTTGTGCCCGTCACGCTGCAGCCAGCATCTTAGGGGACCCAGCCTGAGATGGAAATATCTGCTCTAGTGTTACCTGGGGGGCCTGCATGAGGTGTGTGGTCTCCACAAGCACCCACAGCAGGCCTAGCTGTTTACCCAGTGGAGTGTAGCAGGGTAGCTGGGTAGGGGAGGCAGGGAATCCCAAACCCCACGAAGTGCCTGCCGGTGAAAATATCCTGCCTTTACCATAGGCTCCAACCAGCCACAGATCCGGAATTAGGGTCCTTGGGCTTATGGATTCCAAGAGTAGGGCTGTCTCTAAGCACCGCCTGCAGATCAGGTCCCAGATGCTTTTAATAGATTTTCTGGTCAATGTATACATAAGGCTCAATAAAATACCTAGCTGAGGCTCATCCTGTTTTCAGTACCTGAATAGCGCAACTAAGTGCTGTTTGTTGTTGTTGTTGTTAGCTGGGTGGGATGGAGGGCCAGGGTGGGAAACTTCTCCTTTCCAGTCTCAGAGTCCATCTTTGTGCTGCAGCCCACATTGCCCCAGAATTTGACATGGGTGGTTGGTCCCTGTAAGCAAGTTTAACCCCTCTTTGTACAGATAAGAAACCCAAGGCTCAGAGACATCAGTAACTTGTGTAGGGTTGCACAGGAAGTGGGGGACAGGGCTGGGGTTTGAACCCAGGTCTGTAAGATTCCTCAGTCCACACCTTTCCCCTGTCCTGCGTGGTTGCCGGTCTTTCCCCACTATTATCCACCAACCTTGTCTGGGAAGACCTAGGAGGCAAGTCCTGAATTAGGCAGGGCCAGACGCCAACTCTGGAATTCAATTTCTTACCCAGGCCTTTGGGATGCAGGAGTGGATGTCTACACTTCTGTCTCTGAACCCTCTTCCTTCTCACTGTCCCCAGCCCTGCCCTAGGCCAGAGCCTGTCGGTGCTACCTGGACCATTGTAACAGCCTCCTGACTGCCCGCCCCCTACCCCGCACATCCAGTCTCTCCTGAATTCTCCTTTACGATTCTCAGTCGTGTGGTTTGGGTGGGATGGCCTGCTCCAACTCACAGCTCCAGGGTGGGCCCTGATTGGTCTGAGCCAGATAGTCACTGGGCTGTGACTGGCTGGGTTGGACACGTAATTGAATCGGAACCAATGAGATGTGGAGATGTCTGCTCCAACTTCAGGGAAACGAATTGTTCTTTTTTTACATTCAGCTATGGCTAGAGACTCTCTTCCATTCCGAATGGTGTGATGTGAAGAGGTGAGACCAGGAGAATGTGGGTCATTGGAGATGAGGGTGGGGTGGAGTGGGGAAGCGGGGGTGGGGTGGGGAAGCGGGGGTGGAGAGGGATGGGAAGAGCGAGGAGTGCTATCCTGGGAAGCCTGAAGATTAAACTGGTATCTCAGAAGGCAGAGCAGGGAGATGGAGAGAGCCTGTGTCTAAGTTGATATCATTTGAGCGGCTAGGTCAAGCCACACCTGAAGTTGTTCGTGAGTCTGTATCTCCATAGAAAACAAAACTGGGCAATTTGAGGAGAGTTTGATAAATGGACAATTTATAAAAGGTGACGGCAGGGTGAAGGGGACACCCCAGGGATAGTTCAGCACCTCAGGGCAACTAACGAAGGGGCCATTACTACCCTGGGGCCTGAAAAGGGTGAGGAGAGTGAGCAATTATCAGAGCCTGGAGACACAGGGCTGGGTGGAGAGGGCTGCCCTGTTGGAGCTGTGAGCCTGGGTCACTGACCCTGGTGGCCCCTTCAGGGAGTCAGGCAGTAAATGCCTTGGACGCACGCTCCTCCCTCCCTCCTGTGTCCCGTGGGTGATCCCCACCAGTTGAGCTAGACGGATGGTAGTGCAGTCCACATGGGTCATCCTTCTGGAGCACGGAGCAGGGTGGGGTGGATTGGGATGGACACATGGAAGATGTCCAGGGCTTAACTCTGGGCCTCTCAGTTCCATGACCCATTAAACTCCCTTGACTGAGCTGGGGTGAGTGGGCCTTTTACTGCTGCATAGAGGACTAACTAATACGTGCACCAGGCAGGGTACCCCCAACCCCTGTCTCCCCTGCCCTATCTTTGCTTATGCTTTGCCCTCAGCCTGGAATTGCCTTCCCTTGCCTCTAGAAATCTCCTCTCTGACTGCCATCCTTCTTCTTAAAGTCCTGACCCCACAGCTAAAGTGAAAAAGGCAGCAGAGAATAATTAAAATATGTTCAAGAGACCTGGGCTCAACTCCTTGTTCCACAACTTAACTTGTGAACTGTTGGGCAAGTTACCTACCCTTTCTGAGCCTCGGTTTCCTCCTTCATCCCCTGCCAGATTTCACCCCTTGCCCCTCATGACCTTGACCCTGTGCTTAGCCAGGTGTGTTTGGAACAACCCTGACCTACCTCTGTCTCTAGCCAGCTGTGTGTCCTTGGGCAGGTCTCTCACCCTCTCTGGGTCTCAGCTTCCCCATCTGTAAATCAAGGCTTTGATTGAATTCTCTGACTCTTGATTGCTCAGGCTTCCTCCCACCCTGAGGAGGGGAGGCTACCACTGGAGCAGCTTGGCAGCATTGGGAAGTCTGGCACGTCCACTGTGTGTGTTTAATTACTTTGGCAACTGTTTACTGCCTCCTCGATTTCCTGAGCAAACGGTCCCATTATTTGGAGTGATTTACTGGCACTAGCTTTGCTTGTGAGGAGTGGAAGCTCCAGACGTGCCCCCGCCTCAGCCCCCATATGCTACATGTGCTCACACAGCCAGGCCTTCTGAGAGGGCTGAGGGAAGCTGGGGCAGAGTGCCAGCCTTCCCGGGTGTCCTGGTTCCTGGGCCCTGCGTCCCCTCCGATCTCTGCAGGCTCTCCTGAGTGTAGTCTGAGGTTCTGCTGCCTGGTGGTTAGAGCACAGACTCCGGGACACAATGAGCCTGGGTTCAGGTCCCAGCTCTGTGACTTCAGTCAAGCTCCCTCTGCTCCATGAGCCTCAGGTTTCTCATCTGTGCAATGGGAATTGCAACTTTCCCAGTTCCCCTTCTCTTCAAGGCACCTGCTCCCCAACCCCTTCCACATGGCAATAGTGGGGGCTCTCCCAAGGTCTTCCTTGATCTTGTTCCCTCTCCTGCCCACTGTTAATTTAGTCTAAATTTGGTGCCTGACTAATGCTGGGCTGATCCTAGTCCCCCAGCTTGCAGACCCCCAAGAGTTGAATAAGGCTGAGATGAACCCCCACTCCATATGCTGCTGGTGGTAGATTCCTGCTGTGGTCTGAATGCGTGTGGCCTCCCACATTCATCTGTTGAACTGTAATCTCCAGTGCAATAGTATTAAGAGATGGGGCCTTTGGGCAGTGATGAGGTGAGCCTTTGTAGATGTGATTATTGCCTTTATATAAAAGAGGCTTGAGGGAGTGTATTTGTCCCTTCTGCCATGTGAGGATGCAGCAAGAAGGTGCCATCTATGAGGAATGGGCCCTCAGCAGGCATCAACTCTGCCAGCGCCTTGATCTTGGACTTGCCAGCCTCTAGAACTGTGACTAACACTCTTCTGTCATTTATAAATTACCCAGTCTAAGGTATTTTGTTGTAGCGGCCCAAATGGACTAAGACAACTCCCAGTGGGCTTTTGTCCCCAGGTGGGGCTGTGGCGGAGGGGTCTGCCTCATACCACTATGGCAGCTTCCAGCGGAGCCTGAGACGGCCCTACCTTAACATGCCCTAGCCCCAGGCCACCCCCAGCTCAGCTTTTTGCTTTTATCTTTTTCCCTCCCTCCCTCCTGCATTACCCCTGGGCAGCACCCACCCTCCAGATGTCCTTGCCTTCGGCACTTTCATTCCAGTTCCGCCATCCATTCAGCTTGACAGCCCAACCTTGCTCCAGGCCTACTTGCCACTCACACCTCACCAGGTGCTCAGCAGAGCCCTCTTTGGCCTGTATGAGGGCCCACCCATCACAGAAGGCTGTGGGGCTGGGACCAGAAGGCAGACTATAGACATAACACCAGGGAGGGAAGTATCTGACCCCTGCTGTCTGACACTGGGGATCAGGACTGTCCAGGCAGCTGCAGGGGCCATGGAGACTGGCACAGAGATCATGTGCCTGCTGTCTTCTGCACGAGGCAGTGGCAATCTGGGCTTGCCCCCTTGGGGCTGAGTAAGCCACTTGGGGTTCTTAGGCTTGTCCCTGAACCTCTCTCTCTGCATGAACTCACACTCTGTTCCCACAGGCTTGCCGGGTGTTTCCTTAGTGGGGTAGATTTTAATGCACGGCCACAAGTTCCTCCCATCCTGATGTGCATGCCCTTTGAAGCAGGACTTTGTTGCTTGTCTTATCAAGAGACAGAGTCTGCTTCCCCTTACCTTGAATCTGGGCAGGCCCATGGCTTGCTTTTGCTATAGAATTCAGGGGAAGAGATTCTATATGACTTCTGGGAGATGGCCTCAGGGGCCTTGCAGCCTCTGTTTCTGCCCTCTTAGAATGCTGCCCTGAGACCACCACTTAAGGAAGCTGGCCTGGCCTGCTGGAGATGAGTGGGCACATGGATGGCTGAAGCTTCCTGACCAACAGCCAAGCACTATCCATGTCAGGGAGGTCTGATTGGGCTTTCCAGGCCAGATGGAATGCAGCACAGGAGAAAGTCCAGGTGAGACCAGCAGGGACGTGCTTGGCCAACCACAGCATTGTGAGAAACAGTGCATTGCTGTTGTTTTTAAGTTTCCAAGTTTTGGGGTGATTTGTTACACAGCAAAGGGTAATGGAAGCACTCAGGATTGGTAATCTTTCCAAAGATAAGGAAACAACCTTCCTGAGAATTTCAAGATGGAGGCTCAGAGTCAAAGCACTTTGGATAGCGTTTGGACCTTTCGTTGGTATTCTGGCTGCCCATTAGTGGTATGAAATAACAACTAGAGTATATGGGTCAGGAATTTGGACAAAGCACAGTGGGGATGGTTTGATCTCCCTTCCACAATGGCTGAGGCCTTAGCTGGAATTCAAATCTGGCCTTTTCAGGGTTGAATGTCTGGGAATGGCCTGAACAGCTGGGTGTTGAAAGCACACAGATAATTTCTCAGTCATGTGTCTGATAGCTGAGCTGGGATGGGTTTGAAGACTGCACTTGGCTGAGGATGTCAACCAGAGTTCTACCTGTAGCCTTTGCATGTAGCTTGGGCTTCCTCACTGCATGGTAGCCTTAGGGGTAGTTGGACTTCTCACGTAGCCGCTTTTGGGACCTAGCCTGGAAGTGATACAACTTCTATCATATACCATTGGTCAAAGCAGTCACAACCCTCAGACATTCAAGGAGAAAGGGCATAGACTCCACCTCTCTATGGGAGGAGAACTTAAAGAATTTGTGATAATGTTTTAAAATTGCCACTTTTTGTGGTGGAGAATATTGCTGTTGCAGAAACTTGGTCAAAGATCATCTCCAATTCTAGGTGCCATATCTAAGTTTGACCCATCCCAGTCAATCATTCAGCAAAGGCACATGGCATGTTCTCTTCTATTCTGGAAACCAAGAAGGCAGGCAGGAGGCTGGAGCCCTGCAATACTTGCAGAGACAGTCACCTCCTTTCTGTGAACCCAGGACTATCCATTCTCCGCTTGCACATAAAAGTTTTCTCTTCTTTAAAAACAAGAGCAGCTTATGGGGATCACACTAGTTGGTCTGATTATCCTAAGGATAGTTGGCCAGCTTATCCTAAGGAAATCCTGGGTTCATGATTCTACATTTGATGCAGTGAGAAAGCCTTGTCTCCTGGACCAAAGGTTGACCTGGGCAGCATGGCCATGGTCCTCATCCTCAGCCTGATGCACAGTGGAAGCCATGGTGGGACCCTCGCTGCCTCTGAGCTGATCTTTATCCCTTTGATGGAGATGATCTCTGCCCAGGGGGAACAGGCTTCTAAGTAGGAGGAGAGGGAGGTGCTAACTACAGAGGCTGCCCAGCTGAAGTTTTTCCAGTGTCATCTGCTCTCTGTGTTCCTGGCCAGGCCTGGCCCTGGAAAATCCCCATTGTTCTCCACAACCCTATATAGAACCCCGGTCTGAAGTGTTCCAGACTCAGAATGTAGCCCCATCCTGGCCCAGCAAAAGCCTGTGGTTTAAGAGCTTTTCTGTTAGGGTGGATTTAACAACCGAGTTTCCAATTGATTTCTAGAGGGAAGTGGGGATGGATTTACAGTTCCTAAAATAGGTTTGCAGCCTTGATGTGAATCTGTACGAGAAAGCAGTGGGCAGGAAGTTATCGATGTGACCTCTGACCCTGGGGAGGGAAAGATAATGAGGGGTTTATGATAAATCCATCTTCTTGGGGTTTATCGCTAGGCCCTTAGATATATGACTTGGTGCAGACAAGTGGCTCTCCTAGTGCCACAGGGAGGAGGACTGTGAGGCATGAACTCCAGGAAGTAAGCTTCACCCGATGTCTTCCGCCCAGGCTCTCAGAAGACTGGCTCTGCCCTAAGACCTCTGGCTTTGCAAAGGGTTGAAGTCTGCAAAGTTCCTGGGAACTGCACAACTTGAGTCATCTCTGGAGACCTGGGGGCTGGCTTCCCCACCTGCCCTCCTGAAGGCCCCAGCTGGCCCTTCTGTTCCTGCAGTGCCCTCCCCATGGTGGGGTCATCGATCTCCCTGCAGGCTTCGAGAACAAGGCAGGGAGGAGGGAACCACCTTGGCTGTGGGTTTGGGAACAGATGGGCCCTGGGTTTGAATTATGTGGGATTCTCCCACTCACTAGCTGTGGGGCCTCGGGGAGTTCCATGCCCAACCTGGCAGTTTCCTAGCCTGTGCAATGTGGGGTGAGATTTCCCTCCAAGGATGCTGCAGGATTCAATGAGATGAATGTGTGTTGGGAGCCGCACAGCACTTGGCATGGGTGGGTGGGATGTGGGACCTGGACAAAGACAGATCCAAGTTAGAGCCAACTCTGATGGCCATTATCTGTGTGATCCTGGACACGTGTCTCAGCCTCTCCCGGGCTCAGTTTGCCCCACTGTGAAGTGGGAATAGAGTCGTCGTCATGACAAAGGGGCAAACGAAGATCAGGTGCTCAGTGCCATGATGGGCGTGAGGTCAGTCATCTTTGGACAGTTTTGCTACCCCCTTCTCCTGGGCACTGCCTGGGCAGCAGATGCCGGCCTGGCCCTGAGCCTGTGCAGACAAAAGCGAGGGACTCTTGGTTCCTGCCTACGTCTTGTGCTGATAAAACTGAGAAGATAAAGCAGCTTCCAGGATGGTGCAGTGGAGAGCGGGTCAAAGCACAGGCGTCTGAATCCTGGGTCAGCAATGTCACCAGTTGCAAGGACTCAAGGAGGCCACTTTCCCTCTCTGAGCCTCAGTTTCCTCATCTGTAAAATGGAGAGGATGATGAAGATCCCAGACATGACACAAGGTAGATGCTTTCTGTGTGCAACCCTACAACAGCCATGCAAAGCAAGCATTATGGGCGGTCCCATTTCACAGGTGGGAAAACTGAGGCTTAAACAGGGGAAATTCCTTGCTCAAGGTAACTAGGACATGGTGGAGGCAGGATGTGAACCCAGGGATTCTGGCCCCAGGCGCACACTCTGGTCTGCTCCTTGGGGTTGCTCTGAGGATCCCTAAGATGAAGGCCGAGGTTGGGCTCTGCAAACTCCAAAATGCTGCGGAAAGACCAGACGCAGTCCCTTCTACGGGGGATGGAATTTCAACCTGACAGGTGTGGCTGGACCCTGTAGACCGTGAAGTGCTGTGATAATTGTTACCAACATTTCTTGAGCACCACCTAAATGCCAGGCACCGTGGCAACACTTTACGTTCAGCATTTCATTAAATCTGCTGTGAGGTGGGAATCGTGAGTCCACCTCACAGATGAGGAAACTGAGGCTCAGATGGTAAAGCCCCTTGGCCAAGGTCATACACAAACTGGAATGTCAACACAGGTCTCTCTGACTCCAGAGTCCAAATTCTTACCTGCAGGAACATTATTCTGTCCCTGTCCACATTACTCCTAAACGTTAGGACATGGCTCAGGATGTTCTGCTGTGCCCACCTGCTGTTTAGGTGAAGAAGATGGGCTGAGGTCAGAGTTGGGTGACCGTGGGGCCTGGAGTAATCAGGGCTTCCTGGAAGGGGTGGATTACATGCTGAGGGTGGAGGGGTGGACAGGGCTGACTGGCCTCTGGGACAGAGAAGGTGCTGGGGAGACTGAGCTCTGACTCTGTGAGGAGCAAGTGTGGGGCCAGGTTGAGGGTCCAACCCAGGGCTCATTTCGGGACAGAGGTGGGGTCTTCCAGAGTCACTCATGTGGCTAGAAAATGCCCAGACCCGACTGCAGGCTCTGATGTTCCCCCAGTATCTTTCGTTGTCAGAATAGCTGGCTTCTTCCTCTTGTTAAGAAGTTGCATGTTTTCTCATATTTCAAAGTCACGGTTTTATCAATTTGGTGTCTCAGACCACACAATCAGGAGGTGAGTTGTAGCTTTCTCCTCTGCCGTATACTCAGTTTTATTGACTTATCCTTCCTCATTTTTCAGCAAGTAATTCTTTCCATGAGCTCCCATTGATTTCTGGATTGAAATATTTCTTGATGCACTTTTTAATGAGAGTCCTGTCTCAAGTGCACTAGCATCAGGTTAGAGCATTTCACTTTGAGCCTCTTTCATTGTAAAAACAGCATCAGTTCCCACTGGGAGAGTGGTGTACCCTTCTCCTGGTCCTCACTGGAGCCATGTTGTGTACCATCCATCTGGGACCCTAGCTGCGATGACAATGTACCCTTCTCCCAGGGGCCTCACAGGGGACACAAGTGCCCCTCCTTCTGAGGTCCTCCTGGGGACATCTGTGTCCCCTCCTTCTGATCCTCACTGGGGAGGTCTGTGCCCCTCCTCTTGATCCTCACTGGGGACGTTTGTGCCCCCTCCTCCTGAGGTCCTCCTGGGGACGTCTGTACTCCCTCCTCCTGGTTCTCACTAGGGACTTCTGTGCCCTTCCTCCTGGTCCTCACTGGGGAGGTCTGTGCCCCTCCTCCTGGTTCTCACTGGGGACGTCTGTGCTCCCTCTTCCTGGTCCTCACTGGGGACACCTGTGCCCCTCCTCCTGGGATCATCATTGAGGACATTTCATCTGTCGTGTAAGAAGCTTGAGCCCAGGGCCAGGCAGGTGGCAGCTGCTCCACAAACACCAGCTCCTCACTGTCCTCAAGGGGATCCCTCCCTAGCTGGGTGTTAGTGCAGGTGCATCGTGCAGGGCCGGTCAGTGTCGCCCTACATGGAGTGTCCCCACTTCCCTCCTGCAGTGTCATTGTCAGCAAGCATTCATTGAGCACCAACCGTATGCCAGGCCCTGTGCTTAGCCCTGGGCTCCCAGAAGATTCTTCTGAAATGAGGATTGGTCACATCCCTTTCCTCCTGACCCTTCAGTGGCTTCTCCTTCCCTCCAGGATCAAGTGCAGACCCCCCACTGCTGCTCCCAGGCCTGTGTGGCCCAGCCCTCGCCCTCCCTCCCCTCCCTGCTGTCTCTCCCATGGACACTCGAGCGCTTTGCTGCCACAGGGCCTTTGCCCACGCAGTTCCCTCCACCTGCAATGCCCTTTCCTGCTCTCCTCTACTTGGCCGGTCCCTTTGATCTTCATCAGCTTAAATGTGACCTCTCCCCCCACTGCCCCACAGACTTGGCTCCCCTCACCCCAGCTTCTTGGCATTCCTCTGGTTTCTCTCAGCACCTTCTGTAATTCTTTCCTTGGGGGTTTACTGGAATCACTGTTGCTCTCACTAGTCCATGAGCTCCAGGCGGGCAGGGGCCTCATGGGTCCTGTTCCTGGGTATTTCCAGGGCCCAGCACACGCCTGGCACAGGGTTGGTGTCTGGCTATGTTCCCTGTTGAGTGGCTGAGTAAATGCAGACCTGGCCCCAGGTCTGGGTCAGTCAGAGGCTGGAGGTGGGGCCTGGGAGCCGCCCTGATGCTGGCAGGACCACCATAGACCTGTGACTGGTGGCGTTGAGGGATCCGTCCCACAGGGACTAGCCTCCTTGGGGAACTGGGGGCTGGGGAGTCGGCCTCCCCGCCCCCTCCCTCCTCACAGTGGTGTTTACCTTCTCAGGTGACCTGGCTCTGTGCAGGGCATGGGCTGGGCCTGGGCTGTGCTGCAGTGATCAACGGCCCTGCGCCCTCAGCAGGAGCAGGCTCCTGCCTCTGCCTGGGTGGCTCAGGGTGGGGCTCGGGGCTCTGCTCACTGCAGTCTCTCACCTCTCACCTGGACAGGGCTTCATGCAGCAACAGGAAGAAGGCATCAACCCTGCCCTGGCCCTTTTTGCCCCTCCTGGAGGTGACACACGCCGCCGCCTCTCACAGCACAGTGGCCAGAGCCAGTCACGTGGCCACATCTCCCTTCAGATTCAAGTGCATTCAGCCACTTGTCAGGAATGTGGGAGCTGGTGATGTCGGGTGCAGCACTCAGAACTTTCACCTGTGTCCCTGGCTGGGCCGAGAGCTACTGAGGGCAGTGTCCCCCATGTCTGCAGCTCCATCGTGCCTGTTCGGGGCTGAGCGCAGAGCAGGAGAAAGCAATGCCCTGTGCAGTCCAAATGGACAAAGGCTGCCCCTGCCCTGTGCCAGGGCCTGTGGGCCCAGAGGTGATGACACAGCCCCGAAGTTGGGGAGTGAGACCTGCGGGAGTCACCACCCAGTGCCCTGAGGGCAAAGCTTTGTCCTTGTGCTCCTGCCCGGGGCAGTGAGTGTGGGTGGTCATACCCTGACTGCGGGTCAGGCTCCCCGGGGCCGGCCCCTCCCCCAGCCTTACTCGCCCTCAGCTGCCCATGCTGTCACTCCAGGTGAGACTGAGCTATGTCCCTTGCCTGAGTCTTCCCTGCCCCCACTCTTGCCTCTGAGCCTATGCCACTGCTGTTCCCTCTGCCCGTGCACAGCAGGGACCTGGGAGGACTCGGGAACCAGGCCCCCTCGGTCTGAAACCTGGCCGGGTGGGTGACCGGATGATGAGCAGTTCCTAACCTCTCTGTGCCTCAGTCTCCTCATCTGTAAATGGGGGTAGTGATAGTGTCTCCCTCACTCTCACGGGGGCTACTGTGAGGATTTAATACAAGTAAACGCTTAGAACACAGCCCCAGCACGTGGCAGGTGACAGCAGCGAGTGATGGTCAGTCCCCACCCTCCACGTCTGCCTAACATCTCACCCTCGGGGCTCAGCATAGACGCTCCTCCCCGGAAGACATCTGGCATCTCTGCATCCCCAGTGCCCAGCACAGGGCCTGGCACATGGAGGCTCCAGCTGTCCCCAAAGGCCACTGAGCCTGACGCCCCCTTCCAGGGACATTTGCCTCCCAGTCAGCACCACGGGAAACCAAATGCCTGAGGTGAGTGGGCGCCAAGTCCTGGTCCCTGCATGGCCCTTTGGGGACATCTGGAGAAGGCTGGGACTCTCCTGCACTCGGAGCTGCCCCTCCCGTGTGTTGGGGGGTGCAGCTCATCACATCTGCTTATGTCACATGTTTGGGCCATTTCTCCTCCTGTGGTTGGCACAGCACGAGTGTCCCGTGCAGCTCTTTTGGGCAACATCAGAAATATTTTGATATGGCCTACGAAATAGACCTTTAGGATTCCAGCAGTGCCAGGGAACTCAGTGGTGTTTGAGACAGACACCCTCACTGTGTCTCTTCGAAGTCTCAGTCGGTACTAAGCCGGGAGGGGCGGGGACATGGGCGTTGCCAGGCATGTGACTTGGCAATGAGATGTGGGATTTGTGCATTTTGACACTAGGCCGTGTCTAACTGTCCACCTCAGATCTCTGGCTTTGCAAATATCAATAGGGTATGTTTAGCTATTTCAGGCACTTAACCTCTTTGGACCTCAGTTAAGAGCTTTGGAGCCTAAACATAGATGTAAATCTCTGTTCAGCCGCCCATGAGCTGAAGGAATGGTTGCTGGTGCCTGCCCTGTTGTGGATCAAGTGCTGAGCTGGGCTTGGGGACACAGGGGTGGGCAGGACAAGGCCTCTACCCTCAAGGAACTCACAGACTGGTATGGACCAGGGGTGAGAGAGGAGAGAGAGGCCCCTGACCAAACTCGGCCAGTCAGGAAAGGCTTTCTAGAATTCAGGGCCTCAGCATACTGCTGCACAGGCTGTGCACTGCACAACTCACACATGGACATGCCGTGAAGGGCGCCCCCTAGAATGTGCAGGCAGCAGCCC